>NC_000010.11:70370368-71620368 GCF_000001405.40 Homo sapiens
TTATTATATTATATAAAGTCCACCCAGAATAACCTACTGTGAGCAAGAGTCAGCAGGAACAACAGACTGAAACCCTCAAGAATGTCCTGTTACAGAAAAAGCAGGCCAGGCATGGTGGCTCAAGCCTGTAATCCTAGCACTTCGGGAGGCTGAGGCTGGGAGTTCAAGACTAGCCTGGCTAACATGATGAAACCCTGTCTATACTAAAAGTACAAAAATTAAAAATTAACCAGGTGTGGCGGCACACACCTGTAACCCCAGCTACTTGGGAGGCTGAGGCAGGAGAATTGCTCGAACCCAGGAGGTGGAGGTTACAGTGAGCCGAGATCACACCACTGCACTCCAGCCTAGGCAACAGAGTGGGACTCCATTTCAAAAAAAAGAAAAAGCAGTAAAGATTTAAAACAAGTATAGGCTGAGACAAGAGGATAGCTTGAGGCCAGGAGTTTGAGAACAGCCTAGGCAACACAGTGAGACCCCATCTCTACAAAATATTTTAAAAATTAGTCGGTGTAGTAGCAAGTGCCTGTAGTCTCAACTACTTGGAAGGCTGAGGTGGGAGGATCACTTGAGCCCAGGAATTCAAGGCTGCAGGGAACTATGATTGCGCCACTGCACTCCAGCCTGGGTGACAGAGCAAGACCTTGTTTCTAAAATGATTAAAGAAATAAAAAATAGAGCATAAGAAAGAAATAAGATTATTCCCTTAAATCAGATTTTTTTTTTCAGTAAGAAGCAAAAGATTTATTGGATCTGAAGAGAAACTAGAGTATATTATATCAGATTTTTTAAATAGAACTTTTTCTCGCCCAGGCTGGAGTGCAGTGGCCCGATCATGGCTCACCGCAGCCTCAACCTCCAGGACTCATGCAATCCTCTCGCCTCAACCTCCCAAAGTAGCTGACACTACAGGTGTGTGCCACTGCACCTGGCTAATTTTTTAAATTTTATTTTTGGTAGAGACAGGGTCTCTACCAAAAATATAAGCAGTTAACATGTATTGAGTACCTGCTGTGTACTAGGTGCCTGGGGGCTCCCAGGGATGTGTGTAGTAGAGTCTCGGGCCTCAGGCCTTTTCAAATCCTGCTCCTCTGTGTCACGATTATTCTTTAAAAGCCAGTCCCCATGCACACTGCAGAGCCAGGAGCCTAAGACCCGGAGAGGAGCGGGGTGCAGGGAAGCCTGGCCCCACAACCACAGGCTGGAGGGAAGGGTGGGGTCAGACTAAGGCCCCTCAGCGGTCCAGGACCCACGGAAACCCAGATGGAAAAGGGGCAGGGAAAGAGAGCCTGGCTCAGGGGAAGCAGACTACCTAAGGGGCAGTTTGCAACTCTGCATGCTCCTTAGAAACATCGAGAAGATGATGCTGAGGAGGGGTGAGAGACTGGGAGGAAAGCAGCTTCAACTCAAGCTGAGGGCCTCCCAGGGGCCAAATGGAAAGGAGCCCACGTCTCTGGGGATGGAGAAGCCTGGAGTGGAGTGAGAAAGGCTGGGATCCTCGCCTCGAGTTACAGGAGGAAGCAGGCCTGGCTCCAGCTCTAGCCAGGGGTGCCCCAGGAGCACTGGGGGAGCATGTGAAGTGCTTACCAGGGTTACTTGGCTGAGTAAGGTGAGAGCAAGCCTGTAACTGAGCTCTTCCAGCCCAGTCTCTACAGGGGATCTCCCACTCTGCAGCAGCACCTGTGGCTCTGGAGCACCACCCCGGGAGGGAACCCAGCAGGACGGGAAAAGCCAGGGAAGCCTATGTCTCCTCCCAGGGGCCTCGGCTTTGAGAATGAGCTACCCCTGAACTCTCATCTGTTGTCAAGATGTGTGTTTTATTTCCACAGTGGCAGGTGGTCCTTTCCCTAAAATCTGTTCCCTAATTTTAAGAGTAATACGTTCATTATAGAACATTTAGAAAATGCAAAATAGTATTTTCTAACTCCCATTTCCATATTGGTTATTTCCTTCCATTTTCTTTCCTACATATATGCACAGGTTTAACATAATTCGTACCTTACCCTACATACAGTTTGGCATTCTTGATGTTTTCCAGTTCACGTTATATATGAGAATGTGCCAATCCTTCTTTTCGTTTTTTTTTTTTTTGAGATGGAGTCTCACTCTGTCACCCAGGCTGGAGTCCAGTGGCGCAATCTCAGCTCACTGCAGGCTCCACCTCCCAGGTTCACACCATTCTCCTGCCTCAGCCTCCCGAGTAGCTGGGACTACAGGTGCCCGCCACCACGCCCGGCTAATTTTTTTGTATTTTTAGTAGAGATGGGGTTTCACCATGTTAGCCAGGATGGTTTCGATCTCCTGACCTTGTGATCCGCCCGCCTCGGCCACCCAAAGTGCTGGGATTAAAGGTGTGAGCCACTGCGCCCGGCCGAGAATGTGCCAGTCTTTATTTAATCATACAATGAAATATTACGCTCCATTGTTGATGCTACATAAATAGCATTATATAGGCCGGGTGTGGTGGCTCATGCCTATAATCCCAGCACTTTAGGAGGCTGAGGCAGGTAGATCGCTTGAGGCCAGGTGTTCGAGACCAGCTTGGCCAACATGGCAAAACCCCATCTCTACTAAAAAAAAAAAAAAAATAGAAAAATAAGCCAGGCATGGTGGCACACACCTGTAATCCCAGCTACTTGGGAGGCTGAAGGAAAATCACTTGAACCCAGGAGAGGGAGGTTGCAGTGAGCCAAGATTGTGCCATGGCACTCCAGCCTGGGCAAGCAAGATGACTCCATCTCAAAAAAAAAAAGCATTGTATAGCTGTAACCAAATTTATTTAAGCAATTTTCTGGTGCTAGATGTTTAGGATGCTTCAGATTGTTAGCTATTTTACATGAGAACCATATAGAGTTACTTTATGATTCAATTCAATTACCACTCCTCCAGAAAGCCTTCCTGGTCTACTTCAATACCCAGCAATATCTCCCACCTCTGAATTAGGACAACCTGTGTTCCATCTGACACACCTTAGCATGGAGCCTGTGTGTCACTGTTCTCTGAAGACTGTCTTGTAGGTGGTGGGCTGGTCTCAGGTCCAGGACTCTACTACACACATTCCTGGGAGCCCCCAAGCAACTAGTATACAGCAGGTACTCAATACATGCTAACTGCTTAGACCCAGCCCCCTTAGAGTGTATAAGCCTGGTCAGCTCCATTTCCTAAGGGTCAGGATTACAGGTGCCTACTATGGCCAGGTTGGAAATTTTGCTTCTTCTCTGGCCAATGCACAGATGCAAAGGATCCCTGTTATTCAACCACAACTTTAAGACCCAGTCCCCTCCACATGAAAGTCTTGAGCTTCAGGCAAGATCGCCATGGCTAAAGGCTCTCCCAACTTGACTAGAGCTTCACAGCAGTCATGACCCTGGCAATCACCAAACATGTGCCCCCACCCCAGGGCTGCATGGTGGAGACAGGGCCCAGGCTCTGGTGTCAGAAATCAAGGTTCCAATCCCAGGCATGGCAGTGGTCTGGCAGGGTGGCCAGAGAACTGCTTGGGTTCCTTGGTGGGTATGGCTCCCAGGCAGTGCAGGGGAGCTGGTCGCAGCATGCCCTGCCCTAGCCGCCCTGCACACTTCACCTGATGCAGGGTGCCCACTCTTCAGCTCACAGAAATGCCCACCTGTCCACTGGCCCACTTGACCTTGCAATCTCCAGTCCACAGAGGTTGAAGTTCAGGGGCTCCTCAACACAGCCTTCCAGGCTCTCCGCCTGCCAGGCACCATCCCTCACCACCTGCCCCAGTGCTGCTGTGGTAACTGGGCAGGGCCTCTCCTCCAACTCAGGCACACCCCTGCCACTGCCTGGAGTGCCTGTCTCCTCACCGCTGCCTCCTGAAACATCCTCTCTCAAACAGCACCCATCCCCTAAGCAGCTTCCCCAACGCCCCGGTGAGAATTGTTTTCCCTCCCCTGCGGCCTCTCCACTCTTGCCACATCTGAATGAAGTGGAGCTGCTGTGTCCCTATCCCCTGTGAAGCCTTTTTTTTTTTTTTTTGAGATGGAACCTTGCTCCATCACCCAAGCTGGAGGTGCAGTGGCGAGATCTTGACTCACTGCAACCTCCATCTCCTGGGTTCAGGCGATTCTCCTGCCTCAGCCTCCCAAGTAGCTGGGATTACATGTGTATACCACCACACCAGCTAATTTTTTGAATTTTTAGTATGTTTTAGTATGTTGGCCAGGCTGGTCTTGAACTCCTGGCCCCAAGCGATCCACCTGCTTCGGCCTCCCAAAGTGCTGAGATTACAGGCATGAGCCACCATGCCCAGCCCCCTGTGACATTTTGAAGCAGGGGTAGGTTACTCACCACAGACATCTGTCGATTTGCACTGAACCCTCCATTGGAAGGCAGTGAGAAGAACACCCAGCACAGACGTGGCTGGCTGACACCTGTAGAAAGTGCATTTGCAAGGGGAAGGGCTTAGGTCTCGCCACCAGCTTTTGGGAATGAGCAAAAATTAAAAATAATAGCTGCCATTTATTGAGCTCCCTATGTGCCAAACACCTTACAGACATTCCAATTACTCTTAACTACCTTGATGAGGTAGACACAATTACCATTCCCATTTTATAGATGAAGAAACTGAGGCTCTGAGAGGTTAAGCAATCTGCTACAGTACCAGGTGAGTGGGTGGCAGAGTAGAGATTCAAATCCAGGCCCATGTGACTCAAAGCCTAGCTCTGAACCGCAGTCTCAGTGGTAGAGAGCCTTAAACAACCATATTACTGACCAGTACAGGATTCCGGAATTCCTTCACTGAGGGCTCACAGTCATCAGCTCACTAGCTTAAGGCTCCTTCCAAAGGCTTCCCTCCAACACCAATGACAATCTTCAGCGAGCCTGCTGATAGAGGAAATGCCTCTCGCCTTAGCTAAGCTCAGCAAACACTTCCACACGTTTACAAAGTGCCTGACACTGCGCTGGGCTCTGGGGCAGGGCAGGGGGAAGCAAACAACCACAGGGTCCCTGTGCTCTACAGATGCTGAAGGGGTGCTACAGAGGAGAAAGGGAGCAAAGGGTGGATGAGGGAAGGCGGAGGGCTTCCTGGAAGAGGCAGTGATCAAGCTCATCCTGAAGGCTGAGTGTCTCTCCACTTCCTGGACCACCTCTCTGCCTCTGACTGCCTTTCCAGTCTCTGTGACTTTGCTAAGGCAGTAACTACCATGGAAGGAAGCGCTCCTTTGTGAGACAGACAGACAGACACACACACACACACACCCCTACCTGCCTGTGAAATTCCTCTCCATGTACCTAACTCCAATTCTGCCTGCCTATCTGCAAGATCATCCCCAAGGCAGGACTGTGCTCCAGGCCTCTACAGTGGTGCCTGCATTCCATGGGTGACATACATGCACATGCACACATGCACACAAACACACTCGGGCACATGCACGCACACACAGGACACACAGGTAACTGCACTGTATCCCCTGCTGCCCCTTGCACTTGGTGGACAGTCAATAAGTATCTGCTGAATTCGATTAAATGGGATGGTTTGCCTAAATGCTTAGGAGTCTTGGGGTAATTGATGGAATAAAATGCCCTGGCCAATTCAAAGCAAAAAAATATATAAGACACAATTCAAGAAAAATAGTGGAGTGTAAAGGGGTCTCCTAGCTGGGCAACCTCAAAGAAACCCATTTTGCCGTCCCCTTTCTTCATGGGATGACTGAGGCTAACCACGCCCAGCTGGCTTCATTCACCCCAGGGAGCCTGTGAAGATTCAACAAGATAACATTCAGGAGGCGCCCAGCACGGGGCCTGGCACACAGATGCTACTTGGCCAGGACCAGCTCTGTATTTTCACCTGGTCCAAGGGCACACACACTCAGTCATCAGCAGTCAAAGGACAAGCAGGCAGGCGCCATCACTCAGTGGTTTTCAAACCTCTTTGACCAGGACCCACAGTAAGAAATGTCTTACACAAATTACACACTGTTGCAATGAAAGTTCCACAAAACACTTATTCTCAGGATGAGGTTGCACACTGACGCTTGTGTCTTTCATCTCTGTTTCATTTCTAAGCTGATCTCACAACTGCTTCCAGGGAAGTTGGGAAAAGCCCTGCCCTCACTCACCCAGAGTGTCAGAGCCGCTCTCCACCGTCTCGTTGACCTTCCTTGCTACTCTGGCCACGGCCTCACCCATCTTCTTCAGCATGCAGACACAGGTGTCCTGCCGCCAGCCCCCAGGCTGGTCTGCTTCTCACAAAAGGGCCTGAGCCTGGGGAAGACGCAGTGCCATGAAGTGCCCGCCTGCCAGCCAGGGGCCCACCCAGGCATCCCCCTCCAGCATCCTTCTCCCCCAGGACCCAGGCTGTCAGGAAGCCTGCAGGGAGGGCCCCAGGCCACTCACCTCCTCTTGCAGGGCCGAGAGCTCAGGCCACATCCAGCTTGGCCTTTGCACAAGCTGGTCTGCCAGTCTGGCAGCTGGGTTCTACTGGTTTTCTGGGAGGATCAACATGTGTGACCTCACCAGACATGGGGACCAGGTCTGAGCCAGCAGCCAGGGAGGTGTGAGGACTCAGGGGTGTGCTGGCCTGTGATTCACTCTATAGGCAGGGCATTGGGAAGGAGGTAGGGCGCAGCCAACTGCAGGAGAAAGACACCTGTCCCTCCATCCCACAGCCTCTAAGCTGGTCCCCTGTCCACACCCTGCCCAGGACAATTTCCCCAGCTCCCCTGTTCACCCCACCCATATCTGCCTTGTGCATGGCAGGAAGTGGGGACACGAAGGCAAATCAGAGCCCTGTGATCCCATCAGAACACACGGACTGGCGGTGGGTGGTCTCTAAGAATTCCTTTCCCATGTGCCAACAGGAAGGAGAGGTTACAGTACTAGCCTGCAGACCTGATTATCAGCCTGATGCTGAGTTTATCTGCAAGAAAAGCGGGCAGGGGCCGGGGGGTGGAGATGGAAATGAGAGAAGAGAAATTGGATCACTAGAGGAAAAGAGACTGAAAGAAAGGTGAGGAAAACAAAATGATAAGGTGTTAAGACATAAGGACTTGCAAACACCCTCAACTCCCTGTTTATTACAGAGAAGGAAATGAGCACAGAGAGGGGCTAGGTGACCTGGCCAAGGTCAAAGTGAGTAAGCGGCAAGAATAGGGTCAGCCCAGCTCCATAGCCAGTGCTCACTTTTTTATAAAAATAGCAGCACCCCATAGAGAGAGGAATGAGCTCAAGTCCAAGGTCAGCACCCCTTCTTTGCCCCCAGACCCCAGTCCCAGCTTCACAGACAGCTCAAGAAGCTCCAGTGAACTCACTCCAAGGGCCAAAGGCAGAAGAAGGCGAAGGGCAGAGAGAAGGGGCATGGGGACAGTGCTAAGAGCTAACAGTCACCAAGAAAAAGTTCCCACGTGGTCAACTGGACAAGCAGGGCAGGCAAGGCCAAGCCAGGGCTGGCCAAGCCCACCCATCTGCTTCAGGGAGTTACTGTGAGTTTAGTATGTGTGTGCATTTCCACTAAAGAGGCTGACACTAAAGGTTTGAGACACACACATACAGAACAGTGGGAAAACACTGATTTTGGAGACAGGTCAAATGCTCAACACCCCCATTTATTGGCTGAGAGGCCTTGGGAGAGTTTCTTAACTCCTCTGAGCCTGTTTCTTCTTCATGTGAATAGGAGATCTAGTAATACCCAACTTGCTAGGTTAATATGAGGATTGAGAGCACAAAATGTATACACCTGTCTAGCTCAGAGCCCAGGACACGTAAATACTCAATAAAAGTTAAGAGGATAAAGCAGTGCATATGTGGATGTAACAGCAGCATATAACCCCAGTTTAATACTCATGTGAGTCTGAACAAAACACTGAGGGAACTCATCTTTGAGGAATGAGTGGAATTTCTATCTGTCCACCTCCAGGAAATCTCCTCTTATTGCCTCAGTGTTCTCTCCTTCCTCTGAGTTTCAGTAGCACTTAATGACTTAGCACAAGTCACCTGGATTATTTATGAGCTTTTAAATATACACTTGTCAGCCGGGCGCAGTGACTCATGCCTGTAATCCCAGCACTTTAGGAGGCCTAGGCGGGTGGATCACTTGAGGTCGGGAGTTGGAAACCAGCCTGACCAACATGGTAAAACTCCGTCTCTACTAAAAATACAAAAAAAAAAAAAAATGGTCGGGCATGGTGGCTCACACCTGTAATCCCAGCACTTTGGAAGGCCGAGGTGGGCAGATCACCTAAGGTCAGGAATGCAAGACCAGCCTGGCCAACGTGGTAAAACTCCATCTCTACTAAAAATACAAAAATTAGCTGGGCGTGGTGGCGGGCGCCTCGGGAAGCTGAGGCAGGAGAATCACTTGAACCCAGGAGGCAGAGGTTGCAGTGAGCCGAGATTGTGTCATTGCACTCCAGCCTGGGCAACAAAGAGTGAACCTCGCGCTCAAAAAAAAAAAAAAAAAAAAAAATTAGCCAGGCATGGTCGCACATGCCTGTAATCCCAGCTACTCAGGAGGCTGAGGCAGGAGAATCGCTTGAACCCAGGAGGCGGAGGTTGCAGTGAGCCGAGATCGTCCCATTGCACTCCAGCCTGGGTGACAAGAGCAAAGCTCTGTCTCAAAAATAAATAAATCAACAAACCAACACTTGTCTCCCCCATTGACCTGTGGGCAGCTTGGGGCCAGGGAATAGACCTATACTGTGCTTCTCTCCACACACTGAACACAGGTGCTTAGTTAGTATCCCCTAATGGTGAAGATCAACAGACATCATTTGTGTTTCCAATCTGAATACAGGTCAAGAGACTCTTACAACAAATCTAAGACACTGTCTAAATTGAGAAGGGTCAAAAACCAAATGCCTAATAGTGCCAGGTGGCCAATCTGCATAAGGCGAGCCAGTGCAGGGCAGAAGGGAATAGAAAGGACTGTGGCAAACTGGACCCAACAACTTCACCATGCTGCCTCGAAGACCGTACCCCTAAGCCTAAATCATAGCCATGTTGCTAGCATCTTGGTGACTTGTTCTAACCACTTTATGAATGGGAAAGCTGAGGACCCAAGAGGGGAGGCAAATCAGCTAGATGAAAACAAAAAACCCAGGTATCCTAAGTCCAAGCCTAGGACTCTTCCCACCATTCCATGCTCCCTCCTTTCTCCATCTCCAATTCATCATCAATAATCATAAACATTTACTGAGCATCTCCTAGGTATGAGGGATAAGAAGGAAGAGGGAGAAAGAAATGCAGGAAGCAGCTCCGACTTGCGATTCTGATGAGGAAGAGCTTTCTGAAGAACAGCACTGAAGCAATCCTGGCCTCACAGCAGAGAGGGAAAGGAAGGGAAGCCACCAAGCTGCCCAGGGTAGGGGGTAGGCCTGGTGGGATCACCTGGGCTGAATATTTTCAATCAGGCACTATGCCTGCAATTCTACTAGCTACCACCAGATGGGGAGGTGGTGCCTTAGACCAGCGGTCCCCATCCTTTTCGGTTTCCTGGAAGACAATTTTTCCCACTGTAGTGGGAGAGGAATGAAACTATTCCACCTCACATCATCAGGCATTAGATTCTCCATAAGGAGCACACAACCTAGATCCATCGCATTCGCAGTTCGCAATAGGGTTCAGGCTCCTAGGAGAATCTAATGCGGCCGCTGGTCTGACAGGACGCAGAGTTCAGGCGGTAATGCTTACTGGTGCTCACCTCCTGCTGTGCAGCCGGGTTCCTCACAAGCCACGGACCTATGCCATCCACAGCCCAGGGGTTGAGGACCCTTGCCTTAGACCACTGATGAAAACTAGTCAGATTAAAAATTTCACCACTGGTGGCAAGTTCAGACGTCCTATTGTGTGGGTCAGAGTGTACACAGGTACAGGAACAGAAACAACATGTAAAGTCTAGGTGTCAGGGCAATTCAGTAGGAAGAAGGGCCCCTTCCTTCTATGCCAGAGGATGGAGGATGCTCTGAGTACAGCAAAAATGTGCTCGGGACCCCCAAAAGGTTCCCGCTGCTTAAAATCACCACGCTTATTAACTAGCTAGGAAGCCATCCTCCCTTCACCTAAAACTGCCCCTTTCTCCACAAGGAAGAATTGTTTCATGAAGTCCAGCTGACAGGCCTGAGCTCCTCAGGGTACCTGGTCAATGCCATCTGCAGGGATGGTGGTAGTGGAGAGTCACAGAGTGTTCCAAAAGGCAGAAACAGACACCATCAGCCCACATGGGCCAGATCGCCGCTTGGGGCACCCCAGCCAGCTGGCACTACTGGCCCCAGCCAGTCCCAGGCAATAGAGGGTAGGCCTTAGAAAATGTCAGGGAAAGCACTCCAAATCCCAGAGACACTTCAGCACAGGGTCGAAGCTCATACTCACACTGCCTACATCCTCAAAGCATGGCCCTCTCCACACACCCTCAACCCCATTCCTCAGAGTGAGCATCCTGGTCCGGTGAAATGTTTAAATCCAGCAAACGTCTCCTGGACACCTTCCATAAGGCCCCCACTGTGGGAGTAAAGGGGCAGAGACTGGGTATGGGCTAGAACAAGCTTCCCACTGGGAGGCAGGATGAGCCTGATAGTAGTAAGGCTACAGGGCCAGGCCTAGGGGGGCATGAAGGCACATGGCATGGCCAGGGGGAAGGGACAGGGGTGAGCAGCAGGTGCACAAAGAGATTCAGGAGAGAGAGAGACAGGGAGCCAATGGGCTCCCAGATTACTGAGGAAGGGAACTGCAGCCCTCTTACAAGGCTGTCCTCTGCTTCTGTGTAGCGAACTAAGAGAAGTTTTTTGAGGAAGGCAGCCTAATCCATAGTTTTGCAAAGTTAACAGTGTTGTGAGCAGTCCCATTTGTAAAATGGAAATACCACCTTCCTCACCGGATTATTGTGGGAAGTAACTGATATGTAACTTTTGGGAAAGGACTTTGCGAACCATTACATGTTTCCCACACCAAGGCATTACCAGTAGGTAATCAAACAGGTGTAGAGAGGAAGTTTGGATGTAATAAATTCAATGCCAGACAAAAACGTTGTCCTGCTTTGGGGGAGCTGGCAATACAGCCCTCCTGTCCCTATAACCTGGTTTCACCTGGACTCAGGCTGGCTGGGGGAGGGGTGATTTTTGCTTAAACCCTGACCTGGCCCCCTGACTCCAGCCCTTACCATCAATAACTCTACCTTATCTGCAGTCCGGAGACCTCTGCAAAGGAGCCGCTGCGACAGCCCGTCCCCACCATCTGCTCCTATATTTAGTTACTGGTGTTGTCAGTTGGGAACGTTAGAGCCTGGCAGGGGCTCGGATGGGCAACCGGAGCCTCCGGAGCCATGTGTGCAAGCTGGCCCTACCGCTGGCTCCAGCCCGGGCTCTGGACCATGCCAAGCCGGGGAGCGGGTGGGGAGGTGAGGAGCGACCCAAATAGTCCCAAACCCCCCTTCAGATCAGAACGAAGTTGACCCACTTCCCCACCCCAGGGAAAGAAGCCCGCTGGGACGTGAGCGGGACCTGCTGGCGCCTTGTTTTTGTGGCATGGGGTTCGGGAAGCTCAGCGCGTGCTCCCTCGCTAACATCTAGGCATCCTCGGACTGAGCCTCCAGCACTACGCGCGGTAGCCAGGCAAGGGTCCCCCAGCCCCGCGTGCCAGGATCCGCCTCACCCCCGGTGCCTGCAGCCAATGGCACCTCGTCCGCTGGCCCGGCAGGCGGGGACTGGGAGAATAAAGCTGGCAGAGGGAAGAATGGTAGTGATCGCAGAGGCCCCGGGGCTCCCACGCTGCCCGGAGGCCGAGAGGCACGCTCTGGAGCAGGCGTCTGCAGCTCCCCAGAGCGGAAGCAAACCCCGAAAGTGTCGCTTCGGGGACGAAATGCACAGCAGCCTCTCCAAGCAAGGGCGCCTCCCGCGAGGAATGGAGGCCCGCCTGGGAGCGGTTCTCCGAGCTCCCTATTCCCTGGCACCTCTGCACCCACTCCCCTGAACCATCGGGGTCCAGGTGCAGTGAGCAAGCAAGAGCCCGCGCATGCCGAGCCCCTTGGCACCGCCAGAGCCTCCGCTGGTGCACCGCTGCTCTTTTCCACCGGGTGACCTGGGGGAGGGGAGGGGACGCTGCAAAAATCGGAACACTTCTCGCCCTCTCTCCCCCAGCCCCTGCAACGCTTGACCTCGGACTACATTTACTTTGCGGGGCAAGAAGCGTGTGGTCCCGCTCCGGGCCGCTTTTGGCTCCACTTACGGCGACAATGCCTCCTAGCGCCCTGCGCAGCGCAGTCACGCTCCCTCCGCCGCCGGCGGCGCCCCAGGCGAGTTCCGAGCCGGCGGGGCGGGGCGCGCGGGGCTGCGGGATCTGCGCGCGCGGCCACTCCGCCAATCCCGGCGCCAGGACCGGCGCCGCGGCGGGAGCAGGCTGGGCTCGGGATGCGCTCAGCCAATCAGTGGGGGAGCGGCGCGCGCGGGGGTGGCGCGCGGAAGGGCAGCCCGCGCGCTCCCGGCCGCAGGGAGTAACCGCTTTGTGTGCTGCTTCTAGAGGGAGAACGCCTGAGGGGGCGGAGATACAGAGTGGGACGCGCAGTACATCCCAGGATCTCTAGGACCGGGGCTCCAGATTGGGTTTTCTCGAGGGAATGGAGTTGAATTAGCCAGATCAGGGATACTTTGAAACACGTGAACATGGAGCATAGGGAAATTTTCCTATGATGACTTCGGGTGCCCATTGAGGTTTTTAGTATATGCAAGGCCCTGTGTCTCGGCCCTGCGTCTCCAATCCTAATGTTCTCATCTATAAAATATGACTTGAGGGCGGGGCGCGGCGACTCACGCCTGTAATCCCAGCACTTTGGGAGGCCGAGGTAGACGGATCACCTGAGGTCGGGAGTTCGAGACCAGCCTGGCCAACATGGCAAAACCCCCGTCTCTACTAAAAATACAAAAATTAGCCGGGCGTGGTGGCAGGCGCCTGTAGCCGCAGCTACTCGGGATGCTGAGGCAGGAGAATCGCTTGAACCCGGGAGGCGGAGGTTGCAGTGAGCCGAGATGGGCACTCCAACCTGAGTGGACAGAGTGAGACTCTGTCTCAAAGAAAAAAAAAAGAATATTTAATTCCGCCTCTAGGGGGTCTAGGCAGTCAAAGAACACACATTCCCTTGGGCCTCGATGGATGTTAAGGGTTACTTATGCCCTCTCCACCCCCAACAATATGTTAAAGTTCATCAGAATGTGATCTTATTTGGAAGTAGGGCCGTTGCAGATGTAATGAGTTAAGGTCATGCTGGAGTAGGGCGGGCCCCTAATCCACTGAGACTGGTGTCGTTGTAAGAGAAGAGACACAGAAGAGACGCACAGGGAGAACCACCTGTGGTGATGGCGGCAGGGATCAGCTGATGCATTTCCAAGGCCAGGAGTGCCAAGCACTGCCAGCAGGGACCAGAAGCTAGGAACGGGCAGGGAATAATTCCTCCTTCAGAGCCTCCAAAAAGGAACTAACCCTCCAGACACCTTGATTTTGGACTTAATAGCTTCCAGAGCTGTAAGTGAATAAATTTCTGTTGCCACCCAGTTTATGTCCATTTGTTATAGCAGCCCTAGGAAAAAACTACAATAGGTTAGTAGGAATAAAGAGAAGAGGATGATAAATATCTCCAAAGTAAGTCTTTTGAAACTGATTGCTTAGTATATGCAAAGCCTTGTGTCTTGGGGTATACTGACATGAATCAGACACAGACCCTGCCCTCAAGGGGTTACCAGTCAAGTGGATACTTAAGCAGCCATGTTTTCTGACCCCTTGTGCCTTCCCAGGGAAAACTATGGAGATCTCTCTCAACCCATCAACACCACATCCCTGCCAGATATATAGCAAGTACCAGATATAAATAACTAATGGGTAGAGTCCCATTCTGCCCAAGCCGAGATGCTGCTTGCCACTGTGGACAAAGCAGGCATAGCTACTTCTGTTTTCACTGAAAACCAGCATGACACTTCTACCCAACTTTTACACGTGGATGTCTTCTCTCCTCTGCTAGTCCATACGCAGACTTGAGACAGCCAGTACAGTGTTTCTGTACCCATGGTAAGGGCTCAGTATATACTGCTGGCTGATGGCCCCAGCCTGGGGTTTCCAACATTCATACTTTCCCTCAGACAGTCCCCTGTCCCAGGCAGTTCATCCTGGACCCTCTAACTCCACAGAGACAAGATCCCTCCCTAGCTCAAATCCACCTCTTCTATTCCTACTGTTTTTGCTTCTCCAGAGCACTTAGTGCATTATACCCATTATTCTATCATCTCTGCACAAGTCTTTACTCCCGAGAGTCTGCCTGATTGCAAATACCAGAGCTTGACGCATGTTCAGTGCTTGTATCCATCAGTGTTTCCTGCATAATAAAACACCCCAAAACTTAGTTGTGGCTTAAAACAATAACTACTTATTTAGTTCATGATTTTATGGGTCAGTATTTGAGGCTGGGCTTAGCTGGGCAGTTCTTCTGGTCTCAGCTGGACTCCCTCATGCATCCGGGTTCATCGCCAGGCAGTCAGAAGGCTCTGCTTCTGGGAAGTGGCTAGCTGCCAACTGAGGCAAGTAGGTCGCATGTCTCTCATCTACTAACAGGCTAGCCTAATTTGTTCACATGGAGCTGCAGGGCTCCGAGAGCACGAGTGGAATGGTGCAAGGTCTCTCAAAGTCTAGGCTCAAAATCGGCACTAGTCCACTTCCACAGTTGTATCGACTAAACCAAATGGCAAGGCCAACCCAGGTTCGAGGGTGAAGAAATAGACTCCATCTCCTGATGGGAGAAGCAGCGAAGTCACATTGCAAAGAATATGAGTACAGGGATGAGCAGAGAGTTGGGGCTAATTTTGTAATCTGTCACAGGACTCCATAAGTATTCTTGGGCTGGGCTCTGTGGCTCACGCCTGTAATCCCAGCACTTTGGGAGGCTGAGGCGGGAGGATCACTTGAGCTCACGAGTTCGAGAGCAGCCTGGCAACACGGTGAAACCCCATCTCTACAAAAAATACAAAAAGTAGCCGGGCATGGTGGCTTGGGCCTGTAGTCCCAGCTACTCAGGAGGCCGAGGTGGGAGGATAGCTTGAGCCCTAGAGCCCAGGAGGAAGACCAGGTCTCAAAAAAAAAAAAAGTATTCTCACAATACCTATTGGGTACTCAGAAAATACTTATCAACAGTGGTAAGATTTTCAGTCACTATGTTTACTGACTCCATTCAATGCAGTCAATTGGCAAAATATTATCCCTCACTGTTAGGGTCTACAAGCCTCACACCGTTCGTGGCCATTTTCAGTTTCAGAACAGCCAGTGAGGGAATCAGCGAGGTAGGGCTGTGCAAGGGAAGGCCCTGAGGCTTCTCGGTGAAGAAGCTCAACTGGCCCCAAACAAATAGTCTCCTCCGAGGAGATCCAGAGCATCTTTAGAGGCCTGGACCCCTTAGCAAGGTGGTCCAAGCCTGGCCACCTGAGTCAGAAGCTGTACACCCTGAACAGACTCGGATGTTTGCCAGGGCTTGGCTACAGCCTCCGGAGATGTTTGAAATCCTTGCAAATTACTTGCAGATAGGAAGAGTCTTGTGCTAAGACAAAATTGTTCTGTGGTTATTCCCTGAAGGGTCTGACCCCCACTGGGCAGGATAAATTCTCAGGGCACTTGTAAAAGGGACAGTATCCCATTGACAGAGTCAGCATCTCAACTCCTGTGACTGAAGACCCTGATAGAGTCTACTTCTCATCAAAGAACTTCTAGGCCTGCTAATTAGTTAATTTGTGCGCCCACCCCACATCCACCAGAAAAAAAAAAAGATATGTTGTAGTCCTAACCCCTAGTACCTCAGAATGTGGCCTCACTTGGAGGTAGCGTCTTTACAGAAGGAATCAAGTTAAAATTGAAGTCATTAGGGTGGGTCCTAATCCAATATGATTGGTGTCCTTATAAGAAGTGGTTATTGGTAGACAGGCAGACATGCATAGAGGGAAGATCATGTGAAGAGACACTGGGAGAAGATGGCCATCTACAAGCTAAAGAGAAAGGCTTGGTACAGGTCCTTCCCTCACAGCTCTCAGAAGGACCCAACGAATACCTTGATTTCAGATTTCTAGACTCCAGAACTGTGAGACAATGAATTTCTGTTGGTAAGATACCTGGCCTGCGGCACTTTGTTGCAGTAGCTGTAATACAATATAAAACTGTAAATTTCTCCTTTTCCATTCTATTCTCCTCATATTGGCCCTTATCTCACACTTCTTGAAAGAAAATCATCTTTGCCAGGTGCGGTGGCTCATGCCTGTAATCCCAGCACTTTGGGAGGCTGAGGCGGGTGGAACACCTGAGGTCAGGAGTTCAAGGCCAGCCTGGCCAACATAGTGAAACCCCATCTCTACTAAAAATAGAAAAAATTAGCTGGGTGTGGTGGTGGGTGCCTGTAATCCCAGCTACTAGGGAGGCTGAGGCAGGAGAATTGCTTTAACCCAGGAGGCAGAGGTTGCAGTAAGCCGAGACTGTGCCATTGCACTCCAGCCTGGGCAACAAGAGTGAAACTCCATCTCAAAAAAAAAAAAAAAAAAAGCAAGAAAGTAGAGAGGTAAGGGAGGGAGGAAGGGAAGGAGAGAGAGAGAGAAAGACAGAAAAGAAAAGAAAAGAAAAGAAAAGAGAAGAGGCCGGGCACAGTGGCTGACGCCTGTAATCCCAGCACTTTGGGAGGCCGAGGTGGGCAGATCACCTGAGGTCAGGAGTTTGAGACCAGCCTGGCCAATATGGTGAAACCCTGTCTCTACTAAAAATACAAAAATTAGCCGGGCGCGGTGGCAGGCACCTGTAATTCCAGCTACTTGGGAGGCTGAGGCAGGGGAATTGCTTGAACCCGGGAGGCAAAGGCTGCAGTGAGCCAAAATTGGGCCATTGCACTCCAGCCTGGGTGACAAGAGCAAAACTCCGTCCCCAAAAAAAAAAAAAAAAAAAGGAAGGGAGGGAGGGAGGGAGGAAGGGAGGAAGGAACATTTAAATAAAAACGAACCGAGAAGGTCCTTCCTTCCACAGGTGTGAGTCAGACCCTGCCCCGACACATCATCCTGTTTCTCACTCTGTCCTCCACCTGGGGCCGCACCTCTCCCTGGAGCTGAGCTACCGACAGCCAGGAACTAGAGGTAACTCCAAGTCACTGCCATCCTAAGGCAGAAGAGTAGTTCCCCCAGTACCTCTTCCAGAAGGTTCAGCCTGTTGAGAGGTGCCCACCCCTCTTACCCTGCCAGGTACTGCAGGTTTACGAAAATTAGCAAGAAGTAGTCAAATTAGCAAGAACTCAAGGCAGTTGTGCTCTGCTATGGAAAATACGATTCTAATCAAAGGTGACTCAAGAGGCATTTCTCAAGCGTCAGTTGTTGCCATACCACCTTCCTGATTTTTGCTATATCTGAGCCCCACCCAGTGGTGAGCTGGAGTCACTTGTGCAGACTTGGAGCTTGCTCCTTCTGCCCATTTTTTCCCAGCTCTGGGTACAGTGCCATCACCTGGATTACTAGAAATAGGCATGGTGGAAGAACTTACACCATAGAAATCAGCACACACTACAAATCATGACTTTTTTTTTTTTTCTGAAGGAAATGCTTTACCAACACACCATAGTATTATTTACTTATATTTTTCCTTCAACTCACTTTTTAACTTAAAAAAACATTTATTTTTAAAAAGGAATTTTATATCATTCCACAAGTGGAACATAGTATCATTTGCCATAGATAAAAAGTAACCTTAAAAATAGGGCCTTGGGGCTGGGCCCAGTGGCTCATGCCTGTAATCCCAGCACTTTGGGAGGCTGAGGCAGGTGAATCACTTCAGGTCAGGAGTTTGAGACCAGCCTGGCCAACATGGTGAAATCCTGTCTCTACTAAAATTACAAAAATTAGCTGGGTTTGGTGGCGTGCACCTGTAGTCCCGGCTACTTGGGAGGTTGAGGCACGAGAATCGCTTGAACCCAGGAGGCAGAGGTTGCAGTGAGCAGAAATCACACCACTGCACTCCAGCCTGGGCAATGGAGGGAGACTCCACCTCGAAAAAAAAAAAAAAAAAACATATATATATATATATATATATATATATATATGGGCTTGGTTGGGTGTAGTGGCTCACACTTGTAATCCTAGCACTTTGGGAGGCCTAGGTGGGCGGATCACACGAGGTCATGAGTTCAAGACCAGCCTGGCCGACCTGGTGAAACCCCATCTCTACTAAAAATACAAAAATTAGCCAGGTGTGGTGGCACACGCCTGTAGTCCCAGCTACTCAGGAGGCTGAGGCAGGAGAATCCCTTGAACCTGGGAGGTGGAGGCTACAGTGAGTAGAGATCACGCCACTGCACTACAGCCTGGGTGACAGAGTGAGACTCTGTCTCAAAAAAAAAAAAAAAAAAAAAGGCAGAGTCAGTCTTTTAGAATCCAGTCCTGGTTGTGACATCTATACTTGAAACTGCCTTTGCTAAGTTATAACTGAGGAAATTATGACAGTGAAAGAAATCACACCTAACCGACTCTATCTTGCTTCTAATCTTTAAGCTGTCCTTGTTCATGCCTGGGCGTAGGCTGAACTAACTTTGGGAAGGAATTCAGTTCGTGATTTTACTCCGAAACAAAATTGATAATAGCCCTTTCCCGAAAAGACTCCCTTCTTGTGGCCGGGCACGGTGGCTCACGCCTGTAATCCCAGCACTTTGGGAGCCCGAGGCAGGCAGATCACGAGATCAGTAGTTCGAGACCAGCCTGACCGACATGGTGAAACCCCGTCTCTACTGAAAATACAAAAATTAGCCGGGCGTGGTGGTGCACACCTGTAATCCCAGCTACTCAGGAGGCTAAGGCAGGAGAATTGCTTGAACCCAGGAGGCGGAGGTTGCGGTGAGCCGGGATCATGCCACTGCACTCCAGCCTGGGTGACAGAGTGAGACTCTGTCTACAAAAAAAAAAAAAAAAAAAAAAAGACTCCTTTCTTGCCAGGGACCAGTCTGCCTTTGCAGGACTAACAAATTAGCTACAAGATTAGAAATTACAATTTAGGGGGGTGCCCGCGAACCAACGGTTAGCGGTGGCAGGGGCTGACTGAGAGCGTCTGCTTGATAATGGATTCTGAATTAATGCATAGTATAGTAGGAAGCTATCATAAACCTCCAGAAAGAGTATTTGTTCCCTCATTCACCCAGAATGAACCATCTCAGAATTGCCATCCTGCGAACTTAGAAGTTACCTCTCCTAAGATACTTCATAGCCCAAATAGCCAAGCTCTTATTTTAGCCTTAAAAACTCTTCAGGAAAAAATTCATTGTTTAGAGCTGGAGAGAACACAAGCTGAAGATGACCTGAACATTCTTTCCAGAGAAGCAGCACAGTATAAGAAGGCCTTAGAGAATGAAACAAATGAGAGAAATCTAGCACATCAGGAGCTGATAAAGCAGAAAAAAGATGTAAGTATACAGTTAAGCTCAGCCCAGTCTCGTTGCACTCTTCTAGAGAAGCAACTAGAATATACAAAGAGAATGGTTCTCAATGTAGAGCGAGAAAAGAACATGATCCTAGAACAACAGGCCCAGCTTCAGAGGGAAAAAGAACAAGATCAGATGAAGCTGTATGCAAAACTTGACAAGCTTGATGTCTTAGAAAAAGAGTGTTTTAGACTTACAACAACTCAGAAAACTGCTGAGGACAAGATTAAACATTTAGAAGAAAAACTTAAGGAAGAAGAACATCAGCGTAAGCTATTTCAAGACAAAGCTTCTGAGCTTCAAACTGGACTTGAAATCAGTAAAATTATGTCTTCAGTTTCAAATTTAAAGCACTCCAAGGAAAAGAAGAAATCTTCAAAGAAAACTAAATGTATAAAGAGAGGACCACCTTGGCAAATTTGTTCAAAGTTTGGAGCACTGCCTTTTGTGGCTGAAAAGATGAGGCAACATCGTGACCCACATATCCTTCAGAAACCTTTTAACGTGACTGAGACTAGATGTCTCCCCAAGCCTTCTAGAACAACTGCCTGGTGTAAAGCTATTACTCCTGACTCAGAAAAGTCCATTTCCATTTGTGACAATTTATCTGAACTTTTGATGGCAATGCAAGATGAGCTGGACCAAATGAGCATGGAGCACTAAGAACTACTCAAACAAATGAAGGAAACTGAAAGCCATTCAGTCTGTGACGAGATAGAATGTGAACTAGAGTGTTTAGTCAAGAAAATGGAAATTAAAGGAGAACAAATCTCCGAACTCAAGAAGCATCAAGACAGTGTAAGAAGGCTTTAGTAAGAGATTTTAATAAAAAGATAAAATATCTGGGAAAAAAAAAAGAAATTACAGTGTAGGGGTCATGCAACCTTTGGCTCCAAGAGTCTGAACCTCCCCAAATTGCTCCTGGGGGTAACATCACTATTGTAAAACCTAAGATCAGTGCTTGAGATATTTTCCAGACCCTGCACTCGATGGATCAGCTGACACCACCCAGACAGGTAGTCTGGCTCAACCAGTTCTGCCATTGCACCCAGGAACAGAAGATGGCAAGAAAACCTCACTTTAACACCCTATGACTTCATCTCCATTCTAACCAATCAGCACTCCCCACTTCCCAAGCGCCTACCTGCCAAATTATCTTTAAAGACTCTGATCTCCGAATGTTCAGGGAGACTGATTTGAGTAATAATTAAACTCTGGTCTCCTGCACAGCTGGCTCTGTGTGAATTACTCTATCTCCATTGCAATTCCCCTGTCTTGATAAAGCGGCTGTGTCTAGGCAGCAGGCAAGGTGAACCTATCGGGCGGTTAAATACTCTTGTCCTATTCAATAGAAGCAAGTCACTAGGTCCAGCCCACACTCAAGGGGACTGAATTACACAGGGCAAGAATACCAGGAGGTTGAAACCACTGGGAACCATGTCAGCTGGTGCCAATCACAGTGGCTAATACCAACATTTCTTTTCTTTTTTTTTTTTTTTTTCTGAGACAGAGTCTCACTCTGTCGCCCAGGCTGGAGTGCAGTGGCCCCTGATCTCGGCTCACTGCAAGCTCCGCCTCCCAATACCAACATTTCTTATAAATGGAATAGACTAAAGAAACATGTGGTGGCTCACGCTTGTAATCCCAGGATTTTGGCAGGCTGAGATGGGCGGATCACTTGAGGTCAGGAGTTCGAAACCAGCCTGGCCAACATGGCAAAACCCCATCTCTACTAAAAATACAAAAAAAAAAAAAAATAGCAAAAGAACATTTCCCCTGTGCATCCATTGCTCCTTTCCCTTTTGCCTGTTTTTGTTTGTTTGTTTGTGTTTGTTTTTGTTTTTTTTAAAGCCATACAGAGCCAACAGATACGTCACAGTCTTTCAGGTTCTCCCTATGGGACTAAGAGGCAGAAAAGACAGAAACAGAGAGAGGCACGTAAATATTTAAGAGAAAGAAAAGACAAGTCATTGTAACTGATTAGATATGAGGAGTAAGGAAAAAGAGGAATTGAGGTTGACCTTTAGTTTTTGGCTGGAATGATCAGAAGGATCGTGATGTCATGTACCAAGAGAGGGCATGCAGGGGAGGGGGGAACTGGCACGGGGAGACAGCAGGCTTTATTTAGGAGACATCCACTTAGAGGGACACCCAGAGGAAGTTAGATATCTGAGCTGGGGGCTTAGCAAGGAATCTAGGCTGAAGCTACAGATTTGGGAACCATTGGAAGAAGCTGAAGCAACAGGAGTGGGTAGGCTCACCTGAGGGAGGTGTGGAGTGAGAAAAGAAGAAGACCAAGGGCAAAACCTGGGGAACATCAACATTTCTGTGAGGGGCACTAGAGCAGCAGACGAGATAAAGACCAAAAAGGGCAGGGCGTGGTGGCTTATGCCTGTAATCCCAGCACTTTGAGGGGCCAAGACAGGAGGATCATTTTGTTGTGGGAAACAGAGGACCAGAGAGACAGATATGGGAAACAGGAGGATTTATTTATTAACAGGACTTTTATAACAGTTTGTGCCCAGGAGTTCGCTGCACAGCCTTGGCAGTATAGTGAGACCTCATATCTCTCTCTATATATATATAAAAAAAAATTCTTTTTTTTTTTTTTTTTGAGATGGAGTTTCACTCTGTCACCCAGGCTGGAGTGCAATGGTGTGATCTTGGCTCACTGCAACCTCTGCCTCCTAGGTTCAAGTGATTCTCCTGCCTCAGCCTCCCAAGTAGCTGGGATTATAGGCACCTGCTACCATGCCTGGCTAATTTTTGTAGTTTTTAGTAGAGACGGGGCTTCACCATGTTGGCCAGGCTAGTCTCCAATTCCTGACCTCAGGTGATCCTCTCGCCTTGGCATCCCAAAGTGCTGGGATTACAGGTGACTCACCATGCCCAGCCAAAATTTTTTTAAAAAATTAGCCAGATGTGGCCAGGCATGGTGGCTCACGCCTGTAATCCCAGCACTTTGGGAGGCTGAGGCGGGCAGATCACAAGATCAGGAGATCGAGACCATCCTGGCCAATGTGGTGAAGCCTCGTCTCTACTAAAAATACAAAAAAAAATTAGCTGGGTGTGGTGGTGTGTGCCTGTAATCCCAGCTACTCGGGAGGCTGAGGCAGGAGACTCACTTGAACCCGGGAGTTGGAGACTGCAGTGAGCTGAAATTGCACCACTGCACTCCAGCCTGGTGACAGAGCAAGACTCTGTCTCAAAAAAAAAAAAAAAAAAAATTAGCCAGATGTGGTAGCATGGACCTGTAATCCCAGCTATGTGGGAGGCTGAGGCAGGAGAATTGCTTAAGCCCAGGAAGTCTATGCTGCAGTGAGCCCAGATCACACAGCTGCACTCCAGTCTGGGCAATAGAGGGAGGCCCTGTCTCTATCTACCTATCAGTTGAAGACAGTGGAGAATACAAGACTAAGAATGCTGAAGCCTCTCAACCTTATTTTTATAGCACAAAATGGAGCCTTTTGGATAACCCTCTATCTTAGCTCAGGCCACCATAACAAAATACCATAGACTGGGTAGCTTAAGCAATAGAAATGTACTTTCTCACAGTTCTAGAGGTTGAGAAGTCCAAGACCAAGGTGCTGGCTGATGGTTCCAGTGAGGGCTGTCTTCCTGGTTTGTAGATGGCCACCTTCTTTCTGTGTCCTCACATCATGCTTGCTCCAGGTTCTCTCCCTGTTCTTTTTTTTTTTTTTTTTTTTTTTTTTTTTTTTTTTTTTGAGACAGAGTCTCACTCTGTTGCCAGGCTGGAGTGCAGTGGCATGATCTCGGCTCACTGCAAACTCCGACTCCCTGGTTTAAGCGATTGTCCTGCTCCAGCCTCCTGAGTAGCTGGGATTACAGGCACACGCCACCATGCCCAGCTAATTTTTGTATTTTTAGTAGAGATGGGGTTTCAACATGCTGGCCAGGATGGTCTCAATCTCCTGACCTCGTGATCTGCCTGCCTCGGCCTCCCAAAGTGCTGGGATTACAGGTGTGAGCCACCATGCCTGGCCTCCCTTCCTGTTCTTAAAAGGGCACCAGCCCTATTGGATTAGGGTTCTACCCTTATGGCCTCATTTAACCATAATTAACTTTTTATGGGCCCCATTTCCAAAGACAGTCACTTGGAAGGTTAGGGCTTCAACATAATAATTTTGAGGGGAATTCCTTCCATAGCACCCCATGGACTCACATTTCTATCTATCAGCTATTTGGCATTTTGTGGGCTTTATTAAAACTGCCAAGCTGTAGCTCCCTCCTCCTCATTGCACCCCTCTCTTCTCCCCCTGCATTTCCCTTCTCTGACCATGAAGGTAGAACTCATAGGGAGGATATGGTTAAGAAAGTTACCTGGGGATCAGAATACAAGATGTTCTTCTAGAAGGAACATCTAGATGGAGGAAGGACCCTGGAATTTCCAAGAGAAGCCAAGCCCTGGGGGTGGCTCAGTGTGACTGTTTTATGGAAACATATTCCCATCAAGGATGTTCCCAAACACGCTTTAGCTCCAGTTGTCCAGATATGTCACAATAAAAGTGAGTTTTGGCTGGGCGCAGTGGCTCATGCTTGTAATCCCAGCACTTTGGGAGGTCAAGGTGGGCAGGTCACTTAAGGTCAGGAGTTCGAGATCAGCCTGGCCAACATAGTGAAACCCTGTCTCTACTAAAAATACAAAAATTAGCCAGGTATGGTGCCAGGTGCCTGTAATCCCCAACTACTCAGGAGGCTGAGGCTGGAGAATTGCTTGAACCTAGAAAGCAGAGGTTGCAGTGAGCTGAGATCGCACCACTGTACTCCAGCCTGGTGGCAAAGGGAGACTCTGTCTAAAAAAAAAAAAACAAAAAAACAAAAAAAAAACAGTGAGTTTTTAGGACTACATCATTAAACTTTTCCCTGTGCCATTTTAGCCTCTAACCACTGAGCAATCCAGCCCCTGCCTATCACTCCACTTCTCCTCACTCTGAATGTCCTACAAATCATTTATTTATTCAAAAGATATTTATTGAGCACCTTACATGTGCCAGACACTGTGCTAGTCCCTGAGAAAAAGTGGAGAACATGACAGGCTGCTTTCATAGAACATACAATTTTAGTGGAGGGGCAGATATTAATTGAATCCTCACACAATTATAACTGGACAGGTCATGTGGAGGAGAGGCACACAGGGACATGAAAGCCTATGACAAGGAGATTGGGCCTTGGCAGAGAGGGTAAGGAAGGCTTCCCTGACAAAATGAATCTGACTGGGAAGGGGATTATAAGAGGTGCATAGGAGTCAACTAGGTGAATATTAGAGAATAGTTTAGTTTCCTGTGCTGCATATAAGAAATAATAATGAATTTGCTCAACTTTTTTTTTCAAACAACAAACTCAGTGGTTTAAAATAACACAATTATTATTATTATTATTTTGAGAAGGAGTCTTGTCTGTCACCCAGGTTGGAGTGCAGTGGCGTGATCTTGGCTCACTGCAACCTCCGCCTCCCAGGTTCAAGCAATTCTCCTGTCTCAGTCTCCTGAGTAGCTGGGATTCAGGCGCCCACCACTACACCCAGCTAATTCATATATATATTTTTAATTTTTAAAAAATTTTTATATTTTTAGTATGAATGGAGTTTCGTCATGTTGGCCAGGCTGGTCTTGAACTCCTGACCTCAGGTGATCCACCTGCCTCGGCCTCCCAAAGTGCTGGGATTATAGGTTTGAGCCACAGTACCCAGTGAAAACAACACAATTACTATTATTATTATTATTATTATTTTGAGATGGAGTTTCACTCTTGTTGCCCAGGCTGGAGTGCAATGGCACAATCTCGGCTCACTGCAACCTCCGCCTCCCAGGTTCAAGTGATTTTCCTGCCTCAACCTCCTGAGTAGCTGGGATTACAGGCACACACCACCACACCAGGCTAATTTTTTTGTATTTTTTTAGTAGAGACAAGGTTTCACCATGTTGGCCAGGCTGGCCTCAAACTCCTGACCTCAGTTGATCCACCCACCTCGGCCTCCCAAAGTGCTGGGATTACAGGTGTGAGCCACTGCACCCAGCCCAAAACAACACAATTATTATATTGCAGTTTCTGCAGAAGTGGGTCCCTTGCAATGCTTCAGTTAAGATGTGAGCCAGGGATGAGTTCTCACGTGGAGTCTGCTTCCAGGTTCTCTTGGTTCTTAGCAGAGTTTATTTCCTGTGGCTGTAGGACTCATGTTTATTTAAAGCTAGTGTGCATGACAGAAGAATCTAGAGTGAGTCTACTAGCAAGATGGAGTCTTATATAACTTAATATAAGCACAGGAGTGACATCCCATCGCCTTTGCCATATTGGAATCACAGGCCCCACCCACACTTAAGGGTGTGAGCACCAGGAGGTGGGGATCATGAGGGCAACCTTAAAGTCTGTTCACCACAGAGAACAACCAGGTAAAGGGAATAGCATGTGCAAAGACCCTAGAATGGGAGGAAGCATGGCCTGTTTGAGGAATAGGAGCACAGAAAGTGTGAGAGAGAGGGTGGGAGAGGAGGACAGACCATGCAGGGCCTTATTCAAGATCCCAAGAGTTATGGGGAGCCATGGAAGAAAGAGTGATGATGCAATCCAATCTACATTGTTCGTTATTGCTACCCCACAGCTTCTGAGTCCAGTTCAGTGTGGATGGATGAATTACCCATCCAAATCCAGCCAGAAGATATGGATGCAAGGAGTTGTCACCAAGGCAGGTGGATCCCATGGCTAGATGGGAGCTCCATGAGGTCTACCCTTGTTCATCCCTGAGCCCAAAGCCAGGACCATTCCAGGAGCTGGGCAAATACTTCTGAGTGAATTCATTCATGGATAAATGGAAGCCAAGTAGCTTGTCTAAAGCCTGCATGGAGAATCAGATGCCCAAGAGTCAAGTCAGCATCTTCCACCCTGAATCCAACAGTGCCCACCCAGTCATCGTAAAAATCTGGGCTCACCCAAGAAAAATCTGGGCTCCCCTTTGCCCAGGGGAGCCTCTTACCTCTTGCCTCAACTTGGTGAGCACTTGGCTCCCAGGCTCTGTACGCAATGTTCTTTGCCTTGGGCTGTGGCTGGCACAAGGCAGGGCACACCATTCACTGTTTGGATGACCGTGCATTTCCATCTCAAAAGTGCTCTCTCTGGTTGAGCTCAAGCTATGAAAACCAGCACATCCCACCAGGTGTGGTGTGGCATTAAGCATCCTGCCCACTTCGATGGTTGCTTTCACCTGCAGTCCAGGGGTTATAGGAGTTGTACCCATGAAGAATCTTCTACTAAATATCAGGATGAAGAGGAAGAAAGATATGAATGACAGGTGTTGAATTGTAATAAGTAGGCAGAAAATAATACCGGTTTCAATAGATGACTTTATTAGGCCTATGTAACACTGAGCAAGCTGTACCTCATTTTCTGAAGTCTACAGCTACAGACAAAAGGCATCACCTGACAAGACCTCCAAATGAGGGAAATACTAAAACTCAAGCATGGACCCCTCCAGCATACTGGGCAGACAGACACACTGCTAGCCTGCTGCTCCTCTCCAGCCCTAATGGCCCTGGCACCTTCCTGAATCCAGCTTGGTGCTTAATCGCCTTTCCCGTCAGCCAAGCCTCGGCTAGGCCTGACAGTTAATCCTCAGTAGAGCGCTCTGTGAATGAGGAGTTTTTCCTCCTATTTTTTGGACAACAGGCTCAGAGCTCACGGTCATACAGCAAGCTGGTAGTTAGAGCTAGCATTTAAACCAAGGTATGCCTGATGTCAAAGCCTAGGCACAGTGACATGTTCCAAACAACTGTGAGAGGCCAGAGAAATTTCTAGAGATACAGCAGATCACTTTGGACAAGCTAGCTACTCTGAGGCTGCTTCCTCATTTGTAAAATAGATAGGTATAATAATGCCTACTATGTATGGCAGTGGTATTAGAGGTAAGATCTCTAAAAGACACCTAGCACAGCACCTGACACAACCTGGACACTTAAACATGCTATCTGTTATTATGATCACTTTCTCAACACATTCTGCCTTATATTTCAGGAGCTCAGGAGATGGACACCCCACATTCTTCAGGAGTGCAGGAAGCCAACAGGTGCAGGAGAAAGTGCAGAGGACCACCAACCAGGAGCTTGGGTTCTAGTCCCAGCTCCACCAGGTCCTGGCTATAGGACCTCAGGGAAGTCACTCAACCTCTTTGACCCTCAGCTTCATCTGTAAAATGTACATAAGAATAATAAGCAGGCTGCCTCCATCACTGGGCTGTGGCTCAGCGTAAATGAGGTTAGTTGTTGTTAAAGTGCTTTGTGAAGTGGAAAAGTGTTATCTAAATGTAAGGGGCTATTATCCTTACAATGATACAGATCTAGCATGAGTAGCTACATCACAGAGGGCGGAAACCAGCCTCCCTGTCCCCCTGGGAAAGACAGGACCAGAGGGAACAGGGGCAGCAGGTGAGTGCAGGTGATTAGAAAGAATGGGTTTTGGGAAGCCAAAGTGGCTGAACATTGGAATCGATGACTGCAGAAGGGATACCCCTAGGTCAGGGACACTGGACCACATCCATTTTTTTTTTTTTGAGATGGAGTCTGGCTCTGTCGCCCAGGCTGGAGTGCAGTGGCATAATCTCCACTCACTGCAACCTCCACCTCCCGGGTTCAAGTGATTCTCCTGCCTCAGCCTCCCAAGTAGCTGGGATTATAGGCACCCACCATCATGCTTAGCTAATTTTTGTATTTTTAGTGGAGACAGGGTTTCACCATGTTGGCCAGGCTGGTCTCGAACTCCTGACCTCAAGTGATCCACCCACCTCGGCCTCCCAAAGTGCTGGGATTACAGGTGTGAGCCACCATGCCTGGCATTCATTTCTTTCAAACTCTAGTAATATCAATAAATTAAAAAAATTCAGAGACAGGGTTGGCTACTTGTGGGATATCTTTCATGTTTGATCCTGGAAATACATCAGGTATGAATCTAAAGGGTCCTGTGTCTGTGGGGTCACAATTGCATCAGCAGCTCCCCAGTCCCCACCTATCTAGATAAACTCATTCAGAGATAATATCCACCTGTACATTTCAGGCCATGTAGAGGGCCTCCTAGTCTCCCATGGTAGGCTCTGGGGATGGGGGAGAAATAGATTTATCCTTTAAATTCTCACCTGAGGCTGGGCATGGTGGCTCACACCTATAATCCCAGCACTTTGGGAGGCTGAGGTGGTCAGAGGATCACTTGAGAGGATCATTTGAGACCAGCCTAGACAACAGGGTGAGATCCCAAAAAATGTTTTAAACGGGCAGGGCACATGCCTGTGGTCCCATATACTCTGAAGGCCGAGGCAGGAGGATTGCTAGAGCCCGGGAAGTTGAGGCTGCAGTGAGCCATGATCACGCCACCGCACTCCAGCCTGGGAAACAGAGCAAGACCCTGTCTCAAAAAATGATTCAATAACAAATAAAAAATATAAACTTGACCAGGTGCAGTGGGATGCACCTGTAATCCCAGCGCATTAGGAGGCTGAGCGGGGAGGATTGCTTGAGCCCAGGAGTTCCAAGCTGCAGTGAGATATGATCTCCAGCTTGGGTGACAGACGAACAGCCTGCCTCAAAACATATAAATAAATAAATAAATAAATAAATAAATAAAATTTATCAGCATAAGTTTCATCAAATTCAAGACATTTTGGTGAAAATGTGACTGCTATGTTCCTGGGCTATCTTTGGGGGGCAATAAAAATGTTCTGGAATTAGACAATAGTGATGGATAAACAACTTTGTAAATATACTAAAAACCACTGAAATGTTCATTTTAAAAAGGTTGACTTTGACTGGGCATGGTGGCTCATGCCTGTAATCCTAGCACTTTCGGAGTACGAGGCGGGCAGATCACGAGGTCAAAAGATCCAGACCATCCTGGCCAACATGGCAAAACCTTGTCTCTACGAAAAATACAAAAATTAGCTGGGTGTGGTGGCACACGCCTGTAGACCCAGCTACTCGGGAGGCTGAGGCTGGAGAATTGTTTGAACCCGGGAGGTGGAGGTTGCAGTGAGCCGAGATTGCGCCACTCCACTCCAGCTTGGAGACAGAGCGAGACTCCATCTCAAAAAAAAAAAAAAAAAAAAGGTTGACTTTTACAGTAGATAAGCATATCTCAATAAAGCTGTTACCAAAAAAAAGCAAGTTTTTAGAAAGTGTGAAAAAATTAGTTTAGTGAGCTTTTTTAGGGTTTTCTAGAGGTGAAGAATCCACACATACACAACCACACTCACACACATGCACATGCACACACACATTTTATTTCAAAAGAGCACAAAGGCAATTTTGTGCTGGTACTTTTGAAACCAGACAGTTATAGACTTTTTTTGGTTTTGTTTTTGTTTTTTTGAGACCAAGTCTCTCTCTGTCGCCTAGGCTGGAGTGCAGTGGCACTGCAACCTCCACCTCCCTGGGTTCAAGTGATCCTCCTGCCTCAGCCTCCCAAGTAGTAGCTGGGACCCGACGTGCACCATGATGCCTGGCTAATTTTTGTATTTTTGGTAGAGATGGGGTTTCACCATGCTGGCCAGGCTGGTCTTGAACTCTTGAGCTCTTGAGCTCAAGTGATCCACCTGCCTCAGCCTCCGAAAGTGCTGGGATTACAGGCATAAGCCATTGCACCTGGCCTGACTGTTGACTTTTAATTGAGGAAAAGGTGCAGGAGACACCAGAGGTCCTAATGGGAAAATCTAAAACCTCAGTTACCGAGGCAGGAGGATCACTTGAGTTCAGGAGTTTCAACATGGTGAAACCTTGTCTCTACTAAAAATACAAAAAAATTAACCGGGTGTGGTGGTGCGTGCCAGTAATCCCAGCTACTCGGGAGGCTGAGGCAGGAGAATCTCTTGAACCGGCGAGGCAGAGGTTGCAGTGAGCCGAGATCACACCACTGCACTCCAGCCTGGGCGACAGAACGAGACTCTGTCTCAGAATGAATGAATGAATAAATAAATAAATAAAAAACCTCGGCCATGGCTCATACCTGTAATCTCAGCACTTTGGGAGGCCAAGGTGGGCGGATCATGAGGTCAGGAGTTTGAGACCAGCCTGGCCAAGAGAATAGCCTGTCCAATATGGTGAAACCCTGTCTCTACTAAAAATACAAAAATTAGCCAGGCGTGGTGGCAGGCACCTGTAATCCCAGTTACTCGAGAGGCTGAGGCAGGATAATCGCTTTGAACCCAGGAGGCGGAGGTTGTAGTGAGCCAAAGATCACGCCATTGCACTCCAGCCTGGGCAACAGAGCAAGACTCTGACTCAAAACATAGTAATAATAAAAAATAAAACTGGCTAGGCGCAGTGGCTCACGCCTTTAATCCCAGCACTTTGGGAGGCCGAGGTGGGTGGATCATGAGGTCAGGAGATTGAGACCATCCTGGCTAACATGGTGAAATCCCGTCTCTAATGAAAATACAAAAAAATTAGCCAGGCATGGTGGCGGGTGCCTGTAGTCCCAGCTACTCGGGAGGCTGAGGCAGGAGAATAGTGTGAACCCGGGAGGTGGAGCTGGCAGTGAGTCGAGATCGCGCCACTGCACTCTAGCCTGGGCGGCAGAGCGAGACTCCATCTCAAATAATAATAATAATAATAATAATAATAATAAATAAATAAATAAATAAAACCTCAATTAATTTCAGTATGACTTTGTCAAGAGGCAATTATTTGCTAAGCACTTTATATGCTAACCAGATGAGGTAACATGGTTATTGCCACATTACAGATGAGGCTCAGAGAGCATAGGTAACTTGTCTGGGGTCACACAGCTTGTAAACGGCAGAGCTGGGACTCAAACCCAGTCTGTATGTTCCGAAACCTGTGCTCTGTTCACTTCCCCCAGGCTGCCTGGCAAAATAAATAAAAAGCACCTGTCCCCAAAACTTTCAAATTGTACTTTGGTTCCTTTATTTCATTTCATCCCATCTTTAGTCCTATCCTCTGTGTCTTTTTTTCTTTTTTTGAGATGGAGTCTTGCTCTGTTGCCCAGGCTGCAGTGCAGTGGCATGATCTCGGCTCACTGCAACCTCTGTCTCAAGGGTTCAAGCGATTCTCCAGCCTCAGTCTCCCAAGTAGCTGGGACTACAGGCATGCGCGACCGCGTCCGGCTAACTTTTTTTTTTTTTTTGTATTTTTGTAGAGATGGGGTTTCACCATGTTGGCTAGGCTGGTCTCGAACTCCTGACCTCAGGTGATCTGCCTACCTCGGCCTCCCAAAGTGCTGGGATTACAGGCGTGTGCCACTGCGCCCAGCTTAACTTTTTTGTGCCATCTTTACCCTTTGCTCTGGCCAGAAGGGACCCACCTCACTGTCCCCAGAACACCCCCAAAATTTGTAAATAAAGACAGTTCAAAGAGTGATGCACTTTATTTTTTAATTAATTAACTAACTTTTTTAGAGACAGGGTCTTTTTAGGCTGGAGTGCAGTGGCACAATCGTAGCTCACTATAGCCTTGAACTCCTGGGCTAAAGAGATCCTCCTGCCTTAGCCTCCTGAGTAGGTTGGGACTATAGGTGCACACCACCATGTCTGGATAATTTTTTATTTATTTTTATTTTTGTAGAAATGTGAGAGGAGGGTCTCGCTTTTTTATCCAGGCTGGTCTTGAACTCCTGGCTTCATGCCATCCTCTTACCTGAGCTTCCCAAATTGCTGAGATTATAGGTGTGAGTTACTGTGCCCCTACTGGACTGATGCACTTTATCAACCACACACTGTAAGCTCTACACAAATGTAAACTAGTATCTTCCCCTTTCCTTCCACTAGAAGTGTCTCTGTTGGCATGTCCAAAGTCTCAGAGTCTTTCAAGGTTAAACTCAGCCCTCTGCAACTCTGGCAGCTTCCAGATGGCAGGACAGGCAGGGGACTTTTTTTTCTGGATTCTTGGGGCACTCACCACAAAATCAGTACCATGTAATGCCCTGGCCTGCCCTGGGCTGTTGTAAGTTCTTTTGTCTATGTTCTTGCCAAGCACCTGTTTGACCCTCTGAGCAGTGAAGCAATAGCTGTTTTCCCCTCAACCTCTCTTACCCTTATTTCTCTCATTTGCAAAATGGGAATGATGGTAGCTATGTTGGCCTTACCCATGAGTGTCTTCCCAGTCCCACCTTGGGCATGTTGTGGGCAGAAGTAGTGCTGCCCTAGTGCAGCGGTTCTCAAAGTGTGATCTGGAGAGCCCCTCGGGGATCTGAGACAACCTTCTTTTCTAACTACATACCTGTGTGAGGCTGGGTTTTCTTCATATAGTTGAATCAACACATTACAACAGCTTGAACACAGAAACAGATATGAGAATACAGCTGTTTTCTATTAAGCCAGATATTAAAGCGTTTGCAAAAATATAAAATAATGCCACTGTTCTCACTATTTGTTTTAGATAATTAAAAAATATAATGTCAACATGTAATAGGTTATTATTTTATGAATTAATAAACATTTAAAACATTCTCAGTTTTAATTTGTTTTTTGTTGTTGTTGTTGTTGTTGTTTTTTAGAGACAGGGCCTCACTCTGTTGCCCAGGCCGGAATGCAGTGGCTATTCACAGGTACAATCCCACTAGTGATCAGCAGCGGCTCAGTTTTAATTTCTAATACAATAATTATCAATACATATAATCCACACAAACAAAAGCTCTTGGAAATCCTCAATAATTTTCAAGAATGTAGAGGTACTGAGACCCAAAGTTTGAGAACCCCTCGAGGAAAGAATAGAGTTCCAGATCTAGATTTTTCAGGTACCTCATGGTCTAAGCCCTCTCCTGTGCCTCATTTTAACTCTAATACAATAATACTCATTCTTGTTGCCATGAGTGGCTCTTGGTTTCTTCCTTTTCCTAATGTTTAGATCTTGCTTTATGTGTGTATATAGTGATGGTCTTTGGAAGGATACACAATTAACTGGTACAGCGGTTGAGGGGAGTTCGGAAACTGGGAGAAAGTGGCACCATAAACCTTTCTGCTCTGTTTGATTTTTAAAATACAGTACATCGTGCATGTAGTGCCTGAATTAATAATGAACAATTAAAAGTAAAATTACATTTTTAATGCATAGGAATGCATGAGAAACTCAAGTCTGCTCAAGTAAAGTGGTGTTAACCGACAATGACAAACAATAAGAAGAAAGTTTTCCTTGTCCGCCTTCACCAGGCTCACAAACACTTAGCTCGCGCTCCCTCTGGCTCTTCTCCCGCTCGCTGGGGTTAAGCCACTCTCTTCCTCAGCCCTGCCCCTCGTCCCCGCCCCCTTCAACAACTTCAGCCACGCCCCTCACTGCCTCGCCCCGCCCCGCGGCGACGTCACCTCCGGCCGACCAGCTTCCCCAACTCCCTCTGGCTCCCGCCTTCGCCCGCTTCCGGTCGTCGTCGTCGCCGCTGCTGCCGCTGCTGTTGCTCCTGAGGCTGCTGGCTGAGGCCGGAGGATCGAGCGGCGGCGGCGGCGGCGGCTGAGAGGGCGGCGGCGGGAGCGGAGCGGGACGAGGGAACGGGAGGAAGCGAGCGAGGAGCGCGCAGAGCGCGCTTTTCCGTCCGCCTGAGGAGCCGAAGCAGCCCCGGCCCCGCCGCCGCCGCCTGCCCGCCGGACAAAGCCGAGAGCCCGCGCCCACAGCCATGTCCTCGTCAGCCGGCAGCGGCCACCAGCCCAGCCAGAGCCGCGCCATCCCCACCCGCACCGTGGCCATCAGCGACGCCGCGCAGCTACCTCATGACTATTGCACCACGCCCGGGGGGACGCTCTTCTCCACCACACCGGGAGGTGAGCGCCGGCCAGCCGTCCGCCGCGCCCGGTGTCCCGCCGCGGTCCTCTAACTCCTCGGCGCCTCGGTGCCCGGCCGCTTCGCCCCCGCCCCCAGCTCCACCGAAGCCCCGGGGACGCTGCCCTTGGGCCCGCCCGAGCGTTCGGGACCCTTTACTTCGTGTTCGCTCTTGCCCGCAGCTCGAGTCGGCGCGCGCCCCACTCGGGAATGTGGCTGTCCTGTCGCGAAAAAGAGCTCTTGTTTCCGCTTCGTGGCAGGCTTACGCATTCGACCCAGTTCTCTCTCTCCTCTCTGCCTCCTTCCCGGGCGGATTTGGCTCCACTTGGCCTTGCATTACAGTCTGCATTGCCTGTCGTAGATTGTGCAAATTAATGCTTGATTTTGGAGCTGGCTCCGGGGCTTTTTAAAAAAGAACTTTGGGAGAGGAATTCGGCCCTGGCATCCTGCGATGGCTTGTTTTTGCTGCTTTTAGAACACCGGGAGGAGGCTGGAATGCGGAGTCTGGAAGCCTCGCCCAGCGTTATCCCGCTTTGACAGCATTGTTTACTTTGCTGGACGAGGCCCCACGGGTGAGGGGAGTCCCCAGGCCGGGAGGAGAGCGTGATAAAATAAAGCTCAAGTAATAGCCAAGGGAAAGTAGGTGGGGGTGGTAGGGTGCTGACAGCCTTAAGGTAGGGTGTCTTTCGGCAGCGACGCCTTTGGAAATGGATTGAAGGACCTTTGTCAAGGACACCCCAGTTGGGTGGGGTGGTTGCTTGATCCTGTGGAAGGGGCTAGAGAGAGGCAATCCAGAGAGAGGGTGGTTCCCTGGCATTGCTTTTCAAAGCATGACCAGGAACTGTTTACAAATAAGTAATACTGGGGTAGAGGTGAAGCTTGGTCACGGGAAGAGAGCTCAAAGGTTGTCTGTGCCCTAACTGGGCTGTCCTCCAGAGGGAGGAGCCTGGAAAGCGATTTTGAGGAGCCTTATTGAAGGGAACGGGGCCTCCTTTTTAACTTCAGAACTTTGTCTTCTTTTGGTGCTGGGGTGGCCTCTTGCTAGAGGGTGGGGACTTCGCAGCTCCTGCGGTCTAGAGGATTGCTAGCCTTGTTCCTGTGGGCAGGGCTCAGGAGCTGTACTACAACCAATCCGATGCAGTTAGGCCTGGACCATCCTTAAATCAGTTGCACAATAGCAAGGCCTGTGGAGTAAGGAGACCTTCTTGCCAACACCAAGGGATAAAATCTAGGAGGGAGCTTTACAGAGAAATTCAGCCAGGCCGCTCTGGGGGCTGGGCGGGCTGCCTTGAAAGGCTTTTTAAATGACCCAGGCAGAAGTTCAGTAATATATATGGAGAGCTGGGTTTAAGGAAATGTTAACTTTGCAGAATAGTGGAGTTCTTAGGTGGCTTAACTCATGGAAGAAATCTCCCCCCGATATGATCAGTTCAAGACCAACTCGTGTTTGAGCATGGTACAGGGTCTCACTCTGTCGCCCAGGCTGGAGTACAGTGGCACGACCTCGGCTCACTGCACTCTCTACTTCCTGGGCTCAAGCGATCCTCCCACCTCAGCCTCCTGAGTAGCTGGACCACAGGCACGTGCCACCACGCCTGGCTAATTTTTTTGTATTTTGGTAGAGTCTGGGTTTCTCCATGTTGCCCAGGCTCGTCCTGGGCTCAAGTTATTCGCCCCGTCAGCCTCCCAAAGTGCTGGGATTACAGGCGTGAGCCACTGCACCCGGCCAAGATCTTGCTTTTTAATCCTGAAAAATTTTGGCAGACCAGAATCTGCTCCATATAAGAGTTGTCTTGAACTTGAACTGATAGCTTTTAAGAAATAGATGCTGTTTTCCGAGGTGATGGAAAGGGATTTATAACTTCTTCCAGAATTCTTTGTGGTATTGCTCAGTAAATGCCTGTGCTTCCAGAAGTTCAGAACACGTCATAGTGACAACTGCACTCAGCTATAATGTATTTGGAAAGGGAACTAAACTTTCAGCTATATATTAATCCCCTGAGGGAAGAGCCACCTAGACACGTTTTTGGCTTATGTCAAATAGTCAAGCTACCATACTTTTAAAAATAAGGGCATAGTCTTTAAGCGTTGCTTCAAAGATAGAAGCCTGTCTCATAGCCTGGATTAGTTCTTAAAGTGCTTGCAAAGAGTCTGCCAGAAATACTAATTCATTACCCCTCCTCCTAACAACACTCAATCACTGTTTTCTCAAATATCACTTAACTTCCCCCGACATTGTTTCTACACACAGTTTCTTGTTTTGGATTTAAATACTTGTGATCTTGGCTCTTCTTTACTGTTGAGCTTGTATTTATTGGGAGAGCCCATCATAATCTTTGGATTTATTTGTTTATTTATTTATTTATTTTTGGAGACGGAGTTTCGCTCTGTAGCCTAGGCTGGAGTGCAGTGGCGCGATCTCGGCTCACTGCAAGCTCTGCCTCCTGGGTTCACGCCATTCTCCTGCCTCAGCCTCCCGAGTAGCTGGGGCTACAGGCGTCCACCACCACGCCCAGCTAATTTTTTGTATTTTTAGTAGAGATAGGGTTTCACCATGTTAGCCAGGATGGTCTTTTTTTTTTTGTTGTTGTTGATCATTCTTGGGTGTTTCTCGCAGAGGGGGATTTGGCAGGGTCACAGGACAATAGTGGAGGGAAGGTCAGCAGATAAACAAGTGAACAAAGGTCTCTGGTTTTCCTAGGCAGAGGACCCTGTGGCCTTCCGCAGTGTTTGTGTCCATGGGTACTTGAGATTAGGGAGTGGTGATGACTCTTAACGAGCACGCTGCCTTCAAGCATCTGTTTAACAAAGCACATCTTGCACCACCCTTAATCCATTCAACCCTGAGTGGACACAGCACATGTTTCAGAGAGCACAGGGTTGGGGGTAAGGTCACAGATCAACAGGATCCCAAGGCAGAAGAATTTTTCTTAGTACAGAACAAAATGAAAAGTCTCCCATGTCCACCTCTTTCTACACAGACACGGCAACCATCCGATTTCTCAATCTTTTCCCCACCTTTCCCCCCTTTCTATTCCACAAAACCGCCGTTGTCATCATGGCCCGTTCTCAATGAGCTGTTGAGTACACCTCCCAGATGGGGTGGTGGCCGGGCAGAGGGGCTCCTCACTTCCCAGTAGGAGCGGCCGGGCAGAGGCGCCGCTCACCTCCCGGGCGGGGGGCTGACCCCCCCCCCACCTCCCTCCCAGACGGGGCGGCTGGCCGGGCAGAGGGGCTCCTCACTTCCCAGTAGGGGCGGCCGGGCAGAGGCACCCCTCACCTCCCAGATGGGGCGGCTGGCCGGGCGGGGGGCTGACCCCCCACCTCCCTCCCGGATGGGGCGGCTGGCCGGGCAGAGGGGCTCCTCACTTCCCAGTAGGAGCGGCCGGGCAGAGGCGCCCCTCACCTCCTGGACGGGGCGGCTGGCCGGGCGGGGGGCTGACCCCCCCACCTCCCTCCCGGACGGGGCGGCTGGCCGGGCGGGGGGCTGACCCCCCCACCTCCTTCCTGGACGGGGCGGCTGGCCGGGCAGAGGGCTCCTCACTTCCCAGTAGGGGCGGCCGGGCAGAGCGCCCCTCACCTCCCGGACGGGGCGGCTGGCCAGGCGGGGGGCTGACCCCCCCCACCTCCCTCCCGGACGGGGCGGCTGGCCGGGCGGGGGGCTGACCCCCCCACCTCCTTCCTGGACGGGGCGGCTGGCCGGGCACAGGGTCTCCTCACTTCCCAGTAGGGGCGGCCGGGCAGAGGCGCCCCTCACCTCCCGGACGGGGCGGCTTAGCCAGGATGGTCTTAATCTTCTGACCTCGTGATCTGCCCGCCTCGGCCTCCCAAAGTGCTGGGAGTACAGGCGTCAGCCACTGCGCCTGGCTGTAATCAGTGGATTTTTAACATGAGGGCTTATTTAATATCTTTATAAGGACATGGTGCCGTTGCAGTTGGATTTAATCACTATTACAGCAATGAATACTGTTTAGGTGTTCTTTACTTACTGATTTAACTTCCCCCTCTGACGGTTTGTGTATCTCTAATGCTACATTCATCTTCCTCTCATCATGTAATTTTATTTCCCTCAACCAGGGTGCAATAGTTTGTTATCTGGCCACCTCCAGACTCCTGGATTAATATGGTTAGGTATCGTTAGTAAATTTTGTGTGCCCAGGGGAGTGGTTCGCACAAAAGGGGACAACAGACAAAAGTAGGAAATACAGTCCTTGGTCTGAACAGGTTTAAATTCTTGATTTGGGGGTAGGGGCAGACAGATAAGATTTTTAGTTCTGAAAGAGTAGAGTCAAGTGCTAACATATATTTCAGACTTGAAAACATTTAGAAAAATGAGTGATAGGCTTGTATTGGAAATCTCTATTTAGTGGTAAGGGAGGGGATTAACATTTCCTGCCTCAAACTTCTAGAAATCTTCTGGAGGGTCACATACATGTCAGAGCATTCCAGCATAACAACAGTTGATGGACCGAATGCCCTAAATGATCAGACTGAGCAGGGACATTCACAGCATAGCAAACTTAGAGTTTCTCCCCCTTGAAGAGTTCTTTATTCATTGGGGATCACAGGAGATACAGCTTACCCTTGAGCTTTCTCAAAATTGTCTTTCTGTGGTTTGGGAAGTGAGAAGTGGGTGAAAACACACTTGCTGTAACCTCTTGGATTTCTCATATTGCTGGAAGAGTACCCTTTCTCCTTATGAAGGAAGAGGAAACTTTTTGTTGGGCAAATTCCAGGCCAAAAAAAAAGCTCTTGGATTTTATTTTTTTTTCTATCTGCCTGTGGAGGAGTGGGGATGATATTTGGTTCTTCCATTGAGAAGCTACCTCTGCCCTCAAAGGAAGGTAAAGTTACTATAGTTGGCTCCACTTTTAATAACACTAGTGACCTAGAAGAAACCTAATGCTTTCATTTTATTATTGAGAGAAATTGGGACCCAGAGAAGTTAAGTAACTTGTTAGTATTAAACAGCTAATTATTGTCCGTGAGTCCCTCAAATTTAGTATCCTGATCACTATTCCAGTTTTTTCCTCTACTGTTTTGAGATGCTTATCTTACTAGGAAAGGAAGTTTGCAAACATTTAAAGAGACTTTTCTACCTCTGGAATGCTAGCTAATATGATTCTTTCCGCTACCTTATTTCCTTTCTAGGTGCTGAACTGCCCCCTTTTAGAAGAGTTGTTTTGCTCTGCGGAATGAGCAGAAACAGAGACACCTCTTTTACCCTTTCTCTTTGCCTTTCTTTTCCTTCACAGAGTTCTCATCAGCCATGGAAAAGTATGCTGTTACCATAACAAGGGCAGCAGAGGGGAACTAACTGTGATGGTCTGAAATTTTGTCTGGGTTGTAGCTCTTCTGCCTCTTGGATAGTTGATATGATTGGTTCATTGGGACAGAATTTCATAAAGGTCATTGGATGGGTTTGGAAAAAAGGAGAAAGCAGGAAGAAGGGAAAATAATCCACTGGGAGTGAAAGTGAACTATACCAAAATAAAGAGTATTGGGGGTGAAGGGAGCTGCTTTTTTTTTTCTTTCTTTCTTTGAGACAGAGTTTCACTCTTGTTGCCCAGGCTGGAGTGCAATGGCGCCATCTTGGCTCACCGCAACCTCCGCCTCCTGGGTTCAAGTGATTCTCCTGCCTCAGCCTCCTGAGTAGCTGGGATTACGGGCGCCCACCACCACGCGTGGCTGATTTTTGTATTTTTAGTAGAGATGGGGTTTTACCATGTTGGCCAGGCTGGTCTCGAACTCCTGACCTCAAGTGATCCGCCCACCTCGGCCTCCCAGAGTGCTGGGATTGAACCACCATGCCCAGCCCTGTTTCTTTTGTTAAGATAAAAATTGTCTTTGTTGGTTTATTAGCACTTCAGAGATTTGATGGTTGTGCACAGTGAATGTGGTTTGGCCACCACCTGTCTCCCTGAAGAATACAGAGTTAGGCAGCTTTTAGTTTCCTCTGGGTTATTTGCCATAGAGCTTTTCAGGAGTCTGTCTCTTCATCCAGAGTCTCCATGAAGAACAGATGTTTAAAACTGAAGTTCATTCATGAATGTTCTATAACTCAGTCAATAAAACATAGACCTTGTTCTACCTTCCTAAGTTGAAAGAATAAAAAGCAGAGAAAACACTTTCTTTGTTAAGTCCTTTCTGTTTTTTCCTTTCTTATTTTCCCTTATGGGGGTGGGAGAGAGAAAGACAGGCTTAGACTTCTTTTCTGAGTGCATTAGAAGCACTTGCTGCTTGTTCATCTTGTATCTGTTTCTCATCTTTTGGTGGGCCCTTATGTGAGACATAGCTGGAGAATTGTCAAGAATTCCTAGTAGAAATTGAAGTTACATGCCAAATGCTTTGTTTCTTTTTTTAATTCAATGTCTAGGCTTGAAGGATACCTTCCTCCTCGTGGTCCCTGCTGCCCTAGCAGTGTTGGTTTGTATGTATGTATTTATAAGATATTTTGTAAGCATCTTTTTTCTTAGTTCCTTATAATGGTTTTTTAATACACTATCTCTTGATGTTTTAAACATACATAACAAAAATTTCCATTTTAGTCATTTTTAATTGTACAGCTCAGTGGGATTAAATATATTCACCTTGTTTTGCAACCATCACCACCATCCATCTTCAGAACGTTTTTCATCTTCCTAAACTGAAACCTCATACCAATTAAACAATAACTTCCCATTAAGCAGTACCACCGCAGCCTCCGGCAGCTAATCATCCTACTTTGTGTCTTCATGAATTTGACTACTCTAGGAATCTCAGTTAAATGGAACCACGTAGTAATTGTCCTTTCGTAAATGAACATTCATCAGTGTTCATGCTTTTTTTCTTGCCATTTTGCTTTTTTTTTTTATTATTATTACATTTTTTTAATACCTATGAAAGCAACAAAGTTGTAAAAGTCATATAGTCTTACTGGCCACACAACAAAAAGCAACATTCCGATGCCCCGTTCCTTCATCTCCATTTCCACTCTCAGAGAAACCATTTTAAACTCATTTAGCTAATGTGCACTGCAGCCTTGACCTCCTGGGCTCAGCCTCCTGGGATCATAGGAGTGCCACCAAGCACGGCTAATTTTTAAAATTTTTGTAAAGATGATTTCTCACCATGTTTCCCAAGCTGGTCTTAAACTCCTGGGCTCAGATGACCCTCTTGCCTCAGCCTCCCAAAGTGCTGTGATTATAGGTGTGAGCCCCTATGCCCAGCCTATTTCTTAGTTTGGGATATTAATTCATTTTCTGCTATGGAAGATGAGGATTTAGTTGTTATATACACCCTTCTCCCAATGTATATACTTCTGTCTCCTATCCTCTTAATTTAACTTTTTTTTACCCTTTTTGGTCAAACTAATATGTATGTAATCTTTACTAAATTTTGGTAAATATTGAATGCAGATGTGGCTGACATTGTTGGTTTCCTGCTCAATAGCTATTCCCTCTTCTTGCTTGCTGCCAGATTCCCTCATTTTTTAAATGGCAAGGTGCTAAACCCCAGGATATAGACTGTGACAGCTCTTAAGTCAGTCATAGTTTCCCCAGTGTTTGGTCTGGTGGGCATCTGAACCAGTTCTGGACAAATGAGATGTAAAGGAAGTCTGCTGATGGCTTCTGAGATTTTCCCCTCCAACGGAGAAAGTCCCAGGAGGAAAGCCCTGTTTGACTTCATGTTCTCCTTTCCTGCTTGGAACTCTATTTTATGAGGGTGTGGGTCCATCTCAGCCTTTTTGGAGGGCTTGTGGGCAAGTTACTTAATGTTTCGTTCTCCAGGCTGTCTATTTGCGTGAGTAAATGGTTAATTCTAATTCTGGAAGCAGACTTAGTTAAACAGAATTTTATGATGGCGGCCGGGGGGTGGGGGTGGGGGCTCCCTGTAAAAATATAGTTAACAACTACCCTGTAAGTTAACCATGTTATAGTGGACTTTCTCTGTGTGGTTTAATTTCAGCTTACATAATTTCTTAACTATATAGCTTAATGCATGGATTATTTATCATTTAAACTAAGGTACTTGGTATTGAAAGAGGCCGTTACGCTTGAATGACCTTGTTTCTATACTAGCCATCTTGGCAAGCATAACTTTGGGCTTTATTCATTGACCTTCTTGTTGTTTTCTGCAGTTTGAGAATCACTGGTTTTTAGATTCAAAGGTAGATAGGGTTTTTCCCCCCTCTCTGTCAAAGGGACTCAGTTTTACTCTCATATTTCCCTAGTAATGTTAAATCTAGAAAGTCCTGGATGAAAGTATTAGATTTATCCTAATATCTGGTCACTAAGGGATGAAAAATTTATAAATAGCTAATGTTAACCTAGATCTAAAGCTTCCTATTCTGAAATCCAAACATGAAGACTAAGAAAAATATGTACATTTTGAAACAAAGCAGAAAAATGAAACTTCAACAATGTAAAAGAGGGTAAAATGCCAGTAGACAGCCACTTTCAGCAGTTTCTGTTTACAGTGCTTTTGCTGGCTACCATTGTTGCTGTAAATAATATATGTATACTGTGATTTCTTTAACATTAGACAATACTGTTAACTCCCCATTATGAAAGATGAGGAATCTAAGATACTTTTATTACTTTCTGTCTCTTGTTTCTCATCCTCTCTCCATTTACTAATTTCTGTAAATTGTATTATCATTTTTGGCTCCTCTAGTAGTTATCTTTAAAGCTCTAAATAATATGTGTCTCAACCTGTCAACTTTAGCTCTCCACTGTATAAAAGTACACCATTCACCTGTCCTCCTGCCTTTACTTTGCTGGTATGTAACCTCATTATGTTTATAATATCAGGGTTTGTGGGCAGGCTTGGTGGCGTACACCTATAATCCCAACACTTTGTGAGGCCAAGGCAGGAGAATCGCTTGAGCCCAGGAGTTTGAGACCAGTCAGGGCAACGTAATGAGACCCCATCTCTACAAAATATAAAATTAGTTGGACTGTAGTCCCAGCTACTTGGGAGGCTAAGGTGGGAGGATCACCTGAGCCCAGGAGGTCAAGGTTGCAGTAAGCCGTGATCATGCCACTGCACTCAAGCCTGGGTGATAGAGCAAGACCCTGACTCTCAAAAAAAAAAAAAAAAAAAAAAGAAATCAGAGTTTGTAACATTTACGTACTGTTCCTTAACTGTTAATTCTTCTATGCTTTTACTATAGTTTGATTATAAACGTTGAAAATCAAACAGCATATACAATATTGTGATTTTTTTTCATAACTTTCCAATATAAGACTAAGGAGCATGATTATTTTCATAGAGAAGGAATGGAAAATTGTTTTTTAATTTTTGTAACACTCCATCAATTGATCACAATCATGCCCCATTTTAATACTGTGTTATATGAGCTATGGATTTCTTGTGTAGTCTGTTTTCCTTCTTCAGTAGCTTAAGGTTAACTTGTTTCTAGTTACTTATGGCTGCATTGGTTGACATTAAATTGAGCTGACATAGCGTTGGAGGGAGTCTGGGTGAAATGTGAATTGCTAGGAAGTCCTTGCTTCAGAAAATGTACATCTGTGCATGCATATGTATAAGAAACCTTAAATATTTTAGATTTTTTAATAGATTGTCTTGGAATTGATGTAAGTTTATAGTAAACATAATATTCAATAAAGGAAATAAAGGGTTTTTTCCTGCCATTTTATCCATGGTTGAATCTTAATTTTTTTTCTTTGAATAATTTTGGTTTTTTAAAAGGTCAGTTTCTTTTGAATTACACCCTAAAATCATTAGTGATTAACAAGCTGATTCTGTATTTTTGCTTTATACCCACTACAATTAAATTTTTTTTAGCTTGCAGAGATTACTAAAATTCAAAAACTTATAAATACTATACTTTCATAGTCATATTTTTCCTGGCTATATTTGAGAACATTACAGCATTAAGACGCTAGTTCTTCAGTGTGTCTTGTTGTCTGAATTATTTACTGTGTTGGCATTCAAAATCAAACATATCTTAGGAATGCATTAAAAAAACTATTAGAAATAATAGGTGAGTTTGCCAAGGTTGCAAGATAAAAGAGCCATATAGAAAAACCTGTTTTTGGCCCAGCACAGTGGCTCATGCCTGTAATCCTAGCACTTTGGGAGGCCAAGGCTTGCAGATCACTTGAGGTCAGGAGTTCGAGACCAGCCTGGCCAACATGGTGAAACCCCATCTCTACTAAAAATACAAAAATTAGCTGGGCATGGTAGCGCATACCTGTAATCCCAGCTATTTGGGAGGCTGAGGCAGAAGAATCACTTGAACCCAGAGGGTGGAGGTTGCAGTGAGCTGAGATCACACCCTGCACTCCCGCCTGGGCAGCAGAGGGAAAATCCATCTCAAAAGCAAAAACAAAGAAAACTGGTCACGCTTGTTATCCCATCATTTTGGAAGGCTGAGGTGGGCAGATGGCTTGAGCCCAGGAGTTCAAGACCAGCCTGGGCAACATGGTGAAACCCCGTCTCTACAAAAAATACAAAAATTATTTTTTTCTGGGTGACATGTGCCTGTAGTCCCAACTGCTAGGGAGGCTGAGGCAGGAGGACCGCTTGAGCCCAGGAGGTGTAGGTTGCAGTGAGCCAAGATTGCACTTCTGCCCTCTAGCTTGGACGACAGAGCAAGACCCTCTCTCGAAAAAAAAAAAAAAGAAAAGAAAAAGAAAGCAATCCCATTTACAATAGCATGAAAACAATTTGATAGGAATAACTTTAGTCACAAAGCATAAAACTTTTACTCTGGAAACTACAAAACATTGTTGAAAGAAATTAAAGAAGACCCAAATAAGTGGAAAGACATTTGGTGGCCATGGATCAGAAGACTTAATATTGTTAAGATGGTAGTACTCCACAAATTGACCTTCACATTCAGCACAGTCCCTATCATAATCTCAGCTGGCTTCTTTGACAAGCTGACAAAATTCATATGGAACTTTAAGGGACCTAAAATATCCAGAACAATCTTGAAAAAGAAAAACTAAGTTGGAGGACTTACACTTTGTGGTTTCAAAACTTATTACAAGTCAAGACAGTGGGGTACTAGCATATGGATATACATATAGATCAATGGAATAAAATTGAGAGTCCAGAAATAAACCCAGCAATAATGGCCCATTGATCTTCAACAAGGGTGCCAAGACAATTCTGTGGAAAAAGAACAGTTTTCAACAGATAGTGCTGATACAACTGGATATGCACACAGAAAAACTGAAGGTGGACCAGATGGCTCAAAGACCTAAATGTCAGAGCAAAAGCTATTAATGTACAACCTTTAGAAGAAGACAGAGGCAAATCTTTATGACCTTGGATTAGGCAGTGGCCTGAGATATGACTCCAAAAGCACAAACAAAAGAAAAAAAAAAAAACATACATTGGACATCATGAAAATTAAGAACTTTTGTGCTTCGAAGATCATGAAGAAAATGAAAAGATAACCCACAGAATAGGAGACTATATTTGCAGTCACATAAGAGATTTATATCCAGAATAAAGAACTATCATAATTTAGTAATAAAGACAAATCATTGAAAAATGGGTAAAGGTTCTGAATAGACAGTTTCTTCAAAAGAAGATATGTGGTGGAATGGCCTGTTAAGTACATGAAAACAGCATGTTCAACATAATTAGCCATCAGGGAAATGCAAATTAAGATCAAACCACAGTGAGAAACCACTTCATATCTGCTAATGTTGGCTACAATATATAAAAATTAGAACTCTTACACACTGCTGATGGGAATGTAAAATAGTACAACCACTTTGAAAAACAGGCAGTTCTGGCCGGGCGCGGTGGCTCACGCCTGTAATCCTAACACTTTGGGAGGCCGAGCTGGGCAGATCACGAGGTCAAGAGATCGAGACCATCCTAGCCGACATGGTGAAACCCTGTCTCTACTAGAAATACAAAAATTAGCCGGGCATGGTAGCATGCACCTGTAGTCCCAGGTACTTGGGAGGCTGAGGCAGGAGAATCGCTTGAACCCAGGAGGCGGAGGTTGCAGTGAGCCAAGATCATGCAGCTGTACTCCAGCCTGGTGACATAGCGAGACTCTGTCTCAAAAAAAAAAAAAAAAAACCAGGCAATTTTTCAAAGGGTTAAAGGTAGAGTTACCATATGACCCAGTAGTTCTACCTTAATTTTTTAATTTTTTTTTTTTTTTTTTGAGACAGGGTCTCACTCTGTCATCTAAGCTGAGTGCAGTGGTGCAATCATGGCTCACTGTAACCTCCATCTCCTGGGCTTAAGTGATCCTCCCACCTCAGCCTCCCCAGCAGCTGGGACTATAGGCATGCAACACCACGCCTGGCTAATTTTTGTATTTTTTTTTAAGAGACGGGATTTTGCCATGTTGCCCAGGCTGGTCTTGAACTTGTGAGGTCAAGTAATACACGTTGGCCTCCCAAAGTGCTGGGATTACAGGTGTGAGCCATGCCTGGCTAATTCCACTTTTTTAGTTTGGTATATACCCAAGAGAATGGAAATGTGTTCACATGAAAACTTGTACGTGAATGTTATTCATAATAGACAAAAAGTGGAAACAACCCATTTATCAGTTGATGGACTTGTTTTTATCGACTTACCAGTCCATCAACTGATAAATTGATAAGGTGCGATATATACATACAATGAAATATTTGGTAATGAAAAAGAAATGAGGTACTGATAAATGCTACAACATAAATGAACTTTGAAGACATTATGAAAGTGAAAGAAGCAGTCACAAAAGACTGTATTGTATGATTCCATTTATATGAAATGGCCAGAGTAGGTAAAACTATATAGAGACAGAAAGTAGATTAGTGGTTGCCTAGGGTCAGAGGGTGTGGGGAGATCAGGTGGCATCTAAGGGGTTGGGGGAGGTTATGGGGGTAATGAAAGGGTTCTAAAATTGATTATGGTGATGATTGTACAGTCCTGCGAATCAACTAAAACTATTGAATTATACACTGTAAGTGGATCAATTGTAAATGAATGCTATTTCAATAAACTTGTAAAATACCGTATCTTATCAGCTCTTTAAGGTCATAGAGGTTCTTCAGAGTTTCTCTTATACCTCACACATTTAGGCAGAATCTCCACTACCTATATCCTAGTTGGTTTAATTGCAATTCTTTAATGTATGCGTTGTTGCTGATACATAATTTAGAAAGCTTGCTTCTGTGCTGTGCTTTTTTCACCACCTCATCTCCACAATTTCCAAGCTTGATGTACTACAGAAGTAAGAATAATCTTGTTCCAGTTTGCAAGTTGACTCATCTGACAGTGAAACCTCACCCTTCTGAAATCTCATCATGAACAAAAGTGGGGTAACTCAAACAGATAGGCAAAGTCCATTGTTAAAGCTCCTTCCCTTTGTTCATTGGAAGGCCATCAGACCCCCTTTCAGCCTATTTGCCCTTATTTTACATAGCATGCTAATAAGCAAGTTGCTGATTTCCAAACCCACCAGACTAGAAACACCAAGTTAGAAAGGGTGTTAAGGGTGTGCTATACAGATTGAATTGTGTCTCCCCAAAATTCTTATGTTGAAACCTTAATTCCCAACATGATAGTATTAGGAGGTGGTGCCTTTGGGAGTTAATTAGGCTGAGTTGAGGTCATAAAGGTGGGACCCTCATGATGGGATTTGTGCCCTTATAAGATGGAACACCACAGAGTTGAGGCCCCCTTACCCCCATGTAAGGGACACAAAGAGAAGGCAGCTACCTACAAGCCAGGAAGAGAGCCCTCACCAGAAACCATCCATGCTGGCATCTTAGTGTTGGACTTCTAGCCTCCAGAACTATGAGACAATTTCTGTTGTTTAAGTTGTGCAGTCTGTGGTATTTTGTTATGGCAGCCTAAGCTGACTGAGTCATAGTAGTAGCCTGGAAAAAAGGTAGCTCTTAGTCTAAGGGGACAAGGGCACTGTGGGGGAGGGGTGCACCAGCACAACTTTGACCATCCGAACTCTGTATAGTGATGTTCAGCTGTACAGAGCACCAACTTGATAGGGCTTAGAGACTTCTTAGGTCACAACATAGTATAATAAACAATTTTCATAATACTGTGATTCATCAAGAGGGTTGAATCATTTTCTGTTGAAGGCCATAAAGGGATTTAAATCTGTATTAGAAGTATTTTCATTCAAGATAATTGAAATTGTTTACCCTTTGAAAGTTGAACTAAGTTTTGTGCTACCCAGAATGCCTCGTTCCTCATAATTTCTAGATGCCTTTTTGAGTGCTACTCTAGTTTTTGTTTTTCAAAGCAAAGAGGTTGAAGGTAAGTTTCTACTTTCCTTGTCCTAAAATTATATTTGATTTACATTTTGAGGCAGGATCTTGCTCTGTTGCCCAGGCTGGAGTGCAGTGGTGCAGTCATAGCTCACTGTAGCCTCGAACTCCTGGACTCAAGCTATTCTCCTGGCTCAACCCCCGAGTAGTAGGGACTTCAGACCAACAGCACCTCACTTGGCTCTTTTTAAAATAATTTTTTTAGAGACAGGGTCTCACTATGTGGCCCAGACTAGACTCAGACTCCTGGGCTCAAGCAGTCCTCCTGCCTTGGACTCCCAAACTGTTGGAATTACAGGCATGAGCCACCATGCCCAGGCTCTCTTGTCTTTTTGATAATAGCCATCCTAAGAGATGTGAAGTGATATCTCATTGTCGTTTTGATTTGCATTTCCTTGATGATTAGTGATGTCGAGCACCTTTTAATGTACCTGTTGACCATTTGTAAGCAGCACGTTTCCATAACTGTTTATCAGTTAAAGTGTACTCTTCAAAACTATTGTTTTTAAAACATTCAGGTAGCACTTAACTGGTAAGCAGATTGTTTTGTAGAATAGAGAGGGGCTGCCAGTTTCAGCTTTGACTATAGCTGTGAGAAGAATGTTAGTCTCAGTCCTTCTTTGGAAAGCCTTTAAAAGGGGCTGTTTATTTTTTCTCATACTTGTTTATTCTTTCATTTAAAACTTTTTTTTTCTTAAAGATGTTAATGTTAGGGCCTAGGTCACATATAAATAAGACATAGCCCTGACATAAGAAACTCAGAGTCTATAAAGAGAGACAGATGGATAAACAGGAGTCCTGTAATACATGATGTGTGTAAGATGGAGAGGAAGAACCTTTTAAAAAAGTGAGGGGTGGGGGTGGCTTCATAAAGGAAGTGATGGTTGGAGCTGAGTCTTGAAGGATCAACAGGAGTGTCCCTGGCAGAAGAGAAAGGGCATTCCAGATGGCAGAAGAGCCTGTTTACAGGCAGAGAGGTTAGAGATTATGCTTTCAACTTGAATTGTAAAATCCTTAAAAGTTAGGATTACATGGGATTTAAATTAAATTCCTGGGTGGTATTATATGTTGATAACCCCTTAAATTGTTTCAAACTCTTTTTAACCCTGTTTTCCAGGAACTCGAATCATTTATGACAGAAAGTTTCTGTTGGATCGTCGCAATTCTCCCATGGCTCAGACCCCACCCTGCCACCTGCCCAATATCCCAGGAGTCACTAGCCCTGGCACCTTAATTGAAGACTCCAAAGTAGAAGTAAACAATTTGAACAACTTGAACAATCACGACAGGAAACATGCAGTTGGTAAGAGAATGGCGATGTTGGAGACCTAGAGCGTGGCTCTTGGAATTTGAATGTCTGTTTGCTGTAGGTTGAGAAGCTATTGATTCTTCAGTTTTGTTTTTTGTTTTTTGTTTTTTTTGAGACACAGTCTCATTCTGTCACTGAGGCTGGAGTGCAGTGGCACAATCTCAGCACACTGCAACCTCCGCCTCCTGGGTTCAAGCGTTTCTCCTGCCTCAGCCTCCCGAGTAGCGGGGATTACAGGCGCCTGCCACCACGCCTGGCAAATTTTTGTATTTTTTAGTAGAGACGGGGTTTCGCCATGTTGCTTAGGCTGTTCTTGAACTCCTGACCTCAGGTGATCCACCTGCCTCAGCCTCCCAAAGTGCTAGGATTACAGGTGTGAGCCACTGTGCCTGGCCAATTCTTCAGTTAATAACTAATGTTCAGTTATATGTCTCTAAGGTTTCCCTCCTCCCCCAAAGGTTTCTTGAAATACTCTGAAAACCCTGAATTCTAAATCATAAATCTGATGTAGTTGGTGGGAGAAAAGAATCCAGAATCAGGATGATAAACCCCAAAAATGACTCTTTGAACCATGCCTTAAGGACTTCCTGGCCTAGGCTTCATTGGACTAAGGATAACACACACAGAAAACAAAACAATTTCATAGCCCCCATTTCCATCACCCTCAGGCAAATAGACCTTGTTTCTTTTGTTTTGTTTTGTTTTTTGAGACGGAGTCTTGCTCTGTTGCCCAGGCTGGAGTGCAGTGGCACGATCTCGGCTCACTGCAAGCTCTGGTTCCCGGGTTCACGCCATTCTCCTGCCTCAGCCTCCCAAGTAGCTGGGGCTACAGGCGCCTGCCACCACGCCCGGCTAATTTTTTGTATTTTTTAGTAGAGACGGGGTTTCACCATGTTAGCCAGGATGGTCTCGATCTCCTGACCTCGTGATCCGCCCGCCTCAGCCTCCCAAAGTGCTGAGATTACAGGTGTGAGCCACTGCGCCTGGCCGACCTTGTTTCTTATATGAGTTTCTTTTATATGGTGTGAGGAAAAGCGGTATGGTTTATTTCCTCTATTTTCCAGAACTGCGTTTAAGGTTTACCTAAATTACCCCTCCTCCAACACATTCTTTTTTTCTTTATCACTGTAGAAGCAGAATGGTGCGGTAGGAGTGGCCAGCTCCTGAAATATTCCTCAGGGACTGCACTTGGTGACCCCTAGATGGGGGCCAGCATTCCGCTTTGTCATATTTCAGATGAGTTTTTTAATGGACAAAGTGTTAGTTTGGAGCAGGGCCAAAGTCCAAAGCCTCCAGAAGAATGTGCTCCCCTGAGAGATGGCAAAGAGCTCCCCAAGAGCTGCTGTTTAGTCATCCTGAAGACAAAGGGACAATGGGGATGTTTTCACTTGTGTCCTTTTCCCCAAAACTTCTCCCCATGGGTGATGGGACTGCCATTCTTATTTTTCAGATTAAGACCAGCCAAAGCAAAGCAGAGTAATTGTTTTAAGGCAGCAGAGAGTGGGACAATTTGAATTACTTTTTGTCTCTCATTTAGAGGGAATGACAGTTAAAACTGTTATGCTTCTTTGTGTACGTGCTAAACTCTTCATTTTATTGGTCCTAACTAGGGGATGATGCTCAGTTCGAGATGGACATCTGACTCTCCTGCAAGGATTAGAAGAAAAGCAGCAACACTGATACTTGTGTGCACCTGATTTGGCCAATAGGATCAACAGTGAAAAGACAGAAGAGGCAATACCAGCAGTCCCCATTACAGTCTCCACCTCCCCGTCTTCCTCTGGGTGCCAAATGATGGGAAGATGAGCTTCATCTGACCATTTCTTCTCCCTGTCTCCTGTTCCCCTTCCCAGTTAAACAGGTTAGATTGAAGGCCCTTGCTGTATTTCTGTAGAGCTAAGCAGCCCTTAGAGGAAAACAGTTCAACTCTGACTTTCCTAGTTGTTTTTTTATTGAGAGCCACCCTCATACCCTGTAATTTTGTCCCAAATCAAATATCAACCTACCAACAACTGCCTGGCTGGGAAGTCTGGGGAAGGGATACAGAGCTTGGTGGGCCTAACACCATTCATATTCCTTACCCTCTGTCTCTCCTCCCTGTATCCCACCTATGGTTCAGTGTTGCAAGAGTCTGGGCTTGGGGTCTTTAAAACCAGCAGGGGGAAATGATAAAAAGAGAGCTGCTTTCCCTTTTACCTTGAGGTATTCGTCCCTCGGGACAGAGCACAGCTTGTGCAACTCTGGTAGCGTTACCCTGTGACACTGTTTTGAGGTCCACTTCCTTTCTTTCCTCTGGGAGGAATGTCTTCTGTCTTTGGTATTATAGTTCATCTTCCCATTCTTTTACTTAGTGCATTTGTGCAGATATTTTTAACTCTGTACATCAGAAGAGAGCCCTTGGTAACCAGTTTTGCTCTTCTTCTGCCACTCCTCCCTGCTTGCATCTCGTTGCTGGCAGAGTCCTCTTGTACTTCAAGAAAGCAAAGTGATTTTGTCTGCTCCTAGAGCAGGTCCATACCAAGTAATAGAGGCACTTTAGCTTCCACTTGGTGGGTAAGGCCTGATCATAGTATTCTGTCAGATAATGCCTAAGAATGACCGCTGAAGAACGTTGACCCATTTGAGTACCCGGTCTCAGTCGTCATTTTTAAGTCCAGTGAGCATTGTGGTAGTTGTTCTTAGATTGCAGTTTCTTATGTTTTGAGTTTGAAGTTGATTTTCAGAATGTTCTTAGAAAAGAACTGCATTTTTTTCCTTTGTGGATCTGCTTTGTTTGGCTGCTGGGATAGATAAGCATGGGCTTAAAAAATGTGTTCCTCCCAGTTTTCTTGCCTTTCCTGTTGTACTCTGAATTTCTCTCCCTACCTCCCTCACTTTCTTCCTCTCTCCTTCCTTTCCTTCCTTTTTCTCTACCAGGCCATTTTTCAAATTTACATCAAAGATACCTGAAGTGTTGGTATCTGAGAATATCTGTCACTCCTCTTATCTGAGAAGTGACCTTTTATTTTTAAGATGACTACAGACCTATTTTTAGATATGTTTTCAGTACAATTTTGAACAGCAACTTTTTAATTAAACATCTTCCAGTGTTAGGAAGTTGAGAAACGTTCATAGGCAAGTCTGCTGTTCTATGTCACCATCTTTTGTCTCCCCTAGTCCCCCAGGAGCTCTTTCCTTTCCCCTCTAGTTTTGGGTGTGCATGTTTGGAGTTTGTAGTGGGTGGTTTGTAAAACTGGACCATTCTGCCTTGCTATGGGTTGTTCAAGAAAGCCTCATTCTTTTCTGTGACCCTTTCGCTTTTGCATTCACCCTCCTTCCCACCTACCTGTCCTGGGGCTGTTGAGCAGCATAATAATCCCGGGAGAATGATTCCCCTCATAGAAAGACAAAAGCATCCATCCCCTCATAGTTAAGTAGCCACTGGTGTCCTGGGAATTTCTGGTTGGATTTGGTGCCCTGAACTTTTTTATTAAGAAATCAGATCCCAGGGTGAGAGTAACAGGCCATTTGGCCAAGAAAGAAACCTGTTTGTTTTTCTTTTGAACTATGAAAAGACCCTGTTTGTGAATATATTTTAGAAAGAGAGGAAGGATGTCTGCAGAACTTTGTTCTGTTTTCTGCCACAAAAATGTGAATAGTTCAGAGTGAAAACCTTTTGTGATGGTTGATGTCTCAGGAATAAGCTGGATCTCCAATGTTTTGGGGATGCTTTGAGTCTCAAAAAAAATTGATAATCAGAAAAGTAATTTTTGTTTGTTTGTTTAATGTATCCCTGTTCTGTTTTTAATTAAACTCCAAGTCTCATTTTACATATTCTTGGAAAAACCTAAGTTGCTCTGTAATTTACATAAGAAGCATGCTCAGGACCTCTTTGTACCCCGGGGAGCCTGATTCTTTGGGAATGAAGCTTTTCATTCTTCATACACTGGCCTTGGCATCCTGTGGAATTTGACCCAACTAGCAGCTAGTCAGTCTGTCAGTGAGCAGAAGAGTGAACTCTTCTTGATCTTTATTGCTATGTGTGAAAACTTGGCTTCCTCACTGAACGGTGAGGAATGGATTTAAAGCATGAGCTTTAGTAGTATCAAGATGCCATTTTCCTTTTTCTTGCTGTCTTGGGGAGCTTCTGCATGTGACCCCCTAATCAGAAGGCATGTTTTTAGTATTTCTTGGGAGTGTCAGCTGTATAATGCAGCAGCTGTTCAATCCCTTACCCTTCTCTGCAAGGACTTCCTTACAGCTTGGTGCAGTTCTTTCCCAGAGGCCACCACTACTAGACAGTCTTTCTTTTATCTTATGGAGATAAATTGGCATTTAAAAAATAATTTCACAAGGCATGAGATAAACTTTCAATAGATGATACCTTTGTGTCATGCCTCATGGAATTATTTTTAGAACAAGCCAGAGTCCATTGAGTGGTTTACCTCTGCATGTTTGGAGGGAACCTCACAGATGAAACCCTTAATGAATAATGTGTCCGGGGTTTTTTAGAGAGAAGGAGCACTCTTAAGTTACCACTTTGAGACAGCTCTTAACATCTTAGTGACCATTTGTAGTTTTCTTTTTATGAGGAACCCATGCTTCTATACTTGGGCGGACAATCGAGCTTAATGAGAAGTGACTTCCCTTCAAATTCCAACAGCAGACATGCATTGTCATGATTCTGTCTTCTTTTTAGTGTGGTTTATTGAGTTCAGCAGTTCTCATATTCTGTTTAAATAGGTACAGCATTTTCAAGGGCACAGATACAGAGAAGCTGGCTTTCTAGGTATTGGGCTTCCAAGCCAAGAGTTTTGTCCTTCCACCTGTATTAGTTATCTATTGCTGTGTAAAAAATTACCCTAAATTTAGTATGTTAAAATAGTAAACATTATCTGTCAGTTTCTGTGGGTTAAGAATTTGGGAGTAGTTTAACATGATGGTTCTGGCCCATGGTATCATGAAGTTACAGTCAAGATTGAACAGGGGCTGCAGTCAGCTGGAGCTGGAGAAACCACTTCCAAGTTCTCTCTTTGTGGCCGTTGGCAGGATGCCTCAGTTTCTTCCCATGTGGGTCTCTGCGTAGGGCAGCATGAGTGTCCTCACACCATGACACCTGGCTTCTCCCTGAGCAGCTGATTCCAGAGATCATGGGGCAGGGCCAGGAGAAAGCTGCAGTGCCTTTTAAGACATAGTCTTGGAAAGGACACACCGTCACTTCTTATCCTAGTTGTTAGAAGCAAGCCACTAAGTTCAGCCTGCACTCAAGGAGAGAGGAATTACACATACCTCTACCCCAATGGAGCAGTAGCAAAGAATTTATGGACATATCTTAAAAGCACCACACCCCAACTGGGGATGAAAGTAGGTCAACAGGGAGGTAGGTTTAATCTAGATAAGCTGAAAGATAGATTGCTATCAAAAACAGTTCTCCAAGATGTGCATAGCCAAACTGGGATAGAAGGCAAACTCCCCAAAGCTACCTGCTGGTTTTGAGAGGGGTGGTAAGACATGGCAATTCCCAGGAGTAGTAGAAAATAATATGCCTGACTACCAACAGCTCAAGTATGCTTATTTGCACATCCTAGACTTGGTGTCTGTAAGACTCAGTTACCACTTTTATTTTCCTGTAGCTAGGAGTTAGCAAAAGGAACTGGGGCCTTCCAGCCGAGCCACTAAACCTGTCTTATTTGGAATGGGGATTGTCCAGCAAAGGGAGCAAACATGAATTAGATGTTAAGCTATTGAGCTGAAGAAAAGAAAGCAGTTCACATTTAGGTGAAATAGATGATGTTATCAGGAAGCCAGGTTCCCACCAGAGTCGGTGCTTGGTACCTGGTCTCTCCAGTCTCAACAGACTCAGGTCAGGTCTCTCACCCAGGAAGCAACCACTCAATAAAATAGAGAACATCTGAGAATTACAAATGTCTATGCTTGATTGCTCCTCTAAATCCAGTGCATAGGTTAACCCTGCATGCCCATTTCTTCCTGGGCTTCTTGATGGCAATGTGTTCTTAAATAACTGGTCTTGTGTTCATGCTAAAGACAAACTTACATGAAGTTTTTCAGTTTAAGACATTCTAGTGAATGGCTGCTATGTGTTTCTGGCACTCATTCCTAACCAAGTCTTTAGAGATTTCAGATGACCTTAAAGATGCAATATCTTTTTCTTTCTTTCTTTCTTTCTTTTTTTCTGAGACAAGAGTTGCGCCCTGTCGCCCAGGCTGGGGTGCTGGAGTGCAGTGGTGCGATCTCAGCTCACTGCAGCCTCTGCTTCCCAGGTTCAAGTGTTTCTCCTGCCTCAGCCTTCCGAGTAGCTGGGATTACAGGCATGTACCACTATGCCTGGCTAATTTTTATTTCTATATTTTTAGTAGAGATGGGGTTTCATCATGTTTGCCAGGCTGGTCTCGAACTCCTGGCCTCAAGTGATCCGCCCACCTCAGCCTCCCAAAGTGCTGGGATTACAGGCGCGAGCCACCGCGCCTGGCCAAAGATGCAAATTCTTGTTTGGATTTATGCTCTGCCTCTTCCCAGCATTTTCTTATCTGTAGCCCTGCTTGCTTGAGAGTATACTTGGATAAGAAGTATTGCTGTTGAGGGAGCTATAAGAAAAGGATTCTTCTTCCAGAAGTAAAGAACTCATCTTTAGAGTACCTTTAAATGAATTTTGTTTTTCTTTCTTATTTTGAGGTGGATTGGTCTTCTCTTTTTTTGGGTTTCCAGCTCACTGGGACTCTCAGACCTTACCTTTCCAGCTCAAACACCATTAGTTAAATTCCTTCATTCTCATTAGAATGCAGCCTGCTGAGTATGTGGGTTTCACTGCCGGAGTCCATCATTTAGCCAGTATACATAGAGGAACTGCTTCGAATCAAGGCAACTGGTGAAGGGCTTAGCATGTTGGCAGCAATATCCCAGAGATTGAATCTGTTTGCATTTTCCTCATCTAGGATAACAGCTGCTTGAAGCCAGGGCTCTTAGCCCTTTGCATTCCCCTTGAGCGAGGAAGCCACACTGCCTTTCTGTGTCTGGTTCAGAGCTCTTCCTTCTTGGCATGTTTTCTGGACTACATGCACATGGGCAGCTATAGATTAATCTGCAAAACCTAGTCACTTACCTACCCATAATATCTGGGAAGGTGTGGTATTTGTTTTAAAGAAACATTGTTTCTTTGGGAGGGCAGTTTCTGTCTGGACTTTGAGGTGGACTTAGTTATCCCTACAGTTCTTTAACTCTCAGCTTTTAATAAAAGATGAAATCAGATATTGATGCAGTTGGGTCACAATTCTTTAGAATGCTTCTACCCCAGGGCCGCTTCCTGTTCCTAGTCATGGTTTTCCAGTTTAGTAGTGGAGTTTCTTGAGGCTAACTTACAGAAATTTCTAACTGAAAACTTTAAGAGTTATTGATACTTGTTTTTTCAGTCAGTCACTTACATCACCTAGCCTACTCTCTGGAATTTAAATTTATTTCTCTAGGCTGGTCCTGGAAGTTGATAACCTTTTGGCAAAGCTTAGATTTAGGAGAAGGCTTGAGTCCCTGTTCAGCGGGTCTGTGGATTCTCTTTGCTTATGGCTCTCTGCCTGCAGCCCTGGCAGACCATACTGTATGTCATGGATACCCAGTGGAAATATTACTGAGATGAAACACATTTCCAAGGGTATTTAAACTCTCACTCTGCCACCTTTCTAAGGGTGGGAGGCTGGCAGAGATGCTGCAATGCTTGATAATCATTTGGCCACACTGAAATTTCCAAAGGGAGCTCTTGCCGGTGCTTAAAACCAAAACTCCTGGACACTTAGAAAATTCCATGAATCTAGCACAAAATATCCATTCTTGCCCAAGTGTATCCCCTTTCTCTCCAGCTTAATCTTTTTTTTTTTTTTTTTTTTAAAGCCCAGGCCAAGGGTACTTTTAACTGGAAACTGGGGAGGAGGGAAGAACACTAGCAGGGAGCTAAGAGGCAGGTTGCTGGGTAAGCCATCCTGCTCCTACCTGGTGCCTGTATCTACATTGCTGAGTGCTGTGCGCCAGTGCCTTTCCTTCATCTGCAGATGGAGCCCATCTCTTTCCACCTGGGTGAGGAGACCCTCTGCTACTCCAGGGGTAAACCTTAAAGAAGGTGTCTTGAAGAGCCCAGAGGACACTCACGTGCTAAGGTGTCCATTTTATGCATCTTTAAAATATTTTATTTAAAAAAAAAAATAGCCCTGCCCTGTCTTAGTGCCACTAACGGCCCAGTTCCATCCATTCTGAATGGAAAAGCGGAGACTGCCAGCACTTTCCTTGGTCTTCCCTTTGTCTCCCATGATGTGTTGTTCCCTCATCCCTCCCATCCATTTCACTGTGTGTGGATGGATAGCAGAGGGTACCACGCAGTCCTTGAGGCAGTCCTGTGTGATTCCATGATCAGTTGTTTTTGTATTTTAACTATTCTTCCAAACCAGCAGATGTTTGGAAATTAAGGAAAAAATTAAATTCTCATCAATGGTTGCTGTTATAGTTAAATCAGTAAAGATCTTGAGTATCAACTTGGTGTTTTAATTTTTTAAAAATTTCTGGTGAAATCCTGCTAAGGTTATTTCACATTTCAGGAGTTTCAGCTGGTGGGGGAGATGGGCAGAGGTAAGAGGCAGTTGGCTCTTTATCTGTCAGTTCTCCACACTTGCGGAGCATGCACTTTGTCAATGTGGACCTGTGTATGCAAAGGAGATGGTGGGACTCTCAGGGAGCATGACCCTGGTCCTGTGCTCAGGAGCTTGCAGGTGAACATGTATATGCTGGGCTGACGGCACCCAAGCATGTCCTTCTCTTAAGTGCCAGCCCTGAGGAAGCCCAAACAACTTTTCCTTTCTCAGAAGAGGGGCTGCCTGTGCCCCTGGGAGCACTGGTTAGATGCCCATCATGCCTGTTACCTCAAACCAAGCTGTGCTGCATGAGCGTCAGATTCCCTGCTGTTAACTAATCCAGCGGGTTTCATGTATTAGTCCTGAGAATGAGAATTCTTTCACGTGCACAGAGGTCCACAGAATAAAACTGGACTGGAGGAAGCTTTCCCATCGGAACTGTCTAGGGGTTTAGGGCACAGGCTTTGGAGTCAGGCAGCTTCAGTTCCAGCTGTGCTGCTTAGTAGCCAAATTACCCAGCAGAATTCTTATTCTACAAGCCTCAGTTTTCTCTAAAATAAGGTTAAGAAACAACTTTTCTAGGTGGTTGTCAGGCCCAGTTGATGTCATAAAGAGCCCAGTGCCTAGTATACTCAGCTCAGGAAACAGTATTTAAGGGACTCAAGCACAGCCCGGTTGACATGGACACCCAGAGATTATTCAGCCCCCTCTCCTCTTCCCTCCAAGTGTGTAAGTTTAGGAATGGAACAGGTTTGAGCACTGCAGCTACCACCTACTCATGGAACCTATAGAAGGACTAAAGGATCTCTTTAAGGGAAGATGGGACCAAAACCTTAAAAGCGCTTTCCTACATCCTTTACTCTGCCCTAAAGGCAATTAGGATAGGTAAGGATCTTACTGCTAATGAAGACTTTTTTTTTTTTGAGACTGAATCTTGCTCTGTTGCCCAGGCTGGAGTGCAGTGGTGCGACCTCGGCTCACTGTAACCCCCGCTTCCTGGGTTCAAGTGATTCTCCTGCCTCAGCCTCCTGAGTAGCTGGGATTACAGGCACGTGCTACCATGCCTGGCTAATTTTTATATTTTTAGTAGAGACGGGGTTTCACCACGTTGGTCAGGCTGGTCTCAAACTCCACACCTCGTGATCCGCCCGCCTCAGCCTCCCAAAGTGCTGGGATTACAGGCATGAGCCACCGCGCCGGACCGAAAAGGAAGACTTAAAGACGGAGATAAACCCCAGGTTAGGGGTGCTATCCCAGGGTCACAGCCACTCCCCACATCTCTATGGATCCCGTGTTTCTGTTTCTTACAATGTTTCTAATTTCTCCAGGCTTACCTACTGCCAGGCCCACCCACTTCCTCAGCCAAGGAGTGTAATGTGTCCAATTTTTACCACTCACAACTGACTTGGCACTTCTTGAGAGCAAGTTAAAATAACTCTTGAGTGCTCTTAAAACCCTAGGTTCAGGCCAGGTGCAGTGGCTCACAGCTGTAATCTCAACACATTGTGAGGCCAACACAGGACAAGAGCTTGAGCCGAGAAGTTGGAGACCAGCCTTGGCAACATGGCGAGACCCTGTCTTGACAAAAAACAATCTAAAAAATTAGTTGGGTATGATGGTGCATGCTTGCAGTCCCAGCTACTTGGGAGGCTGAAGTAGGAGGATTGCTTGAGTCCAGGATGGCAAGACTGCAGTGAGCCATGATTGTGCCACTGCACTCCAGTCTGGTTGACAGCAAGATCCTGTATCAAAACAACAGAAAACATCCCAGGTTCAGACAGGACACAATTCTCCAAGGTAGTATTTAAAGTGACTTATAGAGCCTTCAGCAAGCACATGGCCTAGAGCATGGAGCTATTCCCTAGGCTCGGGTAGGTAGGCTTTGCCCCAGTGACTCTGTCCAGGCAACAGAATGACTCTGCTGCTGACGTAGCAAACACTGAGCTTTCAGCAGGGGTCAGCAAAACACAGAGTTTCACTACTTTGTGCACTACTTTTATTTGACATGAGGCAATGCCCTGTCGTCAAGGGTTTGTTCTTGGAGTCAATACAGCTGACTGTAAACACTCCCACAAGCTGTAGCTACAAATAGCTTGACCTTTCGCTCTCTGGCACCAGCCATGTAAGAAAGTCCTGGGGTGGGATGTTCACTTCTAAGAACTAGTTCAGTAGTGTAATTGGGTTCAAATGTTTGGTTCTAAAGGCTAAGGCTTGGATCCCAAGATAGGTGAGCACAAACCTCTAGTTGCTGTTAAGCAGTAAGTGCCCGTAGGGCTCAAGAGACCAGAGCTCAGCTCTTGGCCCTGCCACTCCTAGCTGTGTGGTCAGGCCCTGAGGCCTCCCTGGGGTCTCACTTAGGAATGGGGATCAGACAAGCTGACCTCACAAGGTTGTCCCTGCTCTGCTGTTCTGTATATGGGCAGATGCAGAATCCTGTTGATTCTGAATTGTTGGATCTGGGCAGTCTATTTCTAGTCCAGGCAGTGAACAGCTGGATCAGCTTTGTTGTGGAATCAAGGCACTGAGGTTTCTCAAGCCCAGGCCTGGCTCCAGCAAATCCAGCCCCTTTCTGGGCCATGACTATGGTGTTGACTCAACCAAAGCCTCAGTTGAGTTCGTCTGAGCTCAACAGGGTTCACAAATGATTGGAATCATTTTCTTTAGCATAAGTGGGTAGGCTTCTTGGGAAAGCAGAATGGGGTAGATATACTGTGGGCTCACATTCCCAATAAAGTGGCCCCTTTGCTCCATGAAACTACAAAAAAAGTGCCCCTGCTTTGGCAATGCTCAATGAGATCAAGCTGTTAAGAGCAGAATTGCTTCTTTTGTTTGTTTTATTTAAACAGAGACAGGTTCTCACTATGTTGCCCAGGCTGGTCTTGAACTACTGGACTCAAGTGATCTTCCCATCTCAGCCTCCCAAAGTGCTGGGATTACAGGCATGAGCCACTGCACCCAGCCAGAATTGCTGCCTTTGAGGTCTTTTTACCTGGAAGATAACTGTGGTCAGGGGTTTTTGGGGATAGAGCTGCCTCACTCAGGCTCCTTTTGCTGTGCTTCCCATGTGGAACCTGAAATTAAGTCTGTCTTAGAACCCTGAGTAACAAAAGAGCCGATAAAGGTTAGATTAAGGGCATGTGGCAGGGACTGGGTTTAGCAAGCTTTATAAGCTTTAGAGGGAGGTAGGGATAAGGTAGCTCTTCCTATTCAGTCTACAGCTTAAAGCTCATGGCTCTTCTGAGCCTGACAACAGACATTTAATATGAATGCATTAGGATTCACCAGCGTTCCTTTTACAAGTGGAGACTGGACAGTGAATTGCTCACCTGAGGTCGCACAGCTTCCAGTGGCTGAGCTGTGACCATAGAGCAAGTATCTTGCCACCCAGGGCAAGGCCTTCACCACTGCTGGATAGGAAGCTCAGAGGCCTCATTAATAGCACACATTGAGAGACTGAGGTGGATTGTCACCAACTTTAACAAACTCAGGCTGTGTCTGCCGAAGCAGACTGACGCAGGGATGTCTTCTGTAACCCAACATGGCCGGTCCTCTTGGATGAGTTCCTGCCTCTGCCTTCACAGGCACCAGCTGGCCCAGGAGAACTAGACAATGGCTTTATTGTTGTACAGCTCATTAGCAGAGAACCACTCCAGTGAGCCTCTGGACAAGGCCAGTAGATTGCCACTGGCCAGCCAGAAAGCTGTGGGGCTCCCCCAACCCAGCCTGAGGCAATGAGATTGACGGACTCTTTTTAATCTATACAGTGATCCTTAATCTTTGGGGAGGGGGACAGGTCACACACAGACTACTTTGGAGAATACATGAAAGCTATAGGTGACTTCATCCCACCTCCAAAATACATGCACATATGTCTCAACTTTCACATACAGTTTCGGGGGGTTCACAGGTTTTTAAAAAATCCAGTAAAGAACTCATGCACTTGTGCTTTTCCTTGCCACTGTCTTTTCAGTAAAGAGAACATCCAGCCAGCCCCCTGCACAGGCTTCTTCCTCCCTCTTCCTGACAGCAGCCTCTGTGCTTGGCCAGACTCCACTGAGCCCTTCATTTACAGAGTGGGCAGCCCCTCCTCTTCAGTTCTGGTGGGCAGAGCAACTTTGCCCCTCTCTGTTTCTCCTTACTGGATTAGATGGTTATCATGTCTTCCAGGAGTTTCCCAGCCTTCCAGAGTGCAGGCAAATCCAGTCTCCCTCCAGGATGTCATCAGAGGCACCCACATTCTTCCACGATCATGTCTTTATGGTGATCTAGGAGCACTCTGCCATTATCCACATACAGCATGCTCAGCGGCTTGGTCTTCACTGGGGCACAACAAGTGGAAGGGACTCGGTGGGGCTGGTAACGTTTCAGCAGACTCTGTAAAGGAAAGGAAGGGTGTGTCAATTCACATCCTGATGGGCAGGTCAGAATAGTATTTCTGGGTAAAGAGTAAAAAAGTTACGGAGTTAAAGTCAGTTCCTGAGTGCAAAAATAGCAGAAAATTATTTTCATAAAGGAATTAGCTTGCCAATATATCATGAACTCTAATGTCTAAACTACCTTTAGCTCTGTGCTTGTTTTGTGAAAACAGCCTTTAAACAGATTCAAAAAATTACATGTATCTGGGTAGAGTAGTAGCTATTTTTTTTTTTAAGTGGTAGCTAATTTTTATGTTCTCCTATTATTCTAGTCTAAAGGGAATACCATTTTTTTTTTCTTTTTTGAGATGGTCTTGCTCTGTTGCCCAGGCTGGAGTGCAGTGGTGTGATCACAGCTCACTGCATCCTCAACCTCCTGGGCTCAGGTGATCCTCCCACCTCAGCCTCCTGAGTAGCTGGGACTACAGGTACATGCCACCATGCCTGGCTAATTTTTGTATTTTTTGTAGAAATAGGGTTTCGGCATGTTGCCCAGGCTGGTCTTGACCTCCTGGGCTCAAGCGATCCACCCACCTCAGCCTCCCAAAATGCTGGAATTACATGAGTGAGCCACCGTGCCCGGCTGTGAATACCAATTTTTAAAATATTCCAAGAAATTCCTGGTTTAGTTCTAGAAATATGAAGCAGAATAGTTAGTCATGTGGAAATTCTTATGGGATTTGCTGTCAGCCAGAGAAGGACAGAGAGAGTCAATAGGAGGAAAGGAACAATCCCTTGGCGTTTTGGAACCAGGGCCTGTCCCTGTGGTCTAGTAACGTCTTTTTAGATCAGAGTGTCAGAGTTGGCAGTTGGGACTGTCTGGGTCTTTGTGGTGCTCCAGGTGGGCGATGAAAATCAGCAGGCCTGGGTGAGGCTCAGGACAGATCCTCGGAAGCTCTAGTACCCCCAGGGACTCCCTTGCATGACCTCAGCCCATGTGCTCATGCTCCCCAGAGACCCTGAATCCCGCCTGAGGCTTGGCATGGAGGATATATTGCAAGTCCAAGAAATTCTCATTCCAGACTTCATGGAGTAAAATGAAAACATTTTGGTCCCATATGACCTTGGACAGCAGGGCAGGGCCACCTATAACATCAGATCCACCATATTAGGTTATATTTTCTGTTCTCTCCATCTTCTTCTCTTTCCTAACTCACCAGCTCTGTTCTTCCTCCACCACCTCCTAGACCTTAGGCTGACTAGTGGCACCAAGTGGCAGCCTCTGGCTTTGTCTACTTTTTCTTGTTTTTGAGATGGAGTTTCGCTCCTGTTGCCCAGGCTGGAGTGCAATGGCATGATCTCGGCTCACTGCAATCTCTGCCTCCCGGGTTCAAGTGATTCTCCTGCCTCAGCCTCCCGAGTAGCTGGGATTACAGGCATGTGCCACAACACCCGGCTGATTTTTGTATTTTTAGTAGAGACGGGGTGTCACCATGTTGGTCAGGCTGGTCTCAAACTCCTGACCTCAGGTGATCCGCCCACCTCAGCCTCCCAAAGTGTTGGGATTTCAGGCATGTGCCACCGCACCTGGCTGGCCTTGTCTACTTCTGTAGAATGGGTAGTCAATTCTCAACCAAAATACTGTGGCTGGAACAGTGTGATTCCAACCGTGGCCCCATAATGCAGCCAAACATGCCTGTTACCTACCAACTGCTTTACATGCCATGTGCATGTCATCTCATTAACCCTACAGCATCCCTCTGAAATATGGCATTGCCCTCCTCATCTTACAGGTGGAAAAACTGAAGCTTGAGAGAATAAGCAACCTAAACAGTATCACACAGCTAATGAGGAGTCAAATGCAGGCCTGCCTGTCCCCAAAGTCCAGATTCTTCCTTTCCTAGAATGTCAGGGCTAGGGAAGTGCTGAGACCCTCTGGTCTACCCCCACCCCCTAATTTTATGAAAGACAAGGATAAAGTCCCAGGGAAACAATGTGTTCAAGGCTACCCAGTGACGCATGACCCCATACAGGCTCTATAAGGATGTTACACTCGGTCATCTCTACATGCCTGGTACCTAGCACAGGATCCTGGTACATTGGAGGTGCTTGAGTAACTGTGAATACAGGAACATAGTCATTTAATAGCAAAGCTAGAGCCCTGTCCCCCAAGGCCAGCTTACTGCCTCCCCTCCCCCTCACGCCTGGCATCCCACCTGGATGTATGCATGGTTGGTCGGATGAAACTCCTCCCCAACAGGATTAGGACACTCGCCCTCACAGCGATAGGCGTTGTACTGCTTGGGGTAGATGATCCAGGAGCCCCATCCGATCAGGTTGAAGTCCACCTGGAACTTGACCTTCCGACACAGTTGACTTCTGTCTGGCAAGTGATGTCGACGGTGCCTCTTGCCCCACTCCCAGGACAGCTGTCCCTCCTGGGCCCGCCAGGAGCTCTCGGCTTCCCACAGCAAGGTGGACCCACCCAGCTGCCTCTGCTCCTGCGAGAGGTTGGAGTAGAGCATAAGGAGCACATTGGTGGCAGGCGGTGTGGGGGGCCGCGGCCAGCACTCTCCAGCTACCCTGGACATCTGCTTCTCCAGGGCCCCAGGGTGCTTCAGCCACTTGGAGAGAGGCCTGGTCACCTCCAAAACCATGCTGCCCAAGGAAAAGGTGACCTGGGACAAAGTGACAGTGAATAGGTCCATCTGAAACCGCTCTAAGCAGCTGTCTGAAGCCTGCTCTGTGTCGGGCTTTGGCTGGTGGAAAATCTCAATGGCAAGTGAGCCCTCAGTGGGGAGGTCCACAGGGCTGGACAGCTGCAGCCGGAGCTCAGCCCATGCCAGATCCTCTTGTTGGCTCAGGAAGGAGAAGTCAAAAGCAAACGTCCAGTTCTGCCCATCCACTGCCACATCTGGGTAGGAGAAAACCAAGAAGGAAGGAGGGTGAGTGAGGGCCTCCCCCAGCCTCAGTCAGTGTCACAACCACCATAGCTCTTGCTGGAGGCCTTACCTTATATAGAATTACCTTCGAATTCTCACCCCAACTCTATGAGTTGGTAAGATTTTCGAGTCCCTTTTAGAGATGAGGAAAACTGAGGCTCAGTGTGGTTAAAAGATCTGACCAAGGTGTCATTCTTGGAAGGTGGCAGAGCCAAGAGTAAACCTGGATTTGCCCAACTGCCAAGCCCAGACTCCGAATTACTGTTCTTCCAGTCCCCCTTCCAAGATAACTTGCACAGCCAGAGGACAGTCAGTAAAAATGTGATGAGTTGCATCTCCCCCTCCCCTGTCTCCTCCCATACATGAAGTCTGACCAACATGGAGAAACCCTGTCTCTACTAAAAATACAAAATTAGCTGGGCGTGGTGGTTTGCGCCTGTAATCCCAGCCACTCGAGAATCATTTGAACCCGGGAGGCAGAGGTTGCAGTGAGCCAAGACAGTGCCATTGCACTCCAGCCTGCACAACAAGAGTGAAACTCTGTCTCAAAAAAAAAAAAAAAAAAGAGTGACTTGTTTTACAGACACATTGAGCTAGATGTGAATATCATGGAAAAGCTCAGAGCTCTCAGGGAGCCACAGGCAATAGAAGCCAAAGACTGGTCACCCTCTACCCACCCCCCAGTTCCTAAGAGTTTTTGGCAACCTTACAAATAGGTTTCTAAAGGCTTTCTAGGCATGTCTACCCACCTACAGGATGCTCGCCCATTCCTGTCCCAGGTCATTCACACACCTGGGGCACACAGCAATCACATGCACCCAGAAGCTTCCAGAAGGCTGAAAGTGGGAGTTGCCCCTTTACAATACAAGGTGGATTATTTCCCAAAGAAATTCACTTTCTCTCTGATCAAAGATGCTCTATGAGACAACAGATGAATAAACTGTTAGATGCCCAGACTGGACCTACATCAGAGATCATCACCCAGAAGACACACACACCCAGCCCTGTTCCACACACCCAAGACAACCAAACCCAAGCTGGATGACAAGGAGTAGGGGAGCACACTCCATTTATTCTGGTCCTGGATTGATTTTCCCTGATGTCTGGGAATAGCACAGATTTGTGGATTTTCAGGTGACTTAATAGTGATGCCGGGCGCGGTGGCTCACGCCTGTAATCCCAGCACTTTGGGAGGCCAAGGCGGGTGGATCACCTGAGGTCAGGAGTTCGAAACCAGCCTGACCAACATGGAGAAACCCCGTCTCTACTAAAAATACAAAATTAGCCGGGTGTGGTGGCTCACGCCTAATCCCAGCTACTCAGGAAGGCTGAGGCAGGAGAATTGCTTGAACCCAGGAGGTGGAGGTTGTGGTGAGCCGGGATCGCGCCACTGAACTCTAGCCTGGGCAACAAGAGCGAAACTCTGTCTCAACAAAAACAACAACAAACATAGTAATGAACTTTCTTCAAGCTCAGTTTCCTCTTCTTTGCGATGGGAATAATGCTGTACCACCCTCTCTGATTATCACAAGGACCCAGAGAAATAAAGAGGTTTGAAGGTTTATTGCTAAATAAAAGTTGGGGTTATTCATTAGAAATAAGACAGGGCATTTATAATTCTTTGTGAATAGACTCTGGAGGTAGTGATGATCTCTGATGTAGGTCCAGGCTGGCTGCATAACAGTTTATTCATTGACTGTCTCGTTGAGCATCTTTGGTCAGAGAGGAAGTGAATTTCTCTGGGAAATCCAGCTTGTATTGTAAAGGGGTCACTCCCAATCTCAGCCTCATGGCAGCTTCTCCCAGCCTATCTCCAGCAGCTCTTTTTCACTTAATTTCCACTTCCCTCCTCATTAGCACCTACAGGAGGCAATAACCGGCCCCTGACTAGCAGCTTTCCCCAGAAGTGTGGGGAGGAGGCTAACATTACTCAGCACTCACTGCTGCCACCTGTACCTGGAGGATTCGGGCGGTGAGTTTAAAAACACTTTATCTTGGCCAGGTGCGGTGGGTCACTCCTATAATCCCAGCACTTTGGGAGGCTGAGGTGGGTGGATCACTTGAGGTCAGAAGTTCGAGACCAGCCTGATCAACATGGTGAAACCCTGTCTCTACTAAAAAAAAAATACAAAATTAGCCAGGCATGGTGGTGCACACCTGTAATCCCAGCTACTTGAGAGGCAGAGGCAGGAGAATCGCTTGAACCCAGGAGGTGGAGGTTGCAGTGAGCTGAGATTGCGCCATTGCACTCCAGCCTGGGTGACGAAAAGCAAAACTCTGTCTCGAAAAAAGAAAAACTTTATCTCAACTCTTTTAGAAGAAGGCACTCCTGCTTAATGGTTAAGAGCAGGGGCCCCCAAGTCTCCCCATGATGGCTCAAATTCTGTCACTTGCTGTTTGACTTTGGTCAGGCTACTTTCCTTCTCTGAGCCTCAGTTTCCCTCTCTGTAAAAGGGAGATGGTAAAAGTAGCCACCTCACAGGGGTGTTAGGATTAACTGAGATAATTCATGTAATGTGCCATGCCCAGCACAACCAAAGTTCAATAAACATTGGCCATCATCAGCTGCCTCATTATTGCCCAGGTCCGAGAGTTAGAAATGAAGGTGTCCGGACAGGCCACAAGGACCTGGACAGGGGTGCAAAGTTTCCTATGAACAGGATGGGCAGTGGGAAAGGCTGGGTAGGGAAGAGGCTGCTCCTTCCTGCTGAAAGAAGTCTGTGACCCTTCCTACCTTCTCCCACTGCTGCCAGGGTGCCCTGGAACAGGGCTGATAGGTTCTCTGGTTCATCTTAGAATAAGGGTTCTAATATTGTGGGTGTCACTGGTGCCTGATGCAAGGTAGGAATGTTATCAGAAAGAAACACACATCCAAATACAACAAATGTGATTTTAAGGTGGGTATGAGGAAGGGGTTCATGGACACCCAAAAACCCATTCATATGCTGAATGCAGACTTAGCCACACAGATGCCCCTGATGTCCTCCTGGCCCACCTCCAGTTCTTTTTTTTGAGATGGAGTCTCGCTCTGTGGCCAGGCTCGAGTGCAGTGGTGCGATCTCAGCTCACTGCAGCCTCCACCTCCTGGGTTCAAGTGATTCTCCTGCCTCACCCTCCCGAGTAGCTGGGACTACAGGTGCGCGCCACCATGCCCAGCTAATTTTTGTATTTTTAGTAGAGACAGGGTTTCATCATGTTGGGCAGGACGGTCTTGATCTCTTGACCTCATGATCCGACCACCTCGGCCTCCCGAAGTGCTGGGTTACAGGCGTAAGCCACTGTGCCCGGCCCCACCTCCAGTTCTGAAGAAGAAAGTGGCTCACACCCTTGGGTTCCCTTCCAGTCACCGACACCGCCGTCCCCAGACAGGGCTGTGAGGCAGGGCTGTAAGGACCTGACACTGAGCACCCACTCTACATTTTCATAAATTATAAGGGTCGTTACCATCAGTGGCTTCCCGTGTGCCAAGTGTTTCACAGGCATTCTCTAAATCTCCTCACTGTTCCTCTCATCTCACCATTTGCAGATGAGAAAACTGAAGGTCCAAGGTGAAGGTTAAACGGCAACAGATACAGATGTAAACCCAATTGGACTCCAACATCCCTTTCATGCAACTGCGGTGCAGCTTATTCTAAATAAACCCAAGATGGAAGGAGTGGGGCCAGGACATCCCTTCTCCTCCAGTCTCCCTCCAGGCGGGCTCTTCCCACTGCTCTTAGAAAATGAGGCCAATTCACAACGTAACTGTGCCACATGCCGCTGTACACTAAAAAACAGTGTTTAGGCCGGTCACAGTGGCTCACGCCTGTAATCCCAACACCTTGGGAGGCCGAGGCAGGCGGACCACGAGACCAGGCGAGACCAGCCTGGCCAATATGGTGAAACTCTGTGTCTACTAAAAATATTAAAAAATAGCTGGGCGCAGTGGCGCGCGCCTGTAGTCTCAGTTACTCGGGAGGCTGAGGCAGGAGAATTCCTTGAACCTGGGAGGCGGAGGTTGCAGTGAGCCGAAATCGTGTCACTGCACTCCAGCCTGGGCAACAGAGGGAGACTCTGTTTCAAAGAAAAAACAAACAAACAAAAAAACAGTGTTTAGCTGAAAGAGAGCAGTCTCCTAATTTACAGAAGGGAAGGCAGATAAACCAAGACGCGCCAGGGACAACAGGGAATCAGGAAGCAGGATTTGAGGCCTAGAACCCAGTTTCCAGATGCCTGTCCATCACCGCACACATCTCGAACTTTCCAGAAGGGAGTGAACTGGAAAAGCGCTCCCTCCCTTCTTTGCCCCCTCCCATCCCCGGCCGCTTTTCGGTTGAGGGGCCGAGCACTCCAGCAAATTTCTCATTGCCCCGCCCCCGAGGGTGTCCCCTGGTCTGGCTGGTCCCCAGATGACCCTTCCGGAGAGGGTCACCGGCTGTCTGACCCCAGGCGCGGGAGCGAAGGGCCCCCGGCACCAGGTCACAAGGGGCGGGCAGGCGGCAGGTCGGATCAGATTAGCGTTTGTGGATTGCGCCCCGGCCCCAGGGAGGGCCGTCTGGCCCCCGCAGGCGGAGGGAGGCGTGGGCGGCCGCGGCTGCCCAGGCGGCAGAATGTGGATTGAGGCGCGGAAGGGGCTCCCTCTCCGCAGCACCCACCTGCTCGCCGCGCTGGGTGCCCAGAACGCGCTGCCAGGTCCTCGAGGGCGATACCCTCAGATCCCTGCCGTCCTTGACACCCACTCCCCTGCAAATCATGGCCCCGAACCCGGGGTTAAGCGAGACACTTGACACTTCCCCGGCGCGGCTGGAGGACCCAAGGCTGCCACAGTTCGCGACTTCGGGACAGCCCATCCCTGATCTCCGGGCCGTGAGCCCGAATCCCCGATGTTACCAGCTCAGCTGCCGATACTCCCGACGTCACACCCCGGGACCCATTCACCCTCACTCGCAGAAAGAAAAAAAAATCGCCAAGACCAAACCATTACAGTAATACCAACGACCGTTGACTGTGGCTGTGCCGGGTACTGCGCTGAGCGTTTCGCGCGCATTGTCATCTCGCGCTTTCCACAGTCTGATAGGCGAGGTGTTATTTATTACACCTATCCTACAGATGCGCAGACCCAGGCTCCGGGATAAGCAACTTCACAAGACTGGAGATTAGAAGCTCCCACCCTTCCGCGCTGCGCTCCGCGCAATCCCAAACCAAAACCCAGAGACAATGGTCCCCGTCGAGGACACACCCTGAACGCTAGAATCCCTTCCCGACTCGGCCGTGGATACGCCCCCAGCCACCAACGCTGCACCCCGAGCCTGCTGACGCGGAGACACCCGCAGAGCTAGGCCCTGGGCTCGGGACGCCCGGGCGGCTGCAAACCCGGCTCGGAGCCGCAGCCCCCAACCCACAGCACTTCCCGAGTCCGCTGGCTGGACGCGGCGGAGGCGCCCCGGGGGTGCCCAGCAGGGCGCGGCACGCGGCACTGCCTACCTTCTGCCTGTAGGCTGCGGATGATGTCTGCCCTCGGCAGCGGGTCGCGGTAGAGGCTCAGCATGTACGCCAGAGGGGATGGCGACGAGGGCTGCCCCCGCGTACGCAGGAGCGCAGTGGCCACCGTCGCAGCACCCGCCTGGAGTAGGGCCCACCAGGCGTGCAGAAGGAAGGGCAGGCAGTGGGCGTGCATGGTGGGCTGGCCAGGCCTGAAAGCAGCACCTCCAGCCCTTATATCCTGGGCCTCAGCAGCCGCCCCGCCCCCACCTTTCCTCCCTCTGGGGAAGCTTTAAGATCATATAACCCCCCTCCGGAGGGTGGGGGGCAGAGAGACCTCCTGCTGGGGATGGGCGAGACCTGAGCCTGGTGCGGAGGAGGCCCGCAAAGCTGGCGGAGGACCTAGTTCCAGGGACGGGATCTAGGGCTCCTGGTTTGCCCGGTCTGGACACCCTGGCACCCTGCTCCTCTAGGTACCAAACGCCTTGATGCTGAGACAGAGCAGGCTTGTCCCGGCAGATTCCCAGGTCAGAACTGCGACTTCCTTACTCGACCTCACCTGGGATCCCTGCCCCATCCTCTCCACTCAGGCTGCAAATGGACCGCAGGCTCCTCAAGAAGCAGGAAGAGAATGCCGAGGGATCCTCGTGGCTCTCAGGCAGACTTTGACACAATCTGGCCGGCGCAGCCTCCCTGGCCACTGTCTAGATGGCCTCGGGGAGCACCCCTGGCCCTACCAAATACTGAAGTGCTTTCCTGGGGAAGACAGAAGGCAGGAGGGACCAGGACGATGACTTCTCCACCTGAAAAGGGAGTGTTCAGCAGAAGCTGGAGCCAGATGGAGCCAACGGGGTGATCCTGGTTCATCAGGCTCTTCCCCGACAGGCAGACATCACCCCAGTGATTTCAGGAGGAAAGGTGTTACCCTTGTTGCCCACATCCCCCAATCCCTGCCTGGTGTGGCAGGGCCACAGAAGACCTGGGTGTCGGCTCAGGGCCACTCACTTTGATCTCTGGGCTCAGCTTTCCTTATTTGCACAAGAGTGATCTTGTCTGGCCTCCTCCCTTCCAGGTGCAAAGTCAAATCAGGGCTGGAATGACTTTTAAAGAAATGTAAATCCCTGCCCCAGTGTCTGGCCCCATCCGTTTTCCTTTACACCTGAGGGCTCTTTCTCTTCTTAGCTCCCCCCACCTACCTAGCCTTGACAAGCACTTAGCTGCTGGCCAACACTTACTGAACACTTACTAAGCGCCAGGCATAGTGCTAAGTGCTCTATACACCTGACTTCTTTCACAGGATGCCTCTAGCTCAAAAGAACCATAGGCTGCTGGCCAGGCACGGTGGCTCACACCTGTAATTTCAGCACTTAGGGAGGATGAGGCTGGCAGATACCTGAGCTCAGGAGTTCAAGACCAGCCTGGTCAACATGGTGAAACCCTGTCTCTACCCAAAAATACAAAAATGAGCCAGGCATTTTTGTGGTGTGCGCCTGTAGTCCCAGCTCCTCTGGAGGCTGAAGTGGGAGGATTGCTTGAGCCTGGGAGGCAAAGGTTGCAATAAGCCAAGATCGGGCCACTGCACTCCAGTCTGGGCAACCGAGTGAGTCCCTGTCTCAAAAAACAAAACAACAACAACAACAACAACAACAAAAGAACCATAGGCTGCGACCTGAGCAGGTTGTTAGAAAATGGAGAAAGGCCCAGCAGGCTCAACTAGGAGCTCCAAGCCTTTGTCCTCTGTCTTAGGGGAGGAGGCTGTCCCACATAGCTGGAGGCCTCATCTAAGATTCAGGAGACCTGGGCTGTCCACCACATGAGCCCTGGACAGTCTGTTAGTTTCCTAAAGCTGGAAATGTCTTGTTCATCCTGCTGTCACACAGTATATACCATCATCATCGTTGGAACCCAAAAAATCTGTGTTAAGTAAATAATTCAGGCCAGGTGTGGTGGTTCATGCCTGTAATCCCAACACATGGGAGGCCAAGGCTGGAGGATAGCTTGAGGCCAGGAGTTTGAGACCAGTCTGGTCAACATAGCAAGACCCTCTTTAAAAAAAAAAAATAAAAACAAGTAAATAATTCAGTGAGGCCAGACGCAGTGGCTCACGCCTGTAATCCTAGCACTTTGGGAGGCTGAGGTGGGAAGATCACCTGAGGTCGGGGGTTTGAGACCAGCTTGACCAACATGGAGAAACCCTGTCTCTACCAAAAATACAAAATTAGCTGGGCGTGGTGGCACATGCCTGTAATCCCAGCTACTCGGGAGGCTGAGGCAGGAGCATCGCTTGAACCCAGGAGGCGGAGGTTGCAGTGGGTCAAGATTGCGCCATTGCACTCCAGCCTGGGCAACAAGAGTGAAACTCCGTCTCAAAAAAATAAAAAAAAAATTCAGTGAATGGCACTATGTCTGAACTTGCCTGAAGATACGCATCACCTTGGTGTTTGTTAAACTGTTGACTCCCCTTTTTTTTTTTTTTTTGAGATGTAGTTTTGCTCTTGTCGCCCAGGCTAGAGTGCAATGGCACGACCTTGGCTCACTGCAACCTCTGCCTCCCCGGTTCAAGCAATTCTTCTGCTTCAGCCTCCCGAGTAGGTGGGATTACAGGTCCCCACCACCATGCCCGGCTAAAATTTGTATTTTTATTAGAGATGGGGTTTTGCTATGCTGCCCAGGCTGGTCTTAAACACCTGACCTCAGGCGATCCACCCGCCTCAGCCTCCCAAAGTGCTGGGATTACAGGCGTGAACCACTGCGCCCGGCCAAACTATTGATTCTCAAGTCCAGACCCAGACCTTCAGATTTAGAATTTGGTGAGAGGGCATGGTCATCTACATATTTCACAAGCACTCCAGTGATACTTTTTTTTTTTTTTTTTTGAGACAGGGTTTCACTTTGTCACCCAGGCTAGAGTGCAGTTACACAATCTCGGTTCATTGCAGCCTCTACCTCCTGGGTTCAAGTGATTCTCCTGCCTCAGTAGCTGTAATTTCTGCCTCAGTAGCTGGAATTACAGGCACATGCCACCACGCCTGGCTAAATTTTTGTACTGTTAGTAGAGACAGGAGTTTCACCATCTTGGTCTCGAACTCCTGACCTCGAGTGATCTGCCCGCCTTGGCCTCCATAAGTGCTGGGATTACAGGCATGAGCCTGGCCCTCCAGTGATTCTGATCAGCCAACTTTGGGACCCACATGGGCTAGGGTTCTTGTTGCAGTTTGTAACCCACCTCTCTACATTGTTTCCTCATCTGCAAAACTTGTCTAGAGATTACTCCTCCCATGTAGACTAAACGAAATGAATGTAAAAATGCTTTACAAGCTCTAAAACCTGATGTCACCGTAGAGGATGATGCATGCGGGTATTATTGTGGGTGGTCCATGGTTGTCATCTGACTTCCCCAGCCTAGAGACTCAGCCTCAGCCCTCTGTGTCAGACCCCTCCCCAGAGGCAGAAGGCACCCTCATCCAGGTCATGCACATATAAATACAACAATGACAGGTTGTGGTTTGTGCTGTGGGAGCCTCTGACCAGGACTCAGGTTCCAAGGATGGCAGCACAGGGAAGGCACAGACAACTAGATGGAGGTGCAGGAGTCAGACGCAGTGAAGCCAATTCCAGAACCCAGGTCTACCAAATCACCATGTGGCCTAGTGTGTAGGTGGTCCCTGTTTAAACATGCTCAGCTCAGCTCAGAGCACCCTCATCCACTGAGACTGGGAAGGAACAAAAAAGATGGCATGCTTTCCATGCTGGACCAGAAGCTTCTTTTTTTTAATTTTTAATTAATTAATTAATTAATTTTTTGAGACGGAGTCTCGCTCTGTCGCCCAGACTAGAGTGCAGTGGTGCCATCTCGGCTCACTGCAAACTCCGCCTCCTGGGTTCACGCCATTCTCCTGCCTCAGTATCCTGAATAGCTGGGACTACAGGCGCCCCCCACCACGCCCGGCTAATTTTTTGTATTTTTCAGTAGAGATGGGGTTTCACCGTGTTAGCCAGGATGGTCTCGATCTCCTGATCTTGTGATCCACCCGCCTTGGCCTCCCAAAGTGCTGGGATTACAGGCATGAGCCACCGCGCCTGGCCGGCGCTCACTGTTTAAGGTAAAATGAATAATAATAACCATAGCTAACATTTATTGAGCACCTAATGCACCAGACATTCTGCTAATAATTGCATTGATTTTATCCTCATCCCCACTTCAGAGACGATGAGAAAACAGAAGCTCAGATAATTTGCCCAAAGCCACAAATTTACAAGTGGAAACAGCCAGTATGTGAAGGGTCAGTCTGCTTGTCACCCAAACCCGTTGCTTCCCCATAGAAGAGGAGTGAAAATGTGCCTTGTACTAAGACTTTTAAAAAAACTCTCAAATAACGTCTTGCCTTTCCCAGGGTCCAACAGCTGCAGACAGCTCATTTCTGATGTGTATTGGCTTAGAGCCCTGTGGAGGCCTGGAATTTCTCTCTGACCCGCAAGAGCAACTGTCTGACAAAGCTCATCCATCTCTGAACTTTCTTGGGCTCTGGCACTATCCCTGGAAGAACCTGAATCTCTGTTGCTTTTTTAGGACCGAGGCTAACAGTCACCCTCACTTTTTAAAGACATTAGTTAGTCCAGGATCTCTTTCATATAAGAAAGACCAGAAGTGCCCTTTTTCCAGGTGAGGAATGACACCTTCTCGTTTCCTCTGCCCAGACAGACTGACCGTCAGATTCCCTGACCTGGGAGATAACCTTTGAGGCCATCCCAGCTGGCAAGAGGGTGGGGGCAAAGTCCCTTGAGGTTCTCAGATGCTTTCCATAGAGACATTTTGGACCCTCCCTTGATGTGAGCAGCAATGTGTGACATGGTTAAGTGCTTGGATCCTGAAGTTGAGCCTCCAGGAGGCAGAATCTGGATACTTCTCTGTCACTTCCTGCCTAGGGATATTAGACCAGGCACTTAGCATCCTGAAGCTTCTGCTTGCTCAGCTGTAAAATGGAGACAAATCATATCTACTGACAGGAATGCTATAAATAGTAAATGTGTGTAAAGTGTATAGTGCACGTAGCATTTAGTCATTCATTCATTCATTCATTCATCGAACAAACCTGCTTGTCTAGTGAGTCTCTGGCAGGCTGACTTAGAGCTAGATTCTCAGGGAATCAAGGACATGTGTTTAGTGAGCATTTCCTGTATGCCAGGGGTGACACTGGCTGCCTTTGCCTGTATATTGCCTATATAAGCAATCCTGTTCACCCCTCACTGATGTTCTGTGCGGAAAGCCTTTCAGGGATGGAGAAACTGAGGTACACAGGAATTAAAGCATAAGCTTTGTGAGGGTGGAGAGCACCTGCTTCATCATATCCCTCTGTGCCTAGCATAGCTCCTGGCACACAGGTACCAGTAAGTATTTGCTAAGTGATTGAACCCCATATTCCCAAAGCAGGGCCCCCAAACACCCTTGCCTTTCACATATTCTTTCCTCCTGCTGTTTCTACTTTATCTCCCCCGGTAAACTCCTAAACTCCTACTCATCTATCAAGACACAGTTTAAAAGTCTCCTCTTCCACAAACCTGTAAGTGCCCCCACAGCAATTTAGCAGAGCCCTCTTCTTCTTCTTTTTTTTTTTTTTTTTGAGATGGAATCTCACTTTGTCTCCAGGCTGGGGTGCAGTGGCATGATCTTGGCTCACTGCAACCTCTGCCTCCCAGGTTCAAGTGATTCTCCTGCCTCAGCCTCCTGAGTAGCTGATATTACAGGTGAGTGCCACCAGGCCTGGCTAATTTTTGTATTTTTAGTAGAGATGGGGTTTCAGCATGTTGGCCAGGCTGGTCTCAAACTCCCAACCTCAGATGATCCATCCACCTCGGCCTCCCAGAGTGCTGGGATTACAGGCATGAGCTACCGCACCTGGCCAGCAGAGCCCTCTTCTAAGTAAAGCATCAGGGCGGGGTGTGGTGGCTCGTGCCTGCAATCCCAGTGCTTTGGGAGGCCAAGATGGAAGGATCGATTGAGACCAGGAGTTTGAGACCAGCCTAGGCAACATGGTGAGACCCTGTCTCTACAAAAAATTTAAAAATTAGCCAGCTTGTGCCTGTAGTCCCAGCTACTTGGGAGGCTGAGATGGCAGGAGGTCAAGGCTGCAGTGAGCCATGATCACACCACTCCACTCCAGCCTGGGTGACAGAGTGAGACCCTGTCTCAGGAAAAAAAAAAAGAAGAAGAAGAAGAAGAAAATCAACAAGCAAAATAAAGCATCGTAGAGCAGTTGTCTAAACTCTCTTCAGTGAAGGCCACCAGCCTACCAGATTGTGAGCTGCCTAGGAGCAGGGGTGACCCCTGACTCCTTTCTCTCTGAGGCCCCAGCCCCTGGTTTATAACTGCCCACTGTTTGCTGGAATCTGCAACCTACGTGAATGAATTCAATCTCATAAAGGCAGGTCTAAGACAAGTCTCTCGCTTCTACCTTTAGTCTGTATCCCCAACTGTTGGTCTTGGAGGCTGATGCCCAGGCTGAGAGGTGCCATCCAGTGACTCTGCTGGCATATGTGGCTCTCTGTGATCTCGTGGCTCTCTGTGATCTCAAGCTAGAAATGAGCCTCCATCTCCAGCCCTGTTGTCCAGAGCCCTCCCCTGCAAACCCCTTCGAGCCCAAAAGCACTCCAGCCACATGCAAACACCTGCCCTTCCCCAAAGTTCAGAGCTGTTCTTTCTCTGCCCAAAATGATTTTGCCTCCTCTTCATTCAACAAAACATTCCTATTTCTCCCACAGAATCCAGCCCAAGAGTCTTTTCTTCCATGAAGCTTTCCTTGTATGACCTCCCTCCCCTCAGGCACTCTCCCCTGAGACCCCTTCCTTATCCAGGCTCTGATCCCAGCCATTCTTTGTTTATGGGACATGATCTTTGAGCCCCTGGGAGTTTCCCACCAGCAAGCCTGGTGCTGGTTTGCACTGTATTCTTCAAAGCGCTGGGCAAAGGGCCTGGTATGCAGTAAGTGGAGGTTGCAAACCATGCCTGCAGCTGGCCCTGGCTGATGCAGTGTTTTGTCTGCCCGCCAACTATGTTTTTAAAAGTTTTGGGCTGACTGCCATGGCTTGCACCTGTAATCCCAGCACTTTCAGAGGCTGAGACAGGAGGATCACTTGAGCCCAGGAGTTTAAGACCAGCCTGGGCAACATAGCATGACTTCATCTCTAAAACAACAGAAAAGTACATCCCGGCCTACATGGTGAAACTCCGTCTCTACTAAAAATACAAAAATTAGCCAGGTGTGGTGGTGCATGCATGTAATCCTAGCTATTCGGGAGGCTGAGACGGGAGAATCGCTTGAACCACGGAGTCGGAGGTTGCAGTGAGCTGAGATGTGCCTCTGCACTCCAGCCTGGGCGACAGAGTGAGACTCCACCTCAAAAAATAAAATAAAATAAAAAAGAAAGAAAAAGGTATCTGGGCATTGTGGCCTACACCTGTAGTTTCAGCTATGCAGGAGGCTAAAGGAGGGAAGATGGCTTGGGTACAGGAGGTTGAGGCTGCAGTGAGCCATGACTGTGCTACTGTACTCCAGCCTGGGCCACAGACTGAGACCCTGTCTCAAACACAACAAAACAAAAAACAAAAAGAAAGAAAAGTTTTTAAGATGCCAACAGTGTACATTTTTGAGATTGTTCATAAAATACGTTTTTGTTTTTTTTTCTTCATTTGAGAAATGGAAAGAAAGGCCTGGACCCTCATTTCAACATGGAAAAGTTTCCCTAAAGCCAAATTGTCACTATTTCCTTTAGGCAGGGTCTATTCTCTTAAGTGCTAGAGTCAATCCTTAACTTATTACACCCAATTTGCCTGGCCCTGGAGAACCTTGTTATATTTTATTTTATTTTAAAATTATTATTAGTTTTTTGAGATGGAGTCTCACTCTGTCACCCAGGCTGGAGTGCAGTGGACTGATCTCGTCTCACTGCAACCTCTGCCTCCCAGTTCAAGTGATTCTCATGCCTCAGCCTCCCGAGTAGCTGGGATTACAGGCATGCACCAGTATGCCCGGCTAATTTTTGTATTTTTAGTAGAGACGAGGTTTCACTATGTTGCCGGGCTGGTCTTGAACTCCTGATCTCAGGTGATCCGTCCCTCTCAGCCTACCAAAGCAGTGGGATTACAGGTGTGAGCCACTGCTCCCAGCCCCACTTGTTATATTTTAGATGAGAGAAAGTCACTCTGGAGTCAGTTAGGAGTGTTTGGGTTGGGCCCATCTCATTGTCCTTCTTCAAAGGGACTAATTCATGCATTGTGGGTAGCTGGCCCAGGCTGGATGAGATAGACATAATCTATTATTCTATAAAGGCTTACTATAATGTGTTTGCACTCTCCTATCAATCCTATGAAGTGGATTGGATGGTTACTCCCATTTTACAGGTGAGGAAACTGAGGCTCAGAGAGGTTAAGCAGCTTACCCAGGTGGAGCATCTAGCAGGTGGTAATGTGAGGGGCCCTAAGTCGTTGTGACTTGAGAAGCCACACTGGATGCTCCCTTGTCCCAGCAGAGTCACTTATTATTACTTTCCTTGCACAGAGAGGTCTTTCCCAGCTTCCCCCATCTAAATTGACATCCTGCACTCTGTTATATCACTCTGTTGATTTTCTCCACAGCTCTTCCATGGTCAGAAATTACCTTGTGGTTGGGCGCAGTGGCTCACGCCTGCAATCCCAGCACTTTGGGAGGCTGAGGCAGGCAGATCACATGAGGTCAGGAGTTCGAGACCAGCCTGGCCAACATGGCGAAACCCTGTCTCTACTAAAAATACAAAAATTAGCCAGGCATGGTGGCGCATGCCTGTAAGTCCAGCTACTGGGGAGGCTGAGGCAGGAGAATCGCTTGAACCTGGGAGGCGGAGGTTGCAGTGAGCCGAGGTCGCGCCATTGCACTACAGCCTGGGCAACAAGAACAAGACTCTGCCTCAAAAAAAAAGAAAAAGAAAAAGAAAAAAAGAAATTACCTTATTTTGTTTTGTACTGTAAGTTTCTTTTTTATCCTTTCCCCTCCCCAGCACTAGGCTGGCTATAAGCAGCTTCTCTGTTTAGTTCATTGCTGGACCCCCAGTCGTTAGCACAGTTCTTGACACATGCAAGTGTTCATAGTACACCTTTGTTGAATGAATGCATTTAACCTGGTGTCTGCATTGCAGGACACAGAGGTAAAAAGGCAAAGACAGGGAAGGTGCTTCTTGGTCCAGTGGCCACTAAAAGGACATAAGTCCCTCAGGTCAGCAGCTTCCACTGCTTTCAAGTTCTTCCACCTCACTCTCCTGAGCACACGGTTGGATACACAGTGGGTCTCAAATACTGGGTGCACTGTCTTGGCATGCTGACGTCTGGACATCAGCAAGACAATGTCTTCTGTGTCCCCATCTCCTTATGGACATGATTCATGTTACTGCACCTTCTGTGTGCATCGCTCATGCCTCCAGTCTCTCCCGTGGTCCTTGCAGGAGCTATGTGACCTGAGCAGGGCTGGTACCACCCTCAGACAGGGTGACTGGCCCCACATCATCCAGCTGGCAGGGCCTGGTCTGTCTGACTCTGAAGCTCAAGCTCCTCCTGCTCCCATGGCCCCCCAGCCTCTTGGGGTGGAGCCAAGTCGAGGCTTGCGCTTCCCACAGGGTCAGGAGGTGAAGGCACAGCCTGGCCTTGGAACCCCGCGGAATGGGAAGGTTTTGTGAAACAAACAGAGAGACCACCAGGAGGGTGCCCTCCCCTCCCACCCCGGAAGCTTCTCAGAGATTCCCACAGCCCAGCCAGCTGCCTCTGCCTCCCACCTTCCCACTTCCCCTCCACGGGGAGTCACTGGTGCTGAAGTTGAGTTGGAGATGACCTAACTCTGAGCCTGGGGGTGGGAGAAAGGCTCTGAGAGAGAGAGAGAGAGAGAGAGAGAGAGAGAGAGAGAGAGAGAGAGAGAAAGAAAGAAAGAAAGCCATGAATAAGAATCAGAACTGGCCGGGTGTGGTGGCTCATGCCTGTAATCCCAGCACTTTGGGAGGCCAAGACAGGCGGATCACCTGAAATCAGGAGTTCAAGACCAGCCCGACTAACATGGTGAAACCCCTCCTTTACTAACAATGCAAAAATTAGCCGGGCCTAGTGGCACACGCTTGTAATCCCAGCTGCTAGGGAGGCTGAGGCAGGAGAATCGCTTGAACCTGGGAGGTGGAGGTTGCAGTGAGCTGAGATTGTGCCACTGCACTCCAGCCTGGGCAACAAGAGCGAAACTCCTCTCAATAATAATAAAAATAAAAATAAAAATAATAATAATAATAATATAAAAATAAAAATAAGCTGGGCGCGGTGGCTCACGCCTGTAATCCCAGCACTTTGGGAGGCTGAGGCAAGTGGATCACGAGGTCAGGAGATCGAGACCATCCTGGCTAACACGGTGAAACCCCGTCTCTACTAAACATACAAAAAATTAGCCGGGCATGGTGGCGGGTGCCTGTAGTCCCAGCTACTCAGGAGGCTGAGGCAGGAGAATTGCCTGAACCCAGAAGGCGGAGCTTGCAGTGAGCTGAGATCGAGCCACTGCACGCCAGCCTGGGCGACAGAGCGAGTCTCCGTCTCAAAAAAAAAAAAAAGTCAGAACTAAGGGCCGGGCACGGTGGCTCACGCCTGTAATCCCAGCACTCTAGGAGGCTGAGGCAGGCAGATCACCTGAGATCAGGAGTTCAAGACCAGCCTGGCCAAGGTGGTGAAACCCCGTCTGTACAAAAAATACAAAAATTAGCCAGGCATGATGATGGGTGCCTGTAATTCCAGCTACTCAGAAGGCTGAGGCAGAAGAATTGCTTGAACCCAGGAGGCAGAGGTTGCAGTAAGCCAAGATTGTGCCATTGCACTCCAGCCTGGGCAACATAGTGAGACTATGTCTCAAGAAGAAACGAGGCTGGGTGCGGTGGCTCACGCCTCTAATCCCAGCACTTTGGGAGGCTGAGGCGAGTGGGTCACCTGAGGAGAGGAGTTTGAGACCAACCTCGCCAACATGGTGAAACCTTGTCTATGCTAAAAATACAAAAATTAGCTGGGCGTGATGGTGGGCACCTGTAATCCCAGCTACTCAGAAGGCTGAGTCAGGAGAATCTCTTGAACCTGGGAGGCAGTGGTTGCAGTGAGCCGAGGTAGTGCCACTGCACTCCAGCCCAGGCGATAGAGAGAGATTCTGTCTCAGAAAAAAAAAAGGCCGGGCGCGGTGGCTCACGCCTGTAATCCCAGCACTTTGGGAGGCTGGAGCGGGCGGATCACGAGGTCAGGAGATTGAGACCATCCTGGCTAACATGGTGAAACCCCATCTCCATTAAAAATACAAAAAAATTAGCCGGGCGTGATGGCGGGCGCCTGTACTCCCAGCTACTCGGGAGGCTGAGGCAGGAGAATGGCGTGAACCCAGGAGGCAGAGCTTGCAGTGAGCCAAGATCCCGCCACTGCACTCCAGCCTGGGAGACAGAGCAAGACTCTGTCTCAAAAAAAAAAAAAAAAAAGAATCAGAACGAAGAATAAACACTAAACAAACTAAGAATAAAACTCAGCACTTAGGGAGTGCTTACTGTGTGCCAGGCACTGACTGTACCAAAGAGATTTATATGTGCAGTTAGCTCAGTGTCTTCCAAAATTGCTTGAAGACAGTAATCACTGGGAGCAATTATTAGTCATAAAGAGAGCTCTAAAAGTCCTAGTGCACTATTTTAGTCATATTTAATCTTTAATAACTTCAAAATTATAAGTGATAGAAACTTACAAAACCAGCTTCTGATAATTTATTGAAATTTCTTTTATACTTGTTTGGTTTTGTGATCTTTGAGTAATATATTTTAAATTTTATTGTTTTGTTTCCGTCAACAGTTGCTATCTTCAAAAAGCATTTATGTTAAAAACATATTATTCAAAATTCAAAACCATCCAAAAGACCATGGATAATTCAAGTTCAAAGCTGAATAGATAACGACCAGGCATGGTGGCTGTGATCTCAGTACTTTGGGAGGCCAAGGCAGGAGGATCACTTGAGCCCAAGAGTTCAAGACTGCAGTGAAATATGATCACGCCACTGCACTCCAGCCTGGGTGACAGAGTGAGATCCTGTCTCTTAAAAAAAAAAAAAAAAGTGAATGAGTAAACAAATTGTGGTATATCCATATATTGAAATACTATCTGACAATAAAAACGAATGAGCTATTGATACACATGAAGGGGATGAATCTCAAAACAATGATACAACAATGATGTTGAGTGAAAGAATCCCAACAAAAAGTAGTATGTTATGGATAATTCCATTTCTATAAAATTCTAGAAAATGCAGACTAATGTATAGTGGCAGAAAGCAGACCAATGGGTTGCCTAGGGATGGGGGAGAGGGAGGGATAACAAAGGGCAGAAGGAAAGTTTTGGGAGTGATAAATATGTTCATTTTCGTTTCTTTTTTTTTTTTTTTTTTTGAGACAGAGTCTCACTCTGTCACCCAGGCTGGAGTGCAGTGGTGCAATCTCTGCTCACTGAAACCTCCACCTCTGGGGTTCAAGCGATTCTTATGCTTTAGCCTCTGGAGTAGCTGAGGTCACAGGCGTGCGCCACTGTGACTCGGTAATTTTTGTGTTTTTAGTAGAGACGGCGTTTCCCATGTTGGGCAGGCTGGTCTCAAACTCCTGACCTCAGGTGATCTGCCCGCCTTGGCCTCCCAAAGTGCTGGGATTACAGGCATGAGCCACTGTGCCTGGCCTATTCATTTTCTTAATTGTGGTGATGGTTATATATATCTCAAAGCTTATCAAAATGCACACTTTAAATATTTGCAATTGTAGCCTAGTCAACATGGTGAAACCCCGTCTCTGCAAAAAATATAAAAATTAGTCTGGCGTGGTGGTGCGTGCCTGTAGTCCCAGCAACTCCAGGGGCTGAGGCAGGAGGATAGCTTGAGCCTAGGAGGTAGAGGTTGCAGTGAGCTGAGATCATGTCACTGCATTCCAGCCTGGGTGACAGAGTGAGACCCTGCCTCAAAAAAAAAAAAAAAAAGAAAATATTCGCAGTTGTGTGTATTTTACTAAAGCTGTAAAAATGAAATTAAATGTAATGAACTTTAGAACTATAAAACTTGGCTAGGCACAGTGGCTCATGCCTGTAATCCCAGCACTTTGAGAGGGTGAAGCAGGAGAGTTGCTTGAGCCCAGGACTTCGAGACCAGCCTGGGCAACATGGTGACACAGCGTCTCCACAAAAACTACAAAAATTAGCCAAGTGTGGAGGGAAGCACCTGTAGTTTCAGCTACTCAGGAGGCTGAAGTGGGAGGATAGCTTGGGCCCAAGAGATTAAGGCTACAATGAGCCATGATCGTGCCATTGCACTCCAGCCTGGGTGACAGAGTGAGACTCTGTCTCAAAAAAATTATATATGTCTATATATATCTTATTTGAAATTCATAAAACTAATGTGTAAAAAATTTAAATAAACTTTGATGTTCTTTGTAAGTTTGTAGCATTTATACTTCTGAAATAGAAGTATACTTAATAGAACGTACTTCTATTAGAGCTTAAAAGTGCTTTAAAACTTTTAAGGATATCAGTCTTGTAGGTCTATAGCCTCAGGGGCCCTGGGGTGGGACCCGGGAATCCTTGCTCTTTCAAAGAGTAAGGTGGGAAACAGCATAATCTCTTCTCTCTCTCCGTCTCTCTCTCTGTCTTTCTCTCTCCCTCTCTTTAGCTCTCTGGCTTTTCACAAACCCATGAGATAGGTATTTCTAAAGATGAGGGATCGGAGGCTCAGAGAGGCTCGGTGACTTGCCTCAGGTCACACAGCTCATTAACAACGGTGCTGGGATTGGAGTGCAGGCAGTCTGACTCCAAAGCCCACACAGGCAGGGGCTGGGGGCACTTACATCATCTCAAACTCCCCAGTCCCTGTTCCTTGTTGGCCACTGACCGCAGAGCTCTCAAGAGCCCCAGGCTGGTGCATTCCCCACTAACATCAAAGGGCCCCAGGCTTCAAAGGCAGGTGAGGAAGATGCACATACCCCATACCTGGCTGGGTATGCAGGGAAGCCTGGGAGAGCTAATACGATTAAGCAGAGACCCAGTGGGGCCGGAAGTAGCTTCCCTGAGTAGATCATTCACTGGAAGTGGCTTGCATACATTCTCACCCACCAACCACCCTCAGAGTCTTTCATTCTAGGGCTACTAGCAAAACCTCTGGACACTTGGGAATTAGGACAGCAGTGGGGGCTGTGCCAATTGAGTGTCCATCCCATAGATGGACAAACTTGTTTGAAGCCAATTGTTACCAAATTTGTGCCAGGCATGGTGCTGAGTGCTTCAGACTTGTCTCATTTTTATTCTGAAATTAGGTACAGGGTAACTATGTTAAATGCATGACTCCAAGGAGCTCCTTTGATGTTGCATTCTGTAGGTATAATTATTCCCATTTTACTGATGAGAAAATGAAGGCTTGGAATACCTGCCCAAGGTCAAGTTGGTACTAAGTGGCTAGAATTGGTACCCAGGACTATTTTGATTCTAAACTCCATTCCCTGCCTTGGCCATCAGGAGGGACAAACAGCTAAGACACCAGCATGTTCTCCTGGCCCTTTCCGTTTACTCTGGGTGTCAGGAGTGTCAGGGGTGGCAGGAGCGATCTGTGCCTGTTTGCCCACAGATCACCCCACATATCTTTAGGGAATGGGAAATGGGCAATCTAAAGCTGAGATCATCTCCTCATGATTCGAGATGTTACAAAACTACAAGGCCTCCCCGACCTTCTCCCATTGCTCCCGTGTTCATGCCCCCATCCCCCAATCATTCTCCCACCAACCTGCGCTGCAAACACTCCCTGACCAAGGCTGCTGTTTCAGAGCCAGAAAGCGCTGGGGTTATGAGGAGTGAGGGAGGCTCCAAGCGCAGGGCCACTTCCCCCCAGCTCCTGTCTTGGCCACACCAGCCTCCCTCCCAGGGGAGCTTCCAGCCCAACCTTCCCAGCCTATTCTTGCCTACTCCTGCCCTCCCACCCCACCCCTCAGCTCCGTTTTTCTGTCCTCTCTGTCCCTGTCCGACCTTTCCTTCCCCACTGGAAGATCTAAGGTCACATACCCTTTCTCTGCCTGTACCTGCCTCAGGTCCTGAGCTGCCCCATCAGGGATGGTGGGGTCAGTAACAAAAATTTGGAGGGACCCACCCTGCTGGGAAAATCGTCCTTGATGGGAAAGTGCAGCCAAGGAAACTCCCTGAGGGCAGAGGTGGGGGAGCAGGAGGGTTGTTTAAATTAGTACCAGTTAGGCTGGGGTATGGGGGGCAGCACACCTAGGTCCTGCTCCCAGCTCAACCCTGACCAGCACATGACCTTATTGAGCCTCAGTTTCCACATCTAGGATGATTCCTAGCCCTGTCGCCGCACTTGACTGTCCTATGCTTGGTGGAGCTCTGAGGCCAGCGGGTGGAAGTGTCTCCTAACATTCAGGGCCTGTACAGTTTCTTCTCCCTCTCCTCTACCCACTCTTTGATGAAATGCAGCCAATTCCCACACACCCCCCTGCCCCCCTCCCCTGCCTGCTTAGTTCTTATGTATTGTGCTATTGTGCTTTTTTTGTTTTTTTTTTTTGTTTTCAGATGGAGTTTCACTCTTGTTGCCCAGGCTGGAGTGCAATGACGCGGTCTCGGCTCACTGCAAACTCCACTTCCTGAGTTCAACCGATTCTCCTGCCTCAGCCCCCCAAGTAGCTGGGATTACAGGCGCCTGCCACCACACCGGCTAATTTTTGTATTTTTAGTAGAGACAGGGTTTCACCATGTTGGCCAGGCTGGTCTGGTCTTGAACTCCTGATCTCAGGTGATTCACCCGCCTCGGCCTCCCAAAGTGCTGGGATTACAGGCGTGAGCCACCGTGCCCATCCCGTATTGTGCTTTTTAAACACAAAATGAATGCCTATTCGCTGTAGAAAATTTGCAGACTATATAACGGTATATACAGGAAGAGAAAAATCCCCTGTAACCCCATGATCTAGATATAACCATGGTTAATATTTTGGGGGTACATTCTTCCTGTCCCCTGCACTTAGGTATTTATGTGCACATGCATTTATGTGCACTTAGAAGATTCACACAATGTGAACTGTTCTGTAAACTACTTCTTTTATGAAACCAGAACATCTTTCCGGGCCATAAAGCATCCTCTCCACTACCATTTAAAAATAAACGTTGGCTGGGTGTGGTGGCTCATGTCTGTAATCTCAGCACTTTGGGAGGCCAAGGCAGGCAGATTGTTTGAGCCCAGGAGTTCGAGACCAGCCTGGCCAACATGGTGAAACCTCGTCTCTACTGACAATACAATAATTAGCCGAATGTGGTGGCAGACACCTGTAATCCCAGCTACTCAGAAGACTGAGGCAGGAGAATCGCTTGAACCCGGGAGGCGGAGGTTGCAGTGAGCCGAGTTCTCGCTACTGCTCTCCAGCGTGGGCGACAGAGGGAGACTCCGCCTAAAAAAAAAAAAGTTGCTTAATTCTTTAGGCTTCCTCCTCCAGGAAGCCAGCCTGGAGGATTTCTCCAGCCCAGTCAGCCTCTCTCAGGGTCCTTACACCGTGTTCCCTGTTATCCACCTTCTCTTAGACTGTGAGCTTCCAGGGGACAGAAGCCCCCTCTGGACCCTTTCACTCAGTGCCCGGTGTACGTAATAGATGCTTAATAAATGAGGCTGGAAAGGGTACTTTTCTTGATTGCTGTCAGCAGGAGGAGGCTGAGGCAGAGGAAAAGAGCACTGGACTTGGAGTCGGCGTGCCTGCCTGCCTGCCTCTAGCTTCGCAATCTTGTTTGCAGCGAAGGGGCATAGTGGTCTGTGCGGCGCGGTGCCCAGTCCCGCCCGCCCCGCCGCGCCTGGCCGGGCGCCTGGCACAGCCCAGGCGCTCAGCGGAGGCCCCAGGCATGGCAGGACCTACGGAGCCCGGTGAGGTGAGCGCGCCAGGCCGGCCGGCTGGGCTGGAGGCAGAGGCCCAGGCGCCCGCCCTCGTGGGAAAGCGCGCGGAGGGCGACCCGGGTGAGTCAGCCGAAGAGCAGACGGGCTGCGGAGCAAGAAGACCGAGGCTGGAGGCGGCAGTGAGTGTTCCCGCCGGGCGGGTGGCGTTGTCGCCGCCAAGGGGGACCCGCCCCTCTCCCCTGTTCCCCGCACTGCCGGTCCCGCCGCCGGGGCCGGGACAAGAGCCTAGTGAGACAGAGACGCTCCGGCGCGAGCTCCTGCCCAGGCCCTGTGGTCGGGCGGGGTGGGGGTTACCCAGGGCTCTGCCCTCAGCGGGATGTGTCCCCTCCCATCTGTCCCGTCCCCTCGCTGGGCTTCTGTCCAGTGGCCTCATTCTGTTGCTGCTGGTGGGAAGGGTGGGATGTGCCTGCTTGGTAAATTGTGGGGCGCCACCAAACGCGGGGGGCCCCCATTTGGTGCCAGGCGAGGCCTGGTGCGTGGGCAGGAGAGTCAGGATGGGCCCCGCACACCATCACCGCCTTACCGCGGTGCTGCACTGCTAAACCAAGGGATTACTGCTGTTCCTGGGCTCAGGGAGAGAGCGGCTCCCCCACCTTTATCCCCCGCCATCCGCCCACCCACTGCTTCACCCTTCCCCCATCCCACCCCACCCCACTCCAAGCCCCAGGGAGCCCGGTTTATAAGAGCCACTGCCACCGTTTGTCCATCGCTCACTGGGACGCTGCTTTGTGATAAACATTTTGCACAGTTACCTCAGTTAGCCCTCCCGCTGGCACTATACTGACGGCTCCCTTTTCAGATGAGGAACCGGGGCTCGGAGAGGTGAAGTCACTTCTTCAAGGTCACTGCAGTCAGAGGCGGAGCTGCCCTGAGGCTAATTGAAGCTTAAGTTTCAGACCCTTGCAAGGCCCGGACCTAATTTTTGCATTTGTATTTTTGTGTTCTTTTCCTTTAAAAGCCCCCTCCCGCGACAGTAGGAGGGTCAAGCCCCTTCAAAATGGATCTCTCTGACCGTGCCTGGTCTGTCTGCTGTCCTCTGTGGCACTGCCTCGGATGGGTGGGGATGGGGGGGTTGCTGGGGCTGGGCAGTGCCAACCTGGCATGGAGGGAAGGACGTCCAGATTTGGTCAAGGGGCCCACATGACCTTTGCATGAGTCTTGGCAGACTCCAAACAGCCTGCTGTGCGCGGAGCCAGCTTAGGCAGAGCCCCCGCCTTGTGACGTTGGGATCTTCTCTGGGACTCAGCTGTCCTCATCTGAGTTAGGGGTGGTTATTATGGGGTAACTGCAGACACAAGGTGAAAGTGGAAGGAACAGAGGCTGGAAAGCTCGGAGCCCTGCCTGTCCTCCGTTCCCCCACGTACTCCCCCTCAGCCACCCCATAGGTGAACGCCACTCTGCCCTGTGCCCTCATCTTCACAGCCAGCCCTCTCCCCTCCAGCTGCCGCACCTTCTCCACAGCAGTTGTCCGTGGTGCCTACACTCCCCGCTTCACGGTCACCCTTCACCCGGTTCCATTGTGTGCCTCCTGCCTCCACCCACCATGGCGTCTGCCCTGGCTTGGGTTGTATAGGAGAGACTCCGTGTTACCAAATTGGCTCCAGCCCTGCCTGGCCGCACAGCAGCCTTTGACACGATTGAAATGCTCCCCACCTCTTAGCTTTCGTGCGGCTAAGCTTCCCTTCCGCCGTCTGGGCCCCTGCTCAGTCCTCTTTGTCTTCTGAGCCTCTTCCCCCTGCCCCAGGCCTCCCCTCCCCTCGAAGCCCGCCCTCCAAGGCTGTGCTTCGACTTCTCTTCTCCCCTGCGGTTACTTGCCTCTCCTGGAGGGTCTCACCCATCCTGGGGCTTAAAAGCCACCAATGCCCATGGTGCCCGGCCTTTGTCTACCCCAGACCAGTCCTCAGAACTCTGGACCCCTGCACCCACCGGCCTACCGTGCGTCTCCCGTGGGCTCCCTCACAGTCATCTCCGGCTCCATTCATCAAGACTGAACTCCTCTGCGCCTTCTCCAGCGTTCTGTCTGCAGCCAAGCCCCTGATTCCTGATTCCTTCCTCCCTCAACACCACAACATCCAACCTCATACCAGCCATGTGGATCCCACTTCCAAAATGGCTCTCTAGAATCCACCTGCTCCTCCCCATCTCTTCTGTCACCACCTGGTCCCAGCCACCATCATCTCTCTCCTGGACAACTGTGGAGGCCTCCCTGCCTCCACCCTGGCCCCCCAGAATCCACTCCTCTCAGGAGCTAGATGGGATGGCATCACTCCCCTCACTGAAACCCTTCAGTGCCTCTCATTGCCTGTAGGATGAAATACAAGCTCCAGGCCGGGCCAGGTGGCTCACGCCTGTAATCTCAGCACTTTGGGAGGCCGAGGCGGGCGGATCACCTGAGGTCAAGAGTTCAAGACCAGCCTGGCCAACGTGGAGAACCCCGTCTCTACTAAAAATACAAAAATTAGCCGGGCGTGGTGGCATGCGCCTGTAATCCCAGCTACTTGGGAGGCTGAGGCAGGAGAATCACTTGAACCCAAGAGGCAGAGGTTGCAGTGAGCTGAGATCGTGTCATTGCACTCCAGCCTGAGCAACAAGAGCAAAACTTCGTCTCAAAAAAAAATAAAAGAAAATACAAGCTCCAGAACCCCGGCCTGCGGGCCTCAGCCCTCTGGCTCATTGCTGTGCAGCTGCAGCAGCCTTCTTTCCGCTTCTAGAGTGTGATGTGAGTGTTCCCATTGCAGGGCCTTTGCCCCTGCTGTCTCCTCTGGCTGGAATGCCCTTTCTCCCACTCTTTGCCTGGCACACATCTAATTAGCCTTCAAGTCTTAGCTTAAGGGATGACCTCCTTGGAGAGGCCTTCCCCACGAACCCCTGTCACACTCCCTAGGAGTACCCCAAGTACTTACTGTCAGCTGGAATTATGTCTTTATTTCTGGGGCTATGGGTTAATGTCTGCCACCCCCACCAGATGGCAAGCTCCACAGGGCTGTCTGGTTTACTGTCTGTGTTGCTCTGCCTCTCCCGTGCCTAGCACAGTGCCAGGCACACAGTCAGCACCCAGGAAACACGTGTGAAGGAAAGGTGTGGAGGCCCAGCTGCCAAAGTTGTCCTGCTGCCATCTGTCCAGCAGATGGCCTCCCAGACCAGAGCTTCACCTCTGTAGATGGGTACCCATAGCAGTCCTCAGATTCCAGAACAGCTCCTATGCAAATCCCGGGGCCCCCACTTGAGATCCACATGGCAGATGTGGGAGCCAGGCCATGCCCTCTTTTGTCTTCAGTCCCAGAAAGCCCTTGGCACTTGCTTTTTTGAGATTTACGACTTGGCATTGTGATTTTTTTGTTTTTTGTTTTTGTTTTCATTTTTGAGGCAGGGTCTCGCTCTGTCACCCAGGCTGGAGTGCAATGGCACAATCATGACTAATTGCAGCCTCAACCTCCCTGGCTCAAGCCATCCTCCCACCTCAGGCTCCCGAGTAGCTGGGACTACAGGCATGTGCAATCATGCCCAGCGTATTTTTGTATTATTTGTAGAGATGGAGTTTCACCATGTTGCCCAGGCTGGTCTCAAACTCCTGACCTTGAGCGATCCGCCCACCTCAGCTTCCCATAGTGCTGGGACTGCAGGTGTGAGCCACCACCCTCGGCTTGGCATCATGATTATCTACCTGCATGTCCTACAAGGGGACTAGGGGCAACTCAAGCCAGAGACCTGATCTCACCTGTCTCTTTTTCCTTGCTTGCGCAGAGCTCAGAAAACAAATGACTAGTAGGGAAACTGAGTGACTCAGTCAGTGGAGAGACTGCTCCTGGAAGTTAACATTAAGGCTTTGGAGCCCCATTCCTGGGTTCTACTCCCGGCTCTGGGGCTTCCTAGTTGTGAGGCTTAGGCGAGTTTCTTAACTAATCTATGCCTCCCCTGTAAAGTGGGAATACTACGTGCCTCATAGGATTGTTGTGAGACTTGAATGAGGAAATACATGAAAAGTCTTTTTTTTCTGGTGCCTGGCATGTAATCAATGCTCAGTAAATGGGAGCTTTTATCATTGAACAATTCTTTACCCCCTACTGGAAGTCCAGTCTCAGCTGGGGAGAGGCTGCCTACTGTTGCACTGGGCACAATTGTGCATGCTTGTGCAGGGCATGCACACACATATGCAGGAACAACACACAACTCTCCCAGCTGTGGCGTGAGCTGGCCAAGGTGCCTCCCTTGCCAGAACAGGGGAGCCTGGCAGATGCCTTGTGCCCCCCTGGCACTGTGCCTCCTGTGCCCAGTGCCATTGGCTTGGCAAGACAGGTTGCCATGGCAGCAGGTGACTGGGCCTGCAGGCGGGGACAGTGGGTAGCCTTGGCTGAGCTCTCTGGTTTTTTAGAAGGGGGTGGCTTGCTGCCAAGGCACAGGCTTTCCTGTTACTTGGCTGCATCCGTGGCCACACCCAGGAGCCCCTGTGGGCTCCCAGCCCTGGGAACTGGGAGACTGAGCCAGCCACTCACTCTGGGCATTCCCCCAGGCCTGGGGACATGCCCCATTGTCCATCACTCACATTCCACTGGAAAGATCTGGCGTGGGTCTTTTTCCTCTACCCCGTGGTGAACTCCTGGAGAGTTCAGATTGCACCCAGCACATTGTAGGTCTCTCTCGAATGTTTGTGGGGTGAATCAAAAAACAAAAAATGCGCCGGTCATGGTGGCTCACGCCTGTAATCCCAGCACTTTGGGAGGCCAAGGCGGGCAGATCACAAGGTCAGGAGATCAAGACCATCCTGGCTAACACGGTGAAAACCCATCTCTACTAAAAATGCAAAAAATTAGCCGGGCATGGTGGCAGGTGCCTGTAGTCCCAGCTACCAGCTACGGGGAGGCTGAGGCAGGAGAATGGCGTGAACCCGGCAGGCGGGAACCGAGATCGTGCCACTGCACTCCAGCCTGGGTGACAGAGCGAGACTCCGTCTCAAAAAAAAAGAACAGGTAAAGCAGGTAGAATTATGACTTTACTCTCCTCTCACCACCTAGAGGAGAAAAGGTGGTGAGAGGAGCGTAAAGTCTCCAGACATAATTCTACCTGCTCTAGAGATTAATATCTAATTAATAATATTACTTTAGTACCCACTGTGTGCCAGACATTGCTCTAGGTGGAGCCAAGATTTGAACCCAGATGGATACATTCCTGCTGTCATGGAGCTAATATCCTAGTGGAGGGAGACAGACAATAAACAAACAGGCAAAAAAAACCAGGAAAACATCAGATAAGGACTACAGGTGCTATGCTGAGAATTACAATAGGGGGATGCAGTAGGGAGGAACTGAGTGGCCACCTCAGATGTGGGGACAGGAAAGGCCTCTCCAAGGAGGCGACATTTAAGCAAAGACCTAATTGGAAGAAAGGAAGATCTGGATGGGGAGCCTTCTAGGAATATGGACAAGCTAGTTCAGAGGCCCTGAGGACAGAGCACACTTGACCAGTGTGGAAAGAAGTGAGGTTGAACTTAGTAGGTGAAGGGGATGATGAAGATACACATACAGTAAAGTGTACTAATCCTAAAGTTACAACTTGATGAGTTTTCACGCATGCGTTTGTCCACGTAACCCCTATCCAGATCAAGCTATAGCACCCCAGAAAGTTCCCTCGGGCCGCTCCCAGTCAGTGTTGCCCCTCACCCACGGGCTGCTCTTCTGGCCTTGATGATTGTCATAGGCTAATTTTGCCTGTCCCTGGACTTCATATAAATGATGAGATCTTATCCTGTATTCTTGTTTGTATCTGGCTTTTTTTTTTTTTTTTGAGACAGAGTTTCACTCTTGTTGCCTAGGCTGGAGTGCAGTGGCACAATCTTGGCTCACTGCAACCTCTACCTCCCGGGTTCAAGCAATTCTTCCACCTCAGCCTCCTGAGTAGCTGGGATTACAGGTGTGTGCCACCATGCCCAGCTAATTTTTTCGTATTTTTAGTTGAGATGGGGTTTCACCATGTTGGCCAGGCTGGTCTCGAACTCCTGACCTCAGGTGATCCAGCCACCTCGGCCTCCCAAAGTACTGGGATTACATGCATGAGCCACCGCACCCGGCCTGGCTTCTTTCACTCATCATTAGGTCTATGATGTTCATCCATGATGTTGCTTTGTATGGGTAGTTCACTCATTTCAGTTGCTGGGGTATTCCAGGCTAAAACTGTACCTCCTTTTTTTTTTTTTTTTTTTGAGATGGAGTCTTGCTCTGTCGCCCAGGCTGGAGTGCAGTGGTGCAGTCTCTGCTCATTGCAGCCTCTGCCTCCCGGGTTCAAGCTATTCTCCTGCTTCAGCCTCCCGAGCAGCTGGTATTACAGGCACATACCACCACGCCCGGCTAATTTTTTTGTAATTTTAGTAGAGATGGGGTTTCACCATGTTGGCCAGGCTGGTCTCGAACTCCTGGCCTCAGGAGATCCACCCATTTTGGCCTTCCAAAGTGCTGGGATTACAGGAGTGAGCCGCCATGCCCGGCCTCTATGTACACTTGTATGTATGTATGTATGTATGTATGTATGTATGTATGTATGTATGTATGTTTGAGATGGAGTCTCGCTCTGTTGCCCAGGCTGGAGTGCAGTGGCATGATCTCGGCTCACTGCAAGCTCCACCTCCTGGGTTCACATCATTCTCCTGCCTCAGCCTCCCGAGTAGCTGGGACTACAGGCACCCACCACTATGCCCAGCTAATTTTTTGTATTTTTAGTAAAGGCGGGGTTTCACCATGTTAGCCAGGATGGTCTCGATCTCCTGACCTCGTGATCCGCCCGCCTCTGCCTCCCAAAGTGCTGGGATTACAGGCGTGAGCCACCGCACCCGGCCTCTACATACACTTTTAAGTAGCTTATATATGCTGGTGAAAGGTCCCCTGGTTCTCTTCCATTTTACAGGTGGGGAAACTGAGGCTCAGAGAAGGGAATAGACTTATCCCTGGTTACTCAGGCAGTTAGTGGCTGACAGTGGTACTGCTGACTCTGTAGAAGGCAGAGGCCCTGGGTTCCAGGGAGGGAGGAGGAGAGAATGAGTATTTACTGAGCACCTACTATATATCAGGTCCTCCATAGGTATTATGTCATTTGCCGTCATCGTCAAAATAACCCTGCCAATTAGGCGTGATTATGTTAGTTTTACAGGTGAGGGGCCTGAGTCTAAGAAACATATTTACAGAGTGGAGTCAGGACTCAGGCGGGCCAATCTGACTCCAAAGCCTGACACCCTCCAAGACATCACGCTGCCACTCAGGGAGGGGTGAAGCCTCCATACGCCAAGGCTGCACAGGCTGAATGCAGAACTCACAGGTGAATGAAGAGCTTGAGGGGGCTTGTTGGATTAGGCTGGTCCCTCCTCAGGATGGAGGACAGCAGGGAGAAAGGTCCTGGTCTTCTGCTTTGAACCCCTGCCAGGGTCCCACAGACATTTACCCCCTGAGGCCCCAGTTTCGTGGTTAACTTACTGTTAACCTTGGGCCAGGTACTCCCTCTCTGGCTCCTTTTAGCTCTGCTCTTCTGAGTGGGGTTTGGACTGGAAGTCTCTTGGCCTTCACTGTTCTGATCCTGCCCCATGCCCCAGGGCTGTCACCGGGGAGGCTGGAGGGGAGAGGGGCTTTGGGACCTCCAGTGTCTCTACCTCCTCCACATGCTGGTCTTCCTGATTCAGAGCTGGATCTCAGGCCCCCTTGGGACTTTGTGAGGAGGCCTTTTGTTGGAGGAGGACAATTATTTTCTCACATTCAGTGGGTTGTCTTTTAAAAAAAATTGTGGTAAAATATACATAACATGAAGTTTGCCATTTTAACCTTTTTTTTTTCTTTTTGAGACAGAGTCTCACTCTGTCGCTCAGGCTGGAGTGTAGTGGCGCGATCTCAGCTCACTGCAACCTCTGCCTCCTAGGTTCAAGCGATTCTCCTTTCTCAGCCTCTGAGTAGTTGGGATTATAGGTGCCCGCCACCATGCCTGGCTAATTTTTGTATTTTTAGTAGAGAAGGGGTTTCACCATGTTGGCTAGGCTGCTCTTGAACTCCTGACTTCGTGATCTGCCCATCTCAGCTTCCCAAAGTGTCGGGATTACAGGTGTGAGCCACCGCGCCCAGCCATTTTAACGATTTTTAATTAAACACTACAGTGGCATTAAGTACATTCTTGTAGCTGTGCAACCATCAGCACCATCCATCTCCAGAAGCTTTACATCTTCTCAGGCTGGAACTCCTTACCCATTAAACAATCACCGAGGCTTTTAAAATAGTGGTTTTTGGAGATGGCAGGCAGCCCTCCTTGAGAAGCGTGAGGGAAGTTGTAAGAGAACGTGAGAGAATGTGGAACACTCTGGGGAGAAGGGGCAGGAATTTGAGGGGAGAAAGCAAGGGCCCCGGGGCAGGCAGGCTTAGCAAGCTCACCTCCGGGATGCTGCCAGGGCTCCGAGAGTCCCCTGCATGGGCTCTTTCCTTCCTTCCACAGCCACCCCAGCCCCACCGTCCTGGCCTCACCCTCTCTCCCTGTAAGGAAATGGTGGGCATTTTAACAATTTCGCTGCCTCCTGCCAGCAGCAGCCCACTCCTGCACCCTCTTCAGAGACTTGAAGTGGGTGACAACTCCTGACGGGCGGGCCTGGGGGTGCAGAAAGGGACTTGTCCATGGGTCTCTAAGTGTCAAATGTCAGGTAGGTGTGAAGTCAGAGCCAGGAGACCAGCTTCTGGGGGGTATGGGAGGTGTTGAGTGTTGAGAGAAAGCAGGGTTTCATTCTCTTCTTGACCCCCTTGGGAAAGAGGCCCCCTGGGGAGCTGGAGTTAGAATCACAGTTAAGGCCTCTTCTGGTCCTAGAGGTTCCCACCAGCCTTTGAAAGTCCTGGAATGTTTAGCTGGAGAAGCCTGGGGGTGGGGGTATGAGATGGTGTTTCTCAAATATTTGAGGGGCAGTCCCCCGGGAGGAGGTACCTGTGCTCTGGTGGTCCCAGTGGTGGAGGTGGGGGGTGGGAGGTGAGGGGAAGTAAAAGAATAGCTGGAGAGTGAGGGGAGCCACTGAGAAGTGGATGTCGGGTTCATGTGTGGAGAAGGGTGAAGGACGTCCTAACACCCCGCACAGTTCGCGGGGAAGCGGATGGCGTCTGAAGGAGTGAGATCCCCGTCACTGGGAGGATTCAAGTTAGGCAGCAGTTTAGTAGCCGTATACAAGAGCTCTGGAGTCAGAGAGGGCTGGGGAACACTGGGCAAGTTCCTCAATTGCTGTGTGCCTGAATTTCTTCATTTGTAAAATGAGGATAGCAATGGAACCTGCTCTAAGGGTTTTGTGAGGAGTGAGATCATGATTCTGACACAGTAGCCAGCACTTAGAACGCACCCAGGATAGGACAGGAGTGCATGGAGGGGATTCTTGGATGAGGTGGGGAGTTAGATTAACTCCTCACTACGAGCCCCCCAGCCTGGATTTTCATGGAAGGAGTGCCCTGGGGCTCATTGTGGCAATGCCCCTGAGTTATCTGAAGTTCGCCACCTGCCACCAAATGGGCAGTTTACCCACCCACCCCCCATTGACGGGGTCTGAGGACAGTACCTTGTGATTACGCACAAGGCAGGGGTTATTTATCCCATTTTACAGATGAAGAGACTGAGGCTGAGAGGCTCCTTGGCTTTCCCAGCACAGACATGGGAAGACAGGAATGAGATGAGGATTCAGGTTTCCAGAAGCCTGGTCAGGGGACTTGATCTGTTGTGATGGCCCTTATGGAGCCTGGCCCCTGGGCTTCCCTCTGTCGGAGTAGTTGCCTGTCTTACTGGGAAGAAGGCAGGTGTGGTCCACCAGGTAAGGTTTTTTTTGAGATGTAGTTTTGCTCTTGTCACCCAGGCTGGAGTGCAATGGCGCGATCTCGGCTCACTGCAACCTTCACCTCCCGGGTTCAAACGATTCTCCTGCCTCAGCTTCCCGGGTAGCTGAGATTATAGGTGCCCGACACCATGCCCAGCTAATTTTTGTATTTTTAGTAGAGAGGAGGTGTCACCACATTGGCCAGGCTGGTCTCAAACTCCTGACCTCAGGTGATCCACCCGGCTCGGCCTCCCAAAGTGCTGGGATTACAGGCTTGAGCTACTGTGCCTGGTCACCAGGCAAGGTTTTTAAGGAAACTTTCTTTCCCTAGAGCCCAAGTGTGGAGCCCCCCTTCCCTGCCTTTGCCCACAAGGAGCCCCTGCCCAGGACTTCTTATGGACGGGGTGTAGTGGGCAGAGCACAGCAGCCTCACCCTAGCCCATGAGGCAGGACTGTGTGTGTGTGTGTGTGTGTGTGTGTGTGTGTGTGTGTGTGTGTGTGTTTTGAGATGGAGTCTCGCTCTGTCACCCAGGCTGGAGTGCAGTGGTGTGATCTTGGCTCACGGCAACCTCCGCCCCCCAGGTTCAAGCAATTCTCCTGAGGCAGGACTCTTATTATGGTCCTATAGTAGATGAAGAGACTGAGACTAGGGGCACACAGCTGGTAAGGGACAGAGCTGGGATTTAAATCCAGTAGCGTGGCTTTAAAGCTTGCCTTTATCTACCCACAGTGGAGGGGGCACGGTACCATCTCTGAATCCATTACCTCTAGCCGCGGAAGGCACCTTGGATTTAGGGACTGCATGTGTTCCTTCTGAGCCTTGGCCAGCCCACCCTTAAGAGGAGCTGGCATCGCTGGGGCCTCTGCCAGCTGGAGTTGGGAACATCTCACCCCAGGCTGGCAGGCGGCTAAGGGTCAGATTGGCCTATCAGCCAGAGGATTACCTCGGAGTCCCTTGGAACATGGATTCCCAAATGTGAAACATTCTACCGTGGCCTTAAACCCTCCGAGGGGGCTTTCCCAGGCTCAGCCCTGGAGATTCTGGCTGAGGAGGGCTGGGCGGAGCCTGGGAGTCTGTCGTGTAACCCCTCCACCAGTGATTCAAATGCACACACAGGCAGGCTGGGGAACAACTGTTTACTCCTAACTGCTGGACCGTGAATGCTTATCTCAGATTGTCTGGGGGTGTCTGGAGGGGCCTTCCAAGCCAGCGGAGCTCCGGCGGCTGCTAGTTGAAGTGAATGTGCATTGAATGCATTATGCTTCTGAGTTTGCTGTAGAGGTGAGCGGGCTGATAAGCTGGGCTGGGTTCCCCTGGGCCACCCCTGCCTGCTGCTGGGTGCCTGCAAGATGCAAAGGGTGGGTGGGCTGGCTGGTGTCTGTGCCTTCTGAGAAGCCTAGACCTCAGCTAGCACCACAAGAAAGGAGACTGAGTCAGGTCATGAGTTCCTCATTGCTGGGAATAGTCAAGCAGAGGCAAGGGGGTTTAGTACAGGGCTGCTCCAGGTCTGGCAGGGTGCACTGACTGGCTTCTTAGAGTCCGTTTCTTTTTTCTTTTTTTTGAGATGGAGTCTCGCTCTGTCGCCCAGGCTGGAGTGCAGTGGTGCAATCTCGGCTCGCTGCAACCTCTGCCTCCTGAGTTCAAGCAATTCTCCTGCCTCAGCCTCCCGAGTAGCTGGGACTACAGGCGCCCGCCACCGTGCCTGGTTAATTTTTGTATTTTTAGTAGGAACAGGGTTTCACCATGTTGTCCAGGCTGGTCTCAAACTCCTGACCTCAGGTGATCTGCCCGCCTCAGCATCCCAAAGTGCTGGGATTGCAGGCATGAACCATTATGCCCGGCCCTGACTCTGTTTCTTTAAATTGCATTTATTATGTCCATCGTATTCTGATGGCAGAAGGGGTGAATGGTGTGATATTTGGGGGCTGCTTTAAAACACTCCAACAAGGAAAAGGAAAACAGTAGATGAAGCAAGTGTGGCAAAATCTTGATAACTGTCATATCTGGACAATGGGTGTATAGAATCAATTATACTATTCTCTACATTTGTGCATATGTAAGAATGTTCCAAATTAAAATGACAAATGTCTTAATTATTAGAATGTCAGAAATGCATGGTGTAAAAAACTCAACTATGCAGTAGGATAGTGGGAGGTCAGTCTGCTCCCCTCTCCCAGACCCCAGTCCCCTCTTAGGACTAAGTCCTCTTTTCAGCCTCTTCTACAGCCTTCCAGAGGTTGACTGTGTGTATACAAGCCTATAAGTGTGATTTATTATTTTTTATTATATAATAAATAATATTTTTATTATATAATAAATAATATTATTTTTTATTATATAATAAATAATATTATTTTTTATTATATTTTATTTTTTGACACAGGATCTTACTCTGTCACCCAGGCTGGAGTGCAGTGGCATGATCTTGGCTCACTGCAACTTCTGCCTCCTGGGTTCAAGCGATTCTCCTGCCTCAGCCTCCCAAGTAGCTGGAACTACAGGCACGCACCACCACGCCCAGGAAATTTTTGTATTTTTATTTTTATTTTATTTATGTATTTATTTTTTGAGGTGGAGTTTCACTCTTATTGTCCAGGCTGGAGTGCAATGACACGATCTCGGCTCACCGCAACCTCCGCCTCCTGGGTTCAAGTGATTCTCCTGCCTCAGCCCCCTGAGTAACTGGGATTACAGGCATGCGCCACCACACCTGGCTAATTTAGTTTTTTTTTTTTTTTGTGGTACTTTTAGTAGAGACGGGGTTTCACCATGTTGGCCAGGCTGGCTTCAAACTCCTGACCTCCCTCATGATCCTCCCGCCTCGGCCTCCCAAAGTGTTGGGATTATAGGCGTGAGCCACCGTGTCCGGCCTGAATTTTTGTATTTTTAGTAGAGACGAGGTTTCTCCATATTAGCCAGGCTGGTCTTGAACTCCTGACCTCAGGTGATCCATTGGCCTTGGCCTCCCAAAGTGCTTGGATTATAGGCATGAGCCAACGCACTCAGCCTCGATAGTATTATACATTTATTACTCTTATCCCTGGATACTGGGTTTCCAAGCTCGCTGCACATTTGTGTGTGTGCATCTGGGTGGGTGTAACTGTCGGACAGGATTCTGTGGTTGGAATCCATGTGACTTATTCATCACCTTAGAGACAGATACTGAGGCTGCCTCCAGCACCCCACTGTCATGGTCAACACCACTGTGGTCATCTTTGTCCATGTCCATCTCTGAATCTTGCCCTTTACTCTAGCAAGCATTTTTTCTCAGCTCACATACATCTGCCTTGGGTTTTAAAATAGCTGCACGGTGTTCCTAGTTTTGGATGTTCCATAGTTTAGCCAATCACCTCTCTACTGACAGACCTTTCAATCTTCTCTTTCATCATCTCACTCAAACTATGAATAGCCTTGTTCAGTTGTCAGTTTGCACACATGCAAGCACATTTCTAGGCGAAAGTCCTAGTGATGGAATTGCTGAGGCAAAGGGTCTGTGCCTTTGTCATTTGCATGGATACTGCCAGAAAAGTGTGAGAATATCTGTTTCCCACCCATCAGCAAAACTGTCTTCCAGCGCTTAGGTTCTTTGAGGCTCAGAGAGTGGTGGTCTGGCTGGGATAACACAGCCAGTGAGGGTTGGCACTGAGCCTGGCATGCAGGAAACTGAACCCTGGCCAGTGACCTTCCCAAGGCACTGCTTTGGCTTCTTCATGCCCGAAGCTTCACAGAGTCTGGGACCTTCCTAGCAAGTCTGGGGGCCTCGGCCTTTGGAATGTGCCTGGTAAGCAACCCCTCCAAGTGCCCACTAGCCCAGAGCAGTGTCAGCCTTGGAGCTCGTCACACGAAAGCCCCTGGGAGGTTGTGTCAGGCCTGGCCTCCGTAGATCCCTGACCCCTTCCTCACCCCCACCTCCCTGCAGCATCTTCATAAAGGGCTCTGTCAGAGTGAGACATCCTTGGGAGCCTGGAGTGGTGTTGCCTGGAGACAACTGGGCAACAGATCTGAGTTATTTATTTATTTATTTATTGAGACGGAGTTTTGCTCTTGTCGCCTGGGCTGGAGTGCAATGACGCGATCTTGGCTCACTGCAACCTCTACCTCCCGGGTTCAAGCGATTCTCCTGCCTCAGCCTCCCCAGTAGCTGGGATTATAGGTGCCTGCCACCATGCCTGGCTAATTTTTGTATTTTTAGTAGAGATGGGGTTTCACCACGTTGGCCGGGTTGGTCTCAAACTCCTGACCTCAGGTGATCTGCCCGCCTCAGCCTCCCAAAGTGCTGGGATTACAGGTGTGAGCCACTGCGCCTGGCCAGATCTGAGTTATTTAAAGGAGGGAGAGGGTGGGACGGAAGGGGTGACAGCCTTTTTATTCAGGGATGGATGGTCCTGCTGCTGCAGGGTTTGGCAGCCCCCTCCCACCCCTTGTCTTTCCCAGTGTCCAGAGCCTGGGACTCTGCAGCGAGACCCAGTAGAAGGCCACTTGGAGCACCTTTCTGACGGCAGTAGTGGTGGGGGATTCTCTGCATGCCCCGGGGGCTCTGTACGAGTGCTGGCTGGGGGAGGGAGGAGGTGTGGGCAGAAGGACCAAGCATTGGAGAGGAATCTTCTGATGTTGATAACCACAACTCCTATTATGAACTTCCTCTCAGACAGCTATTTGCTAAGAATTTTAAATTTATTAGTTCATTTGATCTCAAAACTCGTCAAGGTAGGTATGACTATCCCCATTTTACAGATGTGGAAACTGAGGCTCAGAGAGACATTAAGTGACTTGCCTGAGGTCACACAGCTAAGTGGCAGAAACCAAATGAAAACTCAGGTCTTGTCTGATGCAGAAGCCAGAACAAACCTCCGTACATTGCTAGAGATGGCAGGGCCCTTGAATGCACCCACGTCTCCCCACCCCTAGCTGACCTGGAAGGTCCTGCATCCCGCCCTGCTGGGTGCCACCAATCGTGCTTCCCCAGCACCCTGGCCCCACCCCGACTCTGCAGGAAACACAGGGCTCTGAAATGATCCGTGACTTGTCTGCCTCTCCCACAGGTCTGTGAGCACCTCGAGGGCAGGGCAGGGTCTTATTCATCTCTGTGTCCTGAGCCCAGAGTCAGGCACATAGTGGGCACTTAAAGAGCATTTCCACATGGAGCTTGGATGCTTGAGCAGCTCTCCCTCAGACAGGGGCCAGCTGTCTATCTATGGACCCTCACTCTCTCCCCGACAGCCCTGCAGGGACCAGAAGAAATGATCCTTCTTTTTTTGTTGTGTACTTGTTTACTGTCCTCCCAGCCCACTAAAATGTCAGTTCCATGAAGGCAGGAACTTGTCTGCCTCATTCACTTCTCAGGGGATAGAACAGTCTTGGAATATAGAAGGGGCTCCATAAATGTTTGTTTACAGACTAATTTTTTTTTTTTTTAATTGAGACGGAGTCTGTCACCCAGGCTGGAGTGCAGTGGTGTGATCTCAGCTCACTGCAACCTCTGCCTCCCAGTTTCAAGCGATGCTCGTGCCTCAGCCTCCCAAGTAGCTGGGATTACAGGCGCACGCCACTATGCCTGGCTAATTTTTTTGTATTTTTAGTAGAGACGGGGTTTCGCCATGTTGGCCAGGCTGGTCTCGAACTCCTGACCTCAGGTGATCCACCCCCCCCCCCTCAGCCTCCCAAAGTGTTGGGATTACAGGTGTGAGCCACAGTACCCGGCCTGACTGACTAAATAAATGAATGAAATATTCGTGGAATGAATGAGCCAGGATTCCTCCCTGCTTTTCTCTCCTGATCTGATGGAGCATCTCTGTAGAACCTGAAGAATGTTCTGGAGCTAGAGTCACGCTCCTGCCACATGTCCTGGGTGCTCTTCAGTCAGGCCCTTAAGTGGTCCTGTGGGGAGGGAGGGGAGCAAGATCTGGTCCCTGCTCTTAGGAACCTCATTGTTCTGTGCAGCATGTTCAAACTGGAGGTCACGGGCAAAATCAGTGTAGTGCCCTGCAGTCAGCAATAACAAAAAGAAATAGGATAAGATAGATTAGAGGGCCGGGCGTGGTGGCTCACACCTGTAATCCCAGCACTTTGGGCAGCCGAGGCAGGTGGATCACCTGAGGTCAGGAGTTTGAGACCAGACTGGCCAACATGGTTAAACCCTGTCTCTACTAAAAATACAAAAATTATCTGGGCGTGGTGGCGGGCGCCTGTAATTCTAACTACTCGGGAGCCTGAGGCAGGAGAATTGCTTGAATCCAGGAGGCGGAGGCAGCAGTGAGCCGAGATTGTGCCACCACCACTGCACTCCAGCCTGAGACTCTGTCCAAGGAAGGAAGGAAGGAAGCAGGATGCATCCAATGCAGTAAGGCTAAGCATTTTTTTGTGAATAACACACATTCACATATCTGTGTAGCTGGCCCTGGTGTAAAATGTATTTCTTACTTTGGGTCTTGATAAAAAAAAGGTTTGAACCTTGTGTATGAATTTGGGAGTCGGGGGACGTAATCCTTAGGCTTAGACCCAAAGAAGGATATAATCAATAAAATGAATAATCCTGCCCATAATATGATGCCGATAACTGAACATGTATCCTGCGCCAGATGGGGATGCTCAGGTCCCAGGGCCTGGCAGGGAAGGGAGGGGAAGGATTCCAGAGTGGACAGAGATCCCATGGGCAGATAGGGGAGGAGTCCAAGGCAAATTGCCTGGAGGAGGAACCTGAACTCAGCCTCCAAACACCCCTCTGCCCTGGCAGGTTCAGGGCTAGGTCATGGTGTGAGCTTGGGTGGCAACAGTAATGACAGGAACAGCAGTCATCAGTAAGTACTTGCTGAGTGCCAAGCACCTTTTATCCTCCAGACTTTCCCAGGAAGCAAGAACTGCTCTTTGCATCATTTTACAAATGAGGAGACTTGGAGCAATGTGGTAACTTGTAGCATAGGGGTCACATGGTGGTAAAGTTGCTGTGGCTAGATCCAAGCCCAGGTCTGCCCTGCTTAAAGCCCTTGTCTTTAGGATTGCACACAGAAGGGGGCTGAAAAAGTGGGAGTGCTGGATGCTGGAGATGGGGCAGTGGGCCTGGAAGGGCGGATGGCCAGGGCAGACAGGGGATCCGTCTGTGTTGGGATTCAGGCGTCACGGATGAGTTTGCCTGAGGCTCAGAGACCACTGGGCTCAGGGCGAAATCACAGGCCACAAGACTCCCACCCTGAAGGGTGCACATGATCCCTGTTCTTGGCAGTAAGGTGGTCACAAGGAGCAAGGCCAGCCCATGTCCTGATGTTGTCCACTCCTCAGGTCCAGTGTCCCTCAGCTGTGGCAGATGTCAGGGAAGAGTGGGGAGTAGAGAAGAGCAGCAAGGGCCTGTTTCCCATCTTTGATCAAGATTCATCTTTGCTGGTTTGAACCCAGCTCCTCTGCTTTCCAGCGAGTCATTTGTGCCTGTCAGGAAATCATTTTTGGCTTGAGTGTTCCCTGGAGGGAATCTGGGGTTCCCACAGCTCATGTTTTTGCCCAGGAACTGAACTTGGGAGCTCTCTCCCAAGAGCACCAGCACCTTGCTTGGGCTGATGGGGCAGTGGATGGCCACAGGCGAGTCTGTCGGGGCGTGAGTAACAGGTTACTCATATTCTTTGCAGCAGCAGCTTGTCTGGTTTTGGACGGTTGCAGGTGCTTTGTGTGTGTGCTACACGTACACACACATACACACATGCTCACTTATAAAGCCACACTCACTCCCACTAGACACTTGCACAAACATGGATCCCTGCAAATATGAGTTCACGCACGAGCAATACAAGCATGATAACATGGTGTCTTGGACGTTTGTGTGTGGGGGATGTGGGTGCTGGCAGTGCTGGTGGAGTGCTGGGTGAGTGGGGGTCAGTCCCGACCTCTCTCCTTCCTGAGATCCTGTTCTGGGACCCATGAATCTTTTCTCAGGGGATTTTGGGCTTCTGCTCTGAGCTTCCAGATTTCTCAGGAATCTTCTGCTGCAGTTTGAGAGGCTCAAATGGGCTCAACTGAGAGCTGGCTCGACTGATTCTTTCGTTCTGCCTGGGGCTGGGGAGAGAGCAGGATGCCTTCTCTTGGGTGTACCCAGGGCTGCTCTGTGGCCTTCTCTCCTTCAACATTCAGTCCTTGTTCCCCTCCCAGGCCCACGGTGGGGCAGATCTGACTGAATCTTTCTTGTGGTTGGGACTTTTCTAGCCCCATAGCCAGCAGACAGCCAGGGCTGCAGGACTCGCTATTCTGAGTAGGGACTTGGCAGGCCCTCTGGGGGGCTGGTGGTGGGCTGGTGAGGCTGGGCACTGTGGTTTGGATGCAGTCTGTGGCCTGACCCTGAGGAACCTCCAAGCCCTCAGCCCCCTACCTACCAGCTGAACCCTGAGGCTAACTGTTAGATCCAGAAGGGTTGTGACTGCAGGCTGTCCTGAGAACATCTTTGTCCTGGGCTTTTCTGCTTGGTTCAACAAGAACACCTACTGTGTGTGTGGTGAGTACAAATGAATGTATGGAGACGTGCCAGGCACTGTGCTGTGGGCCAAAAGACAGGTCAGGCACAGGTAGGACATAGCTTTTGTTCTCTGGGAGCTAGAGAGGCACACCGCCGTGGATCCCAGCATCTGCTGGGCAGGGAGGGTGAGGGGAAGCAAAGTGTGTGTATTTGTATGTGTGTATTATGTGCATATGTGTATGTGCTATGTTTCTGTATGTATATATGTGTGCATGCATCCCTATAGGTATGCATGTTTATGTATATATTTGTATACATATATGTGCATGTATGTGTATACATGTGTGCATACACATGCACATGTATGTAAATGTATATTTTGCACCTGCTCACACACATGTTGCTCCTACCTTAGTCCTGGCCTAGAAGAGGACATTATCCTGGAATGCATCCTCAGGATGGCAGGCTTCAGCTGGGGAGTCTGACAGCTGGTGGGATGGGATATGGGGCTGTGGCAAGAGGAAGAAGGAAGGAAACTGTGGCCCAGGATGGAGTCCTAAAGTGTGCCACACACGATGCCTGGACATTACTTGCCCAGCTCACTGGCTTCTCAAATACCTCTTTGAAGGAGGATGAAGCCATCTTATGGATGTAGAAGTTGGGAATCTGAGAACTTACGTCACTTTTCCCAGACCACACAGCCAGTAAATTGTGAGCCACTTTGAGCCTAGCTCTGCTGAACTCTGAAGGTCAGGTCTGTTTCCCAAGGCCACTATGGGATTTTCTCTGCTGCTGTCCTTTTCACACACCTTGGGTGGCGCAGGAGCAGGTATGGAGCTGAGGACAAGTCTTCCCTGGGCCTGTTTCCTCATTTGTTAAAATAGGGATCAGAAAAGTACCGACCTTATAACTTCGCGAGGCACTTAAGAGCTAGGTGCTAGGGACATGGTGAGACCACCACAATGAGTGATTTCTCTTGTCTTCAGTTATTCTTAGGGGTCATGGGGAATGTGTTCCCCTCTCCCAGCCCAGCGCTCTCCAGCCTGACAGAGGTGGGGCCTACACTGCCTGCATCCTGGGGCAACCCCAGCTCGCCGAAATCCAGCTCCAGTCCTGAATGGGGGTGAGGCAGGTGGTAACAGGTGAGAAAAAAGGATTTCCCGAGTGTGGAGCAGCGAGAGGGAGGAAGTGACTCACCAACCACAACAAAGCCTATCTCTCCGCGAGGAAGCACAGCGAAGAGTGAACGCACGCACGTGGGTGCGTTCACCCACGTGCTCGCGGGGGCGTGCGGGGCCGTCGGAGTGGGCCGGGCTGGCTGCCGCCTAGTGCTAGTCCGCGCGTGTGGGGTGAGGAGTGGTGGGGGGGGCAGGCCTATGGTGCGGGTCACTGCCTGGAGCCGCATGATGGGTGGGGGCGGAGGGACCCCTCTCCATCCAAAGCTCTGCTCTGCTGTTCCCCTCTCACCTCTGGGGGCCGAGGGGCGCGTTTCCTTAGGACCCCGGGGCGTGGGAGAAGCCCCTGCTTGGGGGGACCGTCTGCTGTTTAGGGGCTCCCCTTCGACACGTGGGAGGCAAAAGTGCAGAGCGCACCATCATCCAGCTCCGGCCGCACTGCACAGCGAGGCCGGCCCGGAGCCCGGATGCTGGGCTCGGTCCCGCCGAGGCTCGGCCTGGCTGTAAAGCAGAGGGGGGCGAGGGAAGCCGGGCCAGCGGGTGTCGCGGGTAGCCGGCGTCCGGGACGGGGTGTGGCGCCCAGAGCGCTGCTGCCTCTCGCAGCCAGGAGGCTGGATGTCGGGTTTGGGTGTCTTCCAGAAGGAGCCGCACTAGCGACGAGGGAAGAGGAACTGGCTTCCCGGGCAGTCTCCCCCGCCCCAAACTTTTCCTCCTCGCGGAGGGTGGGCGGGCGGAGGGAGGAAGCGCAGCCGGGGAACGTGGCGCCCGCGTTCCTCCCGCCCGGGGGCTGCGGCTGGGCTGAGTGTGTCTTTAAATCTGAGCCCCCCGCCCCTCGCGGTGGGGCCGGGACTCGCGGTCCGGGCGGGGGCGGGCGCGGTGATTGGCGGCCGGGTCGGGTCCGCCCCTCGGCGTTGGGTAGCGGGGCGCTGGGGAGCAGCGCGGCGCGCACGGGCCGGGGCGCGCAGGTCCCGTCGCCGGTGAGCACGGGCTCCCTCTCGCGTGGCCTCGCCGGGTCCGCCTGGCCTGCCCACCTCCGGAGCCACCTCTGCCCCCGCATGGGCTGGCGAAGTTGGGAGGAGCGAGCTGGAGCCAGAGCGCGCGCCGGGCGCGCCCCGTCGCTGCCTGACTCGGCGCCCGCAGTTCGGGCGCAGCACGCCGGCCGCAGGAGCACGGATGCCCCCCGGAGCCGCGGGCTGGCAGGTACCGAAGTGTCCTGCCCTGGGGCTGGCGAGGGGAGGGCAAATCTGGAATCCCCCGGGCACCCCCCAGCCCGAGGCTGCTCCAGACACCAACTCCCCATCCTTTGGAGAGGTGAGGTCCTGGGCCTTCACCCCACACCCGCTCAGGATTGGTCCCTGGGAGGCAAGAGGGACTCACAGGGAGCAGTTGCTGGGTGGTTGTGTGTGTTGGACCCTGGGCTACCCCCTCTCCCGAGTTCCCTGGGTTTGGTGTAGGCATGGCCTGGTGACAATTCCACTTTTCATTGCCAGACCTGGGAGCATGGCCAGGAGCTAGGGTTTCCCGCGAAGTTAGGGGGAGATTGGGGAGAGGGAAGCCGCTTCATGACCGAGATGGGGTCCTGGGACTCATCTCTAGGGGGCGTGAGGCCCTCAGACCCAGGACGAGTCCAGAAGTCTCAGCGGGCACAGGCTTTGATTCTTGGCCCAGTCTGGCCCTCTTCCTCTGTAGGCCCGGGTCTCCAAGGAGAGTACGTTTTTCAGTTTCAGAGGGTTTTCCTGAAGGGGCAGTAACCTGTCAGAGAGAGAGTGGCCTATGGGAGACCCGGCTCCTGAAGGTGGCCGGGATGGTTGGAGCCCTTTCTCTTGGGTTGTCAGAGATGGGAGTAAAGCTTCATGGCCCAGGGAATCTTCTGGGCATCTCTACTCTCCCAGCCAGAGGCCCAGGAACCAACTCCTTGGCTTCTGGGTAGAGTAACCTGAACCCAGTGGCCGAGCACCTCTTAAATGCCAGGAAGGGCACTGGGCCGTGCCCCTGGAATGTGTGGATGGAGGAGGATTTGGAGGATTCTGTCCTCAGGAGGCTCAGCCCCTGGGGGCAAGACAGGACATAAACACACAAAGTTCCCCGATACAGGGTTTCAATACCAGTCCTGAACTGGTAATAGTGGAAAGCCAAGAGGCTACACACCATTAATTGCTATGTGAGTAATGTAGGCTGCGAGAGTGCCAGGGCAGCAGAGATCCAGTTCCATGCAAGCAAGCAAATGTGCTGAAATGTTCCAGCTCCATGCCCGCCCTTCCTTATTACCTTGCTCCAAGGGCAGGGAGCAGCAGGGGCGCTGAGGAGGTTCTCCTGCACTCATCCCCACCCACTCCCAGGTTTGTTTGTTTCCTGCTGGTGGATTTCTGAAATAACCCATTTGGTTTCTTGGCTTGGGCTGAGCACAGGACACTCCTAGTTGCCCTGTGGCTCCTGGGGTTTGGGGTCTAGAGCCAGCCTTGTAGGAGGTTCAGAGGTAAGCAGGAGGAAGTCCTCACTTCCTTTCTGAAGAGCCTCTGTCGCGGGGGGTTGGGGTAGGTCGGGAGGCTGGCAGGCACTGGGCCAGTTTCCTATGAGTGCAGACAGACCCCAGGTGGTGCATGCACCCCCCTCCCTTTCCTGGCCAGTGTTGGGGGTGGGCACAGTAGGGCCCAGGTGGCTTGAGGTGGGTGGTTCCTGGCACAGCTCTGACCTCACTTCTGTGAGGCTCTGCTGTATCTGGGGCCCTGCCCCCTCCCTCATTGTCCCTGGCAGGTTTCTGTTTTTCTGGAGCACTTCGTGGAGGTGGCAGTGTGCTCATGCTCGTGGCCTTGGGTGCAGTTCTGGGAGTGGGAGTTGCTGAGCTCACCCGAAGCCCTTGGCTGGCACTGTGAGAACTTGTGTGAACACACTTGCCTGCCTCCAAACAGGTGGTGCACAGACCTGGGTTACCCAGGCACCTGTGGGGGATGCCCCGTGTGGGCAGAGACGTGAGTGCGTGTGTGTGCTCAGGTTTACATCTGTGTGGGCAGAGACGTAGAGGAGCTGGATACATATATACTTGAGGACAGACACAGGAGGATGGTGGGGGTGAGCAAACAACCCAGGGACACAGACATGTGCGGGGACAGACATACATGAACCCATCAGCGTGGGCCACGTATGGGCTGCAGACACGTACATAGAAATACACCATTGCTGGGATCTGAATCTCCCCACATGGGAGGCAGACATGTAAGTGGACAGACATATAGGTAGACCCAGCAGAGCACAGACGGGGATGGGAACCGACATTCCCAGACAAAAGACTCGGAGCCACAGGGAAGCCGCTCAAGTGCCTGGGCAGAATGGAGTTGGCTGTGAGCTCCTGGGGGGCACAGACACATATGCTTGCCAGAGCCAGCGGACAGCAGAGGCCAGGAACCAGACACAGGTGGGTTCTGAGAGGTAGGCCGAGGCGTGCATTGCCTGGTTATCACTGTTTCCCTGCGTGGCACAGTGCCCGGAAGTTGTCCTGTTTGGGGTGGTGATGGTACAGGTGCTCTGTGGTGGAGCTTATTTCTAGACTCTCACTTTGGGGTTTGAGGACCCCAAAAAGCTCAGTCTCCTGTGTTTTACTCAGAGTCATTTGGCCTCTCCACCTCTGCATTACAAGGCTGTGTTTGTGCCTTAAGTGCCAGCAGGTGCTCTTTGAATTTTGATTCTCATCTTCCCTGGATCTCCAGAGGCTTCCTGAAGTGAGGCTGTGTGGCCTGGGTAGGGTGCTCCAACTGTTCCTTTCCTACCAGAATAGGAGAGGAACTGTCTGGGGATTCTCCTTCTGAACCCAAGCCTGCGGGTCTTTGACAGGGATCCCCCAGGTGAGAGAGAGAGCACACATGTAGCTGCGTCTGTGATGAGAGCCACTGCCCTCTGGGGCGGGCTCCTTCTCTGCTAAGCCGTGGGCTTGCACAGGGAAGGGGTCCCCCACCTGGCTATGCTCAGGTCTCCTCTGCCCAACCTGGCACCTGAGAGACAGCCCAGATTCTAGATATGCTTTGATACTAATGCACCATGCAACCTCCAGCAAGTCAATTAATGTATTGGTTTCCTCATCTTTAGAGTGGGGTCAGTAACCTCTACCTCCTTGTGGGTTCAGTGGGAGAAAATCAGTGCAAAGCATGTGGCCCAGTGCATGGCATGGAGTGAGTGCTCAGTTGATGTGGCGGTGGGGGCCTTTGATTATGAGCCATCCCCTGTGGCCAGGACTCTGCAGGGCTTCCTCAGCAGCCAGGTGCATGGCCCTGGGCCTCTGGGTGAGGTCTGGAGCAGGCTGGGTGGGCCAGGCACCTCTCCTGTGAAAGCTGGAGGGCTTTGTCCTCAGTCGGTGCCCACTAGTCCCTCCTTAGCCCTGTGGGACCTCCATACACGGGGTCAGGAAATGGCAGGCTGGGCGGGCGTATGGAAGCTTGGGCCTGCTGACTGCTGGGCCTCTGGGAGGGGAGCCAGTGTTTGCTAAGAATAGTCCCAAATCATGGCTTTCGTTTCCCAGAGGGCAGCCCAGCCATGTGCTGCCCCTGTCTTGGGCCAAGGCACTTGCAGATGGACTTTTTATGTTTCCTGTAACTGGTGCTCAGCACAGGATTGAGCCTGGGAGCAGCAGGCTTAGTCTGGGAGGAGGCTCTGTTTGTCTTCCGAGGCCTTTGGCTGGGACCCGGGGAAAGAGAAGGTCTGGAAGCACTGGCCTTTATAATCCCTGAGTTCCTTTTCCACTCAGGGCTTTTCCTGACACATCTGCCTCGACCATCTTCCTACCTGCAAATAGACCTGTTGTGATTAAGAACACTGGCTCTGGAAAGAAACTACCAGGGTCTGAATTTCTGCTCCCTCCCTCATTAGCCATGTGGCCCAGGGCAAGAAACTTAACCTCTCTGTGCCTCAAGTCCCTTGTGTAACAGGGTTAAGGATAGCAACTCCCTTATGAGAATGTCACAAGGATGAAAGGAGGTAATCGCAGAGAGCCTCCGAGGCTGTCTGGCTCCTAGGAAGTACTCAGTAAACATTAGGTGCTTATGTTATTACCACGATGTTATTCTCTCAGCAGAGGCCAGGATGCTTGCACAGGACCAGTTGGTGGGAAGGGACCAGCGTGGCATCTTGATGTGGGTTCCTGAGCTTTCTTGGCCCTGGGTTCAGTATGAGGTGCAGGGGCTCCGAAGGTAGATTAAACTCTGTCCCTGCCAGGAGGTGAGTGAGGTACATGCAGACACCATGTCTGGTTCTGTGATGGGGTCTGTGCTAGTTATGGTTGGAGCCTGAGGGAGGGAATGGCTGGCCTGGGGTGTGTGTGATACTTCACGTGGGCTTTGAGGGATGGCCAGGAGTTTGCAAAGGAGGAGGGCAAGGCTTCCCCAGCAGAAAGAGCAGCGTGGCAGAGGTGTGACAGCCCTTGTGAAGCGTTTTGTGTATTTCCCATAACTGGCATGTGGGCTGACTTTGGCTTTAAGGGGTGCCCCTGCCTGGGCTGAAGCTGGGGCACTGATGAGAGAGGCAGGTGGGGTGTCTGGGTCATCTGCACACCCATGGAAGGCAGTAGAGAACATCTTTGGGAACTGGGTGTGTCACTGCCAATGCTTTGGGCTCCCAGGGAGCTGGGGCTTTCAGAAATTCCCCAAGGAGAGAGGATGTGGTGCTGTGAGGGCTGTGGGTACCCTGGGAAACGGCCAACAGGCTGGGCTGGGGCCCATGGGAGGGGAGAGGGGTGGGTGCCCTGAGATGACCTGGGACCCTGCCAGCTTCTGCATCCTGCTGAGCCCCAGGCCCTTCCTCTCTGTGGGCTGTGCCGGCCTCTGTCTGGCCTTCCCAGAATGGAGGCCTGGGACGCTGGGACATTTTTCGAAGATTCTGTTTGGAAAGCACAGAAGGGACTTCTCCTCCCCTTTTCCTTTTCCTGGAATGGAGAATCTCCTGAAGGAGTTAACCCCTTTCCTGCTGGTCACAGAGTGGCCCATGGATGTGTCCCCGGCTTTTTTTAGGATCACTGTTTTATTGTTGCCCTTTCTGTTACACGGGATGTATACATCAGGTGCTGAAAGGTACAACACATTCTGCAACTGAGTGCCACCTTCCATGATTGAACAGGCAAAGAAAGTACACTGAACATCAGCATCTGGCAATATATTTTTTGTTTGTTTGTTTTTTTTGAGATGGAGTCTCACTCTGTTGCCCAGGCTGGAGTGCAGTGGCGCATTCTTAGCTCACTGCAACCTCTGCGTCCCAGGTTCAAGCAATTCTCGTGCCTCAGCCTCCTGAGTAGCTGGGATTACAGGTGCCCACCACTACGCCCAGCTAATTTTTGTATTTTTAATAGAGATGGGGTTTCACCGCATTGGCCAGGCTGGTCTCAAACTCCTGATCTCAGGTGATCTGCCTGCCTTGGCCTCCCAAAGTGTTGGGATTACAGGCATGAGCCACCGTGCTCGACCCCAATATTTTTCTAAAAAAAGACTAAAATGGATTTAAATTGATTAACACTGTTAAATCACGTCTAATATTTGATACTACATGATTCAATATAGCTGAATGATGCAATGATAGAAAATGTGTTTACATCAAAGAATACAACCAAAATTAAGATAGCAAACAAAACCCATATACTTTTTTTAAACAGGAAAATACTTTTGAAGTGTACATGTAACTGCCCATTCTTTTATTTTATTTTATTGTTTGTTTTTTTTTTTGAGACAGAGTCTCGGTCTGTTACCCAGGCTGGAGTGCAGTGGCGTGATCTCAGCTCACTCAAGCTCCGCCTCCCGGGTTCAAGCGATTCTCCTGCCTCAGCCTCCTTAGTAGCTGGGACTACAGGTGTGTGCCACTATGCCTGGCTAATTTTTGTGTTTTTAGTATAGATGGGGTTTTGCCATTTTGACCAGGTTGGTTTCAAACTCCTGACATCAGGTGATCTGCCCGCCTCGGCCTCCCAAAGTGCTGGGATTACAGGCATGAGCCACTGCGCCCAGCTGCAACTGCCCATTCTTTTAAAGAAAATTTACTGCAAGCAAAGTTATCAACCTTCAGAAAATGCACACATAGTATTGCTAAGCATCCCCCATTCCAATATGCACACTTGGAAAATACAAAGTTAAACAAATTGTAAACAATAGGTGAGCTTCATATTTTTAAGAATATGGAAAGAAATCCCATTTTTAGCAGTGTTGTACAAAGAACTGTCTTTTCATGTGAAATTCATGAATTGTCCTTCTGTTGGGATCATACTTCACAAAACCACCATGTTTTTGAAACAAGATTACAGAGTACGAACATCTTAGCAATGTTATCTTATTATTAAAGTTAAATTTTTTTTTTTTACTATTTTTCAAAACATCTCCCTTAAGTATGTAGGATTCATCTTTAAAATTCTTCCTAGAAATAATATACAAAGGAGAGGTATGTTTATTCCCTGTTATACTTCTGGAAGGCACTTCCATGGTGGAGAAGGGGCTTCTTTCTCTTCTGTTCACTGATTGTTTTTGTCCTTGGTGTGTGTTAAGATGTAAGATTTCAGGTTAGTTGTCTGAGCAAACTTCTTTTTTTTTTTTTTCTTGTTTTTGAGACAGAGTTTCACTCTTGTTGCCCAGGCTGGAGTACAATGGTGTGATCTCAGCTCACTGCAACCTCTGCCTCCTGGGTTCAAGCGATTCTCCTGCCTCAGCCTCCCAAGTAGCTGGGACTACAAGTGTGCACCACCACACCCGGCTGATTTTTGCATTTTTAGTAGAGATGGGGTTTCACCATGTTGGCCAGGCTGGTCTTGAACTCCTGACCTCAAGTGATTCACCCGCCCCGGCCCCCCAAAGTGCTGGGATTACAGATGTGAGCCGCCGTGCCCAGCCACAAACTTCTTTTATTACAACCACGGAAGGGGCACACATGGGTCCTGTCTCTGGTATGGATTCACACACACGTGCACAAATTGAAGTCCAATAAAAAGCATTTCCCACAGACCCACCATGTGCCATGAAAGAGCTTCTCTCCAGCACAGACTGGTTGGTGTTGTTCTGGTCTTGAGCTCTCAACAAGAGCTTTGCCGTGTTCTTCACAGACGAGGACTCTGGGACTGTGGCTGTGCAGATGTTTTCTCATGGCAGAGTTATCCAAGAACATCTTCGTGCTCCCTTTATGAGGCAAGCTGTTGTTCTTGGGGCATCATCTTATTTAATTTTTCTTGGCTTCATTCCAGCAAGTTATGCCGATTGTTTAGGATTTGAGAGGTTACTGCCAGGTATTCCTCCAGGAGGAAGTTTCTTTCCTGTCATATACTTTGAAAATCAGGAGGCAGGTTCTCTTCAATGGCCAGTTCTTCAACCACTGTTGAGGTATCAAAGTCAATATCTTTTTTTTTTTTTTCTCTGAGGACTACATGGTGACCAAAAACTTGCCCTCCAGGTTCTTGATCTGCACCTGCTTCTGCTCCCACTTGTTGTTGCCTGGGTTGGCGCCATCACCACCCACCACATTTCTGCTTTGACGTCTGCCCTGTAGTGACTGAACCCTTCATCCTGGGACCCCTGAGGTTGGTGCCAACCCCTGCACTTCCCAGGGACAGCCCTCTATCAGGGCCCCGGCACCCTGGTTGACAGGGCCTAGAAGACTTCATTAGCCAGTTGGGCACTGTGGCTCACACCTGTAATCCCAGCACTTTGGGAGGCCGGGGCAGGCGGATCACTTGAGGTCAGGAGTTCAAGACCAGCCTGGCCAACATGGTGAAACCCCATCTCTACTAATAATACAAAAATTAGCCAGGTGTGGTGGTGGGTGCCTGTAGTCCCAGCTACTCAGGAGGCTGAGACTGGAGAATAGCTTGAACCCAGGAGGCAGAGGTTGCAATGAGCTGAGGTTGCGCCACTGCACCCCAGCCTGGGCAACAGAGTGAGATTCTGTCTCAAAAAACAAAACAAAACAAAACAAAAAACCTCATCAGCCTGATCTGAGTGGTGGTTTAGCTTTGCCTTGACCATCATCTGCCGGTGTGCTCCCTCCCTTCCTCCCGAGGCAGCCCTGTCTGCTGGAGCACAAGGACTTCTGGAGTCTCCTGCAGGGTTGCCCTGCTGGCTCAGCCCAAGGCCTGGTGGGAATCTGATTTCTGAATGCCCAAAGAGAAGGGCCCTCCCTAGAGACGAGCCCCAGAGTTGCCCTTTGGGGAGCCCTCTGGGGAGGTGTGGAGTAGTCTCTGCTCCAGGGGGCTCTGAGCTGGGCCCTAAGGCATCAGGTAAATAAGCCCTGGGCTGGCATTTGACTGTCCCTCTGAGCCCAATTTTTTTTTTTTTTTTTTTTTGAGACAGAGTCTCGCTCTGTTGCCCAGGCTGGAGTGCAGTGGCATAATCTTGGCTCACTGCAAGCTCCACCTCCCAGGTTCACGTCATTCTCCTGCCTCATCCTCCCGAGTAGCTGGGACTACAGGCGCCCGCCACCATGCCCGGCTAATTTTTTGTGTTTTTAGTAGAGACGGGGTTTCACTGTGTTAGCCAGGATGGTCTCGATCTCCTGACCTTGTGATCCGCCCGTCTTGGCCTCCCAAAGTGCTGGGATTACAGGCGTGAACCACCGCACCTGGCTGTGCCCAATTTTCTCACCTGCAGAATGGGCATGAACATTTCCCCCTGCCTATCTTCAATGTTTTTTTTTTAAACTGAGGTGAAATCCATTTAAATAAAATAAACCATTTTAAAGCCCACAATTTAGAGGCATTTAGTATAGTCACAATGTTGTACAACCACCACTTCTATCACATTCTAAAACATTTTATCACCCTAAAGGAAAACTCCACCTATTAAGCAGTTACTCACCATTCCCTTCTCCACCACAGTACTTTTTTTCTTTAAAAAAAAAAACAAAAAAACAAAAAACAGTTTTGTTGAGATATGTGCACCATAAAATACACCTGCGTGAAGTGTGCACTTTGGTGAATGTCGGTAAAAGTCCTGGGCATGCAGCCAACTCCTAGACAAGTCTGACAACACTTTCCATCACCTAGAAGGGCCCTATGCTCCCTTGTAGCCGGTCACCACTCCCACCTTGGGCCCAGGCCCACTCATCTACTTTCTGTCACTATGATTTTGTTTTTTCTGGATTTTTCACATACGTGGACTCATATAACAGGTAGCTTTTAGTGACTGGCTTCTTTACTCAACATGATGTTTTTTGAGATTCATCTCTGTTATTGGATGATTTAATCAGTTCCATTCCTTTTTTATTGGTGAGTAGTATTCCAATGTGTGGGATATGTTAAAAATAGTTTAAAATTTCTCTCTCTTTTTTTTTTTAAGAAGGGCCTCTTTCCTGTTGCCCAGGCTGCAGTGAAGTGGCTCAGGGTCGACTCACTGCAGCCTTAACTTCTGGCCTCAAATGATCCTCCCACCTCAGCCTTCTGAGTAGTTGGGACTACAGGTGTGCACCACCATGCCCGGCTAATTTTTGTATTTTTAGTAGAGACGGGGTTTTGCCCTGTTGCCCAGGCTGGTCTTGAACTCCTGGACTGAAGTGATCTGCCTGCCTCAGCCTCCTAAAGTGCTGGGATTACAGGCGTAAGCCACCATGCCTGGCCTAAAATAATCTTCACAAAATATTCAAGTAGTAGCTTCATAGAAAGTAAAATGTCAAAGTCCCCTTTCCCCTCCTTCCCCTCTCTCTGGTCCCCGTAGGTAACACTGTCAGCAGTGTGCTGAGTATCCTTTGGTCTTTTTTCTGTACCTCTACATGAATTTGTGTGGTTTTTTATTTTTGGGGTGTAAATGAGCTCAAACTCGGTCCATGGCTGTGGGGCCTGCTTTCATCCGGCCATGTATCATGCAGAGGGACCCCACCACTGCCATGGGAGTTCTGAGCACATGCCCTGAGCTGGGGCTTGGCGAGGCTTTGGGAGAGATGGGAAGAAGTCTTCCTGGAGGTGGTTAATTTAGAGCAGGTTCTGGAGAAGAGTAGCATTGGATCAAAGGGGATCAGTCTGTCCAAAACAGCCTCTGTCGTGACCCGTCCCTGGGGTCTGGGTGGATGTATTCTGCTGCTGGGGGTCTGGGTGGATGTATCCTCCTGCTGCTGGGGGTCTGGGTGGATGTATCCTCCTACTGCTGGGGGTTCTGGGCGGATGTGTCCTTCTGCCGCTTCACCAATGACCCCGACTTGGCTGCCGCTGGTGGGGGCTTCTTCCCGTCTCTCTGAAGTGTCACTGGAAGGAATAGGCCCAGGAGAGGGCAGTTCGTTGGGTTGACAGAAGAGGGACCCTTGGGGAGTTGCCCCTTGCCAAAGTCTCTTTAGGCAGCCTGTAGGGGCCTCCCAATAGCTATCTTGCCCAGCCTACGTGGGTGGAGGATGGGATGCCTGTGGCCTCTGAGGAAGGGGCTGCCTGGGCTCAGATTTTCACCCTCCTGGCCCCACCCCAACCCCAACCAATGAGACTGCAGCCAGTGGGGTCCCAGGTGCTCTGAGTCTTATGTCATGCTGCTTTCCTTGACACTGCCATCGATGTGTAGATGAACCCCATCCCCTGCATCCTAAAGTTGGTTGTTTTCATTGTTTTTAAGTTTTCCCTAACTTAACAGTACAAAGTAGTGCCTTAATTGTAAGACATGGGTTCTGGGAGATAGGAATCCTGTGTGGTGGTTCCAGGGCAGCCACTTGCTTACCCAGGAAGGGGTTGTCTTGTGACTTGGGGTCTCATCCTGGGCTCAGGAATCCTGTAGGGGGAGGGGAGGACCTGGCAGGGAGCTCTGCATAGGTGGGTTTGTGGATGTCTCCCTTTCTGCAGCTCAGTGCTGCTCAAATGTGGGTAATACGTGGACTTCCAATTCACAGCCCTATTGAGATCTAATTCACATGCTGTACAATTCACTCATTTAGTAGCTTTTAGTACATTCAAAGAGCTGTTGTCTCACCACAGTCTAATTTTACAACATTTTCATCAACCTCAAAAGATACCCCAGTACCCATTGGTAGTCACTCCCCACCCCCAGCCCGCTAGCATGCTCTGTATCTCTATAGATTTGCTAATTCTAGACATTTCATATAAATGAAATCATACAACATATGGGTTTTTTGTAGACTCCCTCTCTCTCTCTTTTTTTTCTTGAGATGGAGTCTCGCTCTGTTGCCCAGTCTGGAGTATAGTGGCGTGATCTCGGCTGATGGCAACCTCCGCCTCCCGGGTTCAAGCGATTCTCCTGCCTAAGCTTCCCGAGTAGCTGGGATCACAGGCACCTGCCACCATGCCCAGCTAATTTTTGTATTTTTAGTAGAGATGAGGTTTCACCGTGTTGGCCAGGCTGGTCTTGAACTCCTGACCTCAGGTGATCCATCTGCCTCGGCCTCCCATAATGCTGGGATTACAGGCATGAGCCACCACGCCTGGCCCTCTCTCTCTCTCTCTTTTTTAAAGGTCTCACTCTGTTGCTCAGGCTGGGGTGCAGTGGTGCAATCACGGCTCACTGAAGCCTCAACCTCCTGGGCTCAGGTGATCCTCCCTCCTCAGTCTCCTGAGTAGCTAGGACCACAGGCATGTGCCACCACATCCGGCTAATTTAAAAGTTTTTTTAATAGAGACAAGGTCTTGTGTTGCCCAGGTCTTCAACTCCTGAGCTCAGGACTCCCTTTTGAAAAACAACAACAAACCCCTCACTTGCTGATTGACATTATTCTTACTGTAATATAACTGAAATGTGTATAAGACCAGGCATAAGCACCTTAGACTTAAAGTTTTTACAAAACTATTAAAAAAACAGGAAATAGTAGTAAAACCAGAAAGCCAACTCATTTCCAATGAACAATTACTTTAATTGGAAGGATGTTAACTGCACCTACATTGCCAGCCTTGGGTTGATGGTAGAGAGCTGTGCCCTTGGGCCTCTCCTGTGTTCCCTGCCTCTGTTTCTTGGGCCTGTTGTATAGGGAAGTACTAATAATGTTGGGCTGATGGGACGGGTTGGGGTAATCAGACCTCACATTTAAGCCTAGACTACGTGTGAGCAATCCCTGAATGTCTGTTTTAATGGGGTATTGCCCGATACTCGGAAAGCTGGCTTGTTTGATTGAAGATAAGCATGGAATAGTGGCATTATTGAAATCTGCTTGTAGTGGCTCTTAAACCCACTTCTTTTTTTTTTGGAGACAGAGTCTCGCTCTGTCGCCCAGGCATGGTGCGATCTGGGCTCACTGCAAGCTCCGCCTCCTGGGTTCACACCATTCTTCTGCCTCAGCCTCCTGAGTAGCTGGGACTACAGTCACCTGCCACCACGCCTGGCTAATTTTTTGTATTTTTAGTAGAGACGGGGTTTCACCATGTTAGCCAGGATGGTCTCGATCTCCTGACTTCGTGATCCACTTGCCTCGGCCTCCCAAAGTGCTGGGATTACAGGCGTGAGCCACTGTGCCCAGCCTAAACCCACTTCTTGTAGGAATCAGGAATTTGGCACAGAGATGGGCTTTACTCACTTCACACAGATGCTGTCAACATGCACATGGTCCTGACTGCTAAGAGGCTGGGCCTTTGAACTGGGCACCTCCAGGCTGCCATGGGCTATGGGGTGGCTCTGTTCTCCCTCCCCACCTGCTTTTTTTTTCCTATTTGAATCACAACCTTTCTTTGTGCTGTGTGTGATGATATCATTTGGCCTTCATGGAGAAGGAACTGGATTGTAAACACAGGAGCAAACTTGAGGCTCAAATTGTAGGGCACTGCTTGCTTATGAGATGGTTATTCAGATGACCAGGGGATGCTCTCATTACTTTTTGAAATGACATTAAAATAACCCTTTTAAAGTGTACAGTTCAGTGACAGTACATTTGCAATGTTTTGCAACCATCACCACAAACATTTTCAGTTCCAAAACATTTTCATCACCCCAAAAGGAAAACTCCATCCATCCATTAAGTAATCCCTCCCAGTTTCCCCTCCCCCAGCCTTGGCAACCATGGATCTGCATTCTGTCTCTGGATTTACCTATTTTGGATAGTTCATGTAAGGGGAATCATGTAATATGTGACCTTCTGTGTCTGGCTTTTTTCACTTAGCATAGTGTTCAGGGCTCATCTGTGTTGTAGCAAATATCAGTACTCCATTCCCTTTTATGGCTGAGTAACTTTCCATTGTATGGATAGGCCGCACTTTGTTTATTCGTTTATTATTTGATGGGCATTTGGGTTGTTTCTACCTTTTGGCTATTGTGAATAGCTGTTTGGCTGCTATGAATGTTCATGTGCAAGTATTTGTTTGGATACTTGTTTTTTATTCTCTTGGGTATATACTTAGCAGTGGGATTGCTTGGTCATATGGTAAGTCTTTGTTTAACTTTTTGAGTTTGATGTTCTGGAATTAGACAGCGGTGATGGTTGCACAACTTTGTGAATATACTAAAAATCATTAAGTCATATACAGACGGTCCCTGACTTATGGTGGTTCCACTTATGCTTTTTCAACTTTACAATGGGTTTATCTGCGTATAACTCCGTGGTAAGTCAAGGACCTCTTTACATCCTGCGATTTGTATCACTCTACCATTGTAAAGTTGAAAAAGTGTAAGTGGAACCATCGTTAAGTCAGGGGCTATCTGCTGTGTTACCAGAATTAAATGCATTTTTGACTTTTTTTTTTTTTTTTTTTTTTTTTTGAGACAGAGTCTTGCTCTGTCACCCAGGCTGGAGTGCAGTGGCGCAATCTTGGCTCACTGCAGTCTCTGCCTCCTGGGTTCAGACAATTCTCCTGCCTCAGCTTCCTGAGTAGCTGGGATTACAGGTACCTGCCACCACGCCTGGCTAATTTTTGTGTATTTAGTAGAGATGGGGTTTCACCATGTTGGCCAGGCTGGTGTAGAACTCCTGACCTCAGGTGATCCACCTGCCTTGGCCTCCCAAACTGCTGGGATTACAGGTGTGAGCCACCACCTGGCCTTGACTTATGATATGTATAATTTATGATGGGTTTGTCAGAATGTAACCCCATGATTACATCAAGGAGCATCTGTACTTTAAAGGGTGAATTTTATGGTATGTGAATTATATCTCAATTTTAAAATTTCACAGATCCCTAAGCAGGTATTCATGGAGTCTGGACTGAGTCATGTTCTCAGTTTTGGCAACCCAGGGTCCTGCATCACCTCTTGGGAATCCTGGGATCTCCCTTGGTGGGTGAGGACACTGTGTCTCACTCCATAGTCCCATTTTTGTGGGTAATCGGTGCGAGCTACAGGAAACAAATGGGCTCACTGGCTGCCTGCCCCCCTACCTTGGCTCATTCCGGCCCTTTCCAGCTGCCGCTGCTGCTTCCTTTTTTTGAATCAGGGCCTTGCTGTGTTGCCCAGGTTGGAGTGCAGTGGCATGATTGCAGTTCACTGCAACCTTGAACTCCTGGGCTCAAGTGATCTTCCCGCCACAGCCTCTCAAAATGTTGGAATTACAGGCATAAGTCACCACTCATAGCCTGTTTCTGGCACATAAACAAGAGGTGCTTACTGTAGAACTGTTCCTTAGTTTCTCCACCCGTGAAGGAGGTCTGTGAGCAGCCCAGCCATGGCCACAGCCTGGGCTCTGCGGACAGTGATGTCTGCAGTGGGTCAGACATGCCACATTGACTTCCTTTCCAGATCCTCTTTTCCTCTGTCTGTCTTTTGTGTCGCTTTCCACAATGGCCTGTGTGAGCCTCAGGACCAGTTCCTCTTTTGGGATGCTGCTTCCTTCTAAGATTGCAGCTGAGGGTGGCGTTGGCCCCCTTGTCTGTCTGTTCAGTCCTCACTGCACACCCACTTCCCCCAAGTCTGGCCCGTTTCAGTTGGTGGCAACCCCATGCTTCTAGGTGTTCAGGCCAAACACTGCAAAGCTGTCCGTGGTTTCTCTCTTTCTCTTACACTTCAGAAAAGATGTGCCAGGAGGTTCACTGGCCTCACCTTCAGCATGGATGCACGGCGAGCCATGTCCTCACCTGTCCTCTGCTGCTAGCCCCGCCTCCAGCATCACCTGCACTGTTGGAGTAGCCACCTGATGTTTCTGCTGGTTTCTGCCCTTGTCCCCAACCAACTCTTCTAACACAGCAGCTAGCAGACCTTGTCAGAACTTAAAACTCAGGTCAGAGCACTTCTCTGTCCTAAGCTCCCTAGGGGCTCCCTGTATCCTCACAGTAAAAGCCAGTGTCCTTACTGTGGCTTCCAGGACACCATCATCCAATACCCAGCCTCATGCTCACCTTGTCACAGCCGCACCGGCTAGCTCATGGCTCTTTCAATACCCTAGGAACGCCCCTCCCCCACAGGACATTTGCATAGACTAGCCCTGCGACCGGAGGTCCTTTTTCTCCAGAGAGCCACAGGGCTGCCTTGTCACTTCCTTCAGTCTTTACTCTCATGTGAGGCCTCCCCTGTATACCTTGTCTAAAATTTCACCTCTTCCCTGCATCTCCTTGTATACTATTTTACTAATTTATATAGTTTATTTCTGTGTCTCTTGCTAGTGTGCATGAGGCAGGGATTTTTGCTCTGTATTTCTGGCTCCTAGAACAGTGCCTCACACATAGGTGGTGTCCCAGAAATGTTTGTAGGATAGCTACAGGAAGAGAGAATGCATGAGCCCATTTTATAGATGAGAAAATGATCCTCAGAAAGGTGGACTGGAACCTGGTCTCTCCACTCCCTGCCCAGGGCTCTCTGGCTGAACCACAGTTGCCACCTCCTCTTCCCCATATCCCTGACTCCAGAACAGTCACGTGAACCTCGTGGGTTTGAGCGTTCAGAACTCCCTTAGAAGCTCCCCTTGTCAGCGGGGTAATTATGGAACTGGCAGCTACCTCTGGGCATTTGCACGGAAAGGATGGTAAGAGCCTGTTCCCGTGGGCGGGGGCTTGGTCTGTGTGAGGCACTGAGTTTGGCAAGTTAGAGGGATTTCTCAGTTAAACCTCACAGCTTCCTGTGGAAGGGGACTGGTCATGTCCTCCATTCTGCAGACAGTGAAGTAGGGAGCTTTTATATGGGCAGAAATGAAAAAGATTGGTAACGTGTTGAACTAGGCAGGATGTGGGAAAACTGGCTTTCTTAAGCATGAAGCAGCATTGGTTGCTGTATACAATGCAACAACCTTTTGGAAAGGTAATTTGGCAGTATCTCGGAAAGCTGTTTAAGTGCACATCTTTAGCTCAGCCTCCTGAATTCTGGTAACCTGTCCTAAAGAAGTAAACTATCAGGATGCAAGGCTGTGTGCACAAGGATTTTGCGGCAGTGAACCGGAGACTCGCTGTCTCCTTTCAGTTCTGTGTTCTTCCCACCGCAGGGCATCTGCACGGGCCGTTCCCTCTGCTGCCGGGCATGTGTCTTCACACGGCCGGGGCCTTCCTGTCTTCATACGTCGGCATAGGCCTTCCGTGACTGTCATATCTAAAATATGTTCCTTCCCTATCTTTCTCATCTAGCTCAGCCTCTCAGCCCCTGGTAGCCCACATCACAATGTATACAGTGTATCATAATCGTGTTCCCTGGTGGACTCCCTCCCTCCCTCCCTCTCCTTCTCTTGTTGGAAGATCTGCTCCATGAGGGTCCGGGTCTGTGCCTGTCTGGTTGACAGGGTCAGTACTTCGCAGCTGTTTGTTGAATGAGTAGTGATGCAATGAAATGGCTTTTGCCACCATTAAGCAGACAGGGTTGGAATTACGTGTATTGGCTGGGAGGGGTGTTTGTATTAAGCAGACGGGGTTGGAATTACCTGTATTGGCTGGGAGGGGTGTTTGTGTTGTCCTGTTAAGGGCAAAAGCTTGTTGCACAAGGAAGCTTAAGAGGTGGGCTTGGATGGGGATGGGAAGGGCATAAGCGTTTTCTCTATAGACCTTTGACTTGTGACAATAAGTACAAGTTACTTTTGTAATAAAAAACATCTGGCAGGCCGGGTGTGGTGGCTCACACCTGTAATCCCAGCACTGTGGGAGGCTGGGGCAGGAGGATCACTGAGGCCAAGGAGTTTGAGGGGAGCCTGGGCAGCATAGTGAGATTCTTGTCTCTACAAAAAAAAAAAAAAAAATTAGCCAGCTGCGGTAGTGTGTGCCTGTAGTTCCCCAGATACTTGGGAGGTTGAGATGGGAGGATTGCTTGAGTCTGGGAGGTCAAGGCTGCAGTGAGTCATGATCGTACCACTGTACTCCAGCCTGGGCAACAGAGGGAGACTCTATCTCAAACAACAACAACAACAACAACAACAACAGCAGTAACAACAACAAAACCTGGTTAACCAACAAAGAAAATTTTAAAAAGGGGAAGAAATATCCCATTAGGGAGTATCAGGACTTGAACTCTGGTCTTTCGGACTCCCAGCCCATGTTCTTACCCATAACCCAACCCTTGCCATGTTTCCACACACAGCCTGTTAGTATAGCCTCACTGCAGTCCTCAGGGGAGGGCAGAGTATGAGTTATTAGCTATTTCTGTTTTATTTTGTCAATTGAGATCTAATTTTCAGATAGTGAATCAAGGCATAGCTTGATGAATTGCTACGGTTGTATCACCTGTGTCTCCCTACCCAGATCAAGGTGTAGAACATTTCCAGTGCCCCAGAGGTTCCCTGGTGCCCCTTCCCGGTCCTTTCCCCCACCCTGCCACCCCTGTAGGTGGTCACTCTCCTGACCGCCTTCCCAAGGATCAGTCCTGCCTATTCTTGAACTTTGTACAAGTGGACTAACACAGTATGAGCTGTTTTTATCTGGTGTCTTTCATTCCACATCAGCCCTGAGGGAGTCACCCGTGTCGCTGCAGGTATCAGTATCGTTCATTTCATTGCTGAGTAGGGTTCCATGGTAGGGACAATTTGTTAATTCTTTTTCTTATTGTTGGGACTTTGCCATGTTTCCTTTTTTGGTGCTTGTGGATAAAGCTACTGTGAACATTTTTGTGTCTTTTGATGAACATGAACACCCGCTTCTCTAGGACGTAGAGCCAGGTGTGAACTGCTGGGTGCTGGGGTAGAATCCTCCTTTCACCAAGAGGGAGACCGAGGAGGTTCCAGAGGGTCTGAGAGAGGAAGAGCCTTGCCCAGGGTCACATGATAACTCAATTAGCCTGTCTAACCCTCTTCCTCCCTTCACCTTCCAGTCTTAACAACCTCCCACTCCCAGCTGCAGCCTTGTGGGAGAGTGGGCAGGCTGGAGTTGGGGGTAGGGGGGCTTCTGGAGGGCCATATTTCCAAGTCTCGTTTCACTGGGCGTGCCCACGAAGCAGCAGTCTTCTCTGCCTTCCTCGCCCACCTCCTTCCCCATCCCTGGCTCCAGAGCGAGTGGCCAGACTGCAGTTTGCCCTACGTGGTGGTTGGTGCTGGGAGAGATGAGGAGGGCTTGCTGTTTGTTGGATGTTGGTGCTGGCCAGGCACAGACCCCGATCAGCACATAGGGGCTGTACTGGCATCTTGAGCCTGGGATGGTGCACATACGTGGATGAAGATCTGAGCAGAGCCCTGCACACACCTTCTACTCACGTGTGCTCCTGGCGGGTGCAGGTGTGCACAGCTGCCTCGCTCAGACCCAGCCTGTCTGGGGCCGGCGCATGCCTGGCCACAAGGCCGCCAACTCCCTGACCCGAGGTAGCGTTTGGGTCATTCCTCAGCGCCACTCGCACAGCTCTCCTGACTGTGCCAACTCTCTGGGTGGTGGTGCCTTTAGCTCTTTCCATATCTGCTCCATCTCTCCATCCTGAGCTCTGCAGGGCTGGAGATAGAAATGAATATAGGCATTAAAAACTTTTTTTTTTTTTTTTTGAGACAAAGTCTCGCTCTGTCACCCTGGCTGGAGTGCAGTAGTAGCGCGATCTCGGCCCACTGCAACCTCTGCCTCCCGAGTTCAAGCGATTCTCCTGCCTCAGCCTCCCGAGTAGCTGGGACTACAGGCGTGTGCCACCATGCCTGGCTAATTTGTGTGTGTGTGTGTATTTTTAGTAGAAACAGCGTTTTACCATGTTAACCAGGATGGTCTTGATCTCCTGACCTCGTGATCTGCCCGCCTTGGCCTCCCAAAGTGCTGGGATTATAGGCGGGAGCCATGTGCCTGGCCTATTAAAAACATTTTTTAACGAGGCCTTAATTTTCTTTTACCATGGTAAAATATACGTAACATAAAATTTACCATTTTGGGCGTTTAAAATTGTATAATTTAATGTCATTAAGAGCATCCATATTGTGCACCCATCACCACCATCCAGCCCCAGAACTTTTCCTTCTTTCCAAACTGAAACTCTGCACCCATTAAACACTAACTCCCCACTCCCTCTCCTCCAGGCCCTGGCACCCACAGTTCTACTTCCTGTCTCTGAATTTGACCAAGGTATCTCATATTATTGGAATCGTACAATATTTCTTCTTTTGTGTCTGGCTTAAACATATAACATAATGTCCTCAAGGTTCATCCGTATTGTAGCATGTGTCAGAATTCATTTCTTTTAAAAAATGTTAACATTTATTTTATTTTTCTTTAGAGATGGGGTCTTGCTCTATCACCAGAGCTAGAGCGAGCACAGTGGCATGGTCCTAGCTCACTGCAACCTCAAGTTCCTGGGCTCAAGCAATCCTCCTGTTTCAGCCTCCCAAGTAGCTGGGACCACAGGAGTGTGCGCCACACCTGGCTAATCTTTAAAATTATTTTTTATCGAGGTGAGATCTTGTGTTGCCCAGGCTGGTATCAAACTCCTGACTTCAAGCAGTCCTCTTGCCTTAGCCTCCCAAAGTGTTGAGATAACAATCATGAGCCACTATGCCTGTCCTGTTTTGTTTTTTTTTTTTTGAGGCTGTAATTGTTCTTTTGAGCATATTTGAAAGGTATCGCACAGACTGGGCGCGGTGGCTCACGCCTGTAATCCCAGCACTTTGGGAGGCTGAGGTGGGTAGATCACCTGAGGTCAGGAGTTTGAGACCAGCCTGGCTAACATGGTAAAACCCGGTTTCTACTAAAAATACAAAAAATTAGCCAGACGTGGTAGCGCGTGCCTGTAAACCCAGCTACTTTTGAGGCTGAGGCTGGAGAATTGCTTGAACCTAGGAGGCAGAAGTTACAGTGAGCCAAGATCGCCCCATTGCACTCCAGATTGGGCAACAAGAGCAAAACTTTATCTCAGAAAAAAAAAAAAAGGTATCATACGTCTTTGGGATTGAGTGAGGGGGTCAGCTTGATGGTGAGAGTGGCAATAAATAGCATTTGTTATGTTTACCAGGTGCTAGCACTTTCCTTACATTGTCTCATGTAATCCTTACCATATCCCTATGAAGTAGGTATTAACATTATCCTTATTTTACACATAAGGGAACTAGGCTCAGAGAAGTTCGGTAACTTAGCCAAGGTCACACAGTAAGTCACGGGCAAGCTAGGTTTGGATGCCAGTTCTGCCTGGCTCTACAGCCAGTGCTGTGTGTTTCTGACCCCAGCTCTGGCCCTTCCTTCTTCAATACCAGGCTTAGAGTTATTTCTTCAAATCCTTCTTGTCACCTCTCTGGCCTGAGTGTGGAGCTGATTGGTGCCATGGTATGGGCCCCTCCTCCCAGCCCCAGGTCCCCTTCCTGGGCCCCAGCTTCTTCTGAAAGCCTCTTTATGCAGCAGCCTCTGGGCCAGGCGGGAGTGTCTGCAGGGAGGTGGGCCTCAGAGCCCGCAGTGTGAGGCTGGCAGGGGCGGCTTGGCCTGGGGTGGCCACACGGCAGGATGTCCCTCTTGGCAGGACTTTCCCTGAAAAAACAGCTACCAGGACTTCAGGATGGAAGGGACAGATAAACAGGAAGAGGGAGAAACTTAAAAATATTTTTCTTCCTCTCCCGTGGCCTGGCATTTTCTCCCTGCTCCTCCCTCTGCCACTGGAGGTTTGAGGTGGTGGAGTGCTTGCTCCCCTGCCCGAAGCTGCCCGGGGGCCTGGAGAGCCACAGCTGGCAGGTGCAGGTTCATTCTTGTGGGTTTTGTTTTGCCTGATGGGCTGGTGTGAGCCTAGGCATTCAGGGCCAGACGGCCTGAGTTTGAATCTTTGCTCCACTGTTTCTTTGCTGTGGGTTCTAGGCCAAGTCACTCAGCCTCCTGATGCATCAGAATGGCCACAATCTGTAGCTGCAGGGCTATTTGGAGAAATGATATGGCAGTGACTCTTTGTCACGCTCCAGCTGTGACACTCAGGTGGATCTGTACAGGGGTTTTCTCAGTTAGTCCTCATGGCCTCAGAGGTGGGTGTGGGCATGGACTTCACTGACAGGTGTTGAAGCATAGAGAGGTGGAGCTTCAGTCAGGGGCATCAGGCTGGTCGTGGTGGAGCTAAGGCTCGAGCCCACACAGTCTGCATTCAACGCCCTGCTTGCTCATTGGTCTGGTGTGTGGTACCTTGGCACGTGGTACTATTGGAACTGTGAACTTCTTTCTTAGTTTGGGGTTGGTGGGGTGAGCTTTGCACCCCAGATGTCCCAGAGCAGTACCCACCCTGTTGCTCAGGTGCCTCCACATGGTGCCTCCTCCCTGCAGCCCCACTAGGTGGACACAGGCCGTGGTCGTGCTTCTCTCCCATTGCCACAGCTGGGCAGCACATCACACCCCGCAGAGCAACACCTAAGATCCTGGCATGGTCCCCAGGGACTGGGGTTCGGCCTACCCCACCTCATCCTATATTCTGGCCTCACAAGCACCTTAATTCTTCCCACAATACTATACAGGAGGCACCTCTCTCTATGCTGCTCCCTCTGTGCAGAGTGTGCTTCCTCCCCCTTCCGGTCTATCAAATGTTGCTCATCCTTTAAGTCCCAGCTCTGTTCCTTTTTCGGGAAGCCTTCCCAGAGTTCCCGACCATTAGTTAACGTCTTCCGCCACTGTGCAGCTCGGTATAATGGGAAAGGTGCTGGAGTCCCTGCGCTTCTGTCAGCCTCTCTGTGCCTCAGTTTCCTCATCTGTGGATTGGGGATTATAGGGGTGGGGGAAGGAGAAAGCTTGGACTCTCTTGCTCTGGTCCGTGTGGAGTTGGCTGGAGCCGGTGCAATATGGCCCTCTTAGGGTTAAGTTCCTCCCATGCCAGGGGCGGAAGTGAAGAGGACAATGTGTGAAATGAAGTCACTTCCCTGCCGGGGGTCTGCCGTGTGCCTGGCCTTCTGCAGTAAATCCTGTTTCCTCCTTGGCCTCTGTATGCCCACCCATTCCTGGCTCCCATGACCCCACAGGCCACCAGCAGGTGGGGGCTCCTGATGGAATGTTGGCCTGTCTTTCATCCGGCAAGGTCACTTCCTGTCTGGATAAGCCATCCCACCTTTCCTGCCACTGAGGGAGGCTACATGAGGTCAAGTGCAATGCCCAGCCTGCTCCTTTTACTCCTGGGGATGCTGAGGCCCAGGGAGGGGAGAGAACTTCCTGGGGTCAGGCCTCCAGACCACACTCCAATTGTGGGGAGGACTGTGTGGGCCAGGGTGCCTCCTGTGGTTGTTTCTGGGGAAAACCAGGCCTCACAGGCCTGCTGCATGAGGTGAGGAAGTTTCTCGGCCTCCCTGGGCCTCCATGGAACCTGGGGGAACCTGAGTGTAAGAACCATCCTGAGAACTAACCTGGTCTGGCCAGGACATCATGGCCTTATTTAACCTTCACTGCCCTGCAGGAGAGCGAGGCTCAGAGAGGCCAAGCCATGGGCCTCTGGTGAGGGACAGCGCTGGCGTCTACGCAGCTCCTTCTTACCCCACTGGCCAGTTTTCCCATGAGAAGGTGTTGAGCGTTCCAGCAGTGGCACCTCGGGAGCGTCCTCACCCCGTGGGGTCAGGGTCCCTTGGGCTGTGAAGCTGTTGCAGAACCATGGTTGCTGGTGTCAGTGGCCACTGTGTAGTTCTTTTTTGTCTTTCTTTTTTTTCTAAATAGTGTATGTTTACTGTAGGGAAATGAGAGAAAATAAAGATATCCAGGAAGATGAGAAAAATCATCTGAGATCCCATTTTTCAGAGATAAGTACGGTTCACCATTGATGTTTTGAGATTTGTCCTTCCAGACATTTTTACTCTGTGTGTGTGTGTGTGTGTGTGCGTGCGTGCATGCATACCTGTGTTCATGCACATTTGTATACAAGAGGCCTCCCCCTTTTTAATGGAACAAAACTCTAAAATCCTGTAGTGTCTTTTTTTTTTTAAACTAGACATATAGTAGATATTTTTCTACATCAGTAAATAAGCTGCTATTTCATTCGAAGTTTGACATCCATAAAAGAGCCAAGGACAGTGGCTCATGCCTGTAATCCCAGTGCCCTGGGAGACTGAGGCAGGAGCATTAGTTGAGGCCAGGAGTTCGAGACCAACCTGGGCAACATAGTGAGACCCTCATCTCTACAAAAAATACAGACTCCTGTATCCCATCACCACACCCTCTTCCTGCTCTCAACAGGACTTCTTGCCTGACTTCCAACATTATAGACTAGTTTTGCCTGTTTTTGAGTTTTAGATAAATGGAATCATGTAGTATTTGCTTATGTTGGCTTTTTTCGCTCCATGTCCTGTTAAGGATGTTCATCTGCTGCTCCATCCATTTTGATGGCCTTAATGACATCCATGATACATTCAGCTTCAAGCACTGTTGATGTGAAAGACATTTCTAATCTTTCACTAATATCAACAGAACTGTACTGGATACCTTTGTGGCCCTGTCTTTCCCTGTTTCCTTTGGATACATTGATAGAAGGATTGCAGGGTCAAAGGGTCTGCAGGACAGTTTTGTTGATATTAGTGAAAGACTAGAAATATCTTTCACATTCATAGTGGTTGAAGTGGAATGTATCATGGACGTCATTGTGTAGTCATGAAAATGGATGGAGCAGTGGTGGATGAATATCCCTAACAGGATATGGGGCAAAAGAAGCCAATGTAAGCAAATACTACATGGTTCCATTCATCTAAAAAGGCCACTTTAAAGATATTTTAGAATTATTACCGGTTTACATCCTGCCAGGTGCTCAGGAGAGAGCCCGTCCCCAGTGCCCATGCCCACATGGGTGTTTCCACCCTGGTTCACCTCCGATGTGATGATGGACACTGCATGGTTTTCATTGTTTCTGGGTTCTCTTCTCTTCTCTTTTCTCTTCTCTCTTTTCTTTTCTTTTGGAGTTTCGCTCTTGTTGCCCAGGCTGCAGTGCAGTGGCGTGATCTCGGCTCACTGCATCATCTACCTCCTGGGTTCAAGCAATTCTCCAGCCTCAGCCTCCTGAGTAGCTGGGATTACAGGCATGCACCACCATGCCCAGCTAATTTTGTATTTTTAGTAGAGATGGGGTTTCTCCATGTTGGTCAGGCTGGTCTCAAACTCCCGACCTCACGTGATCTGCCTGCCTCGGCCTCCCAAAGTGCTGGGATTATAGGGGTGAACCACCATGCCCAGCCGATTTCTGGGTTTTCCATTACAAGTTAGGTTGGACATTGTGTCTCATGTTCATTGGCCATTTGTATTTCTTCTCTTTCTATTTTGCTTGTTATTTTTGGTCTGTTTTACTTTCAAAATGTACTTGTTTTCCCATTTGTTTGAAAAATAATCCATATGTTGAATGACAGATAATAGGCCGGGCACAATGGCTCATGCCTGTAATCCCAGCACTTAGGGAGGCCAAGGCGGGTGGATCACCTTAGGTCAGGAGTTCGAGAACAGCCTGGCCAACATGGCAAAACCCCGTCTCTACTAAAAATACAAAAATTAGCCGGGCATGGTGGTGTGTGCCTGTAATCCTAGCTACTCAGGAGGCTGAGGCATGAATCGCTTGAACCTGGGAGGCGGAGGCTGTGGTGAGCCTATATCACGCCACTGCACTCCAGCCTGAGTGACAGAGCGAGACTCTGTCTCAGAAGAAAAAAAAGAGAATGACAAATAATAAAAATACATTGAAAATATTTTTATCCAGTTTGTCATTTGCCTTGTAACTTCGTGTTTTGTTTTTTTCTGATTGGTCAAAAGCTGATTATTTTTTATGCAGTCTGATCTGTCCACTTTAACTTTTATGTGTTCTGCCTCCAGAATTTTGTGTAGAAAGTTCTTTTCTGTCCCAAGATTATACAAATATTTACTTACATTCTCTTCTTTCATGTCTGTGGCTTCCTTTGTATCACGTCTTCTTTTATCCTTCCGCACTTCCTTTGGGAGCGTGATGTAAGATGAGGGGCAGCTATAAAGAGCATGCCTGGGAAGCCTGGCTGCCTGGCTTTGAGCCCTGCTCAGCCACCTGCGCACCCTTGGGGCAAGTTAACCCGGACCATCTGGGCCTCAGTGTCTGCACCTGCAAAAATGGGAGTAAGGCAAGGGTTATGAAGGTGAAATCAAACTGTTTGTAAACGTATTCTCAGGGCTCCTTTACACTTAAAAATTGACGACTCTAAGAGCTTTTGTGTGGCTTGTATACATATATCAATAGCTACCACACTGGAAATTGAAACAGTATATTTAAAAACACATATTTCGGCTGGGCATGGTGGCTCACGCCCGTAATCCCAGCACTTTGGGAGGCTGAGGTGGGTGGATCACCTGAGGTCAGGAGTTCGAGATCAGCCTGGCCAACATAGTGAAACCCTGTCTCTACTAAAAATACAAAAATTAGGCATGGTGGTGCATGCCTGTGATCTCAGCTACTCGGGAGGCTGAGGCAGGAGAATCACTTGAACCTGGGAGGCGGAGGTTGCAGTGAGCCGAGATCGTGCCACTGCACTCCAGCCTGGGTGACAGATTAAGACTTCGTCTCAGAAAACTAACAAACAAAAACACGTATTTATAAATTCATTTATAACAAGCCTATTATGTGGTAACATAAATAAAATCTATTATTTTTCCTGGAAAATAACTGTATGTTCCAAAACAAAAAAATTGAATAGGAAGCGTGGCATTGCCTTTCAGATTTGCAAGCCTCTTTCGTGTCTGGCTTAACAGAAGACAGCTGGATTCTCATGCCTGCCTCTGCATTCAATCTATTGTGATACATTGTTTTGACTGAAGTATGGTGAAGAAAATCGGCTTCACCACAGATATGTAATGTGAAAAGGGAGGAATATTTTATTAGCTTCTAGATATTTTCCTTTGATCCTATGTAAAAATTTGACAGGTGGTTGATTCTTAAAGCTAGTTGAAATGTGGAATCTGAAAGCACATTAATGAACATTTTGTACCTCGTCACGTTAAGATCCACTGGACTGTGTTGCAGTGCGAATGGCTCCGTTACGGGATTTTGTAATATCAGGCATCTGTCTTTGGGAAAATATTGGCCCTGTGTGTTACACAGATCTTCCAAATGTGGATACATTTCATGTCAACATTTTAAAAAAGTCACATCTGTTACTATCGTCACACCTATTATCAGAAAAATCTTTCTGTTTTCAGCAGCTTTTGAACTCACAGTGGGTGACACACGCTTTCCAAAATTCTAATTTTCCCTTGAAAGCTCCAAGCTCCAACTTTATTATTGGCAACAAATTAAGTCAGTTGTTTTCTTTGAAGGGACAGGCTCACTTTACTCATTTTTGTGAAAATATCTGCCATGGCCAGGTGTGGTGGCTCACGCCTATAATCCCAGCACTTTGGGAGGCCGAGGGAGGCGGATCACCTGAGGTCGGGGGTTCGAGACTAGCCTGTTCGAGACCAACATGGAGAAACCCCATCTCTACTAAAAAAAATACAAAATTAGCCGGGCATGGTGGTGCATGCCTATAATTTCACCTACTCGGAAGGCTGAGGCAGGAGAATCGCTTCAACCCGGGAGGCGGAGGTTGCCGTGAGCCGAGATCACGTCATTGTACTCCAGCCTGGGCAACAAGAGAGAAACTCTGTCTCAAAACAAAACAAAACAAAACAAAACAAAACAAAACAAAACAAAAAAACAAATCAGAAACTGTCTGCCAAATACTCATATCTGAAAACCCACTGTTTGTCTGTTGGTCATTCTGTCAAGTAAAAATGTTGTTCCCGGCCAGGTGCAGTGGCTCACGTCTGTAGTCCCAGCATTTTGGGAGGCTGAGGTGGGCGGGTCACTTGAGCCCAGGAGTTGGAGACCATCCTGGACAACATGGCCAAACCCCATATCTACCCAAAATACAAAAGTTAGCCGGGCATGGTGGCGCATACCTGTAGTCCCAGCTATTTGGGAGGCTGAGGTGGTGGGAGGATAGCTTGAGCCCGGGTTGAGGATGTGGTGAACCGTGATCGTGCCACTGCACTCCAGCCTGGGTGACAAAGCAAGACCCCATCTCAAAAAAAAAAAATAGTATTCTTTGGACTAGAGGCTGGGTCAGCTCCAACTCTGACGAGCTCTGTGTCATTCTTGGGCCTTACATGCACTTCCCGTTTTATCACACAGAATGTCAAATGGACATGTACCCAAAGGCTAAGATTCAGTGAAACTAATCATTTTTACTGCCTCATCATGGACCCTTACGTGACATTGGTGAATTTTGTCACCGCGAGTGCATATCTCTGGGAACACAGTGAGACCGGCCCATTTTGGGGCTGCTGCCTTGTTCTACTGAGACTCTAGCAGTTTCACCCCCTTCATGGCTTTTGAGCCACCAAATGTCATTCCAGTGAAAGGCAGTGACGTCTTAGTGCTGCGGTGAGAATCCTGTTGACCTCTGGACCCCTGGAAGGAAGGCGCTGGGCCCTGGGGTCTGTGGAGCCTGCTTTCAGAACTGTAGGATTAGATGACAGATGCACGGCTGAGCACAGTGCCTGGCACGCTCTTGGAGTCCAGTACATGTTACCTGCTGCCATTATTATCCTTTCCCCCAACTAACCTGAGTGACACTGCCTGGGGGAGTGGAGGTGGAAGCCATTGGGTTAAGAATTCAGTGTTTGTGATTTCAAATCCTGCTCAAGGTGCTAACATGTTTGGTCCTCAGGAGTGAGTGAAGGGCCCAGGGGACTTGATAGGTGCCCCATTTTACTTGCCCCTCTGAGCAGCAGGGAGGGCACGACTCATCGAGAGACCCAGGGGTCTCAATCAGGCAACTCTCCCTCATGGGTGGAATCTGCCTCTCAGAGAGGAGCCCTCTGTCTTCCTTCTGACCTGAAAGGGCTTCCCTGGCCTCTGGCCTCCATGTGTCCTCCTCCTTAGCCTTCTCACCTGGGGGTGGGGGTGGTCAAAGGTCAGCGCCTTCCACCCAGCATTTTCTTTCAGGCAGTCAACACATGGTGGCCACTTATGGACTGTATGTTGTACTGTGGGACCTGGACTAAAACCCCATCTGTGCTGTCTGGTTTATTCTCACAACACAGACACCTGCAAAGTTGATCCTTTAAAAAAATTATCTTTCTATTAAAAAAATTATCTTTCTATTAAAAAAAATTTTTTTAGGACAGGCACGGTGGCTCGTGCCTGTAATCCTAGCACTTTGGGAGGTCGAGGTAGATGGATCACCTGAGATCGGGAGTTCAAGACCAGCCTGGCCAACATGGTGAAACCCCGTCTCTACTAAAAATACAAAAAAAAAAAAAAATTAGCCGGGCATGGTGGCGGGTGCCTATAATCCCAGCTACTTGGGAGGTTGAGGCAGGAGAATCGCTTGAATACAGGAGGAGGAGGTTGCAGTGAGCCGAGGTAGTGCCATTGCACTCCAGCCTGGGCTACAAGAGCGAAACTCTGTCTCAAAAAACAAACAAACAAACAAAAAATTTTAGAGACAGGGTCTTGCTCTGTCACCCAGGCTGGAGTGCAGTGGTGCGATCACAGCTCACTGCAGCCTTGACCTGGGCTCAAGTGATCCTCCCACCTTAGCCTCCCAAGTAGCTGGGACCGAAGGTGTGCACCACCTTGCCTGGCTAATTTTTGTACTTTTAGTAGAGATGGGGTTTCGCCACGTTGCCCAGGCTGGTCTCGAACTTGTGGCCTCAAGCTATCCGCCAGCCTTGGCTTCCCAAAGTTCTGGGACCATAGGTGCATACCACCACACTGGCTAATTGTTACATTTGTATGTTTTGTGTGTGCGTGTGTGTGTGTGTGTGTGTGTGTGTGTGTGTGTGTGTGTGGTGTATGTATGTGTTCGTAGAGATGAGGTCTCACCATCTTGCCCAGGCTAGCTTTTTATTGTTTTAAAAAAATTTTCCCTGTTTTGTTTATCCAAGTGGCTCCTTTGTGCCAAGCACAGGCCAGGCCCTGAGGATGCCAGTGAAGGCCAGCACCAGGTCCTGCCTGGTGGGTCCCCAGGGAGACCCCTGTGGTGGGAAGGCACGGAGGGGAGGATAAGGAAGCCTCCTGATGCAGGGAGTGGGCTGGACAAGAAGATTGAGCCAGTCAGGAAGATGTGGAATGAGTGATTGGGGGGCTGGTGTGTGGCCCTCAAACTTCGCTGCTCCACGGAAGAAACAGCAGCATCTTTTCTGTCGCTGGAGGAAAACTGGCTGGGCCAGACCATTTGAGAGACGGCCCAGCCTTGTTGTTTATGGAATATGTCAAGGATCTTCAAAGGCAACATTTCTGCCATCAACAGACTGCAAAACACCCTGCTCCCACCCCCTGGTCCAGTAAGATGCTCCTCGGCTTTCTTATTATTTTTGTTATTGATGTTGATTATTTGCCAAGGCCTGTTGATGGTGCCCATTCTAGGGACTGTGAGGAGGTGCACTGGCTGGAGTTTAGGGCATGGGAGTTGGGGAGCAGCAGGTTGGAGAAGGGCTGGGCCAGCCCAGCGTGCTCCTGGACTGCCACATGCTGCGCCCTGAGTCCAGCTGATATGCTTAAGGTAGAATCTGCCTCCTCAGAAGCAGGGTCACTGGCCCCAGCTGGACGTGCCCAGTGATGCGCATGAGCACGAGGTGCCATAGAGAGTGAGGAGCAGGAGAACCCTGTCCCAACGCCACCACCCACTGTTCTTGTGACTGTGGGCAGGTCTCCGGCCACCCGTGGACCCCAGTTTCCTCCTTTGTAAAATGAAAGGGTCAGACTTGGGTCTCAAAGGTACTTCTGGCTCTCAACTCTAAGATACACGTGGGTGCCCAGGGTGGGTTTCGACTCTGTATGGCGTGTGTGTGTGTGTGTGTGTGTGTGTGTGTGTGTGCAGGCCTGTGGGAGCTGCGGAACCTGTGTGTGTGTGTGCAGGCCTGTGGGAGTTGCGGGACCAGGCCCAGGGCAGGTGAAGGGCTGGTCTGAGCCCCTGCCCTGGGTACAGACCTGGACGTTTCATGTGCTCTGCACCCACAGTAGGGGAACCCTGCAGCACGGCAGCTTCCTCTGTATTTGTTCTTGAGCTGAGGCAGATGTTTCCTCCAGCTGGCCACTCGGCCCTCTGCCGTCCCCCAGAGTCGGGCCCTATTTTTAGCTCCATTGTTACTCACCCTGGGCATCTGGCTGCCAGGGGCGTGTGAGAGGCCATGGCTCCGGAAGGGGTACTCTCCCCCTGGGTCCCACGTGTTCTTTGCCCCCTGCCGGTCCCTGCTCTAAGCTTCCTAGTGTCCGTTGGGAAAGCTGGGGTGGCTTCAGTGGAGGAATGAGGGAGTGGCAGGTGAAGTGCAGGAAGAGCCAGCTGCGGAAACGGAGGCTGGGCTCTGTCTTGTACTGTAGAGAACTCTCTGGCCTGTTTTTTCACCTGCTTGATGGGACAGTTGCCCTGTGCTTCTCCCTTCCTCATAAGGTTGTCCTGAAGTTCCAATGTGAAATGCACTTGGTAAAGTGGCATTTGGAATCTACAACTATTGTGGGCTGAATCCTGTTAGTAGGGCTGCCCCACAGAAGGAACATCAGACCCAGAGTGGGGAGGTGAGGCATGTACTTAGGAAACACCAGGCCACCGGGGTCAGGGCCAGGCTGGGTGGAGCACAGGCTGAGTGCTGCTTGGCTTGGAGCAGGAGGCCCATTCATTTCCACTGGATGTTGATGGATGTACTGAAGGGGGTGAGGGTGGCCTGGCGTGCCTGGTTGTGGGACCCACAAGGGTGAGGGCAGGGAAGGGCCTTAGGTCCTGGGAGGACCTTGAGGGCCTTGAGCAGCTCTGTGGGGCAGCTCTGGAACTTCTCTCTAGGAGGGCACAGGTTGGGTCTGGGGGCAGGAAGCGCTGCAGCTTCTTCTGAGCGTGCAGCCAGTACACCAGCTCTGCTCCTGGCTGTTGGACACACAGGGCTTTCAGGAAACATTGATTTTGCACAAAGAATTCAGCCGCTGAAATGTCTGAAAACCACCCATCTATCTCGTCCAGATGGAAATAAGCGTGGGCTGTGCCGAACTCTTGGAAAGTCAGGGCTGGAGGAAAACTTCTAGTGGGGCTTTTTTTTCCTGTTCAACACTACGGGGCAGCTGGGATCTGGATTTGCCTAAAATATTGGGGATGTGTGGGGCAAATTCATGGTGTTGAGATGAGGGTGCCTAAGGGGGTACTTGAGTGCTGGGCAAAGGAGTTTAGACTGGAGGCCACAGTGGTGGGTGGGATGGAGACAGATGCCCAGAATCCAGGTCATGGTTCTCCCCAGCTCCTTGAAATGATGCTTTAGGTACCTGGGAGATTGCTGGAGGTTGGAAGTGGGGCTGAAGTGTGCTTTCCCACTGTCACTCTGGGTCTAGTCCCTGGTGGCAGCCAGGAGAGTGTCAGCAGGGCAGAGCACTGGGTGAGGTCTTAGGCCACTCTGAGTTTCTGCTGACCTTGAAATGTCCAAATGCCTGACTTCCTGGAAGTGAGCACATGAGCATTCCAGATACTCTTAACCCTATTCTCCCTGGGCCCCCCTCCCTAAGGCATTTGCCCCCAACACCTGGCTGCATGGAACCTAGAGATAGACAGGAGCCAGCCTTTTTCAGAAGAAGGCATTGCCTTTCCGTGAGTTGACCAGCTCCTTCCTAATTGTTACACTCCCCTCCCTCTGCTCCTTCCTGAAAGAACCAACAGGGCAGGGTCCCTCCCATCCAGGTAACACCTTCTCGCTTCCCAGGGACTTCCTTGTCTCAGAAGGCTCCCTAGAGGGAAAAGGAGAGACTGCCCTCCAGATGCAGAGAGGCTTGTGGTCTTTCTCTGCCATTTTGGAGCAGTAGAGGCCAGGTCTCTATCTATAAGGTGGAACAAACATTTAGCGGCTTGGGACTTTCGAAATCTCTGCAGCTGACTCAGGGAAAGCTGCTTCACCATGCTGTCTCGCAGTTAGTGGATGGTGCTCTAACGGTGTGCATCTCGTGTGTGTATCCTTAGCTATCCTGCAGGCCCTGGTGGGCAGGGATTACGTTCTGTGAACCACACACTTGGATCCTGGGCTCCCAGGATCCTGGAGTCACTCCGCCCAAACGTGGAGCTGCCAGCCCACAGTGTAGCCTGGCTTTCACCAGTAGGGAAACTTGACATTCTCCTGCAAGAGGAGAAAGAAATAAATTCTCCCCTGTTCCCATGTGGCATGTGATCACTGAGGGTCAAACCTAAAAATAACAGAGTGCATTAATCAGGATTAGATTTGGCTGCAAGTAATAGGAAAAGCCAAATAACAGTGGTTTACACAACTTGGAAGTTTATTTCTTCGTCCTGTCTAAGCCCAGAGTTTTGCAGACCAGGTCTGGTATAGTAGCTCTACCCTATAGTTTCCTTGGGGAACTTGATGTCCACCGCACTGTTCCCAGGCTGTGGCTTCAAGGGCTCATGGTTCAAGATGGCTGTGAAACTTAAGTCATCATATCTGTGTCCAGGCAGCAGGATCGAGACAGGGAGGAAAGGGGTCTTGTAAGGAAGGATTCCAGAACTTGGCATCTTATACTGACGCTTATGTCCCTGTCTTAGTCCATTTTCTGCTGCTATCACAGAATATCATGGACTGGGTAATTTATAATGAACAGAAATTTATTTGACTTACAATTCTGGAGGCTGGGAGGTCTAAGAGCACAGCACTGACATCTGCTTGGCATCTGGTGCAGGCCTTCTTGCTGTGTCCTCTTATGGCAGAAGGCAGAAGGGCAGGTGAGCATGTGAAACAGATAAAACTCACTCCCCAAATCCCAATTTTAAAAGGCATTGAGGGCGGGGCGTGGTGGCTCACGCCTGTAATCCCAGCACTTTGGGAGGCCGAGGCAGGTGGATCATGAGGTCAGGAGTTCGAGACCAGCCTGGCCAACATGGTGAAACCCCATCTCTACTAAAAATACAAAAATTAGCCGGGTGTGGTGGCGGGTGCCTGTAGTCCCAGCTACTCGGGAGGCTGAGGCAGAAGAATCACTTGAACCTGGGAGGCGGAGGTTGCAGTGAGCTGAGATCGCGCCATTGCACTCCAGCCTGGAGACAGAGCGAGACTCCGTCTCAAAAGAGAAAAAAAAAAGGCATTGAATCCACCGTGAGGACAGAGCCCTCATGGCCTAATCACACCTCTTAAAGGCCTCTTAATACTATTATAATGGCAATTAAATTCCAACATGAGTTTTGGAGGGGCCATTCAAACCATAGCAGTACTGTTAGCCTGTTAGTCACATGGCCCCAGGTCGCTGCAAGGGAGGTGGGGAATGCAGTCTTGGCTCTGGGCAGCTGTGTGCTCAGCTGGCTGTCCCTGCTTCTGGGGGATGAAGGCATTGTGAGATTTTTGATTAAATCTGGGCCATTTCCAGGCTGAAAAGCTGGACCAGAGCTTCAGGGCTTGAGTCTCTCACAGAGAGATTTCCCAATGGGGACATCAGTCCTGCCTTGGGACCAGAAAGCCACATGCTGTAGGCCAGGAAGGGGGAAGCAGGGGCTGAGCCCGAGGGAGAAAGGCTTTAGAGGTGTTAGCAGACAGCTCAGTGGCAGTGGTTAGAATTAGGGAGGCAGCGACCTCTTCTTAGTGTGGTCAGAGCATGCCAAGAAAGTGTGGTCTGTGTCTGGGCTGCTGAGGCCCGAGGGCAAGGGCCAAGCTCATTCATAGGACAGTGGCCAAGAAGCGGGGACTGAAAGGCTTGGGAAAAGTAAGGAAGCTCTGCAGGTTCTGGGACACAAGTGAACACGGTAAGCAGTGGAAGGCCCACCCCAGGACAGGGTTAGACTGGGAGCACTGTCTCCTTGTAGCCCACAAGAGGCCAGGGCAGGGCCCAAGTACAGTGTGGAAGTCCAGCCTGGTGGACTGCAGGGATCCCTGCCCAAGCCCACCCCCTGCTCACCTCCTCCAGTGGCACCTTGTTGTTGCACATTTTTTAATTCATCAAGAGAAGCCGGAGATCTAGATTTTTATTTGAAATTCATTGATTTCAAACTACGGGTGGCTAATTAGAGTGGAAAATACAAAACTATGATGATCATACAGATTGCTCCTGAGACCGACCCCTTTTTGCCTGTGGGCCACAAGCCGTCTCCCTCCAGTGAGGATGAATCCTCTGGGTCCTCAAGGGCAGAACCAGGAGGAATCCATGGAGCACTTCTCATAAGACAGCTTAACACTTTTTTCAGTTTTACTTTTGAAATTTTTTAACCCCCATTTTTTTATTTGGAAAAATTTTAAACCTACAGACAAATTGAAAGAGTTCGCCGGGTGCGGTGGCTTATGCCTGTAATCTCACCACTTTGGGAGGCCGAGGTGGGTGCATCATTTGAGGTTAGGAGTTCGAGACCAGCCTGGCCAACATGGTGAAACCCCATCTCTGCAAAAAAAATAAATAAATAAATAATTAAAAAATTAGCCAGGAGTGGTGGCACATGCCTGTAGTCCCAGCTACTTGGGAGGCTGAGGCAGGAATTGCTTGAATCCGGGAGGCGGAGGTTGCAGTGAGCCGAGATTGCACCACTGCCCTCCAGCCTGGGCGACACAGTGAGAATCCATCTCAAAAGATCAAAAAAAAGGAAGAGTGCAGTAAGTAAACTCCTGTCTGCCAACACCAGGTAAGATTTGTTCCATTTACTTCTCTCTCTAAATCATGAACGTCAGACATCAAGAGGCATTACCCCCAAACGCTTCAGCCTGTATTTCCTAAGAACAAGGGCATTCTCCTTTTAGCCACAATCTGAGGATGTTAACTTATTTATCCAGCATATACTCCATCCTCAAATTTTCCCAGTTGTCCTCAAAATGCTCATTACAGCCTTTCCCTGCTCCCCAATCTGAGATCCCATAGACAGAGCGGCAGAGCAGACCCACTTGGAGGCAGGCAACTAGGGGTGCTGGAAAAGGTCCTGAATTCCAGGAACCTGCAGGCCCGTGATGGCTGGCCCACACCCGGTGACCCAGGGACCGCTGCTGGCTGCGGGGCAGGCTTTGTCATCCCGAGAACCCGCCTGCCAGGTGAGCTGAGAGGGAGGCTTCCCCCTGCTCTCTGAGGGCGGGCAGGGACTTCCCCATCCCTCCACAGCTTCTCTCCACTCAGTGGGCCGACCTGATTTGCATTCCCACACTCTGCTGGCCCTGGGTGCTGGCCTCCATGTGCCACAGTGCCTCTGCGGGCCGTCCGGTCATTCTGTCCACCTTTGCCCACTTCCTGCTGCATGCCCACCTTGACTTGTCATCTCAGTGTGTGGCAGCCATGAGGCCTCCTTCCTGCCAGGACTTGGCGCTTGCTTCAAAGGCTCCCCAGGGATTGCAGGCTGAAGGCTGGAAGTCAGGGCTGCCCCCCGCAGTGGCAGCCCCGCCTGCAGAGCAAAGGACTGCATTTCCACACGTCCTCTAATTTCTGTTTTTAACTTTTAAACTATTTTTTTTCTAGTTTAGAAAAATATAAAAACACTTGAGAAACACATAATTTAGCAGGTGAAGGGTTCCTGTGATCCCAGCCCCCAGACAGCTTTATTTTAACATTTAGATTGGACTCTTCCTAGTTTTAAAGAGAAAGAGGCTGAGGGGCAGAGGTCATGAAGGATGGGTCTGTGGGACCCCCAAGAGATGAAGGAGTCGGGGCCAGGAGCCTCTGCCTCCATGAAGCCTGTCACCTGGGAGGTTCATGTCTTTGACTTTGCTCAGCCGTCACCTCTTCTGTAAACTGGGGATCCTAATTCTCGGCTCTCTTGAGGGCTGTAGCAAAGACACAAAAATCCTACCAGACTGTACAAGTGGAATTATTGTCAGGGGAACACGCGCTGCAGTGGGCAGAGTGCGCCTGGGCAGAGGGCCAGGGTTAAGGACACGGGGCCGGAGGAGCATGGGGTGCTTTGAGGTGGGTGGGGTGAGGGTTCTCTGGGTGAAGAGTTGTGACCTTTGCCCAACTTGGAAACTTATACAAATAACTAAACTTAAAAAGAAAATGTTCCTAGGGTAATCATGTTCATTGTAAGATGTTTAGAAGCGATGGATGAGCAAAACAGAAGAAAATAAATATCACCCTGCAGCTCACTACTCAGGAATAAGTACCATTGCTGTTGAAGTAGATGGCCCCCAGTCTTTGGTGCCTACTTGTTGAGAACCAGCCTTGGCCCATCATCAGTAACCAGACAGGGTGGGGAGGTAAAGTGATGGAGAGACTCTGCCCTGCCCTCTTGGATCAGATTCAAAAGGGAAGGAGATAGGTCAGTCAGGTGCTAGTGGCCCAAAGCTGGTGGGGGCAGAGGGTTGGAGAGAACTGGGCTGACTCAGGCTGGGCACCTGTTCTTCCAGGGGTGGAGGACTTGTGCGAGGGCCCAGAACAGAGCTGGGGCCTCCTGGTTCTTGAGGAAGGCCAAGAGCAGATGGGAACCTATCCCGAATGGCTTACCAGACAAAGCAGAATGAGGAGAGTGATGTGATGATCGTGGTTGTTAAGGAGGGTGGCTGCTGTGGCCCAGCCCAGCCTGGCTCTGCCCTGCTGGCTGCCTTGGTTGAGAGCCAGGGACTGCTGGCCATTCACAGATGGCGCCTGGGCGAGGCCCCTGGTTCTAGTCCTGGTCCTGAAGGTTCACGTCTGTGGCAGCTGGCAGTTGCTGGGAGTTCAGTGCAGGGTCAGCCATGGTGTGGGGGGATGAGGTCAGGGCAGATGAGGAGTTGGAGCCCTCGCTGTGCTGTGTGTCGGGCCATCCAGGTGTTGCTCTGCACACATTCACTGATTTCATCTTTATACGGTCCAGCAGGGGAGGTACCGGTGGTCCTCAGTTTACAGTTGGGGAAACAGTTTGGGGAAATCAAGCCATGAACCCAAGATAATGTGACTAATGCATGATAGAAGTGGGGTTCAGCTGGTGTCCTGCCCAGAGCCCACGATTCACAGAGCCTAAGCCCTGTGTCCCCAGCCAGGGGTCAGGATGTGAAGAGTTGCCACTCCTGCAAGCCCTCGCTTTTCTTTTTGTTCAATGGGAATGAAAACACCAACTTTCTGGGGCTTTTGCATGCCTCTAACAGATATTTATTAAACTCTTACCTGCCACAGGCACTGGGCTCAGCCCTGAGTACCCTGAGCTGAGCAAGAGGTGTCCTCAGGGTCACAGAGGACTTAAGACTCAGAGCAGTGCCACCCAGTAGAAATCTCACAGGAGCCACGTGTGGCACTTTATTTTTATTTTTTTGAGATGGAGTCTCGTTCTGTTGCCCAGGCTGGAGTGCAGTGGTGCGATCTCAGCTCATTGCAACCTCTGCCTTCTGGGTTCCAGCGATCCTCCTGCCTCAGCCTCCCGAATAGCTGGGACTACAGGCGTGCAACCACCACGCCTGGCTAATTTTTGTATTTTTATAAAAAAGGCACAGTTTTTCCATGTTGGTCAGGCTGGTCTTGAATTCCTGACCTCAAGTGATCCGCCCACCTCAGCCTCTTACAGGTGTGAGCTATCGCTCCCAGCCTTGTGTGGCACTTTAAACAGCTGCCTTCAAATACAGATGAATGAGTGAACTTAGTTTTAATAACATATATTATTTAACTCAGTATATCAAAAGATTATCATTTTGAGATGTAATCAACATAAACTATGTTTTGGTTCTTAGTTTTTTATTTTTTGAGACAGAGTCTCACTCTTGTCCAGGCTGGAGTGCAGTAGTTCGATCATGGTTCACTGTAGCCTTGACCTCCTGGGCTCAAGCGATCCTCCTGTCTCAGTCTTCTAAGTTGCTGCTACTACAGGCATGCACCACCACACCTGGCCATTTTTTTTTCTTTCTATCTTTGGCAGAGACAGCGTTTCTGTGTTGCCCAGGCTGGTCTCAAATTCCTGGGCTCAAGCAATCCTCCTGACTCGACCTCTCAATGTGCTATTATGGACATAAGCCACTGTGCCCAGCCCCAATATACATTGTTAATGAGATATTTTACTGTATTTTTTTTTTTGTAGCTAGTCTTCAGAATCCGGTATGTATGTTACACTTGCAGCATGTCCTAGTGTGGACCAGCCAGATTTCCAGGGCTCAGTGATCACAAGGCACACAGCCCAGCTTCAGAGGCCAATGGGCCAGTGTCCCCCAAACACCTAGAATCACCTTACCTTTATTGGCCAGGCCCTTTTCTGAGGTCTTTACCCACAAGATATTATTTAACTTTCGCAACTACCCCATGAAGGAGGTGCTACTGTTGTTCCCATTTCACAGAAGTGGCAGCAGAGGTCCAGAGAGGTTATGGGGCCAAGGTTGCACAGCTGATGAATGACGGAGCTCAGTGGGAAGGTGTCACGAGAGGAGAACATTGTGGGACAAAGGATGGGGACACCTCTTGTTTTTAACAGATTTACTGAGGTAGCGTTCATACAATGAAATTACCCCTTTTTAAGTGTTCATTTTTTTTTTTTTTTTTGAGATGGAGTCTTGCTCTGTCACCCAGGCTGGAGTGCAGTGGTGCAATCTCAGCTCACTGCAGCCTCCGTCTCCTGGGTTCAAGCGATCCTCCTGCCTCAGCCTCCTGAGAAGCCGGGACTACAGGCATGTGCCAGTACGCCTGGCAAATTTTTGTGTATTTAGTGGAGATGGGGTTTTACCATGTTGACCAGGCTGGTCTTGAACTCCTGACCTCAGGTGATCCGCTCACCTCGGCTTTCCAAAGTTTTGGGATTACAGGCGTGAGCCACCATACCTGGCCTAAGTGTTCAGTTTGATCAGCATTGGCAAATGTACGCCGTTGTGTGGCCACCACATTCAGTATCCCCAGCAGTTCCATCCCCTAAAATGTGCCCTCGTGCAGTTGAGTCCTTCCTCCACCGACCTGCTGTCTGCCCCTGCAGTTTTCACGGGGTTATACAGTGTAAGTGTCTGGGGCTTGGCTTGTTTCTCTCGGTAATAGTTTTGAGGTTCACCCATATTGTTGTGTCTATCTGTAGTCTGCTCCTTTTTGGGGTTGTTTTTTTTATTTTTATTTTTTGAGATGGAGTTTCACTCTTGTTGCCCAGGCTGGAGTGCAATGGCGCAATCTCGGCTTACTGCAACCTCTGCCTCCCAGGTTCAAGCAATTCTCCTGCCTCAGCTTCCCGAGTAACTGGGATTACAGGCATGCGCCATCACGCCTGGCTAATTTTGTATTTTTAGTAGAGATGGGGTTTCTCGATGTTGGTCAGGCTGGTCTCGAACTCCCAACCTCAGGTGATCCGCCCGCCTCGGCCTCCAAAGTGCTGGGATTACAGGCGAGAGCCACCACTCCCGGCCGCTGTGTGGTATATTATGGTGTGGACCTATCACATTGCGTTCATCTGTTCACCAGTTGATGGACATTAAGTTGGGCTCAATGTTTGCTGTTATGAATATGCTGCTGTGTACAAGTCTTTTTCTGCACGTATTTGCATTTCTCCTGGTTGGGTACCTAAGAGTGGAATTGCCGGGTCATATGAGAAGGGTATGTCTCCATTAGTAAGAAATTACAAAACTGTCTTCCAGGTGGCTGTATGCTTTCACTGCTCGCCAGCAGTGTATGTGAGTTCCAGTTACTCATATCTTCCTCAGAGCTCGGTATCGTCAGTCTTTTAAATTTGTCATTCTAGTGCAGGACCCTGATGACATGATCCCGAACATCTATTTAATGTGCTTATTTGGCATCTGTATGTATCTTCAAATCTTTTGCCCATCTTTACATTTTAAAAAAATTGACTTGATATTGACTTGTTAAGAGTTGGCACCTCTTTTTTGGGTCAGGATTAAATGAGATAATATACGTCAAACGCCTTGCAGTCAGAGATTGACCCATTGGCCCTCCTGGTGTACCCCTCTCTGCGCTCAGGGTCTCTGGCTCTCTCAGGTGGCTGTTCAAACCCCACCTCACCCCAGTGAGTCCCCGACCCCTGCCCCCTGGCAGACACATGAGTCACACACTCTCGACCAACACAGTGACTGACTAGCATAATTCCATACTGACACATCTCTGTGTGTTCACAACACAGTCTTCCTGTTTGCCTCAGGCCAGAGGCAGTGCAGCCCAGCCAGGGAGCCTTGGGTCTGGAGAAAGGAGCCCTGAGTCCCAATTCTGTCCTTGTGGCCACTTGCTGTGTGAATGGGGGCATATCACTCTCCTGTTCTGTGCCTCAGTTGCCTCATCTGTGGAAAGAGAGCATTTTACTATGTTTTATTTTTTGTAAATGAGACAGAGTCTCGCTATGTTGCCCAGGCTGGTCTTGAACTCTTGGGCTCAAGCAGTCTGCCCACCTCAGCCTCCCAAAGTAGTGGGATTACAGGTGTGAGCTACTGTGCCTGGCCTCTAATATTTCAGTCCATTCAGGCTGCTACGACAAAACGCCATGAACTGGGTATCTTAAAAACAACGGAAATTTATGTTTCATGGTTCTAGAGGCTGAGAAGTCCAGGACTAAGGCATTGATTCATTATCTGATACAGGCCCACTTTTTCATTGATCTTGCCTTCTTGCCGTATCCTCAGATGGTGTGACCAGGCAGCTCTCTGGGGTCCCTATTATAAGGGCACTGATCCCATTCCTGAGGGTTCTGCCCTCATGAATTAATTACCCCCTCTCCCCCAAAGCCTCCACCTCCTAATACCATGACCTTGGGGATTAGGATTTCTTTCTTTCTTTTTTTTTTTTTTTTTGTGAGACGAAGTCTGGCTCTGTCGCCCAGGCTAGAGTGCAGTGGCGCGATCTCAACTCACCGCAACTTCTGCCTCCCAGATTCGAGTGATTCTCCTGCCTTACCCTCCCGAGTAGCTGGGATTACAGGTGTGTGCTACCACGCCGGGCTAATTTTTGTATTTTTAGTAGAGACGGGGTTTCGCCATGTTGGCCAGGCTGGTCTCGAACTCCTGACTTCAGGTGATCTGCCCGCCTCAGCCTCCCGAAGTGCTGGGATTATAGGTGTGAGCCACTGTGCCCAGCCTGGGATTAGGATTTTAACATATGAGTTTTTAGGGGCAAAACATTCAGACCACAACAGCTAGATGAACTTCAGGGATGTGGCCAGCTCTGAATCTGCTTTTTGGGGGATACAGGGCAGGGGGTCTTGAGTGGTTAGGCCTCAGCAGCGATAGGGTCTTGCAGCAACAGCCATTTGTGGAGATTGCTGTGGTCTCAGCATCTCTAAGGTGGGACTTGGGATTGTGCCAGAGGGTCTGGGATTCCGGCCGGCGGGGAGGGCAGGAAAAAGGGACGGGGTGGGCGTAGTGGCTGGGGTCAGTGGCAGACAGCCACCTTTCTGCTGCAGTCTGAGAAGCCAGACTCTATTTTGGAAAAGCTACCAGTCATCTTTTTCAAGCTCACTGGGCTTGACATGCTGGGAGGTTGTGGCTGCTGCACCCTGGAAGGACAAAGAAGGTGGGGGTTTGTAAACTTTAGATTCGAGGTGGGGAAACCAAGATTGGAATGGTGATGGTTCATTTCCCCCAGAACCATACACAAAGCAATGGACTTCTACTCCCAAGATATTTAGGAATCAGCTCTTGAACCTCTTGCCTATTGTTCCTACCCCAGGGCCCAGAATGGGCATCTCTAGCTTCCCCTGGGCTTGAATACTGCCATTGACAAAAGGCTCACCACTCTGGCAGGTTGGGTGAGTATGTTGGAGCATCAGGCAGCTAGTGGGTGAGTTGGAGCTAATGTCCCACCTTTTGAAGCTTGAGTCCTCTTAAGGAAATGAGGTGACCTCTCTGCCAAGGACTCCATAGGTCAGTTTCTTTTCTTTTCTTTCTTTCTTTTTTTTTTTTTTTTTTTTTTTGCGGTGGAGTGTTGCTCTTGTTGCCCAGGCTGGAGTGCAATGGTGTGATCTCGGCTCACTGCAATCTCTGCCTTCTGGGTTTAAGCGACTCTCCTGCCTCAGCCTCCCAAGTAGCTGGGATTACAGGCGCCTGCCAGCACACCCGGCTAATTTTTGTATTTTTAGTAGAGATAGGGTTTTGCCATGTTGGCCAAGCTGGTCTCGAATTCCTGACCTTAGATGATCCGCCCGCCTCAGCCTCCCAAAATGCTGGGATTACAGGCGTGAGCCACCGCGCCCGGCCAGTTTCTTTTCTGACTGCCATGAGAGGCAGGAGAATGGCATGTCTGTGTGCCAGACTTTCTCAAATGCCATTAGAGCTGCAGCCTGGATGATTCTGTGGCTTTTTAGCTGGATACTGAGGGCTTCCATGGGTGAGATGGGTCCTGGAGTCCCTGACTGTGTATTGGAAGCTGTGTATCTCTCTAGGAGGCCTCGTCAGGCAGAGAGTGGAGTGGATGGGGTTGGGAGTTGTTCAGATCCAAGAGGGAAGGGGACAGTGTGAGGTGCTTTTGCTGCTAGGGTCAGCTCTAAAGAGGCAGGGAGGAAGCTGAGGGGCAGTTGTCAACTGCTGCCCCTTCCCAAAGACCAGCTGTCCTCATCTGAAAATGGACACAATGAGGCCTCATCCTTATAGGGTTCTGGGGATCGATATGACATAAAGCATCCAGCAAGGTGCCCAGCGCTTCATGAGGGCTTTGGAATATTAATAACAGAAGCAGAGAAGATGGAAGAGGGCCTGTGTTTGTGGGTGGGGAATGTTCTTCCCTTAAAGCAAGGTTTCCTCTTTTTTCTTTTTTTTCGAGATGGAGTCTTGCTCTGTCGCCCAGGCTGAAGTGCAGTGGCATGATCTCGGCTCACTGCAACCTCTGCCTCCTGGGTTCAAGGATTCTCCTGCCTCAGCCTCCCGAGTAGCTGGGATTCCAGGAGCCCGCCACCATGCCCGGCTAATTTTTTTTTATTTTTAGTAGAGACGGGGTTTCACCATGTTGGCGAGGCTGGTCTTGAACTCCTAACCTCAAGTGATCTGCCCGCTTTGGCCTTCCAAAGTGCTAGGATTACAGGCATGAAGCAAGCGCAGCTGGTTTCCTCTTTTTTTTTGTGCCAAGGACCCCCAAGCAGAAGCCCATGGACTCCTTCTCAGAATGCTTTTAAATACATAAAATAGGTGGGGTTACAAAGGAAATATGTTTCATTGAGAGAACTGTCAAAATACTTAAACACATTGCGTTTAAATAATAAACAGTAAACAAATGGTAATATTTGTCCTTAGGTATTATTGCACTAATAAGATAACCCATTAGGCAAATTAAGGTTACATTTTACTTTTGAAGAGACTCATCAGTGACAAGGCTGCAGTGGCTCAGCTTCAATGGGGGTGTCACACTGGGGAGTGTCTTTGAGGGAAAGGCTTGTGCCCCGCATGGTGGACACCCAGGCCGTTGTGATTTTTTTTTTGAGGTTTCCCAAGTATTGCAAATCCCACTTTGCAAATGTAATTGCAGCTTCTTTGCAGCTAGTTTTATAAGGCAAGGTCAGGCTTCTGTCTAGGATTGCTAGGATTCTCCAAGCTTGTTGAGTTCACCTGAATCATGAGGACCCATAGTGGGAGTGGGGAGTGGTTTAAGAGCACCAGGTGCAGAATTGCCCGAAGCTGGCCAGGTGCGTCAGCCCAGCGTCTGTAGGCAGGGGACCGGGGGCACACGTGGTCCCTGGTGGGTCTGATAATGACTGTTGTTTAGAAGAGTGGTATCGTAAGCGACATTTCCAGATCCCACTGCAATGTGGCGTGAAAATGGCTGTGAGCTCCGTGGGCACTGCCTCACACTCCATTGTCACTGCAGGAGCAGCCCTCACTCATGACCAAAGGAGAGTTAGAAGGTAGGAAATAAAGGCATAAACAATTCACCAACTATGCAGGGACATCTCATCCCAACCCACTTCCCCCTGTCTTTCCCTAGCAGAGGTTTGAGCACTAGGCACCCCACCTGCACCCCTACCTTTGCTGACCCCTGTCCCTGGCAGGTGACCGCCGTGCTGTGACCACTGGGACCACTAATCTGAGGCGCCAGATCCCCCTGAAGCTGGAAGGGGCTTTCAGACCATCCCAACCCTCACTATCATTTTACAGTGGCTGTGGACACTGAGGCCCAGAGAGGGGAAGGAAGTGGTCCAAGGCCCTTCAGTGTGTGGCCAGCAGGAGGAAGGCCCCACGCTGGTGAGGTTCTTTCTGGCAGAGTTGAGAGAGATTTCAGGGTGAGAGCTACAGTGTGACAAGCCTGGGGTTGCACCCCCCTCTAGATATTTTGGAGGTGGGCTTGATTTTCAAAGGACATTGCTCTCCCACCCCTAACTGCCTGTTCTACCCCTGCGGCCTGCAGCTGTGAACATCTGTGTCGTCTCTGGGCCACCCTTGCAGGGCACCAGCTGTAGCCTGTCATTGCCTCTGGAGCCCATGAGAGGTGAGGGTGGCTGGAACTGGAGCTGGGGGCAGGCAGGGGAGGAGAGGCGGAGGTGTCAGGCCGAGCCCAGCCCTGTGGGGACGGGCCCTGATGCCTGGCCTTGGCCTGAAGCTGTGGCCAGCTGTTGCCTTCTGCAGACCCTTCTGTGTCCTGCCCATCCTCTCCCTCGGGAGAGCTGCCCTGAGCCCTTGTTCTCCAGGCTGTTCCCACACATGTCTTTTTGGCCCAGGTTGCTGGGAGGGGTCTGGGAAAGTTTGATGAGGGCCGTTTGGGGCCTGCCAGGGCTGGTGAGGTGGAGAGAAGGTTCCGCTCTGCCCTTGGCCAGTGAGGGGGCCACTGCAGAGCTCCCTCCCCTCTTTGAGCTGCCTATTTTTCTGTTTGGGAACATAGAGGCTCATTCCCTCCACCCTTGCCAAAAAGAGAGAGAAAGAGAGGGAGAAATTAGGGTGTGGAGCACCATGGAGATGGGGCTCTTTTAAACACAAGGTGTGTGTGTTAACGAAGCTGTCACGAGGCTCCTGGGAGTTTTCAAGGGTGACAGGCGTGAGTGGGGTTGGGGGTGGGAGGATCTTTCCAGACTGGAGAGGGATGGGTGGCTGTTTGAGAAGGTTCTGGGAGGGCCGATGAGTCTGGAGTTGTTCTCTCTGAGAGTCCCTGAATGGGAGGTGGCTCTAGGGTAGGAGCCTGAGTGCATGGTCCAGAGGAGGCCTGGGGAACACCCACCTGGGGATCAGAGCTCTGGTTCAGGACCTGGGGAAGAAAGGACAGTGAGCTCAGCCTTCAGACTGACCTGACCTCAGCTTCATGCTGACCCCATGACCCTACCTTCCACTTCTTGAGGTGATGCTGCTGCTTATGGGAGGGCTGGGGGGAGTGTGGATGGTTGGGAGCAGACAGTCCCTACTGATGTGGAGCAGCTTGTGCCTGGTTGAGGGCAGCTGGGAAGGTTGCCATGCTCTAAGGATGCTTATTGTCCAAGGATGCTTATTGTCCTGGTGCTTCTGCAGAGTCGAGGGGTTGGGGGCTGGCAGGGCAGCTTGCCCCGATCCCCAGTCCTGGACCATCAGTATGTGGGGCCAGTGGCCACGGAGCTCCCAGAAAGTTCCTTGAGCCTCTGTCCCTCCTGTCTGTCGCCCTCTGTCCATGTGGAATTCCCAGCCCCCTCCCTTCTCTGCAGCTCTGGCTCTCGGACCCCTGAGCCACTCCTTCCCCATCCCTTGACCAGCCCTTAAAAGATGTCCCAGCCATCTTTTGTAGCCATTCCTTTATTCTTTAAATAGGTTTTAACCATATTACCCAGTGTTTGGAGGAGAAAAATTAGAAAATACAGATAAGCAAAAAAGAGAAAATAAAAATCGTCCATAATCTCATCACTTGCAGATAACTCATGCTAGCATCCTGGTGTCTGTCCCTTGGACTCATCCTGATGCCCTTTCGTGAGTTAAGGTGGGGCTGTGGCCTGCACTTCCTATGCAACCTGCTCTGTCCTAGATGTCTTTCCATGTCAGCCAATGATATTTTTAATGGCTGTTTAACATTCTACCCTATAGATGTCTCATTATTTATTCAGCAAATCCTCTGCTGTGGGCTAGAGGTTGTTTCCAATGTTGTGTGATTATAAACAACACCCCAGTCAACAAAACATCGTGGTACACCACTTTGTGTACACATCCTCAAGTATTTCCTTAGGAGGGAGCCTTGCAGGAGGACTGCCGAATCCCCGAGGGTGCCCGGCGTTCTTCAAGTGGGGTGGGAGCTGTGCCTGTTGAGGATATAGATGTTGATTCAGATTTTTATTTTTTATTTTTTTGAGATAGAGTCTCACTCTGTCACCTAGGCTGGAGTGGAGTGGCTCGATCTCTGTTCACTGCAACCTTTACTTCCCGGGTTCAAGCGATTCTCGTGCCTCAGCCTCCTGAGTAGCTGGGATTATAGGTGCATGCCACCATGCCTGGCTAATTTTGTATTTTTTTTTTTTTTTAAGTAGAGATGGGGTTTCACCATGTTGGCCAGGATGGTCTCGAACTCCTGGTCTCAAGCGATCTGCCTGCCTCAGCCTCCCAAAGTGCTGGGATTATAGGCATGAGCCACTGCACCCGGCCACCAATTCAGATATTGATGTTGATGTTGAGTTTGGGGCCTGGTATTTTCTTTGAACACTTGATCTGCTGATAGCTCACCTAATCTGGACTTCCCTGGCCTTATTTTATGACATTCGTGGCTATATGTCCTTCTGCATCCGTTCCCATCCAAAGCCTTCAAATCCAAGTCTGACTTCCTTCTTTGCATCTGTCTGCCCCTGGTTCTTTCTCGGTGACATTTCCTGCTTCTCCTAGCCTGAAAGGTCTGGCCTTTGTCTATACCACCTGAAATAGTCACTTTGAACTCTAGGCCCTGACCTGCTGTGGATGATTCACCTCTTTCTGTCTCATTTTCACAAGAGGAGTGTAAACTAAAGGGGTTGGGGGCTGCATCTTTATGTCTGTCTATGTCCGTGACTCCCCCAAAGCATCGGTAAAGGGCCGGGTATAGAGCAGGCACTCAGTGAGCATGTGATCTTCTGGGCCCCACGGTGTAGGAGGCAAGCCTGCCTCTGTCTCCAGCTGCAGAGTGAGCTGCCTTTCTCTGTATGGTGGAGGGCGAGAGGTGGGTCAGGTCTCCTGCTGTGGATTTTCCCATCCCCTCCTTCACTGCACACCCTCTTATCCTACAGGTCTGGGGTCCTGAGGCTGCTGGCAGACTATGGGTACAACGGCCAGCACAGCCCAGCAGACGGTCTCGGCAGGCACCCCATTTGAGGGCCTACAGGGCAGTGGCACGATGGACAGTCGGCACTCCGTCAGCATCCACTCCTTCCAGAGCACTAGCTTGCATAACAGCAAGGCCAAGTCCATCATCCCCAACAAGGTGGCCCCTGTTGTGATCACGTGAGTGGCAGGGGGAGTGTGCCCATGTCCCTGGGAGACATGATGGGCGGGGGGACCTGCTTGGGGGTGCAGTGGCATACAGCACTTAACGCTTGCAGACTGGATTCGGGTTCATAGATGATGACACTGAGGCCCAGGGAGATGAAGCAGTTCATTGGGAGTCACACTGCATGCACCTGGCAGAGCTGGTCTCTGTCATGGGTCTCTGAGCCCATGCTACTCACCACGTCCACAGTGTGGGGGAATGCGGAGGAGGAGGCATGGCTGGGGGACCCCCCTTTTGAAAATAATTTTTGGCTTAACATTTTCAAAAGAAGTTTATGTACTTGATGGATGAAATTGGGATTTCTTTTTCACAGACAGTAATTATGGCTCAAAACTGAGGCTAACACCAGGCTGTTGAAGGGCCTTGGGCTGAAGGAGCTGGAAGCTGCTAGTTGGCTGTCCTAATGATGCCCCTCAGGGCTTGTTCTGGCAGCATGTTCTGGTGTTCTGAGATCTGTACATACTGTGTGCATCCAGAGGAAGAGGGTTATGATGGGTCCCTGAAACCCTGTCTGCCCTGTGGGGCTTGGAGGAAGGGGTGGGTGCTGGAGAGCCATGCTGGGGAGGACAGGAAGATGGAGGGGATGTTGGATCCATCTCCTGGTGCGTTGAGAAGCCTTGTACTTTCCACACCTCTGCCCACTGTGCTCCCCTCCTCTGGGTCTTCCAGGATGCAGGAAGCAGGAGATGACTAGCTAGGAATTAAATGTGTTCCGCACATCAAAGTTTGGCAAAGACTTAGCAGATGGGTCCTTCTGTATAAGGAAACCTGAGGGGTGGGAATGATAAACCCTGCCTGCCAGCTCTGGGGCCTGCCAGGAAAACCATCATCATAATCAATTCTTGGGCTTCTGGTAAGGGGAGGAAAAGGGATGTCATATAAAAGAGACTTGATATGGAGTCTCTGTACTGACAAATGACAAAGGTGGGTTTGGGGCCTGAAGGTAGCACGAAGACTCGTGCCCCAGGCCTGGTTCTGCCCTTGCTTTGTTCTGTGACCTTGCACAAGTTCCTTTCCCTCTCTGGGCCTCAGTTTCCTTATCAACATAAGCAGAGATGACATTCAGAATATTTAACCAAGTGATGTGTCTCAGAACAGTTGCTGACCAGCCGTAAAAATCCTGTACACAGGGCTGTGCTTAGGGCCTGGAGCCAGCCATGAGCACAGCACTTTTTGGGGGTGTAGAATGTTTGAAGTGGAAGGGACCTCTAGAGATCATCCAATAGAGGGGTCAGCAAACTACATCCTGCAGGCCCAATGTGGCCTGTTTTCTTCAAATAAAGTTTTATTGGAATGTTGACACTTCCTTTCACTTACATAGTATCTGTGGATGCTTAGGGCCTCAATGGCAGAATTGAGTAGTTGCAACAGGCGCTGTATGGCCCACAAAGCAAGTATTTACTGTGTGGCCCTTTCCAGAAAAGGAATGGCAACCCGTGATCTAATGCATTTTAGTTCAGATGTGAAAACTGGGTTTCAGGGAGGTAGAGAGATTTGCTCCCCATGGGTCACGTGGTAACAAGGAGGCAGAGCTGGAGTGGGAACCCAGGCCTCTTCTAGTGCTCCTCTGCCATACCCATTCCACCCCCTGCCTTTCCAAAAGGCACTTTTTTTAAAATTTAAGTTCTAGGGTACATGTGCACAACGTGCATGTCCATCACATATGCACACATGTGCCATGTTGGTGTGCCGCACCCACCAACCCACCATCCACGTCAGGCATATCTCCCAATGCCATCCCTCCCCCGTCCCCCCACCCCACAACAGGCCCTGGTATGTGATGCTTCCCTTCCCGTGTCCAAGTGTTCTCATTGTTCAGTTCCCACCTATGAGTGAGAACATGCGGTGTTTGGTTTTTTGTCCTTGCGATGGTTTGCTGAGAATGATGGTTTCCACCTTCATCCATGTCCCTACAAAGGACGTGAATTCATCATTTTTTATGGCTACATAGTATTCCATGGTGTATATGAAGGCACTTCTTTTGTCAAGAGGACCTAACATCAGATCATTAACTCTGGGAGGCTCTGTCATATTCATTGTTATCATCAGCACTGGAGCTGTTGTGTCTTGAGGGCACAGTAAATCTTGTTTGAGTGTTTGGACTTTTACCTGGTTTAGCATCTACAGAAATCTTGATTTTTATCTGTGGGTTTTGTTTGAAATAGCCCTGTGTGGAGGTAGAACTACAATTATATTAATAAATGCTTACTGTGCCCCAGGCACTGGGCTAAGCACTTACAATCATTAGCACATTTAATTCTCAGGACAGTCTTGGGGGTAGGAATTCCTGGAAATGAGCTCCTTGTCCAAAGCTATAGAGTTACCAAGCGGTGGGTGGAGTTGGGCTTCATGCCCCAAGCCTGCGTTCTAAACCACCTCACTGTGTGTGGAGTTAGCAGTGTAGGGACTGTCCCTCCAATACAATCTGATGGAGGGACCATCCAGTGATGTTGTCTTCTTCAGGGTACAGGCTAGGCCGCTGTCATAAAGTAACCCAGATAAGATGCCTTCCTCAGGACGAAGCTCATCTCTTACATGCAAGTCCACGAGGACATCCAGGCTGGGATGGCTGCTCCGTGATCATCCAGGCCCCTTCTCCCTCATTGCTCCAACATCATCAACATGTGGCTTCCGTCTTATGATCTAAGATGTTCTACCTCTGCCATCACTTCTGGATTTTAGCCAGGCAGAAGGGGAGAAGACAAAATAGAAGGCACCTCTTCTCTTTGGGAATGGCCTGGAATTTGCACGCACATCACTTTTCCTCACATCATTGGCCAGAACTTAAATCATGTGACCACAATGAGTTGCAAGGGAGGCTGGGAAATGTAGTCTTCAGCTGGGTGGCTCAGTCCTCAGTCACAGCCCTGGGGCTGTCGTGTTGAGGAAGAAGGGAAGAGTGGATATTGAGGGACAATGGGCAGTCTCTGCCACAAATCGTAGCCACAGGGGTTTTCCTGCGGTGGGCTCTGTGAGGGTGGAGCTGGCCTTGACCAAGGAGGTTGCTTGACTCAGTTTCCATTCTGCCCCCCCCCCCCCCCCCCAGGTACAACTGCAAGGAGGAGTTCCAGATCCATGATGAGCTGCTCAAGGCTCATTACACGTTGGGCCGGCTCTCGGACAACACCCCTGAGCACTACCTGGTGCAAGTGAGCTCAGGCCTTACCCTGCCAGCCCGCCTGCTGCCTCCCACCCCTATCTCTCATGAATTCCCTCCCTCACCTCCCTCTGGCCCTCCCCAACTTTCCCCGTCTCTCTGCCCATTTTCAGAACGGGCAGGGCCCTAGGATGGAGCTAGCACCGTGATCCTCTGGTTGATTCCTGGTGCCCCAGCTCTGCCTTCCTACAAAAGCCCCTTCCAGGGGAGCTCCTACCCTAGAGCCAGCTTTGCCTCTGGAGAGCCTCTCCCTGCTCTTTCCTCCAGGCCTGGCTCAGACGTCACCTCCCACATGAAGCCCTCTCTGATGTCCCCTCTGGAGGAGTTGTCTTTCCTTTTCCTACACTTTATGATACCCTTCCCCAGATCACAGAGAGTTATATATTTTGTCTGTTTTTTCCATGAACTGCAGGCAACTTGAGGGCAGGATCATGTTCTTTTTGCCCCTATTTCCCCCCTCCCTGTCCCCTGGAGCCCAGGACAGAGCTCCATCTGCAGAAAATACCCCTGAGCCATCTGAGTGACCTTCCTGTGGCTCTCCCCTGCCAGGGCCGCTACTTCCTGGTGCGGGATGTCACTGAGAAGATGGATGTGCTGGGCACCGTGGGAAGCTGTGGGGCCCCCAACTTCCGGCAGGTGCAGGGTGGGCTCACTGTGTTCGGCATGGGACAGCCCAGCCTCTCAGGGTTCAGGCGGGTCCTCCAGAAACTCCAGAAGGACGGACATAGGGTAAGTATGCCACTTCCCAGGCAGAAGCCAGGTCCCCAAAGCCAGGGAGAGGGGCACCTTGGAGGGGCAGCTTTAGAGGCGCTGGAGGGGCCTGCTGCATGCTGGAGAGGTGGGGTAGTGGCCTGGACCAGGCCCTGCCTGCCAGGATGGTCACTGCTGTTGGTCTGGTTGGGAAATTCTGGTGAATGTTGATTGCATGTCCTGAGTGGATGGCGGGGCACAAGGTCAGAAGCCTTCATAGACCCTACTTGGGAGCCTCAGAGGAAGCAGGGGGCGTGACCGGGTGACAGGAGGAGCCAGCTCATAATTTGACAGCTTGCTGAATGGTGATCACAGCTAACACTTAAGTCCTGATGTTAGCCCTGTGATGGAGTGGCAGTTTGTCTCCCATTTTGCAGAGGAGGAAACAGGCCCAGAGAAGCTAAGTGACTTGCTCAAGGTCACACAGCTCATGAGTGGTACCCCAAGACCCAAACCCAGGCAGCTGAATTCCCAAGTGCCTGCTTTCAAGGACTGTTCTTACCTGTCGGATGTTGAGGCAGGGTTTTGCGTGTCCCTAGGACACAGGCTGAGGGTCTGCTGCGATTGTAGGCTTCTTGAGTGCAGCTGCATCTGAATTGACCCCGGAGTTAAGGTGGAAAGGCTTTGAGTGAGACAGAATGGGGTGGGGGTGTGGGCTGTGTGCAGGTCCCATCTTCCCATCTTGATGATAAGTTCCTCAAGGGGACCATCTGCCCACACATTTCCCTCTGCCTGTATGGTGCTCAGTGAATGAATGATTGCGTGGTCATGGGGCATTCATTTCTTCAGCTGATGTTCATCAAACACCTGATTTATCCAGGACACCATGCTAGGACACCATGCTAGGAATTATGGGTACATGAAAATGACCAGGACATGATTTTGCCTACGAGGAACCTGTGGTCCATTAAGGGGGAAAAGATGCATTCATTGATAGTACAAAGCAGGAATTAACGCCAAGAGATTCATATGAAGGACTCTTGACCCTGACAGGAGGCAGGGGTCACTGCTGACTGGGAGGGTCACAGGGAGGTAGCATTTGGACTGAGCTTTGTTTCTTGGGTAGGATTCAGGTTGCAGGGATGGTGTGGGGTGCAGGAGGAAGGAACAGCTTGGGCAGAGGCCCTGAGGTGGGGCAGTGGTGCAGGTGTCTGTGCGGGATCATGATGATGGCTTCCTTCCCCCTCGGGCTCCTGGCAGGAGTGTGTCATCTTCTGTGTGCGGGAGGAACCTGTGCTTTTCCTGCGTGCAGATGAGGACTTTGTGTCCTACACACCTCGAGACAAGCAGAACCTTCATGAGAACCTCCAGGGCCTTGGACCCGGGGTCCGGGTGGAGAGCCTGGAGCTGGCCATCCGGAAAGAGGTGAGGACCAGTGCGGTGTGCGGGAGACCCCAGCCCACAGCCCAGCTTTGCAGATGCTCTTTTTGGGGCCAGCTCACCTGCTCTTACTGGCCCGTGTTCCCCCACTGTTGTGCCCTGCTTGGGTGAGTGGCTGGCTGCAAGGCTGACTCACGGGCAGCCAGAGGAAGGACTTCCTATTCTAGCTCTCTTTGCCTCTGCCCCTTTCCCACCCTGCTTGTCTCCTTGATGCTCAATGTCCTTATTTAGAAAGGGGTCTGGTGGGCCGGGTGCAGTGGCTTATACCTGTAATTCCAGCACTTTGGGAGGCCGAGGTGGGCAGGAGTTCAAGACCAGCCTGACCAACGTGGTGAAACTGTGTCTCTACTAAAAATACAAAAAATTAGCTGGACGTGCTTGCGCATGCCTATAATCCTAGCTACTCGGGAGGCTGAGGCAGGAGAATTGCTTGAACCTGGGAGGCGGAGGTTGCAGTGAGCCGAGATCACACTACTGCACTCCAGCCTGGGCTACAGAGTGAAACTCTTTCTAAAAAAAAAAAAAGAAAAAGAAAAAGAAAGGGTTCTAGGTGAGTGAAAAGAGCGCTAGACCAGAAGGACCAAGGCTGCAGTTCAACGCTTTGAGAGCCACGAGCCTCTGAGTCAGTTCCCTCAGTGGGTCTGTGGGCCTGTTTCAGTATCCTCTGTCCTCCTCCTCCTCCATAACACAGAGGCTTGTGGAGGCCTCTGAGGCAGCTGACATACCATGAAGGTGTGTGAATAGAGTGTGGGGTCCCAGTGTCCCCAGAAACTTCCAGGTCAGGAACCGAGGCCATGCCGGCGCCCAGCTCTTTGCCTCTCCCATCCCCTCCAGGCCTCCTGTGTGCTCTGCTCCCCTCGGCTCCAGCTCCCAGCTGACCACACCTCCCCCGTCCTGGCACTGGTGGCTTTGTGAATTCCTGCACCCACTGGGCAGAGCCCTCCTGCCTTGCCCCTGTGTAGGCACCCCGATTCCTTCAGAACTCCCAGGAATGGCATAGAGAGCACTTCTGGCTGTGTAGTTCCCTCATGGGGGGCAGAAGCCTGCCTGTGGCCTCTGCATGGTCTGGTCACTCCAGAGCTCAGCCAGGACACTCAGGGAGGGTCTTGAAGTTCAGGCCATGGCCCTCTGACCCCCACACCTCCCTCTAGATCCACGACTTTGCCCAGCTGAGCGAGAACACATACCATGTGTACCATAACACCGAGGACCTGTGGGGGGAGCCCCATGCTGTGGCCATCCATGGTGAGGACGACTTGCATGTGACGGAGGAGGTGTACAAGCGGCCCCTCTTCCTGCAGCCCACCTACAGGTACCACAGGGCCACCCCCAGCCCTGGCCATGGGTGCTCCAGGTCCTGCTCTCCAGCTGCAGCCTCAGTTTCACCATCTGCAGGTTGGGCGGAGTCCCCCACACCCATGTCTCCCACAGTGGGGCCCATTTCCAAACAGTGCCCGGGAATAGGGGGTGAGGGGGATTCCCAGAGTGGGTGCCTGCCTGATGGCTGCTCTCCCTCACCTGGCAGGTACCACCGCCTGCCCCTGCCCGAGCAAGGGAGTCCCCTGGAGGCCCAGTTGGACGCCTTTGTCAGTGTTCTCCGGGTAACTGGGGCACGGGCGCGCATGGGGGAGGAGTCTTGAGAGTCGTCCCCATGGAGGTGCTCAGGGTGGGCACAGCCTCTCGCCTTCCTCAGAGGAAGGCTTCATTCTGTGTTGTGTATGTGAGCATGTTAGGGTGGACGTGTGTTGGTGTCTGTCTCTGTATATGTCTGTGTGTGTCAGCGCCTTTGTGTGTGTCTGTGGGGAGTGTGTGTACATGTTTATGTGTCTCTCTGTGTGTCTGTGTGTTCCTGTCTGTGTGTCTCTGTGTGGGGATACATGTGTTTCTGTGTGTGTATGTGTCTGTGTGTGTATGTGTTTGTGTGTGTGTACCTGTATGTAGGTGTGTGTTTGTGCATTCTCTTATGGCAGAGTCCATCACTGACCGCTGGCCCAGCTGCTGGCCGTGGCTGGGCTGCCAACTTGCTGTGTGGTCCCGGACTAATCACCTCACCTCTCTAGACCTCAGTTCCTCCTTTCTTTAGTGGAGCTAACGACTCTTGCCCTATAGACTGTTCAGCTGACATTTCCTGAGTCCTGGCGGAGTTTCTCTCCAGCCCCCTTCAGGGCATTATCTTATTTCACTGGCATCTTGCAGAAGGTGTTAATACTGGCCTGGTGCCCTCTGAGTCGCTCTCACTTCCAGTTCTTTGAGCTCCTCCAAGGCCTGGGGAGGGAGCAGGTGGAGCTGATCAGGCTGTGGCTTTGGCAGAAGAGGCCAAGACACCTATTGGAGCCCACTTTGCTGCAGACTGTGGGGCAGGGTGGGCTGATGTCATGCTTTTCTCCCTGCTCAGGCCTCAGCCCAGGGTTTCCTGGTCTCACTGGGGCCTGATCCTCATGGTCTTTCCCAGGAGACCCCCAGCCTGCTGCAGCTCCGTGATGCCCACGGGCCTCCCCCAGCCCTCGTCTTCAGCTGCCAGATGGGCGTGGGCAGGACCAACCTGGGCATGGTCCTGGGCACCCTCATCCTGCTTCACCGCAGTGGGACCACCTCCCAGCCAGAGTGAGTGGCCCGGGGCCCAGCGTCCTGAAGGGCTGTGGGGCCGAGGAGGGGACAGGCTGCCCCACAGTGTGGGGACATGTCTAGGAGCCCAGAGCCAGAGCTGGAAATTTGGCATCTGGGGTTCATTTCCTGGTTTGCCACGAGACTTGCTGGGAGACCTGGAGAAAGTCACCTGACCTTTCTGGGCCTCAGTTTCCCTAGTTGGGGAAATGTCCCCTGCTTCCCACAATGTGATTCAGAAGGAACCTGTAGTCTGGTGTCCCCCAGCGGCCATATGAGTGGAGACAGCAGGCGGGTGGCCGTGTGAGACCTTTGGAAGAGCCTGCTAATGTACTGACCCTGCCTCGACAGGGCTGCCCCCACGCAGGCCAAGCCCCTGCCTATGGAGCAGTTCCAGGTGATCCAGAGCTTTCTCCGCATGGTGCCCCAGGGAAGGAGGATGGTGGAAGAGGTGAGTGAGGGACAGCAAAGGGCTGGGGCAGGGGTGGTGGAGGGGACGGTCACTCCTCTCACTGGTCGGGGCTCTCTTCCTTCCCGATACCCTCCCCTACCTCTCTGCCAATCTTTTTCTTTCCCTCTCTTTTCTCTTTTCTCCTGCCGTTCTGCCTTGACCCTGCTCCCCACCCCCCCACCTCCCTCTTACTTGCCTTGGTCTCTGGCACCAGGTGGACAGAGCCATCACTGCCTGTGCCGAGTTGCATGACCTGAAAGAAGTGGTCTTGGAAAACCAGAAGAAGTTAGAAGGTATCCGACCGGAGAGCCCAGCCCAGGTGAGGCATGGAAGGACGTGTGAGCACTCTGCTTCTCTGTGAGCCCTGCAGCCTGATTTCATTAGGCATGTTGACTGGTTTCTTTCAGACTGACTTTTTCTGGCTGCTGCGTCTCCCATGAGAAGAGCAGTTTTCAGAGGAAGGGGAGATAGGGGCTCTGGGCCCACAGGAAGGACAAGGAAGAGGGGAAGTTTACTTTTCCTGACCAGGTCCCTTCAGCTGCAGAATAAACAGGACAGAGGAAGGGGCTGCTGGCCAGGGCTGCAGGGGCCCCTGGACTCAGATACTCCCCAGGCCACTCATGGCCTCCCACTAGTAAAACTCCTGGTGTTTCTTTGGGAAGACTGGGGTTTGGTCCAGCTGGCTGCTTCTGAAAGACTTATGGGCTCTAGGCTGTCTCAGCAGACCCTGTCCCCATGCCTTAGCGAAAGGAGGTGGGCTTGATAGTGTTTATATCATACAGCGCATGGAAAGAATCTAAAGCCACAGAGGCAGCTTCTTCTTTTTTCTTGTTTCTTCTTCTCTTCCTCCTCCTCCTTCTCCTCCCCCCTCTTTTTCCTCACCCTCTTCCTCCTTCCCCCTTCCTCCTCCCCCCGCTTCCTCCTTCCCCCTCTTCCTCTTCCCCACTTTTCCTCCTCTCCCCTTCCTTCTCCCTCTCTTCCTCTTTCTCCGCCTCTTCCTCCTTCCTCCTCTTCTTTCCTCCTCCTCCTTCCTCCTCCTTCTCTTCCTTCCTCCTCCTTCTTCCTCCTTCCTTCTCCTTCCTCTTCCTCCTTCTCCTCCTTCTTCTCGTCTTCCTCCTCCCTCCTCCCTTCCTTCTCCTCCTCCTTCTCCTTTCTTCTCCTTTTTCTTCTTCTCTTCCTCCTCCTGCTTCTCCTTCAATAGGGTCTTGCTCTGTTGCCCAGGCTGGAGCGCAGTGGTGCAGTCATAGCTCACTGCAACCTCGAACTCCTAGACTCAAGGGATTCGTCCACCTCAACCTCCTGAGTATCTGGGACTACAGGTGCATGTCACCACACCTTACTTTTTTAGAGATGGGGTGTTGCTATGTTGCCCAGGCTGGTCTTCAACTCCTGGCCTCAAGCAGTCCTCCTGCCTTGGCCTCCCAAAACACTGGGTCTTTTTCTTTCTAAAAATATTTTTAAAAGGCTGGGCACGGTGGCTCACACCTGTAATCCCAGCACTTTGGGAGGCTGAGGCAGATGGATCACTTGAAATCAGGAGTTTGAGACCCGACTGGCTAACATGGTGAAATCCTGTCTCCACAGAAAACACAGAAATTAGCTGGGTGTGGTGGCACGCGTAGTACCAACTACCAGGGAGCTGGTGTGTGCCCAGTAGTACCAGCTATCAGGGAGGCTGAGGCAGGAGGATCTTGTGAGCCCAGGAGTTCCAGGCTGCAGTGGGCTATGATCGTACCACTGCACTCTAGGCTGAGCAACAGAGCAAGACCCTGTCTCAAAAAACAAAACAAAACGAACCCAAACCAAAAAAAATCCCATACAGTACTTAGAGCCTGCCACAGAGTCCCTGGAATGTCACCCCTGCTGTGATTTACTAAACAGTCCCCCTCTTCTTGGACAATTGAGTTGCTCCAGTTCCCCATCAGTGTAAATACTTCTTTGTTGAGCAGCTTCATGAAAATGAAGGCTGTTGTGTATTTAGGATTCTTTCTCCCCTTAGTCTAGATTGGGCATCAGCAAACTACGGCTTAGACCAAATCCAGCCTGCCGCCTGTCTTTGTAAATGTGTTACTGGAACACAGTCTTGCTGTTCTCTACTCTGCTGGCCCACGACTGCTCTTATGCTGGGATGGCAGAGTTCAGTAGCTGCAGCAGGGACCCTGAAGCCTGAAAGTCTAGAGTATTTACCGTCTGGCCCTTTATGGAAAAAGTTTGCCGACACCTGGTGGAGATTCCCAAAGATGGGATTAAATTTCACCAAAGGGCGTGGCCCTTCTTTAGGGCCTCTGTGAATCTCACTTGAATCTCACTTGCCCTCCAAAAGGTACTGACCCAGCAGGAGAACCTGGAGATCCGAGGGCCCTTGGGGTTCTCTCGGACAACCCCCCATGCAGAGGAAGCTGGGCTGGGGTCAGGAGACTTGGGGAATCTGGCTCTGTTTGCTGTCAGCTGTGTGACTTTAAGGAAGTTACCTCATTTCTCTGAATCTCCGTTTCCCTCTGTAAATTAGGAGTAATTAGGATGGCTCCCCTGGAGCACTGCTGTGAGGGTCTTTGTATTTGTATTTTCTTGTGGAGAGGCTCCAGTTCTTTTTTTTTTTTTGAGACAGGGTCTCACTTTGTCATCTGGGCTGGAGTGCAACGGTGAGATCATAGCTCACTGGAGCCTCAACTTCCCAGGCTCAAGCGATTCTCCCACCTCAGCCTCACGAGTGGCTGGGACTACAGGCATGTGCCACCATGCCTAATTTTTGTATTTTTTTATAGAGATGGGGTTTTGCCATGTTGCCCAGCTTGTTTTGCACTCCTGAGCTGAAGCGATCTGGCTGTCTCAGCCTCCCAACGTGCTGGGACCACAGGCGTGAGCCACCGCACCCAGCCAGGTTCCAGTTCTTAAGGGAGGGCCTCTGGCTCGGGGGTGTTCACACACTTGGCTTCCTCAACACAGAGGGTGCACAACCCTGACCTGTTGGGTGTCGCTGGAGCTAAGTGAGGGAGCCCCTGCCTGTCTTGGCGCTGGGAGCCTGCTTGGGGAGACCAGCCCTGCACCTAGAACCACAGTGCCTGGTGTGGTCACCCACATATCTCCCCTGACCGCAGATAACCACAGCATCTGGGATAGGGTGAGACACTTAGAAGAACTTACAGCCTGGCAGAACTGTGTCATGAAGGGAGGGAAAGACTGTCTTCTGGGGAGTTCCAAGGCTTAACTCCTGCCCTTGCAGGGATGGGGACAGGGACAAGACTGCCTGAGGAGTCTGTCCTTAACACCCTGTCCTCTCTCTCAGGGAAGCGGCAGCCGACACAGCGTCTGGCAGAGGGCGCTGTGGAGCCTGGAGCGATACTTCTACCTGATCCTGTTTAACTACTACCTTCATGAGCAGGTGGGGCCTGGGAGGAGCAGACCCACGTCCCCTCCTCCTGGGCCTCTCCCAGCCTCCCCACCGCAGTGACTGGCTTGCTGTGGAGGGAGACCCCCCAAGGAACCGGGGAGGGAAGGGAGGCCAGGAGAGACCCAGATTCGGGAGTAGTCCCTGAGCAGCTGGGCATAGGGAGGCCCCACCTCTTTCCACCGGGCCCTTGTCTCTGTCCTTAACCAGGACACCAGACGTCCAGGTCTTCTCTCAGCCACTCCCTTGTCCCTGCTCTGGGCCATGTTGGATATCTTTTGGGGCTTCCCCTGCCATGGTGTGGGCAGGGAGGGTTCAGGATGGCCCTGTGCCCCTGAATTCCTCGTCTCTCTGCCTCGGGCTGCAGTACCCGCTGGCCTTTGCCCTCAGTTTCAGCCGCTGGCTGTGTGCCCACCCTGAGCTGTACCGCCTGCCCGTGACGCTGAGCTCAGCAGGCCCTGTGGCTCCGAGGGACCTCATCGCCAGGGGCTCCCTAGTGAGTATGACTGGCAGTCGGAGAAGTGGGCATGGCTGTGTACTGGCCCTGGCCCCTAAACACTGGATTCCTGTAGGGTTGGGGTAAGCATTGCCCTTGCAGGAGGTGAAGAAGAGAGGCTGTGGGTGTTGGGATCCTCTTGTGAACAGAATGGGGTCATGCTTAGGCCCCAGCAAGCATTTGCAGCTTTGGCAGCTGTTCTGGTACCTTCTCCTCAGTCTCAAACCCAAGAGCTCTGGGCAGGGTTCTATGATCTTTGCCTCCAGCTTCTTCTCTTTGAGCCTCAGCTTCCTGGTCCAGAGAGTGGGCACCATTGCACTTCTTCTTGCCAGGGCCGGGGGAAGCTCCAAGTGTGCAGGAGTGCTTTGTAAACTGTGAAGCTCGGGTTCCACCCCACCCCCCGTCTGCCTTGGGCCAGGTCCTGACCCTTTCTGCGGCTACAGTCGGCTGCTGTGGGTCCCAGGCTTGGTGCTCTCCCCACAGCGGGAGGACGATCTGGTCTCCCCGGACGCGCTCAGCACTGTCAGAGAGATGGATGTGGCCAACTTCCGGCGGGTGCCCCGCATGCCCATCTACGGCACGGCCCAGCCCAGCGCCAAGGTGACCGGCCCTCAGGGCCTGGGTCCCCCAGTGGGTTTGGGGAGGGAGGGCTGAGCACTCACTGCCGGCCCTCCTGTGCCCAGGCCCTGGGGAGCATCCTGGCCTACCTGACGGACGCCAAGAGGAGGCTGCGGAAGGTTGTCTGGGTGAGCCTTCGGGAGGAGGCCGTGTTGGAGTGTGACGGGCACACCTACAGCCTGCGGTGGCCTGGGCCCCCTGTGGCTCCTGACCAGCTGGAGGTGAGGCCCCCTGCCCTCTAGGCACCCCTGCCTCCGAGGCTTCTGGGGAGTGGCCTGGGAGGGTCTTCAGAAGGCCTCACACTCCCGCAGACAGATGGAGAATCTGAGGCCCCGGGAGGAGCAGTGTCAGGGAGTGGCCAACTCAGGATTCCCACTAAAGTGCTCTGCTAACCTGCTTGGCTTTGGGGGGTGGCTGTGACCCCTGAGGCTTGGGGGGGTCAGGGATGGGACTGGAAGCCAGGGCCAGGCCTGGCCATGGCAGGCTGTGGCCTTTCAGGGCTAGCCTAGAGCCTGCCCCAGTGGCCTGTGTCCTCCCTCCTGCCCTTGCCCAGACCCTGGAGGCCCAGCTGAAGGCCCATCTAAGCGAGCCTCCCCCAGGCAAGGAGGGCCCCCTGACCTACAGGTTCCAGACCTGCCTTACCATGCAGGAGGTCTTCAGCCAGCACCGCAGGGCCTGTCCTGGCCTCACCTACCACCGCATCCCCATGCCGGACTTCTGTGCCCCCCGAGAGGAGGTGAGGGTGCTGCTCAGGCTGAGGCCTCTGGGGAGGGACAGGAGGCCTCCCTGTCTCCCCTCTGGTCTGGGCTCTGGGAGAATGAAACGACCCCAGCTTCTCTACGGGGCCCGGGAATGGTCTCACGAGGTTTTCCGATTTGGCCCAAGTGGTTTATTCACATTCCTTCCAAGCTTTGTGTGTGTGTACGTGTGTTTATTATGTGTTATAGGGTATATGTGTGTGTATTGTTATAGGTGTGTGTGTATTGGAGTGTGTATTCTGTTACGTATGTGCATATGTGTTATAAGATGTGTGTACATGTGTTTATTATGTTGTAGGGTGTATGTGTGTGTATTGTGTTATGGGTGTGTGTTATAGGTGTGTGTGTGTTATCGGGGTGTGTGTGTATTCTGTTACAGGTGTGTGTGTGTATTTGTTATAAGGTGTGTGTGTGTGTTGAGGGTGAACATGTCCAGGGTGTCCGTGGTGTGTGTGTCTCAGTTGGGGGACTGTGTATGGAGTGTGTGGGTGGTGTGTGGAATGTGTGTGTGTGTGCATGTCTTTTTATGGAGTTTGTGATGTCTCCCTTGTCTGTATTGGGGGCTGTGTGTGGAAAACCATCTTTAGGGGAGTGGTGTGGTGTGTGGTAGGGTTTGTGGAGGGGTCGTTAGGAATGTGTGTGTGTGGCATCTGTAGGTCTGTGACTGTGGGTGTCTGTATAGTGTGTGTGTTTACCGGACGTGGATCCCTGTGTGGTGCGTGTGTCTGGCGTGTGTTGTAGGTGAGCCACCGTGTGCGTGGTGCGTGTGTTGTAGGTGGGTCGCTGTGTGCTGTGTAACTGGCAATGGGGTCTGTTACCCTGCCTGAGCCCCTCCTGGCGCATCTCTTCGCGGCTCTCACTGCCTGCGGTCTGCTGCCTCCTGGTGGCCTTGTGCTGCAGGGCTCTTCTGAGGTCAGGCCCCCGTCCATGGTGGGACCAGGGCTGGGTCCAGCTCAGGTGGGTGGCAGGGCCAGCAGTCTATGTGCAGCCCAGGGGCGCAGTACACAGGGGTGACATACAGGTGCATGTCCTGCCTGATGGAGGGTGGGTACCTTGAGCCCCAGGTGCATGCTGTGTTGGCTCACACATCCTGTCCAGGTGCTTGGTGTGAGGGTGATTACGACTGCACAGGTGCAGCTGTTTACACGCACATGGTCTCATGCACCCCGGTGAGTTTTGTTTGTGTGTGCAAGCTTGGGAGCCTGACAATTTCTGGCCCGAGGACAGTGGCTGGGGCTGCCATGTGGATGGGGACCCTGTTGGGGTTTGTGCATCCAAGAGACGCCCGCTGACCCAGACCTTGCTTTTCTCGTCCAGGACTTTGACCAGCTGCTGGAGGCCCTGCGGGCCGCCCTCTCCAAGGACCCAGGCACTGGCTTCGTGTTCAGCTGCCTCAGCGGCCAGGGCCGTACCACAACTGCGATGGTGGTGGCTGTCCTGGCCTTCTGGCACATCCAAGTACGTGTGGCCTCTCAAGTGAGATTAGAGATTTGCCTGGAGGAGGGTAGACACTCAGGTCCCAGGCACACTGGCTCCACAGGAGGGTGTGAGGGGCAGAGACAGCCGGGTGTGGTCCCAGAGCCCCTTCCATCAGTCTTGGGCAGCCCCCAAGTCCTCCCCAGCAAGGGGCTCCTGGCGTTGGGAGGGGGCTTCTGTCTCAGCAGCTGTCTTCCCTCAGGGCTTCCCCGAGGTGGGTGAGGAGGAGCTCGTGAGTGTGCCTGATGCCAAGTTCACTAAGGGTGAATTTCAGGTGAGCATGCCCTGCGGGGTCCCTGAGGCACCTTGGGATGGGAGGAGGAGGAGGACTCCTGCTTGCCGGTCTAGGGGTCCTCAAAGCACGTCCCAATGCAGTCACGTCTGCCACCTCATCATATCAGTGCTTCCCTGTTCCCATTTTATAGATGAGCCCAGCAAGGCATGGGACAGCTTGGCTCTGAGGCCCTGGCAGACGGCCGGCTATGGAGATGTGGGCTGGACCCCTCCCTGCCCGGCCTTGCTGTTGGGCTGCTGTGTGCCTTGGGGAGGTCACTGGCCACCGTCTTGTCTGGGTAATGTTGATAACAACCTCCCAGCACCTTCAACCCAGCTGTGGTTGGTGACCTTGTGTGGGTCCCCAGCCTACTTTGCCCTGCCTGTTCCTCTATTTCAGATTAGGGCACTGGATGGCCAGCCACAAACATTCCAGATTTAGTCATCCATGTATTGTGCACCTGCCACATGCCACAGGCCATCTTCTCAGGCATCCCGAGAGTCGTGGCAACGTCCCTCGGAGTTGGCCCATGGCTGACCCACAGTCAGCAGCACAGTTGGCTCGTGTCTTACTGGTTAACTTCGCCACTTGCCCCTCCCCTGCCCTCGCCCCAGTCCTGAGGCCCTGACCGCCATGCAGCACCTCACACTTGCTAAGCTCTTGCAGCCTTTGCATATGCGGTGCCTTCTCCCTTCCTTCTTCTGGCTGATTCTCTGATTCTTTCCTTTTTCCTTTTCTTTATGTGGTAAAATATGCATAACATAAAATGTACCATTTCAACCATTTTTAAATGTACAGTTCAGTGGTGTTAAGTACATTCACGTTGTTGTGCAACTGTTGCCACAACCCATCTAACTCCTTCATCTTGCAAAACAGAACTCTGCTCTCCTATTCAGTAATGATTCCCCATCCTCCCTCCCAGCAGCCCCTGTTCTACTTTCTGTCTCAATGGATGTGACTACTCTAGGAATCTTCTATGAGTGGAATCGTACAGTATTTGTGTTTTATGACTAGTTTATTTCACTGAGCATAATGTTCTCAAGGTTTACCCACATTGTAATATGTGTCAGAATTTCTTTCCTTTTAGAGGCTGAATAATATCCCATTGTATGGATAGACCACATTTTGTTTCTCCATTCCTCCATCAAGGGACACTATTTGCTTCCACCTTTTGGCTGTCATGAGTAATGCTGCTATGAAATGCATAGTGCACGTAGCTGAGTCCCTGCTTTCAGTTCTTTTGGGCATATACTCAGGAGTGGAATTGCTGGATCCTATCGTAATTCTGTTTACTTTTTTGAGGAACCACCATGCTGTTTGCCGCAGTATATGCACCATTTTACATTCCCACCAGCAACACACAAAGGTTCTGATATTTCCACATCCTCACCAACACTTGATTTCTTTTTTCTGTTTTTTTTAGAGATGGGAGTTCACCGTGTTGGCCAGGCTGGTCTCGAACTCCTGACCTCAGATGATCCACCCGCCTCGGCCTCCCAAAGTGCTGGGAGCCACTGTGCCCAGCCGTTTTTTTTTTTTTTTTTTGGATAATAGCCATCCTGCTGGGTATGAAGTGGTATATTGTGGCTTTGATTTGCATTTCTCTAATGATTAGTGATGTTCAATATCTTTTTATGTGTTTATTGGCCACTTGTATATCTTCTTTGGAGAAATGTCTGTTCAAGTCCTTTGTCCATTTTTGAATTGGATTGTTGTTGAGTTTTGGTTCTTTATATATTCTGGAAACTAATCACTTATAAGAGAGGTGATATGTAAATATGTTCTCTATTCTGTGGGCTGACTTTTTACTCATTGATAGTGTCATTTGATGCACAAAAGTTTTTAATTTTGATGTAGTTTGTCTGTTTTTTCTTTTGTTGCCTGTGCCCTTGGTGCTATATCCAAGAAATCATTGCCAACTCCAATGTCATGAAGCTTCTCCCTTGTGTTTTATCCTAAGACTTTTATAGTTTTTAACTCTTAGGTTTAGGTCTTTGATCCATTTTGAGTTAGTTTTTTTTATATGGTGTGAGGTGAGGGTTATCTAAGTTTATTCTTTTGCATGTGGATATCTGGTTTTTCCAGCACCGTTAGTTCAAGAGTCTGTCTTTCCCCATTGAAGGGTCTTGGCACCCTTGTTGAAAGCCAGTTGACCATATGTATAAGGGTTTTATTTTCCAGCTGAGTTTAGTCTTTGCATCGGTGCCTTGAATGTGATGGTCAGGCCTCTCCTTCTTCACACCAGGCCCCGTGCTGGGAGCTGTGTGTACTCCCTCTGTCCCCTTTCCCAGCTCCCAGGAGGTAGGTGCTTTTACTGCTCCCAGTTTATAGATGAGAAAATGAGGCCTGGGGAGACAAGTTTATTACCCTAGGGCCACATCAGAGAGGTGGGGCTGGGGTATAAGCCAGGCTGTAGACCTCAGAGCCTGTGTTCCAAAGTTACATCATATGACCTGAAGACACCCCTGTACACCCTATCCTCACCCACCCCCAGATAATCTAGACCAGCTTCCTTTGCAATTAGTTCAGCATTTGCTGAGCCCACAGTCTGTTGGGGAGAAAGGATCAATAGAGCGTGAAGAGGCCCAGAGCAGACACTGGTTCTAAGGGCCAAGAGTGCAGCTGAGGGAGCCTGAGAGGACTTCATAGAGGAGGCAGCATTTGAGTGCCTTTGGGGAAGATGAGTGAGTATCCTTGGTGAGGAGGGGAGTGTCTGGAGGGATCAAGTGTGCAAAGGAGGGATTCTGGAAAGGGCAGGAACTATGTAAGGCTGTGATTTGTCAGAAGGGAAGCAGGCAGGACTGAGGGGTGGGGGCCCATATTGTGAAGGCCCTGGAGGTTTGCACTATGTGTTTGACCTTGACCGTGAGGCCAGGAGGGAGGCAGAGGAGGTTGTGATCAGGCTCTCAGTCTGGGGGCCCCAGCAGGCAGTTATATGTGGACTGGGGAGTGGAGGGAGAGGCAGGAGCTGAGTGAGGAGGGGCTGCAGGGTGAGCAGGAGCAGCCCAGTCCTCATTGGTAGGTCTTGAGGGCTCCTGGATGTGGGGTGAGGAGGGCACCTAGGATGACCTCGAGTTTCTGGCTTTGCAGTAGTGACAGCTGTCGATGTGGAATTCAGGGGAGGAACAGCTGCAGCAGAGGCCAGGAGTTGGGTTCCCTGTGAAGAGCTGCAGCCCTCTGTCTGAGGTGGCCCCCAGAGGACGCAGTTCCCTGCACCCTCCTGGGGACCTGCCTAGAGCTTGGGATTGGGGATGTGGACTGGACAGCTCCCTCCTACTCCCCTGGGCACAGCCTGAGCCAGATCTGCCACTAGTTCCTTCCAGACTGTTCCTTTTTCTCCTCCCACTTGGTTGCAACTCCATGCCTGCTGGGGTGCCCAGCACCAGGCCAGGACTCTGAGAAACGCAGGAGTTGGGGAAAGGCCCTTCCCTGTTCTTAAGTGGCAGCCAGAGAGAGAAGAGAGCGAGTTAGGTGTTCATTCATTCACTGGGCAGCTGATGCTGGGGCACCGGGCAGGTGCCAGGCACCACTCCAGGTGCCGGCAGAAAGCCCCTCACTTAGTGGGGAGCAGGTGTGAAAGTGGAAGCAGATGAGCAGGTGGCTGTCGACCACGGGACAGGGCGCTGTGGGGACCTTGCAGGGTGGTGGGGGTAGGTGGTGGGAGGGGTTATGGGTGATGCTGGAGAGGTAGGCTGGACCCAGTGGTGCGGGGAGCCTTTAGACCCCAGTTTCTGTGCTGAGTGTAAGAGAGCCATGAAGAGATCAAAGCCCGGGGATTATACAACATGGGTTCACATTTATACTTTCGTAAGACCTCTCTGGCCACCAGGGAGAGGGAGGGCGGGGAGGAGGTGGAGACGCTGGTCAGAAGGGTACTGCTGTGGAGGCAAAGGGGGATGGGGGTCTGGATCAGGTGCCAGCTGTAGAGAGGTGCAGTGTAGACAGATTTGGAGGGGAACTCAGCACAGGGTGGCTGGGAGGGCCTGTGGGGGAAAAGCCATAGAGTAACCTAAACAGGCTTCAGTTTTCCCAGCAGTAAGGGGCAGATTATATCATTTTTTTTCTTTTTTCTTTTTCTTATTACTCAGAGATGGGGTCTCACTATGTTGGCCAGGTTGGTCTTGAACTTCTGGCCTCAAGCGATCTCCCCACCTCGGCCTCCCAAAGTGCTGGGATTACAGGTATGAGCCACTGCACCTGGCTGGGGTGGGGAATTATATCAGATGAGTGGTGTCCAACTCTGAGCGTCTGCGCAGTGGCTGGGGGCTGCTGCAGGTTAGGAGGAGGGTGGGGAGGCTTCTTACACCCCCTCCTCACCCCTCCAGCCCTAGTACGTGACAGCTATCTGTTTTATAGATCAAAGTTCTGCATGAGGCCTCATTTGAAGCAGGATTTCTACTGCTTAAAAAATAAGCACCTCGACCAGGCGTGGTGGCTCATGCCTGTAATCCCAGCACTTTGGGAGACTTAGGCGGGTGGATCACCTGAGGCCAGGAGTTCAAGACCAGCCTGGCCAACATGGTGAAACCCTGTCTCTACTAAAAATACAAAAATTAGCTGGGTGCGGTGGCAGGTGCCTGTAATCCCAGCTACTCGGGAGGCTGAGGCGGGAGAATTTCTTGAACCTAAGAGGCAGAGGTTGCAGTGAGCCGAGATCTCACCACTACACTCCAGACTGGGTGACAGGGCGAGACTCCATCTCAAGCAAAACAAAACAAAACAAAACAAAAATAAGCACCTTAGATCAGCTTAACATTCCATGGGTGCATTGGGGTGGTTTTTGTATCATGTAATACAAAGCATACAAAATGGCAATTTGGAGTCACAGTCGTGCATTTAATATGTCTTGAACATCTTAAATGACTTATATTCCCATGGTTTTTTTTGTAGAATTATTTCTAATGTAAACCACTTCTTGATTGTGGCTCTCCTGTGAGAACTGTGTGCACTCTGTGATGTCTTTGGCTGTGGCAGTCCCGTTTTCCTAGTAACTCTATTGATGTGCTTGGACACTGAAAATCTGTGTAGTGTGCAAGACATTAAGTTGTGGATTGGTGGGGCTTATGCCACAGTTTATCAACACTTGAAAATACTGGTACTTAATATCTTCTTAAAGAACAATTTGCCTCCAAATTTTAAGCTGGAAAGTTAATGGAATAACTTTCCAGCACTTTGGGAGGCCAAGGGTGTGGATTGCTTTAGCCCAGGAGTTCGAGATTAGCCTGGGCAACATGCCAAAACCCCGTTTCTACTAAAAGTACAAGATATTAGCCAGGCGTGGTGGCATGGGCCTTTAGTCCCAGCAGCTCAGGAGGCTGGGGTAGGAGGATCACCTGAATCCAGGAAGTTGAGGCTTCAGTAAGCCCTGATCATGCCACTGCACTCCTGCCTGGATGACAGAGTGAGACTCTGTCTCCAAACAACAACAACAACAACAACAATAAATGTCAATGGAATAACTAAAAAGGAATCATAATCCATGCCTTTTTTAGATATTCGGTACAAATTCAATGTCTGTGTACTGATCCTCAACACAACCAATAAATCCCAATTGTGGAGGAAAAAGAAAAGCATCTGGGTAGCCTGGCCCCGGAGATGTTCAGGATCCCCCTGTCCTCCCTCAGTCTGAGAACTGAGGAGCAGGCAGGGCTCTCTGTTCAGCGCCTGGGCCTTAGGCCTGGTGTGGCCTTTTGGTGAGGGTGCAAGCCTGGTGCTTGGGCTGAGGGCTCTTACCAGTTTTATGTCTGCTCACCCCCCTTCTCTGGCCCCAGGTAGTAATGAAGGTGGTGCAGCTGCTACCCGATGGGCACCGTGTGAAGAAGGAGGTGGACGCAGCGCTGGACACTGTCAGCGAGACCATGACGCCCATGCACTACCACCTGCGGGAGATCATCATCTGCACCTACCGCCAGGTGAGCCCCCACCCCACCCCACCCCACCCTGCCCCAGCCACCCTTCCAGGTGTGCACAGCCAGGGAGTGGCTGATGTGGCTTTGGGGTTGCTAGGGGTCCTAGGGGCCCCTCCTTGGCTCGTGGTCACTTTTCCACCTTCTGGAAGTGGAAGTGATCCATGAGATGGACACATCCCCAGCCCCGACCCACTGGTATGGGTACCAGATTCTGGAGTGGTAGGGGAGATGCATGCAGGGGCCATGTTCAAAGCATTCAACAACTGCTGTGGCCCTAGGACCAATCAAGGATGTGGCCAATCAGAGTGAACACCCAGGAGCCCTGTGGTGCCAGGCGTTAACCCTCTTGTTTCTGGGTCCTGGCGGGGGGACCAGAGGTCCCAGACAGGAGTCAGGTAGTGGGTGGGTGGAGACCCTCAGGGTCTTGGGGTGGCTGTTTCACAACTAGCACGGAGGCTGTCATCTCAGGACGTGGGTATGTCTGTGCTGCCCTGGGGCTGGGGCTGGCTCCCAGATGGGGTGTTTTTTATCTGTAAAAATTGTTTTTAAATAACTCATTACATTATAAAAATAAAGTTTTGGCCAGGTGCAGTGGCTCACCCCTGTAATCCTAGCACTTTAGGAGGCCGAGACAGGCAGACCACCTGAGGTCAGGAGTCAGAGACCAGACTGGCCAACATGGTGAAACTCCATCTCTACTGAAATACAAAAATTAGCCGGGCATGGTGGCAGGCGCCTGTAGTCCCAGCTACTCGGGAGGCTGAGACAGGAGAATTGCTTGAACCCGGGAGGCGGAGGTTGCGGTGAGCCAAGATCGTGCCATTGCACTCCAGCTTGGGTGATAGTGAGACTCCTCAAAAAAAAAAAAGTTTCATAATAGTCCAGATTTCATGTAACCATCTGGATTTTCAGCCTATCTGGAAAGAATGTGCCCTCAAGCCTGCCTGGGTCCCCAATACTCCCTGCTCTGTTGCACTCGGCCCTACTGGACCAGTCCCATGACCACAGGCTAGTGTGGGCTCTGGAGTTTTTGGCCTGGGTCTCTGTGTGGAGTATTCACTTCTGTTCCTCTCTGGCCCATTGAATCTGATTGGCTTCTGGAACAGAGGCCGGTGCTGAGTGGGAGGGGCAGTGGTGGGAGCCGGTGGGTAGGGGGTGAGGATTCCATGGTGCTGAGAGAGGGCTATATGTACCAGCCATGTGTTCCCCACTGCTGGCCAGCAATTCTCAGAAACAGCTCTTGCCTGTGGCCCCTGCAGAGGGGGCCTGCCCCAAGCCAGCCCTATGCTCGGCTGTAGCTGTGCACACATTGGGGAAATGACTGATTGGGCCCAGCTTTTGCTCAGGGTCATGGATCAGGCCCTGATTGGGGCAAAGGGTGGATGCCTAGCTGGAAGGCAGGGCAAGGCATCTGGGGTCAATCTGGGTCTAAGATCAGAGGTCATTTGGGAGGGGAGTTTGGAGAGATAAAGAGGCTGCCAGGCCAGGGGAAGAGTGGCTCACACCTGTAATCCCAGCACTTTGGGAGACTCAGGCAGGAGGATCACTTGAGGCTAGGAGTTTGAGACCTCCCTGGGCAACATAGCAAGACCTTGTCTCTACCAAAAAAAAAAAAAAAAAAAAAAGGTCTGTTAAATGTGGGGAGGGGAAGGTGGTTAAGGAGTTTCAGAAGACGGACTTTGGTGAATTTAGGAAGAACTGTTTTCTTCAGGGCCACAGTTAGATTGGGTCCTGAGTCTCCTTTTGAGTTACCTTTGGGTCCCACTCACAATGGTCTTTTGGCAGCAATGAGCTAAGAAGCTAAGTTCCTCCCACTTTCAGAGGATGCTGAGAGGGCTGAGAATGGAAGCTTCCAGTTCAGTCTGGAAGCTGGAGGCCCAATAGTTGAAAAAGGATGCCTGCTTCAGAGCATCTTAGACCTTCCATCCCATGCTGGCCAGGCTCTGTTAGAGAGCCCCTACCTCCCTGACTCCTGAAGCTGATAGGCCCCCCTTCCTCTGAGCTCTGCAGCCCTCGATGTCCACTGCGAGGCACCCAGAGGGCGGAGCAGGGAGCGTGACAGGGCCTGAGCCGTGGGGAGACAGGAGGGCTCCCCCAGAGCTGGCCTGGAGCAGTGTCCTCAGAGACAGCCTGGGAAGGCGCATCAGGTGGGAGGGGATGCATGGCAAAGGCCAGGGGGCCGAAAGGTGCAAAACGAGTTTAGAGGCAGCAAAGGTGGTTCGGTGCCCGCATCTGATGACACAGAAGTTATTGGAGATGAGTTGGTATGGGTGAGTTGGCACTCCTCCCTGGACATTGGAGAGGGAAGGGTAGTTGGGGCTGCTAGAGGTGACTGCTTGACTCTGTTGGCATTGGAGAAGGAAGGTGGCTGGGGCTGTTAGAGGTGGTCACTCTGGCTGCCTTCTGGATGTGAAGTGTTTTTTAATGAGAGAGGAAGCAGAGCCAGCTAGGATTCTTACCCGCTCCCACCAGGTCACCCACCCCCTTTCCAAAGGCCAGGTTGGTCGTGACCTCTGCAGTGGGAGGACACAGATCCCTGAGCCCCAAGGCCCCTTGGAGGGCCCAGAGGCAAGATGTAGAGTCATTCTGGGATATGGCCACCAGGTGGTGCCAGTGACCTACCTGGCCAAATTCTTAGAGGCACTGAAGAGCAGAGGGACTGAGAGGAGACACCCTCTAGTTCAGGGGCTTGCACCCCACATGTCCAAGAGATCTGAGAGCTTTAAACCATGCTGTGGCAGAGCTCCATCCCTAGAGAGTCTGATTTAGTTGGTAGGGGTGTCTTGGCCAGGGCACGGGTCTTGTTTTTGAAGTCTCCCAGGTGATTCCAACACACAGCCAAGGCTGAGAGCCACATATTCTAAGCAGCGGCCCCCAGCTTTAGTGGGCTTCAGAATCACATGTTAGACTTGTTAAAATGCAGGCTGCTGGGCCCCACTCTGGAGCTTCTGATTCTGTAGGTCTGGAGGTCTAACACACTCCCAGATGATACTGATGCTGGCGGGGACCACACTAGGGGATGTATACAATTCACGATGTATACAATTCATGTGCCATGCAATTCACTTATTTATGGTGCACGAGTCCCTGGTTTTTAGTACATTCATAGAGTTGTGCATCCAGCACCACATCAAGTTTAGAACATTTTTCATCACCCTAAAAAGAAACCTCACACCCGCTAGCAATCGCTTCCCCTCCCCCACCATCTGGCAGCCACTGATCTTTCTGCCTCTGTGGATTTGCATGGTCTGGCCATTTCGTATAAGTGGAATCATACACCATGTGGTCCTTTGTGTCTGGCTTCTTTCACTTAGCATAATGTTTGAAGGTTTATCCGTGTTGTAGCATGTATTATTACTGCATTTGTATGGCTGAATAATATTCCATTGTATAGACATATCCCATTATGTCTGTCTGTTTATCAGCTGATGGACATTTGGTTTGTTGTAGAACTTTTTGGCTATTATGAATAATGTTGCTGTGAAAATTCATGTACAAGTTTTTGTGTGAACGTATGTTTTCATTTCTCTTGGTTATATACCTAGGAGTGGAATTGCTGGATCATATGGTAATTCTGTGTTTAACCTTTTCAGGTTAACCACCGTGAGTTGGTGGCTGAGTGGGGATGAGAGGCAACGATCTTCACTCCCAGCCCACGCTCCTCCCCAGACCATGTTGTCCTTGACCCAAGGATCTCATCCATGTTGCCCCAGTGGGCTGCAGGGAGATGTGCGGAGTCTCTAGAAAGGCAGCGGCCCCTACCACCCCTTCTCTCTAATGGTGACTTCTGGAAATTGGCAGCTGGGTCTCACCTGTGGTATCAGCTGTTTATTTAAACTTCTGCCCTCTGGTTTCAAACCAGAAGTCCCAGGTGGCCTCCAGCAGGGTCTGTGGTTCTTTGCTCAGAGCCGGGTGCTGTCCATGCAGAGGGTGCCATCAGCCTGGTCAGATCCCCCACAGCCTCTGGATGTAAATGGACCTGAGCTCAGGCTTGGGTAGGGCTTTATCCCCTCCATCGGCTTAATTTGCCCGGGAATGTTCTAGGACCAGTCCACATTTGGCCCATCTGAAGTTTTCCAAAATCCCAAGAGTCCACTTGGGATCCTGAAATTCAACAGCATGTGTCTGCTTGGCTTCCTGCCCCTCACTCCCCAGAGCCCCCAAATGGTGAATTTCCTTTTCCTGGCCCCCTGCCGGCTTCAGCAGTCAACTTATACTTTAGTAATAAGCAGTGAAGAACACAGCTCCTGTGATATGGCATTTGTGCTTCTTCAGCAATAAAACTATTCCAGGGCCCTCAGTTGGGAACAGTGGAAGAATTTGGAGGTCAGTTTCCTGTTGTGGATCAGAGAGGAGGGCTCAGAATGTACATGAATCTTCATCTGCACCCTGAGGTTGCACAGCAAGAATAAGGACAGTAAGTACCAAAAGCTTAGGTGGCTCAGGTTGAGCAAAGAGTCTCCCAGTCTCCCAGAATCCTGCCAACTCAGCGATGATTTTACTTTTGCCCGTTTCCTTCTGGGCTTCGTGCACTTGCATGCAGCTCTCTGGAAGCTGTGATTGTGGCAGGCCCACGGGACGTCTCTCGCCACTCACCTAGGCTGTGTTTATGCATTTCAACATGTGCCCAGCCAGCATGTGCTGCCTCAGTGCTGGGCCCTGGGCGGACACTGAGTAGGGACCGGTGATGAAAGGTGCGCAGAGCTGACGTTCTCGTAGGGCAGAGAGAGGCAAAATTAAGCAACAGCTCCGGCTTCTGGGCATTTTGTCGTGTTTGCTGAGGAGCCCTTACATCATCGCATTCCGTGTTCACATTCCATGCAGTGAGTGGAAGTACTGTTTCTCATGCTGTTGCTGTGTGTAGCACGCGCGGCCCTTCACATTCTTTCCTGTCGTCTTCTGGGATGGGGGGTGATGTGGACCTCGTAGCGCATGTGGCTTTTCCGTTGTGTGGATTATTTTTGTAAAGCTGATACTTAGAAGTAGAATTACTGAATGAGTCAAAACTTAGGAACTTATATTTTTAAGTATTTTGGAATGTTTCAAACAGAAAATTTCAAAGCAGAGAGCATAATTTCCTCAGCCCTCATGTGCCCACCTCCCAGCTGCAGTAAGTACCCATCTCAGCCAGTCTTATTTTATCTCAAGCCCTCCGAGCTCTCACTGAATTATTTTAAAGCACATCGCAGTCCTCATGTTACTTCTTCTGTGCATATTTCAGTACGTACCTCTAAAGAAGGGGGATCTTTTAAAGAAGGCAGTCACACCGCCATGATTGCCTCTTAAACAATGGACAGTCGCTACTTACCAGCAAACATCTGGTCAATGTTTAGATGTTTCCACTAATCTCACAGGCTTTTTGCAGCTGGATCAGGATCCAAACAAGATCCACATGTTGCATTTGGTTGACGTGGCCCTAAGTCTCTTTTAATCTCATACAGTTCTCCTTTTCCCCCCTGAAATATATTTGTGAGGTAAACTGGTTGTCTTCCTGGGCTTCCTGGAGCTAATTTTCCTAGTTGCACCCCTAGGTTTAAGTTGGCCTGTGCTTCCTGGAAATGGTTCGCATCCAAGGCTTCATAAGATTCCGGCTCAGTGTGGCCGGAATGGTTACTGGGGGTGCCGTATGCTGCTGTTGGGGCTGGAAGATCCTGTCGTCTCTCCTATTATGACTGGCTTGCAGCAGTGTGCATCGCCAGCTTGCAGAATGGTGATCTGCTGGCTCTCTCATTCCATCTACATTAATTAACTGCGATACTTCCAGAACGAGAGACTTCCCCTCAGGTGTGTTGGGGACAGACAGGCAGGTTCCATGTTTGCTGTTTCCTTTGATTTCCCTGTCTCCAGTGGATGGGTTGGTTTGGGAGATGCTTGTCTAAAAATGAGGGAAAGATGTTGGCTTCAGCAAGGCCTAATGTTCCTCCAGATTTGGATGTGGCTGGAGTCTGTGAGGAGAGTCTGGGTGACTGGAGTGAGAGCCAGCAGGGAGTGGGATGGGGTAGAGGCTCATGCGGAGGGACAGGGAGTCACTAGAGACCCAGTGCCGGCCACACATGTCCTGACATCTCCTTAGCCAACTTGGAAGTAGTCCGAGAGGTGCCCATGCTGGGCTGATAGACATTTTTACGACCACCGTCCTCACTTTGCCTGTGTGTGATAAAGGGTGTTCTAATGTTGGTTCCGGTTTTACATTTGAGGAGGGAGGCACTGAGCTTGCCCAAGAACACACAGCTGGCAGATTTAGGAGGGGGACAAGACCCGGCCCCTGACTCCCAGATTGAGCCTCTCTGCCATGCCACATGGCCTCTCAAGCGGGCGGAGGCACCATTTCACCTCTCCCTGCCCACCTTGAGCCCTGCTGCAGGGAAACAGAACTGGAAGCCATGGTCCTTGCCTTTGAGGAAGTCGCAGACTGACCAGGAGAAGGACAAGGACAAGAACACATCCCAGACACAGGTTGTGGGTGCAGCTGGGAGGTAGTGGAGCCAAGCCTGGGGACATATTTTCCACTGGGACAGACCTTCCCTGAGGGAACAGCCTCGACCCTTCTCTCTATGCCTGTCTCAAGCAGCCCGACTTCACGGGGCTGCAGCCCACGGCGGTGCCCCTCTGTTCTCCAGTGTCTGCAAGGTTGAGTCAAGGCTTGGATGCCTCCTGCATGTGAAGGGGCCAGATGCTTGGGGCATTTTAAGAACTGCCTCAAGGCCATGCACTCTGGCTCATGCCTGTAATCCCAGCACTTTGGGAGGCCAAGGTGGGAGGATCACCTGAGGTCGGGAGTTCAAGACCAGCCTGGCCAACATGGTGAAACCCTGTCTCTACAAAAAATACAAAAATTAGCCGAGCGTGGTGGCGCACACCTGTAATCCCAGCTACTCGGGAGGCTGAGGCAGGAGAATCACTTGAACCCTGGAGGCAGAGGTTGCAGTAAGCCGAGATCATGCTGCTGCACTCTAGCCTGGGTGACAGAGTGAGACTCCATCTCAAAACAAACAAATAAACAAACAAACTGCCTCAAAAGGAAAAAAGAAAGAAAACCCATTGAACTAAGCCACTTCCAGCGCTTTGGACGGAAGTTAGAATGCCGGGCCCTGGCTGAGGAGAATCCAACATGGCCGCCAGCCCAGGGCGGTGACACCCGCAGCAGACTTCGTTGTTTCCTTTTGGGCTTGGAAAGGGAAAATATTTATGACAAAAACCAAAGTCAGGGCACCTGGAGGAAGCCCTGCTAGAATCATTAATGCCAGCGACACTTTTCCTGGGCTTTGCCTGGTGACGTTAATTCTTAGTGTTGGGTTTTTAAAACAGCCTGTGTCTCCTGTTTTCCTTTCAGAAGAGTTTGAAGAACAGCTGAGGTGAAGGGAGCCACACAGGGAGAAGGAAACATCCTCTGGTCTCAAAGCGAGATTTATTGTATAAAGACTGTAGTGCTTTAACTTTGAGCAGTGCTTTTTGAGCCTCCCCTCCCCTCTCCTCCCCTCCCCCTCCTCCCCCTCCCCTCCCCCTCCTCCCCCCTCCCCTCCCCCTCCTCCCCTCCCCTTTCTTTGAGACAGAGCCTTGCTCCGTAGCCCAGGCTGGAGTGCAGTGGCACAACCTTGGCTCACTGCAATTTCTGCCTCCCAGGTTCAAGTGATTTTCCTACCTCAGCCTCCCAAGTATCTGGGATTACAGGTGCCTGCCACCACCACTCCCGGCTAATTTTTGTATTTTTACTAGAGCCGGGGTTTTGCCATGTTTCCCAGGCTGGTCTCAAACTCCTGGACTCAAGTGATCCACGAGCCTCGGCCTCCCACAGTGCTGGGATTACAGGTGTGAGCCACTGTACCTGGTTGCTATTTGAGTTTTCTAAGAACTCACCTTTTGTCTTTTGTGGTCCTCAGACAGATGGTGAGAACAGGACAAATTTTATTAGACCCATTTGACTGAGAAGAAACTGAGGCCTAATGAAGTTTTGTGATTGGCTGGAGGCTGGACCAGAAGCTGGTTCCCAACTCCTCGACTTGCATCCCTTTTCTGCCGCTGTGGCAGCCACGACCCGGGGGCAATCTTGTGGTGGCAGAGAAGGGAAGCGTTGGCAGGGAAGCTGCCAGCCGCTACTGTGTGACTGCCTGGGTTGGTGCAGAGTTGGTCCTGCGACCAAAGGAGCTTCCAGGAGGTCAGAGAGACCAGCTCCGTGCCCCAAGGGCTGAGGTCATTTCTTAAGAAAAAAGACCAGAGAGCTCTGGCTCTGAGCCCCAGGCAGGGTCTTTCTCAGCCTCTTGAAAACTCTGGCTGTTGGCCGGGCGCAGTGGCTCCCGCCTGTAATCCCAACACCTTGGGAGGCTGAGGCGGGCGGATCACTAGGTCAGGAGATCGAGACCATCCTTGCTAACACGGTGAAACCGCTTCTATACTAAAAATATAAAAAATTAGCCGCGCGAGGTGGCGGTCACCTGTAGTCCCAGCTACTTGGGAGGCTGAGGCAGGAGAATGGCGTGAACCCGGGAGGCGGAGCTTGCAGTGAGCTGAGATCGCACCACTGCACTCCAGCCTGGGTGACAGAGTGAGACTCCATCTCAAAACAAAACAAAACAAAAACCCTGGCTGCCAAAGTTGTTCCCCAGAGACATGGTTCCAATAAGTAATGTGTCTTGGGAGCAGGGCTGGAGCAATTAGGGCAGCCCTGCAGTGCTATGAGCTGTCACATAAAATAGAACCCAAGCAAAGGCTGCTTACTAGGCTCTTTCACTTGAACCCAGCCTAGAACGGCTTCCAGAACGGAGTGTGTGTGTGAGTGTGCATGTGAGTACCCGTGTGCTTTTGTGTGTGTAGGGCACATGTTCTCAGTAGCCGAGACCTCTCTCTCTCTCTCTCTCTCTCTCTCTGTCTCTGTCTCTCTGTCTCTCTTTTTGAGATGGGGTCTTGCTCTGTTGCCCAGGCTGGAGTGCAGTGGTGCAATCATACCTCACTGTAGCCTCAACCTCCTAGGTTCAGGTGATTCTCCTGCCTCGGCCTCCAGAGTAGGCAGCACTACAGAGATGCGCCACCAGGCCTGGCTAATTTTTTTATTTTTCTGTAGAGACAGGGTCTTTGCTGTGGTGCCCAGGCTGGCCTCAAACTACTGGGCTCAAGTCATCCTCTCGCCTCAGCCTCCCAAAGTGCTGGGATTACAGGTGTGAGCCACCATACCTGGCTGCTGAGACCGCTCATCTCTCTTCCTTCCCATTGTAGGGCAAGCTGGTATTTCCATTCTCCAGGAGGACTTTCCTGCTTTATTCAACAACAAACATCCATTGAGCAGCTATGGTTTCTAAGTGTGCACCACTGGGCTTAGAATTGTTGATGGGCTTGAGGGGATTAATCTCAACTCCAGCACCACCGCCTCCTTCACCCCCTGGGTAATCCCGAGACCCTGACTTGGTGCCTGCTGCTCTCATTGTCCCGATTGTGGTTGTTACCAGAGGTCCTTGTTTCTGCTGCAAGATCCACCTCTGAAACCCTGACTCCAGGACCCTGCCTGGCACAAGTAGGGGCTCCACAAATGTCTTTCTAGTGAGTGGATGGAGGGAAGGTTGAGTAAATCATTGCATAAATAAATAGGAAAACCTGACTCTACCTTTATTATTAACTATTAGTCTTCCAGGACAGAGCGTTCTTCTGCAGCAAGCAAAAGAGCCCTGGGTCAGGGGTTGGAAGCCCTGGCTGCAGCCCTGGCTCTGCCAGTAACTCCCTGTGGAACCTTGGGCAAGTCACTTTGGCCTGCTGGACCCCTGTTTTTCCATCTGTCACCTGGAGTTGTTACCCTTGCTCTGTGTGCTTTGAGGGATGGTGGTGAGGACCAGTCTGGGGCCCATGGCAGGTGGGATGGGGTGTGGGGTGTGCAGGGTGGCTGGGCTGCCAGGCAGGCTCTATGGGCTACATGCGGACACAGTGGGCCTCTTGAGGAACGAGACTGTGTCCTCTCAGCATTGAATCTCTGTGCCTGGCCTAGAGGTGCTGCTGAACAGCGTCTGTTGAACTCACAGCATGCAGAGTGGCCCACGGCACCAGGTCAAGTCCCTTCACACTTTGAAATTACTTAACAAAATATGATGTCACCTTTGGAAAATGGGTTACTGGTAGGGATTGAGGGCAATTTTGTCCTTCCAGGGGTTAGGTACAGAAAAGCGTCCTGTACTGGGGCCCCACCGCTGGGCTGGCCTGAGGATGCAGTTTGCAGGGACTCGGTGGGGACCCACCACACGCAGCGGCTGGTGCTGCACGTGGGAAGAGGGTGGGCTGCCAGCCCTGGAACCTGCCCTTCAGCCACTGGCCATCTTTGGGGACTGTCACTTGCCTCCCCACCTCAGCTGGAGGCAGAGGTCACCAGGCCAGGTTTCTTTCTGTTGAGTGGGTGAGCGAGGGGATACTAAGGAGTCTTCAGTAATGGCAGGGGGTGGCAGGGTGGGGAGTGTTGCTGTCTGGCTTGGCTTGATGAAGACCCTGAACCTGGCCTTGTTGGCTCTTCCTTTTTTTTTTTTTTTTTTTTAGAGACAGAGTCTTGCTCTGTCACCCAGGCTGCAGTGCAGTGGCGCAGTCATGGTTCACTGACTGTAACCTCTGCCTCTTGGGCTCAAGTCATCCTCCCACCTCAGCCCCCAGGCCTGAATGACTGGGGCTACAGGCATGTGCCACCACACCTGCCTCTTTTTTGTTGTTGTTTTGGTAGAGACAGGATCTTGCTCTGTTGCCTGGGTTGCTGGCTCTTCTTATTTCTCCTCTGGGGCTGTCTTCTCCTGAGCCTCAGCTGAGTCCAGGTCTTCAAGCATGTGGCCTCCTCGGTGGACAGGAGGCCTGGGTTCCTGCTTGGGCTCTGTTGCCTACTCTCCATGTGACCATGGCAGGTCATTTCACCTCTTTGACCTCAGCCTCCCTTTCTGGAAGGCAAAGGGGTTGGCACAGGCAACCGAGGTGTCCTGTGAAGCTGGAATGAATGAAAATGCAAGGTGCACATGTTTGTCATTCATTGATTTGACAAACGGTTATTACACACCTACTAAGTGCACTGCGCTAGGTGCTGGAGATGCCATACAAAGGGCAAAAGCTCCCGTCCTCATGGAGTCTGCACTCTAGTGACGGAGATCTGCGGCAGGCAGCACACACATCAGGGCCGTGGTCTGTTGGACAGCGGGGTATCCGTTGGGAGAAGCGGAGCCTCTAAGTGTCACATGTTGCAACTATCTGAGGCTGGTATTACACGGGGAGTAAGAAGAATTTTAGCAAATTCTTGTAAGAATTTGCTAAAATTCTTCTTACTAAAGAAGGTACAGAAAGGCACGTTTTAAGAGAAAGTATGTAAAAGGTAAAGAAAGGCAGATTTTTAGAGAAAGTATGAAAATACATTGCAAGGGTGCAGTGGGCAAGTTAGCAAGAGAAGTGCTGGTTGCAAGGAGACAGAGGCTGGCTGGGGATTTTTTAGGACAGTGCTTGTGCTGTTTGCTGAAGAGGGCTTTGTGCAGTACTGATAATGCCGAGGTTGCAGTGAGCTAAGTTGCATTTTTCTATCAGCCGAGGGTCTGGTGATAGCTGGGCACTGGAAGATTGTGTCATTTGCGTAGGAGGGCCGTGTCCCTGGACCATGAAGAAAGGCAGACTTGGAGCTTATCTGCTTTCTCTCTTTGCTTTCTCCTGGTCCCGCCAGCCTTACCCCTTTCCCTAATTAGGACTCCACAGTTATGAGGTGCCGACGGGGCGGTATGAGGGCTTGCAGTGAGGGGTGGTTAGGCAGGGACTCCATGAGAAGGTGGTGTTGAACAGACCTGAAGGAGGAGCTGTGCTGGCATCCGGGGGAAGAATGGTTCAGACAGAGGGTGTGGCTTGCGTGCAGTCCCCGAGGTGGGAGCTGTGTGTTTGAGGAGCAGAGCTAGGGAACTGGAGGGCAGGAGAGGAGGGTAGAGGTTATGGGGACAGGAGGCAGACTGTGGGGCCTTTTCTGGGATTGCTGGGACTTTGGCTTCTACTCTGAGTGCAAAGGAAGAAATCACAGGGTTTTGGGCAGACGCTTACTGTTTGTACAGTCATTTAGGTGCTGTGTTGAGAATAGACAGCAGGGGGCGGGAGAGGTGGCAGGGGGCCAGCCAGGGGCTGTCGCTGAGTCAAGGGTGTCTGGGACCAGGGTGGTGAGAGGCGGTCAGCCTCTGGAGGTGTTTCGAAGTGGAGCCAGTGAGGTTTCCTGACTGACTGGCCGTGGGGTTGAGAAGGGCGAAGTGAAGGAGGAGTCCCGGGTTCTGGCCTGTGTACCTGGGAGGTTGGAGTTGCCACTGAGATGGGCAGGCTTATGGACGCAGCAGGTTTGGGGTGTGCTCAGGAGGTTCACTGGGACATGCTTTGTGGGTTTGGGCTGCCTGACCCTTATCCATGCGGAGCACTTGAGCTGCTGGCATGTCCAGTCTGCAATCCTCAGAGTCTGTCTAGGATCTGGATTCAAGATGATACTAGAAGCTGTGAGCCAGGACAAGAGGGCCTGGGGAGGAGTGCTCACTGAGCGCCTGCCACATACCAAGTTCTCTGCAGACCCCCAGGGCGGTGGGGAGAAGGGGGAGGTGTAAACCTGGTTATTGGCTGGTGCCCGCCCCTGGGTTTATGGTTGTTTTGAGACAGCCCCTGCCTTGATGAAGCAATTAGAATCTGTTAAGATGGAATTTAGTGCAATGTTTAATTGAAAGGTTCAGCCTGAGGGCAGAGGAGGCTAAGAAGGGCAGGGCTGTTGGGCTGGAAGGCCCGGAGCAGGCTTGCACTTTGGGAGAGTGGGGGCTTGTCATAGGCCTGGAGGGAACCCGACCAGGCAGGAGGAACAGCATGGGTGAAGGTACAGAGACAAGAGTGAGCAGGGAGTGGTGGGCTTGACTGTGGCCAAGTGGGGGAGGGTGGTAGGAAGAGCTGGGGTCTTGGGGCTCATCTCCCAGCTCAGAACTCTGAGTTTGGGCAGGATGCCTACTCTTTGAAGGGTTAACTAAGCATGTGCTAAACAAACAAATAAACAAACAAACCAAAAACAACCTTGCTGAACCTCATCTGCAAAATGGGACAGTCCCGCCTCCTTCACTGGGTTGCTAGGAGAATGTGTTAGGGTCTAATCCTCAGGTCAGGATGTGACGCGCTCGGCCCGCAGGTGGCACTCAGTAGACCCTGACGCACGTGTTCTGCTTGTGTGGTAGCCTGGGGAGGCTCCCCAGCCCTGCCTCAGTGGGCCTCTCCCTGGTGGCCCGGCAAAGAGCAGAGCTTCATGAGAGCCCCTGCTGGCACTGCTGGGCTGCCTCGATGCCAGCCAGGCCGGAGGCTTGAGATGCCCGAAGTACCCAGTGCCCCGGCCACCTCTCCTGGCCCTCTTCTATTTTAGGGCTCAGTCCAATGGATGAGGAAGCCTTGTCCGGCTCCACCACAGCTAATGACAGCCTGGCAGGCCGTATATAAACAGCTCCACTATTTTTATCAACAGGAGGTGGCTGACCCGTCCTCCCCAGGCAGTGTGCTAACATGGGGGACGGTGTTAAGGAAACCAGGGCCTTGATAGGAAGATGGGCAATTGTCTCAAATCACAGACCTGTGATCCAGCAAGATGTGCCCTCGGAACCTTCTGGGGGCGGGGGTCAGGCGTCACCTGTACACAGTGGTCTGAATTTGGAGATAATTCTACCTTTGCCAGTAGAGCTCAGAAGGAGCCACTCCACCTCTTACCCCAGAGAATCTTTCTCAGACCTAATCCTTACCCGTGTCTCTTGCAACAGGCAGCCTCCATCCCCACGGCTGTGGGAGAGGATCGTGCTGGTGCGGTCGTGTCCATGGCACAGAGCCAGAGCTGAGGGCGTTTCACGCCCATAGCACATTGCCTCTGAGCTCTTTAATTGAAAGCAGTTTAGAATGGCTCTTGCCCGGTGGAACTGTGGGTGATTTCCTTTTCTTCCTTCTAAGAAAATGTTTTGAAATAGGCTCCAGGCTTTCGGATGGAGCTTGGGGAAGGATAGAAGCAGCCTAAGGGGTGGGGTGGAGAGCGGCCAGTTGCATTGTGGCGCAGACCGTCCATCCTTGCAGATAGGTGGGGTTGCGTTGTATTGGCTGCGGTTTATATTTAGGTAAAATCTTTGTTGTTGTTGTTCACTCCCCAGTCTCTAAGCAAATCCTGCCCCCAGCGGCCCCAGCACTTCTGTGGCAGCCATGGGCCATTCCCGCCCTCAAATCCCCAGAAACCCTCACTGGCCTCTGTCTGCAGGGCCAGGCCTTGGCTTGGCCTCCATACCCACTCCAGGCCTGGCCTCTCACCTTTACCCCTCCCCTACCGCCATGAGCTCCTCCCACTCTGCCCACCCTGGGAGGGGGTTCCCTGGGGACTCACCTCATTCTCGGGCCCCCTTCCTGCCTTTCATGCCCTCCGCCACTCAAGGCACCATTCTGCCTCCTCTCTGTAGACCTCACCCACCCTAGATGTCCCCTCTTCCTTGAGCCTGCAGCTGCTGTGGCTGCTTTGAAATTATTTCCATCCCCCTCCAGGCACGGAGGGCAGGGCCTGTGAGTAGTTCATCTTTGCATCCCCAGTATGTGGCTTGGGTGATGGGCACGGTGTAGTGGTCCCTCCCTGCTGGATGGATGAGCGGATTAGTGAGCTTTCTGTGGTGCACACGTGCCTTCTCATCCCTCACTTTGCTGAGAAATCCTACTTCCATAAACCTGGGGCCTGTGAGTTTAAATGGCAGAACCAGGACCTGAACCCAGCTCATGGGACTCATGTCTCCCAGGGAGTCACAGTGCTGGCTCTGGTCCCCTCGCCCCTCTTGGGCACAGCCTGCTGTCCACCTTTCACCCCTGTCCCCATCTCCAGGGCCCCAGAGCTCCTTCTGGATGGATGGGTGGGCAGGCTTTGCAAGTTACCATCTACTCTGCGACCCTGGAGGCAAAGACAGCAAAGGCCGTGGAGGTAGAAGTGGGAGGTTGGGGACCACAGGCCCTGCTCAGGCTACTCCAGCTCTGATTCCTGGGACTGTGGACTGTGCCACGTCTGAGGCCGCAGAGCCCACCCTGGGGCTAAGGAGGAGATGCATGTAGGCTGATGTTGTGTTCCTGTGCGGAAGGGCTTCCAGCTGCAGCCCAGCTGTGAGGAGAGCAGCCCTTTCCGGCTCCCAGAGGCTGGGGCTTGCTGTGCCCTCGCACAGATGTTCCTGGTGCCCGAGGGATGACCCCTGTGCCACGTCCTCTTCCTGGAGCAGGGAGAGCTGCTGTGGGTTTGGGGGATGGGGTGAGAAGGGGATGGGTGTGAGGCGAGGTGTGGCCTTCGCTTTCCAAACTCCCCTTCCATAGCGTGCAGGGGAGGGTGCTGGGTGGGTGACATGTCTGTGAGGGGTGGAAGGAGCAGGGTGGGCAGGGTGCCCTGTAGGAGAGCCTGGCTGTGCATGTCCTGGGCCTTATCCCCTGGCCTGTGGCCTGTCCCCTGACTCCCCAAATCATGGAGAACCTAGAAGGGACCCTCTTTAAGTTCCCTTCCTCCTGAGCACAAATCTCCCATACATCTTCTGTTAACAAGTCACTCATACTCTCAAACCCTCAGTGGCTCCCCAGTACTGAAGCCATAACGTGTAACCTTAGCTATAGAGAGTCACCCAGAGGGATTTTGACAATCCCGATGCCCAGGCTACACCCTGCTGAGATTCTCATTGGATTTTTCTAAGTGGGGCCCAGGCATCTGCATTTTAAAGTTCCTCATGTTTCTCATGGACAGCAAGGTTGTGAACCGCTGACCTGGGATAAACTTTCTAGGTGACAGGTGGCTTCCATAATAGATCCAGCCCAGCTCCCCGTCTTGTCCCTCCTCATCCTCCCTCCAGCCAGGCCAGCCCCTCTCAGCCCCCAAACTCCAGGCAGCAGCCTCACCTCTGTTTCCCCCATCTGGTCCACGTTCTGTCTGTGCAAATCCACCAGGCCTCCACGGCCCAGCGGCACTCCCACACTCTCTGGGAAATCTCTCTTTAATTGGCTTTGCTGTCCCTCTCCGCCCCAGCACGTGGCCTGGTGCCATTTCCCATGAAGATGCTCAGGCTTGCTTGCTTAAAAGATCGATGCCCCACAGCCTCCCCTGCACCCACACATCCTCTCCCAACCCCTCTCCTGAGCCACTTCCTCTCTTGCTGCTCCTTGGCCAGGTGGCCTTTCTCTGTTACCTGTCCCCAGCCTTGGAGAGGGTGAGGGCTGGGGGATCTGAGGGCTTTATGTGTACCCCTTTCACTTTTGGAAGTCACTTAGGGACCTTTGGGCTCAGAGGCCAAGATGGGGTTTCTCCCCTTCAAGGCTGGAGGATGAACTCACCCACCCAGTAGGCCCAGTGTAGGGGTGGATTGAGGGGAGGAGATTGATGTGCGTCCACACGGCAGAGCCTCGAGAATGTAGCCTTGATGACCCCTGCCATCGGCGCCTCCCAGGCCACTGGTCAGAGCCCTCATACCCTCGCCGAGGGAGGCCTGAGGGGCAGCAGAGAGAGGAGTGAAGCCTTTCCTCTGATCCTTGGAGGATTGGGGGTTGGCAGGAAGTGGCAGTAAGGGTCCTCCCACCCTGGGCATCGGTCCTGCCGTGTGGGAGGGCCTCAGCATACCTCAGGCGCCATGCAGGGTATCTACAATGAGCTCTCCTGCTGTCCCTGTTCACCCCTCAGAACAGGACAGTGGTTATGATTCCATGGCGAGGAGAGGGATGCTCAGGGAGGCCAGGAGGCTTGCCATGCCTCTCAGGTAGGAAGTGGGCTCCTGACCCGCGGCCCTGGCTTGCTCCATTGCTTGTCCTGTAACCCAGGTGGAAGCAACGCCCTCAGCTCTGAGGCTGGATCACCCTGCCCTGGCACTCAGGGCAGCAGGGTGGCATGTTTGTGTGTTGGGGGACACGGATCCCCCCACACTGACCCCACCCTGTCCTGTCCTCCAGGCGAAGGCAGCGAAAGAGGCGCAAGAAATGCGGAGGCTGCAGCTGCGGAGCCTGCAGTACTTGGAGCGCTATGTCTGCCTGATTCTCTTCAACGCGTACCTCCACCTGGAGAAGGCCGACTCCTGGCAGAGGCCCTTCAGCACCTGGATGCAGGAGGTGAGGGGAGGCTGAGGCCGAGAGGGGCCGGGGCGATGGCTCCTGCAGATGGAGCTGGGTCACAGCCACTCAGTGCCTGTACATGGCCTGCGGGGACCCCGTGACAGGCGGGAAGAGCCCCCATCCCCCTTTCTGCAGGAGGCTTCTGTTTGGCCAAGAGTTTGTCTAATCTGACTTTGGGTCCCGAGCAGTTTGTCTGTGCCTGGCAGGCAGTTGATGAGTTTGATGAATGAACAAATGAATGAGGAGGAGGGAGGGGACAGAGTGGTGAGGGACAGAGCAGGGCAGCCTCTGGGGGTGGGACCCTGTCACCACAGCCACCCTTGCGTGCATGACAGCTCTGGGCCCACCTGGGCACTTCATGCCCACAATTGTGGTCAGCCCTCACCTGTGCTCCGCGAGGGCCTAGGGTGAGGCTGTAGTGGCCCTGCCCCTTTCTCCCTCCAGCCGTGACCTTGGACCAGTGAGCCAACTCCTCCACAGCTGCTGGCCTTAGCACTAACATGGAGGTGATGTGGATCCTGTGGGTGCCAGCCCTGAAGGCTGCGTTGGGGACTTGGGGAGACATACAGTGCCATCTGCTGGAGCCTGTACTAGGCAGGTCTAGCACACTGTGATTGTCGCTCTCCCATTTTACAGAGGCAGAGACTGAGCACAGAGAGGGTGGGTGACTTGTTCAAGGTTGGCATTAGGGCTGATTGATTGGCTCCAGAGCCCACTGTATCCTGACCTAAGACACCTCCCTTGCTGTCCGGCCTCCTGGATCCTCTCTGTTTGGCCTCCTGGCTCTTCTTGCACTCAGTTGTTTTAGAGGCAGAGCTGCCACCTTGGCACCTCTAGGTCAGAAGAGAGGCCTCCTTCCCTCCTTGGCAAAGCGGCCTGTAATTACTCCTCTGCCAGGAAGCTGGCCCCTCCAGACCTCACCAGCAGATCCTGGCAGTTCTAATCTGGACTGGAGGCTGGAATTAGCTCCTGGGAAGTGGGTGGGTGGAGAGCAGGGGCCGGTGACCTGGCCAGAGTGGGCACAGGAAGGGTATGGGGGCTGAGGCAGGTGTGAAGTGGACTCAGGGCTATGAAGGAGTGGAGGCAGAGTGGCAGGCTTTGAGGGTGGGCCTTGGGACGTCAGGTGGAGAAGCATTTGAAATGCCCCCGGTGCATGTGATGTGTGTTGAGTCGGGAGACCTGATGGGGTCACACCAAGGCCATGTCGGGGTGCCTTCTTGAGCAGGCCTGGGCTCAGCTTCCTCTGCGAGCCCCTGGGGAGGGGTGGAGGTGGAAGGGGATGAGGACACTTCCTGCTTGGGTTCTGCTTGGAGAGCAGAAGTTGGGGGAGCCTGGGGCCGAGAGGAAGCTTGATCCCCTCCCCAGCTGAATCCCCCACTGGGGCTGGGGGAGGTCAAGAAAGGAGGGCTGCCGGTCCAGGCAGAAGTGTGGGTTCCAGCCTCGGGACCTCAGCCCCTCTCTCCTGCGGATGAGTGGAGGGTAGCAGTGAGGGAGGCCCCAGAGCGGGACGGACCCATTCCTTTGTTCTAAGTGGAGGCTGCACCCTCCCCTTCCCCAGGATGGTGGAGAGAGAAGGGGACTGGTTGTGGATGGTTTGAGTCTGGTGCCAGGGTCTGGGCTGCTGGGCGGCAGGGCTGAGTGTCCAGGGGTGCCTCCAGCTAGCCCACCTGGGGCAGAGGCCATAGCCTTACCTGCCCCTGCATCCACGTTCTTCCTCCAGCCCTCCCTTTAGGCCCTGCTCCTGGGCGTCCACGTGGGAGCATCGAGCTGCACAGGGCCCAGTGTGTGCCTGGCCTCCCTCGCTGCTATCTGTGTGGAGCACTCACTGTCTGCCCAGTACTTTCTGTATGTGTAGAGTCCTCCTTGAGACAGTCCTGTGAGGTAGAGTCTTTTCCTTGCTATGAGGAAACTGACGCTCAGAGAAGTTAACAGAAGTCAAGGTGCAAACTTGTTCAGGTCACCAAGTTCACAGGCCACAGACTCATCTTCAGAACTCAGTGGCCTTAGTGGCACCCTCCCTCCCCTGAAACACTGCTCCTGCCTCTGCTCTCCTCCCAGGTGGCATCGAAGGCTGGCATCTACGAGATCCTTAACGAGCTGGGCTTCCCCGAGCTGGAGAGCGGGGAGGACCAGCCCTTCTCCAGGCTGCGCTACCGGTGGCAGGAGCAGAGCTGCAGCCTCGAGCCCTCTGCCCCCGAGGACTTGCTGTAGGGGGCCTTACTCCCTGTCCCCCCACCCACAGGGCCCCACGCAGGCCTGGGGTGTCTGAGGTGCTCTTGGCTGGGAGCGGCCCTGAGGGGTGCTGGCCTTGAAATGATTCCCCCACTTCCTGGAGAGACTGAGCGGAGTTGGGAGCCTTTTTAGAAAGAACTTTTTATAGGACAGGGAGACAGCACAGCCATCCCTTGCAAACCACCAAGGTGTGTGGCTGACCTCCAGGGAGGAGCACTCACTGGAGTGCTCACAAGGTGCACACTGCTGTGTGTACCTTGCAGACAGGCCGGCGTTCAGCCTCCAAGGGGCTCACTCCCCCAGTTGCCAAACACTGTGGATCTCTCTGTCCTCTTCTCCCCTCTCTCAGATTGGCCTGGCAGCCCCTGGCACAGAGCAGACCCGGCCACTGGTAGCTCCCCACTTCCTTACTCCTGCTGCTCTGCCATTGCCGCTCCCCTTGTTGCTGCCCAAGCACTGCCCTCGGGCGTCTGGCAGCCTGAGGTGGGTGGAGGGGACAGTGTTCTGGATAGATCTATTATGTGAAAGGCAGCTTCACCCAGTTTTCTGGACTCTCATGCCCCCATCTCCGACCTGGGAGACTTCAGGAATGACAACCTACCCAGCCTGGTGGGGCTGGCAGGATGGTGGAGGTTTCTCAAGGAGCTGGAGACTTCAGGGAGCCCCTCTCATGGGGAGGAAAGAGCTTCCAGGGGGCGAACGCAGCACAGAGGAAGAGGCCTGCTCCACTTGTCTGGGAACCTGGGCAGGAGGCACAGAGGAAGCCAAGGCCTGGAGCTGCAGGTCCCCCGGCATCTCTCTCTGTCCCGGCAGCCCAGGATGGCCTGGTGCCCCCACCTGCTGCAGCAGGAGCCCCAAGGAGTGCTAGCTGAGGGTGGTTGCTGGGGTGGTCCTCATGGACAGTGAGGTGTGCAAGGGTGCACTGAGGGTGGTGGGAGGGGATCACCTGGGTTCCAGGCCATCCTTGCTGAGCATCTTTGAGCCTGCCTTCCGGTGGGAGCAGAAAAGGCCAGACCCTGCTGAGTTAGAGGCTGCTGGGATCCACTGTTTCCACACAGCGGGAAGGCTGCTGGGAACAGGTGGCAGAGAAGTGCCATGTTTGCGTTGAGCCTTGCAGCTCTTCCAGCTGGGGACTGGTGCTTGCTGAAACCCAGGAGCTGAACAGTGAGGAGGCTGTCCACCTTGCTTGGCTCACTGGGACCAGGAAAGCCTGTCTTTGGTTAGGCTCGTGTACTTCTGCAGGAAAAAAAAAAAAGGATGTGTCATTGGTCATGATATTTGAAAAGGGGAGGAGGCCGAAGTTGTTCCCATTTATCCAGTATTGGAAAATATTTGACCCCCTTGGCTGAATTCTTTTGCAGAACTACTGTGTGTCTGTTCACTACCTTTTCAGGTTTATTGTTTTTATTTTTGCATGAATTAAGACGTTTTAATTTCTTTGCAGACAAGGTCTAGATGCGGAGTCAGAGATGGGACTGAATGGGGAGGGATCCTTTGTGTTCTCATGGTTGGCTCTGACTTTCAGCTGTGTTGGGACCACTGGCTGATCACATCACCTCTCTGCCTCAGTTTCCCCATCTGTAAAATGGGAGAATAATACTTGCCTACCTACCTCACAGGGGTGTTGTGAGGATTCATTTGTGATTTTTTTTTTTTTTGTACAGAGCTTTTAAGCATTAAAAACAGCTAAATGTGAGTGCACCTGGCTGCTAATATGTCTTTAGTGTCAGACAGACGTTCTAGAACTGGTACAACAGGCTGAGGTCCCTGCCCCTTCAGAGTAAGGGTGGGCAGGCAGAGTGAGTTGAGAGCACCTGTTCTTGGCACTTCCAGCTCTAGAGCAGGCGGGTTTTTGCAGACACGCATCCCCAGTTTTGCCTCACCCTCTTACACTGGATGTCAGGCTGAGCTCCTCCTTGAAGAAAGCAACGGAACCAGCGAATTCTCACTAACATATGAAGGATTGCTGCATCTAGGGAAACAGTATAGAGCAAAGTGGAATTGGGGGCCTGTGAAGGAGCCTGGATCTCAGCCTCCACTTTCTCCCCTAACCCCTGTGGGCCCCACCTGACCCCTTTGGGCCTCTGGTTGATTGAACACACCTCACCCCTGGTTGAGTGCTGGCATTTAAAGAGTCAGTGGGGAGGGTGGGGTAGAGACAGCACTGACTCCAGGCCTCTTCCCCCATGCTTGCAGGGTTAGGGGAACAAGGTTGTAGTTCCGAGGTCAGCTGGGGTGGGCAGAATGGAACCCAGAGCCCCCACCGCCCCTAGGGTTGGTGTTCTCCCCAGACTAGGAGAGAAGGCCCCGGGGGTTCTTTCCCAGCCCAGCAGGGTATGGAAGTTGTCTTCTCTAGGTGCAAGAATGCTCTGTGTGGCTTCTGGACACCAGTGTAGAGCTGTGTACACCGGGGTGGGGTGGAGGGGGGTGGGGGTGGGGGTGGCTCTGCCATTCTCTCCCTGGGATGTGGGGACACACAGGAGTGAGTGGGTGTGCCTGTGTGTGTTCCCAAGTTCCCCTGGGCCTGCTGTAGCCTGTGGGAGGACGCTTAGCAATGACATGAATGGCACTGACCCACATTTCAGTAGCTCCTGCTGGTCAGCAGCATCTCAGCCCTCATGGTAAATGAGTGAACCCAGCACAGCAAAGGAGCAATCAGCAGAGTTAGGGAGCCTACCGAATAGGAGACGGCATTTGCAAACCATCCATCTGATAAGGGGTTAGTATCCCAAATCCATAGGAAACCCAAACAATACAATAGTAAAAAGCAAGTAACTCAAAAGAACACACACAAATGACCCACAGGCATATGAAAGAAATGTCCGGTATCACTAATCACCAGGGAAAGGCAATGGAAACCACCTCACACCTGTTAGGATGGCTGCAGGAAGAGACAGAAGAGAAGTGCTGGCGAGGATGTGGAGACAGGAAACCCTCGCACCCTGTTGGTGGTATTGTCGGTTAGTATACACGTTCTGGAAAACACTGGGGTGGGGGGTCCTCAGAAAACCAAAAATAGGACTGTGTATGATCCAGCCATCCCACTCCTGGGTACACATGCAAAGGAAATGGAATCCGTGTGTCAGAGAGGTGTCTGCACCCCATGTTCACTGCAGCATTATTCACAGTAGCCAAGACATGGGATCAGTGTGTTCATCAGTGGATGAATGGATAAAGAAAATGTGGTCTGTATACAATGGGATACTATTCAGCCTTTAAAAAGGAAATCCTGGCCAGGCGCAATGGCTCACGCCTGTAATCCCAGCACTTTGGGAGGCCGAGGTGAGTGGATCACTTGAGGTCAGGAGTTCGAGACCAGCCTGCTCAACATGGTGAAACCTGAAACCCCGTCTCTACTTAAAATACAAAAATTAGCCAGATATGGTGGTAGGTGCCTGTAATCCCAGCTACTTGGGAGGCTGAGGCAGGAGAATCACTTGAACCTGGGATGTGGAGGTTGCAGTGAGCTGAGATCACGCCACTGCACTCCAGCCTGGGCCATGGAGCAAAACTCCATCTCAAAAAAAAAAAAAAAAAAAAAAATCCTGTCATTTGTGACAACATGAGTGAACCTGGGGAACACTATCCTGAGTGAAATAAGCCAGGCACAAAAAGACAAGTATCACATGATCTCATATGTGGAGTCTAAAAAAATCCAACTCAGAGTAACATGGTGGTTACCAGAGGCTGGGGTGGAATGGGGTGAGGTTGGGGAGATGTTGGTCAAAGTTCACAGCATTTCGGTTAGAGTAAGTTCAAGGGATCTATTGTATATCATGCTTACTACAGTTGATAACAATGTTGTGTATTTGAAAATTGCAGAGAGAAGATTTTAAGTGTTCTCGTAACTTGGTAGCTATGTGTCACCAAATGATAAGTATGTGAGGTAAGGTGTATGTTAAATATCTTGACTTAGCCACTTCACAACGTATATATACCTCAAGACATCCTTTTGTACACCGTAAACATATACAACTTAGCAGCTCATTTTAAGAAAGTACCATTTAGTCTGATCTTTCCTCTGTGTTAATCTAAACTAGTGATTTTTTTTTTTTTTCGATGAAATCTTTTTCTGTCGCCCAGGCTGGAGTCCAGTGGCGCGATCTTGGCTCGCTGCAACCTCCACCTCCTGGGTTCAAGCGATTCTCCGGCCTCAGCCTCCCAAGCAGCTGGGATTTTAGGCACGCATCACCACACCCAGCTAATTTTTGTATTTTTAATAGAGACAAGGTTTCGCCATGTTGGCCAGACTGGTCTCAAACTCCTGACCTCAGGTGATCCACCTGCTTTGGCCTCCCAAAGTGCTGGGATTACAGGTGTCAGCCACTGCGCCTGGCCACTAGTGATGTTTTGATACATTCTTTGTTATGTCTCTTTCTTAAATACCAGTACATATTGCTGAATTATAATATTAAAAAACGAGTTAATATACATGCAACCTTTAGGACAGTGCCTGACAGTGCCTGTGAGTATACAATCAGTTTTAGCTGACTTTGCCCAGTCTCTCTCTCCAAGCCCTGTGGGTGCTCAGAAGGAGTCCCCCATTGATCTACATGTGTGGTCACTGTCATGTGGCATCCTCATTGCTTCCAGGACTTCAGACATCCCTGACCCTACCCCCACCCCCATTTCAGGTGCCCAGGCTGTGCCGTGTCAGGCGGGACTTGACCTTGGGTCTGTGCCTACTTTTAACCAAGGATTTGGCCAGGTCCCTGGTTAAGCCTCCACCCTGTCTTCCCTGCTGCCCTGGTGGAGACCCGGTACCCCAGGCTAGCAGCCTTGATATGCCTGGCTCCCACTCCCTTAAGACATGTTCTCTCCTGGAAGCCCCTCAATCTTCTGGGGGTCCTGTCACACCAGTTTGCCCAGACTAGGCGGGCCTTAGCTGGGTCCACCTGGGACGTGCACCCCTTAGTGTCGTGATGACTGCCCTTAGTGTTCTGTGTATAAGGGGACATGTGCAAGGGGGAGGTCTGTGCATGTCAGCTGTGGGCAGTGATGCAGCAGATCACTGCAAAATTGGGCATCTACACAGACCAGGCACCATGCCAGGCACCAGGGAGCTGTGGACGGGGACAGCCTGCCTTCCAGGAGCTGGTGGCACTGCAAGGACAAGAGAGAATGAACAAATCATTTTCGCCAGGTGTCGTGAGAGCTAGGGTGGGGCAGGGTTTGGAGAACAGTGGCGGTGTGATAGGCCAGAACCAGCCAGGACGCCACTTGCCTCTCTTCTGGAGCTTCTAGAACAAGGAACCAGTGATGTTGTGGACCCAGGGGGAGCCAGGGGGCCTGTGGTGTCGGGTGGGACCACCGCACCCCGGAAACCATATAGCACTGATGGTCTGAGCTCTTCTTAATCTCTGCACCCTCTCTCCCATCCTTTAGCCAGACTTGAGATCTGGCCAGACCCTGAGAAGGGCCCATCCACAAAGGGCCTTTGGTTTCTCTACTTGTCACAAGAACTGGTTTTGGATGAACAGAAAGAATGAAGCCGCCCACCGGCCATCGCCTGCCTGGTCCTTTCTTGTGGTGTTCAGTGCGGAAACCTCAAATTGTATCTGCAGAATTGGCACGCATGTATTGTAACTGGTTTTCTCTTACAAAAAGCTGTTCGTCTTTTATTCACACAAGTACAGTGTAACCATCCACTAGTTGTGAAAATTCAACCAGTATCTTTATCTCCCTCCCTGTTCTCATTCCTACTCCCTGGGCTCTGGTTTTAAAAGGTATCACTGAGACCCGTGCAGCCCCGTGGGTGGTTGGGCCTTTCTCCTCTCTGTGCTGTCCCTGGCTGTGTGACATCCCCGCCTGCTTCTCTGGCCACCTAGTACTGTGTGCTACACACACCCCTTTCTGCTCAGCCAGCAAGCGTGGTTTCAGCATCCATCCATACAGTGAAGCAGTTCAAAAGAGCTTGGGTAAATCACACTGCCTCTCTGAGACACAATGTCCTCAATTGTAAGTGGGATTAAAATGCTTATTTTGGGCCGGACGTGGTGGCTCACGCCTGTAATCCCAGCACTTTGGGAGGCCGAGGTGAGTGAATCACCTGAGGTCAAGAGTTCGAGACCAGCCTGGATAACATGGTGAAACCCCATCTCTACTAAAACTACAAAAATTAACTGGGCATGGTGGTGGGTGCCTGTAATCCTTGCTACTCGGGAGATTGAGGCAGGAGAATCACTTGAACCTGGGAGGCGGAGGTTGCAGCTAGCCGAGATCACGCCACTGCACTCCAGCCTGTGAGACAGAGTGAGATGCCATCTCAAAAAAAAAAAAAAAAAAAAGAAAAAGAAAAAAGTGCTTATTTTGTAGGGTAAGTGGAAGGATCAGAGTTAATGGCCATGAAGTTCCTATTGCTGGGCCTTACACACAGCAGGTACTCACTGCAAGAATTGTCTTGTTCTGTAGAGTATGTTATTAGGAGCCCTGGAGCAGAAGAGTCCATCTGAGGAGTATCTGAGTTAGTGGTATGGAAGTGACATTACTCATGAGTGATGGCAGGGGGTCAGGGGCAGAGGGCACCACTGGCTCTCGGAATGCAGCACCTCAGCTTGGGTGTCCTCTGGCACTAGAGGAGCCAGTAAGAGGCATGAAGGCATTTCTTAGTATTTCTTGGGGGAAGCCATGCAGAATTCTCTAAAGATGAGAGCAGAGGTGGGGTTGGTGGGCCAGGGAGAGTCGTTGGGAAGGACTAACTTGGTTTCCCAGAGGAAGCCAACAGCGGGAGAACCCTTGGCACATCGGCCCTGGGAGAGTGTAGCAGGAATTTCCATAAATGTGTTCGGTTGGGTTAGGGCAGACAGCCTGGCTTCCAGAAAACCTGCCTGCTTTGCATTGCCCAGTACAGCAGGTTTGGGACAGGAAGCTCCAGAGTGACTTTAATTCTAGAGCCTGCTGGGGACCTTGGCCAGTCACTGCCTTCTCTGGGTGGCGTCCCTTCCTTGGCAATAGCAGACTGATCCTTCCCCCTCTTGCCTCTACGTAGCCTGAGGGAAAAGGAGAAAAAGCACTTCTCCCTCTCCACCTTGGCCTAAAGGAGGGCAGGGCAGATGCCAGGGTCTGTTGCGCACTGACTGCGTGCTGAGGCCTGCACTAAGTTCTTTACACACAACATTGAAAATGGGCTAATTCCATCAGGTCTACCTGCCCTGCTTGCTTTGGGTTGCTTTTTTAATTCTCCCCCTCCCAAGCTTTTTCTATGAAGCTGAAGGCTGTGGTAGCTGAAGGCCTCACCGCTGAACACTGGAACTTAACCTTCACTGGCTACTTTATAGATAACATTCATAGGTCACCATGGTAATATTCACTTCAGTGTTTTTCAGGAACTTGGCCAGCGCCTGTCTAGTTCAAACTAGCTGAGACCCCGATCCTTCACCCTAGACTGCCCAAGTGCCCAAGGGGTGGCCTTTTGAAGTCAGAGGGCCGACGACAACACCCTCAGATCATGCAAATGCCACCATTTTTGTTGCATGTGCCCTGTGAAGTGCCGTGAAGCCTGACTACCCTTGCTCAGGAGGAACCTGTCACTTCATTTTTTTCCCACTGCCAATCACCTGTCCCCATGATTTAGATCATCCCACTTCCCTTACCTGTAAATATCCTTAAGCCTTATCCTCAAGGGTCGGGTGGGGGTGGTTTTGAGAGCTGTTCTCCCACCTCCTCATGTATTGCCCTTGCAAATCTTTCTCTTTTGCAAAACCCATGTCATCATGATTTATTCACTGTGCAGAGGCAGAATGAACCTGGACCTAGCCAATCTTACTTAACAATTTTTGTATTTTCAGTAGAGGTGGGTTTTCACCATGTTGGCCAGGCTGGTCTTGAACTCCTGACCTCAAATAATCCATCCAGCTCAGCCTCCCAAAGTGCTGGGATTACAGGCGTATGCCACCGCGCCCAGCCCATTTGATGAGTTTTTACAAATGCATACACCTGTGTAATTCAAACCTCTAACAGGATATATAGACTTGCATTGGGGTTTTTAATGTTAAAACTTACAACAATACTTCAAATAATGTCTTCAAACACAAATCTTTGTACAGGTAATAATTAGACTCCTTTGGGTGACATATTTCAGAAAACAGCCCCAGCTAGCTTAAGCAAAGAGGGAGAGTGTAAAAAATATGACTCCATGGTACGGTGGCTCACACCTGTAATCCCAGCAATTTGAGAGGCTGAGGTGGGTGGATCATGAGGTCAGGAGTTCAAGATCAACCTGGCCAAGATGGTGAAACCCTGTCTCCACTAAAAATATAAAAATTAGTGCCAGGCACCTGTAATCCCAGCTACTCGGGAGGCTGAGGCAGCAGAGGTTGCAGTGAGCCAAGATCGCGCCACTGCACTCCAGCCTGGGTGAAAGAGAGAGACTCTATCTCAAAAAAAAAAAAAAAAAAAATATATATATATATATATATATATATGTGTATATATATATATATATGTATATATATATATGTATATATATGTGTATATATATATGTATATATATGTGTATATATATATGTATATATATATGTGTGTGTATATATATATATATGTGTGTGTATATATATATATATGTGTGTGTGTATATATATATATATATATATATATATGACCAGCAGAGGACCATGGCAGGAATGCAGCAGGGACTGGGACTAGGAGGCTGCCCGGGGAGTCCTGGAAGCTCCCTCTGTGTCCTCCATAGGGGTGCACCACTCACTTCTCCCCTCAGGACAACCTGCTGCTGCTGCAGAGAGAACAGTTGGACCACCTTCCAGCAATTGCACCTCTGGATCCAACACAGTGTTCGTGCCAAGGCCTTGCTCCCCCATCCAGCACACTCCACCCACAGGCTGCTGACTGAGCAGGGCAGGGATATAGAGCTGGCTGTGTCTGCCCCTCCATCCTGCAGCGAGGCTGGGAGCCTCCCCATTGGTCTGACCAAGAGTTGCCCAGAGCTATCCTGCAGTGTCAGGCTTGTTGTGTCTACTGAGGAAAGATGAGGTTCATACACATTTGGAAAGGAGAGCTTTATTTCTCATAAAGGGTTGCAACCTGCTGGGTGGTCATTCTGACAGGCTGGGAAACGTAGCCTCTGGCCAGAAGCCAGAAACAGACACTTCGAAGGTGGGGAGAATAAGACAGGGATTTACGCTGAATAGGGTGTCCAGATATACATATTCAACAGGTTATAGGAGCAGCAATGAATATTCACAAAGGGGAGGCAAGGGCATTCGTAGTAGGGTAACATGTATGTAACACGTGTCCCAGATTCACTTTGGGGTGGAGACTTAACATTTAAACATATTACAGTTAGGCCCTCTACATTAAAACGGGAAGCAGAGGACACGAAGGCCCTCTGGGTGCAGCTTCTGGAGACTGGCCAGAACCACTCTGTGGCCAGGGTTTTTTTTTTTTTTTATCAGGAGGGACTGCTTAGCGGTTGCTGTGTCAAGCTGCAAAAGGGGAGGGGCTGTGTTAGGCAGTTGGTTGGTACCAGCGTGAAGCAGTGGTTTCTGTTTAACCCTTAGAGAAGAAAGCCTAATGGTTAGGGGGGGAGGGGGCATAATGAGGCCTGTCCAACCTCCTGTTCCATCATGTCCGGGAACTCCATTTTTAAGGTTTCTCGGGGGTCCCCTAGGCCAAGAGGTGGTCCATTTGGTCAGTTGAGGGGCTTAGGATTTTATTTCTCTGGCTCTTTCCCTCTCTCTTTTTGTGGGTATTAGAGCCACACTGTGGTTTGAAGGCCCTTCCTGTTGCCTTCTGTTTCCTCCTTTGTTCTTCACAGGTGTTTCGCCAAATAGCTTTCTTGCACAGACTTGAACAACCCACCCTCTGCCTTGTCTCAGCCTCTCTGGGCACCTGCTTTGTCTCTGAAGGCCGGCACTGCTGTGGCACTGCTTGGTGAAAATGACCACCCTGGTTTCCAGCTTCACATGGTACAGTTCCAGCAGACTAAGAGCTGGTTCTTGCCCTGCCCTATGCTGCCATCTCAAGAGAGGGGGCAGGTCCTGTCCACGATGGTGGTCATGGGTCAGGGAACTGTTGCTTAATCTTCCCTGTGGATGGAGGAGGCTGTAGCCATCTGGGTTGGTGCCTCCAAATCTGTGGATGGAAGTGCAAACCTCTGGTTATCTCCTAAACAAAGGGAAGCTTCATTTTGAAGGCTTTCCATGTGTACCTTCAGTTTGTCCTTTAGAAATGCCCTGTTTCAGAGTCTCAGATAGCAGTGAGTGGGCATGCTCTTTCCCAGCCTTGCTAGCACTGCCCACAGTTTTATGACTCAGAATGGAATCTCATATTTGTTCAATTTTATTTCTTTTTAACTAATAGTGAAGTTGGATTTTTTTCATGTGTTTTGGCCATTTTTTTTTCTGTTATGAATTGTTTATGTCCTTTGCTGACTTTTTTGTTTGGGCGTTTGTCTTCCTTCCTTTCCTTCTTTCTTTCTTTCTCTCTCTTTCTCTCCTTCCTTCCTCTCTCTTTCTTTCTTTCATTCATTCTTTCTTTCTTTTTGTTCTTCTTTCTTCCTTTTCTTTCTTTCTTTTCTTTCCTTCCTTCCTTCTTTCATTGTTTCCTTCCTTCTTTCCTCCTCTTTTTCTTTCTTTCATTCTTTCTCTTCCTTTTTTCTTTTTGTTCTTTCTTCTTTCTTCCTTTTCTTTCTTTCTTTCCTTCCTTCTTTCTTTCTTTTCTTTCTTTCATTCTTTCCTTCCTTCCTTCCTCTTTCTTTCTCTTTCTCTTTCTCCTTCTCTTTCCCTCACTCCCTCCCTTCCTCGCTTCCTTCCTCGCTTCCTTCCTCTCTCCCTCCCTCTCTCTCTTTCTCTCTTTCTTTCTTTCTTTCTTTCTTTCTTTCTTTCTTTCTTTCTTTCTTTCTCTCTCTCTCTTTTTCTTTCTTTCTCTCTCTCTCTTTTTCTTTCTTTCTGCCTTTCTCCTTTTCTTCTCCCTTTCTCCCTTTCTCTTTCTTTTCTTTTCTTTTTCTTTTTTAAATTCTATGCTGCTTCTGGGTCAGGGTCTTACTTTATCACCCAGGCTAGAGTGCAGTGGTGCAATCATAACTCACTGCACCCTCGACCTCCTAGGCTCAAGTGATTCTCCCACCTCAGCCTCCAGAGCTGGAACTATAGGCATATGCCACCACACTCGGCTAATTTTTGAATTTTCTTTTTTTTGTAGAGATGGGGTCTCACTATGTTGGCCAGGCTTGTCTTGAACTTCTGGGCTCAAGTGATTCTCCCACCTCAGTCTCCCAAAGTGTTGGGATTACAGGGTGAGCCACCACACTTGACCCCTTTCCTATTGATTTGTTAAGATGATAACTTTATCATATATGTTGCATTTATTTTTTAGCTTTAAAATACCATTAGATATACATGCTGTCTTAGAGCCTGTCCTCTCCATTCCTGTGTGTCTCAGTCTATGCTGGAGCTGACCTAGCTTCAGATCAATAACCTTTGCTTATTTTATGATGTCCTTTATTAGATTACTTACTTTGTCAAGCATTATATCTGGTTTCTTTTACAGTCATCATCTCGTTCAACCCTCCAACAATACCACAAGGTGTTATTTTACAGCTAGAGATACCCGTGTCTGATGCCAAATCCTTGCTTGTTTCAGGGCTGGATATGGTAATCCTCTCTGCCATTTTCGATGACAGGTTGAGAGGAGAGAAAGGTAGATCCTGGAAGAGTGCCCAGGCTGGGGTGACTCGGGGAGGAGACTAAGGGGAAAGCATGATGACTTTGAAAGCCCTCCGTCAAATTCTTGTGGTTCTCTGACTTGATGTTATTTAAACCCCTGTGTACTTTCAAGAGGTTCCCCTCTACAGCCACAAGAATGGGAAATGGCTTGTGTTCTCTGAGTCACACTGGTAGATTATCTATGGGCCTTCTGAGTTTCACTTTGCACCCCCTCTTGGCTATTCTTTCCTTTTCCCACATCCGCCCACCTCACCATCAACAAACCTGCACAGTGTCTTTGCCCTTCAAAAGTAATTGTTATTCTTTCTTTGAACTAAATGACGGCATCTAAGCTGAATTAAACACTCATAGCCTTTCACAGTTTATGAAAGTATCCATTTCCCCATTCCTGCCTTAACATTTGAGGTCGCCAATCCTTTTAATTTTTGCCAATCTGATAAGAAAGAAAGTCTTTTATTTTTACCTTAACTCGACTTTTCCAGATTAGTAATGAGGTTGGAACATCCTTTCATATGTTTACTGGCCATTTGAATTTATTCTGTTATGTATATGCCCATTTTTCTGCTAGATTGTCTTTTTTTAATTAACAGGCATAAAATTTTAATATAATTTGTTTTGTGGGTAGGTAGATAGATATACAGTCAGTTCTTTCTCCCAGTTTGTCTCAGGTCTTGTAACGTTTTTAGTGTATTTTTTCATAGAGAAGTTGTTCAATTTATACATGGTGTGTTTTTTGACTTGTGTAAGCAAGCCTTCCCTACCCAAGGTTCTAGATCTCTTTCCTATGTTTTCTTTGAATATTTCTACAGTGTTGTCTTTTATGTTTAATGCTTTAATTCATCTGGAATAAACTTTTGTGAATGACATGAGATAGTGTATTTTTTTTTTCCAAAATGGATATCCAGTTGGCCCACATTTATTATTATTTGTTATTATTATTTTAGAGATGGGATCTTGCTATGTTGCTCAGGCTGGTGTTGACCTCTTGGCCTCAAGCAGTCCTCCTGCCTCAGCCTCCCAAGTAGCTGGGACCACAGGCATGTGCCACTGCACCAGGCTGGCCTACATTATTTATGGAATAGCCACATTTCCCCCTTACTGGAACTATGGTTTTCATCATATGTGAAGTAAGCACTTATACCTGAGTCCATAGAGTAGACACGGGGTTGTTGTTGCTCCTGGCCTCCATTCATCCTTCTGGTAACCATGTCTGATTTTCCCCATCCCCAGCAGGAACAAGAACCAAGGCTTGAGCCAATTTGTGCATCTCATTGTCCTGGCACTGCCATTGGCCCAGGGCTGGCCATGTGACTCAGCCGGCCAATTACACCCAATCAGAGCTTATCCCTGGCATTTTTCTGAGTGACTGGAAGAGTGTTAACTATTCTTGTGGAACTTAAAAGGGAGAGGCCAGACGTGGCTACAGTTGTCACACAGCCACAAGGTGAAAACAAATATGAAAATGAAACCAACACACCAAGGCCAGTGGAATTGAGCTGAGGCAACTGCTGTTGCCCTTTAGCTGCTGTACCCCATCATGTCTAGAGCCAGGTTACCCCTATGCCCACAAAACTTTTAACTGACAACCCAGATCCTTTTGTGCTTAAGTGAGCTGGGTTGGGTTTTCTGTCATTGCAAGGCAGACATATTCTATATGTGTACTCTAGTCTCTCCATTGATTTTTTTCGAGGTCTTCTCAAGTTCTTGTTCTTTCTCCCTTCCTCCTTCTGTCTCCCATCCTCATTCTCTCCTTCTTTCATTCATTCTTTCTTTTTCATTCTTCTATACTTCTGGAGTGTTCCAGTGTACTTTCATTTCCAAATGGATTTTAGAACCAGCATATGGACTTCTATTTAAAAATCTCATTGGTATTTTGATTGAAATTACATTTAATTTATTGACTAATTTAGGGAGAATGGGCGCTTTTATAATATTGTGTGTTCCCATTAAGGAATATGTTTTTTCCCTATGTTTATTAAGGTTCTTTTGTGTCTTTTAATAATAAAAGTTATTAACACTCCTCTTTTAAGTCATACCTACTTCTCATGAAATTTATTCATGGTTTATTTTTTGAAATTATGGTTTTTTTTCTATTACAGTTTCTGATTGACTAATTAATGCTCATGCGGGAAAAAATAAATATTTCTTTTTGTTTGAATTTGGCCATATTCTTGAACTCACTTAATAACTAAGTTTTCTGATTGATTAGTGCTCATGTAGGAAAAAATAAATATTTCCTTTTGTTTGAATTTGGCCATATTCTTGAACCCACTTAATAACTAAGTTTTTAAAAACTTGTCTTGGATTTTGGAGATAGATGATGGTATTATCTGCAAATAATAACTATTTAATTTCTTTCTAATATGTATAATTAGTATTTCTTTTTCTTGTCTTTTGTTATAAAGGCTAGACCTTCCTGAACAATATTTGGAATAGTGACCATTTTTATACTTTCTAAGTCTAATGGGAATATTTCACCACTAACTGTAATTTTTGATCTAGGTTTCAAGTAGGCGCATTTGTCAAATTAAAGAAATTTTCTTTTATTACTGGTTTGCAGATTTTAAAAAATTATAAATTGATTTTTAATTTTAAAAATGTTTTCTTGACATCTATTGAGGTGGTCATATATTTTCTCCTTTAATATGTTAATTTTAAAAAGTACATTAGCAGATTTTCCAATGTTGACTGATCCTTTGCATTCTTTTTTTTTTTTTTTGAGATGGAGTCTCACTTTGTCACCCAGGCTGGAGTACAGTGGTGTGATCTTGACTCACTGCAACCTCTGCCTCCTGGGTTAAAGCTATTCTCCTGCCTCAGCCTCTCTAGTAGCTGGGACTACAGGTGTCTGCCACCACGCCTGGTTAATTTTTGTATTTTTAGTAGAAACAGGGTTTCACCATGTTAGCCAGACTGGTCTCAAACTCCTGACCTCAGGTGATCTGCCCGCCTTAGCCTCCCCAAGTGCTGGGATTATTGGCATGAGCCATTGCGCCCGGCCTACATTCTTAAATGTTTATTACTACGTCATGGTGTTGTCTTCTTTTATCATATTGCTGAAACTAAATTTCTAATATTTTATTTAGGATATTTGTGACTATGTTTATGAGTGTTTTTTTTCCACCATGTTATGCTTTTTAATTTTGTTGTCAGGGTTATGATAGTTTTATACATGTGTTAGGTAGTTTTGTCTTTTTCAACATTTTGGAATAGTTCATATAACTTGTGGATCATCTGTGGCTTGAAGTTTTCATAGAACTCTTAATATTGGACTGGTCTTTTTTTAGGTGTGAATTTTTCATAAAGTTTTTTTCTTCTATGTTTATTAGTCTTTTTGGGCTTCTTACTTTCCCTTTGGTCAGTTTTGGTAAAATGGCAACATTTTCTTAGAGTAACACATAGATAGCAATCTTTTTCAAGATTTTTGAGCCAGGAGTGGTGGCTCACACCTGTAATCCCAGCATTTTGGGAGGCTGAGGGAGGAGGATCACTTGAGGTCAGCAGTTCAAAACCAGCCTGGCCAACATGGTGAAACCCCATCTCTACTAAAAATACAAAAATTAGCCAGTCGTGGTGGTGCATACTTGTAGTTCCAGCTACTCAGGAGGCTGAGGCAGGAGAATTGCTTGAACTCAGGAGGCAGAGGTTGCAGTGAGCTGAGATTGCGCCACTGCACTCCAGCCTGGGCAATGGAGTGAGACTCCGTGTCAAAAAAAAAAAAAAGGTTTTCAGCGAAGTGTGGTGGCTCATGCCTGTAATCCCAGAACTTTGGGATGCCAAGGTGGGAGAAGTGCTTGAGACTATGAGCTCAAGACCAGCCTGAGCAACATAGCCAACACTCCCCTTCTACACCCCAACCCCCAGAGTGGTGGCTCTCACCTGTAGTCTTAGCTACTCAAGGGGCTGAGGTGGGAGGATCACTTGAGCCCAGGAGTTCAAGGCTACAGTAAGCTACGATTGCACCACTGCACTCCAACCTGGGCAACAGAATGAGACCCTGTCTCCAGAAAAAAAAAACGCAAAATGCCTCCTCTGCATCTGTATTTTTGTCCCCATTCTCAATTTTAATGTTTATGAATATTTTACATATTTTTTTCTTGGTCACCTTTGCCTATTTTATTGTCTCTTTATTATTATTATTATTTTAAATTTTTAGATGAAGTAGCTTTAAGACACTACACTGTCCTTATTTTGCTCACTTTGCCCATGACTGGCGACACGTCAATGTGCCCAGCATTTGGAAGCCTTGCTCGAAACTGAGAACTAGCTGCTTAGGCTTCTGTCCTGGCAGCTCTGGTGAGTTCTCCCCAAAAAGACGTGTCCTGGGACTGCCTGGGCATGGGTTCTGTTGGATCCCTGGGTGGCATTTCCATTGAGGTGGCTGCCTATGGGTGTTTTCTAGGCTTGCAAGACGGGAATGAACTTGGGTGTGTTTGTACTTCCCATGGGGAGGTTATGTCATTGCTCTTTCGGCTAAATTTACAAGGGTTTTGAGAAAGAATTTAAAGCACACAGGCTCTGAGTGACCAAAGCATCCTGCTGCTTCCAACCCCTTGGGAGGGAAGCCCTGGGTGGTGGGGGATTAGGGGAGGCGTGGAAGCCCTGGGTAGGTGGGGGATTAGGGGAGGCGTGGAAGCCCTGGGTGGTGGGGGATTAGGGGAGGCGTGGAAGCCCTGGGTAGGTGGGTACATCTAAGTCCTAGGTGCTGGAGGGGTCCATGGAACTCCTGTGCGGGGAGGGTGCCGTGGAGTTCCTGGGGGGAAGGCTGTGGCCATGCGAGATGACACTACCCCCTTGCAGTTGCCTAGGTCCCTCCCTCCCTCCCTGCCTGCCTTCGGTACCAGGCTGTTGCAGTGGGACCAGGCCCTTGGACTGCCCTCTGCCCCCACCTCTTTCCCGGGTGGCTGACGTTCTCCCACTGTCTCTTTCACTGAGGTCAGGCAAGGTCATAGCTTCATAAAGAGATTTTCCAGGGAAGATTTTAGGCAGGGGAAAGTTGGCCCCTGCTGGAGCAGGTCTCTTGGCGAGAGGTGAGAACAGCCACAAGCACAGAAGCCATTTGCAGACGGACGGGTGTGTCTCTGTGTCCCCATGGCACCGTACACAGGAGAGTCCGTGAGTGTTTCCTGAGTGAATCGCTCCACTCTCCCGGCCTCAATCCCTTCATCTCTAAAATAGAATTGATAATGCTTTCCCCCCAGACACCCCTCAGCACGGGCAGGATTTCCCAGCCGTCAGAGGAGGTAGGGCAGGACAGGCGTCAACCCAGAAGCAGAGGCCTTTCCAGTGTGGCTCTGAGAAAGCCTAGAGCTGCTTTTACATTAGGGCCTCCTACATGTGAGCACATGTGTGATCTCAACTGCTTTCACTGGTAATGTGCCCAGGCTGCACACGAGTAGCTGGGGACTCAGAGGGGAAGCTACTTGCTGAAGGACACTCAGCATAAGGGGCACAGCCCACCCCCCACTTCTGGTCTGGGAAGGCTTTGGGAATGCTGTCCACTCCAGATGGTATCAGTAAGGAACCTTTTGTCCAGTTCTGTTGAACAAAGAACAACAAAGATAACCAATAAACAAATGCTTTTAGGAAATAGCTGGGAGACGTAATTGGGGAGAAAGTCTAAATCATGAAGCCTTTTCAAGAAAGTCCTAGTATTGTTAGAGGAACCCCTGCTTATTAAGCCTCTGGTTTAATAAAACATGACTAGAGTGACTCTATCTTAAAGTGAATAGCTGGGCACTCACAAGGCACCTATAAGGTTAAGGCTTATGTTCTGAAAATAACCATATTCTAAGCTGACTACCAATTATAACTCCAAAATATTTATGGCCATACAGGACATCTCCCACCAAGCCTGCAGAATGTCCAAATGGTCTAAAAATACAACCCTCTTTACGCATTTTTTTTTTGAGACAGTCTCACTCTGTTGTCCAGGCTGGAGTGCAGTTTGGAGTGTAGTGGTACCATCACGGCTCACTGCAACCTTGACTTCCTCGGGCTCTGGCGATCCTTCAGCTTCCGCCTCCTGAGTAGCTGCGACTACAGCCGCTCGCCACCAAGCCGGGCTAATTTTTTGTATTTTTTATAGAAACAGATCTTCACCATGTTGCCCAGGCTGGTCTTGAACTCCTGGGCTCAAGCAATCCGCCCACCTTGGCTACCCAAAGCAGATGTGGGCCACCAAGCCCGGCCTGTTTCTTTTAAGTGGAAACACTAACAAAGGCAGGTGCAGCCTGTTTCTTATAAGTGGAAACACTAACAAAGGAGGGTGCGTTCCTCCTCCTGCTTTCTGAGGATGCCCTACTCTGTAACAAAGGAGTTTCCAATGCATTTACTTCTTTCATTGTTCTCTGTGACCTGCTCCCAGTTCTTTCCTACACAAGATCCAGGAACTGTCCCTGGGGGTCTGGATCCGTACCCCTCTTTTTCTGGCAACAGTATTATTTTCAAATACACTACAGAAAATAAGCAAGAATGAGCTACTGCATCACCCCATGGGGGTCCCTGCAGTACCAGCTTCCAGGAGCATGTCAGAGTCACGAGGGATTGCTTACTCAGGGTTTGTAAACTGATCTGCATGGTTTGCTTAATAAGCAAAACTGCATGGTCTAAATGGTTTCCAAAAAACTTGAAAGCAATTTAGGTTCTTTAGAAAGTTACATAATTCCTTGCCATCTCATTTGCCCTGTCGTGGGGTCTGAAAATCTTGTTTTAGTTTTGTTTTTTAAATCATAAACGGATGTTCATGTCTAGACTGCAGGCTCCGGCTTAGACCTGGGCTCTTCATGTCTCCTGTGCCCAGCTTGCTCTGTTAGCAGTGGGGAGGGGCTTCTGGCAGACTGGAGACCTGGCCACTCCCTCAGCACTCAGCCTCCGGAGAGAGGGCGGGTGTGAGTGCTGGGGAGTGGGGCCTTCTGGCCCATCCACATATGGCCTGGAGCCAGCTCTCTTCCTGTTCTGCCTGTGAGGTCCTCACTGCCAGCTGAGAGGGTTGGAGTGACAGAGAAGGGGTCCAGCGTGCCCAGCATGGTGACTGACATGGGTGTACTCAGGGCACACTCCTTACTTTTCCTTCAAGCTCCCTGTAATTCCCATTTCCAACCTTGCCCACCTTCTTCTCCTCCCAAGAATGGGCATGGGAACTGGGGTCTGCTCAGTGAGTGCCCCTAGCTCTGGCCCCTGGAGAGCTGGCACTGCCACCTGTGGGAATCACTTCCAAATGCCCAGGAGAGTAGGGAGCAACAGCCAGAGGAGCTGAGATTAACCAGTGTGGAGGGAGGGCCCTGAGGAGTCCCCTCTGTCCTGCAGAAGGAGAAGAGTGACTTAGGGCACGCGGGCACTGCCTCAGGCCCTGCAGCAGCTGAGGGGAGGACATACCCAGTGCCGTTGGCTGCAGACGCTGCTTGTCCAAATCCTACCCTTTGCAGCAATTAAGTGAGCGGGGGACTTTGGGCAAGCTATCAGACCTCTCTGAATCTCAGCTTCCTCATGTATAAAAGAGGCCCTTAGGAAAATAAAGTGAGATCAAGCATTTATGCAGGGCCTGTCCCAAAGTAGGCACTTAGGCAGTGGTAAGTAAAGGTAAATACACGAAAACCCCTGAAAGTGCTTGGCATTTATGATGAGTTTGTGCCTCTTAGGCGTGTGTGGCAGGGGCAGGGAACCTTGGCTGGCTCTGGGCCAAGTCCCTTCCTCCAAAAATATTGTCTCCCTCAACTGTGAGTCTCCAACCGTTTCCAGGTAAAAAGGAGAAGAGCTGGCCTTTCTGGGTGGGAGAGAAGCAGTGAGAAGGGGGCTGCTCCTTTCTGCAAGGGAGCCCTGAAGATGAGGAGGTGGGAGGGGAGGGGACAGGAACCCAGGCCACCTATTCTTAGCTTCTTCTCAGGAGCAGGGCTTGGCATTCCTCTTTCTCCCCCACTTTCTCCCTCTCTTGTTCTCTTTCCCCCACCGCTCCAACAATCTGCTCTCAGTTCGCAGTCATTTTAATTCACTTTGGTCCAACAGACGTTTTCCTGTTTGTGAATTTCCCTTTCAGACCAGGCTTTGTGGGAATACTGGGATGAACAAGCGGTGGCCCCTACCCTCCATGAGCTCACAGTCCTGTGAGGGGGCGAGGTGAAGTGGGAATACATGTCAGCATTCATTCATTCATTCATTCATTCATTCATCAATCAATATGCTGTGCCAGGCCCGTGCAGGGGCTATGGAGACAAAGAGGCATCAACAGGAGGAGGTGGTACCAGGGAGAGAAGCCCTGGACGCAGCGTAGGTGCACACCCATGTAGCTTGCCATTCTCCCCTCCTGGCCAGGGCCTCTGCTCCAGGGGAGAGCTTAAGGTAGGGCAGTGTGTGTGGTGGGGGGTTGGCTGCAAAGGCCTTCCTTGAGTAGAGGGTGGACTCCCTGATGCTGGGGAGCTGAAGCTGGACCCCTGGTCAAGTCCTGATCTGATGGGTGTGTTAATTCTTGGGACCCCAATTGCTTAGTGCAAATCTGCCTTCCATTCAAAGTTATCCATCTGCTCGCTGAGATTAATGAGTATCTGATTGCCTTCTTTGGAAAGGCTAATCAGAAACTCAAAATAATGCAGCCATTTGTTTCTTATCTACTTATGACTGGGAAGTCCCCTCCCCACTTCGAGTTGTCCTGCCTTTCAGAACCGAACCAATGTTCATCTTGCTTATACTGATCGATGGCTCATGTCTCCCTAAAATGTATAAAACCAAGCTGTGCCCCGACCACCTTGGCACATGTTCCCAGGACCTTTGAGGCTGTGTCACACACACACACCCTTAACTTTGGCAAAATAAACTTTCTACATTGACTGAGACCTGTCTCAGATATTTGGGGTTCACGGGTGGGAAGGTGGGCTCAGGAAGGCCAAGGCAGAGGCTAGCTAAGAAGCTAGAGGCAGGCTGTGGAAAACAGTTTGGTGGCTTCTCACAAGGTTAAACATAGAACTACCATATGACCCAACAATTCCACTCCTTGGTATATATGTAAAAGAATTGAAAGCAGGGACTCAAATAGATACTTGCACGTCAGTGTTCACAGCAGTGTTATTCACAATAGCCAAAGGTGGAAACAAGCCAAGTGTCTGTCCATTGATGAATGAATGGAGAAACAAAATGCGCTCTAGACATACAATGGAATATATTCAGCCACAAAAGGAATAACGTTTTTCATTTCTATTATTATTTTTTAAGAAAGAGTCTCACTCTGTTGCCCAGGCTGAAGTGCGGTGGCGTGATCTCAGCTCACTGCAACCTCTGCCTCTCAGGTTCAAGCAATTCTCCCACCTCAGCCTCCTGAGTAGCTGGGATTCCAGGCACCCACCACCACACCTGGCTAATTTTTGTATTTTTAGTAGAGATGGGGTTTCGCCATGTTGGCCAGGCTGGTCTTGAACTCCTGACTTCAGGTAATCTACCCATCTTAGCCTGCCAAAGTGCTGGGGTTACAGGTGTCAGCCACCGCGCCCAGCAGGAATAAAATTTTGATACATGCTACAACACGGATGAAGCTTGAAAACATTGTACTAACTGAAATTAGCAGAAACGAGAAATATTGCATGATTCCACTTATATGACGTACCTAGAATAGGGCAAATTCATACAGACAGAAGAAAGAACAGAGGTTACCAGAGGCTAAGGGAAAGCCATTTTTTAATGGCTGCAGAGTTTTTGTTGAGGATCCTGAAAAATTTTAGGTGTAGATAGTGGTGAATGCATTTAACATCACTGAATTGTACACTTATGAATGGTTAAAATGGTTAAAATGAAAAATACTGTGTTGTGTATATCTTATCAGATTTTCAAAAAAACAAGTGTCAGGGTAGCTTGGGGAGATGGCCCCCCAAGGACATTCCCCTAAAGTGAGTCCTTTCCAGCCACTGTGTTGAAGATGGCTGTGGGGACCAGGAAGGGATGGCGTTAGGGGAGACTGCAAGGAGCACACCGTGGGCGTTCAGGCGTCCTGCAGTGCAGCTGCTGGAGGAAGTTTCAGGCACATGTGAGGGGAAAAACCAGAGCTTTCTGGGCTACTTTGTTTCTAAAATGGGGATAAGTATTAGGTTGGTGCAAAAGCAATTGTGGTTTTTGCCATTAAAAGTAAGTAATTGTGGTTTTTGGCATTAAGAGTAATGACATTACTTTTAAAAAGTAATGCCGTTTAAAAGTAATGGCAAAAACCGCAATTACTTCTTTTGCACCAACCTTATTTGCCTTACAGCGTTGTTGGGAAGACTAAAGGAGCTAATATGTATTACATATGCATGTTGTATGTACATGTCATGTAAAACAACATGTGTTACGTGTATGGTCCTTAAAACATTATAGTAAGTGCTCAAGAAATGTTATTTTTTAGTATTTTACTTCTGGTGTTTGTGAGAGAAAAATAATGGAAGTGAAGGGCAGGGAAAGGGAGTGAGGTCTCTCCATTTCTCCAACTTGGAAAAATGCTTTATGAAATGAAATCACATGAAGTCCTAGAACCCACATTACCATGGTGGAGGACAGGCGTCTGCAGTAGCTATGTCCCCTCTCAATTACTGCCTTCTGCCACTGGCGGAGCCTTGCGTGAAGGTCCTAGTGCCTGATGGTGCTGATTCCTGTGAATAAATGTAACTGCAAAAATGAACCCCAAATGCCCTGTGGGTTCATTTTGCCGGCTGCCCAGATAGAGCTGATTTTCAAGACAGGGGAATTGCAATGAGGAGTTTAATTCATACAGAGCCAGCTGAATGGGAGACTGAAGGTATATTACTCAAATCAGTACTCCCGAAAATTCAGAGGCTGGGGTTTTTCAAGGATAGTTTGGCGGCAAGGGAAGAGGGGCTGCTGATTGTCTGGGGACACAATTGTAGAGGTGTGGAAAATGGTCTTCCTGCTTGTTGAGTCTGCCTCTGGGTGGGGACCACAGGAGCAGTTGAGCCAAGAGTCATGGGTCCAGGCGGGGCCATCTGGTTGTCAGAAATGCGAGTCTAAAAGAACATCTCAAAAGGCCAATCTTAGGTGTTCTTCAGTAGTGACGTTATTTATGGGCAGGAGTAATTGGGGAAGTTGCAAATCTAGTGTCCTTTGGAATAATGGAGGTTAATCGTTTCTGTCTACATCTTAGCAGAATTCAGGCTCCTCCCATCCTTCTAACCTGATGGTTTTTCATTAGTTTTACAAGGCAGTTGAGTTTTGGGGAAGGGCTAGTATCAGTTAGACTGTAAACTAAATTTCTCCCAAAGTTAGCTTGGCCCAAGCCCAGGAATGACCAATGGCACTCTGGAGGTTAAAGGCAAGATGGGAGTTAGTCAGATCAGATCTCTTTCACTGTCATAATTTTCTCACTGTTATAATTTTTGCAAAGGCAGTTTCATAAAGAGGAAAGAGAGACAAGTATGTTTTCTTCAGGGTCAGCCTCTTTTTGTGATGGTTGAATCTCACAAGGAGTTTGGGGTTCCCAGGGAAAAATCCAGTGTCCTGCCAGCAAGCTGACGTCACTGCTCTTTTAAGAGGAAACTGGGAACCAGCTGTTGTGGAGATTAACTATGAGTGCAGATGTACAGTTGGAGCCCTACAATAAACAAAAGGTTCTGATTCTGCCCCACCAAACAACAGCAGCTGCTCTTGTTCTGGTTGGGCAGGGTTGAGTATCTGAGCCTTTGGGAAGAGAAAGTTAATAGGATCAGGGCTTCTTCCAGCATGAGAAAGATGGTGTTGTTCATGAGATGTACCCATTGTGCAGACTGGTGAGGGCGGGGCTGCTGGGTCCACCTGTTACCGGACAGGGGTCCCATTCCAGACCCCAACAGAGGGTTCTTGGATCTCATGCAAGAAAGAATTTGAGGTGAATCCATAAAGTGAAAGCAAGCTTAGAAGTAAAGAAACAAAAGAATGGCTACTCCATAAGCAGAGCAGTCCCAAGGGCTGCTTGTTGGCTATTTTTGTGGTTATTTCTTGATTAAATGCTGAATACGGGTGGATTATTCATGAGTTTTCTGGGAAAGGTGCAGGCAATTCCTGGATCTGAGGGTTCTTCCCCCTTTTAGACCATATAGGGTAACTTCCTGACATTGCCATGACATTTGTAAACTGTCATGGCGCTGGTGGGAGTGTCTTTTAGCATGATAATGCATTATAATTAGCATATAATGAGCAGTGAGGAAGACCAGAGGTCACTTTCATTACCATCTTGGTTTTGATGGGTTTGGCTAGCTTCTTTACCACAACCTGTCCTGTCAGCAGGGTCTTTGTGACCTGTTTCTTGTGCTGACCTCCTATCTCATCCTGTGACTTAGAATGCCTAACCTCCTAGGAAAGCAGCCCAGTAGGTCTCAGCCTCATTTTACCCAGGCCCTATTCAAGATGGAGTCGCTCTGGTTCAAACACCTCTGACACACCAGGCCATGCCACTGAGTGTCAGAGACTGAACAGCTTGTGGGATCAGGGCTGAGACTCTCCATGCTGAAAGCTGCAAATAAATCACGGTTCCAGCCCCCTCATTTGCAGCTGGGGACTCAAGTCTGGAGGGGGAGTTTTATGTGCTTGCAATGTACAAGAGAACTGATTGAGGTTGGGAATCTGTCTTGGACCAAAGTCGAAATTCATATGATTGGACTGGTTTCTGTGACTGGGTCTCCAGTGTGTGGCTGGGTCTTTTCAATGTGGCTTAGGTTGGATGTCAGTCCTTGGCTCCTCTCCAGGATCCTGTCTGTGACTGAGACTATCTCTGTGCATCACTAACTCTAACCTCCCCCTGAGAATCTCACCTGTGACCTTGGTCTCAACTGCACCAGTCACATCCTCCTGTCCTCAACGGTGAAAACCTGGCAGATGCTCAGCCTGCCCCTGCCCCAGGAGTGCTGTGGTCAGCTGAGCTGTGGAAGTCGAGGCTGGAAAGGACCTCATCAGCCAGTGGAGGGGAGGGGAAGGGAGGAGATCCTGTGAGCAGGCTAAGGTGGTAGACCTTGCCCCTCTGTGGCCAGAACCTGCCCAGGCCAAGTGGGCATCAGCTTTGCCCAGAGAAACAGCTGCCCTAGCTGCAACTGACCCCAGTTGGTGATGAGGTCTATTGAGGAACAAAGAATCAAGAGCAAACAACCAAGAGCATCCATCCCTCCCAGAAGGGGGTCTCACTTCTGTTGTCAGCTACAGAGAAGAGAGGCGGCTGGCCCAGCTCCACCTCCACCTTCTCCTGGGCAGTGTCTGGCCCTTCCATGGCTCCTTCACGGAAGGAGAGTGAGGGGAAGCTGCTGCATGGACTGGAATCAGCCCAGTGGTCCTTCTGCCTAACCACATTGAAGACAGGGCCAGTGATTTATGTATGTATGTATGTATGTATGTATGTATGTATGTATGTATGTATGTATTTTTAGAGACTGGGTCTCACTCTGTTGCCAGGCTGGAGTGCAGTGGCATGACCATAGCTCACTGCAGTCTTGACCTCCTGGGCTCAAGTGATCCTCCTGCCTTAGCCTCCCAAATAGCTAGGACTAACACGGTTGGCTAAAACCAAAGCTTTAAATATATAGAATCCTTGAGCCACAACCAGGAGTGGATGCTAGGCTTCTGTGGTAGGTAGCCTACTGTGTAGGCTCCTATGTAGGAGGTACGTCTCTGTGTAACATGAGAGCTCATGGTTAGAACCTTCTAAATGTGGGACAGTTACCTTAGGAGGTAATGAGCTGTCTGTCTCTGGGGGAGTTCAAGCAGAGGCTGGAAAATTCCTTGGTGGGGTTCATTCATCCACTCATTCATCTTCCATCTACTCATCCATCCAATATTTTTCACTTATCAAATTTATGCCAGGTGCTGGACTAGTTGATTCAACCATGAATAAGATAGAAATGGCTTGTGGCTTCACAGTGCTATGATGGGGAAACGCTGGGGACTACAGAAGCAGGGTAGAGGGCGGCATGACCTAGACCTGGCAGTCAGGGAAGGCTTCCTGGAGTAAGTGATCTTTGAAGCTAAAGGCTGAAGGTTGAGAAGGACTTAGCTGCAAGGAGTCAATAGAGTGTGAGCCAGTCAATGACACAGTCAGATGTGTGTCTTAGCTGGTTTCCTCAGAGGCAGACCCTGAGGCAGGGATCCAAGGGTGTATGGTTTCCACTGGGGGGTGACTCCAGAAAATACCAGTGAGGGGGTGTGGTAGTGAGACAGGAAAGGGAGGCAGCCAAGAAGGTGTATGTGGTCAAGCAAGTCACCTCTGTGTGCAAATGGAGCTTCCACCTGCTGTAGAACTCTGGGAGCCAGTGTGGCATATGTCCTGCAGTTATTCCCTGGACAGGGAGTGAGCTGGGGTATTTGTATACCAACTTTCCTCAGCCACTGGTTGTGGGTTTTTCTGGACTGAGTGGGACATGGACACTATTCTCAAATAATTCTGGCCTCCTGATGGGGCAGGCAGAGTGGGCCCCAGCACAGGCCTTAGACAGAGGTGCAGGGGCTGGTGGTTGTGGTGGGGTCTGAGGGGATCTGCGCAGGGTGCTGGCATCACCGTGGCTGCAGGGTGAGTGAGGGGCATGCACGAGCCCTGAGATCAGTGAGAAGGCCAAAGGCGGAGTGGGCCAAGCAAGAGATACTGGCGACCAAGAGAGGCTGTGGTTATGAGGAAGCGACAGATGTCAGGATGTGGAGCGGCGTGGAGGAATGGAGATGCTGGTGAGCAAGAGGAACCACAGTCTCCCAAGGCTGCAGCAGCCCCCTCACCACAAGGAACTCCCTCGCTCCCTCACCCCTACACCACCTCCCCCTCCAGCAGGCATCTCCTCCGTCCAAACACATCAGGGACGCCAGGCTCACTGCCAGCTTGTCAGGACCACGAAGGTGTATATGGAGGGAGATGATGGTGCTGTGGCAACTGCTTAAAAAACAAAAGCTGGGGCTGGCTCACGCCTGTGATCCCAGCACTTTGGGAGGCCAAGGTGGGAGGATCGCTTGAGGCCAGGAGTTTGAGACCAGCCGGGGCAACGTGGAGAGATCCTGACTCTGCAAAACATTAAAAAATTAGTCAGGCATGGTGGTGCATGCCAGCTACTCAGGAGGCTGAGGTGGGAGGATCACTTTAGCCCAGGAGTCAAGGCTGCACTGAGCTATGATTGTGCCGCTGTGCTCCAGCCTGGGCAATAGAGCAAGACCTTGTCTCTAAAAAAACAAAAAACCTGGGTTGTTGTCAATGCCAGCCCCAAGTCTTGGAAGAGACCCCTTGGACTGTGTGCGCATATGAAAATGAATGTCATCCTGACTACCTGTAGCTTCCAGTGTGCCCACGTCTGTCTTCCTGTTGGATGCAGCCCTCAAGGGGACAGGCGCTCAGCATGACTTTCTGTCCTTGGGGGCCCCAGGACCTGGATCATAGAAGGCACTCAGTAACAATCCGTCAGGTGATGGAGAACGTGAATGGACCCCGGCTTCTGTGCTTCCTGCCATTGGGAGGGAGGGGCTGGGGGACAATTGTGTGGTGGTTCTAAGGGCAGGATCCCACTAGCATTGGGGAAGGGGATGGTGTTGTCATCCAGGGTTTTTAACTGCAGGCAAAAGAAGCCAAGTCTGGATAGATAAGTAGAAAAAGAATGTATTGACTGGGCATCTCACAGAGTCGCCTGGGTGGCTGGGCAGCCTGAGCATCCAGGAACAGTGCCCCTAAATCCTGCCTCGGGACTGGCCCAGTGGGGACACTGCTGCAGAGTCGTAGCTACCTCTGGTTGTTCCTCTGACCCCATAATCCCTAGACACTCTCACCAGCAGCCCCAGGAACTCCCTCTTCCTGCAATGACAGCTCCAGATTCCATGGGGAGCAAGGTCGGCACCTGCATCCCCTGGGCAGTATCCTCCCAGCGCAGGTCCCTACATTTGGACTCAGCCTCTGCCTCTTCCCCTGAGGGTTTTCCCTGGCCATTGGACTCTGCTCTGCCTGCCCCTTTGGTGGAGTGAGGGGGAAATTAACACCCATGTGTGGAAGCAGACACACATGGTGTATGAAAACACCCTGGCTCCCTCAGTGCTAGGCTAGAGGCACGTGTTCTTCTTTGTCTCCAGGACAGCTCTGGCTGCCCACAGTGATGACTTGTGGGAAAATGCACTTTTTTTTTTTTTTAACTTTGAGACAGAGTCTCACTTTGTCACCTAGGCTGGAGTGCAGTGACATGATCTCAGCTCACTGCAACCTCTGCCTCCTGGGTTCAAGCAATTCTCCTGCCTCAGCCTCCTGAGTAGCTGGGACTACAGGCGTGTGCCACCAAGCCCAGCTAATTTTTTTGTATCTTTAGTAGACAGGGTTTCACCATGTTGGCCAGGCTGGTCTTGAACTCCTGGGCTCAAGTGATCCGCCCGTCTTGGCCTCCCAAAGTGCTGGGATTACAGGCGTGAGTCACCACGCCCGGCCAAAAATGTACTTTTTATTGGCCAGCCTCCCTGCCGGCTCACTTCCCCTCTCCCCTGCTGGTGCCTCCTGGGATCACTTCTGCATAAATTACCTGCACTCAAACCCTCATTTCAGTGCCTGCTTCTCAGGAAATCACATATCTAGGCAGCTGTACCTGACTGGCAGCCCCAGTCCCATGTTCTTTCCTAGGTATAAGGGAGGGTGCGGAAGACAGAATTGGGCATTTTCAGCTTCAGGGGAAGGTGGGCTCTGCTTCCCACCAGACTTATAAGGAGGATGACCCTGTCATCCAGGGCCCCAGTAGGATGCCAGTGGCATATTCAAATTACAATAATTGGTGGAAGGTTTTTTCAGACTTAAGCTGTAGGGAGTGGAAGAGATAGTGCAGTGTCTTAGGATGAGCAGCGGCAGAGTTTTGCAGCCCTAGGTCTGAAGGGACAAGGGGCACGGGCAGTTACCAGAACTGGGAAAGAAAGAGACATGCAGGCTGGGTGTGGTAGCTCACACCTGTAATCCCAGTACTTTGGGAGGCTGAGGTGGGAGGATTGCTTGAACTCAGGAGTTCAGCAACATGGAGAAACCCTGCCTCTACCAAGAGTACAAAAATTAGCCAGGCATGGTGGTATGTGCCTGTAGTCCCAGCTACTCAGGAGGCTGAGGTGGGAGGATCACCTGAGCCTGGGAGGTCAAGACTGCACTGAGCCATGATTGTGCCAATGCACCTCCAGCCAGGGTGACTGGTGGTGTTGTGGCAGAGGAAAAGATGGGATCAGACAAGCCACATTTGAAAAAAAAAAAAGAGAGAGAGAGTGAGATGTGCAGAGGTCCCCTGGAAAGGTGCAGTGACATAAGGGACAGAGCCAGCCCAAGGCCACCTCACTAGGGACATGGAGGGGAGCAAAGGCCTTACTATTTGTACTCCACCTCCCTAATCTCCTGCCCACAGATAAGGCTCAGACAGGTCAGTCCCCTGGGTCGGAGCAGGGTGAAGTAGGTGGGGACAAGACCTGGAGGGCAAACGGAAGGAGGCTAGCACAGTGGAGACTTCCTCAAACAAACAAGGGGGCCTCGGGTGTGCCAAAGCATCCCAATGTCCAGGTGGGGTGGAAATGAAAGTGTCATGCCGGGTCTTGAGTTAGGGCTGGCTCTTTCTGCCGCTAACTTCTTCTGTGACTACAGTTGAATCCCTTCCTCCTGCTAGGTCTCAGTTTCCCTGTGTATGAAACCACATGAACTTTCGGCACCCTCCTGTAGCACTAGGAAGGTTCAAGACAGTCCTAAGAAGGGAGTAAAATAGACTGTCGTTTTGGAGAAACTGGGGCCCAGGAGGCAGAGAGACTTGCTGGGGGTCACTGATCACATAGCTATTGAGCAAGACTTCCATTTCTTGTCAGGGCTGTGCCCTGAGCCAGGCCCGCCCTGGCCTTTTGAACCTGCTTTCCCCGGGAGGCACCGCCCACCCCCATGTTTGTTTCCAATGAGCGCAGCAGCCACCGTGAAGTGTCGAGGTCTCTCTCATGCTCTGGTTTGAGTGTGTGTCTGTGAATGGGACATGTGGTAACAGTAGTTTCACCAGGCTTTTGGACCTTGGCCACCCCTCCTGTCCCACCTGGGGATTTAGGGTTAATGTAATGTCACTGCTTGGCATTTGGGCCTATGAGTCCCATACAAACTTCAAAGAACTTAATTTATAGGGAGTTTCAAAGAGAGTCGGGAGGGCTGTGCCCGCTCCTCTGGACCCTCTGACAATGACCCTGCACAGCCTGCACAGCCGTGTCCAGGAAGCTGCCTGGAATCTTGCCATCCACTCCACGGGACTGTGTGCTGAGGCCTATGTCCCGGGCACATGAAACAAAGACCATTTCATCTTATGTTGGAAGCCGAGACTCTGGGTTTTTTTGCATCCAAGGCCTAGGAGGCCCACAGAGCCCACCTTGTTGGAACCAATGCTCCTTTGCTTGAAATCGTGAGACAGGGGAGAGCTTTTCAGCTTTGTGCAAAATGGTTCTGTTGAAGGTAGAATTTTCAAAGCAGATAGCCCTGGATCAATTATGGCCCACATGCATGTTCTCTTTGGCTTGCACCATGTTTGCCCACAAAGGTGTATTTTCACAAAATGAAATTAACTGCCACAGTTAGAAGTCAAATTGTGGTTTGACCTTAAATAAGTAGAAGACCTGGCAGCACGGGGCTCATGTTCCTGCATGAAATGTTTGGCTGGAGCAGCACTGCAGCCCCTCCCCCCGCACAAAAGATATGCACTCTTTAGTTGACCACAGTCCTTACCATGCCCTATTGTCTTCCAGCTGGGAGCTGAATGCCTGTTGCCATTTATCATGTTTATGCTGCTGCTTTCTTGAGTCAGAGAGTTATGAGGAAGGTAAAATATTTTGGGTCCCCACGTTTCTGACAAAAGTGGAAAAGCAGTTTATATACATTACCTGCCAGCCTGTTTTCACTGGGTTGCCAATGTAGAAGTTTATCTCTGGGGTGTGTTTGGTCCCATCTTTTCCTCTGCCACAACACCACCATGATGATCACCATAACATCATATTTATTGGCCCTTTATCAAGCTATGTACATGGTGAGACAGGTCAGGACAGGCCTCCATTTGTCTCAGGGGCAAAGCATTGTGGGCAAAGAAGACAGAGCAGCTGGAGCTGATGGGGCTCCAGTTAAGGCAATGAAGGCTTTGCCACACCATAGAGGGCTCAAGGGAAGGGTCCTAAAAGACCAGCCCTGAGCAGCCTGGTGGGAACAGCCTCTTGGCCTTCTGCCCAGCTCCTGGCTGAAGCTGTGATCTGTGTAGCTGTGACTGCAGGGCTTGAGAATGGCGGAGGGCTTAGGCAGTTTGGACAGGGTGAATCGGGATTAGCGTGTAAACCCAGCCACCTCCCTGAAAAACAGTCTGAATCTCCCTTTTCCATCTGTCTGATGCGTATCCAATCTTTTGGCTTCTCTGGGCCACGTTGGAAGAAGAATTGTGTTGGGCCACATGTAAAATCCACTAGCACTAACGATAGCCGATGAGCTAAAAAAAAAAAAAAAATAGCAAAAAGAAACTCATAATGTTTTAAGAAAGTTTGCGAATTTGCGTTGGGCCGCATTCAAAGCCATCCTGGGCCGCATGCGGGCCTCGGGTTGGACAAGCTTGGTCTAATGGGAATACGAAGACAGCCCTGGCTCCCACTGTGAGAACCCCTTCAGTCCAAGCATACTGGTCCTTTCCAAGCTCACTGTTCTCACCACACGGCCCCACTCCGGTTTCCTGGAGGCTCCCCCAGAAGCATTTGGGGGACATAGTCCAGGCAGGTGCCTCCTCCCAGGTGGGGCAAGCACCTGGCATGATAGCGGAATTTTAGGTGGCCATGATTCAGGTTGCATCTCACCTCATGGGAACCAGACTTGGGAGCCTGATCACAGGTGCCAAGGAGGTCATCGTCCCTGCCAGAGTCCTGATCCCAGACCTGCAACCTCAGGGGCCCCCCTGTGGCCAGGAGCACATCCCCAAAATCCAGCCGCACTGACCAGATGGGGTTGTTATTGTCCCACACGGTGCTCGTCCTCAGCTCCTGGCCACCAAAGAAGAGCTTCACATAGGCATCCGTGGCAGTGAACCAGTCCCCCCACAGGCCCCATGCTTGGATGAAGGTCACCTCCAGCTGGGCCAGGCCCCTCTGCCGAGGGCAGCAGTCCTGGGTGGTGACCGCTGAGCCATGGCACACACACTGGCATGGGTCTCGGGGGCTCTTCTGCCGCCCTGGTGGGCACGGCCGGCTGCAGTCCCTCCAGCGAGCCCTGTCCGTCAGGTACTGACTCAGGGCCCTCCTCAGTGCCTCCCGCCGCGGGTCCTGGCTGTCCAGCAGCACGTGCAGGGGTTCCAGGGTGTAGTCCACCAGGCCAGGGCTGCCGGGCAGCGAGTTTACCCAGGCTGAGTACTGCTCGGGCCCGGCCTGGATCCCGAACAGCAGGTCGTTAATGGAGGTGTGATGGCCGCCAACCACTTCCGAGTGGCGCTCCCGGTAGGTTTGGTGGAAGGAGGCCGTCATCTTGTGCTTCTTCTTCTTCTCCTCACAGGCCTTGGCTTCGGCAGAGATGCTGCCGTGGATGCCTATGTTGACCTGGGCCTCGACAGTCAGGCAGTCCTCCACCTCGTTGTCCGTGAGCCCTTCCAGGGCCAGCTCGCAGGTGCGCAGGGCAGTGAGGGCCGATATGCGGCCACCCAGCTCCACAGCCCGGATGAAGTGGGTGCCGTAGTTGGAGATAAGCCTGAGGTAGGCGGGCTGGGTGGAGGCGTTGAAGTGGTGGGGCAGGTCCCCGAGGGCCCTCTTGAAGTCAGGGTGCAGCGGGGGAGTGTGTACCACATGGAAACTGCGAGAAGAGAGAGACCTCAGCTGGGCCCAGGGGAGTATTTCCCCCATTCAATCAAATAACTCCTTCAGGACTGCTCAAGGTCACATGTAAGTGGGCAGAACTAGGACTGGAACCCAGGGGCCCGGCTCCAGAGCACAAGCACAGTGGCACGGGGCTGGCAGGAATGCCTCCGCTCTCACCCCTCAGGGACCTCAGTGCTCTGTATAGGTATTTTCTCTTTTCCTTTTCAAAATAACATTTTTTTCTTTCCTTTTAATTTTCTTATTATAAAAGCAATGATCCTGGCCGGGAGCAGTGGTTCATGCCTGTAACCCCAGCACTTTGGGAGGCCGAGGCGGGAGGATCACTTGAGCCCAGGAGTTTGAGACCAGCCTGGGCAACATAGTGAGACCCCATCTCTATTTTTTTTTTAAGAAAAAGTAAAAAAGAACATAAAAGCAATGATCCTGCACTGATGGTATCTGTCGAACTTTGGAACTAGTCATGTGGCCTTCATCCATCCGTCCCCCTGGATGGGTCCCACATGCCCGGGATCCTGACAGCTTGGGCCATGCTCGGCCTCTCTGTGGAGGAAACGTGGCCCCCAGGTCTGATGAATCAGACCAGGTGACTTGGGTCTGGCCTACAAACACTGTGCCTTTCTCAGACGTGGAATATGGGTCCCATACTTCCTACTCCCAGGGGCTAGGGTAGTGACTGCTGTCGCTCAGCAGTGTGGCCCTGCCACAGGCAGGTGTGAGTATTGGTTGAGTGGATGATTGAAGCTCAGAGAGAAGTGAGATGCTCAAGGTCACACAGCGATGAGGAAGGATGACCCGGCCAGGTCTCCTGCCTCTGTCCCTATCCAGGAAGGACTCTGTGGAAGGCTGGCTGTGCCCAGGAAAGGCAGGGTTCAGTACTCACTAGACCTAAATGGCACCCTGCTGGGACTCTCAGGCATGGTCTCACTCACTTTCTCTCTACTTGATGTCTCACTGGGCACTCCCAGATTTGGGACCTCCTGGATGAGAGGAGGCCACAGGGCTGAATCACCTGAAGTCTGAGAGCCAGGATTGCAGTTTCTTCCTGGTGGAAGCAGCCTCCAAGTTTGATTGGAGGACTCTGCCTTTCCAGGGCTCCTAGACCACCCAGAGTTTCCCGCGCCTTTTCCAGCCCCCCACCCCTAGCCCCAGCTCTCACCTGTAGAAGCGGCACTCCACCGTGTCAGTGCTGAAGCTGTACTGGTCCTGGTGGGTCTTCTGGGCTGCAAAGTTGGCTGCCTGTGAGTGTGAGCCGGCCACAGACACATGCACATTGCTGGTGGGCTTAGGAGTCACGTCCAGCCCGACCTTCCAGTCGTTGCGGATGCTACGAGCCGCATCCCGGGCCACAGCTTCAGTGGAGCTGACTTTGGCCCTGGTTACATGGCGCTGGCAGCCAGAGCCCTGGGCCCGCCAGTTGGTGAGCGCCAGAGGCAGGCGCTGGAGGGTGCCCTCCTGTAGGGCATTTTCACAGAGGGTGCAGGTGCCGTCGGGCCGCAGGAACCTTTGTGTGTCCACTGGGAAGGAGCCCGAGCGGCGGAGGCTGGTCACGTCCACACCCTCCCCGGCCAGCCATGCACCAGGCACGAACTTGTGGCTGCGCTTGCACTCTGAGCGTGCGGCTGTGTGGCACGGGGCAGGGACGGGCAGGGGCAGCAGCAGGAGAAGGATGCCCAGGAGGAGCAGACGGGCTGCCATGGAGCTGCAGAGACAGGGGGCACTTGGGCTCTGGGAAGCCATGGGTGGAGGGATGGAGGATGACTGCTCCCTTCCCCCACAGCCACAGATTATCAGGGCACATGGAAGGGGAGGGGCTGAGATATCTCTTAAGTCATTATTCAATGAATGTCAGAGCTGGTATGTCCCTTATAGGCCTGGTTCAGCCCCCACATTGTACAGATGGGCCCAGAGAGGGGAAAAGCCCAGCCAAGGGGAGCCCCTTTTTAGAATTTCCCTAAGGCCTAATGGGGATCTAGGTGGATGGCTCTGTCCCCAGGACACAACTGTGGGTGGTGGGGAGGGGGCTGTGGCCACAGAAGAGGGGACAGAGTAGCTGTAGCAGGTTTAGGGAGGGGTCTGGGGACCTGAGGAAGCCTTCATTCTGAAGAAGTGTCATTTTTGGCCCCAGAACAAGCCACCCTTTGCCCACCCTGACTCTCACTCTGTTTCTTTGTCTCTGTCACTCTCTCTAACCTCTCTCCCTCCCACTGAGCCCTTAACAGAATTGGAAGAGAAATGAGGTCCTATATTGCACCTATTCTTCTCATTTTCCCTTTGGGGCTCTCCCTCTGAGCTTTATGGAATAACATCAGCCCGAATTCTAGAATAAAATCTGCCGACCTGGCCAGGTGTGGTGGCTCACACCTGTAAACCGAACACTGTGGGAGGCAGAGGCAGGTGGATCACTGGAGGTCAGAAGTTCGAGACCAGCCTGGCCAACGTGGTGAAACCCCCTCTTTACTAAAAATACAAAAATTAGCTGGGCATGGTGGCGGGTGCCTGTAATCCCAGCTACTTGGGAGGCTGAGACAGGAGAATCGCTTGAACCCAGGAGGCGGAGGTTGCAGTGAGCCAAGATCGTACCACTGCACTCCCGCCTGGGTGATAGAGTAAGACTCTGCCTCAAAAAAAAAAAAAAAAAGGGGCAGACCTGACCACACCCTTGGATTTTGTGTGGGGAGAGGCCTCGATGGTTGCTCTTCAGATCCTTTCTTGCTGCCCCTCCCCTCTTTGCCACTCCCTGCCAAGCTCTGTGGCCTTCGGCAGTGACAGGGGCCCCCCTATTGCCTACTATGGACAATGATTGTCTGGAAGGTTCTTCCTAATTTTAAGGTGTTTCTGGGGCCTTGCCTGGGCCTGTTTATGATCTGGAACCTCCTTTCTCTAACCTTACCCAAGCCTAACCTTATCCAAGCTGAGCTCTTCAAAGGCCTTTGCCCTTGGGTACCACAGGTTCTGAGACAAGAGGGCTATGGAGAGCCCCCATTATAGCTGGAGCCTCCTGCCCTGCCCAAAGGTGTGACTTGAAGGGTGGAATTTCAGGCAGCGTGGCTCGCCCCAGGGAGGCAAAGAGGCCAGGGGAATCTTCAAAGGCCCTGGGCTCATCCCAGCTAGGAGGCGGGCACAGTCATAACCCTAATCCAGTGAACTCAGCCCTCATCCTGACTCTCATGGTATTCTGTCCCAGGGAGCCTCTTTCCAGCTTTCTTAGAAGCTTTAATGTCAGCACTTGCAGGGCCTTAGAAACTGCACGCTACCTCTTCATTTCATACATGAGGAAACTGAGGCCCAGGGTGGACACAGGGCTGCCCAGCGAGTTAGTGATGGGCACCGTCTGTGACCCAGGTGTCTTGTCTTATAGGTCACAGCACTTCCTGCTCCATCAGCCTCTTCCCCTCCACCCAGGGCCCCAGGCCCCCCAATCCCTGCTCTCTCCTTACCTGGAATCCCGTATAGAGAAGCGGCTACACAGATGGATATCCTCTCTTCACCGAGGCTCCTGGAATGGTGGCATCAGCCCCCCAGGCAGCCCACTGTGGCTCCTTGCACCAGCCACCACTCACATCACTTCTACTTCCTGCCCCGCCCCCAGCTGTGGTCACAGGTCCTTTGTGCTCTCCCCTCCCACAAGCACCCACCCTGTCCTCAGCCCTCATCCGGCTCCCCACTGACAGCCCTCAGGAAGCGAGCAGCAGGGCCAGAGGCTCATCTGCCGAGTAGAGCTGCTGGGGCTCGGGGACTCAGGGCACACAGGCGGAGGAGGGCGGGGCGCTGAGGACTTTGAGACTCGGCCCTGGTGTTGATGAACAGGCCAGCAGGGCCATCTCCTTGCTTCTGATGCACAGCATCGCATGTGTGGGATGTAAGAGGCAAGCAGAGGCGGCGGCTCAGAGCATGGGCCTACACGCCAGACCGCCGGGGCTTGGGCAGCTCGGTTATGCACCAGCAGTGTGGACTGGTAGGGTTCTTCAGCCTCACTGTGCCTCAGTTTCTTCACTGAACAATTGGGATTGTAGGTCATGTAGACCCTAGGGGTTGTTGTGAAGTGCTTGGAACTGTGCCTGGCCCTTCTTGAGTGTCAGAGCCTGTGGCCATTCCCTCCTCCCTGAGTGGGAGAAGAGAGATGTTGCTCTAATCTTGCCATCCACTTCCTGCTCAACCTACATCCCACCCTAGCCCAGGCTCCGAACTCCAAGCATGTTCCTCGAACAGGGGCTCCTGCTCCTCGCTTTGTGAGGACAGCCAGTGGCCTCCACGCTGGCTCCAGCCCTGCTGAGGTCGTGGGTGCTGGTGAGAGTGGTCTGGTAGCACCGGAGGACATGTCTTCTGCACTCTGCCTTGCTTGAGGTCAGGGTGGGGTGAGGTTTCCATGGGTGGAGTGACTCACAGGGCACTGGGGGGCAAAATCACACGGCTTCTGGGGTGGGGGCAGCTGGGTAAGGGAGGAGGTGGTTCTCACAACTTGTTCTCATAACTGTGTATATGATGGGAAGAAGTGGCCGCAGGCTCCAGACCACATGTGACATCATGTCTCATGGGTCACACTTTGGGGCTCATCCCTTGCGTTTATGTCCCTGCTTCCGTCCCTGCTCTTACAGGAACAGGGGCTTATGCTGTCTTCTCGGAATCTGGCCCCATCTTCTCTCCGCAGTGTCCCCACCCTCTTCTAGAAACTGCAGCCTCCTGATCACTTTCCAGCTGTCACCCATGGCCTGACTTGGATGCTGAGGCTGTGAGGAGTTTCTTTCCTGACCATGACAGGAAGGCCGGTTTGAGGGACATAGAAGTCCTGCAAAGTATCTGCGGGAAAAGAGAGGCAAAGTCTAAACAGGTTCTGATCCCAGCTTCACCAGAAACTTACCGTATGCCTCACGGCGATAGATATCAACCCCCTTTCTGAGCGTTAGTTTCCTCACCTATAAAATCAAAGAGAGGACTTTGGAATTCTACACATCCTTCCAGCTAATGATAAAATGTACACTTGGCAGGTTTCAAGTGGCTTATGAAGTGGCTAATGCCCAAGAGATGCTAGTGGTTGTTAGGGGATCCATTAAAGAGCCGAAATGACATTGAGGGTGATGACTGTTTTTGACTCGTTTAACTGATGACAGCTGTCCTTCTGAAACTTGACACTTGAATGTGCATTAAGCAGAGTTTTTCCTCAGAGACACAAGTTTCAACAAGTGCGTAATTTGTTCAATCACCAGACACCATGTATATGGTTTTCTTTAGTAACAACAATCTTTAGATGTAATTCACATACCATATAATTCACCCATTTCAAGTATATGATTCAATGGCTTTAGTATGTTCACAGAGTTGTACAGCCACCGCTACAGTCAATTTTAGAACATCTTCATCACTTTCCAGAAATAAAACCTATACCCACTGGTGGTCATTTCTCATTTCTTTTTCTTTTTCTTTTTCTTTTTTTTTTTTTTTTTGAGATGAAGTCTTGATTTGTCACCCAGACTGGAGTGCAGTGGCATGATCTCGGCTTACTGCAACCTCTGCCTCCCAGGTTCAAGCGATTCTCCCACCTCAGCCTCCCCAGTAGCTGGGACTACAGGCATGCGCTACCACGCCTGGCTAATTTTTTTTTTTTTTTTTTGTATTTTTAGTAGAGACGGGGTTTCACCATGATGGCCAGGCTGGTCTTGAACTCCTGATCTGCAAGTGATCAGCCCACCTTGGCCTCCCAAAGTGCTGGGATTACAGGCGTGAGCCACCGTGCCTGGCCATTTCTCATTTCTTCATAACGCTAATCTACTTTATCTCTCTGTTAATTTTCCCATTTTCGACAATTCATATAAAAAGAATCATAGCATATGTGGCCTTTTGTGTCTGGCTTGTTTCATTTAACATAATACTTTCAAGGTTCATCCATGTTGTAGCATGTATCAGTACTTTAGTCCATTTCATGGCTGAATAATATTATATTATATGGACATATCACAATTTGTTTACCCATTCATAACTGATGGATTTATTGGTTGTTTCTACTTTTTAGCTGTTATGAATAATGCTGTTATGAACATTTGTGTACAGGTTACTGTGTGGACATATGTTTCCATTTCTCCTGAGTATATATCTAGGAGTGGACTTGCTGGGACATGTGGTAACTATAGGTTTAACTTTTTGAGGAAGTGTTTTCCAACGTGATTGCATTGTTTTGCATTTCTCCAGCAGCTTATGAGAGTTCTAATTCCTCCTTTCCAAATCAAACCAAGGTTCCACTAGTTCCTTGCCAAACCTTGATTATAGCCATCCTGGTGGGTGTGAAGTCGTACCTCATTGTGGTTTTGACTTGGATCTCCCCAGTGGCTAATGAAGTTGAACATCTTTCCATATGCTTATTGGCCATTTGTACACCTTCTTTGGAGAAATGTCTATTCAAGTCCTTTGCCCCTATTTTGAACTGAGTTGTCTTTTTATTGTTGAATTGTAATAGCTCTTTCTACGTTTTGACTTCTAGACCCTTGTCAGATATAGAATTTGCAAATATTTTTTCCTATTTTGGCAGTTGTCTTTCTTTTCACTTTCTTGAGGGTGCCCTTGAAGTATAAAAATATTTTACTTTTGGCCAGGCATGGTGGCTCACATCTGTAATGCCAGCACTTTGGGAGGCCAAGGTAGGAGGATCGCTTAAGTCCAGGAATTCAAGACCAACCTAGGCAATGTGGCAAAACCCTGTCTGTACAAAAAATACAAAAATTAGCCAGGCATGGTGATGTGTGCCTGCTTTTTGGGATAGTTCCAAATAGTTCCAGCTATTTGGGAGGCTGAGGTGCGAGGATTGCTTGAGCCCAGGAGTTCGAGACCAGCCTGGGCAACATGGCAAGACCCTGTCTCTGGAAAAAAAAAAAAAAATTAGCTGAGAGTGGTGGCACACACACACCCCTGTAGTCCAAGCTACTCAGAAGGCTTAGGTGGGAGGATTTCTTGAGCCTGAGGGGTCGAGGCTGCAATGAGCCAAGATCGCACCGCTTTACTCTGGCCTGGGTGACAGATCGAGACACTGTCTCAAAAAAAAAAAAAAGATTTTACAGGCCGGGAGGGGTGGCTCATGCCTGTAATCCCAGCGCTTTGGGAGGCCGAGGCAGGCGGATCACGAAGTCAGGAGATCGAGACCATCCTGGCTAACACAGTGAAACCCCGTCTCTACTAAAAAAATACAAAAAATTAGCCGGGCGTGGTGGCGGGCGCCTGTAGTCCCAGCTACTCAGGAGGCTGAGGCAGGAGAATGGCATGAACCCAGGAGGCGGAGCTTACAGTGAGCCGAGATCATGCCACTGCACTCCAGCCTGGGTGACAGAGCAAGACTCTGTCTCAAAAAAAAAAAAATTTTTTTACTTTTGTTGAAGTTCAATTTACCTATTTTTTTCTTTTGTTGCTTATATTTTTAATGCCATATCTAAGAAGGTTCTGCCTAATCCAAGATCATGAAGATTTATTCCTATGTTTTCTTCTAAGAGTTTTATAGTTTTAGCTCTTATATTTAGGTCTATTATCCATTTGGAGTTAATTTTTGTGTATGGAAAGGGGTCCAACTTCATTCTTTTGCATGTGGATATCGTATATGGTTTTGATTTTTTTAGGTTATAAAATACCTGCTTTAGATAGAACAGTGCCATAAATCTTGCTATCTTGGAATGTTCATGTCCCTCCAAGATTCATGTTGAAACTTAATCCTCAATGCAATAGTATTAAGGAGTGGGGCCTTTAGGAGGTAATTAGGTCATGAGGGTTCTGCCTTCATGAATGGGATTAGTGCCCTTATAAAAGGGCTTGAGGGAGTCTGTTTGTACCTTCTTGCTCTTCTGCCCTTCCACCATATGAGGTCACAGCAACAGGCACCGTCTGTGGAGCAGAGAGCAAACTTTCACCAGATACCACGTCTGCTGGTACTTTGATCTTGAACTTTCCAGCCTCCATAACTGTGAGAAATACATTTCTATTATTTATAAATTATCCAGTCTAACATATTTTGCTATGGCAGCAGGAGTAGACTAAGCAAGAAATTGTGCTGGGAGTGGGGTGCTGCTGTAACAAATACCTAAAAATGTGGAAGGAGCTTTGCAGCTGAGTAATGGGTAGAGGCTGGAAGAGTTTGAGGTTCATGCTGAAAAAAACTTGTATTTCTGTGAACGGACTATAAAGGGTTTTTCTAGTGAGGGTTCAGAAGACGAGGAGAACTGTAGAGAGAGCTTCAATCATTTTAGAGATTATTTAAGTGGTTGCAAGTGGAACATTGGTAGAAATATAAACGGTAAAGGCTACTTTGATGAGGTCTTAGATGGAAATAAGAAACATCTTCTTGTTAAGTGGAAGAAAGGTGATCCTTGTTATAAAGTGGCAAAGAATTTGGCTGCATTGTGTTTGTGTTCTAGTGTTTTGTGGAAGGCAAAACTTATGAGCAACGAAAGAGTATATTTGGTAGAAGAAATCTCTAAGCAAAGTGTTGAGGATGCAGCATGGCTTTTCTTGATTGCTTACAGTAAAATACAAGATGAGAGAAATGAATTAAGGGTGAAACATATAGTTAAAAGGGAAGTAGAACTTAAAAGAGTTGGAAAGTTCTCAGCGTGGCCAGGTTGTAAAGAATGAGAAAGTGTTTGAGAGAGAATACCAATGGTGTGGCCAAGTGAATGTTTGATAGGGAGATTTATATGGCTAGAAGAATGCCAGGTGATATTCATCAAGACGATGGGAAAATGGCCCCCAAGGCATTTTGGAGATCCTCAAGGCTGCCACTACTATTACAGGCCCAGAGTGCCAGGGTTTTGTGGTCCGAATGGTTTCAAGGGAGGGACCCAGGATGCCTTTGGGGCTTTGTGGTTTGCTGCCCAGGGCTGCATCAAATTTCTACTCCATGCATTCTGGCACAGAGCTCGTTGGTCACCTCAAGTGTGGCTAGTGGGCCTAGGTGCAGTGTGGTCTACAGTGGTTGTCCCTTTGGTTGCCCCATGGATACCATGCTCCATGGCTGGAGCGCCGTGCTTCATGCCCACAAGTGTAAAATTGGATACATTGGAGCATGGTATCCATGCAGTGTTAAACTGCAGTGGGGGCATGGCTATGACCACCTGGATTTCAAAGGATGTCCTACAGAGGCTTGGGGCCCAGACAGAGAACTATCATAGATGTGAGACCACTTCAGAGAGCCCCCACTAGGGAAATGTCTAATGGACCTGTGGGGTTGGGGCCACCTCAGAAATCCCCCACTAGGGCTCCCAGTGGAGCCATGGGGGCAGAGTGACCCTGGAGATGCCAGACCAGGAGAGCCACCAGCATGCAACTCCAATCTGGGAGATTCTCAGGGACTGGACTCCAATACATGAGGGCCACTGCGTGGGTGGTGCCAAGCGAAGCTGTGGGGACAGTGCTGCCTGGAAGCATGACTTCCACCCCAGTGTGTGCAGAAGGTGGGGCACAGAGTCAAAGATTATTTTCAAGTCTTAAGATTTACTGTTGTTTGCTCTGTTGGGTTTTGGACTTGGTCAAGGCCTGTCACCCCTTTCTTCTTTCCTATTGCTCCCTTTTGGAATGGGAATGTCTATCTATGCCCATCCCACCATTGTATTTTTTTTTTTTTTTTTATTTTTTGTGAGACAGAGTTTCCCTCTTGTCACCCAGGCTGAAGTACAAAGGCACCATCTTGGCTCATTGCAACTTCTACCTCCCAGGTTCAAGCAATTCTCCTGCCTCAGTCTCCCAAGTAGCTGGAATTACAGGCGCCCGCCACAATGCCCAGCTAATTTTTTTTTGTATTTTTAGTGGAGACAGGGTGTCGCCATATTGGCCAGGCTGGTCTCGAACTCCTGACCTCAGGTGACCTGCCCGCCTTGGCCTCCCAAAGTGCTGGGATTACAGATGTGAGCCACTGTGCCTGGGCCCACCATTGTATTTTGGAAGCACGTAACTTTTTTTATTTCATAGGTTGACAGCTGGAGAGCAGCTTGCCTCAGGGTAATTTTATTTTATTTTATTTTTTTGAGACAGTCTCACTCTGTTGCCCAGGCTGGAGTACAGTGGTGGGAACCTTGGTTCACTGCAACCTCCGCCTCCCAGGTTCAAGTAATCCTCCTGCCTCAGCCTCTCGAGTAGCTGAGACTACAGGTGCATGCCACCACACCCGGCTACTTTTTTGTATTTTAGTAGAGATGGGGTTTCAACGTGTTGGCCAGGCTGATCTCGAACTCCTGACCTCAAGTGATCCACTCGTCTCAGGATTACAGGGGTGAGCCACCGTGCCCGGCCTGCCTCAGGTTGAATTATACCTTAAGTCTCATCCATATGTGATTTAGATGATACTCATTTTAAATTTTTCATTTCGTTTTATTTTTTTTAAGTGACAGAGTCCCACTGTCTTGCCTGGGCTGGAGTGTAGTGGTACAGTCTCTGCAGCCTCGAACTCCTGGGCTCAAGGGATCATCCCACCTCAGTCTCTTGAGTAGCTGGGACTATTCAAGATGATATTCAGATGAAATGTAGACTGGACTTAAACTTTAAAGTTGATGGTGAAGTGAGTTAAAACTTTTGGGGGTATTGAGATGGAATGAATGTATTTCGTATGTCAGAAGGACATGAATTTGGGGGGCACCAGGGGTGGAATGCTATAGTTTTCTTTTCTTTTCTTTTTTTTTTTTTTTGATATAGAGTTTTCCTCTTGTTACCCAGGCTGCAGTGCAATGGCGCGATCTCGGCTCACTGCAACCTCTGCCTCCTGGGTTCAAGTGATTCTCCTGCCTCAGCCTCCCAAGTAGTTGCAATTACAGGTATGTGCCACCACACCCGGCTAATTTTGTAATTTTTTTTAGTAGAGATGGGGTTTCACCACGTTGGTCAGGTTGGTCTTGAACTCCTGGCCTCAGGTGATCCACCCGCCTCGGCCTCCCAGAGTGTTGGGATTACAGGCATGAGCCACTGCGCCCGGCCTGGAATGCGATATAGTTTGAATATTTGTGTGTCTCCAAAATTTCTGATGACACCCCTCAGTGCAATAGTATTAAGAAGTATTAAGAGTATTAAGAGAGCCCCGCCCTCATGAGTGGGATTAGTGCCCTTATAAAAGGGCTTGAGGGAGTCTATTAGTCCCTTTTGCCTTTCTACCCTTCTGCTGTGTGTGTGAGGACACAAGATGTTGTCTATGGAGTAGGGAAAGCCTTCACCAGACACTGAGTCTGCTGGCACCTCGATCGTAGACTTCCCAGCCTCCAGAATTGTGAGTAATAAAGTTCTATTATTTATAAATTACCCATGCTAAGGCCTTTTGATATAGCAGCAGGAACAGGCGAAGGCAGCACTCGACATAGGATGCACGAGGGAGATAGAGCGTGATTGCGTCTGCTGAAGTGCAGTACCTACCACATAAATGACAGCTGTGACCTGAAATCAAAGAGGTCCTTTAACAAAACTAGTGTTTAGATGCTAATTATCATGCATATATTAAAGAGCCAAAATGCAGTCACATGTGGTGTTTTCTTCACCCTGCGATAATTCTTTAGTGCCTTTTCTTTACAAGTTTGTGAAACTTTGAGGTTCTTCTCCCACAGCCCTCAACAGTGTTACCCACAGTTCTTGTTTTGCCCTTTGTCTCATAAAATGAGACAAAAGAACTGAAGAAATCTTTCCTCTTTTTCCTCTCTGCAAAAGGCTTCATAGAAGATTGGCACTCTGTTGGTGTAATTGGGTAGATTTTATTCAGGTTTATTGGGTAGCTTTATTCAGGTTTTCTGTTTTGTTTGTTTTCTGGTATCAGTTTTGGCAAGTTACGTTTTTCTAAATCCTTCACACTGTCTAAAATTTCACACTTGTGGGCATGAAGTTGTTTACAATGTTCTTTCTCTTAAAAACAAAATCTTTCTGAGTTAGTAGTGATGCCCTATTTTGATAAAAGATTTTTTTAAAAATGGCTTTAGGCTGGGCATGGTGGCTCACGCCTGTAATCCCAGCACTTTGGGAGGCCGAGGCAGGTGGATCACAAGGTCAGGAGATCGAGACCATCCTGGCTAACACGGTGAAACCCTGTCTCTATAAAAATACAAAAAACTAGCCGGGCGTGGTGGCAGGCGCCTGTGGTCCCAGCTACTCAGGAGGCTGAGGCAGGAGAATGGCGTGAACCCAGGAGGCGGAGCTTGCAGTGAGCCAAGATGGCGCCACTGCACTCCAGCCTGGGCGACAGAGCAAGACTCTGTCTCAAAAAAAAACACAAAAAAAGGCTTTTTTCTTTTTCATGGATCAGTCTTGATAAAGATTTATACATATCACATTAATTTTTTCAAAGAACCTACTCTTGGCTTTATTGATTTTCCCTATTGTATCATTATTTTCCATTTTGTTAATTTCATTAAAAATTTTTTTTCGGCCGGGCGCGGTGGCTCACGCCTGTAATCCCAGCACTTTGGGAGGCCGAGGCGGGCGGATCACGAGGTCAGGAGATCGAGACCATCCCGGCTAAAACGGTGAAACCCCGTCTGTACTAAAAATACAAAAAATTAGCCGGGCGTAGTGGCGGGCGCCTGTAGTCCCAGCTACTTGGGAGGCTGAGGCAGGAGAATGGCGTGAACCCGGGAGGCGGAGCTTGCAGTGAGCCGAAATCCCGCCACTGCACTCCAGCCTGGGCGACAAAGCGAGACTCCATCTCAAAAAAAAAAAAAAAAAAAAAAAATATTTTTTTCACTTCCTTTTCCCTTTTGTTTGGGCTTCTTCTGTTGTTCTTTTTCTAACTTCTTGAGTTGAACCCTTAGCTCATTAATTTTCAGTCTTTCTTTTTCTTTATTTTCAGTAAGCAAATGCTTCTTTAAGTAATCATTTAAGCCTCTACATTTCTAAGAATCTTTTTAACTGTGTCTCTAAAGTTTTGGGATGTGGTATTTTCATAATTGCCTAGTTTTAAAATATTTTCTTATAATTTCTTTTTTGGCTTGCAAGTTATTTATAAAGTGTGCTTTCCACGATTTCAGTCATAGGGGTTTTAAATGCTATCTGTTGGTTATGAATTTCTAACATAGTTGCATTGTAGTCAGAGCATGTTGTCTGTGTGACACCCATTCATTAAGGTTTATTGACATTTTTTCTATGGTCTACCGAATGTTTAGTTTTGTAAATGTTCCTGTGTACTTGAGAAGAATATGTATTTGCTAATTTTTGGATGCAGCGTTCTATGTTCAAATCTGTGGTCTTTTGAAACAGTCATTACTGAGAGAATCATGTTGAAATCTTCTACGATGAAGGTAGATTGTTTAGCTTCTCTCTATACCTTTCGTTCTGTCAGTTTTTGCTTTACATATTTGGAAGCTGCTTTATTAAACAAGTTTAGTATAGTGTTGTCTTCCAGGATTGAACTCTTTATTATTATGTAGTGGCTCTTTTTATCTCAAACAATGCTTTTTGCCTAAATGTCTATTTGGTCTGGTATTAATAGAGCTATTCCAACTTTCCTTTTTTTACTATTATTTTTAATTGTGGTAAAATATATGTAACATGGAATCTACCAGGTTAATAATTTTTTTTTTTTTTTTTTGAGATGGAGTCTCACTCTGTTGTCTGGTTGGAGTGCAGTGGCACGATCTTGGCTCACGGCAACCTCTGCCTCTCGAGTTCAAGTGATTCTCCTGCCTCAGCCTCCCGAATAGCTGGGACTACAGGCACACGCAACCATGCCCAGCTAATTTTTTTGTATTTTTAGTAGAGACAGAGTTTTACCATGTTGGCCAGGATGGTCTCGATCTCTTGACCTCGTGATCCGCCTGTCTGGGTCTCCCAAAGTGCTGGGATTACAGGCGTGAGCCACCGCGCCTGGCCTATTTTAATAATTTTTAAGTGTACCAGCTTTCTTTTGATTCGTTCCACCATGGATGTATTCTACCTTACTTCCAAATTCCGTGTGCTCTTATATTTTAGATAGGCCTTTGTTAAACATAATTAGTTGGAGTTTGTTTTGTCATCCAGCCTGAGGGACTGTTTAACTATGTGTTAAGTCCATGTATATTTGTGATTACTGTTCTAATAGAGTTTGTTTCCACCATCATGTTTTATATTTGTTTATTGTCTTGCTTTTTTCTGTGTATCCTTCCTCCCTCCCTTCCTTCCTTCTTTTGGGTTGACTGAACTTTAGAAAAATTACATTCTTTACTCTCTACTCGTTTAGTTATTGCACCCTCTATTTCTGATTGTTTGGTGGTTACCCATAAAAAATGCTAACATGCATTCTAAACAGTCTAAAATTGTTTACTACTTCCCTCCTTCCCAAGGATACAAAGATCTTAGAATACTGCTAACTAAAATCACCTTTTGGCTGGGCGCAGTGGCTCACACCTGTAATCCCAGCACTTTGGGAGGCCGAGGCGGGTGGATCACCTGAGTTCAGGAGTTTGAGTCCAGCCTGGCCAACATGGTGCAACCCCGTCTCTACTGAAAATACAAAAATTAGCTGGGTGTGGTGATGTGCGTCTGTAGTCCCAGCTGCTCGGGAGGCTAAGCGGGGAGAATCGCTTGAACCCAGGAGGCAGAGGTTGCAGTGAGCCACGATTGCGCCACTGCACTCCAGCCTGGGTTATACAGTGAGACTCCATCTCAAAAAAATAATAATGATAATAAAATAAAAAAATCACCTTTTGTCATTCTGAAAGTTATTTTTGTCCAGTATTTTAGTTCCATCTCATTTTTCCTCTGTTAAATCATTTATTAGTACTATTGCTTGATATAATCAACATTTGTCTGTATTTATGCATGTTTACCAGTGTCTTTGCTCATTTATTCTTTGATCTAGCTTTCTTTGGAGATAACTTTTCTTTTCCTTGAAGCGCCCATTAGAAAAGTGCTTTCAGTGAGTCTCTCTGGTAGCACATGCTCTCAGTTTCTGTTTGTCTGAGCTGTCTATTTCATCCCTGTTCTTGAATTATCATTTGAGCTGGTTGACCCTTTGAAGTTATTGCTTGTTGACTCCCCTCGGTGCTTCTAAGTTATTATGTCACAGTTTCTGGCTTCCACTGTTGCTACTGTTTAATTGTTATTCTTCATAGAGAATTTGTCTTTTTTGTGGGGGAGGCTGTTTTTAAGATCTTTTCAGTTTTGGTTTTCTGAAATTTTACTATGAAGTACATATCTAGAGATGACTTCTTTAAATGTATTCTGTTTGGGATTTGTGGTGCTTCCTGAGTCTGAGGATTCACATCCTTTAACATTCTGGAAAAAATCTTGGCTGTTACAGTGTCATATATTCCATCTCCCTCATTTGCTCTACCTTTTGCCTTTTTTTTTTTTTTTTTTTCTGAGACAGGATCTTGCTCTGTTGTCCAGGCTGGAGTGCAGTGGCACAATCCTGGCTTACTGCAACCTCCATCTCCCAGGCTCAAGCTATCCTCCCACCTCAGCCTCCTGAGTAGCTGGGACTACAGGCACACGCCACTGGACCCAGCCTATTTTTGTGTTTTTGGTAGAGAAAGGGTTTCACCTTGTTGGCCAGGCTAGTCTCGAACTCCTGAGCTCAAGTGATTTGCCTGCTTCGACCTCTCAAAGTGCTGGGATTACAGGCATGAGCCACCATGCCCAGTCTACTTTTTGCCTTTTTGAATGCCATTGGTGATATAATAGTCCATTTCACTCTCTCTTCCATGTCTGTTACGCTTTTTTTCTTATTTCCCACTTTCTGTCTTTTTGTACTGAGTTGCCATTATTTTTCTCCTGTTCTTTTCAATTCATGAATTGTTGCTTCAGATGTGTCTAATGTACGATTACTTCATACTTTGGGTTTTAAGATTAGGTAATACACGTACCAAGATGCAAAAATCAAAGTGATGGAAAATATATACAGTGAATAATCCTTCTCTGGCTCTTTCCCCATTTGCTCCAGTCCAACTGACCTCCATAGGTGCCACTGTTGTTTTTTTTTTTCCTAATTTATTTGGTGGCCTCTCAGAGTTTTATCATGCAAATAAAAGCAAGTGCAGACATAAATAGTTTTTTATTCTCCTCCTTTCTCACACAAAAGAACCCTATTATACATCTTGCTGTGTACTTTGTCTTTATTTTTACTGAATACAGTTTGGAAATCTTACCTTGTAGCACATAATTTCCTCAATCTTTCATTTAAAAAAAATGTTGCATAGTATTTTGTTATATGGATGAACCGTAAGTTATTGGGCCAGCCTTTTAATGATGGCCATTTGGGTTATTTATAGTCTTTTGCTCTAATGAACAATGTTGCAGTAAATAACCTTGTACACGCCTCCTTTTGGACATGTGGAGGATATCTGTAGAATAAATTCCCAGGAATTGAATTGCTGGAACAGAACCTTACACATTTTTAATTTTGTAATAAATTTGCTATAAATAGCCCCCATAAGGACAGCACCAGTTTTCACTCTTACCAGCAAAGCATAAGTGGCCTCATTTCCCTCAGTCTTACCTATGACATTTTTTTGTTTAGTTAATTTTTGCTTTTAATGATTTATGTGTAAACTCTGTTTCATTCTTTTTCAAAATTTCATGACTATGTCTTCTAGTTATTGAAACAAATTTTAAACATGTCAACGTATTCATTTTGGGTTTTATATCTAGTTATGCCAACACATAAAATCTTTGGTGCAGCTCATTCTTTATCTTGTTATACAGCTGAATCTTCCTGGTTGGTGGATTGTTTCCTTGAGGGTTTTGCTTGCAATGTTAGATTGTGAGCTCATTCTTGGCTGCCCTTCACCTGTGGGAATCCTGCAAAGTTTAGGATTGAGAACATTCCTCCAAAGTGGGTTTGCATGTGCTTTTATGAGACACTTCCCGTTTTTACCGACTCAGACCTATTTATGCTTATTTTTTGGCTTGGCATGTTCTGACTCACGCAAGTGGCATATGGGAAGGTAGACCTGTGGTTCTGATGTTTAAGGAGAGACCGTCCTTCCACTCAGATTTAAGACTGAGAAAAATGAGTTTTTTTCTGGACTCCCTATCCCAGTAAATAGATCCTTTTAACAGCCTATCCTTTGATTGACATTATTAGCCCTTTGAGTATTTATTTAGTTTTTTACGTGGAGTGGTCTCAGCTTCAATTCCCCTACTCTGCAACCCTGCCCAGCCTTATTTCCTGTTGCTCGTGTGGTCACCGTAGCCTGAGGTTCTGGCTTCCCTGGCCAGGCCTGTGTCCTCAGGGTATCCCTGGCTGTTGGCCTGCTTTACCCTCTAGTTTTTGCTTCTTTATTATTTTTGGCTGCTTAGAATTTCCCTTACTTTTTTCCAATTTTGTTTATGCTTTTTGATATATGTATTTAATTCTGTCTTTCTAGGTAACAGAAGTGGGTTTTCTCATAGAAAGCTTTTAAGGATAGCTACTCTGTAATATTTGTTCTTTATTCTTTCAGTCAGTGAATATTTATTGATTGCCTACTATGTGCTAGATTATTCTGTTCTTTCTGTTTTACTTTAAAAGACTCAAAGGACTCTGGTAGGTATAGCAACCACTAGTTAATTCAGATGAAGGAGTTTTTTTGTTTGTTTGTTTTGTTTGCTTGTTTTTTCCTGTTTTAACATAGAGATCTTTTTCATTGTTGTTGTAGAGAGGGAGTCTCATTATATCACCCAGGCTGGTCTCAAACTCCTGGGCTCAAGGGATCCTCCCATCTCAGTCTCCTGAGTAGCTGGGATTATAGGCATGAGCCACCATGCCCAGCTCCTAGCACAGAGATCTAAGCCCATGGTGGTGAGGGCTATGAACAAGCCTATGGTGGTTACAAATTCATACCGACAACATTTTCATATGAGATTGACCCAATTTAGGGAGCACAAAGAGAGCATTTCTAACACCTTTGATTTGAGGTCTACCCCGCCACATCAACTCTATCAGCTAACCAAACAAGAACCTAGAATGCGAATGTGCATGTTGTGGAAATGAGTAGTAGAAGTAGAATCTCCCGCTGTAATGACTGAATGTTTATGTTTCTCCCAAAATTCATTTGTTCAAATCCCAACCACCAATGTGATGGTACTAGGAGGTGGAGCCTTTGGGAAGTAATAGGCTATGAGGGTGGTAATCAGGTCATAATCCCTTATGAATGGTGTCAGTGCCCTTATTAGAGAGGCTCCAGAGGACTGGAATGAAATGAGGAGACAGCCGTCTGCAGCTCAGAGGAGGGCCCTTGCCAGAGCCCAGCAAGCTGGCACCCTAATCTCAGACTTCTGGCCTCCAGAACTGGGAGACATCAATTTCTGTTCTTTGAAGTCACCCAGTCTGTGGTACTTCTGTTATAGCAGACTGAACAGATGAAGAGACCTGCATTTGTTTTGTTTTAAATCAATGGTAACACTGAGGATTGCTATAAGGATTACCGTAGGAATCTCCCCAAATGAACCTATACTTAGAGGAACTGGAAAGACATCAGGGTCCCCTTCTCTCCTGTCCTTTCTGTATCTCCTGTTCAGATTTTGTAGGCTTTTACCTCCCTTTCTTTCTCTTCTTCATTCTTCCCTTTTACCAGATTGACTTCTTGCCCCTCATTTGCTTCAGGAGACCCATGGTAGCTGTTTAGAAATGGCAGCCCCAGTCGTCTCATTTGGCTCCATGACCCCCACTCTTGATTTTGTCTGACACAGACTTTACAGTTTACAAAGAATTTTGTGTGTGTTATTTCATCTGCACCTAACAATGTTGTGACATATGCAAAATATTGTTATCCCTATTTTTTTTTTAATTAAAAAAACTGAGACCCAGCAAGAAGTACTTGCCCAATGTTATACAACCAACAAGTGGCAGAGCAGGGAGCAGACCTAGGTTTTCTGGCTTGAGGCCAGTGCTCTCGCAGGAGCGCAGCTCATACAGCTGTCTAGCAAATCCACGTTCAAGTGAAATTCCAATGTCTGGAAAAACTGGATTTCTAACTCATCCCTGAGCTCCCAGTTTTCTGATATTTCTATTAAAGAACAGTGGGTCTGTTACTTCTCTGTGAGAGCAATGCCCTTAGATTATACAGTTTAAAAATTTGGTGTGGGTTTTGTGAATGTTTTGACAGTCTGCCTACCATTTGGTCTGGCCAGCCAGCCATGCTGAGCCATGGCTGGGGTTTTTTGATGGATTGCTAGTGGCCAAGGGCTTGTGAAAACATAAATGTCTCACTGAGCGCAAACCTGAATGGAAAAAAAGAAAAGAAGTTCTGAGTAAGAGTCTGACTAATGACTTCTTGGAAGAAACTGAACAGTGTCTGAGACTTTTTCATCTGCCTTTAGCTAGCAAAGTTTCTTCCGAAAGCCCCACAGCCCCACGCATTTGACTAGCACTGGTGGATGTGTACATTCATCCACCATGCCACGCATTGATGGAGTCTTTAATGAACACATACTATGCACCAGGTGCTAGTAATCATAGAGAGGGCTACAAAGACACATAAAATAGAGTTCCATCCTTAAAGGAGCCTACCATCCAAATATACATTTTGGCATCATAACTGAACTTATAGTTCTGGGAGCCAGAGTGCCTGGTCAAAATTCTGGCTCTACTGCTTTCTACTAACAACAATTAACCTTGTATCCGAGTATTTATCTCTTTAAGCTGCAGTGTCTTCATCTGTAAAATAAGACCAACAAAGGTACCCATCCATCTATGCCTCTAACTCAGAGCACTGCTTTGAAGATGAAATGAGGTAATAATGTGTTTAAAGAGCTTGACGCAGAGTAAAAGATCAAAATAAAACTGAAGTCATTGGCATAAAACCTTAAAGGTGGTTTGAGATGTGTGGCTTAGCAATGAAGAGCTACCGTGGTTCGGAGGGGAGCAGTGGGTTTGGGTCTCTATGTTACCAGAACAAGATGCATGCGAAGGACTGGCAGGTAGCAAAGACTGTGCAGAGGTTTTCAGGGAGGAGAACAACAGGGGCAAAAGCATGGAGACAAAAAAGAGCGACTCACATGAAGGAAACAGCATGTGTTTCTGGGTTGGACTAGGATGTAGGGATAAATGAGTGGGTATTAATCATTATAACTGTAAGCATCCCATGTTTAACATGCACTCTCTGCCAGACACCTTGTGAATTTATAATTATCATGTAAATTAATCCTCCCAACAACCCATGAAATCGCCTCATAAAATCTTGAAACTTGCCAGCTAAATATCCTTCTAGGACAAAGTCTCACACAGAGGCAAAATGGCTGGGACTAGACTCTAAACTGAGCAAGACAGGGAGCCATGTACAGATAAGGTCCAGACAAAACTGGAGGAAGGCGACAGAGGAAGTCATTCCCAGAATCTTCAACCCATTTTAAAGACATTTTTCAGTACAACAGAAGAGGGAGCCCTAGAGTCACGAATCTAGGCCAAGAAATCTTTTCCCATTCTCCCCATTGAGGACTGCCCGAAAAACTATCTCACTTAAACATACGTAATGCAAAAGGATTGCAGAGGAGAAATCCAGTCCCATTCAGTTTTTGTTTTGTTTTGTTTTGTTTTGTTTTTAAAGAAAAAAGTTGATTAGCATAGTAACAGATCATCAGGCAATGATCTCTGGAAAGACATGCCCTACAAAATACATAAAATTTTTCATTTGATATTTTTAAATGAAGTAGAAGAGTTTTTAAAATGACAGAATTTAGGAAACTAAAGCATAAGTCAGGATTATAAAAATTAAGAGATGAGATAATTGGATACAAGGAAAATTTGAAAAGAGCTCACACAGAATTTAGTTAGGAAAAAACCATTTTTCTTTTCTAAAAAAAACCTCTAACCATTTTAGAAATAAAAAGAAGCTAGAATGAATAAATAACATAAATAATGTCATAAGAGAAATAGAAGATGAAACAGAGGAAATTAAAAAAATCAAAAGTGGAGACTGGTTTAAAAAAAGATATAAAGGTGATAGATATGGAAGATAGAGAAGATCCAACCCATGTATAAAAGAGACCTTAAAGAAGAAAACTGAAGTAATGAAACAGAATAAATACATACTGTAGTGAAATATGTTAACATACCTCTCTTTTTAACTGATAAAACAGGTGGACAATAAAATCAGTAAAGATACAAAAAAATTGAACAATGCAATGATAAGCTTGACCCAACTGACATATATAGGACACTGTACCCATACACCAAAGTGTTGATGAAAAGGCTAAACTTTGTAAAATATTTAAAGAGGCTTATTCAGAGCCAATATGAGTGACCATGGCCCAGGATACGTTCTCAAGAGGTCCTAAGAAAGTGTGCCCAAGGTGGTTGGGCTACAGTTTGGTTTTATACATTTTAGGGAACAAGAGTTGCAAGGAAAGACATAAGTCAATACATGGAAGGTGTACATTGGTTCAGCCTAAAGAGGTGGGATGTCTTATGGGGAGGGGACTGCTTCCAGGTCATATAGGTAGATTCAAAGATTTTCTGATTGGCAATTGGTTGAAAGAGTTAAGCTTTGTCTAAAGGCTTAAGAAGTCAGTAGAAAGGAATCCTTGAGCTAAGACAAGGGGGTTGTGGAAGCCAAGGCCCTTGTTACGTAGATGAAGTCTCATAGGTGGCAGCCCGCAGACAGCATGTGATGCCATACCAGAGTTAGGTTGGAATTTTGTGTTTTATTACTACAAAGAGTCTGTTTTGTCGGTCTTATGATCTCTCTTTTAATATTAATGCTGGCCAGTTGTGCCTAAACTCCAAAAGGGAGGGGGCATAATGAGGCCTCTCCAACTTCCCTTCCCATCATGATTTGGAATTCATTTTTTCAGGTTTTCCTTGGCCCAGAGGGAGTCCATTCAATCAGTTGGGTAGCTTAGGATTTTGTTTTTGGTTTACAAAAGAAATATGTCTTTTTTTCAAGTGCGTACTGAACATTTACCTAAATTGGCAATTTACTGGGCCATAAAATATCTCAAAACATTTCAATGGATTAAAAATTTACAGAGAATGTTACTCAGTGGATTAAGCAAGAAATCAATAACAAGAACAAAAAAACAAACAAACAAAAAATCAAAATGTTTGAAAATATACAAGGGTTAAATTACATTTAGCCTAAAGCTGCCTCCTTACATAGTTCAAGTTTGGCCTAAAGGTTTCTCAGTAAGTAATGAACTGTAACCTAACTGGATGTGTAAACAGACTATAACCTACTCTTTTATTTTATTTTATTTTTTTGACAGAGAGTCTCACTGTGTCACCTAGGCTGGAGTGCAATGGCACAATCTTGGCTCACTGCAACCTCCACCTCCCAGGTTCAAGTGATTCTTGTGCCTCGGCCTCGCAAGTAGCTGGGATTAGGTGCGCACCACCATGCCCAGCTAATTTTTGTATTTTTAGTAGACATGGGGTTTCACCATGTTGTCCAGGCTGGTCTTGAACTCCTGACCTCAGGTGATCCACCCGCCTTGGCCTCCCAAAGTGCTAGGATTATAGGTGTGGGCGACCATGCCAGGCCTTGTAACCTACTCTTGTAACAAGTAGGTCTTAGCCAATCACAGCAGTCATATTTCAACCACTTACAGGCAGCCAATGGTTCAAACCATGCTCAGATAAGGCAAACGCTTAGTTGCCTTTTGGATTGGCTGCCAAGCAACTAATCTGGCTGTTCCTGCGTCTCACTTCTGTTTTCTGTATTTCACTTTCCCTTTTCTGTCCATAAATCCTTTCCAACCACCAGAGTCACTTTGAACCTCTTCTGGTTCTAGGGACTGCCCAATTTGTGAAATGTTCTTTGCTCAATTAAACTCTGTTAAATTTAATTTGTCTAAAACTTTTCTTCTAACACCAATATCCTTCAAAATAAGTTCCAAATCAAAGAATAAGTCAGAAAATACTTTTAACTGAATGATAAAAATATGATACACTAAAATACATGGGATGCAACTAATATTATGTTTAGAGGGAAGTTTATGGTCATAAATGCACATTTCAGAAAAGGAGAAAGATTTAATATTGTAAAAAAACAAAATATGTTACTCTAAAATATGGTTTTAGCAGATCAGAATATGCCACTCCAAAATATGCCTCTGGCATAAGAATGATTTTGAGCTGATTATTATTATTTATTTATTTTTGAGACAGAGTCTCACTCTGTTGCCCATGCTGGAGTGCAGTGGTGCGATCTCCGCTCACTGCAAGCTCCGCCTCCCAGGTTCACATCATTCTCCTGCCTCAGCCTCCTGAGTAGCTGGGACTACAGGCACCTGCCACCATGGCTGGCTAATTTTTTTTTTTTTTTTGTATTTTTAGTAGAGACGGGGTTTCACCATATTAGCCAGGATGGCCTCGATCTCCTGACCTCGTGATCTGCTTGTCTCAGCCTCCCAAAGTGCTGGGATTACAAATGTGAATCACTACGCCTGGCCGAGCTGAGTATTTTTGATGGCAGTGGCTGCTGCCATCATGCTGGCTGCAGCAGGGAGGCACGGCTTTGGCTGCACACTCCATAAAGCTGGTGGGAGTTGGGAGGAGAGCTCTCTGGGTGCTGCTGCAACTGCCCAACCAGCAGCTTCAGACCCAGGCCTCCTGCTCTACAGAGCACACAGGAGACTCACCCTCCTGGGTGGGGCTACAGCCGTCCAAATTGCAGCTGTGCTCTTTGAGGAGGTCTGGGAGCAGGCAGGATCTGCCCTCCTGGGTGTGGCTGTGACCGCCCTCCCAGGTGCAGGAGCTGGTGTCTCTGCAGCCTGCACCCTCAGTGGCCTTAGGAAGGACACTCCTCCATCCCTCCAAGCTCAGAGGTGTCTTTTCCCACTGCCTGGCTTCTCTTCACTCATGGTGCCTCCTCTGATCTTGGAGGGGGTGTTGGGGCCAAGCCCAGGGGCCATGAATGGCAGTGGGAGGCAAATTGATTTTTGGGTGGAAGGAGGCAGGTCCCCAGTAAGGCCACACCTTCAGGCCAGGGAAGGTCTGAAGGCTGGGGACCGGGCTGCCAGTCCTGCAGATTGGCAGACTGGTGGGGGGACTTGTGGTGCCTCTTCTGGGCCTCCCATGGCCACCCAGGGACCAACTGGCATGTACTTCCTTCCCTCCAAGGCCCATAAAAGCCCAGGGCTCAGCCAGAGTGGGGCACAGGACGAAGAGGGCGGAGATGATGGGAGGACCACCTGCAAAGAGGAGTACTTTCTCTGCTGATAGCTGCAGAGACCTGCAGAAATGTCCAAATGACCTGCCTGCAGAGAGGAGTTATCCTCTCCAGGGCCTCCTTTTTGTGGAGAGCTGAACACTGGATGGGATGACCTGCCTACAGAGAGGAGCTACCCATTCCTCTAAGCTGTTCTAACACTAAATAAAACTCTTCTTCACCCTTCACTTGTCTGCATACCTCATTCTTTTGGATACAGGACAAGAACTTGGGCAATAGTGCTGTGGCCACAGAGGTTTCTGGCCAGAAAAGTCAACACCCTAGAGATCCCTTAAAATTTTGAGAAACTGCAGACATAGGAGAAGCTCTGAAAACACAGTAAAAATTACCCTTTTATAAGGGAAATTAAAAGCCATAAAGGAAATCTCCATTTGTAAAGATGTTTCCTGCTCAGTACCAGAAAGAGAAGAATGATGTTAAATCACTGGAAACTCTTATCAGTGGAGAAGGTATCAACTTAAATCTGCCTAACAAACCTTATCCTATTTTCTTTTCTTTTCTTTTTTTTTTTTTTTTTTTTTTGAGATAGGGTCTCACTTTGTTTACCTAAGCTGGAGTGCAGTGGCATGATCTAGGCTCACTGCAACTTCCACCCACTGGGTTCAAGCAAGTCTCCTGCCTCAGCTGGGATTACAGGCATGTACCACCATGCCCAGCTAATTTTTGTAATTTTAGTAGAGATGGGGTTTCACCATGTTGCCCAGGCTGGTCTCAAACTCCTGGCCTCAAGTGATCCGCCTGCCTTGGCCTCCCAAATTGCTGGGATTACAGGCATGAGCCACTGCACCCGGCTTGAGATTTTCTTGGGCATCTCCCCACAGCTGGCCTTCTTCACACCCTTGTATTTTTGTTTTAGCTGAAGATTATATCTAAGCCTGAACTCAGAGCCATCTCTTTGAGATTTACTCATTTACTCTAGGTATCTTATGTATGTTTGACCATAAACAAGTCTGTTGCAGTATACATGGTAAGTCAATACATCAACACTGAGAGTTGCATCAGAGAAAAAGTTTTAATCATAGGGCTGCCCAGCAAGGAGGCAAGAGGAAACTTCAAATCTGCCTCCCAGAGGAGTTGGGGGTTAGAGATTTTAAGGAGTTTGGAGTGGCCAAGGTGTGGAGATTGTTGATTGGTCAAAGAGTGCAGCGTGAAATCCTGGGATGGGGAGATGAAGAAACTGCATTCTCATGTTGATTCAGCTCCTCTGTGGGAGTCTTCAAGCTGATGGGCATCAGCTGTTCAGCTGGAATTCAGGATCTGAAAACATCTTAAGTAATTCTTTTTTTTTTTTTTTTTTTTTTTTGAGACGGAGTCTCACTTTGTCACCCAGGCTGGAGCGCAGTGATGTGATCTCGGCTCACTGCAAGCTCCGCCTCCCGGGTTCACGCCATTCTCCTGCCTCAGCCTCCCGAGTAGCTGGGAACTACAGGTGCCTGCCAACACGCCCGGCTAATTTTTTGTATTTTTAGTAGAGACGGGGTTTCACTGTGTTCACCAGGCTGGTCTCCATCTCCTGACCTCGTGATCTGCCCGCCTCGGCCTCCCAAAGTGCTGGGATTACAGGCATGAGCCACCGCGCCCGGCCATCTTAAGTAATTCTTAAACAAAAGCCTTAGGTGTCAGAGATCCTATCTGTAGGAACAGTGGGAATGCAGATGGTGGGGATCTAGTGCTACGTGACTTTAAATTAAAAGAAGTGCCGGGCTCAGTGGCTCGTGTAATCCCAGCACTTTGGGAGGCCGAGGCGGGCGGATCACATAAGGTCGGGAGTTCGAGACCAGCCTGACCAACATGGAGAAACCCCGTCTCTACTAAAAATACAAAATTAGCTGGGCGTGGTGGCACATGCCTGTAATCCCAGCTACTGGGGAGGCTGAGGCAGGAGAATCGCTTGAACCTGGGAGGCGGAGGTTGCAGTGAGCCGAGATCGCGCCATTGCACTCCAGCCTGGGCAACAGGAGTGAAACTCTGTCTCAAAAAAAAAAAAAAATAGATAAAAATAAAAAAAAAGATAAATTACAAAGAAGTGGGCCAAAGTGCAGCCTGCTTAGTGCTCCTAATGCTTAATAATGAGTATATTTCTGCCCAGAACACTGCATGTATTTCTTGTTAACCCTGAAAGGATGGTTTTATATGCATAAAGTATATGTGTTATTAAACTTCTGTTTGTTATTCTCTTGTCACTCTTTTGTTCCAGGGATCTGTCCTAACTAAGAACTATGAAGGTGTAAACCAAAATAAAATCCTAAAAGCTGGGCATGGTGGCTTATGCCTGTAATCCTAGCCTTTTGGAAGGCCAAGATGGGTGGATCACCTGAGCTCAGGAGTTTAAGACCAGCCTGGGCAACATGAAACCCTGTCTCTACCAAAAACAAAAACAAAAACAAAAACAAAAAACAACTGGGCATGATGGCATGTGTCTGTAGTCCCAGCTACTTGTGGGGCTGAGGTGGGAGGATCGCTTGAGCGCAGGAGGTGGAGGCTGCAGTAAGCCGAGATCGCACCATTACACTCCAGCCTGGGTGACAGAGTGAGACTCTGTCTCAAAGAAAAAAAATCCTAAGTCCCCCAGTAGACTGAATGAACCCTTTTGGCCAAGGGGATCCTAGGGAAACCTGAAAAACTCAACTCTAGGCCATGACAGTAAGGGAGGTCAGACACACCTTTTTATACCTCCTCCCTTTTAAGAGTTTAGGAACAACTGACCAGCATTAACATAAAATAGAGATCATAAAGCTGACAAAACAGATTATTTGTAGCAAATTCCAGCCTGACTCTGGGATAACATCACATGACAGATAGCAGACCCTGAAGGAAATAAAAATATTTTAGTCTAAAATATAATTATTTGACATATTTTAAAAGAGTCCTTCAAAGCCATCTTTTCAGGAAGCCTGCTACCTGGAGGCTTCATCTGCATAACAAGAACCTTGGCTTCCACAATCCCCCTTAACTCAAGCATTTCTTTCTACTGACTTCAGATTTTTAGACAAAGCTTAAGTCTTTCAACTAATTGCTAATCAGAAAATCTTTGAATCCACCTATACCTGTAAGTCCCTCCTTTAAAATGTCCTGCCTTTCTGGGCTGAACCAATGTACATCTTCTATGTATTGATTTATGTCTTTGCTTGTAACTTCTGTCCCCCACAAAATGTATAAAACAAAACTGTCAGGCCTCTGAGCCCAAGCCTGCACATATACATCCAGATGGCCTGAAGCAAGTGAAGAATCACAGAAGAAATGAAAATGGCCGGTTCCTGCCTTAACTGATGACACTACCTTGTGAAATTCCTTTTCCTGGCTCAGAAGCTCCTCCACTGGGCACCTTATGTCCCCTGCCCCTGCCCACCAAAGAACAACCCCCTTTGACTGTAATTTTCCACTACCTACCCAAATTCTATAAAACGGCCCCACCCGTATCTCCCTTCACTGACTCTCTTTTTGGACTCAGCTCGTCTACACCCAGATGATTAAAAACCTTTATTGCTCACACAAAGCCTGTTTGGTGATCTCTTCACACGGATGCGTGTGAGAAAAACTATTACTTGACTACTTTGGGCACACCTTCTCAGAACCTCTTGAGACTTTTCCGGGCCATGTTCACTCATAATGACTTAGAATAAACCTTTTAAAATATTTACAGAGTTTGGCTTTTTTTCCTCAATAAACAATAGAGAGAAAATTATTTTTCCTCCCTTACAATATCAATAATCAAAGTATACATCTAAAGATGTTTAAAAGAGGACAACAGATTAAATCCAAACAGTGGAGGAAGGAAATACTAAAGAGAAGAGCAAAAGTTAATGAAACAACCAGCTGTCATGGCTCACACCTGTAATCCCAGCATTTTGGGAGGCTGAGGCGGGTGGATCACTTGAGGTCAGGAGTTCAAGACCAGCCTGGTCAACATGGTGAAACCTTGTCTCTACTAAAAATACAAAAATTAGCCAGGTGTGGTGGCACACACCTGTAGTTCCAGCTACTCAGGAATCTGAGGCAGCAGAATCACTTGAACCCGGGAGGCAGAGGTTGCAGTGAGCTGAGATCATGTCACTGCACTCCAGGCTGGGAGACAGAGCAAGAATCTGTCTTGAAAAAAAAAAAGAGAGAGAGAGAGAAGGTACAAATTAGCAATATCAGAAATGAAAAAGGAGACATTACTACAGCACCTGCAAACATTAAAAAGGTCATAAGGAGATATTATGAACAATTTTATGCCAATAAATTTGACAATTTAGATAAAACAGTACATTTCCTTAAAACAATAGCTTACCAAAGCTAACACAGAAATACATTAAAAATCTGGGTAACCTATAGCCAGAAAATAAATGTTTTCTTTTTAAAAAATTGAGACTTGTGTACCATAAGACTTACCCTTTTAAGGTGTAAGATTCAGTAGCATTAAGAACATTCACAATGTTATACAATCATCATCATTATCTAGTTCCAGAACATTTTTACTATCCCAAAAAGAAACCTACTAATTAGTACTCTTTCCCCATTTACTCTTCCCCCATCCTATCCCCATGGCAACTGTTAATCTACTTTCTTTCTCTATGGATTTGCCTATTCTTGACACTTCATGTAAGTGGGATCATACAAGTTGTAGTTTGTTTGTTTGGCTTCTTTTACTTAGCATAATCCTTTCAAAATTCATCTACGTTGCAGAATTTATCAGTATTTTTCTTGATATTTCTGAATAATACTTCACTGTATGGTTATACCTCATAAGTTGATGGGTTGTTTCTATTTTCTGATTATTATGAACAATGGGGCTATGAACCTTCATATATAAGCTTTGTGTGAACATACACTTTCATTGCTCTTGGGTATGTTACTGGAAGTGGAATTGCTGGTTCTTATAGTAATTCTAGGTTTGACATTTGGAGGAATTGCCAAACTGTTTTCCAAAGCAGCTGCACCACTTCACATTCCCACGAAAAATGTATGAGAGTTCCAGTTTCTCCACAACCTAGCCAATTATCTTAGTCAGTCTGTTTGAGCTGCTATAACTAACTACCTTAGACTGGGTAATTTATAAACAATAGAGATTTATTGCTCATAGTTCTGGAGGCTGGGAAGTCCAAGATCAAGACACCAGCAGATTTGGTGTCTGGTGAGGGCTCACTCACTCCTTCATAGATGGCACCTTCTTGTTGTGTCCTTACATGTGAGAAGGGGCAAACAAACTCCCTTGGGGCTTCTTTTATAAGGGCACCCATCCCATTCCTTAGGGTAGAGCTTTCATGACCTAATTATCTCTAAATGCCCCATTTCCTAATACCATATTGGGAATTAGGTTTCAACATATAGATTCAGGGGCTGGGGGACACAAACATTCAAGACCACAGCATTGTCTTTTTGGTTGTAGCCATCTTAGTGGGTGTGAAGTGACATCTCATTTTGGTTTTGATTTATGTTTCCCTAAGGACTAATGTTGAACACAGTTTTATGTACTTATTGGTAATTTTGTATCTGTTATTTGGAGAAATGTTTATTCAGATACTTTGCCCATATTTTATTTCGGTATTTGTCTTTTTATTTAGTTGTAATTTTTTAATGTATTCTGGATACTAGATCCTTGTTAGACATATGATTTGCAAAAACTTTTTCCCACTCTAGGTTGTCTTTTCACTTTTTTGATAATGTTCTTTGATGCACAAAAGTTTCAAATTTTGATAAATTTCAATTTATTTATTTTTTTGCTTATGCTTTTGGTGTCATATCTAAGAAACAGTTGCCTAATCTGAAGTTGAAAAGATTTGGGCCTATGTTTTCTTCTAAGAGTCTTATAATACAGTTGACCTTTGAACAAGACAGGTTTGAACTGTGCAGGTCCACATATATGTGGATTTTTTCCAATAAATATATTGGGAATTTTTTTGGAGATTTACAACAATTTGAAAAAACTCACAGATGAACCACATAGCCTAGAAATATTAAAAAAAAAACATAAGAAAAAGTTAGGTATATCATGAACGCATAAAATATATGTAGACACAGTTTATTTTATTATTTACAACCATAAAATGTACACAAATCTATTATAAAAAGTTAAAACTTATCAAAACTTACAAATACAAACACTGACCTTATAAGGCACCATTCAGAGTTGAGAGAAACGTAAACAAATGTAAAGATACAGTATTAAATCATAATTGCTTCAAAACAACTGTAGTCCATACTGCACTATTGTGATAACTGCATAGCCACCTCCTGTTGCTATTGCAGTGAGACCAAGTGTTGTGAGTATCTGCCTAAAACACCATGTGATGCTAATCACTCCATGTGGGCAGCTCATCTCTCCAGTAAAATTGCATATCACAGTAAAAAGTGATCTCTTGGCCAGGTGTGGTGGCTCATGCTTGTAATCCCAGCATTTTGGGAGGCTGAGGAAGGAGGATCACTTGAGCCCAGGAGTTTGAGACCAGCCTGAGCAACATAAGGAAACCCTGTTTCTACAAAAAATAAAAACAATTAGCCAGGTGTTGGCACCGATCTGTGGTCCCAGCTACTAGGGAGGCTGAGGTGGGAGGATTGCTTGAGCCCAGGAGGTTGAGGCTGCCACTGCCATGATCATGCCACTGCACTTTTTTTTGGGGGGGGGAGGGGGAAAAGGTCTCACTCTGTTGCCCAGACTAAGTGAGAATCTCTATGGTTCTCATGTTTTGTTTTGTTTTTAATTGCATTTAGTGCAATACCATAAATCTTGAATAACACCAGGGGACCCATATGAAGTGCCACTAGAGATGCTGGAGGTGTTACCAAGTATTAGAGAAAAGTCATTACATTACAAGAAAAAGTTGAATTGCTTGATATGTACCATAGATTGAGGTCTGCTGCTGCAGTTGTCCATCATTTCAAGACAAATGAATCCAGGATAAGGGCTATCATAAAAAAAAAAGAGAAGGAAATTAGCAAAATTGTTGCTGCAGCCACAACAGCAGGCATAAAAACTTTGCACTTGTTTTGAAATACCCTTGTATTTAATATTTAAAATGCAGCTTTTATGTGGGTGCAGGATTGCTGTAATAAAGACATACCTATAAACTCTAATATGATTCAAGAAAAAGCAAAGGCATTACATGACAACTGAAAGCAAAAAGAAGGTGAAGGATCAAAAGCTGGAGAACTTAATACTAGCAAAGGATGGTTTGATCATTTAAGCCAAAGAGGTTTGGCTTAAGAAATGTCAAGATGGGATGCTGAGCCGAAGCTGGACTGTACTGCTGCCATCTTGGCTCACTGCAACCTCCCTGCCTGATTCTCCTGCCGCAGCCTGCCGAGTGCCTGCCATTGCAGGCGCGTGCCGCCACGCCTGACTGGTTTTCGTATTTTTTTGGTGGAGACGGGGTTTCGCTGTGTTGGCCGGGCTGGTCTCCAGCTCCTAGCCGCAAGTGATCTGCCAGCCTCGGCCTCCCGAGGTGCCGGGATTGCAGACAGAGTCTCGTTCACTCAGTGCTCAATGGTGCCCAGGCTGGAGTGCAGTGGCGTGATCTCGGCTCGCTACTACCTCCACCTCCCAGCCACCTGCCTTGGCCTCCCAAAGTGCAGAGATTGCAGGCTCTGCCCGGCCGCCACCCTGTCTGGGAAGTGAGGAGCGTCTCTGCCTGGCCGCCCATCGTCTGGGATGTGAGGAGCCCCTCTGCCTGGCTGCCCAGTCTGGAAAGTGAGGAGCGTCTCTGCCCGGCGGCCATCCCATCTAGGAAGTGAGGAGCACCTCTTCCCGGCCGCCATCCCATCTAGGGAGTGAGGAGCATCTCTGCCCGGCTGCCCATTGTCTGAGATGTGGGGAGCGCCTCTGCCCCGCTGCCCCATCTGGGATGTAAGGAGCGCCTCTGCCCGGCCGTGACCCCGTCTGGGAGGTGAGGAGCGTCTCTGCCCGGCCTCCCCGTCTGAGAAGTGAGGAGACCCTCTGCCTGGCAACCGCCCAGTCTGAGAAGTGAGGAGCCCCTCCGCCCGGCAGCCGCCCCATCTGAGAAGTGAGGAGCCCCTCTGCCCGGCAGCCGCCCAGTCTGAGAAGTGAGGAGCCCCTCCGCCCGGCAGCCGCCCCATCTGAGAAGTGAGGAGCCCCTCTGCCCGGCAGCCACCCCGTCTGGGAGGGAGGTGGGGGGGTCAGCCCCCCGCCCGGCCAGCCGCCCCGTCCGGGAGGTGAGGGGCGCCTCTGCCCGGCCGCCCCTACTGGGAAGTGAGGCGCCCCTCTGCCCGGCCACCACCCCGTCTGGGAGGTGTACCCAACAGCTCATTGAGAACGGGCCATGATGACAATGGCGGTTTTGTGGAATAGAAAGGGGGGAAAGGTGGGGAAAAGATTGAGAAATCGGATGGTTGCCGTGTCTGTGTAGAAAGGTAGACATGGGAGACTTTTCATTTTGTTCTGTACTAAGAAAAATTCTTCTGCCTTGGGATCCTGTTGATCTGTGACCTTACCCCCAACCCTGTGCTCTCTGAAACGTGTGCTGTGTCCACTCAGGGTTAAATGGATTAAGGGCGGTGCAAGATGTGCTTTGTTAAACAGATGCTTGAAGGCAGCATGCTCGTTAAGAGTCATCACCACTCCCTAATCTCAAGTACCCAGGGACACAAACACTGCGGAAGGCCGCAGGGTCCTCTGCCTAGGAAAACCAGAGACCTTTGTTCACTTATCTGCTGACCTTCCCTCCACTACTGTCCTATGACCCTGCCAAATCCCCCTCTGCGAGAAACACCCAAGAATGATCAATTAAAAAAAAAAAAAGAAATGAGAAAAAGAAAAAAAAAATGTCAAGATGACAGGAAGAGGAGCTTCTGCTGATCAAAAGGCAGCAGACGAGTTTCCAGATGCCTTTAAGAAAATCATTGTGGAGGCTGGGCATGGTGGCTCATACCTGTAATCTCAGCACTTTGGGAGACCGAGGAGGAAGGATGGCTTGAGCTTAGGAATTTGAGACCAGCCATGGCAACATAGTGAGATCTCATCTCCACTAAAAATAAAATAACATTACATATGTTAGTAAGGAGAAAAGTCAGCATCAGGATTTACTCCAGGAAGGGATAAATTAACTCTACTATTTTGTGCAAATGCAGTCAGACATATGATCAGGACTGCCTTTATCTATAAGGCTGCTAACCCCTGTGCCATGAAGAGAAAAGATAAACACCAGCTGCCAGTCTTTTTGTTGTACAACAAGAAGGCTTGGACAATGAGAACCCTTTCTGGATTGGTTCCATTAATGCTTTGTCCCTGAAGTTAGGAAACATCTTGCCAGTAAGGACTGTCTTTTAAAGTTCTTTTGATATTGGACAATATTCCTGGCCACCCAGAACCCCATCGGTTCAACACTGAAGGTATTGAAGTAGTGTACTTGCTCCCAAATACGTCTCTAATTCAGCCCCTAGATCAGGTGGCCATAAGAACCTTTAAGGCTCATTACACACCACACTCTATGGAATAAAGGATTGTCAATGTGATGGAAGAAAACCAAGACAGAGAGAATATCACGAATATCTGGGAGGATTACACCATTAAAGATGTCATCATTGCTACAGAAAAAGCTGTGAAAGCCATCAAGCCTGAATCAATAAATTCCTGCTGGAGAAAACTGTGTCCAGATGTTGTGCATGACTTCGTAGGATTTATGACAGAGCCAATCAAAGAACTCAAAACAGAGATTGTGGTTATGGCAAAAAGGTCGGGGGATGGTGGTGAAGGGTTTCAAGATATGGATCTTGGAGAAATTCAAGAGCTAATAGACACCACATCAGAGGAATTAATAGAAGATGACTTGATGGAGATGAATGCTTCCAAACAACTGCAAGATGATGAGAAAGAAGACACAGAACAAATAGCGCCAGAAACAAATTGACATTAGACAATCTGGCAGAAGCGTTCCAATTATTCAAGACTACTCTTGACTTTTACAACAGGGACATTCTACAGGCACTGAAACTAAAGCAAATGGTGGAAGAAGGCGTGGGACCACATAGAAACATGTTTAGAGAAATAAAAAAGCAAAAAAGTCAGATAGAAAGTAGGATGTATTTCTGTAAAGTTACACTGAGCGAGCCTTCCTCTCCTGCCTCCCCTTCCACCTCCTCCATCTCTTCTGCCTCTGTCACCCGAGACAGCAAGATCAACCCCCTCCCTTTCTTCAGCCTACTAAACGTGAACATCAAGAGGATGAAGACATTTATGATGATACACTTCTATTAAATGAACAGTAAATATATTTGCTTTTTCTTGTGATTATCTTTACATTTCCTTTCTCTAGCTTCCTTTATTGTAACAATATAGTATATGATATACACAATATATGAAATATGTTAATCACCTGTGTATGTTAATGGTAAGGCTTCTGGTCACCACCTAATCACCTCTTAAAAGTGCCACCTGGTCCCACCTCTTTTTTTGTTTGTTTGTTTTTTTAAATTTGAGACAGAGTCTTACTCACTGTAACCTCCGCCTCCTGGGTTCAAGCAATTGTCCTGCCTCAGCCTCCTGAGCAGCTGGGACTGCAGGTGTGCACCACCACGCCCAGCTAATTTTTGTATTTTTAGTAGAGACAGGGTTTAACCATGTAAGCCAGGCTGGTCTAAAACTCCTGACCTCAAGTGATCCGCCTGTCTCAGCCTCCCAAAATGTTGGGATTACAGGCGTGAGCCACTGTGCCCGGCTTGGTCCCACCTCTTATACTGTCCCAATGACAATTAAATTCCGACATGAGTTTTGGAGGTGACACGCAAACCATAGCAGTCCTGAAGACAAGAGGTGCAGCACACCGTGCAGGTCCACATGGGAAAGATGCCAGGGAGGGCAGGAGGCAGAAGAGAGGAGCAAGGGACAGACTGGGGCCAGAGCCTTTCCTGGGGCTTCCTTGGAGAGGGAAGGCAAGGCAGGATGAACAGTTTAGGATTGGCTGTGTTGAACCATTTCAGTGGGCTTTGGGCTCTAGGGGTGTACCCAGCCGTCTGCCACCTGGCCCTAGGATGAGTAAGGCAGAAGGATGAGTAAGGCAGAGGGAGGAGTGAGGCAGAGGGAGGAGTGAGGCAGAGGTGTGGCTCTGCGTTGGCTAGTTTGCATTTGAAAGACCCACTCCCGGCAGGGCCCTTTGCTGTCTTTCAGAATTGGCTAATTAGTTGGAGGGGAGGTCTGTCCCCAGTTAGAAATGTTTTTTTTTCTTTGTTTTTATTTTAAATTTGATTTTTAGGATGTCAAACTATTATAATATTGTTATATACAAAGTTTTGGTGCCGCAAAAGGAATAGCACTTGAATATAAAATTTTCTTTTTAATTCTCAGCAAGGCAAGTTACTTCTATATAGAAGGGTGCACCCTTACAGATGGAACAATGGTGAGCGCACACTTGGACAAGGGAGGGGGAAGGGTTCTTATCCCTGATGCACGTGGCCCCTGCTGCTGTATCGTTCCCCTATTGGCTAGGGTTAGACCACACAGGCTAAACTAATTCCGATTGGCTAATTTAAAGAGAATGGGGTGAGTGCTTTGGCGGGAGTCAGGGTAGAGCAGGTAGCAGGTAATTGGAATGAGTTAGGGTGGAGCAGGTGATTGGAATGTAGGGTGGAGCAGGTGATCAGAATGAGTCAGGGTGGAGTAGGTAATTGGAATGAGTCAAGGTGGAGTAGGTAATTGAAAAAGGTTGCTTTAAGAGGAAGTTAAGTTTAAAAGTAGGAGGCAAATAATTGAACATACTGACATATTAATTATTTGAAAAGAAATTTAGAACTCATATCTAACAATATGCAGAAAATTTAAAACATTTACAATAAAGTTTATTTCTGGATTCTCATTTCATTTTTTTTTTGTCACTCAGGCTGGGGTGCAGTGTCGTGATCTCAGCTCACGGTAACCTCTGCCTCCCAGGTTCAAGTGATTCTCCTGTCTCAGCCTCCCAAGTAGCTAGGATTACAGGAGTGTGCCACCACATCCAGCTAATTTTTGTATTTTTAGTAGAAATGAGGTTTCACCATGTTGGCCAGTCTGGTCTTGAACTCCTGACCTCAAGCGATCTGCTTGCCTCCGCCTCCCAAAGTGCTGGGATTACAGGCGTGAGCCACCGTGCCTGGCCTGGATTCTCATTTCTATCCCATTGACCTTTTATGTTTATCCTTTGGCAATACCACAAAGTCTTAGTTACGATAGCAGAAAATCCATTTATTTATTTATTTATTTTTGAGGTAGAGTCTTGCTATGTCGCCCAGGCTGGGGTGCAGTGGTGCCATCATAGCTCACTGCATGTTCCATGGCGTACCTCTTCAAACTCCTCGCCTCAAAGGATTCTCCTATCTCGACTTCCCACAGTGCTGGGATTATAGGCCTGACCTACTGTGCCTGGCTAGAAAATCAATTTAATCTTTTAAAAAACAAATAAACACACACACACACACACACACACACACACACACACACAAACACAAACACATTCCTACAAAGATAACTCTAGGCCTAAACCGTGGGTTTCATCCAAATATTTAGGGGCAATATAACATTAATCTTACCTAAAACTTTCCAGGGAAAACAGTTCCTTCATTTTATGAGGTCAGAATCACCTTGATCACAGAACTTCACAAGAATATTATAAAACATAAAAATTACAGGTAAGTCTCTCTCATAATCATAGATGTAAAAATTCCAAAAATGTTTTAGCAAATTGAATCCGGCAGTATATAAAAAAGATAATCTGACATGACAAAGCTGGGTTTATTCCAGCTTTGGAAAGGATGCAAGGATGGCTTATTATTTGGGAATCAATCAACATAATTTATCATATAACAGAGTAAAAGGATAAAAAAATCATATGATAATCTCAGTAGATGTAGGCAAAGCATGCAATAAAATTTGATACTCTTTCATGATTAAAAAACTCAACAATTTAAGAATGAGAATTACAGGTAGCATCATACTTGAAGTTGAAATATTAAATAATTTTTCTTGGAAAATGGAATAAGACCAGGGGGCTTGCTTTCACCAGCTGTATTCAACAGGCACTGGGTTGCATCCAGTATAAGCAAGAAAAGGAAATAAAGGCCTATGATTGGAAAGAAATAAAACAATCATTTTTTGAAGATGACATATTGAGTAAATTGAAAATGGAAAGAATCTAATAAAAAATGATTCAATTAATAAGTAAATTAGTAATGCCACTGGATTCAAAGTAGACATACCAGCAACAATCATAAAATGAAATACAAAGAAGGATTTCATTTATGGGAGCATCATAATACAACAAATTCCTAGGGATAAGTTTAGTGAAGGATGACTGCTATACAAAAATCTCCAAAACACGTACCGAGGGAAATCATGTAAGGGAGAGATATGTCAACATTCATGAATTAGAAAATTCAAGATTGTAGACAAGTCATTACTCCCTAATTTGATCGGCATTTGTAATGCAATCCCAGTAAAAACCCTAAGGTTCTGTTATGGAAATGTACATGCAAATTCTAAAATTTATAGAAAATATAAAGAGCCAAGGCTAGTCAAGAATAGATAGAAACCAAAGCTGGAATGGAGAACTTGTACCACCAAATATAAAGACTTGTTATAAACCTACGATAACTAAGTCAGTGTGGTATTAGCATAAATATAGAAAAATAGGCCAATGGGGCTGAATAAGGTCCAGAAACAAATACCCACATATGGTCACCAGAATGGTGACATGCAAGTCACTGAAATGCAATGAAAGAATGTTCTTTTCAATAAATGGTAGATGAAATTTGGATACCCAGAGAGGAAAAAGATGTATCTTGAATCTCACTGTACCCCATATGAAATAAATTCCAGCTGGATGTAGAACTAAATGTGAAAAACAGCAAATCCATAAGAAAAAGGCAAAAAGCGGCCGGGCGTGGCAGCTCACGCCTGTAATCCCAGCATTTTGGGAGGCAGAGGCGGGTGGATCACTTGAGCCCAGGAGCTCAAGACCAGCCTAGGCAACATAGGGAGTCCTATCTCTACAAAAAACACAAAAATTAGCCAGGCGTGGTGGCGCATGCCTGTAGTCCCAGCTACTAGCGAGGCTGAGGTAGGAGAATCACCTGAGCCCTAGGAGGTTGAGGGTGCAGTGAGTTGTGGTCACACCACTGCACTCCAGTCTGGGCGACAGAGTGAGACCCTATCTAAAAACAAACAAACAAACAAATCAAACAAACAGAAAAAGAAAAAGGAGGCAAAAAACATCAAACTGTTTAAATAACTATTTAGTAATTTTTTAAAAGGTAAACATACATACACCTAAGAGCAAGCAGTCCCACTCCTGCCCCCATAGAAATAATTGCTTATGTCCAACAAAGGATATGTACAAGACTGGTCATGGCAGTGCTGTGCATAAATAGCCCAAATGGAAACAACCCAAATGCCCATAAACAATAGGATGGGTGAATAAATGATAGAATATTCATGCAATGGAATTTTATACAGCAGCAAAAAAATGATGAATGACTGATACAAGAGACAAGTATGGATGAATCTCACATAAAAATGTTGAATTTGAGACCAGCCTGGCCAACATAGTGAAACCCTGTCTCTACCAAAAATACAAAAAATTAGCTGGGTGCAGTGGCGGGCTCCTGTAATCCCAGCTACTTGGGAGGCTGAGGCAGGAGAATGGCTTGAACCCAGGAGGTGGAGGTTGCAGTGAGTCGAGATCACACCATTGCACTCCAGACCGGGCGACAGTGTGAGACTCCGTCTAAAAAAAAAAAAAAAAAAGTTGAGTGAACAAAACCAGACACAATAGAATACAAACTGTATGATTCCATGTAAATGAAATTTAAAATGGGGAAAATGAATCTGTGGCGACAGAAGTCAGAAGACTGGTCATTTTGTCAAGCAGTGTTAGGGATGGAGAGGGTAGTACATGGAGGGGCTTTCTGGACAGCTTATGATCCTTCCTTCCTTCCTTCCTTCCTTTCCTTTTTTTTTTTTTTTTTTTTTTTAAGACAGAGTCTCGCTCTTGTAGCCCAGGCTGGAGTGCAATGTGGCACGATCTCGGCTCACTGCAACCTCTGCCTCCTGGGTTCAAGCGATTCTCCTGCCTCAGCCTCCCGAGTAGCTGGGATTACAGGAAAGTACCACCATGCCTAGCTAATTTTTGTATTTTCAGTAGAGACAGAGTTTCGCCACGTTGGTCAGGCTGGCCTCGAACCCCTCAGGTGATCCTCTGCCTCAGCCTCCCAAAGTGCTGGGATTACAGGCGTGAGCCACCGCTCCTGGCCTATTATCTTGTTTTTCATGCCACATATATAAAGGAAATTTGTCAGTTGCATCATTCTTGCCATGAACTCTCATTATACCTTTACATTTAAAAGTTATCAGGCACAAATTAACCACAACCTTTTTTTCTGAGATGGAGTTTCGCTCTTGTTGCCCAGGCTGGAGTGCAATGGCGCGATCTCGGCTCACAGCAACCTCCGCCTCCCGGGTTCAAGCTATTCTCCTGCCTCAGCCTCCCGAGTAGCTGGGATTACAGGCATGCACCACCACCATGACTAATTTTGTATTTTTAGTAGAGATGGGGTTTCTCCATGTTGGTCAGGCTGGTCTTGAACTCCCGACCTCAGGTGATCTGCCCGCCTTGGCCTCCCAAAGTGCTGGGATTACAGGCATGAGCTGCCGCTCCCGGCAACCATTTTTTTTTTTTTTAAATAGGCTGGGCATGGTGGCTCATGCCTCTAATCCCAGCACTTTGGGAGGCCGAGGCGGGTGGACCACTTGAGGTCAGGAGTTTGAGACCAACCTGGCCAACATGATGAAACCTTGTCTCTACCAAAAAAAAAAAAAAAAAAAAAAAAAAAAATACAAAAATTAGCTGGGCATGGTGGCGTGCTCCTGTAGTCCCAGCTAGTCAGGAGGCTGAGGTGGGAGGATTGCCTCTACCTGAGAGGTGGAGATCACACCACTGCACTCCAGCCTGGGCGACAAAGACCCTGTCTTAAAAAAAAAAAAAAGAAAAAAGGAAAAAGTGAAAATAATTGTCCCATTATAAAATAAGTACCCTTGGGAGGTAGTGAGCTTCCCATCACTGGGGAGATGCAGACAGCTGCTGGTGCCTGAGCACTGGGTAGAGGAGTCGGCAGGGGCGGAGTATGTGCACTGGGGGAGAAGTGGGGCAGATCAGACCAGTGCATGCTGAGATTCTACTTTTTGGAGACTCTGCTTCTCACTATAAAGTGGCGTTCTGATATTTTAGACGCTTTTAAGTTTTTTTTTTAAATTATTATTTCTTTTTTATTATACTTTAAGTTCTAGGGTACATGTGCACAACGTGCAGTTTTGTTACATAGGTATACATGTGCCACGTTGGTTTGCTGCACCCATCAACTTGTCATTTACATTAAGTATTTCTCCTAATGCTATCCCTCCCCCAGCCCCTCACCCCCTGGCAGGCCCCGGTATGTGATGTTCCCGCCCTGTGTCCATGTGTTCTCATTGTTCAACTCCCACCTATGAGTGAGAACATGCAGTGTTTGGTTTTCTGTCCTTGTGATAGTTTGCTTAGAATGATGGTTTCTAGCTTCATCCATGTCCCTGCGAAGGACATGAATTCATCCTTTTTTATGGTTGCATAGTATTCCATGGTGTATATGTGCCACCTTCTCTTAATCCAGTCTATCGTTGATGGACATTTGGGTTGGTTCCAAGTCTTTGCTATTGTGAATAGTGCCACAATAAACATACGTGTGTGTGTATCATTATTGTAGAATGATTTATAATCCTTTGGGTATATGCCCAGTAATGGGATTGCTGGGTCAAATGGTATTTCTAGTTCTAGATCCTTGAGGAATCACCACACTGTCTTCCACAATGGTTGAACTAATTTACACTCCCACCAACTGTGTAAAAGCGTTCCTATTTCTCCACATCCTCTCCAGCATCTACTATTTCCTGACTTTTTAATGATTGCCTTTCTAACTGGCGTGAGATGGTATCTCATTGTGGTTTTGATTTGCATTTTTCTGATGACCAGTGATGATGAGCATTTTTACATGTCTGTTGGCTGCATAAATGTCTTATTTTGAGAAGTGTCTGTTCATATCCTTTTCCCACTTTTTGATGGGTTTTTTTTTTTCTTGTAAATTTGTTTAAGTTCTTTGTAGATTCTGGGTATTAGCCCTTTGTCAGATGGGTAGACTGTAAAAATTTTCTCCCATTCTGTAGGTTGCCTGTTCACTCTAATGATAGTTTATTTTGCTGTGGAGAAGCTCTTTAGTGTAATTAGATCCCATTTGTCTATTTTGGCTTTTGTTGCCATTGTTTTTGGTGTTTTAGTCATGAAGTCCTTGCCCATGCCTATGTCCTGAATGGTATTGCCTAGGTTTTCTTCTAGGGTTTTTTATGGTATTAGGGCTTACATTTAAGTCTTTAATCAGTCTTGAGTTAATTTTTGTATACAGTGTAAGAAAGGGATCCAGTTTCAGCTTTGTACATATGGCTAGTCAGTTTTCCCAGCACCATTTATTAAATAGGGAATCTTTTCCCCATTGCTTGTTTTTGTCAGGTTTGTCAAAGATCAGATGGTTGTAGATGTGTGGTGTTATTTCTGAGGCCTCTATTCTGCTCCATTCATTTATATATCTGTTTTGGTATCAGTACCATGCTTTTTTGGTTACTGTAGCCTTGTAGTATAGTTTGAAGTCAGGTAGCGTGATGCCTCCAGCTTTGTTCTTTTTGCTTAGGATTGACTTGGTGATGCGGGCTCTTTTTTGGTTCCATATGAACTTTAAAGTAGTTTTTTTCCAGTTCTGTGAAGAAAGGCAATGGTAGCTTGACGGGGATAGCATTGAATCTATAAATTACTTTGGGCAGTATGGCCATTTTCATGATATTGATTTTTCCTATCCATGAGCATGGAATGTTCTTCCATTTGTTTGTGTCCTCTTTTATTTCATTGAGCAGTGATTTATAGTTCTCCTTGAAGAGGTCCTTCACATCCCTTGTAAGTTGGATTCCTAGGTATTTTATTCTCTTTGAAGCAATTGTGAATGGGGGTTCACTCATGATTTGGCTCTCTGTTTGTCTGTTATTGGTGTATAGGAATGCTTGTGATTTTTGCACATTGATTTTGTATCCTGAGACTTTGCAGAAGTTGCTTATCAGCTTAAGGAGATTTTGGGCTGAGACGATGGGGTTTTCTAAATATAAAATCATGTCATCTGCAAACAGGGACAATTTCACTTCCTCCTTTCCTAATTAAATACCCTTTACTTCTTTCTCTTGCCTGATTTCCCTGGCCAGAACTTCCAACACTATGTTGAATAGGAGTGGTGAGAGAGGGCATCCTTGTCTTGTGCCGGTTTTCAAAGGGAATGCTTCCAGTTTTTGTCCATTCAGTATGATATTGGCTGTGGGTTTGTCATAAATAGCTCTTATTATTTTGAGATATGTTCCATCAATACATAGTTTATTGAGAGTTTTTAGCATGAAGAGCTGTTGAATTTTGTCGAAGGCCTTTTCTGCATCTATTGAGATAATCATGTGGTTTTGTCGTTGGTTCTGTTTATGTGATGGATTATGTTTATTGATTTGCATATGTTGAACCAGCCTTGCATCCCAGGGATGAAGCCAACTTGATCGTAATGGATAAGCTTTTTGATGTGCTGCTGGATTCGGTTTGCCAGGATTTTATTGAGGATTTTCGCATCGATGTTCATCAAGGATATTGGTCTAAAATTCTCTTTTTTGTGTGTCTCTGCCAGACTTTGGTATCAGGATGATGCTGACCTCATAATATGAGTTACGGAGGATTCCCTCTTTTTCTATTGATTGGAATAGTTTCAGAAGAAATGATACCAGCTCCTCTTTGTACCTCTGGTAGTATTCAGCTGTGAATCCATCTGGTCCTGGACTTTTTCTGGTTGGTAGGTTATTAATTATTGCCTCAATTTCAGAAACTGTTATTGGTCTATTCAGAGATTCAGCTTCTTCCTGGTTTAGTCTTGGGAGGGTGTATGTGTCCAGGAATTTATATATTTCTTCTAGATTTTCTAGTTTATTTGCGTAGAGGTGTTTATAGTTTTCTCTGATGGTAGTTTGTATTTCTGTGGGATTGGGTGGTGATATCCCCTTTATCATTTTTTATTGCATCTATTTGATTCTTCTCTCTTTTCTTCTTTATTAGTCTTGCTAGTGGTCTATCTATTTTGTTGGTCTTTTAAAAAAACCACCTCCTGGATTCATTGATTTTTTTGAAGGTTTTTTTTGTATGTCTATCTGCTTCAGTTCTGCTCTGATCTTAGTTATTTCTTGCCTTCCACTAGCATTTGAATGTGTTTGCTCTTGTTTCTCTAGTTCTTTTAATTGTGATGTCAGGGTGTCGATTTTAGACCTTTTCTGCTTTCTCTTGTGGGCATTTAGTGCTATAAATTTCCCTCTACACACTGCTTTAAATGTGTCCCAGAGATTCTGGCACATTGTGTCTTTGTTCTCATTGGTTTCAAAGAACATCTTTATTTCTGCCTTCATTTCCTTATTTATGCAGTAGTCATTCAGGAGCAGGTTGTTCAGTTTCCATGTAGTTGTGCGGTTTTGAGTGAGTTTCTTAATTCTGAGTTCTAATTTGATTGCACTGTGGTCTGAGAGACAATTTGTTATGATTTTGTTCTTTTCATTTGCTGAGGAGTGCTTTACTTCCAATCATGTGGTCAATTTGAGAATAAGTGAGATGTGGTGCTGAGAAGAATGTATATTCTGTTGATTTGGGGTGGAGAGTTCTGTAGATGTCTATTAGGTCTGCTTGGTGCAGAGCTGAGTTCAAGTCCTGGATATCCTTGTTAACCTTCTGTCTCGTTGATCTGTCTAATATTGACAATGGGGTGTTAAAGTCTCCCATTATTATTGTGTGGGAGTCTAAGTCTCTTTGTAGGTCTCTAAGGACTTGCTTTATGAATCTGGGTGCTCCTGTATTGGGTGCATATATATTTAGAATAGTTAGCTCTTCTTGTTGAATTGATCTGTTTACCATTGTGTAGTGGCCTTCTTTGTCTCTTTTGATCTTTGTTGGTTTAAAGTCTGTTTTATCAGAGACTGGGATTGCAACCCCTGCTTTTTTTTGCTTTCCATTTGCTTGGTAGATCTTCCTCCATCCCTTTATTTTGAGCCTATATGCGTCTTTGCACATGAGATGGGTCTCCTGAATACAGCACCGATGGGTCTTGACTCTTTATCCAATTTGCCAGTCTGTGTCTTTTAATTGGGGCATTTAGTCCATTTACATTTAAGGTTAATATTGTTATGTTTGAATTTGATCCTGTCATTATGATGCTAGCTGGTTATTTTGCCCATTAATTGATGCCGTTTCTTCATAGCATCAATGGTCTTTACCATTTAGCATGTTTTTGCAGTGGCTGGTACTGGTTGTTCCTTTCCATGTTTAGTGCTTCCTTCAGGAGCTCTTATAAGGCAGGCCTGGTGGTGACGAAATCTCTCAGCATTTGCTTGTCTGTAAAGTATTTTATTTCTCCTTCACTTATGAAGCTTAGTTTGGCTGGATATGAGGTTTTGGGTTGAAAATTCTTTTCTTTAAGAATATTGAATATTGGCCCCCACTGTCTTCTGGCTTGTAGGGTTTCTGCCAAGAGATCCGCTGTTAGTCTGATGGGCTTCCCTTTGTGGGTAACCCGACCTTTCTCTCTGGCTGCCCTTAACATTTTTTCCTTCATTTCAACCTTGGTGAATCTGACAATTATGTGTCTTGGGGTTGCTCTTCTGGAGGAGTACCTTTGTGGTGTTCTCTGTATTTCCTGAATTTGAATATTGGCCTGCCTTGCTAGGTTAGGGAAGTTCTCCTAGATCCTACCCTGAAGAGTGTTTTCTAACTTGGTTCCATTCTCCCCATCACTTTCCAGTACACCAATCAAATATATATTTGGTCTTTTCACATAGTCTCATATTTCTTGGAGGCTTTGTTCATTTCTTTTCACTCTCTTTTCTCTAATCTTGTCTTCTCGCTTTATTTCATTAATTTGATCTTCCATCACTGATATCCTTTCTTCCACTTGATTGAATCAGCTATTGAAGCTTGTGCATGCATCACAAAGTTCTCATGCCATGGTTTTCAGCTCCATCAGGTCATTTAAGCTCCTCTCTATGTTGTTTATTCTAGCTGGCCATTCGTCTAACCTTTTTTCAAGGTTTTTAGCTTCCTTGTGATGGGTTAGAACATGCTCTTTTAGCTCTGAGAAGTTTGTTATTACCAACCTTCTGAAGCCTACTTCTGTCAACTCGTCAAACTTATTCTCCATCCAGCTTTGTTCCCTTGCTGGCGAGGAGCTCCAATCCTTTGGAGGAGAAGAGGTGCTCTGTTTTTTTGGAATTCTCAGCTTTTCTATTCTGGTTTCTCCCCATCTTTGCGGTTTTATCTATGTTTGGTCTTTGATGTTGGTGACCTATAGATGGGGTTTTGGTGTGGATGTCCTTTCTGTTGATGTTGATGCTATTCCTTTCTGTTTGTTAGTTTTCCTTCTAACGTCAGACCCCTCAGTTGCAGGTCTGTTGGAGTTTGCTGGAGGTCCACTCCAGATCCTGTTTGCCTGGATATCACCAGCGGAGGCTGCAGAGCAGCAAAGATTGCTGCCTGATCCTTCCTCTAGAAGCTTCATCCCAGAGGGGCACCTGCCTGTTTGAGGTGTCTGTCAGCCCCTACTGGGAGGTGTTTCCCAGTCAGGCTACACAGGGGTCAGGGACCTGCTTGAGGAGGCAGTCTGTCTGTTCTTGGAGCTCAAACGCCGTGCTGAGAGAACCACTGCTCTCTTCAGAGCTGTCAGACAGGGACGTTTAAGTCTGCAGAAGCTGTCTGCTGCCTTTTGTTCTACTATGCCCTGCCCCCAGAGGTGGAATCCATAGAGACAGTAGGCCTTGCTGAGCTGTGGTGGGCTCCATCCAGTTCGTGCTCTTTGTTTACACTGTGAGCTACTCAAGCCTCAGCAATGGCAGATGCCCCTCCCTTCATCCAGCTGCAGCATCGCAGGTCGATCTCAGACTGCTGTGCTAGCAGTGAGCAAGGCTCCGTGGGCGTGGGACCCACCAAGCCAGGCATGGGAGGGTGTCTCCTGGTGTGCCAGTTGCTAGGACTGTGTATAGCTCAGTATTTGGTCAGAAGTGCACCATTTCTCCAGGTACAGTCTGTCACGGCTTCCCTTGGCTAGGAAAGGGAAATCCCCTGACCCCTTGTGCTTCCCCGGGTGAGGCAACGCCTCGCCCTGCTTCAGCCCACCCTCCATGAGCTGCACCCACTGTCCAACGAGTGCTAGTGAGATGAACCAGGTACCTCAGTTGCAAATGCAGAAATCACCTGTCTTCTGTGTTGATCTTGCTGGAAGCTGCAGACTGGAGGTCTTCCTATTCGGCCATCTTCGAAGTGACCTCCGACCCTTTTATGTTTGAATGCTTTCTGTCAATAAATGAGGGAAATGCCATTTTAAATTTATGAGCAGCTTTTTCTTTTCCTTTTGGTTTGGGGTAGAGTTACAAGGCAATTTATCTTTGGGGTAAATATAGAGCTTTTGTTAAAAAACAAAAACATTAGCCTTTGGAGATGCAGGGGTGCAGGCCAGATCTTTGTGACCCTGGGCTGGAGCCTCCGTTTCCACATCTGAAAACAGGGGCATTAATATCCACCTGCCCAGCAAATCAGAGGGTTACTGTGAATGTGAAATGACCTAGTGGGCTGTAGGCATCATGGCCATCTTCACCTTTTGCTCTTACCCTGGTGGTGAGGGCTCAGTCTGTGGTCACCTGGCCCTCACCCTGCTGTAACTCTGCTTAGGGCTCTGCTTTCAGGCCTTTGTGATGGGAGCGTGTTTGTGCACCCTATAGTCATGAACAGCATCTCCTCTGTCACCTGCATAGCTCTGTACAATTGTCAGGGGGCTTTCATGCTCATCCATGATCTCATTTAGAAAAAAAAAACTGAGCACAGAATCTACCAAAGCCCCCAGATCTGGGTGTCTTATTTTGTAATTTGCTCATTTAAAGCAATAATATCAAATGCAGTCAGATTAACAGCCATTTGTTGAATCCTTACAATGTACCAGGTGCTCTGTTATACACTTTCCATACATTTCACCCTAACCACAGACCAAGAAACTAGGTCTATGATTTCCCTATTTTCCATATGGAGAAACTGAGGCTCAGAGGGTTTAAGAAACATCCCTTAAGTCACAGAGCTGTTAAGTGGCAGAGCCAGGACTCAAACTGACCTCTGTCTGACCCTCATGAGCATAGCTTACTTGCCTAAAACACTTCCAGATCCTATATGTATCAGGGGCAGTGTGTGGAATCCCCCTGCTGAGGGATCTAGTGCCCAGGTAGGGGTGCAAAGCTGCTGAGGTTGGAGAGAAGATGGAAAAAAGAAAGCGGAATTTGTCAACAGGGCACCCCTGGCTGGAGTGGGTACCCTGGACAGGACGTTGGGGGACCTGGTTTGGAATATCAGAGCTTACATTCTCCCACAGCATGACCTTGGCCCATTCAACTCCACTTTCTGCCTTCAGTTTTCCCTCCAGAAACACTGTTAGGATCACAGCGGTCATTATTTGTGGTGCAGCTGCTTCATGATTGCTTAGCACGGCCCATGAATCATTGGATTCATCTTTAGAAAATCCCTCATGGAAGGATGCAAAGGCATAAGAATGATACCATGGACTTTGGGGACTTGGGGGAAAGGGTGGGAGTGGGTGAGGGATAAAAGACTACACATTGGGTACAGTGTACACTGCTCACGTGATGGGTGCGCAAAATCTCAGACATCACTACTGAAGAACTCATTCATGTAACCAAACACCACTTGTTCCCCAAAAACCTATTGAAATAAACAAAGATCCCTCATAAGTGGATATCATTATTCTTTTAATTTTACAGAGAAGGAAACTGAGGCACTTAAAGGTAAAGTAACTTGGATCAACTCACCTGGATGGTTAGTGTTGGCACCAGGGCTTGAACCTGTGCCACCTGATTTCAGAGTTTTGTGGAACTGTGGAATTGGTGGAGCCCTCAGGTTCCCACTGTTATGGGTCAAAGGTATCTGAGTCACCTGGCAGGGAATCCATACAGGTCTGTAGCAACCTCAATTCTTGCCTCCTCCGAAAGAAAGAATTCAACTGACGGGCATAAGGCAGAAGGAGAGACCAATGCACGTTTCAGAGCAGGAGTGGAAGTTTATTTAAAAGCCTTCAGAAAAGGAAAGAAAGGAAAACATGCTTGGAAGAAACCCAAGCAGGCATGTGAAGGTCAAGTGCAGTGTTTAGCCCTGATCCTAGGACTTTCTAGGCTGGCCCCTTTCCCATGATTCTTCCCTTAGGGTGGGCTGCCCACATGCACAGTGCTCTCCTTACACTTGGAGGTGAGCATGTACAGTGTGGTTAGGAAGTTGTATGCACACCCATCTGAAGCTTTCTTCTCTCTTCTGGTGGAGTGCCCCCTGAAGGTAATACTCCACCATTTTGTCTCTTGATGCACATGCCCAGGCTCATTAGTCCAATACCTGAGATTTTGTTGGAAGCCCCTTTTTGCTTCTCCCTGGCACCTGCATTCAATTAACACTTTAATGCAACAGGTGTGGACCATAAGGAAACGGCCACTCCCTGGTGCTGACTGCCAGTTTATCACTTTTAGAGAGACAATGTGACAACAGCCAAACCATCGCTCAATGTAGTAGGTGGAGGAGAGCTCTCTCTTGCCCCATGCGTGTCTGTCTACCTGTAACACCACCAGCTGGAGTTCCCTGGGGCCTTTTCTCCTGCTAGGATCAGGGAAGTAATGAGGGACCCTGGGGCAGAGGAGGAAGCCCTAAGGGTAGGAGTCTCTGTGGATGGTCACCAGGGTAGGGGTCCTCTGTCACCAATGGCCAAGAGAAATGGAGGAGGGGTTGTCAGCTAAGTCAGAGGCTGCCCCTCAATGGCCTCTCCCTTATTAGTTTGATATGGTCCTGGAAACGCCCACCCCTGCCCTGGCTGCCTTCCTTCTCCACAACCCAAGGTACCTGGCTCCCCTACTAACCCTCACCCAGATGGTCTCAGATGCTGCTTCTGGATGCTCTGGTCCCATGCAAGGCCCAGGGAAGAAAAGCCTGTTGCTCACTGCTTGCCCTTGTACTTAAGGAGACGGGAGGCCTCTTCCCTCTCAGCTCACAGGCTCACATTAGCCCCCCACAGTATCTGTTGGGAGACAATTCCCTTGGATCTTTTGTGTCGTGTCACAGCTTTTGTTCCAGACTATCTTTTCAAGGATTTTTGTACAGCAAACAGATTGGACATGGCCTTGGAAGATAAAGATCTTGTCTCCAGGGTAGAGGTCAGATTTGTTTGCTGTCCCCCAGGGTGGGGATGGGGCAGTGTAGGGGAAATGGCTGCACTTTAGTCAGGAGTAGGCTGTGGTGGCCTTCCAGTGCAGCATGACTCAATGGGTTTGGAGTGCAAGCGCACAACTCCACACATTATGTAACCATGCTGCATAAGGTGCATTAGGTGACCACTCATGTGAGCTTGTGCTTGGCTCAGAGCCACTGTTGTCTATAAAAGGTATCATTACCCTGATGACGCTGTATGTACAGCTCTTGCCCAGGCTCATGCCCACAGAGAGAATAAAGCCATGTCAAAATTGCCTACAATTCCTTAAGTGTTTTTCCAGCTACCTGCCACCTGCCCTCTGACTTCCCTCGGACCCAGTTTGGTCTAGAAACTGACAATTGGCACTGTAAGCAGGATCCCAATGTAACTGAGCCTTCTGTCCCCACCAATTCCAGGTTGGCCTTGTGGCCACAACATAGACTGTGGTACTCGGTGGCAGCTGTGCTTCTTAGATGGGCTCTGGTGGAAACCTGGGTGGCAGTAGATGGGTTCCCCTACAAGCATGGAGAAGGTGCTGAAGCAGCTGGAAGCACAGAGCATCAAGAAGGAGCAAACCTTTGCTGGCAGAGTTGGATGGGCATTTTTGACTGTGCAATGGGAAGTACACACCCTGTCTCTGAGGGATGTAGTGCAGGTAAGGGACCTCCAGGCTCAGGTGGGGCACCTGGAGGCCCAGCTACAGAGCTCAGAAAGAGTTAGAGGCTGCTGTGAATGGGGACCTCCAGGTGCAGGTGGGGTGCCTGGAGGCCCAGCTACACTGATCAGAAAAAGAATTAGAGGCTGCAATGAATGCAGGCCTGGGTCCACCATTTCTGTCTGAGGCCCCCACTCGGTCTGCTATTGAGGAGGAGGAACTCCTGTTGTGGGCTTACCCAATGGTCTGTCAGAAGATAGATCATGAACAGCCGATGGGGCCCCAAGGGCGGGCTCAGGGACCCCCCCACCGTAATGCAACACACTTCATATATTCCCTGTACCCCAACTGAGTTGCAGAAATTAGGCAAGCAGTGCCACCAGCATCCAGGGGAACTCCTGACTGCCTGGATGCTTCGTTTGTGGGACAAGGCAGCAGATAGTATCTCTTGTTCTGTCTCTGAGTTGGAAGAGCTGGCCTCCATCATGACTCATCCCTCCATCAGTCAGCAGTTGCAAGTGAGCAGGTGGTGAGCAACAGGGCAAGGTGACCACACCCTGACTGAGTGGCTATGGGCAGCCATATAGACTGTGTGGAACAATGCTGGTGAAATACCTAAAACTGTGAGCAAATGGTAGTCATGTGCCAATTTGGTGCAAGCCATCTTTGAGATGGGTATGCGGCAGGCTATGTTTGACATGAATACTTGGGGGCCAGATGGTGAATGTTTCACCTCCCACATGAGGGATCTCCTTTTGGGTTCTGCATCCCCAAGCTGCTGTTCTCACCCCATACATAGGGCACCACATACATGAAGTGATCACTGCTGTGGCGGCCCGTGGGGAAGCAGAAGGCTGTCAGCAAGACTGAGGGGTCCATGCTGTAAAGAAGGGGAAGGTGCCTTTCCCATAAAGGGCTCACCCATGGGACAAAAGGGGGCCCAATGAGTGACATGCTCATAGATGTGGATACATTTGATTTTGGCCAGGGTTGACTGAGAGAAAATTGATAAGCAGCTCAATGAAGTACCCTTAACTTTGTGGAGACACTTGTGTCTACAGCAGCAATTCCAGAAAATGCTCGAGGGGGAGAAGGACATTACTGCACGACCCAGTCCCAGCTGGGTGCTCCAGATCAAAGACTACTTGCTGCAGCCAGGTGGAAATGTAGAGCCTTTTCTGTTTGATTAGGGAACTGGCTGAGGTGCCCAGCTTGGGGGGACATCGGATGACTGGAGGCCACATGTAAAATTGGCAATCCACTGGTCCCCCACCAATGTACAGTGGGTACTGGCACTGGTAGATACTGGAGCAGACAGTAGCCTTGTTTACGGGAACCTGGGTAAGTTTCTGGACAAAACTGCATACACTGATGATTATGGAGGCTGGTCAGTGAAAGTGAAACTGATATCTCTACACCTTGGCATCGGCCGTTTGGCTCCCCGTTTATATACTGTGTATGTCTCTCCCATGCTAGAATACATTCTGGGGGTGGACATTTTACATGACCTGGCATTACAAACCATGGCTGGGGAATTCAGACTCTGAGTGCATGTGGTGAAGCCGGTGCCATGTGGACATATGCATCAACAGCCTCAGGTCCTGCCACAACCCCGATGGGTTACTTCCACCCATTACTACTGTTTGCTGGGTGGGTAGATGGAGATAACAGAGACAATTAAAAAGCTGGAGCAGGTGCAGATAATGCATGGCAACCACAGCCCCTACAATTATCTGGTGTGGCCAGTTAGAAAGACTGATGGAACTTGGGAGATAACGGTGGACTATTGGGAACTGAATAAAGTAATACCCCCTTTGCATGCATCTGTATCATCATGAATTTGATGGACTGTTTGATGATGGAACTGGGACAGTATCACTATGTAGTGGACTTGGCCTTATGTACCTGCCACTGTTCTCTCCACATTGCCCAGATACCCACATAACCAGGAGGCTCTATGCTCTCGGGTTCTGCAAGTACAGTGAACCCCTTGGTGGTTCTATCCCCTGGCAGTGACTATCCCTCAAGTGGGTATCATAACTGTAGAAGCACAAGTTACTGCTCTTGCAGAGCACACTGCTCAGGCTCTGAATTACATCTGAGTGGCCCTCCTCCTGTTAACGGATGAAGTTGATCAGATCAGAAAGGTATCGTTGCAAAACCAAATGGCCTTAGACATAGTAACTGATGCCCAATGAGTCACCTGTGCTCTTTTAGGAACACAATGTTATACCTTTATTCCTTACAACACTTGGCAGAGCAAAACAGCACCCTTTAAGGGGTCTCACAGGAGATTAAGGCAGTTGAGAGCCTTACTGACAACTCCCAGCAGAGATGGTGGGCATCCTTGGGCTCTGGCCTATGCTGGGCCCTAATAGTCATAAGTAGCATAGCTGGGATCCTAGTAGTGAGCTGTTGCTCTCTGTATTGTTGTTGTGGGTTGTGGATTCAGAAATCTGCCCTATGGGCATGTATCCCCACCTGGAAGATGCCCTTGGTCTAGGAGGTGGAGTGTAAGGGAAATGGCTGTGCTTTAGTCAGGAGTAGGCCGAGGTGGCCTTCTGGCACAGCATGACTCAGTGGGTTTGGAGCGCAGGCGCATAACTATACACATTATGTAACCATGCCATGTGAGGCGCATTAGGGGACCACTCACCTGAGCTTGTGCTTGGCTTGGAGCCACTATTGTCTGTAAAAGGTATAATTACCCTGCTGATGCTGTACATATGGCTCACGCCCAGAGAGAGAATAAAGCCATGTTGAAACTGCCTATGATTCCTTGAGTGTTTTCCCAGCTACCTGCCACCCAGTCACTGACTCCCCTCAGACCTCAGTTTGGGCTAGAACCTAACAGGCATGTTTGGCCGCAGCCCCCTTTTAAGTTTGGAGGTTTCTTCTGCTGTGTCCCTCAGCTGTGACACAAAACTGTGGTAGCATCCACATGGGCCTGCCTCCACATTGGCCCTGTGGGACCGGGAGTGTGAGGGTAACATGAAGATCTTGCTGCCTGCTGTCCCCTGAGCAACAGTGTCCTTAGTCTCTGACCCAGGACTTTTGTGTCTTCTTCCAGGAAACTGGATTAGCTTAAAAGTAGAGCAACATCTCTCACACTTCATAGCTCTTTACAGTTTTGACAACAAGGATGGGTGCTGATGGAGACATGGCTTTCTGGAAGACCCCTTGGATCTGGTAACAAATGCTCTCCCCAAGTGGTGGGTGAGGGTTGTGGAGTAAGGGTCCCCCACTGTTCTTATTAATGAGGCTCTCACTTTACCTCAACAACACTTTTCTTGTTTTTTATTATTATTATTATTATTATTATTATTTTTGCCTCCTGCAGGTAGGAGGAGGAAGGGCCAAGGAGTCCCCAAAGCTGATAGAGAGCTCCAGGTGGGTCCAAACTGAGCCTAGCTGGCCACAGGGCTGCTAAAACCCAAAGCATGGGGGCATTGCCCTCCCAGCAGATGGACTACCTGAACTTCCACTACTGACATTTCTTCAGACTGATAAACCTAATCTGTGTCTTGTGTTTGGCTTTCTGGACATTGACAATGGTGCACCTTTCATTACAAAAGCTACTCACCGGGATTGAATTTCTGACTCTACCTCCCTCCCCACCCACCCCATCTTAGTAAGAATCTTAGGTCATGGGGTGTGGCAGCCTCCAGAGACAGAGATCTCCTCCTCTCAGCTGCTCTCTAGGCACGGGGGCTGGGGTGGTGTGTGCACCTATTTTGAAAATTCAGTGGTCAGTCACTTCCGAGTAGGAGGAAGCTTCGTCTTGGATGGTTGGAGAGGACTCTGGGAAGCACATAGCTCAGGGGCCCTAGTTTCACATCTCATAACGTGCAATCTAGAGTCCTTTTTTAGCTCATTCCGGATTTAGGCCTGCACACTGTACTTTACTTCTCTGGGTGCTTTGCTGTCTCCATGACCTTGTCTTTCAATGGCTCTCTGTAGCCCTCCACCCAAGGCCTCTGCTCTGCTCCACTGGCCTGAGGTAGCCATCTGCTGACTGAGTCAGGGGCCCTGGGAGAATTCCTGACCTGGTTCCCACCCCACAAGCTCCCAGCTTCCCAGTGCTGACTTGGCTAATTGATCTGGAGTCCTTGCCAAAAATCATATCCTGCAGGCCTGTGGAGCCTTAAACGTGGAGCGGCTGTACAGCCCCGCTGGGCTCAGCTGCTCGGAGTTATAAAAAGAACCGCAGTGCATGTGGTGGGCCGGTGACTAACGTGGCCACTTGGGGAGTCGTCATCAGCTGTTGGGTGAGGTGATGTGTATCAGGCCGCACTCAGTTCCCAAGGTTCAACCCTGGAGGCTGATCTCCTTTCTCACCTCCTTAGTCCAGGCTGCAGGAGAGATTTCTGCCTTGAGCGCAGAACTTAATCAGTGGCTCACTGTCTATCCTGAGTTATGGCTGTGGTACAGCCCAGCTCTAGGCACTGTGGCAGGCCCTGCACTATGAGGAACTGTCATGAGGTGAATGATTTGGCGAGAAATGATATGCTGAGAGTTTGCAGACACTAAAGGAGTGTGAGGAATGGGGAGTGGATTTTGGAGTCTGAAGAGCTACCTCCACATCCCAACTCTGCCACTTACTAGCTGTGTGGCTTTGGGCTGGTTATTTAACTTCTCTGGACCTCAGTTTGCCTTGTCTGTGAAATGAAAACAATACCTACCCCATGAGGGTTACATGAAAAAAACACAGTAGAATCCATTTTAATCTGACCTTGAGTCCTAAGAGAAGGAAGGAGGAAAAGTTATCCCTGGCTGGGTGACACTTGGCATATCCAGCTGTCCCGGGTGGAGCTCTTAGCAGAAGCCCCCGTTTTTTTTTTTGAGATGGAGTCTTGCCCTATCACCCAGGCTGGAGTGCAGTGGCATGATCTCAGCTCACTGCAACTCTCGCCTTTTGGGTCCAAGCGATTCGCATGCCTCAGCCTCTCAAGCAACTGGGATTACAGGCATTCACCACCACACCCAGCTAATTTTTGTATTTCTAGTAGAGACGGGGTTCCGCCATGTTGTCCAGGCTGCTCTCAAACTCCTGACCTTAAGTGATCTGCCCACCTCGGTCTCCCAAAGTGCTGGGATTATAGGTGTGAGCCACCATGCCCGGACAAGCACAGCCTTTTAACAGCAGCCTGCAAGACCCACACTTTACTCCACGAACATATCAATATTACTGTTGTTGTGTTGGTAGGAGATGTTGTCTCCCTGGGAACCTTTTTACTTAAGCCTGGACCATAAACCATGGTAGTAATGGTTCTCTTGCTTGTGGTGGCACATCCATACAGGTGTGCAGCAACCTCAGTTCTTGCCTCCTCAGAAGAAAGAATTTGACTGAGGGGCATAAGTCAGAAGGAGAGACCAAGGCAAGTTTTGAAGCAGGAGTGAAAGTTTATTAAAAAGCTTTAGAGGCTGGGCGTGGTGGCTCATGCCTGTAATCCCAGCACTTTGGGAGGCCGAGGCAGGCGGATCACTTGAGGTCAGGAGTTCGAGACCAGCCTGGCCAACATGGTGAAACCCCATCTCTACTAAAAATACAAAAATTAGCTGGGCGTGGTGGCGGGCGCCTGTAATCCCAGCTACTCAGGAGGCTGAGGCAGGAGAATCACTTGAAACTCTGCAGTGGGGTGAGATCGTGCCTCTGCACTCCAGCCTGGGCTTCAGAGCGAGACTCTTTCTAACAACAACAACAACAACAACAACAACAACAACAACAACAAAACCCCCAAAGCTTTAGAGCAGGAATGAAAGCAAGGAAAATACACTTCGAAGAGGCCCAAGCAGGTAACTTGAAGAACAAGTGCAGGACTTGACCTTTTGACTTGGGGTTTTATACGTTGGCATGCTTCTGGGGTCTTGCGTCCCTTCTCACTTGATTCTTTTTTTTTTTTTTTTTTTAGATAGAGTTTTGCTCTTGTTGCCCAGGCTGGAGTGCAATGGTGCAATCTCAGCTCACCACAACCTCCACCTCCCAGGTTCAAGTGATTCTCCTGCCTCAGCCTCCTGAGTAGCTGAGATTACAGGCGTGCTCCATGCCTGGCTAATTTTGTATTTTTAGTAGAGATAGAGTTTCTCCATGTTGGTCAGGCTGGTCTTGAACTCCCGACCTCAGGTGATTTGCCCACTTCGGCCTCCCAAAGTACTAGGATTACAGGCATGAGCCACCATGCCCGGCCTTCTCGCTTGATTCTTCCCTTGGGGTGAGCTGCCCGCGTGCACGGTGGCCTGCTAGCCCTTTGGGGGGTAGCATGTGCAGTGTGTTTACTGGAGTTGTACACATGCTCACCCGAGGAGTTCTTCCCTTTTACTGGTGGAATGCTCCTGGAAGGTCAACTCCGCCATTTCGTGTCTTAATGCACGTGCTTGAGCCCACTCGCCCAGCTCCTGAGATCTTATAGGAAACTGATGATCACCAGTTTTAGGTGTTTTCTATCTACAGGCAGAATGCCTTTTCCTGGTGCTGGTTGAGACCTATTACTATTTTAGAGAGGCAGTGTGACAACTGCCTAACCATCACCTAATGATCGCCTGATTTTCCTGGTGGGGTGTAGGGGCCCTCTTCTGCCCTGTTCATGTCTCACTAGCTACCCACCGTAACACTCCTGAGCACACTATTGGAGCTGGTGGGGTTTTCTTTGCAAATGCCACCATGTCACCCATAGCTTGGCCTGCAGGTCCCTGCACTAGTGCCAATGTAGATATTTTCTTTCCAAATCTAATCCCTAATTTACACACCCTTTGTGATGATGAGTTCAAATTCTTAGAGAAATTATTTAGCCCCCTGGAGAGACTGCTCTCCCAGTGTGGAGGGCTGGGGCTGGGGTCATATGTCAACATTGTTCAATGTGACACATATTTACTGAGCACCTACTCAGTGCCTATCCCTGGTGAGACAAAAGATGAGTGAGGAATGGCACCTGCCCTTGAGAAACATATAAGAAATGCTTCAGCAAGAAGCGTGTGTCTTTCTCTTGACCATAATGGCAATCTCCTAACACTGGAATAGGGTTAAGAAATCATAAAGAGTTCATGCATGTGTTCGTTGATTCATGAAGGCTTTATAGGGCCTCTACTTTGTCCCAGGCTCTATGCTAGACAGTAGGTAAAGCTGAATTGAAGGTTTTATTTTGCAGTTATTAAGCCTGTGAATAATTTCAGCACAGGAAGCCTACTGTGCCTTTCAGCACAGTTGACTTATGTCCAAGGTACAGATGTGGAACAGAAGAGAGAGTACTGAATGATGTTCTGGTGGGAGAGCAGGATGGTTCTGTGTCTGGGAGTGCTTCACGGAGGAAGTGGCTACTGAAAAAGGATTCAAAGGAAGACTCAGCTTGCCAGGCGGATGCATGGGGAAAAGGCATCCTAGGCTGAGGAAACAGCCTGTGCAAAGGCCTGGGGGCTGAGTCATGGACCAGCAGGGCTCAGAGGCTTTGCAGAAGTGATCTCATCCACCCACTCATAGTTCAGATGAGGCTGGGATGCAGAGAGCGGAAGGCACTGCCTAGAGCTACTCAGCCAGTTAACCACAGAGTTTTGATGGGAACCTGGCCTCCTACCTCCCAGCCACAGCTGGTATTTTCTTCTGCTGGGGAAATGCTACACATCATACACAATACCATCTTTACCACTTGATGGATCACAAGCAGGTATACATTTAAGTCATCTGAATTTAGTTCAAAGTTTGCAAATGGAGAGCAGAATTAGAGGGGCTGGCTGTGCTTTCCATGGGTCCAGATATATAGTGGGTGCTCAGTAAGGGTCTGTGCCCTCCTCCATGGCCAGATGTGGTCGGGGGGTGGGGGCGGGAAGTAAAGGCAACTCCCTGTTCTAAAGGAACACATGGATGACAACTTCCAACTTAGGATGACTTGAAGCTGGGCTTGTGAAGGCTCTGAGCAGCTGGGCTTGGAAGGCAATAATTTCTCAGGCAGAGCATGAGTACCTCTGTGTCTCCCAGTTTGAAAGGGAGCAAGTCATCCTGAAAATAAGCAAATGTCACTTCACCTCCGACCTGGCTGCCCTTTCAGTGGGTGCAGCGAATAAGGCCTTCTCGGTCATTCCGGGCTTTCAGTTTATGGGACTAAGAAAAAGGCAGAAATGCCAATAGTATACAATCATATCTATTTTATTATGCTTTGCTTTATTATGCTTGGCAGATACTCCATTTTTAAAAAACAAAGTAAAGGTTTGTGGCAATCCTGCTTTGAGCAAGTCTATTGGTGCCATTTTTCCAACAGCATGTGCTCACTTCATGTCTCTGTGTCACATTTTGGTAATTCTGGCAATATTTCAGACTTTTTCATTATTATTATATCTGTTATGGTAATCTGTAATTATTGATCTTTGATGTTACTATTGTAATTATTTTGGGGTGCCACAAACCGTGCCCCTAAGACAGCAAATTTAATCAATAAATGTTGTGTGTGTTCTGACTGCTCCACCAACTGGCCATTCCTTCATCTCTCCCTCTCTTTTGGCCTCCCTATTCTCCAAGACACAACAATATTGGAATTAGGCCAAGTAATAACCCTACAATGCTGCCTTAAGCGTTCAAGTGAAAGGAAGGGTGGCATATCTTGCTTCAAATAAGAAGCTGGACATGATGAAGCTTAGTGAGGAAGGCATATGGAAAGCAGAAAAAGGCTGAAAATGAGGCCTCTTGTACCAAACAGTTACAAATGCAAAGGAAAAGTTCTTGAAGGAAATTAAAAGTGCTACTTCAGTGAACACAGGAATGATAAGAAAGTGAAGCAGCTTTATTGCTGATATGGAGAAAGTTTGAGTAGTCTGAATAGAAGATCAAACTAACCATAACATTCCCTTAAGGCAAAGCCTAATCCAGAGCATGACCCTAACTCTCTCCAGTTCTATAAAGGCAGAGAGAGGTGAGGAAGCTACAGAAAAGAAGTTGGGGCTGGGTATGGTGGCTCACACCTGTAATCCTAGAACTTTGGGAGGCCGAGGCAGGTGGATCACTTAAGTCCAGGAGTTTTGAGATCAGCCTGGGCAACATGGAGAAAACCTGTTGCTACAAAAAAAAAAAAAAAAAAAATTAACTGGGTGTGGTGGTGCATGCCTGTGGTCTCTGTTACTTGGGAGGCTGAGGTGGGAGAATCTCTTGAGACCGGGAGGTGGAGGTTGCAGTGAGCCATGATTACACCACTCCACTCCAACCTGAGTGACAGAGTGAGACCCTGACACACACACACACACACAAGAAAAAGAAAAAGAAAAAAAAGTTGGAAGCTAGCAGAGGTCAGTTTCTGAGGTTTAAGGAAATAAGCTATCTCTTTGATGTAAAAGTATAAGCAGCAAGTGCTGATGTAGAAGCTGCAGCAAGTTATCCAGAAGATCTAGCTAAGACCATCAATGAAGGTGGCTACACTGAACAACAGATTTTCACTGGAGACAAAGCAGCCTTATATGGGAAAAAGATGCCATCTAGGACTTCCATAGCTAGAGAGGAGAAGTCAATGCCTGGCCTCAAAGCTTGAAAGGACAGGCTGGCTCTCTTGTTAGGGGCTAATGTAGCTGGTGACTTTAAGTTTAAGCCAATGCTCAATGGCCATTCTGAAAATCCTAGGGCCCTTAAGAATTATGATAAATCCACTCTGTCTGTGCTCTAGAAGTGGAACAACAAAGCTTGGATGACAGCATATCTGTTTAGAGCATAGTTTACTGAATGTTTTAAGCCCACTGTTGAGACCTACTGCTGAGAAAAAAAGATTCATTTGAAAATACTACTGTTCACTAACAATGCACCTGGTTACCAAGAGTTGTGATGGAGATGTACAAGGAGATGAATGTTGTTTTCATACCTATTAACACATCATCTGTTCTGCACCCACGGATCAAGTAATTTTGACTTTCAAGTCTTATTACTTAAGAAATACATTTCATAAAGTGATAGCTGCCATAGATAGTGATCCGTCTGACTGACCTGGACAAAGTAAGTTGAAAACCTTCTGGGAAGGATTCACCATTAGAGATGTCATTAAGAACATTCATGACTCATGGAAGGAGATAAAAATGTCAACATTAACAGGATTTTTTTTGGCTGCCCAGTGCATATAAAAGTTATATTTATGCTATTACATGTACAATAGCATTATGTCTAAAAAACAATGTATGGACCTTAATTTAAAAATACTTTACTGCTAAAAAATGCTAATGATCATCTGAGCCTTCAGCAAGTCATAATCTTGCTCAAGTCTGGAAGTCTGGAGTTTGTAAGAAGTTGATTGCAACCCTCATGAATGACTCTGAGGGATTCAACATTTCAGTGGAGGAAGTAACTGCAGATGTGGTAGAAATAAGCAAGAGAACTAGAATTGGAAGAAGAGCCTGAAGATGGGACCGAATTGCTGCCATCTCATGATCAAACTTGAATGGTTGAGGGGTTGCTTCTTTATGGATGAGCAAAGAAAGTGGTTTCTTAAGATGAAACCTACTCCTGGTGAAGATGCTGTGAATATTGTTGAAATTACAACAAAGGATTTAGAATATTCCATAAACTTAGTTGATAAAGCAGTGGCAGGGTTTAAGAGGATTGATTCCAATCCTAAAATAAGTTCTACTATGGGTAAAATGCTATCAAACAGCATTGTGTGCTACAGAGATGTCTTTTGTGAAAGGAAGAGTTAATCGATATGGCCAATTTCATGGTTGTTTTATTTCAAGAAATTGCCACAGCCACCCCAGCCTTCAGCAACCACCACCCTGATCAGTCAGCAGCCATCAACATGGAGGCAAGACCCTCCACAGCAAAAAGATTATGACTTGCTGAAGGCTCAGATGATTGTTAGCATTTTTTAGCAATAAAGTATTTTTAAATTAAGGCATGTACATTGTTTTTTAGATATAATGCTATTGTACACATAATAGCATAAATATACCTTTTATGTGCACTGGGCAGCCAAAAAAATTGTGTGACTCACTTTATTGCAATATTTGCTTTATTGTGGTGGTCCAGAACCAAACCCGCAACATCCCCAAGGCATGCCTGTATGCCTTCACTGCCCTCGGGGTTTTTTTTTTGTCTTTTTTTTTTTTTTTTTTTTGAGACAGAGTCTTGCTCTATCTCCCAGGCTGGGGTGCAGTGGCATGATCTTGGCTCACTGCAACCTACACCTCCCGGGTTCAAGTGATTCTCCTGCCTCAACCTCCCTAGTAGCTGGGAGTATATGTGTGTGCCACCATGCCCCACTAATTTTTTATATTTTTAGTAGAGACGGGGTTTCACCATGTTGGCCAGGCTGATCTCGAACTCCTGACCTCATGATCTGCCCACCTTGGCCTCCCAAAGTGCTGGGGTTACAGGTGTGAGCCACCACGCCCAGCCGCCTTTTCAATCTTAACTAAGCATTTATTATGTACTGTGGCTGTCACTTTTGCAGTTTCAGGTGTGACAGCAAAACTAGCATGAACTTCTTTTTCCTTCTTCACAATTTCACAGAAGATCTTCGTAATCTCATTGTACAATTTTTTTTTCTTTCCTAATTAAGTTGAAAACTTTCACCTTTTCAGTTAAAAGAAGCATGATACAGCTTCTCTTAGGCACAGCTGCATTGTCAGTATCACTACTCTTGCGTCTTGGGGCCACTGCTATGTAAAGTAAGAGTTACTTGAACACAAGCAAGATTGCCTGGCTGATCTGATAACTCAGATGGCTACTGACTGACTAATGGGTGGGTAGTGAAGACAGCATGGGCACGCTGGACAAAGGGATCATTCATATCCCAGGCAGGATGGATTAGGACAGTGCGAGATTTTGTCACACTACGCTGAACAGCATGCAACTGAAAACATGAATTGCTTATTTCTGAAATTTTCTATGTAATATTATTGGACTGTGGTTGACCATGGGTAACTGAAACCTCAGAAAGCAAAACCATGGATAAGTTGGGACTGCTGTATATAGAATAGTCTATGATATGATATATTAAATACACCATAAATAATACATTGTATAATATAATGCTTTATAGTATAAACTATATAAATTAAATATTAAAATAGAAATTACATATTTAAAATATAAATATAAAATATAAAGACATGCATTTAATATATATGAGAAATATTTAAAGAAGGCAGAGCATAGTATGATAAACACCCTCCCACTGCATCTTAACAGTTTACCCTGTTGTCTCTACCCCAGTACACGACTATGGTTGACTGTAACACCTCGATGTGAGTGAGAAATTTGAATGCAGGTTTTACATCTGTAGCTTTTTAAGTCCCAAAGCTGCTCCTCCTCATAGAATCCTCCAGTGGCTACTGAGAGCCCTCCGGATAGGCCAGACTCCCGCACAGGGTCTTTGGAGGCTTGTGAGATTGGATCCCTGCCCACATCTCCCCACCAGCCCCTCACGCTCTGGCTCCTGTTTTGTTCCTTCCACCAGGCAAGTGGCTGTCTCCTCCTGGGACGTTCTGTCCTCCTCTTCCCCTTGCCAACTCCTGATTATCCTTCAGGCTTTGGCTGAAATGGCACTTCCTCCAGGAAGCACTTTATGACAGCTCCAACATGGCTGTGGCTACCGCCCTCCAGCACCGTGCCTGCCCCGGGCCCAGCATGTCAGTCCTCCCTCCCCCAGGGATTGCCTGACCCCTCCTCTGTGACTTTCACTGTTTAGTGAGCTCCGGCACAGGGATTGGCCTGCTAGGCTCACCTCTGCACCCCGTGTGTCCATCATAGAGCTTTTAACAAGTTGGTGGGTACATCACCTCTACTTGTTACATGTTAAACATGAGCTGGAAGGTGGCACAGGGCGTATCCTGGAGGATGAGGGGACCCTGAATGGGTAAAGCCTGCTGAGGAAGGCTTGGCCACCCCTAGCATTGGCTAAGTTGGCCCATTTTGAAAGATTGGAACCATCCTGGTTTCCCAACTAGTAACCATTCACTTCCTTCCCCTCTTTCTGATAGAAACCCGACTTTGCTTATCTTCGTATGAGCAGCCATATGTTTCCAAAGAGGGGGCTCAGCCCTCATCAGGAACTGGCCAAGGCATGGGCTGGTGGGGGGTCTGGACAGTAACACTTGAGGGTGACTCTGCCGCTGGGGGGTCCCTGAAGCCTCACCTTATTCTTCAAAAGGGACACAGGAATGTGGGGAATTCTGTAGGACAAATGTCTTGGTTTTCTTGACTTAAAAAAAAAAAGATGTTGGGGAGGGGAAGAGAGGGAGAGAGAGAAACTGTTTAGATGAGGGGTTAGCAGATTTTTTCTGCCAAATTCCAAGCAGTAAATATTTTAGGCTTTGTGGGCCGTACTGTCTCGGCAGTAACTGCTCAACTCCGCCTCTAGCAGGAATGAACCATGGAACACATAAACAAGCAGAGGCGGCTGCGTTCCCATGAAGCTGATTTACAAAAACACACGGCGGGCTCACTGGGCCCCAGGTGTAGTTTGCCCACTTATGGTATAGATGAAAGGAGACTTCTGAGGTATACTGGCCAGATGAGATGTATGGACTTTGCTTGGATACCCACTTGAACAAATCAAGTCTTTTTTTGAGACAGAGTCTTGCTGTGTCATCGAGACTGGACTGCAGTGGCAGGATCTCCTCTCACTGTAACCTCTGCTTACTGGGTTCAAGTGATTCTCCTGCCTCAGCCTCCTGAGTAGCTTGGATTATAGGCACCCACCAGCACGCCTGGCTAATTTTGTATTTTTAGTAGAGACAGGGTTTCACCATGTTGGCCAGGCTGGTCTTGAACTCCTGATCTCAAGCAATCCACCCGCCTCAGCCTCCCAAAGTATTGGGATTACAGGCATGAGCCACCGCATCTGGCCCAAACCAAGTCTTAAAAACCAAACAAGACAAAAATGTTTGTGACAGTTGGGGAAATTTGAACAATGATCAGATGCAAGATGATTTTAAGGAATTATTGTTAATTTTGCTAGGTGTGACAAAGACATGGTTTTCGTTGTTGTTGATGTTGTTTTGATTTTGTTTTTAAAGAAGAGAGAGTTTTTATCTACTAGCTGCTGATACTAAATGGGAGATAATGTAGGGGGTTTGCTCTAAAATGACCTCGGGTGTGGAGGGAAGGGGTAAGGATGACACGGAGCTGGCCATATGGGCATAATGACTGAAGCTGGGTGATGGAATTGGGGGAAGGGGCCTCTATACTCTTTTGTCTTCCTTTGTTTATGTTTAAAAATCTGTATAATAAAGTCACAGCCAGCCTCGGTGGCTTACTCCTTTAATCCCAGAACTTTGGGAGGCCGAGGTGGGTGGATCACCTGAGGTCAGGAGTTCGAGATCAGCCTGGCCAACATGGTGAAACCCCATCTCTGCAAAAAATACAAAACAACTAGCTGGGCATGGTGGTGAGTGCCTGTAATCCCAGCTACTTAGGAGGCTGAGGGCAGGAGAATGGCTTGAACCCAGGAGGTGGAGGTTGCAGCGAGCTGAAACAACACTATTGCACTCCAGCCTGGGCAACAGAGCAAGACTCTCTCAAAAAAAAAAAAAAAAAAAATGAAAAAAAAGAAAAGAAATAAAGAAAAAGAAAAAGAAAAAGAAAATCTGTATAATAAAGTCTTTAAAAAGGAGAGACAAGAAAGAACTCCCCGCCAGTTGTGGTGGCTCACACCTATAATCCCAGCACTTTGGGAGGCGAAGACAGGCAGATCACCTGAGGTCAGGAGTTCAAGACCAGCCTGACCGACATGGTGAAACCCCGTCTCTACTAAAAAAAAAAAAAAAAAAAAAAAATTAGCTGGGCGTGGTGGTGCATGCCTGTAATCCCAGCTACTCAGGTGGCTGAGGCAGGAGAATCACTTGAACCCGGGAGGTGGAGGTTGCTGTCAGCCAAGATTGCGCCACTGCACTCTCACTGGGTGACAAAGGGAGACTCTGTTTCAAAAAAAAGAAAGAACTCCCTCTTCCACTGCCTCTGGTCCCCATTGCATCAGGTGAATATGTGATGCCTGCAGCTAATGCAGTCATTTTACAGCTAAGAGGGAACAAGCCTGAGGATGAGACTAATCCCCAAGCATGACAGAGTGGAAGAGGAAGGGACTGAGATGCTGGAAGATCCTGTGAGGCTGCCAAATTAACCAGGTCCAGCACTGGCCTGCTTCAGGATTCCTTTTTATATGAGATAATAAATTAAGCCATGTGTTTGGTGACATGTAAGCCAAAGTCCCCTTACTGATCTAAAGAAAGGAACAGTATAGAGGTCTGGCCCCTCTTTGCTGCAGAATGTCACCCATGGTATCTAAGAGGATGTTAGGATTGGAAGAAAAGCTGCTAAGTGGTATCCAAGAGGATGTTAGGATTGGAAGAAAAGCCGGTAAGAAGCGTGCCCTGGACGAATCTCTCTGAGTCCTTCCATTATACCATAGGGGCACGGGGAAATGGGGGAGATCACTGCTTCCTGCCTTACTCTCTGGAACCCCAGGCAGCCAATGCCAGGGGCCGCACTGGACTTCGCTTAGGAGGATGCTATAGGAGACCTGTGGTTTCAGAAGAGGGGATGGCAGAAACAAAACTCCCAAAGGACAGCTGGGCTTTTTGGCATCCTTCCTCACAAAGACAAGGAGACCTCCTCTCCCCGCACTCCCCAACACGCAGTAACCACAGCCACACAATGTCTACACACAGGGCACAAACGGCATTGTTTCTAACTGATCTCATGGTTCAGCCAGTCTCGGGGGCATCAGCTGTTCTGTAATGCATGACAAATCACTGTGGTTAACTTAACCCATCCTTGTCTCCTAGCTACAGTCATTAGACACTTGCCAAAAAATGTGCAGAGGGAATGCTGGGGAAACAAAGGAGAAGGGTCATGTGGAGAAGGCCACGAGGCCCAGCCCCTCTCCCGCACATCTGGAGGCTTCTGGAGCTCTGCCAGACTCCTGGAGTTCAGATGCAGCACCAGCCCAGGCTTTGGAGACAGGGGATAGGAGATGAGAGTGGTGGCCTTGAATTAGGAGCAAGTCACAGATCTTCAGTTAGTGAGTTTGCTCTCAGTCTTCATTTGGCCCCAGTTTTCTTTTTCTTTTTCTTTTTTTTTTTCTTGAGACTCAGTCTCACTCTGTCATCTAGTCAAGTGATCATGGCTCACTGCAGGCTCGACCTCCTTGGGCTCAGGTGATTCTCCCACCTCAGCCTCCCCAAGTAGCTGGGACTACAGGTGCACCACCACGCCTGGCTAATTTTGTATTTTTTGTAGAGACAGGGTTTTGCCATGTTGCTCAGGAAAGTCTTGAACTCCTGGGCTCAAGTGATCCACTGGCCTCAGCTTCCCAAAGGGCTGGGGATTAGAGGTGTGAGCCATTGCTCCCAGCCTGGCCCCAGTTTTCAAGGCTTTGTTTAGAACAGTGATTCTTAAATTTGAGCATGCATCAGAGTCCCCTGGAGGACAGGTTAAAACAGATTGCTGGGCCCCTTCCCCAGAGTTTCTGGTTGAGTAGGCCTGGGGTGAGGCCTGAGAATGTGCCTGTCTAAAAACTTTCAAGTGATGCTGATTCTGCTGCACAGGGGGACGCTGATTTGAGAACCACTGGCTTAGAGCTGCTGTGCATGACGGTGGCTCTCAGGTAGCAGCAGGAAGAGACTCAGACTCTTCTTCCTCTTCCTTCCCTTTGGGCTGAGGTAGGAACTAACGATGAATGACCAAAGGGGGAACCAATATCACCAATACTCTAAGATCACTGTGAACCAGGAACCAGGAGACTTGAGGTGTTATCCTGCCCCTGAATGATCTTTCTGTGTGGTGTTGCAAGGTCAACTCTGCTCTCTGGGTCTCAGTTTGCCCCTCTGTACAATAGGCAGGTGGTGTTTTTCTGCATGTGTTGTCGTTTCCACTAACAAACAGTTTTATAAAATAAGGAGGCTGGGCACGGTGGCTCACGCCTGTAATCCCAGCACTTTGGGAGGCCGAGGCGGGCAGATCACCTGAGGTCAGGAGTTCAAGACCAGCCTGACCAACATGGTGAAACCCCATCTCTACTAAAAATACAAAAATTACAGGCCCATGCCTGTAATCCCAGCTACTTGGGAGGCTGAGGCAGGGGAATCGCTTGAACCCAGGAGACAGAGGTTGCAGTGAGCCAAGATCGAGTCATTGCACTCCAGCCTGGACAACAAGAGTGAAACTCCATCTCAAAATAATAATAATAATAATAATAATAATAATAATAATAATAATAACCAAGGAAAACAAAATGAACTAAGTGATCTCCAAGAAGGTGGAGGTGGGAGAATCTCTTGGCAGCATCACCGTGTGCCTGGAAGCCTGGGAGCTGGAATCTGACTTGGGTTTGAATATGGCTCTGATATTTACCAGCTATGAGTGCTGTGAGCACTGGCAGAGCTGCCCAACCTGGCAGAGTCTTAGACTCCTCTTCTGCAAGTGGGGATGAGGATGCTGACCTTACAAAGTTGTTGCAGGAGTGGAGGTAAATGTATAAAGGGGCTGGCCAACAAATATTAGCTATGATGATTATATTTGTTATTTTTAATATCTTTTCAAGGCTTGGCAACTCAGAAAGGCAACTCATCTCCTGCATCCGTGCCTGACTGTGGAGCCTGGTGATGTTTGTTGATGGCCACTCAGAATTTACACACATGTGTCTCACGTTTTCCCCTGGAATGATTATTCTGGGAAATGCTTGACTTGCCAAATTTTCCGTGAACTGTTCTTTCTCCAACTTCCGTTCATTTGATTACTAATTTAACTAATATTTATTAAGGGCCTCCCATGTGCCCAACACAGGGTAGCCACTGGGGATACAATGAGGAGAGAACCCCAAATGTGGTCCCTGTTCCCTGTGAAACTCAGTCTGGGGGAAGCAGGTGTTCATCTGTGAATCACAGAGAATCAGGAGAAACTCAACAGCAAAAACTGCTGTGCAGGGGCCCAGAGATGGTACAACAGCAGGTGGATTTGACCTGGTTGGGAGGCCAGGACAGGCTTGGGGAAGAGAGAACTAAAAGGATGATGTCTGAGGGTAGCAGGCATTGACTGGGAGAAGAGAGAGGGTTGGGCATTATGGGCAGAGAGAACAGCCTGTTGTGCAAAGGTGCCTGCAAGGAGCTAGGCTGGAGGGTTACCCAGTGTACGTGACCTCAGTGACTTTTCACCCCACCTTAACTCTGCTTATCTTTAGAAAACAGGACATCCGAGGTCAGAAGTTCCCCCTCGTGACTAAGCAGCTAAGACTGGTGGGATCCAAGATGACAGTTCCCTTGACCTCTGAAGAACCTCTAACTTCATTATAATCTAATTTCCAGGCTAAATGACACTCTTACCATCATGACCACAGTTGATAATCACCATGCCAATGGCTAGAACAAACCACGAAAGGACAAAAAGGAAGGTGGCAACTCTGGTTCCCAGAAGTTCTCCGCCCATTCCCAGAGAAGGCATGAATATTCCTCCCCTTGTTTTCAATGCTCAACATCTTTATTAAAGATGCCCTGTATCTGTGACTTCCCAGCACTCACAAGCTGAGCAGTGTTGTGGGAAGTCAGGAACCCGGAATGGAGGGACCGGCTGAAGCCATGGCAGAAGAACATGGATTGAGAAGATTTCATGGACATTTATTAGTTCCCGAAATTAATACTTTTATAATTTCTTACGCCTGTCTTTACTGCAACCTCTGAACATAAATTGTGAAGATTTCATCGACACTTATCACTTCCCTAATCAATACCCTTGTGATTTCCTATGCCTGTCTTTACTTTAATCTCTTAATCCCATCATCTTTGTAAACTGAGGAGGATGTATGTCGCCTCAGGACCCTGTGATGATTGCGTTAACTGCACGAATTGTTGGTAGAGCATGTGTGTTTAAACAATAGAAAATCTGGGCACCTTGAAAAAAGAACAGGATAGCAGCAATGTTCAGGGAACAAGAGAGATAACCTTAAACTCTGAGCACTGGTGAGCCAGATGGAACAGAGCCATATTTCTCTTCTTTCAAAAGCAAATGGGAGAAATATTGCTGAATTCTTTTTCTCAGCAAGGAACATCCCTGAGAAAGAGAATGCGTCCCTGGGGGTAGGCCTCTAACATGGCCGCTTCGGGGGGCAGCCGTCTTTTATGGTCGAAGCTGTAGGGATGAAATAAGCCTCAGTCTCCCGTAGCGCTCCCAGGCTTATTAGGAAGAGGAAATTCCCGCCTAATAAATTTTGGTCATACCAGTTGTCTGCTCTCAAAACCTGTCTCCTGATAAGATGTTATCAATGACAACATGTGCCCGAAACTTCATTAGCGATTTTAATTTTGCCCCGGTCCTGTGGTCCTGTGATCTTGCCCTGTCTCCATTTGCCTTGTGATATTCTATTACCTTGTGGAGCACGTGATCTCTGTGACTCACACCCTATTCATACACTCCCTCCCTTTTTGAAAATCACTAATAAAAACTTGCTGGTTTTGCGGCTTGTGGGGCATCATGGAACCTGCTGACAGTTGATTCGTGAGCCAAGCTCCCACTTCTCAATTCCATGGCCATTAAATAAAGCCTGCACTGCTTGATGCTCACTCTCAGTTTTGCGTACTGACTTTGTGACACCAAACGGAGAATAATACCTCATTTTTTTGAGAGGACCAGCTTTGTCCGTAACAGAGGCAGGAAGGTGGGCACAGGGAGTCTGATCTTTGTTCCAAGAGGAACAGAGCCTTTGGAGGTTTAATAGCAGAGAGGGCCATGTGATGTCTCAAACATCTCTGGGTGTAGTTGGAGGAGAGATTCCGGGGCCCGGAGAAGAGTGGGGTTATCTGTTAGGACAAACCTACAGCAGTGTCCACAGAGGGCTGCTGGTGGCCTGCTGGGAGATGGGGTTGCATTTGAAATGGAAAGAAGTTACTGTATTTGGAATATCCTTTGGAGTCAACTCCACAGGACTTGGAGGGGATTGATGTGGTGGGTGAGAGAGGTGACTAGGGTGGTCCAGCTGTCTGACTTCCTAACTGGCTATCCAGGGTGGATGGTGATGGCTTTCAGTGAGCTAGGGTGGAACTCCTCTTCTCCAGAGCATTTCAGAGCCCTACTGGTCACTTGTCACACCATGGGTTGGAAGACAAGGACCCTCTTCCTGTGTTTCAGAGTACTCATCTCCTCCAGGTGTGGATAAAACAGGTAAACACTTAGCACAGCAGCTGGTTCTCAACAAATGATAGCTGCCTGCTGGACCCCCTGCCTCTGGGTCACTCTCGTGGAGCTGTTGGCCTCTTGCTGCAGAGACCTATCACAAGCTGACACTCTTACTTCCTTGTGGGGGCATCTGGGACTCCTGCTGGGGTGGGGATATTTTGTCTCAACCTTGAACCTCCTCATCTTTATCTTGGAAGATGGAGCAAGAGGGGAAGAGAGCTGGCGCTCAGCAGAGGTTGTGCTTTTCTGAAGCCAGGGGAACTGGCCCTCCTCTAAACTAGCTGTGTGACCAGAGGCAAGTCTGCTTTCCTCTCCAGACCTCAGTTTACCTAACTATAAAATGGAGTGGGGCACAGGACTGGAGATTGCCTCTCAACCCCTCTATCTCCAAATCTCTGCATTTTTGTTTATGCTCAAAGGAACGTGGGTGGAGGCTGGGACCACCTTGCTCCTCAGGGTCAAATCCTGGGCCGTTGCCCAAGCCCCAGCCCACTCATTACATCTGTTTCAAACTCTTGCCACAGTCACCTTTTGGGGATAGACACCTCCACTTTGTCTTTCTGGCCTACCTGTCACAGGAGCCTTCCATGGGCTCTAGCTAGTCCAGCCTTTTCTCCTCCTGCCTGGGAGGCTCATGGCAGGCCGCCCCCTCCTGCCCATGCTCGTGCCATTCCCAACCAGGAACACTGCTTCCTCTCTGTCTCCCCTGTGGAAGCCTCAGCTTGGATCCACGGCAGTGAAATCTCCCTCTAAGCTTCTCCTTCCCAGAGTCCCCAGAGTCCCTGGGGTCCCCCCTGGCGACCTTGCATGTTCATTTAGAGCACATTTCTCTACCCTTTCCTTACCTGGTTTTCAGACTTTCTCTTGCCCATGTCAGGTTTCTCAATTGCTTGCTGGCTTCATGCAGCCAACACGGACTTTCTGCATCCCTCTCCCCCAGGGCCTTAGACTGAAACTGTTGTGTTGGGTGTTGGGAGAAACACCTAAGACATTCTCTCCTGCGCGAAGACTCAAGGAAGACACTGGGAAACCCAGACCTTGACTTCCTAGGAGGGTCCCCAGCTTACACCTGGGGATTTCTTCCTTTGGCCCCATTCACCTCCAAATCTGGGGCCACCTTGCCCTCTCCCCACCTTCTGGCCCAGACTCTGAGCTAGGCCCCCATGTCCCCTTTTCCTAACAAAGCCTTCCTCCATGGAAGAGAGCTTGGACACACAATACTTGCCGATAAAAGCAATCATTGTAGCCCCAGGGAAGGGGGCGGGGGTAAAGAAACGGGGAGAGGTTTTGCTCTCTGCTTGCCAAGGCTGGCTCCAGGGAAGGCCGCAGCCCACTCCAGCGAAGCAGGCTGCTGGGGCCCCAGCTGTGACCTGCTCCTCTTGACTTGCTTTCCTTGAGGCAGGAACAAGGGGGTGGAATGGAGCTGGGGCCCCTGAGTTTTCTAGGGGAGTCTTTCTGAGATGGCCCCACAGCAGAAAAGGGGCAATCCTTACGCCATGACTTTTTCCTTCTGTCCCGCAGGGTTCCCACTCTGCAGCTTGGAAAACTGAGACCCTGAGAAGGGAAGCCATTTTATCCAGAGATCATTTGGTGGGCTTGGGTTTGCAGAGGGCCAGAGCTGTGAAGCTCCAGCCTGGTCATCTCCCAGCCTTCTCTCTCTCTCTCTCTTTCTCTCTCTCTCTCTTTCTCTCTCTCTCTTTCCTATCTCTCTCTCTCTTTCCTCTCTCTCTCTCTCTCTCTCTCACACACACACACACACACACACACACACACACACACACCCTCTAACTTTCTTGCTCTGTCATCCCTCACACACAGAATCCTGTCTGGACCTTGACTTTGCACATCATTTTTTTTTTTTTTTGAGACAGGGTATTGCTCTGTCACCCAGGCTGGGTACAGTGGTGTGAGCTGAAGCTCAGCTCACTGCAGCTTCAGCCTCTCAGGCTAAAGCAACCCTTCCGCCTCAGCCTCCCAAAGTGTTGGGACTATAGGCGTGAGCCACTGCACGCAGCCAACACACATCTTAAAAGACCAGAAAGAGGAGAAAGAGGAACTCTATTCTTCCTGAATTTAATATAGATCAATTTGGTTGTGGCATTTCCAAATAACTGGATGCTCTGATGTAGCTTGGAATGCTTGGAATATAATATACTTTAGCTTTCTGAACCTGCTTCTTAAATGCACTGGTCCTCCAAAACCTTGGCATCATTTCCAAGATTCTTTATTCCATGGTTATTACAAAAAAATCTCCTTTCCACAACTCCCACCCCTGGATTGCTTGAAATATAGTTTATTTGCAAGTTATTAGTTACATATTTACAGAGTAAAGCAAGAGCATGGATCTTCTGTTGGGTTGTTTGTACTGACTCCTGACCTGGTCTCAACACCATTGCAAGACTAGCATCAAGTGCTCATCTCTCAGACTCTTGGTTCTTTCCACCTTGGGATGCCACAGTTGCTACTGGTGTCAGGGATGGAAGTGGAGGGCAGTTATCACTTATTGAGCATCTATTATGTGCTGTAGTTAACACCCATTTCACAGATAAGACAACTGAGGCTCAGAGCTAGGATTTCAATCAGGGCTGTCTGACTCTGAAGCCAGGGCTCTCTCCTCACCGGCTCAGCCCTGCTCTTGGCTAGGACACAGGTCAGTCGTGCACCCTGGGCTGGAGTCTGGAAAATGGGTAGATCCAAGGGGTCGATGGTTAGTGAGGGCATCAAGACCATAGTGAAAGAAAGAGGGAGTCTCCCTCTACCGGGAGGTTCACTGTCCACCACACTCCCAAATGCAGCCGGACACCCCTTGGGCTCCTGGCTCTGGAACAGAAACAGAGAGCAGGCCCTGCGGCCAAGAAAGGGGGCGGAGCAGCCATAGAAAGCGGCTTTGGGCCACCACTCCGGGGATCCCAGGCGTCTGAGGGGACAATCGGTCCGTGCGCCAGGAACCCCTGCTCTGTCTCCGCGTGGCACTTCCGATCCCCGGCCGCAGGCAGCTGCACTCCCCAGCCGCGCGCCCCGCCCCCGGGCGCCCGGCGCCCCAGCTCCGACCCGCGCCCGGCCCCGCCCCGCCCAGTGTGCCCACCCCCGGCCCGTCCCGCCGCCCCGTCGCCCGGCTCCCGCGGAGTCCCGGAGCGTCACTGCGCGGGCGGGCTGACCGACCAGCCGGCAGTTGGCACCGGGTGCGCTGGCGCGTCAGTGGCCCCGCTCTCCAGCCGGCAGCCTCGCGCGCCCGGAGCCAGCGGTCCAGGCGGCGGCGCCGCGCAGGGGACCCGGAGCAGGCGGGAGGGAAGCAGCTAGGCGGGGAGGCGGCTGAGGCGGCAGCGGCGGCAGCCAGCCGGTGCTCCGACAGCCCGGGGCGCACCCTAGCCTCGCCGCCCTCAGCCTGGGACTTGGGGATCGGGCGCTTGCCCAGCCCGCGTCCCAGCGCGGCCACATGGCTCCACTCCGCGCGCTGCTGTCCTACCTGCTGCCTTTGCACTGTGCGCTCTGCGCCGCCGCGGGCAGCCGGACCCCAGGTGCGTGCGGGTTGGGCGCGCGGGGGCCCGTGGGGTCCGGGGTGCACGCGGTCAGGGTGGCCCAAGGTTGCCCCAGCCACCCGGGCAGGGTTCCCGCGGGTGGGAGGCAGTATGCACACTCTGGGCTGATTTGCTGTCTTTTCTTCCACTGTGCCACGGCACTGTCCCGTGATTTCTCTCCCTTTCTGGTACTAGAAGTAGACAGAGACCCCAGGAGAGAATTTGGGAGCATCGAGTCTCTTCTCGGGAGCAGCGCATCTGTCTCTTTGTCTCTCTGTGTTTCTTCTTTCCCCTCTTCCCCAATCTGTTTCTCTGTCCTGTGTGTCTTTCTCTTTCAATGTCTTTTCTGTCTCCAACTTGTGTGAGCATGGGTGCAAGGGGTGTGTGTGTGTGTGTGTCTGTGTGTGGCTGTTACATACCCAGCATAAGGCTAACAGGTGATTGCCTCCTACAGCAGAGCATGCGGGGCACTCACGCTCCTGCACAGAAACACACATCCTTCCACTGCCCCCAACGTAGCACTGTCAAACGCTGTGGACACAGGTCTCTTGCATACAGACCAGATACACTCCACTCCCGCCCTGCAGCATGGGGTACCCTCCTGGTGGCTCTGAACATGGGGAGGAGTCACCGGTCATTTCCAGGCAGGGTCCCTCCTTGTTTGTGAGCCTTGTTCATGTGCCAGAGTGGGTCCCCTCTTGCAGCAGTCTTAGGGGTCCTCTGCTATAATGGGGATGAAACTAGAGCTGTGGGCATGGGGGATTTTCAGGAAACACCACTTTCTATGTTTCATCAGTGACGTGAACTGGGGAGACGAGAGGTAGAGCTGTGTGGAAATGAAAATTCCTCCCAAACTCGCATTCATGAATCACCAGGCCTGGAAGCCAGGGAGCTGTCATTCCTGCCCAGCCTGGCTGGGCTCAAGGAGAGCTGCGTGAGGATGGGCCTGCTGGCATGTGGCCTGGAGCATGGGGCCATGACCTCACAGTTAATTCAGCCCAAGTGGGCAGGTCACCCCCTGTATATCCTTTTATTTTTGAAGATCTATATTTATCCAGCTTGGGGCTCGGCCATACAGAGATCTCAGCGGCCACTGTCCTCCTGTAAAAAGTTTTCTTTCTAACCTTGGAAAAATAGAGAACCGCTCCCCTCTGCAGCCCCACCTTCTCCTTGACACGTGCCCATGGTCCCCTGGGTTTCTAGGTGTGTTTGTTTTGCCAGCTGCGTTCTTGGAAGTTTGGGGAGGAGGGCACTACCCCAGCCTGGGCTGGTGACTTCAGCACACTGGGGAGTTTGGGCAGATCTGCCCTTCCCTTTATTTGCCCTGTTGGCTTTTGGGGAATTTTAGTCCTTTTCTGGGCAGAGCCCAAGGTCGGAAGTCTTGTTGCTAGTGACCGGGCTCTGTCTGGTATCATTTGCTTTCTTCTGCTAAGTTTAAAAAGGACCTGGGGGCTACAGGGAGTGCCACAAGGTACCCGAACACCCTTCATCCAAGTGTAGGAATCCTGGAGCTCAGGAAGCAATGGATGGAAAATGGGTGAACTCAGGCTAAGGGGCCCACCTAAGGGTGACACTGAGAGTTCCTATCCCTCCCTGCCCGCGTGGGATTTCTGACTTCCCCTTACCTCTGAACCGACTGCATTGAAGTGACTCTTTGTTTACCTCCAACAGAGCTGCACCTCTCTGGAAAGCTCAGTGACTATGGTGTGACAGTGCCCTGCAGCACAGACTTTCGGGGACGCTTCCTCTCCCACGTGGTGTCTGGCCCAGCAGCAGCCTCTGCAGGGAGCATGGTAGTGGACACGCCACCCACACTACCACGACACTCCAGTCACCTCCGGGTGGCTCGCAGCCCTCTGCACCCAGGAGGGACCCTGTGGCCTGGCAGGGTGGGGCGCCACTCCCTCTACTTCAATGTCACTGTTTTCGGGAAGGAACTGCACTTGCGCCTGCGGCCCAATCGGAGGTTGGTAGTGCCAGGATCCTCAGTGGAGTGGCAGGAGGATTTTCGGGAGCTGTTCCGGCAGCCCTTACGGCAGGAGTGTGTGTACACTGGAGGTGTCACTGGAATGCCTGGGGCAGCTGTTGCCATCAGCAACTGTGACGGATTGGTAAGGGATGAGACTTTCATTAAGCTGCATCCTCCCCCTCCCATGCCCTGCTCACATGGTTTTGAGATTGCTATGGGCATGTTTTGCAGTCTGGGCCAAGGCAGGGGTGGTGCTGCCTTCCAGAGGGAGTGCCGCCTGCCCCCGCGGGCCACTAGGTTCATGCGCTGCCAGGTGTGAAGTGGCCAAGTTGGGATGATGTTCACCCCTCGCCTTCCATGGACCCAGCTGGATCACAAGCTGTTTGGCTGGTGTTTCTGAGTGCAGAGAGACACTGGGGTTGGAAGTGTGGCTGAGCCACTGCCTAGCTGTGAGGATTTGGATGAGTTAACCTCTCTGTGGTTCTTTCCCTTATTTATTTTGCACATATTTACTGTTCTAGATGCTGGGGGTACAGTGGTGCCTGAGACAGACGTGGCTTCTGCTCTCCTGGAGCTGACCCGCGAGTGTTAATGATATGGCCTGCCTAACTGGGCAGTGCACTGGGGGCTGTCCCTGCCTGGCTCGTGGCGTGGGCACAGTTAGCGGCTGCTATTATGTCTTGTAACATTGCGACGTCGTGTCCTTCCTCTTCTCCTCCCTGTCTCTCCTCCCAGAGCCAGCCTGCTCTTTCCTGGCTGCTCTGTGTGTCCCTTTCCTAGGACCCCCACTGCTTCCGCAATGCTTCCCAGAGTCTGGGAGCGCCTCTGCTAGTTGGCTCCACATTGCAAACCAGAAAGCCATGGGGTGGGCTGTCTTTCTCGCCCCCACCTGGGGTTGGCTCTCATTCCCCTCGCTGCTCCTCCTCAGTGTGCAGGCCCTTGTGAGCTGGCACAGCAGCCTCAAGGTCCTGTTGGGCAGCTCTTCCCTGCCCCAGAGACATCAGATGTGAGCTGATGGGTCTCAAGAAGGGGCCCGCTTGCTCCTCTGCCCTTCAGCTTTGAGAGCGAGAAAATTTGAGATGGGGAGGGGTTGTGGGTTCCTTCCTCACTGGCAGGGTGGGGAGCATTTGTCACCATTGTCTCATGTGTAGGAGATGTCTTATCTGCTGATTTCGTGGCTGCCTCTGTCTAGGCCAGTGCTTTCCACCTTTTATCATGATGTACCCCTAAATGTTTTAGACATTTCCTCCCAATCATCAGTCTACCCCACGATGAGGTTTTTTTTTTTTTTTAGAGGTGGATTTTCACTATGTTGCCCAGGCTGGAGTGCAGTGGCTATTCACAGGCACAAACACAGGGCACTGCAGCCTCGAACTCCTGGCCTCCAGCCATCCTTCTGCCTCCGCATCCCAGGAGCTGGGGCTATAGGTGCTTGTCACTGTGCCTGGCTTTCCTCATGCAATTTTAATACCACAGATATACTGAATATCTGTTTATACACTGAATATCCATCTGTGTTTTATATATTCAAAGGTGTAATATTTTTGCCTTCCCCAGAATAAATTTTCATCCCATTGAAGGTGGTAGGGCCCTCATGGAGAGGGCTTATCTACATGGTAGTTGGTTCTCATAGTTGAGCATGCACTAGAATCACCTGAGCACCTTGTCAGGTGCGCAGAATCTGCCTCTCAGGGGAGGGACCAGGATCTGATCATTACCAAACTCTGCAGGTGAACTGATTCAAGAGTTCCTGAGAGCGGACTTCGAGAAAGCAGATTGTCAGGGCAGCTGGGGGAGCCTAAGGCCTTGTCAGGTGTCTGGGCTGAGCCTCTGCCGCCAGCCCACTCTGGCTCTGCGGCTCTGTGCCACAGGGGCCCTTGGTCACCCCGCTGGCTAGAGCTATGCCATGGCCACAAGTTTTGGTGGAAAATCCCAAGTGATGTTAGGAATCATCCAGGGATACAGTATCCATGCAGGTAGAGAGAAAGTGCTGGTGCAAGCCAGCAGCTGAACTGAATTAGATGGTGAATTCCTTCTAAAGTCATCACACAGGTAGGCTGTAAGCTCCTCAGTGACAGGGCTAGGGCTCCAGCTTCTCTGACTGCCCTCCTGGAGCGAGACACAGAGGAGATGCTCAATATATGGTGAGAACCTAAACTGAGGATGACCGTCGCTAATAATAAGTGACTCCCCACCCCCTTTGCATCCTGAAAACCTCCCTTGTCATTGAACCAGCTCAGCAGCCCATTGACAAGTAGTGACTGACCACTAGGTGCCACAGGGACCAGGGAGGGCCCTGAAGGACCCTGAGCTAGCACTCCTGAAGCACGATCACATGGCTACGTGGTGTAGCATATATGGTGACAAGTCTTCATGCTCTGGTTTTGGGGGCTGGCGGATGGTGGAGGTGGGGCTGTTCAGTGGGCCTGGGGCTGGGGATTCCTCAGAGGGTGTTGCTGATTTTTGGTGGCCTCTGAGTAAATGTTCTCATTAGCTGTGTGACCTTGGGCAAGTCACCCCCTCCCCATTTCTGAGCTTTACTCTTCTCATTTGTCCAAAGAGGGACTATACTTGATATTCCCTGGAAGATGGGAATCGATTCTGTGTGGCATTTGCTGAAGCCGGATCGGGTCTCAGAGGCTGTCCAGGTACAGGCTTCTGGAGGCTTGCTGGGTAGCTGGTATAGAACTGAGGCTCTAGGAAGTGACTTGCCTGGGTCCCCCTCCCCTTGGTGAGGGGCAGAAATGGACTTCACTGGGCTGAGCTTCAGGCTGGACCACAACATGTACCCTGGCTGTTTCCAGAGGCCAGTCCTGAAGTCCAGTATCTGGACGCCTCCCCTCCAGGCCCTGGGAGTGGTACTCCCTGACTGCCTTCCACTGGGGCCGCCGGCACAGAGGTCACCCCAGGCTGGGATTCCTTGACTTTCCGCCCACTCCAGGAAATGGCCCTGTGTCCCGTGACAGCAAGGGGCTGTGTCCCAGTGACCCAGCTGAGCTCACCTTTGGACTCAAAGGCCACGGTGTAGCATTTCTGATAAGATTGAACTCTGCATCTTTACATGGTCTCTGGATTTTAATCCCATATTCTCTAACATCTCAAATGCCAAAGTCATTCATTTCAAAAAATTTGTACTGAGTGCTGACCATGGACAAGGTCCACAGGAGATCATAAAGAAAATGAAAGTGACACAGATAATGACAGCAACAGTAACGGGTTCTTCCTGTGGCCCAGACACAGCATGCATATGTGTATGTGCTTTTATTAACTCCATCCATTTGCAGATGAGGAAACTGAGTCATAGGCGGAGATACGAAGATAATACAGATAGCTTCCATTAGTACAGGACTTTATAGTTTACAAAGCTCTTTTGCTTCCTTCAATCTTCTGAAGTGTGTATGCAGATATTGTTATTACTCCTGCTTTGCAGAGAGTCAGGTCCCTGTCCTCGAGGAACTTGGGTGCCATGCAGGGGGAAACCCACCAGTAGTTTCAGCATTCACTTGGTTTTCTAGAACACAGTGGGGATGGGTGCTCAGTAAATGGGAGTGATTGTTTTCTTTGATGTCAGAGAAGGTGACATTTGAACTGGGCCTTGAAGGATGAGTAGAAGTTTGCTGGGGTCAGGGGGTGGGGAGGGCCTTCTGGGCAGGGGGAAGAGCTTGAGCAGGCTAGTGATGGTTGGGCAGAGGAAGGAGCACCATGTCAGGTGGGGCTGGGGAGTGGACCCTAGAAGACACGCGGGGCAGGGGGGCTTGGTCTGACCTTGAAGGAAGGGCAGGATGGAAGAAGGGGTGTGGGGCAGGGATGGGGTAGGTTGCTCTCTTGAAGAGGCTGGGCTGGGAGTTGAGAGATAATGGCTGCGTGACTCTGAGCAAGCTGGCCCCTTCTCTGGGCCTCAGTTGCCTCCTGGGTGCATTAAGGAAGCTGGGATGTGTAAGCTCAGACCCCTTCCAGCTCTGGCATTGGTGCTTTGTGGCATGGGGCTGACCTTGTTGGAGTTTGGAGCCAGGCCCCTGTAAACCTGTAGTTGATGGCTCCCTCCTACATTGTGGTTAATTCATGCCTAACACTGGGGTATGGGATACTTTGTCTTACTTCCCACCCACTGTTATGGAGGGCCTTCTGGGTGTCCTAGCTGTGGGAGGGGAAAGAGAAAGATCCAGGAATGAAAAAGCAGGGCCCTTGCCCTGGAGGGGTTTGTAGGCTAGTGGGGACCCAGACATAAAAGCAAACTTGAGAATCTAGTGAGAGGCAGCAGGAGAAGGACCTGTTTAGTTTGGTTAGGGCATCTAGGAAGGTTCCCTGGAGGAGGTAGCAATTGCTCAAGACTGTTCAGACATTATAAACATGAAAGATAGTGCCAGGCCCCTGACCAGCAGAAAGAATGACTGACCCAGCCAGTCTTGAGGATGTCCAGGGGCAGGAAATAAGGGATGTGGGGGCGGGGCCTGGTCCTGCCTGCAAAGTGCTTCCTCTGGGGTTGTGGGCAGCTAGCCTGGGATGCTGTTAGACCTGAGAGTCCCAGACTGGGAATGTGTCCAGTGACCTGACGGGCCACTCTTCAGAGCCACTAACACTCTGCACCTGGGAGGAACATGGGGTGGGGATCAGTTCTTTGCGGATCCTGGAGAAGTTGTGGCGTGCAAGGTTGGGGTCGGCAGAGTGGGGTCCCTGCTTCTCAGTGGGGCTGCATGCTCACTGTGCCCATCTAGAATCCAGGCCACCAGCCTCCTGAAGGGTTGCTTCTCCTACGGCCATCTCTGCCTCCCCAGGCCCTGGGGCCTGATGCCCTGCGACGGGGTGACGGGAGCTTGGCTGCACCGTGTTTCCCCCTTTGCCTTCAGTGCCTCTGTGAGTCAGGGCCTGGCGCGGAAGCAGCCACACGTGTAAGATTTGTCACCATCTGGTTCTGTTTTCCACTCTCTGCAGATCTTGCATTTTTGATGGGTTATACTGAGTAGACCCTGGCAGACGGCTTTGGGAGGGGCAGGGGAGGCTGCATCCCAGCCCAGCTGCTCACCACTGAACAAGTCACAGAAGCTCCTTCGGCACCTCCCTGTTGTCTTTAAAATGGGACTACAGTGTGGGGTGGGGCGGGGGGAGTTGAGAACTTCAGGGTAAGGGCCTTCTTTATGGGAGGCTGAAAATATTTTAAAATTGTGGCAGTGGTTACACAATTCTGAGAATATACTAAAAACAATTACAATATGCACTTTAAGTGGGTGAATTATATGGTATGTTATATCTCAATAAACCTGTTACTGGCTGGGCGCGGTGGCTCATGCCTGTAATCCCAGCACTTTGGGAGGCTGAGGCAGGTGGATCACCTGAGGTGGGGAGTTTGAGACCAGCCTGGCCAACATGGAGAAACCCCGCCTCCACTAAAAATACAAAATTAGCCGGTCATGGTGGGGATGCCTGTAATCCCAGCTACTCAGGAGGTTGAGGCAGGAGAATCGCATCGCTTGAACCCGGGAGGTGGAGGTTGCAGTGAGCCAAGATTGCACCACTGCACTCCAGCCTAGGCAACAAGAGCGAAACTGTCTCAAAAAATAAATAAATAAAAAAAATAAAATAAACCTGTTACTAAAAGCACCTGGCCTATGGAAGGGCCCCACGAAAGGTGGTGTTCGTAATTCCAAGGAAATAGTCTAGTTTGGGGGAAAGAGCAGGATGTGCTCACTCCAGCACAGATCAGCTGTGGGACCTTGAGCGAGTGTCTTCATCTCCCTATGCTTAGATTCCTCATCTGTAGGAAGGGCAGAGGAACAGTTGTCTATGGGGTTGTTCAGAGGATTAAATGAGATAAGGCAAAGTGTAGGGCATGGTTTATGGCAGGGCCTTAAAAATGGATAAAAGTCTGCAACCTCCGCCTCCTGGGTTCAAGTGATTCTCCTGTCTCAGCCTCCTGAGCATCTGGGACTACAGGCGTGCACCACCATGCCCAGCTGATTTTTGTATTTTTAGTAGAGTCAGAGTTTCACCATGTTGGCCACACTGGTCTCAAAATCCTGACCTCAGCCTCAGCTGATCCACCTGCCTCTGCCTCCCAAAGTGCTGGGATTACAGGCACCGCACCCAGCCAATCGTGATTACTTTTTAACAGTGATTATTAATAATGATAAATATTACAAATATCATCAGAGTCCCTTTATTGCAATGATATATAGATCATTGGCATTATCTGACTGGCCCTTGGCCAAGTCCTGGGGATGCAGGGATGAAGCTCAGCCCTCTGCCCCTGTATTCCAGAAGCCCACGGTTTAAAGGGGAGGCTGAACTGCACAGTAGACAGTAAAAAGCAACACAGACCATACTAAGCTTCAGTGATTTGTGGGAATACAGGGAAGCATAATGCATGCCAGGGGTGGCTTGGAGGTGAGTACTGAGAAGGAGGGGTGCTCAGGGAAGGCTTCCAGGGTAGGGGACATTTGGGCTGGGTTTTAAAGGATCAGTAGGGGTTTTCAAAGCCACGGAGTGAGAATTGTAGTCATTCTGTAGGGAAGGAAATCCTGTGTCTCTGCAAGATTCAGGAAATGGCAGGTCATTTCAGCTCTCCGTGGGAGAGGGAGAATGGTGAAAATGTAATTGGAAAATGTCAACCTCACCATGGAGCTTGGCCTTACCCCTGGCATCATGGGGAGCCATGGAGGTTTGTAAACAGGAGTCACATTAGTGTTTGAGAAAGACACTCATCCTTCCAGCTCGATGCTGGTGCACAGCAGACTTGTCTGTGGCTTTTTGGTCTCCTGTGCCAAACACCTGTCCTTGCCCCGGGGGCTGCTCTTGACTGGCTGGATGAGTGAGTAGGCGTCCTGTGGGCGCCCTGGGAAGCTGCGGGTCGGCTCCACATTCCACCCTGCTTTGGAGGTGTGGAGTGTGGAGGCTTGGAGTCTCACTGTGACCTACCCCCTCCCAGACACCCAGCTGGCTTGTCCCCTTACATCTTGACCTGCAGGCCTCCTGCCCTCACACATGTGTGCCTAGAGACCCTGGGAGGGGCAGGGGGCACCAGAGCCCTGTGTGTGGCCCCACATTGGTGCAGACCTTGCTGCCTTGCTGACCTGCCTCTCTAGCCTTATGGGCTCCAGCTCACAGATGGCTGTCCCCGCCCCTGCCCTGTCCAGGCTGGCCTGCTCTCGCCTCACTTTTCAGCCCCTTCCCTTGGCTGTGCTGTTCACACCTTCCCTGTCCCCTCACTTGATGTATGTCCCATTTCAACTACCAGTTCCTAGAAATCAGAGACTGTCTTAAATGTGTGCATTTCCTGGAGCATTGAGCATAAGTCTGGGCCCCTGGGTTGGAGGGGCAGGAGGTGGAAATTTCAGATGCACCAGGAGTAAGCAGGTAACAGAAGAAAGAGAAGAGGACCGGGTAGTCATAGGGGGTGGGATTATGGCAAAAGGGAGAGGACTTGCCCACTCCAGTGTCACTCTGGTATTATAAGAGGTTTGAGTATTGTAGGAGAAATGGGAAATATGGATTTTTAGGTAATTCTTAAGCCATTGTATGAACCAAACCCAGCAAGGCTGTTAGCTGGAGGCCTTGGGTTGCTTGTGAGCTCAGCAGCATGTGCTGGGGGGTGAGTGTGACCCTGGAACCAGCCCGCCTGGGCTGAAATCCCAGCTCTGCCTGTTACATGCCATGACCCTGAGCAGTTAGCTCACCTCTGTGTGGTTCGGTTTTCTCATCTGGAAAGTGGGGATCATAATAGTAATCACTTCATACAGTTGTCATGTGTGTAAAGGGTTTAGTGCAGTCCCCAGTACACTCAGCTGTTGCTATTACATGGTGTGGATTACTGGTTGGTTGAGTCTACCAGGTCTGAGGGGATGGTGGCAGGAAAGAAGTCAAGAGCACCCCATTTTTCTGGCTGCCACTCCCAGAGGGGTCTCTGGGTTTTCAGTGGGGCACACAGAGCCCGTGTTGGCCTTGGACCCCCTCAGGCCCGTTAGTTTTCTCGGGGTGCACCTTGCTTCTCCTTCAGTTTGCTGCTGGCCCTGAACATTCCCACCTGTAGTTCCCAGAGGTGCAGGGCAGAGTGTGGTCACCTATGTGTCCTCATGACCCAGCACTGGGCCTGCCGGACAACCGTCTGGGTGAGGAGGCATAAACTCCTGTAGTTAGATGAGGGGACAGCATTTGTCGTCCTCTCCGTGGCTATCTGGCCATCTGCTCCTAGGCCAGAGGTGGTGACTGCTGAGGCACGCACACTGCCATTTGCCCTCCTGCGCCCTGGCAGGCCCTGCAGGCCCGCTGTGGCACGCTGTCCCTGGGCCTCAGACCCCCCTGCATGTGCTCACGTAGTCACTCTCCGTGGGCCGAGTGGGCGTGTAGGGGAAACCCGTTTACCTCCCCGCCCTCAGCACTCCCTTCGTGAGCAAGTTTCTGTCTTCAGGGTGCACACCCTCTCTGAGAGTGGGAGCTGGTTTCTCATGTTTGCCACTTAGATAACCCGGTTTCCTGGGAAATACTGGGTACCTCTCGGCAATCTGTGTTTGCAGCACACGAAACAAGAAAGGGAGTCTTTGGAAAGAAAGGGGGCTTCTCCTGACCCGCCTGCCAGGGTGACTGTGGGTCTTCAGTGTGGAAAGAGGAAGTCACTGCTTCGTGATTGGGGCAATGTGAGGGCCTGGAGGACACAGAGGGGCTGTGGTCTGCATGGGAGTGTCTTGATCCCAGCCAAATTCCAGGAGGTGGGCAGCACAGGCTCTCCTGGGGAAATAGGCAGGGTGGGAAACTGAGTGACTATCAGTTATCATTCTTGTGTAACAAATCAGTCTAAAACTTGGAACTGAAAACAACATTGTGTCCTTCCTCACAACTCTGTGGGTGGGCTGGCTGGTTCCTCCCCTGCCTGCTCCAGCCTGCTCACGTGGCTGTGCTCCGCTGAAGGGTGGGCTGGGCTGGAAGGCCCAAGCTGGCTTCTTTTACATGACCAGCATGGTGCTGGCTGTAGGCCGCGCGGCCTCAGTTCTCTCTGTGGCCAGTTATCCTCCAGTAGGCCGTCTCAGGGTAGCACTCCAACAGGGGGAAGGTGGAAGCTAGAATACCCCTTGAGGCCTAGCCTTGGGAGTTGCATGTATTAGTTCATTCTTGCACTGCTATAAAAAAATAACTGAGGCTGGGTAATTTAGAAAGAAAAAAGGTTTAATCAGCTCACAGTTCTGCAGGTTGTACAGGAAGCATAGCGGCTTCCACTACTGGGGAGGCCTGAGGAAACTTCCAATCATGGCAGAAGGCAAAGGGGAGTGAGGTATCTCGCATGGCGGGAGCAGGAGCAAGATAGAGAGCAGGGGAGGGGGGTGCTACACACTTTTAAACAACCAGATCTCATTCACTGTCACGGTAACAGTGCCAAGAAGATAGTGCTAAACCATTCATGGGAAACCGACTCTGTGATTCAATCACCTCCTAGCAGGCCCCACCTCTAACATTAGGGATTACAATTTGAAATGAGATTTGGTGGGGACACAGATCCAAACCATATCATGGCATAAGATCACTTCTGCACCTTCTGCTGGTCAACGCAGGCCATAAAGCTGGACAAAATTTTCCAAGAGTGGGGAAATGGACTCTTCCATTTGAGGGAAGGAGTGGTAAAGTCTCATTGTAAAGAGATGGTGCACAGAAACAAGAGGACAAGTTGCAGCCATCTTTGCAAATATTCTTCCACATTGCCCCTAGGCAAGTGATTTGACGTCTCTGAGCCTCAGTTTATGTATCTGTAAAGTGGGTGTCCCTACCTTGTAGTTTTGTGGGTTAGAAATTATGCACTTAAAGTGCTGCCACAGTGCCTGGAGAAATAAAAGTTAGCATTTCTTCTTCTTCCTGCTGATGTCTTAGAATAAATAAGGAAACTGAGGCAGGATCCACAGCAGGTTTGTCTCCAGCTCTCTGGGCGCCCATGCCAGGGCTCTTCCCCCTGCTTTCCAGAGGCCCCCTCCTGTCTGGGCCGCTGTCTGTCTGAGCAGAGGCCCCGGGCCTGGGTCCTGGGTCCTGGGTCCTGGGTCCTGGGTGGTTTTCCAGTCCTCCAGCCAGTCTGATCTTGCAGTTTTACCTCCCTTGTCTCCTCATGACCATGCTTCACTGTCTGCCCTGGATTAATAACTTATTTATGATATGGAATAAAAGCCAGACATCACCTCACTGCGGCTCCTCCGGAGCAGAGCCGGCCTCCCATTCCAGCAAGGGCTGGTTTTATTTTTCTTCCTCTGTGTCTTCAGGCACTGGCTGGAGGGAGGGCGGCCTGAGGGCTGCTTAGCAGGCTGGTGAGAGTGATGGGGGCTGTGCTTGTCTCTCCATGTGCCTTCCAGCCCCAGGGTGGTACAGGCCCAGGGTGGGCTCTCAGTGAGGGCCCAGGAGATTCCACATTCCCAGGCACTGCAGTGGAAAGTTCCCAAACCATCCACCAGGCCCAGCATTCCATTTTCAGCATGTGGGTCTTGCCCTGCTTTCAAAGCCCTAAAAACAACAACAGTGATAATATTTACATGCTGCTTCATCCTTAGCAGCACCAAGGAGCTCCCTGTCAACATAAGCTCAGGCACCTGCAGATACCCTTGTGTTATGAAAACCTGCATGGATCCCAGCTCAGCGTACTTTCCACCATTCGCCCTGACTTTGGCCTGAGTTGGAGACAGCTGTGGCTGGAAAAGGCTTTGGGGCCCTCTAGCTCCCTCTTCATTTTCCAGTAGAGGAAGCCGAGGCTCAAGTTGGGGAGGAGATCCAGGGTCATGGAATAGCAGGTGAGTGTCAGGTGTCAGGGCACGCAAGGACCAAGGTTCCTGACTCCCAGGCAATGTTCCTCTCGCAGTTCCAGGCAGCCTCTCCTGTCAGTGGAAAGGCCAAGCGTATGTGAACAGAAACTCAAGGTCGTAAACTGTGTGCTGTCCCGTGATATGGTAGCTGTGGCAACAGCTTCAGAATGATTAATGCTAAAAGTGATTGGTCTAATGGTGGTGGGAGGTGAAGGGGCCTGGGGGTACTGAGTAGAGGTGTTTATGAGGCTCCCACTATGAGGGGGAGGGCTGCTTAACTTCTGCGTGTCATTGTCTTCTCTGAAACTGGGAGGCCAACTAAGAAAAACAGATGTCAATGGCCCAGTTAGTGGGATTTGATGCTCAAACGGAACCTTCTGGTGTTTCTCAGACTCAAGTCACCAGTGCTGCTGTTTTATCCATTTTCAAAATATTGGAGAGGGAGAGGGCTGCTGTTATGTACACATTACTTGTCATGGAACATTGAAAAACCCTGCAGTCTAATTTTCTTCTGCTTTCAGTAGCATGGCTGATGGGGCAGTAGAACAGGCCCCTTTTTAGAGAAATGTCTGGAGGTGAGATCGTTTGTTAGGACCAAGTTGGTCTGAATGCAAACTCTGTTCCCAACGGGTGGCTGAAGGCCTTTGTCAGCCTTTGCTTTTTTTTTTTTTTTTTAATTTATTTTTTTATTGATAATTCTTGGGTGTTTCTCACAGAGGGGGATTTGGCAGGGTCATGGGACAATAGTGGAGGGAAGGTCAGCAGATAAACAAGTGAACAAAGGTCTCTGGTTTTCCTAGGCAGAGGACCCTGCGGCCTTCCGCAGTGTTTGTGTCCCTGATTACTTGAGATTAGGGATTGGTGATGACTCTTAACGAGCATGCTGCCTTCAAGCATCTGTTTAACAAAGCACATCTTGCACCGCCCTTAATCCATTTAACCCTGAGTGGACACAGCACATGTTTCAGAGAGCACAGGGTTGGGGGTAAGGTCACAGATCAACAGGATCCCAAGACAGAGGAATTTTTCTTAGTGCAGAACAAAATGAAAAGTCTCCCATGTCTACTTCTTTCTACACAGACACGGCAACCATCCGATTTCTCAATCTTTTCCCCGCCTTTCCCGCCTTTCTATTCCACAAAGCCGCCATTGTCATCCTGGCCCGTTCTCAATGAGCTGTTGGGCACACCTCCCAGACGGGGTGGTGGCTGGGCAGAGGCGCCCCTCACCTCCCGGACGGGGCGGCTGGCTGGGCGGGGGGGGCTGACCCCCCCCACCTCCCTCCCGGACGGGGCGGCTGGCCGGGCGGGGGGCTGACACCCCCACCTCCCTCCCGGACGGGGCGGCTGGCCGGGCAGAGGGGCTCCTCACTTCCCAGTAGGGGCGGCCGGGCAGAGGCGCCCCTCACCTCCCGGACGGGGCGGCTGGCCGGGCGGGGGGGCTGACCCCCCCCACCTCCCTCCCGGACGGGGCGGCTGGCCGGGCAGAGGGGCTCCTCACTTCCCAGTAGGGGCGGCCGGGCAGAGGCGCCCCTCACCTCCCGGACGGGGCCACTGGCCGGGCAGGGGGGCTGACCCCCCCCACCTCCCTCCCGGACGGGGCGGCTGGCTGGGCGGGGGGCTGACCCCCCCACCTCCCTCCCGGACGAGGCGGCTGGCCGGGCGTGGGGCTGACACCCCCACCTCCCTCCTGGACAGGGCGGCTGGCCGGGCGGGGGGCCGACCCCCCCACCTCCCTCCCGGACGGGGCGGCTGGCCGGGCAGAGGGGCTCCTCACTTCCCAGTAGGGGCGGCCGGGCAGAGGCGCCCCTCAACTCCCAGACGGGGCGGCTGGCCGGGCGGAGGGCTGACCCCCCCACCTCCCTCCCGGACAGGGCGGCTGGCCGGGCGGGGGGCTGACCCCCCCACCTCCCTCCCGGATGGGGCGGCTGGCCGGGCAGAGGGGCTCCTCACTTCCCAGTAGGGGCGGCCGGGCAGAGGCGCCCCTCACCTCCCAGACGGGGCGGCTGGCCGGGCGGGGCGCTGACCCCCCCACCTCCCTCCCGGACGGGGCGGCTGGCCAGGCGGGGGGCTGACCCCCCCACCTCCCTCCCAGACGGGGCGGCTGGCCGGGTGGGGGGGCTGACCCCCCCATCTCCCTCCCGGACGGGGTGGCTGGCCGGGCTGAGGGGCTCCTCACTTCCCAGTAGGGGCGGCCGGGCAGAGGCGCCCCTCACCTCCCGGACGGGGCGGCTGGCCGGGCGGGGGGCTGACCCCCCCACCTCCCTCCTGGACGGCACGGCTGTCCGGGCGGGGGGGCTGACCCCCCACCTCCCTCCCGGATGGGGCGGCTGGCCGGGCGGGGGGCTGACCCCCCCCCCGACCTCCCTCCCGGACGGGGTGGCTGCCGGGCGGAGACGCTCCTCACTTCCCAGATGGGGTGGCTGCCGGGCGGAGAGGCTCCTCACTTCTCAGACGGGGCAGCTGCCGGGCGGAGGGGCTCCTCACTTCTCAGACGGGGTGGTTGCCAGGCAGAGGGTCTCCTCACTTCTCAGATGGGGCGGCCGGGCAGAGACGCTCCTCACCTCCCAGACGGGGTCTCGGCCGGGCAGAGGCGCTCCTCACATCCCAGATGGGGCGGCGGGGCAGAGGCGCTCCCCACATCTCAGATGATGGGCGGCCGGGCAGAGAGGCTCCTCACTTCCTAGATGTGATGGCGGCTGGGAAGAGGCGCTCCTCACTTCCTAGATGGGATGGCCGCCGGGCAGAGACGCTCCTCACTTTCCAGACTGGGCAGCCAGGCAGAGGGGCTCCTCACATCCCAGACGATGGGCGGCCAGGCAGAGACACTCCTCACTTCCCAGACGGGGTGGCGGCCGGGCAGAGGCTGCAATCTCGGCACTTTGGGAGGCCAAGGCAGGCGGCTGGGAGGTGTAGGTTGTAGTGAGCCGAGATCACGCCACTGCACTCCAGCCTGGGCACCATTGAGCACTGAGTGAACGAGACTCCGTCTGCAATCCCGGCACCTCGGGAGGCCGAGGTTGGCGGATCACTCGCGGTTAGGGGCTGGAGACTGGCCCGGCCAACACAGCGAAACCCCGTCTCCACCAAAACCAGTCAGGCGTGGCGGCGCGTGCCTGCAATCGCAGGCATTCGGCAGACTGAGGCAGGAGAATCAGGCAGGGAGGTTGCAGTGAGCCGAGATGGCAGCAGTACAGTCCAGCTTCGGCTCCGCATGAGAGGGAGACCGGAGGGGGAGGGGGAGGGGGAGGGGGAGGGGGAGGGGGAGGGGGAGGGGGAGGGAGAGGGAGAGCCTTTGCTTTTAAGCCAGCCACATATTTACACCTTTGGTCTGTCCAGAAACAGCCTGCCACTTTCCCCTCCAAGCCACTCCCGTCCCCCAGGCAGAGGTTCACATCCACCCCTTGAGGCTGGCAGGGGCCCACACTCTATGAGTTAGCTCCTCCAGCCTGAAGAGGCCTGTGTTCCACAGCCTGGCCGACTGCTGGCCTGGGTGCATCGTGCCTTTGAGGCTTTGTCACTTCAAAATTCATAGTCCCCGCGTAGGGAGATGCTAGGTAAAATATGCCGTCCCCTAATCCACGGCCACAGTTTTGGGGAAGCGGATCTCTCACAAGGGTGGTATACCCAAGGGAGTTTGTTTTAAGGCCTGACCCGAAGGATGCTTGTTTAGCATGGTTTCATTCCAAAGTCAGTTGTGCAGCACCAACCAGTTCATCCCCCTGAAGCTCACGTCTAGAAGAAGGACAGAGATACCTGGACAGGGATAGAGCACCTGCCAAGAGCCACCACCACAGAGCACAAAGGAGGGAGCAGTGATGGGGTGGCCTTCGAGCTGGGTGAAAGGGGCATTCCTAGTGGGGTGCACAGCAGGGGCGAAGGCGCGGAGGCCCATGGGAACTGTGGCTCTGGTACAGAACGGGTCCTGTGTGGCTCCATTGTGGGGATTTTTGTTGCTGGTAATTCTAAAAGGGAAACCAACACAGCATAATAAGAATAACCAGCACTGGGGTGGTGTGAGCCACCTCCTGTCTCTCCCAGATGATGACATTCGCCTTCCTGCGCTCCCTTGCCCCTGCAGTGTATTCGCCAACAGCAGCCTGGGCAGTCCTGTTACAATCCGAGTCCTCCATGGTTCGCGGCATTCCTCCCAGAGAAGCCAGCCAGGCCCTGGGCCGCCATCGCTCCTCCTCACTGCCCTCCCTGAAGGGAACATTCCTCCCCAGGGACTGCCAGGGCCTGCCCCTCAGACCCCTCAGGCTTTCACTCAAATGTCACCTTCAGAGCGACGTCCTCCCTGGCAACCTTATTCACAATTTCCAGCTCCAGTCCTCTCTTCTCCATGGCTCCTTCCATTTGGTATGTCACATATTTCTAGTTATTTATCGCCTGTCACCACCCTGCTGTAGAATGTTAGCTCCGTGCAAAGAGTAATTTTTGGCTGTGTCTCCAGCACCTAGATCAGGGGCTTCTCAGTCATCATCTGATGAATGAATGAGTGAATATGTGCTATTGCAGGCAAGGGTTTAGGAGAAGCAAGTTACAGAGACATAGGTGAACATGTGAAGGGAGGGGGTCTGGAGAGGGGGTCTGGTGGCTGCAGTGTGGGCATTTGTGCTGCTAGTGCCTGGCAGGTGAACTGTAAGAGTGTGGCCAAATCTGGAACCTGTGCTAGTGGTGCTGGTCCCTGGGCAGGGTTAAGGACAGGACCATGCCACCTGTCTGGGGTCTTCTGGCCAATTGTGTTTCATCTGCTCCTTCCACCCTTTGCAGAGGAGACTGGCCAGTGATACCTGGAGGGTCATTGTGTCATCAGGAGCCACTTGTGGGGCTAGAGCTAGCCTGGCATTCTCCCATGCTTACCTGCATTCTGGAGGGAACTTGTCTCTTGGCCACTGCCAAGTCCCTCATCGGCAGCTCACTACAGACCTGGCTATGCATCAGATGCAGTGATAAACATTTATGTGCGTGATCTCACGTGGGAGGCATGGTTTAAAACTAGTCAGCGACCCACTGGGCCAGGCTGCTGTAGGGCTCATTCGGAGGGGAGGCCTGGCTGGGACAGTGACCTGTGGGGCCCTCTCTTGGGCCTGTTCTCCACTGCCAAGGGTGCAGCACCTTGCCCAGTGCTGCTCACTGTCAGCTGGTGTGCGTCTGAGTGGCAGCGTTCAAACTGCAGGGCCTCCACGCAGGGTGCCGCTCCTCCGCTCAGGGCCTGGCAGCCACACCGCCTGCTGGCACTTGAGGGCTGCTTCCTGTCTCTTCATCCTGGAGCCATGGCTGCTTCCAGGACTCAGGGCCAAGCAGGGGCCAGGCAGAGCTCCTTCGCCGAGCTTGGTGGGCTATGATGGTGACAGAGGGGGAAGCCTCAGAGCCGCTTGGCTCCTGGGCACTCGGGAATGGAATCTGAGGGTGGCTGCTGGCCTGGCAAGATCTGCCCTGAGTCTGGCTGGGCTCCAGAGTGAGGGGTTTGCAGCAGAAGGCAGTCTCTGAGCACCTACAGGTCCTGCCTCTGGGCCAGGACATCTGCCTGTTGGCGGGGAAGGGGAGTAGAAATAAAAAGTGACCACCCCTCCTTTAAGAACTTCAAGCTTTTGGCTGGGCACGGTGGCTCACACCTGTAATCCTAGCACTTTGGGAGGCCAAGGCAGGGCCTCCCTTGAGGTCAGGGGTTCAAGACCAGCCTGGCCAACATGGTGAATCCCCGTGTCTACTAAAAATACAAAAATTAGCTGGGTGTGGATGCACACCTGTAGTCCCAGCTACTCGGGAAACTGAGGCGGGAGAATCGCTTGAACCTGGGAGGCAGAGGTTGCAGTGAGCAGAGATCGTGCCACTGCACTCCAGCCTGGGGACAGAGTGAGACCCTGTTAAAAAAAAAAAAAAAAAAAAAACAAAGAAAAAAACAAAACTTCAAGCTTTTGATGATCTGAGCAGCTCTGTTCTCCAAGGTGCTGGAGGACAGCCAGTCATCACCTTCATCATCAACATTAGCACAGAGGGACTCCTAATAATTGTCCTCACTCTCTGCACTATGGACCCCCAGCTTGGATGGCTGTGAGGGCATTGACTGGTCCTTGGCCACTCAGCAGATCACAGCTGCTCCCTCTACCTCCCAGGCTTCCCCCACGCTGGATCACTTGTGGTCTAGATGGCCCTTGGTCATGAAGTAAGAGGCGTGCGGTAACCCAGCCAGCTGGACTCCCTCTGTCCCCTCTCAGGGAACGTACTTATTGTATGCTCGTTTCCTCTCTTACTTGCCCATTTCTGGTGTTATGATGAACACACCTGTGCTGCTATTGCTCTCTTTATGAAACATGGATGACCACTTAAATGTCCCTTTTCGTGCCATTCTAAATGTCCCTCTTCTTGCCATTCCACTGTTTGAAAGCCTCCAGGGTTTGGATGAGTGGTTCTGAGCCCTGGATGCACGTCTGAATCACCCAGCAGCTTCCAGAATGCACTGACTCCTGAGCCCCACCCATCAGGTTTTGATTTCATCGGTCTGGGAGGTCGCCGTAGTTTTGTAAATTCCTCCAGGTGATTTTAATGACTATCTAGGGGTAAGAATGGCTGCTGTTGCCTCCTGGAAAGCCTACTGTGTGTCAGGTCAGTAGCTGGGGTCAGGTCTTTCAGACCAGAAGAGCCAGGCGGAGGAGGGAAGTAAAGGAAAAGACCACCACCTGCTGTGAACCCGGCTCCAGGAGGGCCATTTCCCATGCCTTATTTCATCTTCCCATCCACTCTTTGGTTTCAGATATGGAATCTGAGGCTGAGAGAGGGCTGGTGCCGCACAGCTGGGAAGGACCCTGCTGGGATGGAACCCCAGGTGTTTCCCTCCCCAGCGAAGCCTCTACACTACTTTGCAGGGAAGTTGAATGACAGAAAAGGAGAGATACATTATGTTTGCTTCCCTTTTTGTAAACTTTGTTTAGGGAATGGGAGTTGATTCTGTGTTCATTGTGGTAGGCACACACTCTGTGCCGAAAAGGTGTGCCTTTTGAGATAAGGACATCATAGAAAAGTTAGAAAATACCTAAAAGTTTAAAGAGAAAGAAATTGCCTACAGTCTTATTGCCTAAAGACAAGTCCCTAACAGCTGCGTATGTTTCTGCCCAGCTGTTTGTCTGCAGGTCTTTTTCACCTTTAAAATCATCCTCTATCAGTCCCCTTTTGGGGGGTAAGGACTTTTCCCCTTAGGATGTTCAACCACTGGTATTCTTTTTTTTTCTTGAGGACTTCTTTCCACTTACAGGCAGGACATCTGGGCATGTGTGGTAGTCCATTTTTATGTTGCTATAAGGAAATATCTGGGGCTGGGCAATTTATAAAGAAGAATTTTAGTTGGCTCATGATTCTGCAGGCTGTACCAGCATGGCTCCAGCACCTGCTTCTGGTGAGAGCCTCAGGAAGTTTGCAATCATGGTGGGAAGGAAGAGGAGCTGGCATGCCACATGGTGACATTGGGAGCAAAAGAGATGGGGGAGGTGCCACACACTTTAAGCAACTAGATTTTGTGTGAACTGAGTGAGAACTCACTTACCACCAAGGAGATCGTGCTAAACCATTCATGAGGGATCTGCCCCCATGATCCAATCACCTCCCACCATTCCCCGCCTCTAACACTGGACATCACATTTCAACATGAGATTTGGAGGGGATAAACATCCAAACTCTATCAGCATGTCAAAGACAGGCCATAGCAGAGCCAGGGGCTACAAGCAAACCCTCCTGTGGTTCCAGAATGTCACCCCCAGCACTGATCCTGCGGGCTCCCCTCCTGAGCCACTGGGGCTTCCATGCATGCTTCAAAGTGACAATGGTGATCATGAGAATCACGGCCGCAGATGCAAACACTAATATGGCCCTTGTGGCATGCTCGGGACCATCCTAGGTGCCTTATGTATATTGCTTTCTCAGAGCAGCCCTACAAGATGGTTGTGGTTATAATCCTGAAGCACAATGATGTTAAGTAAGTGTCCCAAGATTACATGATCTGAGAGTGGTGGAGCCAGCATTTGAACTCAGGAACTCTCTGGCTCTAGGGTCTCTGCATTTACCCACCACATTGCTTCTCCACTGAGAAAGACTTTTGCTGTAAATGCACTGGGCTCAGCAAGACCTCAGTAGCCTTTCACCCAGCATCTTCCAGGGTGTGGGGCCTGCAGAGGTCATGACCTTGGGAACTGTGGCCGAGTGGTCATCCCAGATAACTCTCTCCAGCTGGCAGAGGCTCTCTGCTTCCTGGTGTTTCTTTGAACCTTTGGCTTGTTGTGGCAGCGCTGATGGTGCTGGTATGGGGTGCCGTGCAGATGTACGTGGCAGAGCGTGCCAGTTGTGGACAAGTCTGGCAGCTTTCAGCCCCATCCTCCAAGAGCTCCTTCTTCCTGCCTGTCCCCAAGGCTGCAGCTCGGTCTGAATCAGCTTTCAGACTTTTTTTGGCTTGGGCCGAAGACTTGGCAGCCCCAGCCTCCAGCAGAGCTCCTGTGGCTTGGGGCTTCCACATCAGGTTTGAATTAGATGAAATCTCAGCGTCGGCAGGCTTTCATCCCAGCCTCGCTGACTCCCGCTTCCGTGGTAGCAGGCAGTCTGTGTGCCACATGCGTGTCGTCTCTGCATGAGTGTTTGCTGGAGCGTTTGTCGTCTGTGTGAGTCGTCCCTTTGTGTGTCCTCTCCGTGCTTGTGTATTATCTCTTTGCATGTTTCTCGTCTCCATGCATGCATATTATCTTTTTAATTAATAGCTTTATTGAGATATAATTCACATACCACGCAATTCGCCCATTTAAAATATGCAATTCAGTGGTTTTAAAAATTATATTCACAGAGATCTGCAATCACCACTGCTGTCAACTGTAGACCATTTTCATCACCTAAAAAAGAGACTATGTGGCCTTTAGCTATTCACCCCCGATCCAACATTACCCCAGCCCTTGGCAGTGACGAATCTACTTTCTATCTCTGTGGATTTGCCTATTCTATTTGTTTGAAGACACTTCATACAAACAGAATCATGTAATATGTGACCTTTTGCATCTGGCTTCTTTCACTTGGCATATTTTCAAGATTCATCCATCATGTAGCATTTACCAGTACTTCATTCCTTTCTACGGCAAAATAATATTTCATTGTATGGCTATATATATATAGTTTGTTTGTCCATTTATCCATTGATGGGCATTTGGCTTGTTTCCATCTTTTGAGTACTAGGAATAATGCTATGAACAACTTTTCTTTGCGTGGACATATGTTTTCTTTCTCTTGGGTGCTTACACTTTGGAAGGGGAATTGCTGGATCATGTGGTAATGCTGTTAATCATTGGAGGAGTATTGCCAGACCGTTTTCAAAGTGGCTGCGCTGTTTTACATTCCCACCAATGTATGAGGGTTCCAGTTTCTCCACATCCTTGCCAACCAACACTGGTTATCTGACTTTCTGATTCAAGCCATCCTATTTCTTTGTGGTTTGGATTTGCATTTCCCTGATGACTGATGATATTGAACATCTTTTCATGTGCTTACTGCTATTTGTAGATCTTTCTTGGAGAAACGTCTGTTCAGATCCCTTTCCCACTTTAAAACTGGGTTGTCTTTTAATGATTGTGTTGTAAGAGTTCTTTATATATTCCAGATACAAGTCCCTTATCAGGAGAGGAGAGGCCGGTCTCTCATGTCTTTTTGCACCCCCACCTTACCCCCATCAAGCTTAGCAAGCTGTATGTGATTCATAAAGACTTAAGGACATGTTAAGGGAGGAAGAGATCTGGGTCACTTTGAAGAGTCCCTGCAGGAGCCATGGTTCCAGGGTGTGGGGGTGTGAGGGGTGGGGCTGCCTCTCTTACCTGCCGTGAATCAGAGACAACAGCCCCGGATGGCCCATTAGAGGTTCTGGCCCCTGCAGGTTATGTAGGGTGTTGCTTTCAGCTGAACTGACTGATGGAACCACCAGGGTTGGGGGACTTGAAAAGACCTAGATCACTGAGCCTGTCCCTCCTCCTTGATTTTGGGGTAGAGCAACTGGGAAAAAGGCAGTGTCATTTACTGAGATGGGGAAGACAAGGGGAGGAGTGGGTCTGGAAGTCAAACCCAGAGTTCTGTTCCAAAGTTTGAGATGACCAGTGGAGATCCAGTCTCTATCAAGGAGGCTGTTGGATAATCACAAAGGAATTTCAGGAGGAGCCAGGGCTGGGGATATAAACTGGAAGTCATTTGCAGTCATGCAGTACCTAAAGCCATGGTCCTGGGGACATGCCAGGGAGAGCTGATGATGGGAGGAGCTGTGTGAGACCAGGACAAAGAAGTGATTGCTGGCTATGGCCATGTTGTGGTCACAGGTAAGCAGTTTCCAGGAAGTGGTGGCTCTAGAAGGCCACTTGAGGTGGGTAGAGGAGAAGCCAGGGGGTATGGAGGTGGTGAGTGTAGACAACGCTTTCTGCTGTGGAGGGAAGCAGTGACATGGGCAGTAGCTGGGCAGGGATGGGAGGTAGAGAGTTTCAAAGATGCGGGACACTCGAGTGTGCTTGGATGCAGATAGGAATGGTCTTGTAGAAAGGAGAGTGTGATGAAGCTGGAAAGGGGGTGCTAGCTGCAGGAGCTGAGTCCTTGAGGAGGTAACAGAGAGGTGATCCTGAGCACGGAGTAGGGGGACCACATCCAGCCACAGAAGAGGAGAAGGGGCCCAGCTGTGGGAGGACAGTGCGCAGCAGGGTGGTGGGAGCCTTGGAGTATGAGACTGGGCAGGGGGGCAGTGTTGGGGGTCTGAGCCATTTGGGAGAGCTGGGACACAGACCGTTAAGCTGTTAGTCTTAACAGGGAAGTGCAACAGAACCTCAGCTTCATGCTCATGTGAGGTGAGCTGCTGATTTCAAGTGAGAACAGTAGGCACCTGTGTGCACGCGTGGAGTAAGTGGATGGTTGGGCTGAACCAGGGTGGAGAAGCTTCCCTGGGACAGCAGGATAGAGGGAAAGTGGGTGAGAGAGTATGGGTGTTTGCAAGAGAATTATTGTGCAACTAGACCTAGATGTCCAGGGTGGTGAGAAGGGAAGCGAGGATGTAAGGATCACACCTTGGAGGTCCCGATGAAGTTTAATAATAACTGGAGCCAAGTGCTAGGGTTAGGTGAGCAGGGCAGTGGGGGAAGAGAAGGAGCCACCTGCGGTCGAGGTTTCTGGGTTGTAGCAGCCCATGTGGTCTAGCCAAGGAGCGTGGCTGGCAGTGGCTGGGAACAGTGCATGCAGATGCAGGTGGCCCTGTTGAGGGGAAGCAGCCACCCATTGAGGAATCTGGTGGAAGCCATTTCTGATCCTTGTGTGTATCACCCCAGCATCCAGTTGCTGGGTTTTCTTTTGTTTCCTACAGTGGAACAGTTTCAAGCTGGGTTTGATGGAAGCCTAGAACCTGAGACAGCACAGCTGACCAAGGGGTGTCGGTGGAAATAAAGCCCTTGTGATAGAAATTCCAGAACAAGTTCAGACCCAAGAATGCACTCTCCTTGGGAGGTGATGGGGTGATTGGCTGAGAGGTGGCCTGCTCTGCTACTTTCTCCTCTGGGGAAGCCCCAGATAGGCCAGCCTTGGAAGGAGAAAGGAGAGGCAGTCTGGCCCACTCCTCAGCTGGCTTCACTGAAGCTACTATCTTGAAATAGCCCTTCTGGGCATTTGGCAAACGTAGGCTGGTCCAAGCGGCAGCAGGCGAGGGGACTTAGGATCCCCCTTTCCCAGGGCCTGCAGCTGTCTCCTGAGAGCCAAGCCACTTGCAACTGTCTGGACCCCAGGCCAGGTCCTTGCTCATTGTCTCTGTACCTGCCCATGTCTGACATGTCTCCCAGTCCTTGGGGATCTCTTCTGTGCTCCTCTTGGAGAACTCTTTGTTGGCTCCAGGTACCCTTGCCTCCCAGTTTACATGCACATACATGCAATTTGAGAATAGATGTACTTTAATGTACACATGCACACATACGTACTCATTTCAAAACAATTTGGCCTCAATTACCTGCTATAATATCTGGGACCTCATCCTGATAGTAGACAGCTGTGGGTGACCCGCTGCACTTGCTCAGTTGTGGTTCACAGCGGGACACAAGGTGATTTCTAAGCCAGCACTCGCCTCCCTAGTTGCCACGTGACCATGTCTTCTTTGGGTGTCCTGGGCTTACACCCTGAGGGGCTTTCCCTGAGGGGAACCCATACTGGAAAACCTGTCAACATGGCCTGGAGACCTCTGGATGAAGAGGCAGCCGAATGTGTTACCTTTGCAACCAAAACGATGTCATGTTGGAGAATCCACAGTCCTTCCCATCTTCCACCCTCACCATCATTCAGCCACACACCTCCCAGGGAAGGCACCTCAGAAGCAGCCACATTAAAGGGAGTTTAGCCCAGCTGAGAGTGGCCAGATTTGTGCACTGGAGAATTTCCATTTGGGGAAATTGGACAAGGGCCTATGGGTATGTGGCTCAATTGGATGTAATCAATGATTCTTTGTTTTAGTTTTACTGTGTGAAGAACCTATCTAGTACATATTTCCTATTTGTTTACTGTTTGTAAAAGAATAAGATATAGTTGGAAATTCAATATGGCTGATATTTATTTTCCATCCTACCAGAATTTATTTCTCCTTTTTTCTTGATTTTTTTATACAGAAATTTGATTTGATTTTAGCACTTTAAAATTAGCCACCACTTTTCAGAAATATAAACATTCAATAAATTGAGAGACGGGAGTACTTTAATGAGGAGGCAGAGAGCCAGAAAGTGCTCACTGCCAGCCAGTCTATGCTGTGTGGTGCCTGGTTTCCTGGCCACGGCAGAGATTCAAGGGAACTTGGGCCAAACCTCTCATTGTGCAGACAGGGAAACCAAGGTCTGAGGGGGAAGGAACTGGGCCCATCTTGCCTCCCGGTCTGGTGGCCAAGCCTGCCTTCCTGTCTTCTCTGTCTAGGAGGAGAGTCTCTGCGGCCCAGGCAGAGCCCAGACCTGGATGAGAGCTGCCTGTTGAGGCCTGGGTAGGATGCACGCAATGGGACAAGGACCATCTCTGGGGAGGTTCCGCCCTGATCCCTTGGGGGCTGATGGGATCCACAGTCGCATAGAAATTTAGAAACTTATTCCTCAGATTACGTAGGACAGGGCTTGGGTCTGGCTTCTTTGTCCTAAACAGTTTACTGGGATGGGGAAAGACAGATCTTTTAACCCTTTCCTGGGGAGAGGCCTAAGAGTGTGGAGGCTGGACCCCGGACCCAGGGTCCTGCGGGTTCCCATTCTGCTGAGAACAGTGAGGGTGTGATGAGGATGGTCTCCGTAGGGGTAAGAATCCTGGGGAGTGGGAGGGACCATTTCTTTTATGGGCTGTGCCCTGCCCTCCCTTCTCATATCCTTGGTGAGAGGTGTGCTGGCCTCCATGGGAGGGTTTTGCCCAGAGGTGGAGAGTTGGAGAATGAGTGTCCTTGCTCAGCAAGGTCAGACCAGAGGCCCAGGGATTTGCAGGTGGTACTAGGAAAGCCATGTTTTCTTGCTCCAAGTGGCTCCTGACAGCAGAAGCAGGCCTGGGGGCTGAACCCAGGTAATACAGTATTGTAGTTAAGAATGCTGGCACTTACTTGCTGGGTGACTTTGGGCCAGTTACTTAACCCTTCTGAACCTCTATTTCCTCATCTGTGCAATGGGTCTAACATTACTGCCTACCTTATAGGGCTATAAAGATGAAATAAGATAATATATAAAAATATGAGCGGCAGGTACTGTTGTTAATAACAATGATAAGAAAACTATTTATAAAGGATGGAAAGTAGGGAAGTGTGTTCATGCTGAATACAATGTTAGGAGTGTCCCTACACAGAATCTGTTACATCTTGAGGGAGGGAGCTCTCTGTCACTGGAGGCATCCAAGTAAAAGCTAGAGGTCTCCTAACTGGGGAGGTTGTCAAAGTATAATGCCTCAGACTGGGACGAGCACGATGATCTTGAAAGGTCTGTAGCCCATGATTGTGGGCCAGAAGGAGGGGGTGGGCTGGAAGGCAGTGGCTTCATTCTGGAAACTGTATCCCTCATATGAGACACTGAGCCCTGGAGGCCACGTGGAGTCACTAGGCTGTGGGGCAGGGAATGCTAGGTTTGAAGGATCCTCTTTGTGGAGCCATTTAACCAAGCCCCAGAATGGGGGAGGGCCTTGACCAGGTGCCTGGTGTGTGGGAGGGGCTGAACAGAGCCTTCCACTTCCTGGTCTGGAGAGTTCGCCCTCTGCTAGGCAGCTTGAGAGGCGTGATGGACCGAGACGGTGCAGGCCACTGCCCTGGACCAGCCAGGTTTGTGTGCCTGTAGCCTGGGTGGAGCAGTGGCCTCTGACTCATGCTGTCTCCTGCTTGCTTGTTCCAGGGGCAGGAACAGCCCCTCTGGGTATCAGACACGGGTGCAGAAAGCGGGATGGGATAAATCATGCAGGGCTTGGCTGAGAGTTCATCACAGGCCCTCACGGCAACAAAGCTGCGGTAGGCCTTGGAGGTGTGTCCCGGGCCTGGAGCCACCAGCTGGAAGACAGGCCTCCTGTGGGGAGTTCTGCAGGCGTACAGTGGCAGAGGCTCTTGGATTTGGCCACCACTTTTTGTCCAGGTTTGGGCTCAACCTCTGTCCCTGAGCCTGAATGTCCTGGTCCCCTCCCCACACTGTCCTTCCTGCATTTCCACCCTCACCTGGGGGTCCTTCCCCTCTACCTGGTATGCTCTTTCCTTCCCGGGTTGGTTTCTTTTGCACCCTAACAATTTCTCCCTTCTGCCTGCTGTGGAAACCTGGGCTGACAGTCCCTGGGTGACCTTGTGACTCTGCCTGGATGGGACTGTGAAGGGAGAATCTCCTTGTCTCTGGTGGCAGAGAGGAGATGTGTCTGCAAGGACAGGGGACATATAGCCTGTCTGGGAGGAGGGAGGATGAAGCTGGTGTAGGAGGAGCTGAGGGGAGTGGTGGCAAGAGTGTTGGGCCTCTCACTTCCAGTCTTAGCCCCTGCCTAGGTGTGTCCTGGGGCTAGTACCTTCCCCTTCAGGCCAGGGGGTTTGAGTTGAATTTCTAATCCTTGCAACCAGGAACCTGATGGATAGTCATCCTTCAGGACCCACAGATGGCACCTCCTTTGGGACACGTGTCCACACTTCGTCATAGCACCGGGCAGGACGTTGGCAGCCCTCGGCTCTTGGGCCTATTTTTTCCATTTGTCCCTGCCCATAGGAGGCACACAGTAGGTATAAAGTCAAAGTGCTCTGCATGGATGCATGGATGCTCAGTATAAGGTTTGACGTTGACATTTTAACAAGCACACCAGAACTTTTGCAGACAGTTGAGTGTTACCTGACAAAATGGTGACAGGGAAGCCTCAAATTTGTTCCAATAATGCCATTTGTCCCTGGGAACATTTCTTGGCCTCCTGATTGGGCCTGTTTATGAAGCACAGAAGGCAACCATCTTGGTTTGGCTCCAAAATGATGTTTTCTGTTTGATCCACAGAAACAGCTAGAAGGGGCAAAGAAAAGGTTGGCTGCTGCTGGAGGCTTAGTGATGGGTGTTCAGTCGGACTTGGAGGGGGCTCCTAAGATGCAGCCTCAGAACAGAAGGAGGTGGGAAAATGGGTGGAATGGAGTTGTGTTGTCACTGGAGTTCCAATTCAAATGGAGAAGGTCTAGTGAATTTATAAAAACACTTCCTTCATTCACTGCTTCGTGTTCACAGCTGCGCTCCCAGTCCTTGGTATGTAGTAGGCACTCAATAGATATTTGTCGAACGAGTGAAGGAATTCAACAAATATTTATTTGCTAAATAATGCCTACTATTTTCCATCCACCACGGTAGGTGGGCTGCTCTTGGTACTTTGTAGGATGACATGGTGTGTGTGTGCGTGTGTGTGTATGTGCACGTGTGCATATGCAGACACACATACACGAACCCACATCTAGTTGTATGTTTCATTGGCCCCTGTGATGACCGCCTTCACTGGGGGATAATAACACATTTTCTGGACTTTGCCAACATATTTTTTTGTTTTTATTTCCAAGGCCAACACCTGATTTTTTTAAAGGGAATATTTGATGTAGGGAATCATTAGATTAAAAACATGCATTCCTGGCTCATTTATCGTGAATGAGCATTAGCTGCCCTCCTCCCCGGCCTCCAACCCCCATCCTGCCATGTGCACACCCACGTGCTTTCAACCTGAAATAACAGCGCTTCATATTGGAGTGGGGGACAAACACGCACCTTAGGGATAATGAGCCTTTGCCCCTAGGATCTTCCTGTCTGCCTCTAGGTAAAGCAAACCCCTGTGATGTGCTTCGGGCTGGAGTGCAGTGCCTTGGTGTATGTGCATGTGCCTTATGGCAGTGGCTTTTGTGCCTCTGCTTTTTATAAGCAATGGAAGCTCTGATGTAATGAAATTTTATGTAGAGCCCCATGGATAGACAACACTGTAAAAGTGGATCTACTTTGCTGAAAGGAGGGTGGGCCCCTTTGCTCAGCTTTCCTACCACCTCCTCCCACTCCCCTGCCAGGGCCTCATAGAACATCCTGGAATCCCAGGGCTCCTCAAGGTCCTGGAGGAAGAGCCTGCAAGCATGTAGGGTCACATATGTGCATTCACAGATGCTCGCCTGTCGGCTGTACTGTGTGTTCATGCCTCTTATTTCTCTCTTTCCCGCTGCTTGCCGTCCCTGGTTCAGGCGGGCCTCATCCGCACAGACAGCACCGACTTCTTCATTGAGCCTCTGGAGCGGGGCCAGCAGGAGAAGGAGGCCAGCGGGAGGACACATGTGGTGTACCGCCGGGAGGCCGTCCAGCAGGAGTGGGCAGAACCTGACGGGGACCTGCACAATGAAGGTAGGCTGTAGGTAGGGGCCTGTGTGCTGCTTCTCTCCCTACCTCTGGAGTGTTTCCCGGTCACTTCTGTCCTTAAGCTGTCCATGTCTGGCCTCAGTCTTCTTATCTGTAAAATGGGACTGGGCCACATAGACCTGCTGTACTGGCAGAGAAACCCCATTGCGTTCTAGAAGCTGCTGTAATTGGCTGGAGCTAGGGGCCAGAGGAGTCACTTGTGTCCTGAACTGTGGTCCCTGGGACTCCAGAGGTCTCTGAGGAGCTCACCATTGCTTCTCAAGGCTATTTCTGAGGCAAGGCAGAAGGTAGAATGCCTGCAGTGAGTTCTTCCCCCCTAAAATTGACTCAACCCTTGGGAGCCACAGGAAGGGAGTTATTAGGGCACCTGCAGGGAGGCTGCCTGGTGTCTGGGCGTCATGGTCAGCTTTGTGTCCCGTAGACCATTTTACAACCCTACCTTCAAGTCTGTCTACTGTGTGACCCTAGCAAGTTACCTAAGATTTCTGAGCCCTCATTTTCCTCATCAGTAAAGCAGAGATGATCCATGTCTACCTGTAAATGTTATATGTAATGGTGATGGTATCTGTGAAAATCCCAGTATAGGGCTTGGCATGTAGTAGGTGCTGGATAAATGGCAGCTCTCCTTACAGTATTATTAAGGGTAACTGCTGACATGTTAGGGTGGGAACCCCCTGAGGGAAGGGGTGTCCCTGCGCCCAGGCGACCAGTGCAGGAGGCTACACACCAGAGGCACTCAAGACTTATGGTTGGGCGAATGAAACTGGATGTGACAAGTGCTGGTCCTAGGCCCGCTGGTCAACTTCACAGTGTCACAAAGCTCCTTTGGCCAAGAGGAGATGAGGAGGCCATGGGTGAAATCTGGTTATGACTGGACCGCATCCTTGTGCCAGCTCCCTATGGGACTGGGCCTGGTGTGAGAAATGCCTGGAAGCTAGTTGTCCTCACAGACAGTGCATCCGTTGAAGCTCCAGTTGCTCTCCAAGTATCACTCATAAGAGAAGCTGTGGCACCAGAGCCAGAGGGTTCTGCAGGCCTAAGGTGGGGAGGGCAGGGCTGGCGGGGCCTCTGAGCACTGGCGTGGATTTCAGGGCACCCTTCTCTCCACCAGGGTTGAGAAGAGGGCTGAGTCTCCCCTGGGCTCCATTTTTTAAAGGACGATTCTGAATCCAAAGACCATAAGGTCCCCTCTTTTAGGAAGAGACGTTGGGGAAGTCCAGCTCCAGAGCTGTGAGCCTGGAACCAGCTGCATCACCAGCCACCATGGTGGGCAGCTGGGAAGCTGAGACCACTGAGCACACGGAGCTGGAGTTCAGACCCAAAGAAATGTGGCTGCGACTCTTGCCCCACACCAGGCTCCGGGGCTGGAACTCCAGTGAGGCCAGGCCCTGGTCCATCTACGGGCCTTCCTTAGAAAGACCAGGGGCAGGAGAAGACTTTCTTGGAAACCTGTGACTTGTACTTTTAGTTGAAGGCCAGTCGTGGGGCTGAGCCCAGTGTGGGGAGAAGCATTTCTAGGCGTGCCTGTCTCCATTTCACAGCTTGATTAAAGCCAGAGGCTTCAGCTCAGCTCTTTGGGTCTAGTTTTCAGCACACAGAGAGGTGCCTCAGAGGCCTGGCCAGGTGCTCAGAGCCTGCCTAGCAGCCGGCTAAAGGCTTTTGGGGAATCTTCCTCAGGCTGGGGACCTTCACATCTCCAGCTGTGGCTGAGGCTGTGGAGGGGATTCCAGCCCCCTGCTCCACTGTCAGGGAGTCTGAGGTGCACCAGTGAACCTGGAGTGGAGGGGACAATTCCTCTCGGCACTCAGTAAGGCCTCAGCTGCTGCTTCCTGAAAAGGGCATGTGTGGGCCCACACACTCACATCTACCCATGCACTCTCCCACACACTGACACCCACACTCACAAACACAGACCCATATACCCGCACTCACCCTTACTGGCACACACCCATGCACCCACACTCACACGTGGACACATACCACCCATACACTCATGCTCACACACTGACACAAACACACGCTCACAAACACACACCCATACACCCACACTCACACATAGACACACACCATCTATACCCTCATGCTCACACACTGATGCAAACACACGCTCACAAACACACACCCATACACCCACGATCACACATAGACACACACCACCCATAGATTCATGCTTACACACTGACACAAACACACGCTCACAAACACACACCCCCTACACCCACACTCACACATAGACACACACCACCCATACAGTCATGCTCACATACTGATGCAAACACATGCTTACACACATCCATACACCCACACTCACACATAGACACACACCATCTATACCCTCATGCTCACACACTGACGCAAACACACGCTTACAAGCACACACCCGTACACCCACACTCAAACACTGACAAACACATGCTTATACCCACCCGCACTCACACACCTGCATACACACATACAGACCCCTCTATACACTCATACACTCTCACAACCCCACATCCACACACTGACACCCCCTACATACTCACACACCCCTTCACACACTCGCACACTCTCAAACACACTCATACACACACATGCTCATATACACATACTCTCATATATACACACATCCATGAATGAGCCCCAGAGAAGAGTTAGGTGATCCTTTCCCAAGGCTTTGGTGAGAAATTGAACCGTTCAGAGTCCAGGGGCAGGAATTCCCGGTGCTGGGCCACCAGGCTCAAGCTGGCCCTCACCCCGCGGCCCTGCCTTGGCCCCTGAGGCTGCGTCCTGGATGCTCTCCTGCTCCTAACGCTTCCCTCTCCTATTTAATCCATGGTCCTACTCTCTGGAGCCCCGTTCCCACCCCCAGTTCCCTCCTGAGGACACTAATGGGGTATGTGCTCCTGCAGCCCGAGCTCGGGCTCTCCGTGGGGCTGCCCATGCCAGGGCCGCCAGCCGGGCTGGGGCTCAGGGCGGCTGCTTTACAAGCAATTGAGATAAAATTCACCATTTTAACCATTTTGAGGCATATGATTTGGTGGGTTTTTAAAACTATATTCACAATGCTGTGCAACCATCACCTCCATCTAATTCCAGAAGATTCCCATCCGTTAGTTGTAGTCACTCCTGTTTCCCTGCCGTCCAACGCCCCCTGGCAACCACTAATCTACTTTCTATCTTTCTAAATAGGATTTGCCTATTCAGAACGTTTCATGGAATGAAATCATGTGGTATGTGCCTTTGGTGCCTGGCTTCTTTCACTCAGCATGTTTTCAAGGCTCATCCATGGGATCGCCTGTCTTGATGCTTCTCTTTATGATGGAGCACTAGTCCAGTGTATGGGCATGCCACATTTATTCATTCATCTGGTGGACACTGGAGTTGTTTCTATCTTTTGGCTACTATGAAATGCTGCTGTGAACATTCATGTGCAAGATTTTATGTGAACATACGTTTTCAATTCTCTTGAGTACATACTTAGCAGTGGAATTACTGGGTCACATGGCACCTCTAGGTTTAACTTTCAACTGTATTTTCAAAGCAGCTGCACCATTTTACATTGGCTTGGGGCTTCTTGGATGGCTCATGGCAGCTTCCCAGTGGCTGGTGGGCCCTGCTCTGCCCTGAGGGTTGTCTGCTCCTGTCATCCTGAAGGATGAGGGACCCACAGAAGAGGGTGTGGCTGGAGCCCCCCCACAGCATCCAAGGCTGATGCTGGCTGGTCCTCCCCAATTCCCCAGAAAGTCTGCAGAGAGAGAATTATGGCTGTGCCCCGATAGACAGTGGTCATGGCTGGGGGAGGCCTGAGTTTACATTCCGGGCTGTTGTCATGAAGCTGCTGCGTGACCTAGGGCGAGTGGGGTAACCTCTCCAGCCTTCCTGTGACAGGCCTGGCAGGGAGGGCTCTGAGGGGTCAAGTGTGGCATTCCACTCGCAGGGCTTACACTTCTGAGCACAGCCCATGCGTTGGGAGTGACTGTTATTTTTCTCCCTGCTCCATGGAGAGAGCCTTGCGCCTTCCCCTCCCCTGCTGGGGGCTGCCCTCCTCTCTCCCAGGAGTTTGGCTGTGGGCTGCTGCGCTTGCCATTGGCTCAGACACCAGGGCCACCAGAAGCTGCCTGCAGTGTGAGCTTAGAGCGGTGCCAGCCTCAAGGGTAAGTGAGGGAGAAACCCACCTGAGCCCTGCTCACCAGGCTGTGTGTCCACCCAGAGGGCTTTCCCTGCCAGGCCAGTGGCCACACGTTTTTCCAGCTCTTAAGTCTAGGGCTTTGTTCCTTTGCACTATAGCACCACTCAGCAAAGAGGAGATAAAAACAAATGGTGACACCAAGCCCTGTGTGTTCCCTGTTACCTGTCCTCAGATCCCCATTACCTGAGCACCCGTGTGGGTAGCAGCGTAGAGGCGGCTCGGGTCTCTGCAGAGGTTCCCATGGATGCATCCATGTGCATCACCCACGTGTGGACGGGGTCTGCACTCACTCGCTCCCATGTGTAAAATAAACAATCACAATGGATTGTGCAGGGGCAGGGCCCTCTGCCCCCTGTGCTGAAGCAGGTTATCTCCTGCTCTCTGTTCAGCCCCAGCTTCAGTGACCCCTCCTCTGGATGCCTTCCCCAACAGGTCTGGATCTCCAGTGGGGTGCCTTCTCTGATCAGTCCTGCTGTAGTCTTTGATATTCCTGTATTGTTACAATCCAATTTCTTATTTGTCCCCTCTACTAGGCAGTGGGCTTAAGGGCAGAGGCCCGGCCTTTATCACCTACCCACCGTCCATCCATTGACTAGTATGGGGCCCCTCCTGCTGCCACACCCCTAATACATGCTGGGGATATTGTGGTGGCCTCTTCACATCCTCAGTCCCAGCCTCCTATCTGGGGAGTTCTCAAATAACTGGGGATAAATGAAGGTTCTTAGAAATTAATGGTATGAGTATCAAAGCTTCAGAGTGAGATGGAGGGAAAGTCATTAAGAGTTAAGGCTCTGGAGCCTTCTTGACAGACCCCAGCCTCCTGTCCTGCCTTCTTAGCTTTCCCCGTGAGTCTCCATGCACCCTCACTCCACCGCCCCAGCAGAGTGTATTCTATCTTCATTCAGGCTATAGCATAGATGACTGACAGCGCTCAAGTTGTTACCCTTCTACGTGGCGGCATAGATGGTAATGTTTCAAAGCATGGGCTTTTGATTCAGACAGACCCACATGAGAAGCTACTTAACATCTTTGAACTTCAATGTGTTCACCTGTGTAATGGGGACAACAATCTGATAGAGTTGTTGTAAAGATTAGACTAGATTGGGTTGCATTAGATTAGATTAGAGGTCAGTAAAGGTAAGGCCCAGGGCCAGATATAGCCTGGCAGCTGTCTTGTAAAGGAAGTTGGATTGGAACACAGACACACTCACTCACAGTCTCATCTGCGACTGATTTTGTGCTTCGGTGGCAGAATCGAATGGTTGTGACCGAGAATGAATGACCCCCAGAGCCTAAAATATTTATCTGGTCCTTTACAGAAAAAGTTTAGTAACTCTTGGATTATATAATACAAGTTAATAAATGCTATTTTGCTTTTAGCCAAAAGGGCAGAGCAGCGATGGTGAAATCTGGGGTCACTGACAGTTCTTGGGTGGGATTTGAGAGGCTCAGTGCTCACAGGAGTATCCCGGAGTTCCTCAGATGCCCTATGGAGGCCACAGTAGCCCCATGACTTTTCTCCTTTATGGAGATATTGCCAACTTTGATTTTTACAGCAACCTTGTGGGTTAGAGATAAAGGGTGGTTCATCTTCATGTTATAAGAGAGACAATGGAGGCCAGAGAAGCGAGGGATTGGGCCTGGGACGCCCACAGAGATAGGATGAGTGGCTCCCGGAACCCAGGCTTTCTGCTCTGGGCCAGTTCTCACCCCTTTGCTACTCATTGCTTCAAAGATTTAGCAGTGCCCTCATGGCAGGAAAATGGCTCTTGCCCATGAGTTGACCTAGTATGGAGCAATCCCTCATACTACTTTACTTACAGAGGCAGGGAAAGGGGCACCAGTGATGGGGACAGAGGTGGGTGGTGGGCAATGTCACAGTGACAGCCCCTCCTGTGGGTTGGACCTCACTCTCTTCCTGTCTTGGTTCCAGCCTTTGGCCTGGGAGACCTTCCCAACCTGCTGGGCCTGGTGGGGGACCAGCTGGGCGACACAGAGCGGAAGCGGCGGCATGCCAAGCCAGGCAGCTACAGCATCGAGGTGCTGCTGGTGGTGGACGACTCGGTGGTTCGCTTCCATGGCAAGGAGCATGTGCAGAACTATGTCCTCACCCTCATGAATATCGTGAGTGTCCATGTGTCCTAGGACTTGGGGGGAGTGGGGTGGGGTGGGCCCCACCCCACCCCACTGGGCCCCAGTGCTGATCCAAGTGGAAGTTTCTGGGGCCTGGTATTTTTTAGGTGGATTTGGGGAAGTCATTGCTTGCTCCTTAGCCCAGAAGGCACACCCTTGGCAGCCAGGTTCGATGGTGTAATGAGCCTGAATTGGCCTGACTTGCGTCCCAGGCTGTGGCCTGATCCCAGCTGTACATACCTGGGCTGAGGTGACCCACCAGGCCTCCTGCGCTGGAGCCTGTGGACAGTGGGTTCTGGGCTTGGACACATTCAGAGTCAGGGTCAGGCGTGGCCTGGAGCCTTGCTTGTGTTGGAGTTGAAGGGACTCTTCTGGGACTCATCATCTGGAAAAAATGCCCACCCCCAGGCTGGGGAGACTGGCCGAGGAGCTGTCAATATGTGAAGTGGGTCCTGAGACCCTGACGTTGGCCCTGGGTGTGCACAGACAGGCAAGGAAAATCAGGGATGTGGGCAAATTCTAAGACTGCATTGAAGCAGAGAGCCCGTGCCCTTAGCTGCTGCCTGTGGCTGTCCTGCAGAGATACAGGACTCTCGTCACAGAAAAGCTAGTTTTTCAAGAAAAGTCAGAAATGTAGTTTTTTTTTAAGTGTTTAAAAAATTTCATTATGGAAAATTTTAATCCAGATATTTAAGTGAACATTTCCAGTTTTTTTTTTTTTTTTTTTTTTTGAGACGGAGTCTGGCTCTGTCACTCAGGTCGGAGTGCAATGGCACAATCTCGGCTCACTGCAAGCTCCATCTCCCGGGTTCACGCCATTCTCCTGCCTCAGCCTCCCAAGTAGCTGGGACTACAGGCACCTGCCACCATGCCCGGCTAATTTTTTGTATTTTTAGTAGAGACGGGATTTCACTGTGTTAGCCAGGATGGTCTGGATCTCCTGACCTCGTGATCCGCCCGCCTCAGCCTCCCAAAGTGCTGGGATTACAGGCGTGAGCCACCGCGCCCAGCCTACATTTCCAGTTTTTAAATGTTAAAAGAGAAACCCACTGTGGATGCCAAACAAAATACACTATAGGCCACAGGTGGCCCCAAGTGAGCATCCCTGGGCTAAAGGGGCAGAGACAAGGAAGAGCAGGAGGGAAAGGAGGGTGAGAGCATATGGCCTTTGTCAGGGTGCCTGTGGCTGTGTGGTTCTGGGAAAGGATGGGGACCTGTCTGGGTGAGGTGAGACCCAAGGTAGAAATAGTGCAGGCAGGGGCCAGATGCTGGGGATGGGGGCCGGACCCTCAGCCCTCCCCTATGAAGTGTAGTACCGGAGGCAGGTGACCCATTGGGATAGACCCCAGCTCAGCATGGGACACTGTGCAGTCCAGGCCTGGGGGAGGTGGGCAGTGGTGCACAAGGGAAAATGCCACGTCAACAGGAGGCAACAGGGCAGGTGCCCTTCACCTCTGAGCCTCTGCAAGGTGACCAGGTTAATGGCTCATCATAAACATTCATCTGGAACACCAGAGCTGAGAAAGAAGATATGTACGTGGTGGGTCCTGAAGAATTTGAGTGAGGCCTCTTTTGAAGGCCAAAGCTTCCAGCCCCTGCATGGGCCCTCACTGGCCTTGATGTTAGGGCCCTCTGCCCCTAGGCCTGTCTGGAGAGGATAAAGAGGCTGGCTAGCTGTATGATCATACAGACCGAAAGATGACTGCAGTATGCCAAGGCCGGGATAGAATCACCTTATCCTCAGTCTAACATGGGCAGTGCTGGGAGGCTGTAAGAGATGTGCAATTGATTGTGCTACGGCACTAAGAGGAATATTAGTGAATCGGCCAAGAGCACACAGTCTGACTCGGCCCCTTCCTGTCTTTGTGACTTTGGGGGCGAGTTACGAACCCTCTGGTGTGTCTCTTCTGCACTTTGAAAGCAGCATTAACAGTACTTACTACCAGAGGTTTTGGGGAGGATGAAATGAGCGCATGGTGCACAGCATGGCCATGCAGAGCATGCGCTGTCAGTGGGTGGTGGTTGGTGATAATAATGTGACCTTCGTGAAGTGACTGGTCATGCATTTCTGGGAACGGGACAGTTGATGGGGAGAAATGTCAACCCCACGTCATGTCAGTCCCCTTGGAAACATTGGTAGGGCGCTGCCTGGGTCCATAATCTGGCTGCACCTTTGACGAGGTGGTCACTAGGGGGACAGCCCCTTAATGTCTCTGGGACCTTGGGCAGGGGACCTGTGTTGCTCAGGGATCCATAGGATGCAAATGATGAAAACCCAACTCAATCTAGATGAAGACAAAAGCGGTAATTTCTTTCGTGGGTCAAATTGGGGGAGGGACAGGTTGGAGCCAGTTATAAGAGTAATTGGAACTAGAGGAAGTTTTCAGGTTCGCTTCTCTGTCTGTGACATGCTGATTCTCTCTGACCGACTTCTCTACCAGACATTCTGGCCACTGACAACACAACGCTGACTCCTATCCCCATCCATGGCTGGAGACAAAAGGAGTTTCCCCTCTGGTTCCCAGGCAAAATCTCCCGAAGCAGGACTCTGATTGGCCTAACCTGGGTCACGTGCCACTCTTTGGGATGATCACTACACGTTAGAGAGGGAGAGCATCAGTGCTCCAAGGCTGGAGAGCAGTTAGACACAGCCATGGCCGCTGGAGAAATTGTTCTGAGCTGGCCAGTCACCCCAGTTTGTGTCTGCTACAGTTTAGCCCCTTAGAGCCTCTGCTTTTTCATGATAGTGTCTGCTCTTGGGTTTGTGAAGATTTAGTATCCAGGGTATCTAGCACATGCCTGGCACATAGTGGGTACTCAAGTAATGTTTTCTGTCATTAGTATTGTTACATTGTTTGTTTTTGCGTGTATAAGTTGTTCCTCGCCTGAGTTTGGGAAAGTGAGTTCCCTGAGGGGAGGGGCTTTTTCTTTTTAGGAACCCCAACAGCACACACAGCACAGGGTCTGAGACCTGAGAGGTGATTGGTAAACGTGGAGGCGAATGGTATCCACGAGAGAAGCGGGTGGCCGGCACCCATTGAGATGGCAGCAGGAGAGAGCAGCAGAGTTCTGTCTGCAGTGTCAATATCAATAAAAGAGCAGGAGCAGAGATCAGCTCCAATGACAGGAGCCCAGGGAGCGGGTGGGGGGCTAGAAAGTCTGTCCCTGGCCGCCCCTGTGTGTGGACACTTCTTCCATCCCAGGAGCCTAGCATGTGGTTTTGGACACAAAGGGCAAAGGCTACCACATGGAGTTGTTTGAGAAAGAGAGAGGGAGGGGAGGGAGAGGACGCCTATGAATCTGAACACACCCACCATGCTGGAACACTTGACCGCCCACCCAGACTCTGCAAATCACAGGCCCAGCCTGAGGCCGTAGCTGGGGACCGATCCCATTAGTAGGAGGCCACGCTGAGAGCCAGGTTTGGCCCCTGGAGCCAGCAGGTGGGGGACAAGAGGAAGGGCAGGAAAGGGGAAAGGGGTAGGGGAGACCTCAGGATGCCCAAGAGTGGTAGGAACCTGGGTCCCACGGCCCAAAACTGGGGCTGAAGACCCCAGGACTGTAAGCCAAGCCCTATTGCAGCCCCAGAATCCTTCACTTTGTTAAAAGATAATTTTCAGGAAAAGGTAAACTCATGACTCTCATAGAGAAATAAAAATGAACATATGTTAAAGATTTGACTCCACATTAATGAGGGAACCAGGCAGATGTTATAACTCGTTCAAAAGAGAACCCAAGGACAGAAACATTATAGATTAGGAATTTTATAATGAATGTGCAAAAGGAGACAAAATTGATGTTGTGTAGGGTGGGAGGGAAGGCTGTTTAGCCTCTGCCAGAGAAGATGGAACCTGCCTGCGTGCAGACAGGAATTTTGCGTTGCTCTTAGTGACCCATGGTGCTCTCTGCTGTAAGGGCACTTTCTCTGCATCCGATTCCGATAAGGGGGAAAGACACGCGGTGGCAGTGCCTGTCTTCCATTGAAGCACAAGTTTTTATTCTCTGGTTTGAGGCCTGACCAGGTGTGAGGAGTCTGATGACTTGTCCTCCTTAAAAATCTCTGCCCTCATTCCCGGAACTAGCGGAGTGGCAGCATCTCCCAGGCTACAGCCCTGGATTGGACTGGGTTACAGCCCTACACAGCAGTGTGGTGGGATTCTGTCTCTTCTGCAACTCTGTTCTGCCACCTGCTCCTCACTTCCAGGATTCTGGCTGGGGTTAGGAGAGTGAGAGTGCCCAGGGCAGTGGCGGGGGTGAGTTTTCTGAGGGGGACCACAAAGTTGTCTTGGGTGATCTGCTCCATTCTTTCTCTCATCTTTCAGAGAAACTCTTTCAGAGGTACCCTGGGGGACCTCCATGAATTCTGTTGCTTGGCTTCTTAACTCTTGGTTGGACTGAGGTGTCGGCAGGTTCTGGAGGGTGGATCAGGCTTGCTGGAGCCCTGCTCCCCAGCTGGCTTCACTGCCAGCCTTGGCTAACATCCATTCATTTGTTCAGAGCTGGGTGCTGTGCTACCTCTGTGGGCCCTCTGTGGGATGAGGTATTGGGTGGGGTGGGGTGGGGGTCAGGGTTCTTGTGGTTGCAGGTGACAGATCCAGCTCACACTAGCTGAAGCCAAAGAGGGGTGTATTGGCAGGGAGCTGCTGACATGCCCACAGAGCCAGTGGGGCAGGAGCCCCAGGGGCCACAGGATGAGGGCTTCAGGCCCATTAGGGCACCGTCCCCTACTCTGCTGGCCTGTGCTTGTCAGTGGAACCCAGCAGCAGATGGGCTTTCTCCCATGATGGGAAACAGGAACAACCCAGGTCCTCACACTTAGGACCCAAATGCCAAAGGTCTCTTTCTTGCCCTCCTAGGGAAGACTGGCTAGGGTGGGACATGAGGCTATCCCTGTATTAATTGCTGTGACTAGAAGGTTGGTTTGGGTCTGCTGGGTCACAGCTTGCCGCTGTGTATGGGGGTGAGTTGGAGCAGGACCTGTGCCCAGAAGGCAAGCAGCAAAGCATGCGGACAGGAAGAATGGCTTCCACAGTGGGGGACACAAAAGGAAGAGAAAACACAGTCCCTGCCCTCTGAGCTTATACTGCTGTGTGTCTGCAGACCACTGCACAAGATATAATTGCAAGCTGGGTGCCGTGACTCACACCTATAATCCTAGCACTTTGGGAGTCCAAGACAGGAGGATTGCTTGAGGCCAGGAGTTCAAGACAAGCCTGGGCATAGCAAGTCCCCATTTCTACAAAAAAATTTAAAAAATTAGCCAAGCAAGGTGGTGCACACCTGTAGTCCCAGCTACTCAGGAGGTTGAGGTGGGAGGATCGCTGGAGCCCAGGAGTTCAAGGCTGCAGTGAGCTATGATTGTGCCGCTGCACTCCACCCTGGCCAACAGAATAAGACCCTGTCTCTAGAATTAAAAAAAAAGAATATCATTGTAGAAATTATTAGTATTGTTTTTGAGCAACCACTGGGAGCCAGACTCTTTGTAGACTCGACCTCATTTATTTAAGTCTCCCCATAACCCTGTGAGAGGTCTGAGTAGCCTCAATGTCCTTACATAGAAACTGGCGTGCAGAGACAGGCTGTAACTTGCTAGTCTGCCCTCTGGTAGGCCGTGGGGCTGGGATCTGAGCACCACTGTGTCCACTCCAGAGCTCACCCTCTTCCCCAGGCCTGGTGCCAGCTGGTGCTGTCCGTGGCTGGTGACCCAGCTGTTATGGTAGAAAAACTTTTCTCCACCCTCTTATGTTCAGTACTGGAGGGCTTGTGAGTTAAACTGAAAGAGATGGACTGGCAGGAGAAAAGAGTTGATTTGCCAGTTCCTTGTATATAGGGGTGCTCCATGATGAGTACCTCAAAGGGGTGGTGAAAACTGGGGGTTTGGCCAGGTACAGTGGCTCACGCATGTAATCCAGTACTTTGGGAGGCTGAGGCAGGTGTATCACCTAAGGTCAGGAGTTTGAGACCAGCCTGACCAATATGGCGAAACCCCGTCTTTACTAAAAATACAAAAATTAGCTGGGTGTGGTGGTGCGCCTGTAGTTCCAGCTGCTCGGGAGGCTGAGGCAGGAGAATTGCTTGAACCTGGGAGGCGGAGGTTGCAGTGAGCCGAGATCGGGCCATTGCACTCCAGCCTGGGCCACAGAGGGAGACTGCAGTCTCAAAAAAAAAAAAAAAAAAAAAAAAAAGAAACAAAACCTGGGGGCTTATATTCTTAGCTTAATAGGGAGAGAAAGGGGAAGGGAGAAAGGTTTCTTTAGGAAAGACAAGTGGGTTTTTAGGAGAACTAACGGGAGATGAAGTTTGTGATAATGCTTACTTAAGCAGGGTCAAGTGGTATTTCTGTCTTTATGACCGTGAAATTCCCTTAAGGGGATTTCTGACAACCTCTTTTCCCAGATGCTGCTGCTTTTAAGGAAAGCTGAGAAGGCTTCTTTCTGCATCTGTTGGCTTTCAGATGTCTTCAGCTTACACTGATCTGTATCCTAATGCTGGGGTTCCAAATGGGCCCTCACACAGGCTGGGAACAGGACCCCAGGAGAGGGAGTGCTTGTATGCATGTATGTCCTGGAGGGGCCATGACCTGTGCCAGCTCCTACAGTCTCTGCTTGGTGAGGGGCTCCACATGCATGGTTTCTGGGCACTGTGTGCCCTCAGCGAGGCCCCTTCCAGACCCACTGAGTGGCCTGGTCTGAGCCCCTGATAAGGGCTCTAAGAGGGTCAGCTCAAATGATGGGGGTGAGGGTGGAGGGGATACTCTTTGGGGCTATGGGAAAAACAATGAAACCCACTGCTGAGGTGGAGAGCTGAAGGCAGCGAAGTTTGGAAGGTAGTGGGGAGAGTAGATGGGAGCTTGTTCCCCAAGCAGAATTTGGGAGCTTCCCTTGGAAACCAGAAGAGGTCTTTTGATGGGCTATAAGTGAGATGTTTCTTTCTATTGGGCAAAGTGTACTTTTGAAACTTGGCATTCCAGGGCTGGCCTGGCCTGAAACGTGATGCATTCAGAAGGGGGTAGGAAGCCCTCCAATCTGGAGTTATAAGAGACCACGTGGATGGTGGCAGGAGTGGGTGGGAAGTTCTCTCTGAGCCCTTGATGTTCATGATGTGGAGGCCAGCTGCCCACTTATCCTTCTCTGGTGTTCCCCTGACGTCCCTAGGACTTTACTGTTGGAGGAAGGCAGGCTCAGTAACCCATTCTAACCTTCTTGGCCAAATTAACACATTCTGACTTTTGACCCTTGACCTCTGACTCATGCATGACTCAAAGCTGTGGCCGGGGAACATTGTCAGTTTCCACTGAAGACTGGGCCCCGAGGGCCTGCCTTGGTGACTGCTGTTTGGATAGTCTTGGTCCTACCTTCCTTCTCCCCACAATCTGCCAGAAAGTGGGTGAGGAGAGAGGAGAGTAATGATCTTCCCAGAGGTTCTGGAAGGCCGCTAGAGGCTAGGTCTTCTGCTCACTGCTGGGTTGCCCTGTGAATGTGGGAACAGAAAGGGCCTGCGATGGGTGAGGGGCACAGCTGAGGCAGAGCTTCCCCTGAGGGAAGCCCAGTTCCTCTTGGGGAGAGAGGCTCACAGCATTGAGATGGACTGCGGCTTAAAGGAGCCATGACCTTGCAGACCTGCTGCTGCCATCGCGGGTACATGGGCGGTGTGGGGTTCTGGCTTCCCCCGAACAGGTGCAGAGGACGGACAGTCAAACTTCCCAGCAAGGGAAGGAGAGCAGATGGGGACCGACAGTCTGCCTCCCTGGGGACCAGCAGCTCATCCTGTCCATTGTGTGGAAGCTTTTATTTGGCTGGGATGCTTGACGCTCGAATTGCCTTAGGGGATTTCCATGGGGCCAGTAATAACAGCTTGCCTTTGCATTCCCCTTGGAACACCTGTCTGCTGTGACCATTTCTGATCCTGATTTCCGGGGCCAGGTCTGGGCTGGCGGGACCAGAGGGAGGAGATCTGGTTCCTGGGATGGATGGTCCCATTGTGCTCTCAACCCAGGGAGGAGGGGGCAGAAGCCATTAGTGAAGCACCCAAAGTTATCTGACAAGGCCCTGGGCACTGCTGTCAGGGGCAGCTGGAGGGACAGTCTGGGTGGCCCTGCCTCCTATATGTCTTTTGCATTGACCTGGGGAGGTGCTATGGATATTCCTGCAGCTTCAGATGATGCGACCGGGCTCCCCGCTCAGCCTTGTCGCACACGCTGCTGGGCGCTGTCTTTTTCTGTGCCTGTTTGCACATCTATACTGGGTCATCTTCCTTAAGACTTCTTCAAATCTCAGGACTAGAGAACCATTTGAGCACTTTGAAGCATAAAGGGGTAGTTGTTTTCAGCATTTAGTGAGTACGTGTTGTGTGCCTTGTATCACAGACAGACTCCCATCGTGGAAGTTTTGGTCTGGCTGCAAAAACAAGCCTTAGTCCTATGGAATAATCAGGGAACCACTGAGAATGGTACCAGTACCAAGGAGCTTAGAGGGGGTGCTGTCCCTGTGGGGTTGTGGAGAGAGGAGGGCTGTCTACAGGGGCTCATTGCTGAGCCTGCCCTGGGGGAGAGGGCAATTTGGAGAGGGGAGGGCATGTGGGCCAGGGCGGCAGACAGCACAGCAAGGTTGTGGGGGTAGGGTTGAGGAAGGAGACCCAAGTGTGTGGCAACAGGTGACAGAAGCCTGCAGAGACCTCCCTGGCATCTAGGTGTGGCGGGATGGCTGGCAAGGCAGCAGTATGGACTGTGGCGTAAAGAAGAGGCATGAGAACAGCTCCCCGTGGTGGCATCCAAGGTGGATCTGCAGGTTCCCAGGGTCCTCTCCTGGCCCAGGGGTGATGGACCAGTTCTCTGGGGCGAGGACCTCTTTGGACATGGGGATATTGGGGAACCTCCTAGGGCCTGGAACTGGAGCACAGGGAGGGTGAGAAGAGAGACAGAGAGGCCCTTTCATCATTTCCTTCCAGCCAGGTTGCAGCCAGAAGCTTCCAGTCTGTTTCCTCTAGAAACCCTCTTGGCAGCCAGCCTGTCTGGATGATAGGTGCCTGGTCCACCTCCACTCCCCACCCTGCCCCACCTGGCTGACAATACATAGATGTTGGGGTGGTTGCCGGGACAACACTGGCTAGCACCTCTGCCAATTGTAGGGTCCTACCAGCTCTGACCTGCCTCAGAGCCCCTTTCTGAGCCTGGGGCCTGCTCAGATGGCCTGTATAGAAGAGCTTGGTGCCTGTTTTAGACCTGGGAGGTTTTGGCGCAGTTGGCTGTCAGATCAGGGCCTTGGTGGCCTCAGCCTGGAAGGGTGGCATTTTGTTTGTTTGCCCTTGACATGCATTACACATCCATCATAAAGCCTGGTTTGGAACACCACAAAAACTGCTTTCCTGCTGACGGAGAGTGTGGCTTTGCCAGACATTCTCCTTTTGGGTAGATGAAACTCTAAGGAGCTCATCCTCCTTGACACGAAGCAGACAATCCTCTTCTTTCCTCTCTTTTTGGTCTTTTTCTCTTCTTTTATGTCTCTTCCCCAAAACTGCTTTTGTGAAAAGTAAAAAAACTCATTCACTGTAAAGCAGTAGTTCTTTTTAAAGTTTATTTTATTTATTATATTTATTTTATTTAAAAGTTATTTTATTTTTTTGAGACGGAGTTTCACTGTTGCCCAGGCTGGAGTGCAGTGGTGCGATCTCGGCTCACTGCAACCTCCGTCTCGCAGGTTCAAGTGATTCTCCTGCCTCAGACTCCTGAGTAGCTGGGGTTACAGGCGTGCCACCACACCCAGGTAATTTTTGTATTTTTAGTAGTGATGGGGATTCGCTGTGTTGGCCAGGCTTGTCTCGAACACCTGACCTCAAGTGACCTGCCCGCCTCAGCCTCCCAAAGTGCTGGGATTACAGGTGTGAGCCAGGGTGCCCAGCCTTTTTTTTTTTTTAAAGACAGTGTCTTGCTTTGTCACCCAGGCAGGAGCGCAGTGGTGCAATCATGGCTCACTGCAGCCTCAACCTTCTGGGCTCAAGGGATCCTCCTGACTCAGTCTCCTAAGCACCACAGGTGAGTACCACCATGCTTGCCTAATTTTCTTCTTCTTCTTCTTTTTTTTTTAATTTTTAGTAGAGACAGGGTCTTACTATATTACCCAAGCTGGTCTTGAACTCCTGGCCTCAAGCAATCCTCCTGCCTTGGCCCCCCAGAGTGCTGGGATTACAGGTATGAGCCATGGCACCCACCCAAGCAGTAGTTCTTAACCAGGGACATTTGGTAATGTCTGGAGATATTTTTGGTTATCACAGCTAGAGGGGATGGGGTGCTACCGGCATCTAGTTGGTAGAGGCCAGGGATTCCACTAAACATCTTAGAATGCACAGAACAGCTCCCCCAACTGAGATCATCCACATCAAATTGTCCACTGAGACCCCCTGACCTATGGTATTAGTTCCAATTGCCACACACAGGAATTTTCAAAGCAAACCCACTGGGCAGAGAATGATGTGCTGGGAATCTTGGTGTGAGAGATATGTGGTAGTGAGCACCCTCCTGCAAAGAGAGTTTTATGGTTCACACAACACTTTTGCTTTCGTGGACAGCATCTCACTCCACAAATACACACACACACACACACACACACACACACACACACACACACACACTTTTTAGAGGTAGGGTCTTGCTTTGTCACCCAGGCTGGAGTGCAGTGGTGCGATCATGGCTCACTGTAGCCTCGACCTCCTGGGCTCAAGTGATCCTCCTGCCTCAGCCTCCCAAGTAGCTGGGACTATAGGCATGGCTGACTGTGCCCAGCTAATTTTTATTTTTTTTTTTAAAAAATAGACAAGGTCTCACTACGTTGCTCAGACTGGTCTTGAATTCCTGAGCTCAAACAATCCTCCTGCCTCAGCCTCCCAAAGTGCTGGTATTATAGGCATGAGCCATTGTGCCTGGCTGAAATAAGTTTTAAACTAACAGATGCCATTGATCAAGCACATGCTATGGGCCAGGCCTGGTTTCAAAGCCTTGACATCTGTTTTTCCCCTCCACTCTCCTGCCTCTGCAAGCTATGTTTCCTCCACACCCACAGATGAGCAGGGTCGAGCTCCAAGAGGTAAGACCATGCAGTGGTGAGACGTGGCAGAGCTCGACCTTCACAGGCCTCCACACTGCCTCTGTTTACACACAAGCTGCCAGCCTGGGACATCGAGGCTGCTGCGTTTCACAAATAGGTTGTGGGGGATAAATGCTGAGCATTGTGGGCTTGTGAGAGGGACTCTTTTGGGCTGGGTGGGTCCATCCCTGTGCACCCTGGTGCCACTCTGCACATGCAGCCTGGGCATGAGGTGGGCTGAGCAGCTGGATCCCTGGAGCACCACCCAGACCAGCCTGTAGGCTCCAGGAGCTCCAGAGACAGTCACCCTTTAAGAGGTGTGCTGATTAAAAGGCAGCTAAAAGTGCTCACTTGGAACCCACACCAGCCCTTTAAAATATAGGGCATGATCATGAGCTTGGCAGAGAGGGAAGATGGAGCAGCTGAGCCTGCAGCAGCTGAGAAAGAAGTCGGGAGACTCAGCACTTTCCTTCCACTCCCCTGAGAGCAGCCTCATCCTCCAAGACCTTAAACACCTCACTAGTGACCTCGGAGGCAGGGCCTACCAATGTGGTATGTGGCATAAAATCATGGGGTATCTGACCATCATGGAGCCTTAGATTTGATGAAATATGGCACACATGTGAACTTGTCTGTGTGTGCACACCTGAGCATGGCATCTTGGTGAGGTCTTAGTGTCCCAACCCAGGGTAAACCAGACCCAGCTCTGGCTACTGCGAGGGTCAGCCCCAGAGGGCTGGGGAAGGCAGAGAGCTCAGACCACAGGTAGTAGTATATTGCTGTTAAACATCCACATACATGCACATGTGTACACACATACAACACAGGTACCCACACACATGCACATGCGTGCACACATATAATACGGGTACCCACACACAAGCATATACCTGTGCATGTTTAGTCATCGGCATGTGTAACACAGGTGTGTTTGTGTAGATACACGCACCCATGTGTACCATACCAAATTAGATGTGTGCACACAGACCAGTTCACATATGTACCATATTTCATCAAATCTAAGACCACACTGATGGTCAGATACCCCATTATTTTATGTCCTTAAGAACGAAAAAGTGTTACCAATGAAACTCTGTTCATCACTTAGCATTTTTACTGTAGACTTATTAGAAGAGAGCTTTTTCTCTTTTTTCTTTTTTTTTTTTTTTTTTTTTTTGAGATGGACTCTTGCTCTGTCACCCAGGCTGGAGTGCAGTGGTGTGATCTCAGCTCACCACAACCTCCACCTCCCGGGTTCAAGTGATTCTCCTGCCTCAGCCTCCTGAGGAGCTGGTATTACAGGTGCATGTCACCATGCCTGGCTAATTTTTCTATTTTTAGTAGAGACGGGGTTTCACCATGTTGGTAAGGCTGGTCTCCAACTCCTGACCTTGTGATCCTCCTGCCTCAGCCTCCCAAAGTGCTGGGATTACAGGCGTGAGCCACCACACCCAGCTAGAAGACAGCTTTTAACCTCAGTTAGACTTAGGTCTTTATCATATGTTACTCTTTTTTTTTTTCTCTTTTCTTTTTGTTTTGAGATGGAGTCTTGCTCTATTGCCCAGGATGGAGTGCAGTGGTGCGATCTCAGCTCACTGCAAGCTCTGCCTCCCAGGTTCACGCCATTCTCCTGCCTCAGCCTCCCGAGTAGCTAGGACTACAGGTACCCGCCACCACGCCTGGCTAATTTTTTCTGTATTGTTAGTAGAGACGGGGTTTCACCGTGTTAGCCAGGATGGTCTCAGTCTCCTGACCTCGTGATCCACCCGCCTTGGCCTTCCAAAGTGCTGGGATTACAGGCGTGAGCCACTGCGCCTGGCCTATCATATGTTACTCTTGTACACACACAGATAAGGCAACATGAACAGGTGAAGAGTTCCCCTAACTTCTTCACATTCAGAGCAGTGCCCTTGCATGTCACATTTCAGCACAGTCAGCATAGTCCTCAGTGTGTGACCTTTCCATGCAGCATTGCCCTGCCTGCCATCGAGAGCAGGGATGGTGCCACCTGAGGGCTCCACTGGCATCCTTGGATTTTCATACAAGCTACGGACAGCATCCTGTGGATTTGATGCTGGAGCCAGATTGATTTTACTGGGAGGTGTCAATGGGAGGTTTTCAGACAACACCCAGGATTCACATTCCTGCCTCTGATAGTTTGTTACCTGAAATGACGAAGGCTGTGGTTGTGAAGCCACCAGGAATGACAGAGGCTCTTGCTTGCACTGGCAGTGACACTCACCCCTGGGCTGCCCCCTGGCTAACAGTGATTGTAAACATGAAAAAGAGGAGCCTACTGGACTCAATAGGATGCAGCATGTGTCTTGGGGGTGCTGGGGGCTAGAGCACATGGTCTGCAGAGTCACCTTGTGCCTTGTGAGAAGGGCCAGGGTTGCACACCAAGGGGCTGGTCCAGGGCCTGAGACTCCATGTTGCTGTCGTCTCCCTAGGACTGAGAAAGGACAGGAGGGGTCACTGTGGCCATTCCTCTGTCTTCAAGCAATGTTGCCCACATCTGTCCAGGTTCAGAGGCAGTAAGTGATCAGGGAAGGTGTATGAGCAGGTCAGGTTTTCCAAGGCCTGGGCTTGTCCTCTGACAATGACTGCTGTCCTCAGGCAAGCTTCCGTATACCTTTGGGCCTGCCTGTATCCCTGAAAACAGGGATAGCATACCATCCTCCTTGGAGGTCCTTGGAGAAATGGCTGACTCTGGGACTAGGGCAGGGAATATGCAAGATGACCCCGGAGCATCTCCTAGAGCCAGAAAGTAATGAAGTGTTAAAAAACATACCCCAAATCCCCAAACCATGGGGGTGTGTTTACAGGACACAGGACCCAACTCAAAGAGCTCTCAACCACCAAAGCTGTGACAATTTGAGCAACAAAACAAATCACAGAGAATTATAGCCCAAGGTATAAAATAGATAAAAGTCCATACTGATAACATAAATGATAGAATAAATAAACGAAGAAGGGACAAATCTCCCATGCAGAGTAATTCCAGTTTATTCATGTAGAGACTCCGTCTTCAAGGAGGTGGATTTTAACTCCCCACTCCCTAGATGTGGCCACACATAGTGACTTTCTTCTCAAGAATTCAGTATGGAAATCAGGGAGCAGAGGGTAACTTTCAGTGAAGAAACCTGACAAACACTCCCTCAGCTGGGTGATGAAGGCCAACAGCAACAGTGATGAGTCAGGCTGGTATCATGCACCCTTGACATGGCCTGATGAGGAAGCACCTTACCCCTGTGGGCTTCCTCCCCAATAGCCCCCATCTAACCATGAGAAAACCATCAGACGTACCCTAATTGAAGGACACAAAATACCTGCTCAGTGCTGCTCAAGACTTTTGATGACTCAGTGCTGGTCATCAAAAACCAGAAGGTGGGAGAACCTGTCACAGAGAAGAAACAGAGCAGAGGGGCTAAGGAGACAGGAAGTTTAAATGGAATGTGGCACCCTGGATGGGACCAGGACATTTGGGGGAAATTAGAGAAATCTGAATAAAATGTAGACTTTAGTTAATAACAGCATGTCAGTATTGGTTCGTTAACTGTGACAACCATACCATAGTAATGGAAGATGTTAACATTTGGAATAAACTGGGTATGGGGAGTTTCTGTAATATCCTTGCAACTTTTAGCTGAACCTAAAGTTATTTTAAAATAAAGTTTATTTTTAGAATAATAGGAATTCCAGGCCATTCGCCGCGAGGATTCAGTGAAGCAATGCAAGGAGGCGCTTGTGGGCTGTGCCAGCCATTAGTGGCAATGAGTGTTCTGCTTCTGTTTGAGCGCGGGTGGGCTTAATACCCCCAGGGTCTTGCTTTTTCAGCACTGGCCTCCACCTCTCCCTGTTTAAGACCTGCCCGAGCCTGGCTACCAAGCAGTGAGTGGACCTTTTACAACCTTCTTGAGTTGTAAACGCTCCTCATTCTCTCTCCTGGGCCAGAGAAAGCCCACCCCAGCCACCCTGCCACAGAAACTGGTTCTGGACAGCAGCTGAGTGTAGTGGCTAAGGAAGTGGGCCTGAGAGTCACAGAAATCTGAGTTCAACTCTTGGCCTTCTCACTTCTAGCTGCGTGGCCTTGGGCAAGTTACTTACCCTCTCTGAACCTTGGATGTCTTGCCTATGAGACGGAAATAATTCCTCTCCCCATAGGGTTGTTGTGAGGCTGTATGCCAAGCCCTTGGCACAGTGCCTGGCACACAGTAGGTGCTTGGGGAGTAGCAGTGCCTCCCTCTAATCCCAGTACCCTCTACCATCTTCTCTTGTGCTGCCTTTTCTTCCCTTGGTCAGAGAGTGTCCTGACTTTTGCTTGTTTTTCTGGTACATACCCAGTGGTTATCTCAGGTCAATATGTGGTGCTGAATCCTAATGTAGGGGTCCTGGCAGAGGTACTTTGAACATGGCGCAGAGGTGACTTTGAACTTGGCTCAGAGGTGAGGAGCAGGGAAGCTGGACACACTGCTCTGTTCTGCCCTGTGGGTGTGCCTCGTAGCCATCCTGTCTCGTGCCCAACCATGGGAAGCGATCCGTGATCTCCCCTGAGCTAGCTCCCTGGCCTCACCTCTGGTGTTTGGGAGGCAGCCATGGAGGGCCAAGGCAGACAGGGCCAGGTCCTGGGTGCACAGCCAGGCTGGAGTCTGTCAGCGAGCTACCTGTGCATGTTCCAGAGCAGCTGAGGTCCTGGCCATGGTGCCATGTGTCACACGGCCTCTGCAGTTCTACCAGACATGGCAGCCCTGTCCAGCCACCTTCTTGGCCTGTGCAAAGTCTCAGGCAGCTTGAGCCAAATCAAAGACGCTGAGGTCCCTACTCAAGGGCTGGGGATGGCAGGGGTGTGTGCAGATGAGCGTACCAGGGCGCCAGAGGACTGCAACAGGGGACTTGGAATGGAAGGGCTAACTCCACCTTTTTTTTTAATGGGGTAGAAAGGGAATAAAATAAAAGCAGTTTATTTTTATCATCCTTATTTAGTATAAGAAAAGACCCAACTGTTTCTCATTGCCAAGCTCCTTTTCTATCACAGCCTCAAAACTCTTCACTTCTCCTTGTGCTTTAGGCTTCCTTTTTGGGATCATTTTCCATCTTCCCTGCCATTCCTTTAGTGGGGTCTGTGTAACAGTTTTTGTTTATCTGATAATGTCTTCATTTCATCATGGTCCTTAAAAGATGGTTTTGTGAGTTCAGGATTCTAGGTTGATGGTTTCTTTATCTCGGTGCTTAGATGGTGCTAATACAGTGTTTTCCGTTTGGTGAGTGATCTGTATTCTCTTTGACGGAGGTGTGCTTACAGGGAAGTCCATAAGAGACTGCGGTCACTGTCCGTCCCCAGAAAGGGAGCAGACATGCTCAGTGAAACTGCCAGCAGGAGACTTAAGGCCAGCAGAGGACGTGGAAGGGAAGGCTGAACAGGTCTCATGCCCCAGGGAACTTTCCAATGATGAAAAACTCCCCACTATTCAGTGCATGTGAGTACTGGCTGGGAAGAAATTCCCTGTCAGATGGAGGGGGATGGCTTAGCCTGTTTGGGCTGCTGTAACAAAATATCCTGTGAGTAGCATAGAAACAACAGAAATTTATTTCTCACAGTTCTGGAGGCTGGGAAGTCCAAGATCAGGGCACCAGCAGATTTGGTGACTGGTGAGAGCCCGCCCACTTTCTGGTTCATAGATGGTGACTTCTCACTGTGTCCTCACATGGTAGAAGGAGTGAGGGGGTCTTTCAGGGGCTCCTTTTATAAGGACACTAATCCCATTCAGGAGGGCTCTGCCTTTATGACTTAATTACCCCCTAATGCCCTATCTCCTAATACCATTCCCTTGGGAGTTGGATTTCAACATATGAATTTTGGGGCAACACCAACATTCAGACCAAAGCAGTTGACTTTAGCTACCTTGGTTGCCAGTGACCTTGGGGTTCTCTTGGTGGCCCCACGTGGCTCATGCCTTCCTCTCCCCTGCTGCAAGCCTCTGCCCCTCTCCTTTTAAGGGCCCACAACCTTCTTGGTCCAGGGATCGTTCCAGCTCCTCCACTGAGACTTCCCTGAGCCCTCCTGCCCAGACGCTGTTTCCCTTTTCTCCAGATCCTGGAGCTGGGTGGTGGGGGTGGGGGCCTGAGCTGCAGAACTCAGAACACCAGGCACCTGAAGCCCTTGGTCTCGGGTTGCTTCTCAGTGGTATCTCCAGATGGGCTGTCCCTTTCTGTTTACATAGCATTTGCATCTAGGCCAGTTACCAGGGAGTGGGAAGTGGCATCAGGGGGCCTCACCCCACCTCCTGCCAATGTTGGACAGATGAGCTGTGATTCTATCTCCTGCTCAGACAGGCAGCAGCCCCCTGCCCAGTCCCACTGTAAGGACCTCTCAATGTCCTGAGCTGGAGATGGCAGCTGTTGGAGCAAGGGTCATTGGAGGCTTTGATGAGTGGGTTTGGCCTGTTGAGTGAGGTACAGAAATGAGAAATATGGCAGGAGTCTGGCAGCAATTCACATGGTCTGCCTTACAAGAAAGACACGTGGAGGAAGGCAGCAGCCCTGGGCATTTCCAGATGCCCAGAGGCCCAGCAGATGCCCCCGCTGAATGTCCCAGTGACTCCTTTCTTCTCCTGCCCCCGGGATAACTGATGGGTTTACATGAGTATGCGTGGGACACAGATGTGGCTGTGCAGAGCGTGCATTGCCTGTGATCCTGTCCTTAGTCTGCTTATAGTGCACTCAGGGAGGTCTGCAACACTTACCCACCCCAGTACAGAAGGAAGGCCGTGATCCAGTGTTGGAGGGGCTGGGAAGTAAGGGTTACTTAAGGGTCACCCTACTGCAGATCCATGATCATCTCAGTGATCAGCAAAGACTCCTTAGTTTAGAATTCCACCAGGGAGCCTATGTGTGTGTGTGACTGATTGGGTGCCCCCTACTCCACCCTGAAGTCCCTCCTAGGATAAGTCTAGGGTGTGTGGATTGAGGAGGACATTGTCTCTACGCATTGGAGCACTTTACTCCCACTGGGGAGGGGAGGAGTTTGGGAAGGAAGCCCTGCTGCTCGTTGGACTATGGTCATTTCTTGTGGTGGGCATTGGCATTGTTCCTTGTGGTGGGGTGTTGGCAGGGAGCTGCTTCCCCTCAGTGGGTGCTGGTCTTTGGTCTTGCTACTCAATTGGATCCAGATATGGGTGCCAGGAAGGCCCATGGCTGAAGCCTGACACCGGCTGCTCTGAAGTCTGCCCATTCATGAACTGGGGCAGCTGCCAGTTCTGGGCACTGCGGAAAGTGGCTTGGGACTGGGGCTTGGTGATGCACGCGGCTTCTGCTGCCCACAGTTTCGTGCTTACAGCCTGGCTGCCTCCTTGGCTGGCCCAGAAGGGGTATGCCAGCAAAGCGTACATCTCCTGTTCCCCTCCTGGCTCACCCCTTGCCATGGGACTGTCACGCCTGTGTGGTTGGAAGTGCTATTACTCTTCTCCGTGTGGTGGACAATGGTTGCTTTGTGGGTTGTAGGTTGATCACTTTGCTTTTGAGTGGAAAAGAATTGATGGCTGAAGGGCATGGGGAGATGGAAGTAGTGAGAGCAAGACTATGCATGGAGCTCCGGCCCAGCTCCTAGGAAGCCATGTGGGCAGGAGGCAGAGGCTGGGTTCCACTTCTGATGGCATCACCTCCCTAACCGCACTGCTGGCATCACATCCCTGACCGCGCTGGTGGCATCACATCCCTGACTGCGCTGGTGGCATCACATCCCTGACCACACTGCTGGCATCACATCCCTGACCATGCTGGTGGCATCACATCCCTGACCACACTGCTGGCATCACATCCCTGACCATGCTGGTGGCATCACATCCCTGACCACACTGCTGGCATCACATCCCTGATGGCGGCAGTGGCATTTTTTTGTAGAGACAGGGTCTCACTATGTTGCCCAGGCTGGTTTCAAAATCTTGGCCTCGGCCGGGCGCGGTGGCTCACGCCTGTAATCCCAGCACTTTGGGAGGCTGAGGCGGGTGGATCATGAGGTCAGGAGATCGAGACCATCCTGGCTAACACGGTGAAACCCCGTCTCTACTAAAAATACAAAATAATTAGAAGGGTGTGGTGGCGGGTGCCTGTAGTCCCAGCTACTCAGGAGGCTGAGGCAGAAGAATGGCATGAACCCAGGAGGTGGAGTTTGCAGTGAGCCGAGATCGCACCACTGCGCTCCAGCCTGGGCAATAGAGCGAGACTCCACCTCAAAAAAAAAAAAAAAAATCTTGGCCTCAAGTGAGCCTCCTACCTTGGCCTCCCAAAGCACTAGGATTACAGGCATAAGCCACCGTGCCTATGCCCGGTCAAGATTAGGCTTTTAAATGTATTGAATGATGTTCCATGAAACAAGCAACATAGAAACAGTATATTCAGTATGATTCCAATTTTGTAAAATAAGATGCATGCATGTACACACGTGGCATGATGCAGGTTAACTGTAGTTATTATTAAGTCTGACTAATAGTAGTGTCGGTGATTTCATTTTCTTTTTTTGTAGTTTTCAGTTTTTATTTCTAGTGAGGTGTTTTGTATTCATAAACAAGGTTATTTAAAACAAAAAAGCTGGAGTATCCAATGGGACCACTCAGGAAATGGGTGTCCCCAGGAGAGGGTGAACTCCCTTTCCTTTAGGGTGGACAAGCAGAGGCTGAGTGTCCGCCTCATGAACACTGTTCAGGAGCTTCCTGGCAGAGGAGTGCAAAGGGCTGCATTCTTTGATGAGCTGTGCAGGGCACTGGCCCACAGTCCTGGGCCTGTGAGAAAAAGGGATTATCTAGAGCAGTGCTCTTCAAACTTGCCTATGCCTGCCAGTCAGCTGGGGATCTTGTTCAATTGCAGATCCTTATTCAGGAGGCCTGGGGTGGGGCCCAAGACTCTGCATTTCTCACAAGCTCCCAGGTGCTGCTGCTGCTCCAAGGTCCTGGAGTATGTCTCCTGGAGGAGTGCCCACTGCTGCCTCCCCAGGGCCGGGGTACTGTAGGGCAGACATTATGCCAGTGGCAACTGGAACGGTACACAGGGATGTTAGGGCGAGTGGCCTGTGGTTCCCTGAGCCAGGTGACCTGTCTGGAAGAGGCTCTCCAGACGTGGAAAGATGAGTCTTGGTCAGAGTTGCTGAGTTTGAGACCAGGCCCTCTACAATGTGGCTTTGTGGAAAGAGCTCATGGTTGGGATTACATGGTCTAAGATGTGAATCCCAGTTCTGCAGCTTGCTAGCAGTGTGTCCTCGGGCAGGTCATTTTGCCCCCTCAGTCTCAGTTTCTTTATCTGTAAAGTAGGATAAGTATCTTGCCTGATAAGGTCACGGTGGGGATACCATATGTTAGGTACCTACCCCAGTACCTGGCATGCAGTAGGCTTGTAATGAATGTTTCCTTCCCTTAAACTGTATTTTCTTCTTGCAGGTAGATGAGATTTACCACGATGAGTCCCTGGGGGTTCATATAAATATTGCCCTCGTCCGCTTGATCATGGTTGGCTACCGACAGGTAAACCACCTTGTCAGCAGGCAGGGTTTGCGGGGAGAAGGGTTGTGGGGCCAGAGTGTTGGACCAGCAATGGTGTGGGCTGCAGGGGTAAGCATCCAGGAATCTGTTTCCAGAATCAGAACTTGAGGCTATTAGAATTGTGGCTTCAGTGATGGAGCCTTTGGAGGTGGTAAGCAGCAATTTATGGTTTCCTACAATCTGAGAAACTGACGATTCCACACCTTTATCACTGGGAGATCCCTCTTCTTGGGGAAACTGGGGCTTACAGTGGGGTGGCCACTGAGACAAGTCATGTTATGGTTGAGCCCTGGTGCCCTGCGCTCTGCAATCTTAGACTACCAGTCACCTATTATTAAATGGGGGTAGCCACCAAACTTTCCTGTAAGGGCTATTGTGAAGATTAAATAAAGCAATGAATGCAAAGTATAGAGGAAATGCTCAGAACAGCACCTGCCTTGCAGGTTAGTTGAAGGGATTGGAAATTGTGTGTGTGAAGTTCCCGGCAGAAACGCATCTCAGCATGGTGCTTGGCACGTGATCATCCCTGAAAGCAGGCAGGGCTGTGTGCCAGCAGCAGTTGAGTGGGGACAGCTGGTGATCTTGGGGTGGGTCCTGCAGTCCTCTGGGCCTTAGCGTTCCCATCTGTAAGTGGGAGGAGAGAGGCCTGCTGTTTCTAGGGCTCTGACCCTCCACGTGGCTGTTGGTGCTCTCCCGGCCCCTGCAGTCCCTGAGCCTGATCGAGCGCGGGAACCCCTCACGCAGCCTGGAGCAGGTGTGTCGCTGGGCACACTCCCAGCAGCGCCAGGACCCCAGCCACGCTGAGCACCATGACCACGTTGTGTTCCTCACCCGGCAGGACTTTGGGCCCTCAGGTATGCAAGGTACTGTATTTGCCATGGCCAGGTGTGTGCAGCATGCACGGCAGACAGAGGCTGGGCCTGGAGGCAGATGGGCTCTCTTCTGGGGCCCACCACATGGAGGTTTGAAGGGATGGGACCTGGACAGCCGAGGATGAGCTTTGCAATGGTTTATTGGGACCGTGGGAAGTAGAGGGGTCCCTACTCTTGTCCCCGATATTTTGGTGGAGGCTGCAGGCAGCTGTGAGTGGTCAGGCCCTGGGTCCTGTGCTTAATGTCCCAGAGCCTGGCTGCTGGAAGACCCTCCATGGGCTTCAAGATGCTTCTCTCCACACTGTGTCCTTCTGTCCTCATTGCAGACTGTGGGACACCTAAGATGGGGCTTGTGTGGGCTGCAGAACAGGAAGTCTGTGCTCTGCCTCCAGCTCCACACCTTGCCAACCCAGTGGTCCAAGATCTCTTCATCTCCCTGGGTCCTCCCAATTGTGGAATGGGGAACATCATAATACTTGCCTTCCCCCATTCCAGGGCTGCTAAAGGCCCCGGGGGTGCATGACATGTTTGTGACAGAGTATTGACAATTGTAAATACTCTGCAAACATGCAGCTTTGATACCCATATGGGGAAACTGAGCCATGGGGTGGTGAAGAGACTTGCCCATGTGGTTTAGCAGACAGGAGGCAGATGTGAGACTCAAACTGGATCTCCAGGTTCCATGTTGAAGGCTTTCTATTTTTTTCTGCTTTAATGCTGGAAATCAGTTGGTCAGCCCTGCCTACCCAAAAATTTCTTGTCTGAATGACTGAAGCCCCAAATGTGGTTTTACACACCACACACACACACACACACACACACACGTACAGACATCCACACACATGTACAGGCCCATGTGCACACAGACACATGCACACATGCAAATAGACATAAGCCAGTGTGTACATGTACAGATATACAAACACACACGTATACACAGACACACAGAGACACTGCATACATGTAGAGACACAAAGACACATGTACATGCATGCACAGGCACTCACATAGACACAGACATGCACACACATGTATATCACATGTAGAGCAAATCTCAGCCTTCCAGGACAACAGAGGCCCCAGAAACCTCCTTCCCACTCAGCCTCTTGCTATACTCCCCAAACCATGTCAAATAAAAGAACATTTCAGCTCCTCTAACATGAAGGAATAGCTCTGTCTGGGGGGACTGCAGGCCTAGGCAGGGACATGCCCTTTGTCATTACCCCCACCTTGGAGGCCCCTAGGACACAGGCCTCATGCATGGTAGTGCTTAGCTGGTGCCGGCCCCCCTGCACTGCCATGATTCCTGTGTGGCCTGCCTGCACCTTGGCCTGTGTCCTCCCCACCTCTGAAGAGTTGTCTCAGCTGTCCTTCACTGCCCTCCATCAGCCATTCCTGGTCCCCCTCAACTCCTTCCAAACCATTCCCTTTCCCCTTCCTCCAGCTCCCCCGCTGCACCCTGGCTTGCTTCTTGAATTCTAGCCTTTCTGGCCCATGCCTCATCACGTGATCTCCCTGCCAAACCACAGTTCTTTAGCTGTGGTGGTGGGTGGGTAGCGGGGTGTTGCAGGGTCGGGGTAGGCTCGGATCTGAGTCTCCTGTTTTCCCCCTGGTACCTAACATAATGCTGCCCCCAACTCCTGCATAGAAAGTGTTCGGAGCTTGTTTGCTGATTGACTGTGGGACTGGAGGGAGGCATTGTGGAAGTAGTGTGTTTGCAGGCCCGGGTGTTCTCTGGTTTAGAGGGGCGCTGATAAACCCTGGGAAACTGCAGGCCAAGAGGGAAGCCATCAAGCCCTAGGATGTGAGGGTGGCTTGGCCCAGGTTTGTTTGGCTGCAGGTGGGACTTTGTGAGCATCTGTCTTCCTCCAGGAACGTCCCCACTCCAAGCACTGACCAGAGGGCTGGGCTGGGCACAGACCTCAGTGTGTCCTGCCTCACCTGCCCTCCACCTCGCTCTCCACCTTTTCTTTCTCTCTTCGGCAGGGTATGCACCCGTCACTGGCATGTGTCACCCCCTGAGGAGCTGTGCCCTCAACCATGAGGATGGCTTCTCCTCAGCCTTCGTGATAGCTCATGAGACCGGCCACGTGTAAGTGGCAGCAGCACGGTGGGTGGGACTGGCAGCTGTGCCGTGAGCTCCAGGGAATTCTGTGGCTGTGGGAGGATTTGCCCAGCTTGGCCTGGTTCCAGTGTCCTGGGAGGTGTCAGAGGAGCTGGACTGCCACTGCGGCATGGCCTCCTGCAGTTACCAGTAGAGGGAGGCCCTAACCTGAGTTAGGAGGAGCCAAGGGGCATGAGTAGTAATTTGGGCCTGCCTTGGGCCCAGCCTCCAAATCCCAGGGCCATAGGGGACCAGATGTGGCCCTGCCTTTGGGTGGGTCAGTGGCAGTGTCCCCATCACACGCAGAGGCCTGCTCTCTCTGGGTGGTCTTGATCTCTGGCTTCCCTCCATCACGTCCACATTTGAGGCCTTTCTAAGACTTGATCCAGCCCACCCTGATACTCAGCACTCATTGGAGTGCTGGCCTGAGCCCACTGTAAACAGGTGCACTTAGAGCTTAGGCGGTAGGCCAGGCAGAGGCTGGCTTGCCTGATCTTAGGGCTTTGGGTTTTGTTTAGAGTGTGTTCATTCATTCAATATTTCTTGAGCACCTACCATGCACCGGGCCCCATTCTAGGAATGAGGCTACAGTGGAGATCAGGACAGAGAAGCCCTCAAGAGGCTACATGCTGGGTGGACACAAATGAGCTACTGTTCAGTAGGTCATGCCATGTCACAGGGGCAGAACCAAGAGACACCATCAGCCCTGTTAGATTTTATCCCAGCTCTGCTCCTCCAGGCAGGTGGGACCTCCTCTCCACACCTGCAACATGGGGCTGACACCAGGGGAACCTCTGAGGCCCCTCCCTGTGGAGACACAAGGTCAAGCTTATAGGCCTGTGTATCTGCCTAGCAATCAAAGCCAGATGCAGCCATCTGGGAATGTTTAAGAACTTAGAATTCTTGGGATTTGGCATTAATGACTAATTGTGAAGAGCAAACTTTTAAATGTAAACTCTTATTATGGTAGGTGCCTACCATGTGCAAAGCTCTGTGCCCAGCCTTGCAGAGTCTTGGAGAGGCTCAAGAGGCAGGCGCTGACAGGGGCTCAAGAAATGAGGTTGAGTTGAGTTGAATGAAACCTGGTCTTTGCACTCAAAGGCCCTCTGTGGGAAGCCAGCGAATGGCTATGAGTTTTTAATGGTGGGATAGATGGCTCCTGCTGTGGAGGTGAGCCCACAGGTGAGACAGCTAGGACCAGTGGCCGAGTGGGGCTTGATCTGGCCTTGGAAGCTGTAAGAACATGGGTGGAGCTCACAGAAGGGGTGGGTGTCTGGGAGTGGTGAACAGCAGGAGCGAAGGCTTGGAGGGCAGGATGAGCCCCGTCCCAGTGGGAGCAGCCTTGGAGAGAAGATTGGTCCTCCCCACTACGTGGTTGGAAAACTGAGGCCAGGAAGAGCGATCTGAGCTCCGGGTCAGGTCAGGGTCTCCTGCTGCTGGCCTGCCTGCCTGCCTGCCTTCCCGGGGCAGGCTCCTGGGATGTATCAGGACTCCTCTGTCTTCCCCATTCCAGGCTCGGCATGGAGCATGACGGTCAGGGGAATGGCTGTGCAGATGAGACCAGCCTGGGCAGCGTCATGGCGCCCCTGGTGCAGGCTGCCTTCCACCGCTTCCATTGGTCCCGCTGCAGCAAGCTGGAGCTCAGCCGCTACCTCCCGTAGGTCATTCCTGCCCTCAGAGCTGGGATAGGGGAGCATGCGACCTGCCACTCTGAGCAGACATCACACAGCTGGCTGGCTTCCCCACGTTGCCCCTGGCTTGACTCTTCCGTGACTCATCTCGCCTCCCCGCCAAACCTGGCCTAAAACATACCCCATTAGCATAGCAGGTGGGTTAGTCTAGTGTTTCAGAACGTGTTCAGGTGACCATTTACATAGAATTCTTATTAAAAATGCAGACCCCCTGGCTCATGGAAGATGGTAAGTTAGATTCTGCTGGGGTTGGGTCTAGGAAGCTGGATTTATCAAGCATTGCAGGTGATACTTATGCCTGCTGAAGGTTATGAGCCACTGGGCTGAGGCTTGGGGCTCTAAACCCAGTGGCTCCTAACGACCCCTTTGAGCCCACCTGGCCCCAGCCCCCAGAGCTGCCCGGGATCGACTTCTCAATGGATGAACAGTGCCACTGTGGCTTTCCCCCAGGCCCCAAGGAAATGGGCATGCTGAGGAGGGAGCTCCTCCTCTCCCCACTCCCATCCTTGGCCCCAGCAGCACACTCCCAATTCCGGCCTGGCTGGTCAGCTCCTGGGTCTTCAAGGATGTTCAGGTACAGAGCAAGTGTTAGACTCAGGACCTTGAGGCCTGAGAATGGGAGGCCAAGTGGATTTGGATGGGGGCAGGTGGAGGCAGAGATATAGTCACTAGCCCCGTACAGGAGCTGGCCAGGGCGGCTCGCCCAGGGTCCATCTTGCATGGTAGGCTTTTCTCCTTCTTTCAGTACAGAGTGAGTCCTCAAACTGTCTATGAATCAACCATTAGTCTTGGCCATATCGTGTCCCTCTAAGGTGGGCAAAATGACCTCCTAATCCAGCTGCAAGCTGAGTATCTAATCCCAGTCTGGGTACCCTTGCCTTTGGCTGCAAATGGAGCCCTTCCAGATATAGTCACTGGTGGGAGTGAGGTCCTGAGTGAGGGGCTGCTCAAGGCAGCCCGTCCTCCCTGGAAGAGACAGCGCTGGGAACAGAATAGCGGGTGCAAATTCTTGCAGGCCTTGCTCATGAAAACCCCAGCCCCTGGGAAGGGAAAGCCTGGGACTTCCTGCTGTCAGCCTGGCTCACCTTCCTTGTCTCTACTGGCAGCTCCTACGACTGCCTCCTCGATGACCCCTTTGATCCTGCCTGGCCCCAGCCCCCAGAGCTGCCTGGGATCAACTACTCAATGGATGAGCAGTGCCGCTTTGACTTTGGCAGTGGCTACCAGACCTGCTTGGCAGTAAGTAGCCATCTGGCCTCTGCCAGGTGGTTGGGGGCCAGGGCAGTGTCCTTCTGTGGCCCATGCTGACCATTCATGAGGTGCCTTCTGCCCAGCTGGCCAGTGGGCCTGGTGATGGGCCCACAGACACAGTGCCAGCCACCATGCAGGGATGCAGAGTGAACACCTGTGGGGGCAGGTGGACACAGTGGCTTGGGAATGCATTAGCCCTGGGAAAGATGGGAACAGCAGAGCAGAGAGGGTGGGCACCTGATGGGATACTGTCTGGATACTGCAAGGGAGCCCAGGTTCCAGATAAGTTGTTGGGCTCTGGCCTGGTGGAGCAGCAGGTCCCACACCCTCCGGGGATGTGCCAAGTCTTTCAGTCTAACTCCCCACCTTCTGCACCTGCACATCACCTCTCTCCAGAGCGTCAGTTCCATGTCCCTGCTGCCTGTGCCTGAGGACATAGATACAAGGGAGCATAACCTTGTCCCTACCCTGCAGGATGGCACAGGGGAAGACTGCTGAGCCTGAGATCAGCTAGAGTCCCCTAGGAGAGAACTCAGCAGCTGCCACCCAGGGCCCAGGCTGAGCTGTCAGAGAATGGGCCATCTCAGGGGTAGGGGGCTTTCTGAAGGGGGCAGGCCTTGGGGACCTGAGTGCTTCATACTACCCATCAGGGAATGCAGCTCTCTTCACCTCCGTGGAATGGGGAGCGCCCCCAACCATGTGTGGACACCTTCCCCACTGTCTGGGACATGTGGTCTGACAAAGTGCCTGAGTTGTGGGCAGAGGACAAGGACATGGGATTTCAGGGTCCAAATGCTGTACTTGTAGGATGCTTGTCTGGCTGGCAGGGGATAAGAGGGAATATTAAGGAAGCTATGGCTTCTCTGGACAATCTGAAACGTAAGGTCATCAACCTCTGGCATGGCTGGGTGTCCAAGTTACAGGGAGGTGGAGTCCCAGCCTCGTTGGAGTGCTGGGGTGGGGGGGGTCTGGGCTGGAAAGCAGCAGTCCCCTTAATTCTCCCCATGTGCACAGGGCTCAGGGCAGGGGCACTGTGAACCCAGACCTCCCCAGAGCCTCACGCCCTAGTCCCAGCTCAGTGACAAATGGCCTCTGTAAAGCGGGGGAGGGAGGCCTTGGAGAGAGAACGACAAGAGCATGGGCCATGGCTAGGCTCTTTCTCAGTGCCATGGAGAAAGGAGGGGTCCCTGGAGGCTGCCGGTACTTGGAGTTGAGTAAACTTGAAGCAGGTGAGGGGCTCTGGCTGCCTTCCCTGCAGTGCCCTGGGTGCCTGCACTCATCACACCCTCTTTTCTCTCCATCACTACCCTTTGTTCTTGGACAAAGAGCCAGTCCAGTCTGGTGACCCCATTCCCTTGCCATGCAGTTCAGGACCTTTGAGCCCTGCAAGCAGCTGTGGTGCAGCCATCCTGACAACCCGTACTTCTGCAAGACCAAGAAGGGGCCCCCGCTGGATGGGACTGAGTGTGCACCCGGCAAGGTACCTGTGGGGTGTGCAGCAGGAGTGGCCTTCCTGGGGTGCAGGGCATCCATCACTGGCATGGGGGTGGATCCCAGAGTGAACCCTGACCCCTCCCTCCAAGTGCTTATATGAGTTGAGGGTGGTGCTAAAAGACAGTGGTGAGTCCAGTGTGTGGGTAAATACACGTGGAGTCTTCCCATAAACTCACCCTGTCTTCTCTCCCAGCCCACAGCCCTTTGTCTCTGTAATTGGCTGAGGGTAGCATGATCTCCTAGCCCATCTGACAGGAAGGCTTACTTCCATTTTACCAATGAGAAGAATGGGGCCCAGGCAGGTTGATTAAGGAACTTTATGGGGTCCCTCAGGGAGTGATTAGCAGAGAAGGGATGCAGAGAAATCTCTGTGTGTCCTGCCTACTCCCCCACCCCTATGCTGTCTCTGAGCATGAGACACACGTGTTCTCCCCACACCAACCTCCTTCATGAATGTCCTGTGTTTGCTCCCTCATGCATGTGTGGGTGCCAGGGCTTCATTTGCCCGGGGGACCCCGTGGCTGGGTCTGAAACCCAGCTCTGCTCTGCTGCCGGCCCTGCCCTTGATCACTGTGGTGACCTTGGGCCGTTCATTGAACTTTTCTGACTCGCCAACACCTGACCAACCTCAGGGTTGTTCTGAGGTAACTGACTCATGTCAAGGCACGTGAGGGAGCAGGGAAGAAGCCAGGTGCTAGGAGAGGTGGTTCCTCAGCATCAGCAGGAGCCCAGCCCCAGGGCCACCCCACCAGCCTGCCCCCTGCCTCCTGCCCTAGCCAGGCTCCTCCTATTCACACCTGTCCTGCTGAGCAGCTCTGGGGCTTGTCCTGTCACAGGTGGATGGAGCTTCCCCTGGCCTGGCAGGTCCTTGATGGGTTATAGCTGTTCCAGGTCTTTCCACTTCTTAAGTTTTCCCAGGTGTTTTCAAAGTTCCAGACCCTCCCCAGCCACAGTTTCACGAGACAGTTCATCAGTGGTTCTCTATCTGGGCTGCATATTGGAATCATCCTGGTAGTTTTAAAACCCCTCCTATAGAACAAGAAGTGACTGCAGATGAGCACGGAGAATATTTTTGAGGTGATAAAAATATTCTCAAATTGGATTGTGGTGACGATTGGACAACTTTGCGAATTTATGAAAAGTCATCGCATTGCATACTTGAAATGAGTGAATTCTATAGTACGTAAATTACACCTCATTATAGTGCCTCCAAAAGTTCCTACCCCTAGTGATTCTGACTCAGTTGGTCTGGGGTGAAGATCAGGCATCTGAAGTTGTAAAATCTCCCCAGGTGATTCCAAGGTTGAGAGCCACTGAGTTCATCTCTTGGGAGATGAACTTTGCCCAGAGAGCTTTGTGCATTTTTTTCATGCTACCCTGTAGGAAAAGGGAAGGGAGTTGCCTCTAGTTGAGCCCTCCCTTATTGCCTGGCCCTGTGCTAAGGCCTGTATAGATATGAGAGCAGTCCCACCTAACAGGTGGGTAAACTGAGGCTCAGCAAGCTAAAGTAGCCACACGTAGCTAGTATTGCTGAGCTGGGATTCAAACCCAGGAATCCTTCATGCATACACTCCTTCCACTGCATGCACAGACCTCCCTGCATGGCTGGTCTGCCTCCCAGAAGCACATCTCATGATCCCTGGAAGGTGATTTTGAGATACAGAGCCAAGATCAACTCTAGCTAGTGTGGGAAGATTGTGTCTTCTCTCCCCTATCAGCCTTTTATTACTCCCGGGTGTGCCGATAATTGCACATTTATTATCACTGTTCATCATAAGATCTGCCATTTCTGGAGGGCCTTGTATACTGGGTATGATCTCATCAGAAGCTATGAGCAGGTGCAGTTACCCACATTGTCCAGTTGAGGAACAGGCCCAGAAAGGCAAGCCTTTTGTTTAAGGCTGCTCAGCTCATGCTAGGGGTGGGATTCTGCCTAAACCCAGGCTCATGCTCTTGCTATCCCTTTTTCTGGCTCCCCGGGTGGGCTCAGCAGCAGCAGCCCAGGGTGACCTCATGCCCTCTGCTCTGCCCCAGTGGTGCTTCAAAGGTCACTGCATCTGGAAGTCGCCGGAGCAGACATATGGCCAGGATGGAGGCTGGAGCTCCTGGACCAAGTTTGGGTCATGTTCGCGGTCATGTGGGGGCGGGGTGCGATCCCGCAGCCGGAGCTGCAACAACCCCTCGTGAGTGTGCTTGGCTAGGGTGGGGAGGGCAGGGAGTCCCTCCCCAGGGCGGAGGGGCTTGGAGGGGAAGGCACTGGGGAGACAGTGCAGGAGAGAAGGGCCCCTGTGGGTGGTTGTGTATGCTAACGCATGAGGACACAAACTTGTTGGTGGAGGCAGATCACTCCTACCTGCATCCACTAAGAACCCTCAGGTCTGCCTTCTGTGCGTTTGTCTGAACCAGTGGTTCTCAAGCTCATGCGCAGAAGATTCCCCAGAGTCTGGGTGGCCCTACTTCTTCATGCGTGTAACAAGTCCTCTCATGACCCCGACCCTCTGGCTAAACTTTGAGAAACACTGATCTAAGCTCTTTGTTGGAAGAATCAATTTCCTAACTTTGTTTTCTACCACATGGAGAAAATCTCCCTTTAATTTTTCTTAACTCTTTCTAACATCAAAGCTCCTTCCCCTCTTCCCCACCCCTGAGTTTTAGCATTCTGGGGGAGATGTCCATTCTCCCTTCTCATCCCCTCTATAGGGACCTTCTCCCCAACTCCATGGTTTTGGGATATCTGAGCCCTAGTTCTCCATCTCCATCTCCAAGCAGAGGCAGCCTGTTTAGAACAGCACCACGGGAGATGGGGACTGGCCAAGGCCAGCTGCATGGCTTGGTTGGCTCTAGGAATGCAGGAGTTCTGAACCCCCACAACAACAGGGCCTGGCCTGACCCCTCACAGCACTGAGGGGTATGATGAAGACTGCGGAATCGCAAAGTTGTAGGGTCACAGTGGCTCTGGTGTCCTCAGGAGTGGTCATTCATACTGTTATTTATCGCTAGGGATGGGAAACTCACTGCCTATTGAAGCAGCTGTTCCTTTGTTTTAGAGAATATAGCCGTATAGTTAATATGGACAGCTATATTGACCTTCTACACACATGAACCAAAATGGACTGCCTTGTAACTTTCATCTGTCGGGAATACAAAGTCTGTGGTTATAGAAAAGCCCAGGGGTCCCTGTTCTGAGTAAATCACCTTGCAGGCATGACCGACAATTATCCCTTGGTATAATTGGTATCAAAGCTACCATTTATTGAGCTCCTGTGTAATAACAACTATTTTTATTTTATGAGGCTTAAATGAAATAATATGTGTGCTCTCAGCACCATGCTCACACAAATTAAATACTTAATGAAAGCTGCTGTTATAGTAATCATTATTATAGTATGTCAAGCACTTTGTGCTAGGTGGGATGCTAAGCACTTAGGTACAAAAATCTGTGCAATTCTCCCACATGTCTATGAGTAGGGTACTGTTAACCCCAGCACTTGGACACTTTGTATCAAGTCTTACCCAATCCTCTTGACTTAATGAAGAAGAGAGCATAGATGACTATAAAATACCTTTTCTTACTATTCTTCACAGACACACCAGGAGGTGAGTAAAATAAGAGGGATTATAGTCCCTGTTTTCAAGGGGAAATTAAGCCACAGCAAGGCTAAGTGGCCTGGCCAAGGTTGCACTGTCAGGACTTGGAAGCCAGCTCTTCTGATTCCAAATCCAAGTTTCTTTTACCACTCCTTAGTTTATGATGATATTAAGTGGAAGTTGATGCAAATGGGAGTGGCTGAGTCGTTTATGGGGGCCTGCTCTATGCCAGGGCCTGCAAAACAGTTGAAGGCACCCACAAAGATGAGTAAGATGGATTTCTCTTCCAGTCCAGCTGGAGAGGGTTAGTCAGTCCCTGTGTCAGTCTGTACATCTGTCCGTCACACTCACCGTGGAATAGGTGGTGTATGTCTGAAGGGTAAAGCAGTCAGGGAGGAAGAAGGATCTGGATAGCTCTTCAGCTGAGCTCCACAGCCCCCACCCTGGGAGCCATTCTCTGGTTTATGTCAGTGGAGGCCCTTGTCATGCTATTATGAATGGCTGAGCTGCTCCTGGTGGCTGTGTGGGAAACCTGGCCCTCCCCAGCCTTCCCAGCCAGCAAGGTCATCCATTTCTCTGTGTCTGTCCCAGCCCAGCCTATGGAGGCCGCCTGTGCTTAGGGCCCATGTTCGAGTACCAGGTCTGCAACAGCGAGGAGTGCCCTGGGACCTACGAGGACTTCCGGGCCCAGCAGTGTGCCAAGCGCAACTCCTACTATGTGCACCAGAATGCCAAGCACAGCTGGGTGCCCTACGAGCCTGACGATGGTGAGTGGGCCCCACCCCCCTCCCACTCCATGTCCTTAGGCATCTGCGGGGGCTGTGTGTGCCCAGGCAGGGCCTCCTACCCCTACATACACCAGTGAAGGTGGAGGGACAGTGGGGGTGCCAAAAGGGACACTGAAGTCAGCGGGCTCACCATATACCCTTTTGTAGGCCTGTTCTTGGTATACTTCTGGGGTCATCATCCCCATCAAGGCCATCCCTGATTTGTGTACTTATGATGACAGTTTTCTGGCAGATGCAAGGAAAGTGTCTTGAGGAAGGGACACTTCACACACAGGTGTTGCCAAGGCCGGCAGCAGTGTTGGCTGTTAGGGTTGCCTGCCTTTCGTCTTCTGTCCCTACCTGCAGGGAGAAGAATTATATAGGTGCAGGCGCCCTTCCCGTTGCATGACCAGTGTCCTGAGGAGCTCAGTCCTATTACACGCTGTGTTTTTAGGTTTTACTGATTGGGTTGTGGTTTCAGCAGAGTCGATGAGATGATTTTGGAAGGCACGCAGATAGGATCTGGTGGGATCTTCATAACGACTCTCTAGGCTGCCCTGGGACATACACAGGACTTCTAGACTCCTGTAAAGAGTCTGAATTTGGGGACCATAGTGGTGCCAGTTCCCATCTATTTTTGAGTGTTTCCAGTGATGGCTCCATAGCGGCAGAGCATCCAGTGAAGGGTTGGGATTCGTGGCAAGTCAGAGCCTCGGCTGGAAGAGCCCTCAATGATCCTCTGATTCCAGCTTTCCCCTGCCAGCCTCTCCATGGGTCCTCCATGGACAGATGCTCATTCTCCATCACACAACTCTTGGCCCAGACAGCTCCCATCAGGACGGGCTTTCCTCCCTGGAGCCTGGGCTCCACCCCAGAACTGTCAGCTCTTCAGCTCTGGTCTAGAATGACAGACTCTTCAGGTTGGAAGGGACCTCAGAGGCCTGTCATTGCCAGATTCTTCCAGAGCATCCTTGCAGGGGGTGTCTTCTCTCTGCTTGGATTCCTCCTACTCTGGGGAGCTCACCACTCCCTTCGCACTGTTGCTGCCCAGAGAGCTTCCGTTGCTGCCCAGAGAGCTGCCTGCCTGGGTCAGGATCCTGCCTGTCCTGGGTTGGAGCTCCCCCAGACCCAGGTCCCTACAGGAATCTGGTTCCTGTGGATGAAATCCAAGGTGGTCTTGGAGGTTGTGGCTTCCGTTGCTGCCTAGAGAGCTGCCTGCCTGGGTCAGGATCCTGCCTGTCCTGGGTTGGAGCTCCCCCAGACCCAGGTCCCTACAGGAATCTGGTTCCTGTGGATGAAATCCAAGGTGGTCTTGGAGGTTGTGGCTCCAGACTTGAGTCCTTCATGCTGGAGACAAGGAGTTACCAGCTGTGCTGGAGCCCAGGGACCAGAGCAGAGCCCAAGAGTTTCCTTAGTAATTGGCTGAGGGAATCTTGGTTTGAAAGCCTTCCAGATCCATTCAGAAACCAAACCAGCAGCCACAGCGTTGGGGAGAGGAGGGGCTGGGAGGCCCGTGGGGCAGCTGGACTTTGGGTTTTTCCCAGGACTGTTAGACGAATTCCAGGAAGTTAGCTAAGCCCCCAACTTCCTTTTTTCTAAGAAGCACAGTAAGTGTTTATATATGCTCTGGAACCTCCTTTTTAGGATATCTATAGCCCACATAAAGAAGGAAACATTTAATTGTTAGGACCAGAAAGGACTCTCTTTCTCCCTGACTGTTGCTCCATTTTGCAAACCCAGATACAGACCACTTTTCTGCCTTTTTTTCACGCAGCCTTCTAATGTTTACAAACATGTTAAGACGCATGTCATACATGTGCACAGTGAAGTTTTGTAGGGGTCAGAGCAGGACTCAGGCAAGACTGCTAAGGTTAGAATCCAGGCTGAACCACTTATCGTGTGGTTGTGTGGACTTGAGCAAGTTCCTTAACCTCTCTGGTCCTCAATTTCCTCCTCTGTAATGCTAGCACCTACCTCATTGAGGTGTTGAGAGGGTTAAATGAGTTAATTCATGAAAAGCCATTAAAGCTGTATTTTAAGGGCATGTGAAGGTTTTAGAAATATCTAGTACATAGTAAGCATTCACTAAGCATTGGCTTATTATTACTTTATCACTTGATTTTTCTCAATAAGCCGATGTGGCATTTTACTGATTAGGGATAATAAAAATAGGGAACAAAGGCTGGGAGAGGTCAGAGCATTTACCCAAGGTCACATGGCTAATAAGTGACACAGCAGGGATTTTCAGCCCCCGTGCCACACCCAGTGCTCCCCCAACTGTCCAGAGCTGGCCCCGGAGCTTTCTGGCTGGACCACATACTGATCTGTCCTGGGCCACTTTCTCTGAGCCCAGCTGGGGACTCAGCATAGTCCCTCTCCCTACAGACGCCCAGAAGTGTGAGCTGATCTGCCAGTCGGCGGACACGGGGGACGTGGTGTTCATGAACCAGGTGGTTCACGATGGGACACGCTGCAGCTACCGGGACCCATACAGCGTCTGTGCGCGTGGCGAGTGTGTGGTGGGTGCACCCCCAGCCACCCCGACTACCGGCACAGGGAGACTGGAGGGCTGCACTGTAGCCCCTCCTGCCTGGGAAGATGAGCATTGCCTCACCGGCCCACTCGCAACACCCTGTTGGTCCTCAGCATAGCCCTGGGGTGCTGGAAGGGGCTAATTATTGCTCAGCCCCATTGGAGGGGAGAGGAGATGGCAAGAATCCTCATCACGCCGGGTGTAAGACCTCACCCAGGTCCCACGGTGAATTCGTGCCAGAATCCTGTCCAGGGACATCTCCCAGGCCAGAGGTCTTCTCCTGACCAGGGCCTGGGGATGGGAATGGGAGCCCCGGGGTGGCGGTGGGGGCAGGGGAGCCTCCTCCCACTGACCTCACCTCTGGCCTCAGCCTGTCGGCTGTGACAAGGAGGTGGGGTCCATGAAGGCGGATGACAAGTGTGGAGTCTGCGGGGGTGACAACTCCCACTGCAGGACTGTGAAGGGGACGCTGGGCAAGGCCTCCAAGCAGGCAGGTGAGCCGGGCTGGGGCTGGGGGGATGACGAGGGCTGACTGGAGTTCTTGCCGTCCCTCAGGGGGCCCTCCCTCCTTGAACTGTGCCACAGTCTGGGGTGGGGAGAAGGGGCCCTGGGGCCCATCTCCAGGCCTTCCTGGGCTGCCCAGGCTGGTGAGCCAGGTGCTGCAGCCAGTCACCTCACCTTTCAGGCAAGCTCCTCCCTGAGTTTGGGGCCCAGGAGCTCCAAGAGACATTTTCCCGCTAGGTAAAGTTTTGTGATGGGAGCTCGGCCATCCCTTGGACCTTGGGACTATTGGTGGGTGGGAGGCATCAGACAGATCTAAAGGTGTAGCCAAGACTGGACTGATAATTTTCTTTTCCTCTCTCCTTCCTTATTTTTTTTTAAACCTGTGGCACTTTCTGCTTTGAATTCCTGGTATCTTTGAGTTCCTTGACTTTCCTCTCTACCTCCAATCTGACCAGACTTGCTGTGGAAAAGAACCAGATATCAGTCCTTCACACTTTAGTATAAATGGGGCCTATTTTCCCTTGGGAGATGTTACACTTTGTCTCACCTTTGATTGTTGGGGACAAGGTTGGTGGCTCTGAGAAAGTCCAGGCCTTGGGTCGGGAGGGCCAGGGCGGCTCAGGACAGTCATGTGGAGTCTTCATGGCCTTTATCATTTAAATCCCATCAGTAGCAAGTAGCTTAAGGTGTGAGAAGAAGCAGGGAGAGAGAGTCAGAGGAGCAAAAAGGGACGGGGGGAAGGGCAGAAGTGAGACGGAGAGGAAGAGGGTCAGGAAAGAGGGAAGTAATAGCAGCTCTCACACACACGGAGGCCCTTAGAGTTTACAGGACATGTCTCATTCGATCCTCCCAGCACCCTCATGGAGAAGGTCTCATCCTCAGTTTACAAATGAGGATACAGAGATTCAGAGAGGTTCTGTGATCAAATGAGATGTTCCTGGGTGCCCAGTGAGGGAGTGGGGGACGCTGGGCAGTGGGACCACCAGCTTAGGATGCTCACGACTTCTGGATCCCTGTGTGTGGCAGGAGCTCTCAAGCTGGTGCAGATCCCAGCAGGTGCCAGGCACATCCAGATTGAGGCACTGGAGAAGTCCCCCCACCGCATTGGTGAGTGCTGGGGTGCTGGGAGGGGACAGCAGGGCCCCAGGCCCTGCCCTCTGACTTGGGGGAGCTGGGAGACCAGAGGACAAGATTCTAGTACAAGTGGAATTGTACTAACTGGAGTAATGGGCAGAGACCCCCTTTTCATTTTATTTTAAATTTATGCTGCATGGGTAACCCATTCCATGGTTTACATTTCAGAAGGTCTCAAAGGGGACCTAGTAAAGAGTCCCCTTTCTACCCCTGTACCCTGGGGGCAGTTTTCTTCCCTAAGGGCAACTACTGTTAATAATTTCTTGTGCACATAGATGGCTGTTAAAGGAAAGCCATGTTCACAGAGTGTATCAGTCAGCTTTTGCTGCCTAACACACCACTCCAAAACTTAGTGGCTTCAAACAAGAATAATTCTTAGCTCACGGTCCTATGGGTCATCAGTTTGGGCTGGGCTCTGTGGGGTGGTTCTTCTACTTGTCTTCTTGGACCAAGTCATGCAGATGCCCTCAGCTGGTAGGTCTCTGGGAGCTGGTTGGTCTAGGATGGCCTCGCTCACATGTCTGGTGGTTGGTACTGGCTGTCAGCTGGGGTCATGGAGGTGGCAGGGCTGTGTCCTCAACAGGCTAACCCAGTGTTATTCACATTATATCTGTCACATAGTCCTCAGGAATGGCTTGTGTCATGTTTTCTAGCGTCCCATTAGTCCAAATCACATGGACAAGCCCAGATTTAAGGGGTAGAAACATAGACTAGCTCTTGATGGTAGAAGTGGTGAAGTTACTGTGCAAAGCAGCATGCATAGAGGAATAGGAGGAATGTAGAGGCATTCTGCAGTCTACCACACAGGCCCTTACATTATTCTCATTATAATCATACTTAAACACCAAGCCACTAAATGAGGTGACACCCTTGTGCTTGTAACAGTTATCTAACTATGAAGCTAGGCTCGATTAAAAATGAGAATACCACAATAAGTTAATAAATTTAAATTAAGGCCATTAATATAATATGAGTGATGTTTTGTTTCGTTTTTGCTGAAACTAAATTGGCTGTCAAAAAATGGACATGTCCAGAGAGGCAAATCCACAGACAGAGAGAGAATAGATCCGTGGCTGCCAGGGGCTGGGGAAGGAAAGAGGCATGACGGCTAATGGGTATCAGGTTTCTTTTTGGGGCGATGAAAATGTTCTGGAATTAGACAGTGGCAATGGCTGAATCTACTTAAAAATCAGGGCAGGCGCAGCGGCTCACGCCTGTAATCCCAACACTTTGGGAGGCCAAGGTGGGTGGATCGCTTGAGCTCAGAAGTTTGAGATCAGCCTGGGGAACATGGTGAAATCCCATCTCTACAAAAATAAAAAATAAACAATCAGCTAGGCGTGGTGGTGCATGCCTGTAGTCCTAAGCTAGTTGGGGGACTGAGGCAGGAGCGTCTCAAAAAAAATTTTTTTTTCACTGAATTGTACACCTTATTCGAGTGAGTTGTATGGCATGTGAATTATATCTCGGTTCAAACCCTGTGAGCCTGGTTCAGAGCAGGGTCCCGGTGGCAAGTGGGCAGAAGGCTGCTTCTCCCACACTGGGCAGTGGTGTCTGTGTTCAGACCCCTTTGCAGAGGACGTGCAGGCCACAATGTCCCCTTGAAATGTCACAGAGGCCCCTCTTACCTATTACGTCTGCCAAGTCACACTGCTTGGTGCCAATTTCATCATAAATGGAAAAACAAAACACATATCTCTTGGCAGGCTCACATCACACACAAATGCTGCCATTCATATTTTTAGATTATCATCAAAATAGCAATTTGTAAATACCTTCAAAGTTTCCTGGATAACTTGCATTTCCTGGAGAATGCATCTGCATTGGCACCTCCCCTTAACACAGCTCCAGTGGGCTCCTAAACTTCTATTCTTGAAGGCATCTGAAAGGGCATTGTCCCATCAGGCCATAGGCACAAGGGGAAACTGAAACCCAAAGTGGATTGGGGGCCTCTGTATGCCCTGATTCATCCATGAGGAGTATGGGCAGAGCCAGTCTGGGCCCAGGTCTCCTGCCTCTCAGCCCTGTTCCCTTGCCAGCCATGCCACTCTACCACAGCGAGCCCAGGTTAGAGGACATTGGTTCAGGCAAGTCCTGCCTGCTGTGCCTGCCTGGCTGTGGGGAATGTGCTGGAATTAGGGGCCGGGGGAGGGAAGGGGCAAGGAGAGAAGGGACATCTATTCCAAGAAGAGGTGGAGCTCACGGACACTGCATCCCCAGGGGATGATTTCAGAACATTAGCAGCCCCTTCCACCCTCTGCTGTCTCCAGAAATCTAGTTCTTCGATCCCCAGGGAAGAACTAGTCTTCTGTGGAGGTCATGGCAGAGGCTGCTAGCATCCGGGGCAGGCCGAGTGCGGGCTTGCTTGCCTGTTTGTCGGGTGAGTTCCCTGAAAGGTTAGAGTTTTCCGGGGAGCCTGGTGGGGAGAGCGAAGCAGTGGCGGCCCAGGAGCTGAACTCTGAAGTTGGCACAGGTTGTGTGATTATACAGGTGTGAGGTGCACAGTGGCCTTCAGTGAAAACGTGTGAATATGTGTGTGTGAGTGTGTGCATGCACGTGCATGCACGTGTAGGGGTGTGTGTACCCAACAGGATATGTAGAGGCCCAGGACAGGTGGCAGCCCTGGCGATGAAGGGAGAGGCTCTGTCCATTGTCATTAGACTCTCCTGGAATTGGGGACATGGGGTCTTTGAAAGGAAGTGTAGGGAAGAGAAGGAGAACTCATGCTGTTAATATCTCCCATGCGCTGGGCCATGAGCTGCCACTTTTCATGCGTATGTTTAGTAAGCCTCATGGCCATCTATGAATATTGTTTTCCCGCTTTGCAGTTAAAGGAAACTGAGGCTCAGAGAGAGGTTAGATACAGAACAGGTCAGTGGTGGAGCCTGGATTCGGGACTGGGTCTGGACAGTGGAGAGTTTATGGTGGTCCACCCCCAACGGTCTGGAATGAGGGGTGCATAATCAGGGCTCTGCTACAGTGAGGTGCAGGCACAGTCAAAGGCAATGGGAGAACTGGAGGCTGCACCTGGCCTGAGGAGCTGCCCAGCCTTAGCTTAGACAGTCTGGAGCTGCTGGGGACTGAGAGCGATCAGGGAACCTGAGGGAGAGGCCTGGGTGGGCAGGAGGCGAGGGGCATCTCTCCAGCAGCCTCCCAGGAAGGGGCGAGGCTCTTCTTTTTCCACCCCTCTTCCCCACCCTCACCCTGCCCCTACATTGCTCCTGTCTCTCTGGGTGCCTGGGCTCTGGCCCAGCTCCAACTGTTGCCCACTGTGTGTCCAGGACACTGTGTGTCTAGGAGTCTCCAATTCCCCATCTGTATTAACAATAGCCCAGCCCTTAGGATGTATTTAAGGATTGAACTGAAGCAGTTGGCAGAGTGACTGGCACATAGTTAGTGTTCTCGGATCCTTAGCTCTTATATGACAGTTATGACCATTTAAATCTGTCCCAGGTGGGAGCTCTGTGGGCCCTTCCACCTGGACACCCCAAGGCTCTGGAGCCTTTGCCCTCCCTACTTGGCTAAGGTGCTTGGGTCTCAGGCTGCTGGGCCCTAGGAAGTCCAGGGTGGCCAAAGGTACCACTCAGGGGCCTTGGCCAGGTGTTGGCATCTACATGTCTCCCACCCACCTGCCTCCCGGGGTCTTTTGGTAATAAGTTGTGAGTTACTCACTGACTGGGACATTAAGGGGTAGAAATTTATGGATTTTTAAAATCTCTGCCTCTGTTCCAGGCCCTGTGCTGGGCTGAGGACACCAAGATGGAGATAAGCCAACAGGCCGCTGGGAGAGGTGTGGCATCTGCAATCACAGCAGTGCCAAAAGTCCAGTACTTTTCTGGTGGTCTAGCGATAGTGCCCACTGCGCATCACTACTTGCCAAGCTGGCTATGTTTATGAACTCTTCTCGTTGTCCTGAGAGCCTCAGTCGTGGGGCGCGGGGATTTCTATCATCCTCCTGGGGCAGCAGCAGCCCTGCGAACTGGGTACAATGATCATTCCCATTCTACAGATGGTGAAACTGAGGCAGCACAGTGGGGCTGAGTAGTTTCCTCACCATCAATCCGACTCCAGAGTCTGTACTCTCAGCCTCTATGCTCTGCTATAGAAATTCTAGGGAGGGCAGAATCCCTGAGGACTGGGCAACCAAAGAAGACTCCCTGGAGGAGAGGAGATTATGCTGAGCCTCAACCATGGGTAGAGGTTAGTTAGGCAGGAAGAAAGGAAGGCAGTAAAGGTGGGAGGAATGGTGTGCACTAGGATCCAGAGGCAGCAAGAGTGTGTGTGTGTGTGTGTGTGTGTGTGTGCGCGCACGTGGGTTTGACAGGGAGCGTGTTGACCTGTCTGACTCGGGAGGGCTTGGGTGGGAAGGAAAGGCCGGTGGACAGGAGCCCAGAAGGCTCACTGGGAAGGCCTTGAATTTCATATTCATGGCCCGCCCCCTGTGGAGAGGAGCAGAAATCTGTGTGACCCTCTCCCCCCACCGGTCAGTGGTGAAGAACCAGGTCACCGGCAGCTTCATCCTCAACCCCAAGGGCAAGGAAGCCACAAGCCGGACCTTCACCGCCATGGGCCTGGAGTGGGAGGATGCGGTGGAGGATGCCAAGGAAAGCCTCAAGACCAGCGGGCCCCTGCCTGAAGCCATTGCCATCCTGGTGAGCCCCACTCTGTGCGGTGGCAACCCCTGCCCACCCCACTTGTCCCCTTAGCTCGCTACATCTGCTGCCAAGCCAGCGTGACACCATTCTGGTGTCTTTAGGAGCCTGGGCAAGGGCAAGGCACCTTCCATCCTGGGATTAGCTCCTCATTTGTGCTTAAAAGCCTGCAGGATGGCAAGTGAGGAGAGATAAAGACAGTTGTCTCCTCACTGTCAGACCCCAGATGTTACATGCAGGGAGCCTGCTCTCTTTAAGGCAGTCTTGGAAATGGAGCCTGGAGGGAGGTTGGGCAGGGCTGGGTCATCCTGGCATAATCCCACATCTGTGTGCATCGTAGCATGGCTGGCAAGGGAGTCCAGGAGCAGCTTCCTCGGGCCTTTAATGCAGCTGATCCAGGAGCTCCAGCCTCCTGAAAAGGGGACAAGAGCCTGACTGGGGCACATCTCTGCCCATACCCCCCTTCCTAGAGCATGGGCCAGGGCTTGTGGAATAGGGATTAACCCAGCAGACGAGACCATTAGGAGTTCTGTCCATGGTGCCCTCAGCACTGGCTGGTGGCAGGGTTACCTTGGATGGGCTTTGTTCCTGGTGTCACCCTCACCAGCTGGGGGGCTCCTGGAGGACAGGCTCTGTGGCCTATTGGTGTCAGCATATCAATTCAATCCAGCATATACTTTTGACTCACCTTATATTTGTTGACAACCCATACATCTATGGCCAGGTGATTTTCAACAAGTGTACCAAGGCCATTCAATGGGGAAAGAATAGTCTCTTCAAAATATGGTGCCGGGACACCTGGATGTCTACATGCAAAAGAATGAAGTTCTACCCCTTCCTCACACCATACACAAATATTAACTCAAAATAGATCAAAGACCTAGATATAAGAGCTTAAACCATACAACTCTTAGAAAAGAACAGAGGGGCAAATCTTTATGACCTTAGATTCTTAGATACGACAGGCACTAAAAGCATACACAGCAAAAGAAAAAATAGATAAATTGGACTTCATCAAGATTGAAAACTTAAGTGCATCAAAAGACATTATCAAGGAAAGGAAAAGACCACCTGCAGAATGGGGGAAAATACTTGCAAGTCATATATTTGATGAGGGTCAGTATCCGAACCATTCTTGTTAACTGCCTTCTAGAGCCAGGCAGTGTGGATGCTGCAGTGAGCAGAACAGACAGACAGACAGCCAGCCCTGCCCTCCCATCAGAACTGAGGTCTATGAAAGGGAAGAGCATTCCTAGGTGCAGTGGCTGCCCTTGGGCCTGGCACACAGCAGGTATCCAGCCTGAGTTTGTCCTATGGCAGCTGGTCTGAATCCAACCCCCTACCATACCCCAGCCATGCTGGGCACAACCTCATCCTAGCTTTCACAGGTTCTGCTCCGACCCTAAGGCCTTCTCTTCGGCCCCTCCCCTCCCAGTGCATGCCGCCCTTGCTTCTTTCTCTGGTCCTGTGCCAGCTCCCCATCTCCCCTCAGGCTCTCCCCCCAACTGAGGGTGGCCCCCGCAGCAGCCTGGCCTACAAGTACGTCATCCATGAGGACCTGCTGCCCCTTATCGGGAGCAACAATGTGCTCCTGGAGGAGATGGACACCTATGAGTGGGCGCTCAAGAGCTGGGCCCCCTGCAGCAAGGCCTGTGGAGGAGGTACCGGTTCCCTGACCCGCCAGTGCTTTGTTGGGGCAGCCCAGGATCCCTTGAGAGGCAGGGGTGGGGGACTGATGTTGTCTCCATTTGATGTGTCCTTGCTTATGACTCAGTTTCTCCTTGAAGATCTCCAGTGTGTGGAAGCCCGTTTTGGGCAGGGCCTTTGGGATGAGGCTGGGGGTGCTAGAGCCATATCCGGGCAGAGCTTCTACCCTAAAAGAGCTCACCCACTGTGGGGACAGACAGCTGTCCAGAGCCACCTTCTTACCAGCGAGATGGAGCTGATCAGGAAGGCGTCCCTCAGAAAGTGACGTGGGCAGGCGGGGGCATAGGCAGAGGGAGGTGGGATTGGCCCACAAGGCTCTCCACAGGTACTGCCCCTGAGGCCCCACCAGGGCAATGGGGGGCCTGGCTGGACTAGGCCCACGGCAGCCTGCCCACCCCATAGGGATCCAGTTCACCAAATACGGCTGCCGGCGCAGACGAGACCACCACATGGTGCAGCGACACCTGTGTGACCACAAGAAGAGGCCCAAGCCCATCCGCCGGCGCTGCAACCAGCACCCGTGCTCTCAGCCTGTGTGAGTGCTCCCAGGGAGGGACGGGGAGTCTGGTTCTATGCCTAGCCCGGGCCCCAGGCAGCGGGGCTGCTGAGCCTGCTCCCCTCAGCACTGGGTTATGGAGACACGACCATACAGGCAACACAACTTTCAGTGCTTCTGGGCTCCAGGCCCAGGCCAGGATGCTGACCTCTACCTCTTCTCTGCCTGATCGTCAGGAGTCCAGAGACATGGCTCAGCCTGCCAGCCCCCAGCCATGGTCCAGCCCCTAATTGGGATTCCCTGGCTTGCGGCTACATGCTCTTCTGAGCACAAGGATGACCTTGGGATTATTTAGGGGAGAGACTTTGGGGAGAGGAGAGAGCTATGCCTGGTGGAGGGCTCATGGCCAGGCCTCTGAACCTGTTGCAGAGCCGGCCTCAAGACCTCCTCAGCCTCCACCAGGCTTCCCTAGTACACCCCAAGCAGACTGAGGCCGAGGGTGGCTGGCTGGTAGCAGCCACAGAGGGCATCGCCCATCCTCCTGCTTCCCCAGGAGTCCTCCCTGGTAGGCGTAGGGTGCTGCCTGGGTCTCGTCAGCTTCTGCTCCCCTGGGCTGGGGGAGCCCCAGGGCTGGGCATGTAATTGGGGCAAGGGTGGGAACCGGTGGCCAGCGCTAGAGGCTGCTGTGGCCTCCCTGTCTGTGCCCAGGCCAGGCCATGATAACCAGCCCCTCCTCTGCCCAAGACAGCTTCATAACCAGCCCCCTGTGCTTCTCTTTCACTTGTTCCTTTGTATTGTTATTCAGACTGATTTTCCCACAAATGCCTGTAATCACAGAACATGCAGTTTAGCTCTGCCTGAGTTCCTGGCCGGTATCCCCCAGCCCCTACCCCTTTGGGGTTTTAAGGAAGAGGTTGACTTAGGAAACCTGCCTGGAAGTGACTAAAAGATGCCTTGGGAACCCAGGGAGGAGTAGGAGTCGAGGCTCTCCCTCCTTCCATCCTCACCAGAGCAGTTTCGTTTCCTCTAATGCACCCAGTGGGCATGCGCTTAAGATGCTGTTGGAAGTTGCTCAGTGGCTAAAAGACACTTGCAGGCCACCAGCATAGCTACTCTATGTGGAAGCTCTGTGGATGATGATGGTGACAGTAACAGTGTTCTTGTCCCAGGAGCCCCATGGGAAATTGGGGGATCTGCCTTGAAAGTGTGGTTTGATCTGTTTTGTGCCCTGACGCTTCTCAGCACCCAGGACAGTGCTTGCGCCAGTGGGCCCTCAAATATGTATGCGGCTTTGAAGTAATCGTGATGTGAAGATGGGGTAACTGAGGCTTAGAAGGCTAATAGCTTGCTCGAGGACATGCAGGGTGCTAGGATTTAAATACACATCATGCCTGTTTTTCAGACGAGACACAGCAGGAGAGAAGAGTGCCCTTCCTGAGGTCACATACCCAGTAGCTGCAGAGCCAGGTGGACAGTTGTCCTAGGCCTCAAACATTCTGAAACCCAAACCCACTCTCTGGCTCCTGCCTGCAGCTGTCTGGGGATAGAAAGTGTCCTCTGGGATGAAGTGCCCCCTTGGTCTCACCTCCTCTCCTTTCACCCTGTTTCCAGGTGGGTGACGGAGGAGTGGGGTGCCTGCAGCCGGAGCTGTGGGAAGCTGGGGGTGCAGACACGGGGGATACAGTGCCTGCTGCCCCTCTCCAATGGAACCCACAAGGTCATGCCGGCCAAAGCCTGCGCCGGGGACCGGCCTGAGGCCCGACGGCCCTGTCTCCGAGTGCCCTGCCCAGCCCAGTGGAGGCTGGGAGCCTGGTCCCAGGTGACTTGTCCTCAGGAGGTGGGAGGGGCTTGGGGAGGAGGTGGGTCTGAGGGATTTTTTTGGTGTTCCCTGCAGGCAAGAGAGTTTCTGCCTGAATGGCTCCCCCTACATCAAATTTTGTTTTCCTTAAAGTAGAATAGCTCCTACGTACCCTGGGCCGTGGCTCTGTGCTAGGCCTTTAGGTTCATTCATTCCTGCCAGTAAGCTTCACACAGTGCCAGGAGGCATGGGTTCATGTCCCTGTGTTCCAGATGAGCAGACTGAAGTACACTCTTGCATTCCAGAAATACTTGCTGAGCACTAGCTGTATGCCAGACCTTGTACTAAGAATGAGGGAACCTAGCATCAACCAGACAGAGCTGATTCTTGCCCTCGTGCAGCCCACAGTCCTGTGAGGGAAATGTATTAGGCCATCAACCCACAGCCAAGCACTGACAGACTGCAGTCGGAGCTGGGTGGGGAGTAGTGGGTCGATGTGGTGGAGGATGGAGGGCGGTCAGAGGGCTTCTCTGAGGAGGTGTTGCTCAAGCTGAGACCAGAGGGACAAGCCACAGGAAGAGACCAAGTCAGGAACAATTTTACAACGTTCCAGAAGCCAACAGGACAGTGGGGCTGGAGCTGACTGGGAGGGATAGGGGCTGCGAGATAACACTGGGGAGGCAGGCGGGGGTCCATGGCTACGGGCTTTGCAAGGGGTTTGCATATATTCTAAGAGCAATGGGAAACCAGGGAAGCCTTTTAACATGGGCATTACAAGCTCTGATTTCAGGTTGTAAAGATCACTCTGACGGTGCTGTGGAAGGTTGAGCGTTAGACAGTCAGGGTAGCGAAGGGGAGATAGCAGTAGCGCTGCTTAGTTATTTGGGTGCTCTGTGGCTCAGACCCTGGAGGCCACCTTCGGGAAACTGCCTTGACGAAATTGTCTTGGGTTTTCTTTTAAATACTCATTTGATGTGAACATTGAGAACATCATGCCAAGTAAAACAAGCCAAGCTGGATGCAGTGGCTCATGCCTGGAATCCCAACACTTTGGGAGGCTGAGGTGGGCAGATCTTTGGGAGGCTGATGTGGGTGGATTGCTTGAGCCCAGGAATTCGAGACCAGCCTGGGCAACAGAGCAAGACCTCGCCTCTACAAAAAATGTAAAAAGTTAGCTGGGCGTGGTGGTGTGTGCTTGTAATCCCAGCTGCTCTGGAGGCTAGGGTAGGAAGATTGCTTGAGCCCACGAGGTCAAGGCTCCAGTGAGCTATGACCATACCATGCCACTGCACTCCAGCCTGAGTGACAGAGCAAGAGCTTGTCTCACAAAAAAAAAAAAAAAAAGAAAAGAAATAAGCCAGACATCCAGACATGTAAGGACAAACACTCCATGAGGGCACTTTGCTGGTGATTTCCAGGGGCTGCTGGAGGGTGAATGAGGGGTTAGTGTTTAATAGGCGAGGAGTTTCAGTTGGGAAAGAAGAAAATGTTCTGGAAACAGATGGTGGTAATGATTGTACAACAATGGGAATGTGCTTAATGCCACTGAACCATAGACTTAAAAATAGTTAAGATGGGCTGGGCGCGGTGGCTCACGCCTGTAATCCCACCACTTTGGGAAGCCAAGGCAGGCAGATTGCCTGGGGTCACGAGTTCAAGACCAGTCTGGCCAACATGGTGAAACCCCGTCTCTACTAAAAATGCAAAAATTAGCCGGGTGTGGTGGCTGGCGTATGCCTGTAATCTCAGCTACTCGGGAGGCTGAGGCAGGAGAATCGCTTGAACCTGGGAGGCAGAGGTTGCAGTGAGCCAAGATCACGCCATTGTATTCCAGCCTGGGCGACAAGAGCGAAACTTTGTCTCAAAAAAAGAAAAAATTAGTTAAGATGGCAAACTTTATGTTATATAGATATTACCCCAATTTAAAAAACCTCATTTGATCACAATGCTGTTTATTGCAACAGCAAAACATTAGGACGTATCTCAAATGTTTATCTATAGAAGATTGGACAAAAATCATGGTCTGTTCATATAATACAGTACTATACAACAAGAAAAATGAACAGGCCTGAACTGTACTTACCAAAATAGATAAACTTCTGTTATAGAGAATACATTTAGGTGAGAAAAAGTACTTCAGTATGAAGTAAAAAAGCACTTCCAATGGATGTCATTTCCTTAATGTTTAGAGGGACACAACACAATCTGAAAATATTCTGGGATGCTCATTTATTAAGGCTGGTGGTGGCATCTGGATAGGGTTTTGTGAATAACTCCATACTTTTCTGTATTTTGAAATATTGCATTATGAATATTTGTAAAGAACCAAAAATCCACACACAACTCATGCATTTTATATGTCTCCATAATATATAGCTTCATTTGTTTTGATATAAAACAGATTGCTGGTCTTCAAAGGACCCCACAGATAAAAGTAACAGAGAGATGGCAGATAGTGGAAGATACTGGCCCTGTCGCAATAAGCAAAATATAGAGATGAATCTCTAAATTTAACTTTTATTAAGTAAGAATTGCAATTCAAGGCATACACAGAGACCGGGTGGTCTTCAGTATGTCCAAAGAACAAAGGAAAGGTTGGGGGTTTTATTAGAAAGAGACATGATATGTATTGTGTTGAACACCAACTCATTGGCACTAGACAAGCTTTTGGGAGCTGGCAAGCTCTGACTGGTGAGTGATGGTGCTATGGAAAACTAGCCGTGGAGTCACAGCAGGTTGTTTCAGCAGCTGCTAGGTAAAACTGGTCTTGGAATTACATCAGCCTGTTTCAGCAGCTGGCCCAGTGGAGAATTTAATTCTTGGAGCAGGTGCTAGGTGCCCTGAGTGCTTTTTCCCCTGGTCCCTCAACTCTGATTTAGTTGGGTGTGACAAGTATGACCCTATTCATATAATCAACTTTCACAGCCCCTTATGAGACTGACTGAGCAGTCAGGAGCTGTTAGCTGCTGTTTGTAATGATTCATCCTGGGAGGATATGCCGTGTTTGTCTCGTAGTTCTGTGTGGCCCCATGACCCTTGTGTCTCAGTGGTCACATGCTCCAGTGTGGGAAGTGGGGTCCTGCAAATTCCTCTCCTTCCAGCTAGATAAGGCTGTGGTCAGCATCTAAAAGGTGACCCAGTCACACTGGGCAACGCTGCTTTCCTGGAGTCCCTGCCCCTCCATTGAGGACCTCCACATTCCCTGTTTGTCAGAGTTAGAGTGGGTCAGGTCCAGGGGACGATGTGTGTGGCCACCCCCTGCAAACGGTGGTCCTCGGTCCTCTGGTGCCTCCTGCTCCTTGTACCCGCACCCTGCTCCATCAGGGAAGAAGACACTTTTGAACATACTTCTGCAGGCCCATGTTTGGTAAATCAAGTCACAAGATTATTGACTATCAGAGCTAGTCAGAGGAGGGTCCATGGAGACCCTGTCGCCCAGCTCTCTGTTTACAGAGTAAGACACTGAACCAGGGGTGGGGGGTAGCAGAAGCCACAATCCAGGCCCCTATATCCTGTTAATAGGATATCATCACATCAATCCACCTGCCCAGGTCACACCATGTAGTGGATTGCAACAGGGGAGTTTGCTAGAGTGATACACAAAATATTAAAGAACCCAGGCACAGACCAGACACAGTGCATGCAGGTGGTAGTAGGGAATGGGGTCCCAGAGGTTCCCTCCTGAGCCAGAGATTAACCGTTTAGATTGTGGAAAGGCCCATGGAGTTCTAGGCTCAGGGCAATGGCTCTTCACCATTGGTATCAGGACTATTTGGCAACAGGTACAGTGTCCCACTGAGGCTCCTTAGAAGCAGTCCTTGCATGTCCCTCTGGTCAAGTGAAGACTTGGTGCTCTCCTTTGTACCCTTTCTGTCCCCGGGCACTGGCTGGGCTCTGAGCTCACTGACTCGTCTTTCTTCTCTCCACCTACCCTGACCCCGGCCGCTATGCCTGGCACTGACCCACCCACGGCAGTGCTCTGCCACCTGTGGAGAGGGCATCCAGCAGCGGCAGGTGGTGTGCAGGACCAACGCCAACAGCCTCGGGCATTGCGAGGGGGATAGGCCAGACACTGTCCAGGTCTGCAGCCTGCCCGCCTGTGGAGGTGAGCCAGAGGGGATGGGGAGGCCAGGTCCAGTCCCTTGGGCCAAAGTCCCAAATACTAGAATTGCTTCTTCCTGCTCACAGGAAATCACCAGAACTCCACGGTGAGGGCCGATGTCTGGGAACTTGGGACGCCAGAGGGGCAGTGGGTGCCACAATCTGAACCCCTACATCCCATTAACAAGATATCATCAAGTAAGTACAGTCTATGGACCCTACCCTGCTCCCCAGACCTTTCAGTGGCCCTGGTGTTGCAGCATGGGCCACTCAGTGGAGCAAACCCAGCTTGTAGCTGTCTGTGTGACCTTCACCTCCCTGAGCCTCAGATACCTCAGTTATGAAGTGGGGAGGAGGCTCTACTGGTCCATGAGCCGTTACCTGCAATTCCAAAATGTTTATTTCTAAGTTTGGTGCAAACTTACCTGGCAGCAAAATCTGACCTGAACTAATGAGATCATTTATTCTTTTGATATAGAAATTTAGCCATATTTAGTTACAAGGTGATATCTCAGGCTCCATTGAGGATGTTCTATAATATAAACACAGAATATAATGTTTCTGATCCCAAAAGTTCTGAATTCTGAACTATATCTGGTTCCAATATTTTCAGACAAGCAATTGTAGATATGAGCTGCCTTCATAGGGCTGGTGAGATAATTGGATGAGAGAATGCATGCACTCCTGTCTGGCTGTCAGCTTCCAGTAACAATAGGCCTAGCAATTTCTCTCAGCCCCATGATTCAGTTCATCCTCCCATCTTTCCATTCATCCACCCACGGATAGATATTTACTGAGCAACTGCTACGTGCCAGGCTGTAGATTCTTCACTCCTTTCCTAGGTTCCATCTCTCTTTTCCTTCCTCACCCTCCCTAGGACCAGGGTCTGGCAAGATGAGTAGCAGAAAGATCAAAGACCCTAACTCCTAGTTAGAGGACCAGTTGGCTGCAAATTCGTTAACCTCTCTGAGCTTAGTGACCTCATCTGTAAGATAAGGTTCTGACTAGATGTCCTCAAAGGACCTTCTACCTCCAATCTTCTACTTCTCTGCTCCTAGGCTGAGGTTCTGACTGGGGGAGTGCCTGGGTTTCCTGCCGTCTTCCTTCCCAAAGCAAAGGACGATTCCGATTCTGGTTCCAGAAATCTGGCGCCATCTAGAGGCCACTGGCTTTCCATTTTTCTCTGATCTTTCTCTTGTTCCCCTAAGCCTGCCCCTCCACCTGTGTCTCTCTTTCCCTCTGTCCCTCCCACTCTTCCCACCTCCCTCTTTCTCTCTCTCTCTCTGGCAAAAATTAGTAGAAAGCAAAGCTCCTGCCTTCACATTCTGTCTGGAGAAGCCTACATGGAGTTATCACAGAAAGGTGTGATATTTTGGGCAAAGCAAACTAGTGTAATGAGCACTTATCTTTGCCAGGTGCTTTAAAGATGTTGTTTGCAATGTTATTATTCACTGGTAAGGGTCAACATCAGCCCCATTTTATAGGTGAAGCAACTGAGGCTTGGAGGGTTTAAGTGACTTGCCAAAGGCCTCACACTTTTAAGTGGTAGAGCCTGGATTTGAACTGAAATCTGCTTGATTCCAAATTAAGCAGTAGCAGTCTTAATGTCCCGATGTGTGCTGACTGTGGCAGGATGGTCAGTCTGCCTGTCCCAAGCATGAGTTGCCTGGGGTCTAGCCTGACCCTGGCTGGAGTGGGGCCAGACTCCTTGGGTTGATTGGGAGGGGCTAGGGTTCCCACTTCCATCCAGAGCAGCTGCAAGTTAGAAGCACCTGGTGGTAGGTCACACCCTAGATTGTCCAGTGTGTGGGTGAAGGAGACAGGCACCCCCAAGGATTCCAGTGTGCAGCAGGGCTGAGGGCGAATGGCGAAGGGCCAGGGTTCTCAGATGCGCCCACACGTGGAGTCCCCTGGAGGGCTTGTGAAAGCACAGCGCTGAGCCCCAGCCTGAGTTTCTGATGCAATAGGGCTGGGTGGTGCTGGAGGATGTGCATTGCCAGCAAGCTTCCAGGTGACGCTGCTGCTGCTGCGTGTGGGGACATCACTTTGAGATCTGCTGCTCTAGGGGATTTTACTTCCTCTTCCATGTAGTCAGGGCTGACTCTCCCGTCAGGTGGCTCTGTAGCCCCCACCCTGAGAAAAAGCTTTATAGTGGGTCCAGCAGGGGCAGGGGTGGAGGGCGGGCAGTCAGTGGGTAAGTGGGAGGGGGGGCCACCTGACTGACAGGCATCCCCACGTTGCTTCCATCCTTGTCCTTGTGCTGTGTGTGCAGCGGAGCCCTGCACGGGAGACAGGTCTGTCTTCTGCCAGATGGAAGTGCTCGATCGCTACTGCTCCATTCCCGGCTACCACCGGCTCTGCTGTGTGTCCTGCATCAAGAAGGCCTCGGGCCCCAACCCTGGCCCAGACCCTGGCCCAACCTCACTGCCCCCCTTCTCCACTCCTGGAAGCCCCTTACCAGGACCCCAGGACCCTGCAGATGCTGCAGAGCCTCCTGGAAAGCCAACGGGATCAGAGGACCATCAGCATGGCCGAGCCACACAGCTCCCAGGAGCTCTGGATACAAGCTCCCCAGGGACCCAGCATCCCTTTGCCCCTGAGACACCAATCCCTGGAGCATCCTGGAGCATCTCCCCTACCACCCCCGGGGGGCTGCCTTGGGGCTGGACTCAGACACCTACGCCAGTCCCTGAGGACAAAGGGCAACCTGGAGAAGACCTGAGACATCCCGGCACCAGCCTCCCTGCTGCCTCCCCGGTGACATGAGCTGTGCCCTGCCATCCCACTGGCACGTTTACACTCTGTGTACTGCCCCGTGACTCCCAGCTCAGAGGACACACATAGCAGGGCAGGCGCAAGCACAGACTTCATTTTAAATCATTCGCCTTCTTCTCGTTTGGGGCTGTGATGCTCTTTACCCCACAAAGCGGGGTGGGAGGAAGACAAAGATCAGGGAAAGCCCTAATCGGAGATACCTCAGCAAGCTGCCCCCGGCGGGACTGACCCTCTCAGGGCCCCTGTTGGTCTCCCCTGCCAAGACCAGGGTCAACTATTGCTCCCTCCTCACAGACCCTGGGCCTGGGCAGGTCTGAATCCCGGCTGGTCTGTAGCTAGAAGCTGTCAGGGCTGCCTGCCTTCCCGGAACTGTGAGGACCCCTGTGGAGGCCCTGCATATTTGGCCCCTCTCCCCAGAAAGGCAAAGCAGGGCCAGGGTAGGTGGGGGACTGTTCACAGCCAGGCCGAGAGGAGGGGGGCCTGGGAATGTGGCATGAGGCTTCCCAGCTGCAGGGCTGGAGGGGGTGGAACACAAGGTGATCGCAGGCCCAGCTCCTGGAAGCCAAGAGCTCCATGCAGTTCCACCAGCTGAGGCCAGGCAGCAGAGGCCAGTTTGTCTTTGCTGGCCAGAAGATGGTGCTCATGGCCATACTCTGGCCTTGCAGATGTCACTAGTGTTACTTCTAGTGACTCCAGATTACAGACTGGCCCCCCAATCTCACCCCAGCCCACCAGAGAAGGGGGCTCAGGACACCCTGGACCCCAAGTCCTCAGCATCCAGGGATTTCCAAACTGGCGCTCACTCCCTGACTCCACCAGGATGGCAACTTCAATTATCACTCTCAGCCTGGAAGGGGACTCTGTGGGACACAGAGGGAACACGATTTCTCAGGCTGTCCCTTCAATCATTGCCCTTCTCCGAAGATCGCTCCTGCTGGAGTCGGACATCTTCATCTTCTACCTGGCTCAAGCTGGGCCAGAGTGTGTGGTTCTCCCAGGGGTGGTTGGACCCCAGGACTGAGGACCAGAGTCCACTCATAGCCTGGCCCTGGAGATGACAAGGGCCACCCAGGCCAAGTGCCCCAGGGCAGGGTGCCAGCCCCTGGCCTGGTGCTGGAGTGGGGAAGACACACTCACCCACGGTGCTGTAAGGGCCTGAGCTGTGCTCAGCTGCCGGCCATGCTACCTCCAAGGGACAGGTAACAGTCTTAGATCCTCTGGCTCTCAGGAAGTGGCAGGGGGTCCCAGGACACCTCCGGGGTCTTGGAGGATGTCTCCTAAACTCCTGCCAGGTGATAGAGGTGCTTCTCACTTCTTCCTTCCCCAAGGCAAAGGGGCTGTTCTGAGCCAGCCTGGAGGAACATGAGTAGTGGGCCCCTGGCCTGCAACCCCTTTGGAGAGTGGAGGTCCTGGGGGGCTCCCCGCCCTCCCCCTGTTGCCCTCCCCTCCCTGGGATGCTGGGGCACACGCGGAGTCATTCCTGTGAGAACCAGCCTGGCCTGTGTTAAACTCTTGTGCCTTGGAAATCCAGATCTTTAAAATTTTATGTATTTATTAACATCGCCATTGGACCCCAAAAGGTTGTGTGTGTGTTTCTTTTTCTCTCTCTGATTTATGGGAAGGGGACAATGAAGCCAGAGCTCGAAGGTTGAGGGCTGGGCTGTAGCAAGAGAACTGGGGGTGGGGGCGCAGCTCACTGTGGCTGTCTCCTGTCCCTCCACCTTTCCACCCATGCCCTGCTGCGTCACTGCCAGGTGGGACACAGGGTTGCCACTGGTTTCTTGGCTACTGAATCTCCTGTTTCCCTGAGGCCCAAGTTCCAGGACAACACTTTATTTCAGGTTATTGTGAAATTCTCAACCTGTTTAAATGCAACTAGAGGCCAGTGGGGCAGAGTGGCTCATGCCTGTAATCCCAGCACTTTTGGAGGTGGGAGTTCCAGACCAGCCTGAGCAACATAGCAAGATCCCGTCTCAACAAAAAATAAAAAGAACATTAGCCAGGCGTGGTGTTGCACGCCTGTGGTCTCAGCTATTTAGGAGGTGGAAGTGAGAGGATCCCTTGAGCCCAGGAGTTTGAGGCCACACTGAGCTGTGATTGCGCCATGGCACTCCAGCCTGGGTGACAGAGCATGACCCTGTCTCAAAAACAAAAAAGAACAACAAGAGGGGCTCTCTAAAGGAATCTTAGCAACCACAGAACAAAGAGACTGTCACTGAAAGCAAAATGACTGCAACCACTTTTGCCTTCTAAGCAGTGGCAGAATTTGTGTCATGGAGTAAAAGAATCTACACTGCTGGGCACTTAGAAAAGGTGAAGCTGGCAAAAGGGCTTCTTGTCATTGTGCAGAGCTCACTCCTCCCCTTAAGGCCGAGGAGAAAATGGTTTGGAGACTCCTACCCCCGTGGGGGTGGGAACACAGAGAGGGCAGCCTCTCCATCTGTCTTTGGCTGGGGGCTTTTTAGGATGCAGGTTGTCTAATATGTCTAAGGTTCAATTAAATTTCTGTTGCCATCTCCCCAAACATCTGGAAATGTCCACTCTCCAAATTGAGGGCTTTTTATGGGTCAGGATTTTTGCTTGTTTTGGTGGAAACTGAGAAAATGAAAGGATTCACGGGTGAAGATAGAGGAACAGCACCAAGGGCCCTCTTTCCATCGCAGCCTCAGAAACATCCCTCACTTCCTGTAGGAGCCCAGTGGGAAAGGCCATATGGGAATGGTCTCACCTCTTCCTGCCCTAAACGGTTTCCTGTTTGGAGTCTGGTGGGTGCAGGTGCCAGGGTGCCAGATTGCCTGTCTCTTCCCTGGAGGGGATTCTCCAGGCCACTCTGACTTCAAGGCTTTATCCACACCTGCCCCATGCTTGGCAGAGCCCTGCCGCAGTGACAGCCAGGTGCCCAGAGTCTAGCCTATCAGCCCCGACTGGCTTCCAGAGCCTTTGCCCTGGTCTGCCAAGCTTCCTCAACCCATAGCCAGGGGCCAGCACACCTGTCATTTTGGAGGAAGCCCCCTGAAGTTCCAGCATCTCCTTGCCCTTGGGGTCAGTAGGGACAGTGCTGCACAGAGTCACCCTTAGCCTCCTGTTCAAAGAGCCTGGGAAGTCCTCACCATGGCTGTCTTCTGTGTCCAGATGGCCTCCTTGAGGTTCCAGCCTGTGACTTCATTTGGGCTAGTAAGGCCTGAAAGCTCCTGGTGGAGAAGGGATCGGGGGGATGGCAAGGGTTTAGGGACAGCAGGAGACTTACCTTCCCATTCCTCCAGAGGAGAAAAGGGGCAATTGGAGCCTCATCATGTTCCTGGGCAATAGACTGGCCTCTGGGCCCTTTTTTGATTTACCCTCCTGGTGAAACTCCAGGCCTTCCACCTGAAATGACACAGCAGGCAGGGGAAGAGGGGAAGGCACAGAGCCTGGGCCATCTGACCTGGAACTCTGTGGGCTCTTCCAAAGAGCCCCTGCTCCCTACCTGGCTTCAGGAGACTGAAGGCTTGGGGGAAGGTAGGGGTCTGGGGGGAGGAGGGAAAGAGCAAGAAGGGGTGGAAATGTAGCTGGGGCAGTCCCAGGGACCCAGCTGCCACAGATTAGAAATCTCTGGGGCCTACACCACAAATCTTCTCCTTTAAAAAATTATGCAAGAAATATATGCTCATTATTGAAAAATTTTACAACCTGAGGAAAAAAAATCTATAATTCTACTTAGCAATAACCACTGTTAATAATTTAGTTATCCATTCCAGATGTGTGCATGTGCAAGATTGTTTGTGTCTGTACACACACACATGCACGCTGGGTGAGTATTATTAATACTATACACATACACGTCATCTGGGATCTTCTCCCCCTCCTACTCCACCTACAGCAATACAATAAGAACACGTTTCCATCCTGAGCTACGTTGAACTACGTATTTTTTTTTTTTTGACAGAGTTTCGTTCTTGTTGCCCAGGCTGGAGTGCAATGGTGCGATCTCGGCTCACTGCAACCTCTGCCTCCCAGGTTCAAGTGATTCTCCTGCCTCAGCCTCCCGAGTAGCTGGGATTACAGGCATGCACCGCCACTCCTGGCTAATTTTGGATTTTTAGTAAAGATGGGGTTTCTCCATGTTGGTTAGGCTGGTCTTGAACTCCCAACCTCAGGTGATCTGCCTGCCTCAGCCTCCCAAAGTGCTGGGATTATAGGCATGAGCCACCGTGCCCAGCCACGTCTTCATTTTTAATGACTGCACAGTACCCCACGGTATGGCTAGATGACCATTTATTTAACCAAATCCCCCAGTACCATAAACTTCCTGTACAGCCTGTGGAACCATGAGCCAACTAAACCTCTTTTATTTATGAATTACCCAGTCTCAGGTAGTTCTTTGTAGCAATGTGAGAATGGACTAATACAGAAAATTGGTACCAGAGAAATGAGGCATTGCTATAAAGATAACTGAAAATGTGGAAGCGACTTTGGAAGTAGGTAACAGGAAGAGGCTGGAACAGATTGAAGGGATCAGAAGAAGACTGGAAGAGGTGAGAATGTTTGGAACTTCCTAGAGATTTGTTGAATGTTGTGAACAAAATGCTGATAGTGATATGGACAGTGAATTCCAGGCTGAGGAGGTCTCAGTTGGAGATGAGAAATTTATTGAGAACTGTAGTAAAAGTCACTCTTGCTATGCTTTAGCAAAGAGACAGGGAGTATTGTGCCCCTGCTCTAGAAATCTGTGGAACTTTGAATTTGAGAGAGATGATTTAGGGTATCTGGTGGAGGAAATTTCTAAGCAGCAGTGTTCCAGAGGTGTCCTAGCTACTTCTAACAGCATGTACTCATATGCGTTCACCAATACATGGTCTGAAATTGGAACTTACATTTAAAAGGAAAGCAGAGCATAGCAGTTTAAAACATTTGTAGCCTGACCATGTGGCAGAAAGACCCATTTTCTTGGGAAAAATTCAAGCCAGCTGTAGAAATTTGCATAAGTAGAGGAGCCAAATGTTAATAGCCAAGACAATGGTGAAGATGTGTCGAGGGAGTTTCAGAGGTCTTCATGGCAGCCCCTCCCATCACAGGCCTGGAGGCCTAGGAGGGAAAATGGTTTCATGGGCTAGGCCAAGGGCCCCACTGTCTTGCTCAGCCTCAGGACATGGCACCCTGAGTCCCAGTCGCTCCAGCTCCAGCCATGACTAAGGTCCCCAAATACGTCTCAGGCTGCTGCTCCAGTGGGTGCAAGCCATAAGAAGCCTTGGTGGCTTTCATGTGGTATTGGCCCTGCAGGTGCACGGAGGGCAAGAGTTGAGGCTTGGGAGTCTCTGCCTAGATTTAAGAGGATGTATGGAAATGCCTGGATGTCCAGGCAGAAGTCTGCTGCAGGGGCAGAGCCCTCATGGATAACCTCTACTAGGGCAGTGCAGAAGGGAAATGTGGGGTTGGAGTCCCCACACAGAGTCCTTACTGGGGCACTGCCTAGTGGAGCTGTGAGAAGAGTGCGCCGTCCTCCAGACCCCAGAATGGTAGATCCACTAACAGCTTGCACCACGCTCCTGGAAAAGCTGCAGGCACTCAATGCCGGCCTGTGAAAGCAGCCAAGTGTGCTGTAACTGGCAGAGCCACAGTGGTGGACCTGCCCAATGCCTTAGAAGCCCACTTCTTGTCTCAGTGTAGCCTAAATGTGAGACATGGAGTCAAAGGAGATTATTTTGGAGCTCTAAGATTTAATGACTGCCCTTCTGGGCTTCAGACTTGCATGGGGGCCTGTAGCCTCTTTGTTTTGACCAATTTCTCCCATTTGGAATGGAAGCATTTACCCACTGCCTGTACTTCCATTGTATCTTGGAAGTAACTAACTTGCTTTTGATTTTACAGGCTCATAGGTGGAAGGGACTTGCTTAGTCTCAGGTGAGACTTTGGACTTTTGAGTTAATGCTGGAATAAGTTAAGGCTTTGAGGGACTGTTGGGAAGACATGACTGTGTTTTGAAATGTGAAAAGGACATGAGATTTGGGAGGGGCCAGGGGTGGAATGATATGGTTTGGATTTGTGTCCCCACCCAAATCTCATGTTGAATTGTATTCCTCAATGTTGGAGGAGGGACCTGGTGGGAAGTGATTGGATCATGAAGGCAGATTTCCCCCTTGCTATTCTCATGATAGTGAGTTCTCATGATCCAGTTGTTTGAAACTGTGTAGCATCTCCCCTTTCACTCTCTTTCCTGCCATGCTGTGAAGACATGCTTGCTTCCCCTTCACCCTTCTGCCATGATTGTAAGTTTCCTAAGCCATGCCTTCTGTATAGCCTCTGGAACCATGAGTCAATGAAACCTCTTTTCTTTATAAATTACCCAGTCTCGGGTAGTTCTTTATAGCAGTGTGAGAATGGATTAATACATACATTTATTTAAGCAAAAAGAGAAAGGTAAATTTAAATAAACATTAAGGAAGCGTATAGGTGGTAGATACTTCTAACAAGGCTGGGTGTAGTGGCTCACACCTGTAATCCTAGCGCTTTGGGAGGTGGAGGTGGGCAGATCACTTGAGCCCAGAAGTTCAAGACCAGCCTGGGCAACACAGGGAGACCCTGTCTCTACACAAAAATGCAAAAATTAGCCAGGCATGGTGGCATGTGCCTGTAGTCCCAGCTACTGAGGAGGCTGAGGTGGGAGAATTGCTTGAGTCCAGGAGTTTGAGACTGCAGTGAGCTGCACTCCAACCTGGGCCACAGAGTGGAACATGTCTCAAAAAAGAAAGAAAGAGAGAAAGAAAGAAAGAGAGAAAGAAAGAAAGAAAGAAAGAAAGAAAGAAAGAAAGAAAGAAAGAAAGAAAGAGAGAGAAAGAAAAAACCAGGTATACCAAAATTCATGATGGGGTGTGGGAATGGCTCAAGTTTAGAAACCAAGGGCTCTTGTCAGTCACTCAGAGCCAGGACCTGTAGTTTGGTGAATCTGGATTTCAATTCTGAAACCTCTGCTTACCAGCTATATGACCTTAGATTATTGTGGATCCTTTTCATCACATGTGACACAAAAATCAACTGCTTTTGTGCATTCATTCTCATAGCAGCATTATTCACAATAGACAAAAAGTGGAAACAACCCAAGTGTCCATTGATGGATGAATGGATAAACGTTAGGTGGTATATTCATACAAGAGACTGTCATTTGGCTAAAAAAGGAAGGAAATTGGCTGGGCATGGTGGCTCACGCCTGTAACCCCAGCACTTTGGGAGGCTGAGGTGGGCAGATCACCTGAGGTTAGGAGTTCAAGATCAGCCTGACTAACATGGTGAAACCCTGTCTCTACTAAAAATACAAAATTAGCCCGGCATGGTGGCGCATGCCTGTAATACCAGCTACTCGGGAGGCTCAGGCAGGAGAATTGCTTGAACCTGGGAGACAGAGGTGGCAGTGAGCCAAGATCACGCATTGCACTCCAGCCTGGGCAACAACAGTGAAACTCTGTCAAAAAAAAAAAAAAAAAAAAAAAAAAAGGAGGGAAATTCTAACATATACTGCAGGATGGCTGAATAGTGAGGACATTATGCTAAGTGAAATCAGCCAGTCACAGAAGGACAAATACTGTATGATTCTACTTAAGTGAGGTACCTAGAGCAGTCAATACCATAGAGACAGAGCATAAAATGGTGTTGCCAGGAACTGGGAGAGGAGAGAATGGGGAGTTATTGTTTAATGGGCATAGAGTGTTAGCTTTGCAAGATGAAAAGAATTCTGTGGACAGATGGGAGTGATGGTGGCACAGCGATGTGAATCTACTTAATGCCACTGAACTGTGTATTTTAAAATGGTTAAGGTGGTAAATTTTATGTAGAAAAATATACATAAAAATCAACTATTGGATGGGCAAGGAATTTTATTGCCTCACACATGGAGAAGGGTGGGGAAGAATCAGGAGCCTCAGGTGTGACTGTATCCAGGGCTTTGTCCCCATGGAACAATGATGGAATTCTCTGATACTCCAACCTTCCTTCCCCCGAAAAAACATTTCCAAGGACAGAATGTGATTGGCCCAGCTTGGGTTACATGCTTATCCTACCCCTAACCAGTCCTGTTGATACAGGAGGTAGAAATTATTTAGGCAGATAGTGAGGGTAAAAGAGTCCCCAGCAGAGCTTCCCTTTTAACAAAAAACAGCCCAATAATTATTTTTTTCTAACAAAGAGTAGCCTGAAAAATCGAGCTGCAAGCACAGATAAACAAGCTGGAAGCTTGTAACGGGGAATGATGGCAGCTGTGCCAATAGAAAAGGGCTACCTGGGAGCCAGGCATGTCCAACATGGAGGCTCCATCTTCCCTTTTTTTTGTTATCATGTGTACAGTAAAGGAATGGGCAACCTGGCGCAGGCCAGGCAGAGGCCTGCATAATAAAAGATTAGGGTGAGGGTGGCCAGAAATTCTCACCCTGTGCAAATGGCACACCTAGTCCTAACCAGTTTTTCGTGCCCTATGCAAAGGCACACCTGCTCCAACCAATCTTTCCCACTCTATGTAAGTCAGACACCGCCTCCTCAACCTCATCTATAAAACCACCTGCATTTCACCATGGAACCAGCAACCCATTTCTCTGGGACGACTGTCTGCAGCAGAGAGCTCTTCTCTTTCTTTCACCTATTAAAACTTCCACTCTTAACCTCACTCTTTGTGTGTCTGTGTCCTTGATTTCCTTGGCTGTGAGACAATAAACCTTAGGTATCACCCTAGACAATGAGGCTGCTTCACTATGTGAAGGGATGGGGGGCTTTGGTTGGACAGTGCTAGGTTTCACATTCCTGGATAGCCAAGAACAAGGGCTACCTCCATGGCTAAGGAGACTGAGTCCCAGGAAGGACCTAGAGCCTTCAGAGAAAAGATGAAAGGGAAAATCTGTCTCCATGCTTCAGGGAGAGAAGCAGGGGAAAGGGAGAAGAGAACTTCCAGGGCCTGGAGACAGAGAAAATTTAGGAGTGACCAGGAAGTGGCCATGGCATCCTGACCCCCATGAGAAATCACTCGGATACCCAAGAGGACAGGGAGCACCTTGGGGAGCAGGGCCTAGAGACTCTCCTGAACATGGCCGCATCATTCTTACATGCGCTGCTGCTGGGGAGACAACCCCAGTGGAAGAGGGGCGAGGGCCTTTAAAAACAAGGTGGCTTAATGTTGAACGTGAAGCTGTTTACTTAACAGCAAATCCCTATCCATCACTAATCTTGATTGAAGCCTGCTGTACAGAAAAGTTTTGTGTGAATGGAGTGTTTGGGAAAATCCAGAGGGACTGAATCTATCTGAATGAATGTAAGGTAGGGTAGTGTTGCAAGCATAGAATGGAGCCGCAATCCATGGAACTAAGTCCACTTACTTCATTAACTAAGCCAGTAAAATAGCAGCTCAGAGCCACAGGGGACAATGACCTTGTAAATCCTCAATGCCTCCTCCCATCCCAATTTTCCAGGGAATTTGCAGAAATGTCATGGAAGACATTGGACTTCCCAGAGAGTCTTCTCTAGATCTTATGATTTCAGAAATGTAACCACAGCTTTTGGCTAGGGTGGGTAAGGCAGTATAATACAGTTTTGTTTTGTTTTGTTTTGTTTTGAATTCTGAGACGGAGTCTCGCTCTGTTGCCCAAGCTAGAGTGCACTGGCATGATCTTGGCTCACTGCAACCTCTACCCCTCAGGTTGAAGTGATTCTCCTGCCTCAGCCTCCTGAGTAGCTGGGATTGCAAGCATCCACTACCATGCCTGGCTAATTTTTGTATTTTTAGTAGAGATGGTGTTTCGCCATGTTGGTCAGGCTTGTGTTGAACTCCTGATCTCAGGTGATCCGCCCACCTCAGCCTCCCAAAGTCCTGGGATTACAGGCGTGAGCCACCGCGCCCGGCCAGAATGCAGGTTTTAGGAGCAGGGATTCTGGAGCCAGACACCCAGGCTCTGCCACTTGTTAACTGTAGGACTTTGGACAAGTTGTTTCACCTGCATGTGTGTAGATATGTACTGCATATAAAGCACATAGAACAATTCACACTGTGCTCATCACCAGCTTTTACCTAAGTCGCTGCCTCTGTGCCCAGCACACACAAAAATAGAAACTCAATAATTGGCAACAGTGATCCTTCTAAGGAGGCCTACACGTTCCCCGACCTCTGCTCTACCCTACCCAGAGTCCTGTGTGTCTCAGCTCCAGGAGGGGCAGAGTCCTTTCTCAGGATGCCCCAACTGCCATCTGCCCTTCAGTTCTCTAGAACATAAAAGGACCAGGGAAGCCCCACGTGGAGGTAGCACTTGGGCTTTCCCATGGGAGTGGGGAGTAGGGATGGTTCCGTGCAGCCCATCTCTCTCTTGGCATCAGTGACCCCAACCAAGCACAGGCCTCCCACTGCTAGGAAAGCAGAACTGTCCTCTCTCAGGGAAGACGGTTTTATTTAGTAAGAGTTTTCACGGTAGGGAATCAGGTACTGCTGTGAAGGTGGTGGAGACAGAAACACCCCTGAACCCTTGGGGCTGCTCTTGAGCAAGGCAGGTGCAAGTGTTAGGGCCCCTCAGCTCTCTGCCCTCGGCTTCGATGTCTTCTTCTCTGTGTTCTGGCTTGAATGCATCTGGAGGACTTGAGCTTCTCCAATGTACTCTAGTGGGAGGAGAGACAGCAGGCAGGAGAGGACCGGGAAGGTGGGGCCCCCACCTGGGAGCTGCAGGTGGATGTGTGAGTGCTGAGGGGAAGGTCTGAGTCAAGCCCAGCTCCTGCTCTCAGCTCTGCTGGTGACCGAGGAGGGAATCCAACCTGAGAGGAATGGAGCGAATGGAATCCAACCTCTCTTCTTTCAACATCCAAGTAACAAATATCAATGAGATGCCTACTCTGTGCCTCTCTGCCAGGCACTCTGGACCTTTGATGGTCTAATCAGGGAGAATAATATACATTGAGGATGTGTTTCCTTTTCTCTCCCCTCCAGCCTGCTGCCACCCCTGCCCCCCACTCTAGTCTAAGGCACCAGGATGACTGCAGCAGCCTCTCCTTGGTCTCCCTCACCCATTCTTGTCCCCCATAGTCCGTGCTGCACACAGTAGCCAGAGGGGGCATGCACACCCTGCTCATAACCCTCTTCTACACCCATGCACACACCTGGCCTTTACCGCAGGCCAGCTCCTCCCACCTGTCTCATGCCTCCCTTACCACTGTCCCCCACCCAGAAGGCCCCAGCCACCATGGTCTGCTTGTTTTTCCACCAGCACACCAAGAGGTGGGAGCTTTGCTGGTTGGCTCTTCCTAGACTTGGGTAGAGCTGTATCTTTCCTGCCGTTCAGCTCTAGGAGCCCTCTCCCCACCTGCCAGTCCTTCTCACTACTGACCACAGAGCCTTGTTATTCTCCTTACAGTATCTGTCTCCACTCCTCCCCAGGTGTTTTAATTTGTTGTCTGTATTCCTCCTTGCTGGGATGTAAGTTCCGTGACAGCAGGAACTTGTCTGAATTCTTCCTCACTGATCCCCAGAGTTCAGCACATTGTGGGTGCTCGATAAATATTTGTTAAAGAATGAATATGAATAAGTGAATGAATAGATGAAATGAGCAGCATCCTTGGGCAGGGACTCATCTCCAAGTTGACTGGAATCCCCTGAGAAATCCAGCCAGAGTGGGCCTTGGTGAGTCCCCCAAATGACCCACTACTTGGAATCTTACCTGGTTTTTCGCTTTTTGTAAAAGGTGATATCTTCGTTTTCTTCGGGGATTGACTGTGACCAAATACAAAGAAGGGGCTGGGAAGGTCATGCTGGAAACCTGACCCCACGGGTGGCAGGGGAGACAGGGAGGTGGGGAAGGTGGTGCAGGTGCAGTCAGCTGTCTGCTCCAGGGAGAGGCAAGAGTCACCCCTCCTGGAGGGCCAGAAAACATCTGTCCATGACTAGCACCCAGGTGGCCTTCCTGTATCACCCCAGGCCAGACCCAGACAACTGTGGCCCTGCCGTCTGCAGTTAGTTCCACTGGGAAGCAAGGCCCTCCTGTCTCTGGAGAAACAGGGCATGGACTCTGCATCAGCCCTCCCCCTAGCCCTGACTCACTCGCTCCACTGGTTTCCTTGTGGACTTCCCTTTGAGTGGGCAAGACAAGAACCCTGCGTCTTGAATGAATTCAAAGTATGAAAGATGCTCTTCCGTCTTGCATTGGGCTTTACATCTCCCCATGCCTTTTTATGTGCCCGATGTTATTTTCCCTCCCTACGACTCTGGGAGGGGGCTTTTGAGAGATAGTTGAAGCTGATGATCGCAGCTGGGAGGTGGTTTGCCCAAGGTCACAGTGAAGCCTGTCTTCCTCGCTAGGCCGTTCCTCCTCTGCTCTCTCAGAGTGGAAGGGAACACCAAGTCCAAGGCCTTGCAAGAACCCATGACTTCAAGAAACCTCAGTCCACCCCTACCCCTGCTTCTTCTCACCAAGCCCACCCATGCTCCAGACACCTCAAACTTGTCATTCCCCAGTTGTATACCTTCCTGACTTCCATGCCTTCACCCAGGCTGGTCCCACTTCCCGGGATGACCTTTTCCCAAGCTTTCATTTGCTCAGTCAAATCCTACCACTCCTATCAGTGTTTCCCAAACTCTGTTGGAAACACTCAGGTGACTGTTAAAAATACAGGCCCCCCCGGCTTCACCCCGGCCTGCTATGTTAGAATCTTTAGGGGTCTGCATTTTTAACAAGCTCCCGGGGAGAATCTGAGTGCTGCTGGCTTTGGGAGTCAGTCGGGTCCAAGACTGAATCCCAGCCCTTCTGCCGACCAGTCAGGTTACTTTGGGTAGGCCATTCTATTGTTCCTGAGCCTCAGTTTTCCCATCTGTAAAATGGAGCTAATACTGCCTCAGTGGGTTGTTGGATGGACTAGAAAAACGTGGAACACCCAGCGGTGTCAGGCAAACTTATCGCTGCTCAGTGGCCTTGCTGACTCTCAGGCTCCACTCACCTGCCTTGTGAGGCCTCCCCCAGTTCGTAATTAATCTTTCTCTTCCAGCCATCAGGGCACTTAGTACTGGTATAAAACCACTGCCTTGTGTTAGCATTTTCTCTCTACTCATGTCTTCCCATAGACCAAAGAGCTTCTGAAGAGTTAGGTGTGGCTAATCCAGCCTTATCTGGTTAAAATTGACTCCGGTGGCCCCCTTGGGGTGTCCCCAGCCCTGGCAGTTTGGGGGCTGGTCTGGCTGTGTTGGCCTTGAAGTGGCTTGGGTAGCACTAGAAGGTCCCTGGGGGAGGGGCTGGGCCTCTGCCTCCAGGACAGACTTAGTCAGCCCAGACCCTGGTCAGCGCCAGGCTCCCTTCTCCAGGTCCCACTGGCCTCACCTGGGAGGACAGAAGGCTGCAGAAGGGCAGGGCGGGGTGCGGGGCCCACCTGCAGGGTGGCTCTTGCTTCTCTTGAGGAGGTTCATGCACTTCTGGAAGCTGGCTTAGGAGCTTTTCTGTAGGGATGGAGACTAGGGGCTGGGGAAGGAGCTGAGCCACTGCTGTCTGCAGGAGTCCCAGAGCGAGGTCTTTTTCTGAAAGCACAGCCCGGGGGCAGTGTCCTCAGCCCCCAGCCCCCTTCCTGTCCCTGTGGCGGGGCCAGAAGCAGGGCCTCCATCCAGGGCAGCTTTCTCTAAGCATCCCACCTTCTGCCCTCAGGTCCCCTCGGGAGAGCTCCCCCTTCTCTCCTGGCCCATGTGTGCAGAGCCCCTAGCCCTTTCACATCCCTGTCCTGCCACATGAGGATGTGTACGCCTTGTTCTTGGCCCCAGCTGGCCCTCCTGCCCACCATATCCCCGGGCCCACGCTGGGAAGTCTACTGGGGACCTGCCTTCCTCCTCCCCCTTCTCCTTCACTCTCCTGTCCAGGAAGTCTTCTCCAATTAGCTTCCTGGTTCTCATCACTCCTCACCCTTCTACTCAGATGCACCCCCTACCCACTGTCCCAGTGCGTCCGCGTGTGTATTCCTGTGTTCATGTGTATACACATGAGTAGCCTTATGTGCATCTACTTGCACCTGTGTGTGTGTGGGGGTCTCCCAATGCAACGTGTGAGGGGCTGTGTCTGCTAAGTTCAGTCTTTGGATTTTTTCCTCCCAGGTGCCTAGGCCTGGGGTCAGCATGAAAGAGGGGTCCCCTCCAAGGAGCAGGGGTAAGGAAATCCTGCTGAGGAATTGGGGAGGAGGAAGCAGAGATGCTGTCCAGCTGGGAAGGGTTAGTTTGGGGCTCCAAAGTGGAGGAGAGGCCTCCATGGAAGGCCCCCTCCAGGGTGGGAGCTGAGGGACATTTGAGTCCTGCAGAACCAGAGATCAAGGGCAGGACCTTGGCAGCCTCCACTGAGACAGTGCTGCGGGGCTGTGTCCTCACCCTTGGGCGGAGCGTAGAGCAGCCAGAACTGGATTGCGCTTAGCAAGTCTGTTTCCAGGATCCGACACAGGAGCTCCAGGACCTGTGGGCAGGAGGCCAGCACATTCCAGCCAGGAGTACAGGCAAGGAGTACAGGCAAATGTAGGTTTGGAGGGCACCAAGGAGACCCTTCCCCCAAAGTGGGCTCCCAGAGGCGCCTGCTGGGCTAAACGTGTTCCCACAAGGGTCTGTGCCTTTTCCTCCACATTGGGCTTTGCACTTAACGGAGGGCTTTGTCTCACAACAGTCCAGGAGGAAGATTCTTAATCTTCCTGCTGGACGGGTGGAGAATCCGAGGCCCTGAGAGGGGATGCTAGCAGGTAGTTGGTGGCAGGACACGACCTCAGCGAAAGGTTCTGTGGACCCCACATCCCTGAAGCCTGCTTGGCTGGTTATTCCCTAGGGCCCCCTCACTGGGAAGCCAAGGTCCGAGCTGGCCAGTCAGCTCCTCAGAGACACACCAAATCCCACATGCCCAGGGCCTTGGTGTGGGGATTTCAGGAACCCCATGGTAAGCCATACCCTAAAAGTCCCAGAGTCTGGGGATGTTGGAAAAGGGATGGGGGAAGCCCAGAGGGCAGCCTGAGGCGGGGCAGCACAGGCCGGTTCTGCAAACTGCTCAGCACCGGCTCCCTCCTGCAGAGCTGTGGGCATGCTTGGCTCCTTGCTGCATCCTCAGTCTTTGACATCTTTGCTACTTCCGGGCTCATTTTCCCCTGCGTTCTCCAGTCAGTTAGCATCAGGAAAAGATCCAGCTGTGTCTGGGATGGGCTATGGGGGCTCCCTAGGCCAGACTGCTGCTGGTGGCTGTAGCTATGGCAGGCTGGAGTTGGGGCCTGAGGTGAAAGGTGGAAGCCCTGGAGTCCTAAGAAAGTGAGGCCCCCTCAGCTCCTGGCGGTCAGTCATCCTAGGACCTGGAGGGGCCCGTCGGTCCCCAGCAGGTCGGCCTCATCCTCAGCAGAGTGGAATCTGGGCTGGGCCTCTCCCCAGGCCTCTGCCTGCTTAGGGGTCCACCCTCGTCCCCAGATGCCCACCCGCTGTGCTGACCCACCCTGACCTGCCCCTGGGCCCTTCTCCATTCTCTGTGTCCAACTTACCTGCCTTGTGCCCCCTCCCCACAGGACCTGAGAACCTAATTCCAGGTGAGGTGAGGCCGCCCTATGGTGGAGAAAGCACCTTAGTCCTGGCTATGCTGCTCCGTCTCAGGGGACCTGGCCCATGGACTATCACTTGGCAGGGCCTCGGCCTCCCCATCCGTGGCATGGAGGTGCTGAACCCTGTCTGCTCTATCCACTTTGCTGCATTGTGGTAAGGTTTCAGAGGGAGTGTGTGCCTGACAGTGCTGGTCACAAGGAAGGTGGCAGAATGCTGGGTCTACCTCTGGCCTTTCTTGGAGGACATCCGTGCATTTTCACAGGGACCTCTGACGCCTTCACCCACCGGGATGAGGCATGGACTCATCTCAGGCCTCAGTGGGGAAACGTGAGCATGGAGGAGGTGGGCTCTGGGCTCACTGAAGCACAAGCCAGGCCCCTCGCTGAGTGTGGACACCAGGCTGGGCCTAGCCATGCAGGCTGTGGGGTGCGGCCTGCTGTGATGGGCAGGACCTCCTTCTTCAACCCACCATTGCAGCTCCCTTCACTAACTCAGCAAATGCTACAGCTGGAAGGGACCCTCGACAACAGTGCGTTCATGCTTCCAGTGGAGAGATCACGGAACTAGGGCCCAGGGAGGGGAAAGGACTCACATGGAAACCTAGAGGCAGCAGGGGGTCATAGCCCCTGCTGCTGACTCCACAGGGCTGGAGTTTTCTGTTCTTAACAGTCCTAGGCACCAGTATCCCTGGGAGGGGCCTTGCCCTAAAGCGGTTTGTAAGACCCCTAATGTGGAGAGCCAGGAGCCTGGGAGCAGAACTGGGCCCTCACCAGCAGCTCCTGATCCTGAAGGAGGAAAGCCTGGACTCCTTCATGTCTGCTGGAAGACTGACTCTGCTGGCCCTGGTGAGATCTGCGGCGGCCGACAGCCCGGGTGGAAGCGGGGATGAGCCTCCCAGTCTCTGCTGAGTACTTTGCCCCCTGCTCCCGCAGAGGCTCCTCCTTCTGCTCCTTCTGCTGGGACAAAAGTGGCCAGAGACTCCAGGCAGTCAGCAAGAGGGGAGGAAGAGGGCTGAGGGGAGGAGAGGAGCAGGAGGCCGGGTCACAATCCCAGGGCACTTCGCCTCCCAAATCCCAGCATCACAGCGTTGCCAGGGTCCCAGGGTATCATCCAGCTCTGCCACCCCCCCAACCTCACCTGCCCTAGACCCCTCCTTGGGCATCCCCGGCCCTCTCTCTGGCAGCTGGCCCTTCCACTATCAGCTATCACGCTTAAACCAGCAAAAGCTCTTCCTCCTGGAACTCAGTAATGCAGGGTCGATCGCTGGATGCCCGCGGGTGGTTCTCGTTCTCCCTCCCAGGTAGGTCCTCCTTGCTGCTCCTCCCCACACCCATCAGAGATTTGAAAACAGCATCCTGCACCAAGGGCCCACCGCCTACCTTAATTCCCAGCTCAGCTGCCCCCAGGTCTGTCCCAGAGAGGCCTGGTGCCTGGGGCCTCCTGCTCTTGCAATTCCAATTAAGACTGGTAGTATCCTTCCCCCCATTTTAAAGATAAGAAAACAGAGACCCAGACAGCTTAGCTGAGTTGTCCTGAGTGCTGCAGTGAGTTAGTTGTGAGCAGGAATGAGAAGCCGGGCCTCTGCCTGTCCACTCTGGTTACCCAAGACAAGGGGCAGGACCAGACTGTCCTAAGAGCAATTCCAGTCACCTTCAAGCTGCCTCTCAGGTGACTTTACTGTTTTATCATCAAATGGCACCCATGGGGTCACCCCTATCATGTTTGAAAACCTTCCGAGATTCTCTGCTCCTTATGCGATTAGACACTAAAAATCTTGGCAATTAAGAACAAGCTGCTCCTCCCCACATGCAAAGTCTGCCCCCCCTCACCTTTCCCATTGCTGCCCACTTATAGCCTGGTTTCTGATGGTGCCCTGCATTTGCCAGCTTTTGAGCTGCTGTGCTAGGTGCCTCTGCTCGGAACTCCTCAGTCCCCTTGTGAACATCTCACTTAGATATCGAAGGCCCCCAAGTGCCTCCTGTCCTAAAACCCCTGCTTGGATTTCTCCACCTAGGTGTGCTCTCTCCCTCACTGTGACCTTTCCCCTGACGTTTGTATGAATCAGTCCCCCCACCCCACCTCTGGTAGGCTGAACTGACTCGGGAGGGATCTCCTTACACAGGGAAGGATCCGTTTCTCCTCTTCCCAGACTAGCTCCTGTGTTCCGCACCCACCTCTTTCTTCTTCAGTTCATCCTCCTTGGTGAGGAAGGCCACCCGGGAAGCTAGCTCCTTCAACTCCTTCTTCCAGGCTTCTGGGAGGAGGGGACAAGGTCCTGCCAACTGAAGTCAGGGGCCCTCCTCCCCTCCCTGTGCCACCAGGCCTTGGTAGAGGAGTCTGCTCTCCTTCCTGGCCTCCCTGCCTGGATCTTAAAGGGAAAGGGGGAGGCGGTGCCCTGGAGGGAGAAGGATCTGGATTCACACCATGGGTGGTGGTTGTGGCAGTGGGTGGGGTGCGGGGGTGGGGCATTGCTTTCCTTCTAGCAGGGGCTGATGTTGATGTCCTAGCCTGTGGCATTTCTAGGGGATGCTGGAGAATATTTGGTTACCTGTGCCAAGATGCACATGGTTTAATCTAGCTTTGCCTCTTTTAGGTCCCTGAGGCCAAGACTGAAGCTGAGGAGATACAGATGGGCCTGTTATTAAGAAATCAAACTACTCCCTGGAGAGGGTGGCAAAGAGAGCAGCAGCCAGCCTTCCAAGTCTCTCTGCCCTGCACTGGCAGCCCCAGCCCCTTCTCCAGGATCTCTTCCCTGTCCCCACCAAACTGGCTTCCAGCACCTCAGTGGTGGAAAGGATAATGCTTGGCAGAGCAGAGACCTCTGAAACGCCAAGCCAGCACTGTGGCTGATTGTTCTGGTTGGCCAATGCCTGAGCACACAAGCTACTAAATATTCCCTATAGCATTCTGGCCTACAGCTGCCAGTCACATGACTGCAGGCTCAACATCTGCTTGCCCTCTGTGTGTTATTACTCCTCAAGCACCTCAAATCCAAGCAGGGGTGCATTTCTGCTGGCTAGGACTTGCTGGGTGGGGAGTAATGCAGAGATTAGGCTGTCCAAGGAAATGGGAGAAAAAGTGGGGTTCCCCCAACGGACCTCACTGACCTAAGAGCGATGGCCCTTTCCTTCTGGGCACCCACCCAAGTGAGGCAGCCTTGGGGAGAGGCATGAGCCCCAGGGTAGAGGGAGGCATGGCCCAAGTACCCACCAGAAGAAAGCTGGGGGTTCCGATTAGACTGTGGGTCTCCAATGGGGACAGAGATGGTGGGTATCCCCATTTGACAGCCGGAAAAGACAGTTGACTCAGGCAAGGGGGCTGGAAAATCCCTGACGACACAGACAGGCTTCCCGGTGAGATCTGCAAAGGGTTAGAGGCTGTGGGAAGGGAGGCTTAGGTGGACCTTAAGAGCTCCAGGAGGCAGGGAAGAGGCTGAGAGGCAGGGTGATTCCGGCTCCACCTCTTCCAGTAACCACCAGCTGATAGATTATCAGAGCTGGGAGGGCATTGTAACCACCTAGACCAGCGACCGCCTCACCCACGGGGGGATCCTAGAATGGACAGGGGAAAGGCCCGCTCAGGGCCACACTGTGATTTGGGCAGAGGTGAGACAAGAACTTAGGCTTCCTGGGCCCCTAGTCCTGGGGATCTTCCGATTTCCTGTGACAGGGCAACAAATTGCCGATGTGAGTACAAACGGGTAGGCAGGCAGCTTAAAGATGAGAATGCTGGGGCGAGGGCATTATGTCACAGTTCATGATGGGAGAGGCCTGGGCTCACATGACAGGGAGAGAGATTGAGCCACACCCTCTGCAGAAAACTTCTGCTTTGGTCAGCCTGTGCAAGGCTGCGTGCAGGGCAGCCTGGAGGTAGTGGGGGCCGTTTGCACTTGAGGACCCTTCTGGCTAACCCTGGGTGATTATTATATCACTATTGACAGTGAGGCTTGAAGATCGGCCTGGCAAGGACCTAGCAGGGCTGCTGTCTCCTCCCTGAAACACTTCCCTTTTGGTGCCAGGACTCCTCACTCTTGTCCCGGCTCCCTACCTCTCCTCATCTCCTCTGCCGACTTCTCATCTTCTCAACCTCTTAATCCTGGGGTCCCCAGGTACCTGTCCCCAGGTTTTTCTCTCCGGTAGCTACACGGACTCCTTGGGGATCCTACCCAGGCCCACCACTTGAAACACCCCCTCTCGAATGGCTCTCACGTCTGTGTCTCTGCCCTGAACTCCAGATCCGACTGCACCCCCGTACCTCCACCTGGAGGTCTAGAAAGCATCTCGCATCACCCATCTCCCACATCAGAAACCAAACCCCTGACTCCTCCCAGCCTACACTAGCCCTTCTGCACATTTCCCTGCCTCAGTCAATGTACTCCAGTTTCCCAGGTGCTCAAGCCAAAAATCTAAGTCGGCCTTGACTCTTCTCTTCCTCTCACACTCCACTTTTAATCAATCGCCAAGTCCTACTGACTTTACATTTCACATATCTCCAGCATAGAGCCACTGAGTCTTCCACTTCTAGCCCCTGGTCCAAGCCACACTTAAGACAGAGGCCAGGATGACCTTGTTAAAACATCTCACTTCTGTGCTCTCAGCCTTCCAAGGGCTCCAGCTGATTCAGGAAAGTGGCTTAATGGTGACAATAGTGGCCCAAATGCCTACCTGATCTGGGCCCACTGTCTCCCTGATGCCTTCTCCGTTCTCCTCTCCTACTTTACTCCAGCCAGACCAGCTTCTGCTTCCTTGCTGCTGCTCCAACAGAGTGGGAGCGCTCTTGCCTTCTGGACTTTGTATTTGCTGATCTACCTGCCTGAGACATCTTTCCCCTGCTGTGTGCATAGTTCCTGTGTAGTTCTTTGCTCAAATGTCATGTTAATGGCCATGTCTTCTGTGACCACCTTTCAAAAATAGCTATCTTCCCACTGCAGCCTGGGCACTTGACACCTTCCCCATCTCCCATCCCTCCCCACTGGAGGTCAGCTCCAGGAGGGGGGCCACCATGTCTGTCTTGTTCACTGTTGTATCCCCAAGGCCTAAAAAAGTGCCTAGCCAATAGTTCACACTCAATCAATATTTGATGGCTGGCTGGATGGCTGAGTGGCTGACATGGCCTAAGTTAGAGAACTTAAGAGAACAGAGCACTGCTCCAGGACAGAACTTATCCCTTTCTCTGATTTGTAAAATGGGAGAACCCAGCAGTCAGGGGAATCTGTAGGGAACCTGTCACCCACCCTTGGAGGCTTCTCTCCTGCCCACTGAGCAGTCCTGGCTGGGTTCTTTGGCAGCCCTGGGATCCTGGACCCCATCCTCTCTGGGCCCCAGCCTGGAAATGGGCTGCCATCAATTCTTGCTTCCCAGTTCTCAAGACCAATTAGTGATACTCCCTCTGCTCCCACCCCAACCAGCCAGGCCCTACCTTGGATGTGGGTCACGTGCTGGGGGTGTGGGTGGTGCCGGGAGAAGAAGGAGTGGTGACTGAGGCGTCCAAAGCAGTAGGTGCCAGGGGTTTGGGGCTTTGGGGTCCTCAATGCCCGGCGGATCCGCTCGAAATCCACAATCCCTGGGATCACCAGTTCTTTCTGTGGCCCACTGTCCCTGGGGCTCCTTGGCTTGCGCCCTGACTTCTTCTCCAGTTTCAGCTCAGCCTTTGGACTGAAGGAGGGGGTTTCAGGAGAAGCTAATGGAGTCTCCTCTGGCAGTGGGCCCACCTGGGCTCAGAGCTCAGTGCTTGTTACAGAACCCCTTCCTGAGGAGCTCTGAAATCTGGTTTCCTGGGTTTCACCACCACCCCCATAGCACCAAAAGCTAGGCCTCCCCCAGAGTCCTTTCCCAACTGGTGCAATCCTGTCCTGGTTAGTCTTCCTTATCAGGGAGCTGGCATCCATTTGAGGGAACTCAGACTCTCCCAGCACCCCAGTTTTTTCCCAGAGACCATATCTGAAACCAGAAAGAGAAGCTGCAGACCCACCTACTCATCAAAATACCCAGGATGGAGCAAAGTCACCTTATATACATCCCTGGGGATGGGGATGGTCTCAACAGGGGCCTCTCCCCAAGCCAGACTGTGGACAGCCCAGAGGCCAGCTATAGGCTGTCATCCTCCCCCATGCACTCAGGAGTAGTCTTGGCTCAGACTCAGCGTCCAGAGGCCAGAGCTGGAGCTTAGGCCAGACCAGACCAGCAAGTTCTGTTCCCATGGGGGTCCCTCCTAGGAGAGGAAGAGCTGACGCAGCAGCTACTGGGGCTGTGGCGCTGAGGGAAGCTTCAAGCTCTGTTTTGCTTTGCTGGAGACAAGCCAGCTTGGGTCCTCTCTCCTCTACCCCACACCCCTCCCCTTCCTGAGGACGCTATGCATCTGCCCTTGGAGGAAGGTCAAGATCAGCAAAGGTGGGCCAGTCCCCACTGGAGGCCTGCTGGGACCACCTGCCTGATCGCTGTCTGCATGCCCTTCTCACGGTGGCCCTGGCTGAAGGGAGTCCTTTTGGAGTACAGATGGACTCTGGATGTGCTAAGCAAGGCGTGCCGCCCCCGGACCCTCTGAGGACTCCACTGACTTGGCCCCTGAGTTTCCTGTTCCATTCTCCATTCGCCTCTAAGGGATCTGGGGCTTAAAGAAATAAAGCAAACCTTCTCTGAAAGTTGCAGTTAGCTGTCCTCTTCTACCCCCAAGTAACAGAGGAAGTCACCTCCTGAGAACCCCTGGAACTCCTTTGCTCAGTGCTTCTGGCACCCGCTCAAGTCTTTTCCCTGCCCAGGAGGGGCAAAGCCCACTACCTGGGCTAACTTGAGCCTGAGGACCCATTGGGGGGTCTGGCTGACCGGCAGCAGAAGTCCAGTAAGAACCACCTCTCTTGGACTCCTAATCTGTTGAGATCCCCCAAGGCCACCTTTGTCTTCTACCCTGCCCTACCCCAAGCCCTCCTCAGTCAGCAGGGTGGGCATTTGGAGCCTCACCTCATCAGTGGATAATCAGCCAATTGAACATCTGTAGCCATTGTATGCTTTTTAACAGACTAAAGGCCAGTGCACTTAATACTAGCGTTGAGGATGCAGAACAGGAACTCTCACTTAATACTAGTGTTGAGGATGCAGAACAGGAACTCTCACGAACTGGTGGTGGAAGTGTAAACGGGAACAGGCACTTTAGGGGGAGAAATGGTAATATCTTTTAAAATTGAGCATTTGCATGCTGTATCACCCAGCAATTTCTTTCCCAGATATAAGAGAAATTCTTATAGATGTACAACAGGGGCTACTTATAAGAATATTCATACAAACACTGTTCAAAATAGCAAAAACCTGGTGGCAACCCAAATGTCTGATGGCAGAAGAATGGATAAATAAGCTGTGGTGCATTCAGACAATGGGATACTTTATTGCTATGAAAATAAATGAGCCACAGCTACATGTAACAACATGGATGAATCTTATAATCAGTATGAGAAAACTTAACAATTCTTGGTTTTGCGATGTTATATTTATGCAATCTTATTAACTCAATTTACTTTTTATTAATTACTATTAAATAGGCTGCAGTAGAACAAGATATATGCATTTGAAACAATACAATTGTTGTCATCCACTATATATAATGTGTGGATAATATAAAATAACTACTAAACAGTATAAATGTTGTTTAAAAACATATTATTTTTCTTTCATAAATGGTTTAGTTTATGTGTGTTCCAGAGGACCACAAGTTCCAGAGGACCACATAGCCTGAGATCCTTTCTAAAAATAAAAGTTTAAAAGCAAGCAAAATGATCATGAACATGCGATAAAACAGCAACAACAGCATCAAACAAGGAAATGCTAAGCACGAAATTCACATAGTGGCTATTTCCGAGGGAAGGCGGGGAGGGGAAGTGTGCAGGAGAAGCGCATATAAGGAGATGTGTTAGTGATGATGTTCTTGTTCTTGGTTTGGGTGGTGTATTTGCTTGTGTTTATTATATTATTAAATAAACTAATTAAATGGCATAGATGAAAGATGATAGGTGTCAAAACCAAGAATTATGATTAAATCTATGGACCTGAATATATATATCTAGCCAAAGTGCTAGGGATGGGGTTGGGACAGGACATCAGTGCATTCTGAGAATTAACCCTCAGAGTCACAGAATCTGCAAGGGACCCCAGAGATCTCCCAATGCCAGCCTTCATCAGGTAGTGGGATGGGTTGGAGTTGTCTGAGATCAGGGAAGCAGGGGAGATTTGCTGAGGTCACACAGAAGGAACCAGAGCCCGGGCAGTCTGACTCACAGTTTGCTGATCTTTTCTTTCCTTAAAAGGAAGCTCCAGACATCCTTGATGTCAGGTACTGGGCTCTAGAGTACTGAGATGCTACAATCTTGAGAACAGGATATGTGGAAGCCCCAAATCCTCCTGCCTATGGGAAAAAGTACTCTTTAGAACAGAGACTTGCAAATGTGTTTGGCTGTGATGACGGTAAGAAATTCTTTATGTCATGATCCAATTCACATATGGGTTTGTGTGTGTGTGTGAAACTAAAACAATAATATCCTGAAGCAATATTTATCCGTACTACATATGATGCACACTGATATTTTTACCCTATTTTTGGTTTTTATTTCTTAAATGTTAGATATGATCCATTTAAATTGATCTAATAAGCCACCAGGGGGTCATAACCCACAGCGGCTGTAGAGAGGCTGACAGGGACTCTAGTAGGCCAAGCCTGCCTTGTCCAGAGCGGGACAGGTGGGACCCCAGTGTAGTCTGCCCTGCCCTGCCCCTGCTCTCTGTCCCTGGGGCCCCAGCCAGCCAGGCAGAGGGGTCTGAGGGCTCCCATCAATCCAGCCACAAAACTTCCCTTTCTACCTCTGCCCTTCTGGGCTGTCCAGGGTCCATCTCCTCTCCCGAGAGGTCCCTGGACTCACCAAGGCAGTGCCCGCTACAGCATGTGTACGAGAAGCCCTGCTGTCCTAGCAGGAAGGAGCAAGAGGACAAATCGAGGGGAAGGCTGTGGGTTCTGTGGGCAAGTCTGCCTGCTTTGTGACACTGAGCCCAGTGGTTGCTAGGTTACCCTGTTCCCACAACTCCAGAACCTCTGCCCAGCACCCCTCTACCACATCCCCTGCCTATCTCCCCCTCCTGGAAGGGTAGACAAGGGCTAAGGACCTTCTGTCCCTCCTGACTTCCCTGCTGCCTCCCATCCAACACTTTCAATGGGGGCCAAGGGAGAGAAGGAGAGTCTGGGGCTGGTTTTAGCCAGAGAGAAGCGGATGGAGGCGGAACGCTGGCAGAGGACGTTGGTGGGCTGCGTCCCAGCTTCGTCAGCCCCACCTGGCCTGACCCCACCACACAGGGGTCGGCTTCCATGCATCTTGGTTCTGGGGACCCATTCTCAGGGAGGTGGGTCTTGGAAGGAGAGAAGATGGCAGCCCGCATTACCCAGAGGGACCCCAGCCCCTCTCTCTGCATGACAGCTGGGTGGGAAGATTCTGGGCTTGCATTTGGACAGGTGTTTTAATCAGATTTCAACATCCCATAGACACGTTACCTTGGGTAAGTCACCGGGACTGCCACAGATGCAAAATAGTGGGAAGAATCCTTGCTTCGAGTCCCTATTCTGCTACTTCCTAGTTGTGTGGCCTCAGACAATGCACCTGCCTTCTCTGAGCCTTAGTTCCCATATCTCTAAAATGGAGATGATGATACTGCACTTATTCTCACAGGATGTTTGAGAATATTAAGTGAGTTGATATATATTAAAGCGTTTCAAACAGTATCTGCCCCCAAGTATAATTTCTTACTATTATTGCCTTCTCTGGGTCTATAAAATGGGATATCCTCACCTACTTCTGTGGTTGTTCTGAAGACAAGCTAATGGAAGTGAAGCCTTTAGTTGTATGTCTGGCACACAAGAGATGCTCAAAAAGGATAATAATCATCATTATTATTGGTAACTTGATGGAGGTAGTAGGATGAGTCCTTTGTCTGAGAACTATCTTAGGTAGTTCACTATTTCTCTGAGGCTCAACTTGGACACCTGTCAAATGGGGGTAAGGATAGTTCTTAGCCGACAGGGCTGTAACTCAATCAGATCCCGGGAGGGGTGCAGACAGGCTCTGTAAACTATGGGAAGGCTTGCAGACAGTGCCGGGTGCTGTCCCTCAGAATGATGAGGTGGGCTTTTCCCAGGGCCTTTGCTCTCAGCACCCCTGGCTTCATACTGGTGCCCTGGGGCTTCCAGACTCTGTGTCTTTTCTCTGGGGAGCAAGAAAAGGAAGGTGGGTAGCTAGAGGCAAACCCAAGTCCTTCAAAAGTTCTGCCCCTCCCAGCTAAGGGGTGGGGATTCATACCACTCTGGTGGCCCCCTGAGGGCTGTCCTCTGGTCTTGGCCTACTCCAAATGCCCACCCATCCTTCGGCAGGTCAGGATGTTCCCTGGCTTTTTCTGGGCCTGTCTCTGCAGGAATACGGTGACTCTTTTGAAATCATACTGAAAACCCCCTCTTCCATACTTCTGGGCATCCTGGCAGCTGTGAAGATAGATGATATAGCATTTGGGAGAAGAGAGGCTTTCTTCCCCGTGACAAGCCACTCCTCCCTCCTGCTTTCAGCACTCTTGTGGCATTTCCCACCACGCGAGCTGACTCAGCTGAGATGAAAACCCACTCTCATCCTCCCCACTGGTGCCTTGTAATGCTTCAACTATGTTATTTACAATCGAGCATGGGGGTCTGCATAGGGACTGCAGCTGGGGGGATGAAGGGGTTCCTCAGGAAATGTCTTCAACACTGGTTTGTAAAAGAAGAACTGAGGAAACTCTTCTGACTCCTTTGTGGAGTGTCAAAAACTGTAGAGAGATCTGTCAGCCTGAGAGTGATTTGAGGTACAGTCCTTGGCCTGGATGACTCAGTCATAACAGAGGCAATAGAAACTTCATGGAACACTTTCTATGTGCCAGGCACTGTGCCAACCTCTTAGATATATTACCTCATGTAATCCTATAGATGGAGAAATTAATGATCAGATAAATCTTTAGTTATTTGTGTTGCAAATATATTCTCTCCTTTGTGTCTTGCTTGTCTGTGTCTATATGCAGTCTTTTGATAAAGAGAATTCCTAATTTTAACATAACCCAGTTTATCAATTTTGTCCTTAATGGTTAGTGGGTTTTGTGTTTTAAGAGATTTTTGCCTACCCAAGGTTATGAAGATAATTCTCATTATTATTTTCTGAAGATTTACTGTTTTGCTGTTCATGTTTAGATCTACAATCAATACGGAATTGATTTTTGTGTTTGGTGTAAGATAGGGGTCAAAATTTATATATATTTTTTCCATATAAATATCCATTCGACCCAGTACCATTACTTAAAACATTGTCCTTATCTCTGCAGTACCATCTTTAACAAAATTCAAGTATCCGTATATGTGTGGGTCTGTCTCTGGACTTTCTGTCTACCAATGCACCAACACTATATTCTCTTAATTACTGTAACTTTAAATACATCTTGATGTCTATATAAGTGGTATAAGACTTCCAGCTTTGTTTTTTTAAGAGTGTCTTGGATATTCTAGTTCCTTTGCCTTTCCATACAAATTTTAGAATAATCTTATTGATATCTACAAACATTTTTGTTTAGATTTTTATAGGAATCAGGTTAAACTTCTGTATCAATTTGGGGAGAATGGACATCTTTACCATGTTGAGTCTTCCAGTCCATGAACATAGTATATCTCTCCATTTATTTAAATATTCTTTGATTACTTTAATCAGCATTTTATAGTTTTCAGCATAAAAGCCGTGGACATGTTTTGTTAGATTTTCACCTATTTCAGTTTTTGTTTTTAAAGGAACTGTAAATGGTATGGTATTTTAAATTTTGGTGTCCATATATGCATTGCTAGTATATAGAAACACTATTAATTTGGTATGTTAGTTTGTATCCTGCAACCTTGCTGAACTCACTTATTAGTTTCTGGAGATATGTTGTAGATTCCCTGGAATTTTCTACATAGGTAATAATATCATCTGCAAATAGGGACAGTTTTCTTTCTTTCTTTCTTTCCCATATATATGCTTTTTCTTCTCTTCTCTTCTCTTCTCTTGTCTTACTGCACTGCCTAGAATTTCCAATACTAAGTTGAATAACAGTGGTGAGAGTGCACATCCTTACCTTGTTCCTAATCTTAGGAAGTAAACACAGAGTCTTTAACCATTAAATATAATGTCAGCTGTAGGTTTTTTATATATACTCTTTATCAGGTTAAAGAAGTCCCTCTCTCTTCCTATTTTTCTGAGCATTTTTGTCATAAATGTGTGTTGAATTTTATCAAATGCTTTTTTTCTGCATCAACTAATATGATCTTGTGATTTTTCTTCTTTTGCTGGTCAGTACATTGATTTTTCAAATATTGAACTAGCTTTTTATCCCTGGAATAAGCCCCACTTGGTCATGGTGTACAATTCTTTTTATATATTGCTGGATTCTACTTGAAAATATTTTGTTAAGGATTATTGCACCTATATTTATGATGAATATTTATCTGTAGTTTCCTTTTTGTAGTATCTTCCTCTGGTTTGGGTATCATCAGGGTAATACTAATTTCATAAAATGAATTGGGAAGTGTTACCTCCTTTTCTATTTTCTGGAAGAGATCGTGTAAAATTGATGTTAATTCTTCTTTAAATGTTTGCTGGATTTCTCCAGTGAAACTACCTGGGCCTGGAGATTTATTTTTTGGGGTGTTTTAAAATTGAAAATTCAATTTTCTTAACAGTTATGGGACTATTCAAGAGATCTGTTTCAAAATGGGTGAGTTGTAATAGTTTCTTTTTCAAGGAGTTGGCCAATGTCTCTTATATTGTAAAATTTATTTGTGTAGAGTTGTTTTGTAATATTCTCTTATTATCCTTTTGATATCTGTAGAATATGTAGTGATATCTTTATTTCATTCCTGATACTATTAATTTGTGATTTCTTTCTCTTTCTTTTTTTGCCAGTCTTGCTAGATAGAAGTTTGCCAATTTTACTGATGTTTTCAAAGAACCAGCTCTTTGTTTTATTGATATTTTTCCTTTTTTTTTTCTGTTTTCAATTTCATGGATTTCTGCTCTTATCTTCGTTATTTCATTGTTCTGCTTGTTTTGGATTTATTTTGCACTGCTTTTTCTAGTTTTGTGAGGGGGGTGCTTAGATTATTTGTTGGACACTTTTCTCTCTCTTTTTTTTTGGTAGGGGGATGGAGTCTCGCTCTGTCACCCAGGCTGGAGTGCAGTGACGCGATCTTCGCTCACTGCAACCTCTGCCTCCCAGGTTCAAGCAATTCTCTGCCTCAGCCTCCGGAGTTGCTGGGATTACAGGCGCCTGCCACCATGTCCAGCTAATTTTTTTGTATTTTTAGTAGATACGGGGTTTAACCATTTTGGCCAGGCTGGTCTTGAACTCCTGACCTCATGATCCACCCATCTCGACCTCCCAAAGTGCTGGGATTATAAGCATGAGCCATCGTGCCTGGCCTCCTCTATTCTAATATATGCATTTAGTGCTATAAATGTTCCTCCCAACGTACTTTAGCAGTCGCCCACGAATCTTGATATGCTATGTCTTCATTTTCATTCAGTTATAATGTATTTTTAAAATTTCTTTTAAAATTTTCTTTTACCAACATGGATTTTTTAAAGAAGCATGTTATTAATTTCCAAATGTTTGTAGATTTCCCTGTTATCTTTTTCATTTATTTATTTTTTAAAATGAGACAGTGTCTCACTCTGTTACCCAGGCTGTAGTTCAGTGGTGGAATTACAGCTAACTGCAGCCTTGACCTCCCAGGCTCAAGTGATTCTCCCACCTCAGCTTTCAAGTAGCTGGGACTATAGGTGTACACCACCACGCCTGGCTAATTTTTGTATTTTTGTAGAGATGGGGTCTTGCCATGTTACCTAGGCTGGTCTTGAAATCCTGAGCTCAAGTGATCCACCCACCTTGGCCTCCCAAAGTGCTGGGATTACAGACATGAACCACCATGCCCACCCTCCAGTTATCTTTGTGCTATTGATTTCAACATTGATTCAATTGTGCTTGCGGAAGGTACTCTATATTATTTTAATTCTTTAAATGTGTTGAGGTTTGTTCTGTGGCTCAGGATGTGGTCTATGTTGGTGTACATTCTATGAGCACTAGAAAAGAATGTGTATTCTGCTGTTATTGGGTGAAGGGCTCTATAAATGTTAAAGTCTATTGGTTAAAATTGTTGAGTTCTTGTATATTCTTGCTAATTTTTGTCTAGTTCTATCAATGGTTGAGAGAGGGTTATTGAAGCTTCCAACAATAATTGTGGATTTGTCTATTTCTCTTTTCAGTTCTGTCAGTTTCTTCACACATTTTGTGACTCTGCTGTTTGGTGCACATACATTTAGGATTGCTAGATCTTCTTGATAGACTGGTGCTTTTATTATTATTTAATATCCCCTATGTCTCTGTCATTTTCTTTGCTCTGAAGTTTACTTTATCTGATATTAATTTAGCCACTCCCTTCCTTTAATTAATGATTGCATGATTTATCTTTTTTCATCATTTTACATTCAATGTTCCTATGTCATCATATTTGAAATGAGTTTCTTACAGACTGCATAGAGTTGTATGAAGTTTTGAAATCCACTCTACCAATTTATGTTCTTTTTTTTTCTTTTTCCTGTCTCACTGTGGGTTTCTTGGACATTCTACTAAGAATTCCATTTTGATTTATTTACAACGCTTTTGAGTGTATCTCTGTATCTTTTTTTAGTGGCTGCTGTAGGTATTTTATTTTATACATATATATTTTATTTTATACACATATACATATTTTATACATATATAACATATATAAAACATATCACAGTCTACTTGTATCCTTGTTTTACCACTTCATGTGAGGTATGGAAGCTCATTTCCCTTTATGTTCCTTTATCTCCCTTTGTTGATAATTGTTTTAAATATTTCCTCTACATACATTTAGAGCCATATCCAACAGTGTTGTAAGTTTTGCTTCAACTGTCAAACACAATTTAGAAATCTCAAGAGAAGGAAAGCCCATTGTATTTACCCATATTTTTACTTACTGGGCTCTTCCTTCCTTATGTTCCAGAGTTTCTTCTATTATTGTTTCCTTTCTGTTTGGAGAACTCCCTCTAACCATTTTTTTACAGCAGATTTGTGCTGGGTGAGGTGTCAGAGCCCCTTCATCAGGAAGTGGTTGACTTACGGGTTGTTAAGAAGAATTTACCAACAGCAGTATTAGTTTGAAAAAGGAAGGTTTTATTATAAAGAAAGAATGCCGCAGAGGAGTGCAGTGGGGTGCCTCAGCAAGAGAGGACTGAGGACACCAAGATGGATTTTCCTTAGGAGCATATATGGACATTAAGTTGGGAGCTTAAGGGTCATTTGGACCATATTAGCCACGTAGGTCATGATAAATGATTACGTGTCGACATTTTGGTGCCCTAATGTCAGCAAGGGTTGCATAATGAGTTTTGGCATGGCATTCTGGAGATGTATAGAATTTCTATTTACTTACAATTTTTTTTTTTTTAAAGAGACCTGGAACCAGATGACAACTTTAGGTACTAGGGAAGTTTAATTTACCTCTAAATTTCCTAGATAAGGAATTTGCTTCCAAATAGACTGTTTGATGCTCACCAGATGGTCTTCACTTCTTTCATTATACTTCTAAATTCCTCAGATAAGGAGTTTTTTGTCTCCGGGGCCTGCTCAATGTTCACCAGGTGACTTTTGCTTTCCTTATTTTTCCCCTGACAAATATTTTGGAAACTTTGACCCTCTGTATTCCCCCATGCTCCTGTCTACCTGCTGCCTACTGGGGTTTCAAGAAAGGGAAAATGCCACAGTGAAAAGGCACGTTGAGTCCATCTGGCTAATCCCTACTGAAAGGGGCATTGAAGGTATAGGTTGTGTTTTTCCCTTTCTTGCTCTCTGTCATGAAGGGAATGAAGGGTCATGAAAAACTCATTCATGAAGAGGTGGGGAAGACCAGATACCATCAGGAGGCTGGTATTGGGATTACATAGTCATCTGTAGGTGAAATTGTTGTAATCTGAAAGATATAAACTTAATGAGAGCATTAAAAAGTCAGGGACCAAATTTCAAAAGAAGAATGACAAGGAATAAAGGTCCAAGGAATGGGAGAAGCCAAGTGATTTTTGGAAACCAATCAATAGAGGTTTTGGCTCAGTCTTGGTTACTTTGGGAAAGTGTGTGTGGCCATTTGGCTTGTTTGAAGATTTCTTGGACCTTAGTTTCCACTTCTCCAGACACATTAATGTAGGTGTAGTAGGTTTTCTTGATGACAGCACTGACTCCTCCTTGTTCAGCTAGCGGGTAATCCAGAGCTTGTCTATTATTAAACCCATTCCTGCTAGTGAGTGTAAAGACTTTTCTAGTGCTGATAGACTTGTGCCAGTTTTTGCTAAGGCTATTTCAAGGGAGGTGGTAAGTTCCCATATTGACATTTCATGGTAAGTAAAGGGGTGAGAGTTGCAATAGTTCCCACAATTCTGGCCACACTTAAGTCCTCGGGCCCTTTTTCTTCTAGAATGGAATTCTGAATCGGAAGTTATGTTCAAGACACTGATTTGGGTATGAGCTATTGTTCCTAGAGTACAATCACCATAATGAAGAGAATTATTAAGATGGGATAGGGCCGAAGTTTGAAAAGGGCTTAAATAATTATTAGCAGTGCTGCAAAGCAGTGAGAGCCCAGGTGAGGCAGGTAACATACTTTTGAGGCTTCTTGGATTAAGAGGGCCACTGTTGCTAAGGCTCTTAGGCTGGGATGAGAGGGAATGACCTTTCTGGGATACTAGGTCTAAAGTTTTCCAAAAATACGCTATAGGGCACTTAAAGGGCCCTAGATCTTGGGCTAAGACTCCCAAAGCTATTCCCCTTCATTTGTGTACATTCAAAAATAAAGGCCTAGTCAGATCTGCTAGGGCTAAGACTGGGGCTGAGATTAAAGCCTGTTTTTAAGTGTTTAGAGCATGCTTCATAACATTAGTCTAGGAAAGAGGTTGCTCCTCAGTTCCCTTGAGGGATTCATATAAAGGTTTTGCTATTAATCCAAAGGAAGGAATCCATATTCTGTAAAACCTGGCCATATCCAAAAAGGACCAAAGCTGTTGTTTAGTTCCTGGGGTTGTCACGTTTAAGATGATAAGATTTTTCCAAATGCTTAGGGGCTCTTTGTACTGAAGGTTAAAATAAGACCCAAAATTGAACCCTTTGTGTGGATATTTGTACCTTAGAAGGAGATACTTTGTAGCCACCATCAGCAAGTTTATTTAGTACTAATATTGTATTTTGGTCTAAAACAGCCTTGTTAGTACTACAGATTAGCAGGTCCATCCACATACTGCAGTAGATTGCTATCTGGGAGAAACTGCAGGGTAGACAGGTTTTTAGCTAGGGCCTATCCAAAATGGTGGGGGCTATCTCTGAATCCCTGGGACAGAACTGTCTAAGTTAACTTTGAGCTAGTTGAGTATCTGAGTCTTGCTATTCAAAAGCAAACAAAAATTGGCTATCTGGGTGTACAGGAATGCAGAAAAAGGCATCCTTAAGATCAAGTACAGTAAACCAAGCTGTGATGGAGAGAATTTGTCCAAAAAGAGTGTAAGGGTTTGGGACAATAGGATGAATAGGAATAACAGCTTCATTAACAATTCTAAGGTCCTGTACTAGTCAGTAGGAGCCATTTTTTTTAAAGTACAATTTCCATTTTATTTTTCTCCAGAGAATAGTCTGTCTTCAGTCTTTAAGGACTCAGCTCCTTACATGGGCTTTGGTGGGGGTCATGGGGCAGCACCCACAGGTCTAAGGGTGGGAGTGTTGGGTCCTTGAAGCCTTCATGAGATTGATTTCTGACTACTTTGCTGTGAATTGCACAACTCACACAGTAATGTAGCTTCATATACTGCTTGGAAAGCACATAGGCATTGAAGACCCTCGCTTCAAAAATGTCCCTGACTGCTGCGGGCTCCACTATGTTTCGAATGACAAATTTCTTAATAGCCTTGTCCTTGGGCATGCATCGGGCACAGTTCATGCAGCAAATAGGCTGCACATGGCTGTGGCCCTTTTTGGTGAGGCCGTTGTTCCTTTTCTTTGTCATCTTGGAGGCACGGACTGGAGAGAGGACATCTGGTTTCTTTACAGCTAAAATGGGAGTGTTGCAAGGTGAGTTGCTTGGGTGCAATAATCCATGGGTTGAAAACTTTGTTACTAGGGGCTGTAACCCTTTTTGTTCTTCTAGTTTCAAGGGCTATTGGGGGGTTCTGGGGAACTTATTGGGATTTTTAAGCTGAATGATAATAGGGGCAGCTGATATTGAATGACCAGGAATAAAAATATTCCAAAGCTCAAATGGCACTTGTTTTAGAATATGAGGTTCTATAGACTGCAGTGGCTCTTTTGGTGAAGTGTGAGTGAATACAGCTGCTAGAAGATGAGGTCTTAGCGGTAAATTGCTTGTAACTTTGTAAGTCAGCATCTAATAATGAAACAGGATGGCTTGGCAGGACTAAAAAGAAGTGGGTGGGTAAAGGAATAGCCTTCCATTTTACAAGGGAGTGACAGTGTGAAATAGCCTCATTGGGGGTTTCCATCAATACCCATGAGGAAAATGGCGAACTGGCAATTTGGGCAGTAATAAACTTTTGAAGCTGAATAACTGGCCCCTGTATCTATGAGGAACATTATGTCTTGTTCAGCCACAGTCAGATTTACCTGAGGCTCATCCATAGAGATGGAAAAGATAGGGGCTGGATGGATGACTTCTGAAAGTCATCTAGAGGATGACTTTCAGAGGATGACTTTCAGAAGTTGATCATAATCCAGGAATGGAGTTAGAGGTGCTTGGCCTTGTTGTTGCCCTTGTCCTTGTTCTGCAGAACCCCCTTGTTGGATAGGTTGGTAAGGCTTTGGCTGTTACAGCCCAGAAGGAAGAGGTGCCTCACCTCACGATGGGGAGAGGGACTCTTGCTCTTCCAATGACCCTCTTGTCTGCAATAAGGACAGGGTCCCTGGGGTGACTTGTAACCTGGTGGTTTGGGACATCTGTACTTCAGTGTCTTGGATTTCTGCAGTGATGACAGGCCCCCATTCTGTTAGCATTATAGGGACGAGCCTTGGGATTATTAGCTAATGAAAAAGAATGTGCCAATGCTGTTGCCATGTGATTATCTTGACAATGGCATTTTTCCTCCTCCAATTGAGGCTTCTTTGTTTTTGATGTTTTCTCCCAGTTACTGAAAACCTTAAGGGCTGTATTTAATAAAGTACAAAAGGAGTTTTTGGGCCTTCCTCTAATTTTTGGATTTTTTGTCTGATGTCTGGGGAAGCCTGACTTATAAAGTGTACGGCTAGAATGAATTGGCCCTCAGGGCTTTTGGGGCCTAAATGTGTATATGTATGCATGGCTTCCACCAGCCTAGCTTGGAAAAGGGTGGAGTTCTCACATGGCTCCTGAGTGATTTCTTATAATTTAGAGAAATTAACAGGTTTTATTACAGCCTTTTTCATTCCTTCCAACAAACAATTTATCATATAATCTTGTCTGCCCCTGCCTCTGTTTGGGTCAGCATTGGCAGCCTGGTATTGCCAAATTGAGTTCTGTGTCAGGGACAAATTCTGCCCTGTCTCTATTATCATTAGGGTTACAAGCATGAGCTTCCTCTGCCCAAGCTCGAGCTAAAGACCGTACACATGATTTTTCTTCATGGGAACAGCAAGTAGTTAATACAATGAATATGTTTTTCCAGGTTAAGTCAAAGGTAATAGTTAAAGCCCAAAATTCTTGAATGAACTTAGAGGGATGCTGGCTAAATGAAACCAATCTGGATTGAATTTGTGAGAATCAGAAATTGGAAATGAGACATGAACTCATTTGGTAGGTTATTTGTTACTGCCTAAATTCCAGAACTTATTATTGGTCTATTTAGGGATTCTATTTCTTCCTGGTTCAGTCTTGAGAGGGTGTATGTGCCCAGAAATGTATCCGTTTCTGCCAGATTTTCTAGTTTATGTGCATAGAGGTGTTTATAATATTCTCTGACAGTTGTTTGTATTTCTGTGGGGTCACTGGTGATAGCCCCCTTATCATTTCTGATTGTGTTTATTTGAATCTTCTCTCTTTTCTTATTAGTTTAGCTAGTGGTCTATCTATTTTATTAATTTTTCAAAAAACCAGCTCCTAGATTTGTTGATTTTTTGAAGGATTTTTCATGTCTCTATCTCCTTCAATTCAGCTCTGATCTTATTTTTTGTCTTCTACTAGCTTTGTGGTTTGCTCTTTGTTCTCTAGTTCTATTAGTTGTGATGTTAGGTTGTTAACTTGAGATCTTTCTAGTTTTTTGATGTGGGCGTTTAGTGCTATAACTTTCCCCCTTAACACTACTTTAGCTGCATCCCAGAGATTCTAGTACATTGTATCTTTGTTCTCATTAGTTTCAAAGAACTTATTGATTTCTGCCTTAATTTCATTATTTACCCCAAAAGTCACTCAGGAGCAGGTTGTTCAATTCCATATAGTTGTATGGTTTTGAGTGAATTTCTTAATCTTGAGTTCTAACTTGTTTGCAGTGTGGTCTGAGAGACTGTTTGTTATGATTTCAGTTCTTTTGCATTTGCTGAGGAGTATTTTACTTCCAATTGCGTGATTAATTTTAGAGCAAGTGCCATGTGGCAATAAGAATGTATATTCTGTTGCTTTGGGCTGGAGAGTTCTGTAGATATCCATCAGGTCCACTTGATCCAGAGCTGAGTTCAGGTCCTGCATATCTTTGTTAATTTATTGTCTTGATGATCTGTCTAAATTGTCAGTGGGGTGTGAAAGTCTCCCACTATTATTGTGTGGGAGTCTAAGTATCTTGGAAGGTCTCTAAGAATTTGCTTTATGAATCTGAGTGCTCCTGTATTGTGTGCATATATATGTAGGATAGTTAGCTCTTCCTGTTGAATTGAACCCTTTACCATTATGTAATGCCCTTCTTTGTCTTTTTTTGATGTTTGTTGGTTTAAAGTCTGTTTTGTCAAAAACTAGGATTGTGACCCCTGATTTTTTCTGTTTTCCATTTGCTTGGTAAAGTTTCCTCCATCCCTTGATTTTGAGACCAGCCTGGCCAACATGGTGAAACCCTGTCTCTACTAAAAATACAAAAATTAGCCAGGCATGGTGGCCCATGCCTGTAATCCCAGCTACTCAGGAGGCTGAGGCAAGAGAATCAATTGAATCCGGGAGGCAGAGGTTGCAGTAAGCCGAGATTGCGCCACTGCACCCCAGCCTGGTGGCAAAGTGAGACTCTGTCTCAAAAAAAAAAAAAAAGAATCAATCTGGTTGCTTTTTGATAGAGCAGCTATGCCGTGTGGGGGATCGGTCTGGGCTCTCCAAGGCCCACAGGCTGGACTGGTTGAGACACTGGAACAGCCAAGGTTGCAGCCTGCCCTGCCCCCTGAGCTCTCCATCCCAGGGAGAAATTAGAACGCTGTCAGCCACAGAACACATGCAGGGGTGACCGGAGGCCCCCGTTGGGAGGTCCTGCCCAGTGAGGAGGGATGGACTGTAGTCTTGCTTAAAGAAGCCGTCTGGCCACACCCTGCCAAAACAGCCTTGTCATGCTGGAGAACCGCCTCTGCCCCTGTCGGTTTGGACTCTCCAAAGCCCATGGGCTGACTTGTCCAAACAACCAAGGTGGAAGCCCACCCCTCCCCCTGGGCACTCTGTCCCATGGAGAAATCAGAGCTCTGTCTGTAGAATACGTGTGGGTGGGGGTGGCTGGAAGCCTTGGCTGGGAGGTTCCACCCAGTGATGAGGAATGGATCAGGGTCCCACTTAAAGAAGCAGTCTGGCTATGTTCTGACAAAGCTGCTGTGCTGCACTAGGGAAACCCTTCCTCATCTGGACTATTTGGACTCTCCAAAGCCCACAGGCTGGAACGGCTGAATCAACCAAACAGCAGGGCTGGTGGTGCACCCCTCCCGCAGGGAGCTCCAGCCCAACTCGGGCAGGCTCGACCCTGTTACCAGTGGCTGGCTAAAATACCTTGTGAGGTGCCGTGGAAGTGGGTCCTACAGACTAGTGCTGCTTGACTCCCTGAATTCAACGCCCTTCCTAGGGGCATGTATGGACCTCCTAATGATACAGGAGTTAAAAAGAAATTACTTAGGCAGATAGTGAGGGCACGGAAGTCGTCGATAACATTTTCCTTTTAATGAAAGGCAGCCCCAAATCATTTTTCTTCTGAACAAAAAGCAGCCTCTAAAATCAAGCTGCAGACATAGATGCCCGTGGTTGTGCCAATCATGTTCAAAATGGTGGCTCCATCTTCCCTTCTCTTTGCCAGCCATGTATACAGTAAGGAGCAGACAAGATGGCGCTGGCCAAGGGGAGAGTCCATTTGCATAAGATTAGGGTGGAGTGGACAGTCTTCCCCATGTGCTATGGAAACATCACACCCGATCAAACCAATCCGTGGGCCCCACGTAAATCAGCCACTGCCTCTCAGGCCTGCCTATAAAATCCCGCACACTCCATCACCAGCTGGTCTTTCCTTTCGGAAGCTCCTCTCTCTTTAGTGAGAGAGAGAGGAAGCCTTGGCTGGGAGGTCCCACCCAGTGATGAGGAATGTTCTCCTTTCTCTTTCTTTTGCCTATTAAACCTCTGCTCCTAAACTCCTTGTGTGTGTCAATGTCCTAAATTTTCTTGCCACGAGACTCTGGGTTTTACCCCAGACAATGAAGCCACTTCACTGCCTTGCCTGAGCTGCAGATACCTTTGTTGGGGATCCCGGGGCTGGAGTATGTAAAACTCCTGGGTCTCTGTGTGTGCCTGAGCAGCTGCTCTGCCAAGACTACACAGATCTGTGTGTTGGACCTAAGGCCCTGGTGGCATGGACTCATGAGGGGAGAATCACGGTTTCCCAGGGTTGCACAATCACTCACCACTTCCCTTGGCTGGGGGCAGGGGTTCCCTTGGCTCCGTGTTGCTCTTGAGTGGGTCATCGCCCCACCCTGCTTTTCTTCATTCTCTGTGGGTAGAATTGTTTCCCTGATCAGTCCCAATGTAGGACCTGGATATTTCAGTTGAAGGTGCTATATTCACTTGCTCCTTTCGTTCCTCTCCCTGAGTGCCTCAGATGGCAACTGCTTCAAATCGGCCATCTTGGCGAAGGCTCCACATGAGCTCAAATTGTCCGCAAATCTCCATTTGCCACCTCACAGAGAGGCAAAATATTTTGGGGATTTTCTGAGGACTCTGTACTAGTGGCATATGTGACTCCTGTGCGAGTATGTGAGGGGGATAATGTATCTGGATATGGAGGGATTGACTAGGGGATGGAGCAGATGGAGAGGGTGTAGATGAAGTAGTAACAGGCTGAGAAGAGAGTAACAGACAAAAGGGAGGATCATCTAAGACATTAGAATTGGGGAGAGAGGAAGTTCCTTGGAAGCATACATGACAATTTTTAATGTAATTCTGGGTTTGGGGATAAAGCGAAAAAGACCTAAGGGACCTCTGAATCCTTTCTGGGGTTATGGCAAAATGAGTCTAGTTGTAAAATAATATTCCAATCCAGGGTCCCATTAAGAGGACAATTTAAATTATTGGGGCGCTTATATTGAACCCTTACAAAAGAAAATCATACACTTCTTTCTGAGAGTTTGTGGGTCAAAATGGGACCACTTTTTAAGAATGCAAGCCAAGGGCGAATCAGATGGAATGGAAGAATGAATCGAATCCATGTTGGGTGTTGATAAGGGACTACAAGATCTCTGAGGCATCCCTAAGGGATCTGGACCTCCCTTTTCCCTTTGGCTCACTCTATTCAGGGGTGTCTCACCACAAATAGAGGGCCTGCCCTTGCCTGGATGACCAGTCCAAGCATGCTCTTGTTTGAGTGGTCAGCTTGAACCTAATGTGAAGCAGAACTTACCTATAATTTGGGATGCGGTGCCTGTGATGAAGTTGAATCCAAAATGGGGTCCACAACCAGTAGACTGTGTCTGTGCAGAGTTGAGATTGCTGCTGCTTGTTTCAAGGCATGGTTTAGACTATTAAAGTGAAAGTGGACTTGCTACCCTGGCGGGCAATAGTGAATTCACTCTTTTGTCTTTGCCTTCAGGTAACACCCAGGAGTGCCCTCAGCCAGAAACCCTCAATTGCCAAAGAGTACTCAAGCTGTTTCACTGGCAGTCTGAAAATAGAAAAGAACCCTGGGCCAGGTGTGGTGGCTCAGCCTGTAATCCCAGCACTTTGGGAGGCCGAGGCGGTTGGATCACCTGAGGTCAGGAGTTCGAGACCAGCCTGGCTAACATGGCAAAATCCTGTCTCTACTAAAAATACAAAAAATTAGCTGGGCGTGGTGGCGCATGCCTGTCATCCCAGCTACTCAGGAGGCTGAGGCAGGAGAATCGCTTGAACCCGGGAGGCAGAGGTTGCAGTGAACTGAGATCGCACCATTGCACTCCAGCTTGGGCAACAAGAGCGAAACTCCTTCTCAAAATGAAAAAAGAAAAAAAGAAAAGAAAAGAGGCCACTTTCTCACCCCTAAGAGCAGTGACACACAGATATCCCTTCTCTAGGGCTTCAGAATCCCACTGAAGATTGGCCTCAGCCAGGGACCTTCAGTTCCTAAGAGTAAAGAACCAGACCATCAGGCCGGGTACAGTGGCTCATGCCCGTAATCCCAACACTTTGGGAAGCCAAGTTGGACGTTTCACATGAGGCCAGGAGGTCGAGAGCAGCCTGGCCAACATGGCAAAACCCTCTCTCTATAAAAAACAAGATAATAAAAATCGAGGGAAGCAGGGAGAAAAAAGAAGGGAGAAATCCCAGTAAAGTCCCCATACAGGTCACCAAGATGCTGGGCGAGGTGTCAGAGCCCTAGCATTGGAAAGTAGTCAACTCATGGGTTGGTAAGAAGAATTTACCAACAACAGTATAGGTTTGAAAAAGGAAATTTTCATTAGAAAGAACGCTGCAGAAGAGTGTAGCAGGGCTCCTCTGCCAGAGAGGACTGAGCACACCCGCGTGGATTTTCCTGAGGGGTATTTATGGACCTTAAGGCGGGAGCTTAAGGGTAATTTGGATCATATTAGCCATGTGGGTCATGGTAAATGATTACATTTGTCAACATTTTGGTGCCTTAATGTCATCAAGGGTTGCACAGTGAGTTTCAGCATGGCATTCGGAGATGTATAGAAATTACAGTTACTTGTGAATTCTTTTTTTTTTTTTTGAGAGAGGCCTGAAAACAGAGGCCAACTGTAGATACTAGGGACGTTTATTTCTAAATTCCCCAGAAAAGGAGTTTTGCCTACTGATGGCCTGTTAGATGCTCACCAGGTGATCTTCGATCTCCTCATATAGGATTCTGGGTTGACACATTTTTACTTTCATCATCTGAAAAATATTCCTACTAACCCCTGTGATTTCTGATGAGAAAACTGCTGTCATTCTACTTGTTTTTTCTCCTATACATAAGGAGTTATTCTCTGGCTGCTTGCAAGATTTTTTTTCTTTGTCTTTAGTTTTTAGAAGTTTAATAATTATGTGTCTTGTGACATGGATTTCTTTAGGCTTATTCTGTTTTGTTTGCTCATCTTCTTGAATCTGTAGATTTATGTCTCTTCTGAAATTTGGGAGCTTTTCAGCCATTATGTCAAGTACTTTTGCAGTCCTATCCTCTTCCTCTTATTATTCTAGGACTTCGATGACACAAATATTAGATCTTTTGTTATAGTTCCACAGGTCCCTGAGGTTCTGTTTTTGTATTGTTCTAATTTGTTTTGTTTTTGGTCTAGTGTTTCTTTTTTTTTTTCAGATTGGTTAATTTCTATCTCCCAGTTGACTGATTCTTTCCTCCACCTCCTCCATTCTGCTGTTAAGCCCATCCATTGACTTTTTATTTCAGTGATTGTATTTTGCAGTTCTAAAATCTCCATTTTGCTCTTTATAGCTTCCATGTCTTTGCTGAGGCTTCCTATTTTTTTCATTTGTTTTGTGTTCCTAAGTTCTCACTGAAGCAATTTTTAAAAAATCATGGCTGCTCTAAAATCTTTGTCAGATAATTACAATATCTCTGTCATTTCAGTGTTGGCATGTATTGTGTTTTTCTAGGAATTTTTCCATATCATCTACATTTTCAAATTTATTGCATAAAGACCATATCTTTGTTTCTAGGAACTATAGTGATATCTTCTTTTTCATTTTTGATATTGGACTGAATTTGTTCTCTCTCTCTTTCTCTCTCTCTCTTTCTCTCATCCCTTTCTCTCTTTTTTCTTTATCAATCCTGCCAGGGGTTATTATTTTTAGTAGTTATTTTTAACAAACCAATTTTTCATTTTGTTGATCCTCTTCATTATTACCTTCTACTTTCTTTAGGCTTAGTTTGCTATTGTTTTTATAATTTCTTGAGATAGATATTTACATCATTGACTTTCCTTCTTTTCAAATACGTTACATGTTTAAGGGCATCCCACAAGCTTGTCAAGTTTGTAGGAGACCAGTGCTTCCTTAGTATAGCTTTTTTTTTTTTTCAAACAGAGTCTCCCTCTGTTGCCCAGGCTGGAGTGTAGTGGTACGATCTCGACTCACTGCAACCTCTGCCTCCCAGGTTCAAGTGATTCTTCCGCCTCAGCCTCCCGAGTAGCTGGGACTACAGGCGTATGCCACCATGCCCAGCTGATTTTTTGTATTTTTTAGTAGAGATGGGGTTTCACTGTGTTAGCCAGGATGGTCTCGATCTCCTGACCTCATGATCCACCCGCCTTGGCCTCCCAAAGTTCTGGGATTATGGGCCTGAGCCACCATGCCTGGCCAGTGTAGCTTTAATTTGCATTTCTTTACTGAGTGAGGTTGACTTTTCATGTGTTTAAATGCTATTTGTATGCATTTTTGTGACCTTTGCTCATTTTTCTATTGGTTTGTTAGTTCGTATACGGATAGATGGATTCATGTATTAGAGAGATTATCGCTTTGTAATACGAGTAATTAAAATACTTTTTTTTAGTTTGTTGTTTTCCTATTGACTTTGCCTATGCAGTGAACTGTCTTGCTAAACTGCTACTGTGCTGAGGACTTGCTCACCTGCCTTTGGAGGTCAGAGAGGGTAGCTCATTTCAACTCACTCTGCTTTGGCGGGCTCTCATTTAACCTCATGAAAGAGTCCACAGAACGGAGGCCAGAAGCCTGGGCTCCAGAGTTACTCAGGCCTGCCATTCTCTATGTGACTTAAACCAAATTTTGACAACTCCTGACCTCAGTTTCCTCATCTGTAAAATAGAAATAATAATTCTTCTAACTTTATGTAGCTGTTTGATGATTAAATAAGATAATGCATATAAGATCATTTAGCACAGAGTGTGATCCACAGTAAAGGTATGATGCATAGTATTTGCTTTTTAATTATTAGTGTTTACCAAGATCAAGCTAATGTTGTGTGAATGGCTGCTGTTTTTTCCTGATGCCACTCCCCATCAGAGTACAGGAGAAAATCCTGTGACCACATGCTGTTGGCTCACCTGCTATGTCTTTTTTGCTTTGTGCATGGAGTTCTGGATTGCGGCCAGTACCATTGAGTGTTTTGATGAAGGTTGGCTGCTCCGAGAGTTTGAATTTTTGCCAGGCTCTTTGGGTACATCTATCATAGCATTCTTTGTGCCTTTATTGTCCTGAGCTCTGCATGACTAGCCTTCTGATGGTCTTTCAGAAAAGAGAAAAGGAAAGAATGGAGGCATGGTTAAAGACCCCACATGGCTCACTCACCTGTTTCCCCTGGGATGATCAAAGTTACCTAGTTACCTGTCATCTGACCAGGACTCACAGCTCTGGAGCTGACAGGTATAGACTGGTCTAAGCCAGCATTCAGGAAGGCCACCCAACTGGAAGAGCAGGCATCAGAGTAGAGAGAATAAGCCTGAGCTCTCCAGAACATCCAAGGTCATAGAACAAAGTGGCCTTAGGGGAACAAAACTGGGTCCCCATACCTAGTTCTCCTCCTGTACTCTCTCTTAGTACCCAATAATTCTTACAATTTTATATATCTCTTCTGCAAGCCTGTAAGTTCCAAGAGGTCAGAGACCACATTTGCCTTGTTCACTACCAAGAATAGGGCCTTGATCTATGTGGTGGTTACATGGGTGTGTTTGCTTTGTGTTAATTCATCAGGCTCTTGGTACAGTGCCTGATGCCTAGTATTCATTGAACGGATGAATAAGTGAGTCATAGAGTCTCAGGTATTTATTCAGATCATTCATCTACTACATGCTTGAATCCTTGCCTCATTCCTACCAAGGGTTTGTTAGCATTTATCATTTAAACACTTCTAATGACAACAAGCTCTCTACTGCTCAAGGCTGCCCGTTCATTTTCTGTTTAGGTCTCTTGCCTAGAAAGTTCTTCTTAATATTGAGCTGAAATATGCCTCCTTGAGGCTTCTGGTTAGTATTCTTGTTCTATCCTTTATGGCCACACGAATCAAGTCTGGGCCTTCTTCACCATGACAACTCTTCAGACATTTGTGGTTAGTTCTGACACCCACTTCTTTTCCAGGTAACCACAAAATCATTGATTAGACACACATTTGTTGAATGTCTGTAACACGGAATAGATTAGAGAACATACAGGTGAAAAGACATAATATCATCCTCGAGTGGTTACTGGTCTTGAGGGAGCCAGAGAAATTAAGACTTAATGTGCTAAGTGTTAGGGAAATGGAGACACAGGAAAAGAGAATTCGAGCCTACCTAGGGGTCTTGGGGAAGGTTGCAAAGTAGACCAAGGAGAGAAGGATGTTCCAAGAAAAGGGAATAGCACATGCAAAAGTCTGGAGCTATAAAAGCCCAGGGCATGTTATGGAAACTCTAAGTTGTTCTAGATGGCTAGGGAGACTAGAAGACTCAGATTGTTAGAACAGACCAATTTATGCTTGTTGTCCCAGAAAACTTAATAATATGTCCTTAGTTTCAAAAGTATCCCAGATAGTCACTGTGAGTATAGTTGGGACATAAAGTCTGAGAGTGAGGTGGAAATGGGGGAGATGAAGGTGGAGAGAAGCAGCGGCTGATCGTAGAGGTCACTGTGGCCAAGTTCAAGAAAGGCATTCAGTTAACTGGGCTTCTTATGGTGTCTTTCCCTTCAAGGTTATCTTCTCCAGATATGATCTGATTCACAGATAGATCAATACAGCCACTGACAGATGATTATTGCTATGGGCTACCATTTACGGAGCGCTTACCAGGTAAGTGCTTTCCATGTAGGCTGGGGTGAGGCCCAGGTAACCTCTGCTGACTTAGTTATGCTTGTCCTTTAACTGATTCTCTGCCAGTAGGCCTTGGGTTTTGACTTGTTTTTACTGTTGTGAGGTCATGTCCTGAGACAACATTGGGCAAGTCCCAAAGGGCCTTCTGTTCCCAACTAGAAACTTTGTAAGCTTTCCCTGGAGGGGGACAGCTGAGGTCAGGAGATGGCTACTAGCTATAAACAGTTTGTTTTAAAGGACTTGTATGATGTCTGTATTGAAGGGATTCATATGAATATTCAAATGAAATGAGTTGAGTTTGTTCTAAGATGATGCAGTAGCTAGGAATGTTGAGTTAGATGTTTGGATGGGCAGCCAGGGCACATGGTTTAAACATTTGACGCACTTGAATTCAATGGATAGTGGATAGCAAGAGTGGGCATTTGAAATATGTCTGAGTGAGTGGTTTCCTCTGCAGCACCTCCTGCAACAGCTGTCCCTAAGTGGCAGGTGTGGGTTTATACCCTAAAACTGAATGTAGCAGTGCCCTCAAGCAGACCCACAAGGACTAGCTTGAGGCTGCTTTGTCTCCCAGAAAGACAGTTGGCAGCAGCTATTGGAGGGCTCTGCAGGCTTCCAAGTCCCCACCACTGCCCCAACACTTGGGTGGTCAGTGGGCACATGAGGCCACTGAGAATGGTCATGTCACCCTGCCCTTCCCATTCCTCCATTGCCAACCTACTGAGGTTTGGGGCTAGCGTGAGAATCTATTTGTGTTAGCTTGCTAATCAGGCTGTTGTAACAAAGTGCCACAAACTGGGTGGCTTGCACAACAGAAATGGATTGTCTCCCATTTCTGCAAGATAGAAGTCTGAGATCAAGGTGTTGGCAGGGCTGGTTCCTTCTGAGAGCTATGAGGAAAAACACGTTTCATGGCCCTCTCCTAGCTACTGGTGGTTTGTTGGCAACCTTTGATGGTCTTTGGCTTATAAAGTCATCACTCTGATTGCTACCTTCATTTTCACATGGTGCTCCCCCTCTATGCATGTCTGTCCAAATTGCCCCATTTTATAAGGACACCAGTCATATTAGGCTAGGGGTGCACCCTATTCCAGTAATACTTCATCTTAACTCATTACATCTGCCATGACCCTATTTTCCAGTAAGGCCATATTCACCACATGGATTGTTGGGGGACACAGTTCAACCCATAGCACTTAGGATAAATTGAAATAGCATCAGCATGAACACAATTACTCTACTGGTTACTTCTGCCAAACAACCTTCAAGTCAGAAAGAATCCTGTGGTTAAGGGAGAGGTACCGCAATCCAGCTGCAACAAGTTAAAGGTGTAGCCCACTAGCTATGGGTTAGTTTGCCCTGAGCTCTGAATGTGACTTCTTCCCTGGGAATCTTGGCTTGAGGGCACATGTGGGAGCCTGCTTGCCAGGCACAGGGTAGCCTGTGGCTTTGGGAGTCTTGTTTTAATCTGTTCTGTCACTTTCCAAAGGTCTGTCTTCTAAGCTTATGCCATTGTTGTACCCTAGAACCAACTATTTTCATTCTTTGCTGAGTACCTTTTCTGCCCATATGAATTCTCTCCTAGCCATTCTCCATACCACGCAGACGGATTGTTCTAAAACACAAATGTGATATTGTCAGTCCCTTGACTGAAAAGACCTCAACGGCTGTTGCTCTTTGGATGAAGATCAAAACACTGTTTCCTACAGGACTGGGAGGTCTCAGACAGGAGGATTGCCATCTGCATTTGCATTTATTTAAAAAACAATTGAACTGGTGACATTCTGTTTCTTGATCTGGGTGGTGCTGAACAATGGTGTTCACTATGTCAATATTCATCTAGCTCTACACTTTGATTTGTGGACTTGTCTGTACATACAATGTATCCCAATTTTAAAAAATCTTCAAAACAACTGAATGAGTTGCCCAAAGTTCTGGGAGTTCCTTGGTCGTATTACACTTTATGATCTTTTAGATCTCTTGACCAATACCATACAACTAGAGATTTTTTTCCCCCTTTCTATCTTGGGAGGAAAAAGATGGAATTAACAAACAGAGGTGATTCAGTGAGTTACATTGTGGTCACAAGATAAATTATGCACATTGCGACAAGAAAACCACATAGTCCTATAAAATTATGGGCTGTTTTTATCCAGAATTATGCTGGCTTTCTATTTCCTGTTGTTGATTAAGAATAAAGAGGGACCTGCCTGTTGCCCCTGCCTGCAGCGCCTAGAGGAGAGAGAGAAGTCATGATCAGCCTCATTTCTGCCCCAGGGACTGCATTATTCCCCTTTGAAGCAACAGTGCTTCCCCTAGAGCTTGGTCAAGGAGAGGGGCTGCAGGCAACCCCTGTGTCTGCCCCAAGAAAATGGGAGTTCTGAGCAACTTGGGTGTATGGAAAAAGGAAGCACTCTCCACAGATGGCTGAAAAGCATTGTTGGTAACATATGAAGCTTGAGTCTAGGGGTAAATGACAAGCCCTTTAAGTGGGCTCTGTTTCTTGGAGTGCTGAACTGTTCCCACTGTTTAACATAAAGAACCAAAGTAGCCCTTGCAAAGAGAGTGAGAATAATCTCTGACTCTGGCAGGCTCTTAGGACATCATAATTTTAAAATTGAGAGAATTTTTAAAAATCTAGATTTCTGTCTTTCCTTGGAAAATTGAGATGTTGAACTACCCTACTATGCTATTAAAATTGCCAGGTATGGTGGCTCATGACTGGGAGGCTGAGGCGGGTGGATCACCCAAGGTCAGGAATTCAAGACCAGCCTGGCCAATGTGGTAAAACCCCGTCTCTATTAAAAATACAAAAATAGCCAGGTGTGGTGATGTGCATCTCTAATCCCAGTTACTTGGGATTAGGGCAGGAGAATTGCTTGAATCTGGGAGGTGGAAGTTGCATGAGCCAAGATGGCGCCACTGCACTTTAGACTGGATGACAGAGCGAGACTCCATCTCAAAAAATAAATAAATAAATAAATAAATAAAATTGCAGTATCCATGACATCTTGTCCTAAACCCCATACTTTGTGCTTCCCTTACATTGCTTTGCTTCCTCTCTTTCCATAGCCCCAAGCATCTCCTAACTTACCATATAGTTTACTTATTTATTCTGTTTATTAGTCTGTCTCCTTCTGCTGGAATGTAAGTTGCATGAGGGCAGGGCCCTTTGTTTTGCTCAATGATCCATCCCAGGTCCTGAATATTGCAACCTGGCATTGAATAGTTGTATGCATGTTGAATGAATGTAGCCTGAAGCCTACATTCCCAATTTGTAGCAGTCACATTGCCTGCCTGGGCCCCTGAAGGCATGTGTATTTGCCATGCCTGCCCCTACTGACCTGCATGCCAGCTTCTGCCTTCCGTCCCCCTCAGGCTTGTTTCTCTGGCCACACTGGCCTGGCCTCTCCTGCCCCAACACTGGCCCTCCGCACTTGCTCAGCCAGAACGCTCTTCCTGCCCCTCTCTGCCTGGCTAGCTCCTGCTCCTGCTGTGTTCTCAGCTCAAGCTGTCCTTGATCCCTCTGCCTAGGTCACTCCCCCAAGCACAGAGAATATTCTGTCCTTAGTCACTGACTAGAGGAAATTCCTTTCATTCAGTTTTCAGACATAAAAAGCTCTTCATCCCTTGTGAATTAGGGTGCCCCCCCCCCGCCCCCGGCTACCCTGACCTCTGAGCTGAGGATACAGGTGGTGCCCAGCCCCTCTGAGTCAACCCTGGAAACCAGTTCTACAGTGCCAGGCAAGGAGCAACCCTGGGCCAAGGGCTGAAATTACCCCACTGGTCCTCTGTCTACCCACGACTTATATAAGGCTGGGCCTCTTCATCATGTCCTATCTGTGTCAACACTCAGGAGAGGGCCTGGCCCTCTGGCAACATGTTCATCCTTCACAGCAGGGCCAGGACAAACACTCCCTGACCAAGTAACCACAAGACAGAGGGCCCTTCCTGGGCACCTGGAGACAGACAGATGGAGTTACCAAACAGAAGATTCTGGGAAGGGGAACCCCAGTGGGCCAAAGAGAACTCTAGACTGACAGAGGTGTGGAACAGCTTCCCCTCTCTACCCAATTTTGAGATGAGGAAATTGAAGCCCAGAGAGAGTCAATGGTGCATCCAAAGCCCCACAGCACAGCGTCCCAACAGCCCCACAAGAACCCACAAGCTTCACTGTGTTTTCTGGGTCTGGGCTTCTGGGGCTGGAATGTCAGGAATTCTAGGTTCTGCCCCCATTAGCTGCAAGACCAAGACTTAGAAAGAGATGAGAATGGTTAGAATGTTGCAGCTCTTATCCGGGAATGTACAAAATACAGATGACTGGGCCTCACACCTCATTCCTTCCATCTGCAGGAGGGCCCTGACATGTGGATTTTGAAAGGCTCCTTGGAGATGCTGACTATCCATGCTAGATGGGCACCTGGATGATGTTTAAGTCCCTTCTAGCTTGACAAATCCTCAGCTGTAGATATTAAAATGCTGCTTGTGCTGGAGTGTATCCCTGTCATCAGTCCACAAGAGAAGCTCTCACTGGGGCAGCTGGGCTCCCTAGGGAGCACCCTGGAAATTAAAAAAAAAAAAACTTTTGGTTGTCATAATGATGAGGCTGGTGCTTCTGGCATTCAGTGAGGGGAATACTGCAGTCCCTGGGGCAGAAATAAGGCCCATGATGACTTTTCTCTCTCCCCCAGGTGCTGCAGGCAGGGGCAACAGGCAGGTCCCTCTTTGTTCTTAGTGAGGGATGCATCCCATCACATTGAAGAATTGTCCTGAGTCCTGTACATCTTTTGAATGTACTGTCAGAATATTCATAGAGGTGAAAAGCTAGTTCATAGGCACATGAGCCATAATCAACTTCACTTTACATGTACGTTTAAAAAAAAAAAAACACCCTGGTGCAGTGGCTCATGTCTGTAATCCTGAAGCGGGTGGATCACCTAAGGTCAGGAGTTCGAGACCAGCCTGGCCAACATGGTGAAACCTTGTCTCTACTAAAAATACAAAAATTAGCCTGGTGTGGTGGCAGGCGCCTGTAATCCCAGCTACTCGGGGGACTGGGGCAAGAGAATCGCTTGAACCGGGGAGACAGAGGTTGCAGTGAGCCGAGATTGTGCCACTGCACTCCAGCCTGGGCGACAGAGTGAGACTCTGTCTCAAACAACAACAACAACAACAACAAAAAAGAACACATGATTTTATTGCACAACCTACCTGGAGTACAACTACCATGTTGAGAGCTGTGTGTAAATTGTCCTGCATTTTGTCTGAAACGTTATCGACCTTAAGCCACAGTTTTGTAAAATCACATCATCCATGGCAATGCTGCTCACATAGTAATTGAGTCACTAAGACACTACCTCTATACTGGTCTGCATCTGCAGCTTTCCTATCCATGATGATTGTATCTAATTCTATGAATAGCCTAATTTAGTCCTTATGTCAAAATGTCAAATATAAAGAAAGCAGTGACAGCACTATTCAATTAAATATTGCCTTCCTGTAATGCAAACATATCCATTGTAAGTCCATGCCTCTGCCAACTTCATGTATGATTTTATCGTGACATTCCCTTTTAAAATTATAGTGCTATATTGATTTCAAGATAGTAAAAGAGAGTTACAAAACAATATTTGTTATAAACAGGGGTGTTGGATCTGGTTGGTTTAGGACTTACTGATCTACAAGCAATAAAACCTGCAGGAAAACAGTAGATCTGTAGCTCTCAGACAAGCCTTGCAAAGGTCTAGCATGCCCTAGAGAGGGCAAGGGGCACGTTGGAAGGACTAATCAACTTGTTAGGATCAGGTCCTGATGGGGATCGAAACCAGCTTCCAGCAACAATGTGAGAGGGCTAGGCTGGGCTTAGTCAATCACACGGCTCAGATTGGAATCTTATTTGAGTACACCCTGGATGTATGCGGAGGGTGTTAGACCAATAATTCTTGGCCGGGCGCGGTGGCTCACACCTGTAATCCCAGCACTTTGGGAGGCTAAGGTGGGAGAATCACTGGAGCCCAGGAGCAGCCTAGGCAACATAGTGAGGCATTGTCTTTATAAATTAATAATAATAATAATAGTAATAATTATTGAGTGCTTATGGTGGATCAGGCCTCATATGTGATGGGCACACACATACATCTCTTACAATTGCCACAGCAGTCTTAGGGTAGTTGTTAATTCTTGCTTTACAAAGGAGGAAGCCCAGGCTTGGACAGTTACAACAACTTGCTGGAGGCCACACAATGATTCCTGGGTAGAAAGCTGTCTCCCTGCCTTCAAAGCTATTTTGAGGCCACACAATGATTCCTGGGTAGAGACCTGTCTCCCTGCCTTCAAAGCTATTTTGTCAAAGGAAGTTTATATTTATTCAGTGTTTGAGAAACAGCTGCTCTCAGTTTTTAATGTTTTGCTAGGAGTGACTGTGCAGCCTGGATAGCAACAATGGTGGGTGTATTAGTCCGTTTCACACTGCTATTAAGAACTTCCCTGAGACTGGGGCATTTATAAAGGAAAGAGGTTTAACTGACTCACAGTTCCACACGGCTTGGGGAGGGCTCAGAAGACTTACAATCATGGCGGATGGTGAAGGGGAAGTAAGCCCCTTCTTCACAAGGCAGCAGCAGAGAGAAGAACGAAGGAAGAACTTCCAGACACTCATAAAACCATCAAATCTCATGAGAATCACTCAGTGCCATGAGAACAGCATGGGGGAAACCACCCCCATGATCCAATCACCCTCCCTCCCTCGACACATGGGAATTATGATTTGAGATGAGATTTGGGTGGGGACACAGAGTCAAACCCTATCAGTGGGCTTCTTTACGAAAGATGAGGTTTCCTTGGGAAATAACTCTTGGCTCTCTGAGGGCTTGGCCACTCTGACTTTGATCAAACTGGCAACTGGGGTATGTACCTGAGTGAGGTCAGGGGGCCCATGATAACTCGGTGACTTGCTGCCCCTTGCTCACTCCAGTTGGCAATGTCGGGGCATTTGGTCCCTGCTGTGGGGGCTCCCATGTCTGTCTGGCCCTTGGCCTCTCCTCCCCTGGTGGCCAGCTCTGCTGTGATCAGCTGAGCCTGCTGCTGGAGCTATGTGCTGGTTTCCTGCCTCTTCTTGGGCATTCTGGGCTCTAGGAACTGTTTGTTGGTTTCCTGTGGGCCATTCCTTTCCAGGATGGGCCTAGAGGCTGCAACCCTCCTAAGATCTGCCCACACCCCTGTCCTGAGGTGAGCTTCTCAAGAAGGTCCCCGGCTGAGCAAGGGGTGTCAGGAGCAAGAATGGAGGCAGGAGAGTGTGTGCGCCTGCTTTTTAGAGTGGGAGTGTGCACTCATGCATGAGTGGGAGGCTGTCATTAACTTGGCCATGGATGGCTGCCATTTTAAGCAGAACCAGATTTGCTGGCATGAATTGTTTAAATGATGGCAGGCACAAGCACTGCAGGGAGATCCTCCTAGCCTAAATTAAAGAAGCCACAGAGGGAAAAAATCCCAGACCATCTTGCTCCACACCTCCCTCCCCCGTCCCAAGCCTTCCGTCATCTGCGGGAATTTCAGTGCCTCACTGACACCTGAATGACAATCTTTTGTCATCCTGGAAGGCACCATGATGGTACCAAAGGACAACTGGGGAGCATTGGTTCCCTCCCCAGCCCCAAACAAACACGTTCTTCATCAGCCTCCTTAAGCCATCCCAAACAACCCACACGCTTAATACAACTATCGTGCCTTCTATCCGGGCAAAGTGCCATGTGTCTGTAGACACAGCTACTCAGGAGGCTGAGACAGGAGGATCGCTCGAGCCCAGGAGTTTGAGGCTGTAGTGAGCTATGATAATGGCTGTAAATAGCCACTACACTCCAGCCTGGGCAACATTATTGAGACCATGTTTCTAAATAAGCAAACAAAAATTGTGCTTTCTCTGCAAACAGAGTGTCTAGGGAAGTGCTTTTTACTTTCTTGTGCATTAAGATCATCTGGGGACCTTGTTAAGCTGTAGATTCTGATTCAGGAGGTCTGGAGTGGGGCCCCAAGAACCTGTATTTATAACAAGCTCTCAGGTAAAGCCAATGCTGCTCTCAGGGAAACCACACTTTCAGAATGGAAGTTCCAGATAGCCCTCCTCTGCCTCTGACCAGCCAGCTATGTGCCTGCTAACGTCATTCTGCTGTCAGAGGGAGTGTGGGGTAGGAGAGCAGGGTGGTCTGAAGTCTTTCTCTCTCTCTTTCTCTCTCTCTCTCTCTCTCACACACACACACACACACACACACACACACACACACACACACACAGGGCTTCATCGGCTCAGAGAGTTGCAAACCCAGACCCATGTTCTAGGCTGGGCTCTGCCAGGAACTGCTAGGAGTCGCATCTCTCTCTGGACCTCAGTTTCTTCACGTGTATTTGTGTATTCTCTGGGGTGGAGCTGGCGAATAGCTGGAGACCCCTCTAGCCCTACCATTTTTTGATTCTAATTAACCAAAAAGGATATTCGAGGTCCCCGCTACAAATTCTGAACCCTTGGCTTCCCCTCCAAACTCCCACACAAACTCCACCCCATCCTGCCTGTGTGTCTTTGGGAGGATCATTTCCTTCTTTGGTCTTGGTGTCCTTGTTTACAGGTTGAGGGATGATAAGAGTCACCTGATCTGGGCAAGTCAGGCCATAAATAAGGCTTGTATGTAAAGGTGCCTAGCATAGTTCTTGGCAAAGCAAGGATCAGTCGATATGATTGCATTGGTTTGAGCATCTGGGAAGAATGAGCAGACTGCATACTGTGTGTTAGGGTGTAGGGAGGAATCAGACGTGACCCTGCCCTCTAGTCATCTGGGTGCACAGATTCTAGATTAAAGGATGTGGGGGTGGTAACTAACAAGGAGATGGAGAGGAGGTGTGCAGTTCCTGGGGGATCTGATGAAGAATTAAAGCAGAAGGGTAGGAGATGGAGAATGGGAAGGCATACCTGAAACCCTAAAGCAACTCTTGATGAGTAGGCATTGGCAGGAGGCCCCAGAACATTTTCTGACCCTCAAACACTGAGAATGCATGTCTGCTGGGGAATAGTAGTGAGGGGGCTAAGGGTATGGGGGTGTTCATGCCTGAGTCAGGGGCTCTGGATGGTAGAAATGTCTGGGAGTTCTGACGGAATGGGGGTGAGGAGGCCTAAAGATAACCTGTTCATAGTCTTTCAGGGCCTTAACCATTATGGCTGGGGAAGTGGGAAGTGCCGATGGGGTATGCAGAGGAGGGCAGCTGTGATAGTACATTTCATCCTGAAAGCACTACATGTGGATAATGACGGTAGTGATGATGCCCTAATTTTAGTGTCATGGCAACATTTTCCAAGGGGATGGAATTGGGTACCCTCATTAGTGTCATTTTTGTTTGAGAGATTTCAAGAGTCTATCTAGGTGTCATTTTAAAATCTATTGAAAAAAAATCTTGAATGCAGGTCACTGACCAGTTGGTTCCATGTAACTGCACTGCCTTCTGCTACCACTAAAGCAATGTTATGACAACCTGGACAAGTCATGGGAAACCTATGTGAGACTTAGTTTTTTCTTTTTCTTTTTGGAGTTGGGGGTCTCACTATGTTGCTCAGGCTGATCTAGAGCTCCTGGGCTCAGACAACCCTCCCGCCTCAGCATCCCCAAGTGCCGGGATTACCGATGTAAGCCACTACACCCAGCTGAGACTTAGTTTTTTCATCTGGAAATGAAGGCGACCTTTGTGATCCCAGTGGGCCCTTGCACTTGTGTATAAGGTGATTCCCAGCACTGCTCATGAAAGTAGTGATGGCAGAGTAGCCTCTGCTCTCCATTTTATTTTTGGGGTGGGGGGGGGCAGTGGTGGAGGGGAGGATGAGGATGATATTTCCATTAAATAAGTTTCCTTGTTGCTTTTCTTCAGGCACCACTGACCTCGATGGAAAAATGAAGTCCCTGGCCCAGGAAAGAGACCCAACTCTGTGGCTGTTTTGGATTAGTTTGTACAATGCCCTGCAGACCTACTCTCTCAGGAGGCTCCAAGTGACCAAATGTGACAAGAAAGTTTTTTGTCCAAGGCAGTTTGGAAGAGAAGTTGGTGACCGTCGGGATACCACAGCCGCCCCAGGACGGCCTGGTTGAGACATTCACTGGAGGGTCTGGGTGCAGCCCGCTGCCTGGCCGGTAGGCGGCGCGCACAGGCCGTGGGGCCCGGGTCTGGGCGTGCGCGCGGCTGGTAGCAGCGGGGCCGCGCACGCCAGGGTCCGGGAGCCGGGCCGGTGCCCCCGGAGCCATTTCCGGGAGGGGCGAGGCCGGCGGCTGCCGGGCCTCCAATCTCGGCGGCGGCGGCGGCAACAGGGGAGCCTGGGTCTCGCGGCCTGCGAGTCCGTCGCGTGCTGAGGGAGACGCAGGAGGTGGAGCCGGCCGGGTGCTCGAGGGAAGGAGACTGGAAGCTGGTTCCGGCGTGAGGAGGTGGAGGGGCCGCCGCGGGCTCCGGGGGGCGGTGAGGGTCGGGACGGAGGCGCCGCGGGGTGAGGAGAGGACAGGGGCCGGGTGGGCCGAGGGCGGGCAGAGGCGGCGGGGCGGCTGCGGCCGGGGCGGGGGCGGGGGCGGGCTGAAGGCGTGGGCACCAGCCGCTGAGGTCCAAGCAAGTGGACGGCGGGCGGGCGCGGGGCCGCGGTGGGGCGGGTCTGGAGCCCACGCCTGCCGCGGGGTAGGCATGGGCGGCCAGGATTTGCTGGTCCTCCGACGGGAGGGGTGACAACGAGAGCGAGGCCGTGCTGATTCTGAAGGGAGTGCGGAGGAGGCAGGACCCTGGTAGCCTCGGCACCTTCAGCCCGGGTTAGGTGGCCTGGGCTGGGCTCCCCACCCCGATCGCGCGCAGACGGGGCGTTTCCCCTAGTTTCCACCTGGGTGGAATGCTTTGTGGGAGTCTGGGTCTGGATTAGTTTCATCAGCTGTGGGAGGGAAACCTAGTTGCAGCAGGATTTTGATTCGCTGGTCTGGGGTGCTAGGGGTGGACTGTGATATCTGGGAATGAAATCTGAGCCTTCAAAGGAGGGAGAGAACCATAACTTGGCTGCTCTGGCGAATCTAGGCGGGCTGGCGAGACAGTTTAAAGCTCTAGAAGTAAACAAACCTGGTTCCCTTTTACAGAGTCTGAAAAAGGGGAGCGCGGAGAGGAGGCTGGAAGAGGAAGATGCCTAGCACAGACCTTCTGATGTTGGTGAGCCTTTTGCAGACATCCTCCTGGTTCCAAGGCATTTGTCTCCGTTTTTTTAGTCCAAAGGATCCCAGTGTGTAGATTTCACCTCTGATGCTTGCTTTTGGTAGCTGAGCGTTTTGCCACCTTTTATTTTGTTTTGTTTTGTTTTGTTTTTTTGGAGACGGAGTCTCACTCTGTTGCCCAGACTGGGGTGCAGTGGCATGATCTCGGCTCACCGCCACCTCTGCCTCCTGGGTTCAAGCGATTCTCCTGCCTCAGCCTCCTGAGTAGCTGGGATTACAGGCGCACGCCACCACGCCCGGCTAATTTTTGTATTTTTAGTAGAGACGGGGTTCTCCATGTTGGCCAGGCTGGCCTTGAACTCCTGACCTGTGGTGATCCACCCGCCTTGGCCTCCCGAAGTGCTGGGATTCCAGGCGTGAGCCACCGCGCCTGGCCAACCACCTTTTATTTTGGATGAATGATCAGGATGAATAAATAGCTGAATTAAATACATCAATACAGTATATGTAGAACTTAAATTATTGAAGAATCTTTTTCAAAATTATTATTATTTTTTTTAAATGAGACAAGGTCTTGCTATGTTCCTCAGACCGGAGTGCAGTGGCTATTTACAGGCATAATCATAGCTCACTGTAGCCTGGAACTCCCACTTCAAGTGATCCTCTTGCTTCAGCCTCTGGAGTAGCTAGGACTAGGAGCACAGGTCACCTCTCCTGGCTTTCTTTTTCATAATTCTTGCAGTTTTAATCCCTCCCTTCCCGTACTACCAGAGCAGTTTTGAAACCTCTATTATTACGTTTTATCAGGGTCTGCCATATACTAGTTTATCTGAGTGTTTGTCTTCCAGATTAGAGTTATGGTTCCTCGACAGGCAGATAATCATGTCTTCTTTGTTTAGAGATGAATAAACACCTAGCATGGTGCTCTGAATATAGTATGTGCTTAACAAATGCTTGTTGGATTGAACCAGTATGAATTTAAGTTCTTTTGTTGGACAGAGAGGTATGCCTGCTTTAGAGCTGTTTCCTCTCCTCCTGAGATCTTTCTGTGCTGTTTTACTGAGCAGGGAAGAATAGCGTTGCTAAATGCATGTTTACCAAAATGACATTTTATTTTTGGGACTTTTATGATTCCTTATGGACTTCTTAGTGTGAGAATTATGGAGAGTTTATAGCTTTGAAATGGTGGTATAGAAAAAGTGTCCGGGTTTAGTTTTTTTTGTTTCGTTTTGTTTTGTTTTGTTTGTTTGTTTTTGAGATGGAGTTTAGCTCTTGTCTCCCAGGCTGGAGTGCAATGGCACAATCTCAGCTCATTGCAACCTTTGCCTCCCGGGTTCAAGCGATTCTCCTGCCTCAGCCTCCCGGGTAGCTGGGATTATAGGTGCACACCACCATGCCTGGGTAATTTTTGTTTTTTAATAGAGATGGGGTTTCGCCGTGTTAGCCAGGCTGGTCTCAAACTCCTAACCTCAGGTGATCCACCTGCCTTGGTCTCCCAAAGTGCTGGGATTACTTACAGGCGTGAGCCGCCGTGTCCAGCCAAGTTTGTTTGTTTGTTTGTTTTTGTCACTTCTCTGAGTGCAAAATCAGTGCTTTAAAAACAATTCATTTCTCTCTCTTTATCTCACTATCCCAGAGGGTGGGTTGGCGTCACTGGGAAACTGGCAAAAACTGGTAGTGAGATTTCCTTATACTGGGTGCTGACATCGTAGTGGCATAACCTGTAAGGTCTGCAGGGGGGCTAAAGAAGAGAGAAACTAAGTTTTGATCCATTGTGATTTGAGGCAGGGATCTAGGATAATTTTAGGTTGTATGTGAGAGACATAGATGAATACTTAGGTTATCCGCAGATCCCAATGAAAAGTTCATCTAAAATAGTATCTTGCCCCAAATTTCATGGATTTTTCAGTTTTAATTAATACCCTTATATAACTTAAAATTCTTATTCAAAGACCATTATGTTAGAAATACTGGAAACTATAAGTAAGCAAAAGGAAAGGGGATTTGTTAATCTCCCCTATCTCCTACATCCCCTTCATTCGCCTCTACCCCGTGCAGTAATTTATCACCCAGAAATAACCGCTGTGAGCATCTTGGATGGTTAATGCAGAGTGACTTGTAGCAATTGACAGTTTCTGTTTATCCTCTTACAGAAGGATATGTTTATGTAAATTATAGGTTCTTATATGTAAGATATTTCCCCATGCACAGAGATATGGTTATTACTTATAGGGCCTATGCATTTACTTTAACAGAACAATGACTGCTTTTACTCGGAATATTAACTTTGGAATCAGTTTTCTTTTGAGGTATTTCTCTAGCTGTTGCCACCACCTTTCACCTCCTCACCTGTTAATTTAGAATGTTTAGGAGTGTTGCTTTGCTTGTTGCTGTAAGGAATTAATCCACATAGATGCGAGTGGCCCTAGGCAGTCATCACTTTCTGAAGACAACATACATGTTGCATGAAGTGCTTTCACTGGAAAAGTTGTCATTCATTCCTTGACTGTAATGTATAATGCTATTTGGAACTAACTGGTAAAGAACCAATAACCATGGCTGGGTTTTCAGTGGCACACTAACCCATCATTCTATGAGGTGTTTCTCAAGCTACTTTATATGATATGTAAAACATGTTCTTGGCCCTCCACCTGGGAAGAAAGGACCTAAGTGAATAAAAAAATAACCTCAGTGCAGTGCAGCATCTCAGAATTAGAAATAGTCTTAGAAGTCATGGGATGCAGCTTTTTTTTTTTTTTTTTTTTTGAGACAAGGTCTCACTCTGATGCCCAGGCTGGAGTGCAGTGGCATGATCTCAGCTTACTGCATCCTCAATCTCTGAGGCTCAGATGATCCTTCCACCTCAGCCTCCTGAGTAGCTGGGACGACAGGCACATGCCACCATGCCCGGCTGATTTTTGTATTTATTTTTTGTAGAGATGGTAGTTTGCCATGTTACCCAGGCTGGTATCTAACTCCTGGGCTCAAGGGATCCAACCGCCTGCCTTGGCCTCCCAAAGTGCTGGATTACAGGCATGAGCCACTGTACCTGGCCTGTGATGCAGCTTATATTATACATGAATCTGTTGAAGAGTATCTCTGGTAAATGGATATCCAGTCTCCCGTCTTTTCTGCTAATGGAATAAGTGAGCAAAAGCTAGGAAACAATACAAGGTGGATTCAGGAATAGTAATGTTAACTCTGATAGCTAACATTTATTGAGCATGTATTACATGTTAAGTGTAGGAATACTGTACTTATTTAATTTTCACAAAAACCTTTTGGTATCCTTCTTTTACAGATGAAAAACGAGGCTTATAGAGAGTAACTACAGCAGTTGAGTGGTGGAGCCAAGTTTGACCTCAGTTGGTCTGACTTCAGATCCCTCCCTCTTGCCTACTTTGTGTCCTTACCCCTGGTAAGGGTAGAGGTTGCTGACCATTGTGACTGATGGGAGAGGGTCTGTGTGGAGCAGATGGGATAGGATAGCTCCACCCTCTAGGGGGCACTTTGGCAATGGGGGACTGGGGGAGGAGGGAGTCTTTTTTCTTCTAGTGTAGTCTGAAAATACATGTTTTATTATTAAATTATTATTAAATCTTGTTTATTGGGTCAGGCGTGGTGGCTCATGCCTGTAATTCCAGCACTTTGGGAGGCTCAGGCGGGCAGAGTACTTGAGGCCAGGTGTTCTAGACCAGCCTGGTCAACATGGCGAAACTCTGTCTCTACTAAAAATACAAAAATTAGCTGGGCATGGTGGCGTACACTTGTATTCCCGGCTATTTAGGAGGCTGAGGCAAGAGAGTTGCTTGAACCCGGGAGGTGGAGGTTGCAGTGAGCTGAAGCTGCACCATTACACTCCAGCCTGGGCGACAGAGCGAGACTGTCTCAAAAAAAAAAAAATTTGTGTTTTATTTTCTTTTACGTCGCATTTAATGAATTATATTGAAATTTTAAAACTTGTATCTGCAGGCATAGTGTTATAATCTTTAAATGCCATGTCAGAGTAGCAAAAGGGATTACAGAATATTTGTTATAAAAAGAGGGCATTGGGTCATAGAGTTGAAGACTACTTGTGTGGACAGTATGCTGTGAGAGAAAACCTGGAGATGACCTGGAGTCCACATATAACAAGCCTTGAATCCAGACTGACAGGCTCGGGCTATCAGCCCTCAGTGTGTTCCTGCCCTCAATTTTGTTATCATTTGATTAGGATAGTTTGCTTGCCTTTTTCCATTTGCTCGTATGTGATGTGTCATAGACTGCAGTACTTTCCACCTGTGTCTCATAGAGAATAAAATGAGTATGTTCATCTGCTGAGAGTTGTGATGATGTCAGAGGGAATTCAAGTCAGACAGCTTTGTAGCAGCCTTTCTCCCCCTTGGCAACCATTCTTTTTATTCATACTCTCCTCCTTGGTGCTAGAGGGTGGTATCACTTTGCAAGTTGCCAAATATTTGTAGTTTTTAAGAAAAAGGTATTTTATAAAGCCAGTCTACCCCTTAGGTGGCTTTTTTCTTTTCTCATCAGAAAATGATGACTAAATTAGCTGATATTCATAGATGAATCAAGGTTAGCGTGTGCACCCTGGTAGTGCTAGGTGGGGTTTGAGTGATAATTGCTTATCTAGGGCAGTGGTTCTTGACCAGGGGCAATTTTGCCCTCTGGGTGACATTTGACAATGCCTAGAGACATTTTGGGTTGTTACACCTGAAGGGTTCTGCTGGCATCTAGTGGGTAGAGGCTAGGGATGCAACCAAACACCTTACAACGCACAGTTTCCTGCAAACAAGAATTATCTGGCCTAGAATGTCAATAGTGGTGAGGTTGAGAAACTGGTATGAAGTTTCTTACCATAGATACCTGGATATCTGTGTAGTCTATGCTTTCATATGGGTGGGGGAGTGATTCCCTTCTTGGAGGTTAACGTGTCTGTTATTGTCTCACTTGGGGTTATTTTGCCCATGGGTCAAGCCTTGCTGCTCAGGAATATATATTGGAGATGGTGCAGCTGATCTTTTATAGCAATGCAGAATTCTTAAGAAATGCTGTCCTTTGCAACATTTCTGCACCACTCTTTTCTTGATTTGCAAACAGCAAGCTTCCCTCAGTTTTGTTTTTTGGGTTCAAAAATTGAATCTTTCCAGGTCCTTGAGCGTCTTTATCTGTGACCCTTGACTCTTTTTCAGGGATGCTTTCTTTCTGAATCTCAAGTGGGATTTAAGCAATAAACTGAAAGATTGACCTTAGGAGCTCTGTTCTATTATTTGAGCCTTGTGTCTTGTTTGTAGGATTTGCTAGAAGAAAGGGAAAATTCATTGGGATTGTTGATAGGACATTAAAAAATTTGTTGACATTTGAGTGGCCATTGCAGGATGAACACTGTATTTGGCAATCTCCCAGTGTTATAGATGAAACAGAGCTGTAATAATTTCCACAGCCTTTGGTTTAAAGGAAAAGAGGGTTATAAACAGATAGAATCCAAATCCCAGTATTTGACTTAGCTTTTCAGTCTATGTGTCAGGAATTTTTAGTAATATTTACCTTCTTAATTAGGTTTTACCCAATCTAATATTATATACAGTTTGTGCACATTGGTGGCAGAATTGAGAATCAGCCTGGGTTTAAGAATTTCCATAGGGAATTGATGTGAATCAGTCTGTATGTGTAAATGTACAGAACCCAATTACTGAGATAAAAACCATGCTGTGGGGGAAGGGGAGATAGGGGCCCTCTGAGAAGATGGAATGGTGAAGGCTGCGAGTAGTTTGTGGATATATCAGTCATATCTTGGCATAATCCAACAGCGTACTAAGGGATCAAGGGACTATTTTCAAGGCTGAGCAGGTTTAAGGAAAACATCTAGGTGAAACATCTAAGGGCTAGCTAGCAATAGGAGAGCCATTATCACTCTTTTTTTTTTTTTTTTGTCATGGCAATTTCACTGAAGCTTTTATTGCCTCTATTGGTAATATGACAGGGACTGTAAGAAACACAATTGAACTTACAGAGATATGCAGATGATATTCACTAAAGATAATCTTCATCTCAAGTATTTTTTATATGTGGGCACTTCTAATTTTATACATTTTTCTATTTAAAAAGCATTACATTTTAAAATTTGTACCTGTTTTGACATTTGGCAAAAAGGAAACTGTACCTATGGTTCAGTTTAAAACAAAGAATCAGCATGGGGAGTTTACCGGAATGAGGACTGAAACACTTAGGAGTTAAAGCAATTCAAGGGGCGTGTGTGTGTCTCTCCCTTTCTCCGTCAATCTCTCTCACTCTCTCTGGCTCTCTCACAGACACAGACTCAAACACACACAGCCATATGTGTAATCATTTTTTAGTACAAAATATTCCCTGTAGCCAGACATTTATCTTCAGAATAATCACACCACATTAAATCAGTCTTCTCTTTTCAGCCCTAGTAAAAGTTTTGTTTAATTCTAAGATGCCATCATAGTGAACAACCTTAACTTTTATCCTACATAATTATATTCAAAGCTTTATGTATTTTTGTTTATAATTACACAGTAATTATAAATGTTTAGTACCAACCTGATGACAAACACTATTTTGTTGAAAAGGTTTTGCATTTAAAAAGAAAAATATGTAAAATCCAAGGCACTAGGCCACGAACCAATATCAGACTTTTAAAGAAAACACTTTATATTGAAAAAAAAAAAAAAAAAAAGCTAATGGGATCTCATTTCAAAACACAGCATATGTGAATTAATCAATCTGAAACCAATAACCATAACTCAAAATCTTCAAGACAGGAAACAAAACAGTACATATATATAGATATATAGATATATATATCTTTTAAAAATTTTTCATAATTGAAGTTCCTCTTTATATTTACAAAAAAATCAGGAAATACTGAAAGCAGCAAGATTCTTCTTTTTCCTTTTTCTTTTAATAACCAATTCCAGTAGCCTGAATAGAAATTTTCAGATTTTTCTTTTGGTAAAACTGCATTCTTGAATTAAAGTTATGATTGGAATATTGATATGTCTATAGGGAAAGCTTTCTAGTCTATTTCAAAATCATGTAAATAAAAAGCAGTTTTGATATGTCATTGTTTCTTAAAATAATTTCCATATTTGCATAAAATGTACTGCTATTCTAAGTACATTCCTTTGTTAATATCAACCCTAGACCTTAGAGAGTGCCTGGATATATATCCCAAGCAGAATCTGTTCCTATCAAAAGACCATAATCATCGAACATTTGAAGCATTACATTTCTAGCCTGCCTTACGGAAATGTTTAAGAAAGCAAGAAACCCTTCTTCACATGTCAGTAAGTGAACAGGGAAATGACCATTTTCAGCATAAAAGCAGCTCATGGGTCTTGTAATGAAAAAAATACATACAAGATAGCATTCTGCTTTGATGAGAAAACTGAGCTAATCTGAGTGAAACAAAAACAGTAAAGAGACTAGAAGCCAGATTGGTATTTTGCATCATGTATGCTTGTTTGAAAATCTTTGCTCCTGAAGTAAATATTTGGCAACCAAGTGATTAGCGACCACAATTTCAACAAAATAATAAGTCATTGAAAATGGACTATTTGTCTGAAAGAGCAATACCTATATTACAAAGATTGAACTTCATGGCTCATTACAACCATTTTCAAAATTTAACTGCAACTATCTTCTTATAAATTAAGAGAGTTTAATTTGTGTTCCATAGTGCGATGACAAAAAAAAAGTAAAAACAAAACAAAAAAACCCTCATGCCTAAATTTAGAATATTGTATTATGTAGCAATCCAAAACATTCAAAACAAATTAAATAGTTTAACTTATGTGACAGGCAGATAAGCATTTCAAAAGCATAATGAAGTCCAATTATGTAGTGCTTAATGTAGACAGGAGAAGAATCTAACATTATGCAGACATTTTCTAAATAAAAGCTCCCTGTAGGACAGCTATATATAAACATGGGTAAGGTAAGCGCAGACTAGTTCTGTGGAACCTTTTGAAATCAAGAGTCTAAAACACAATACATTTTTCAGGTAGGCACCAAGTTATCCTAAAAAATTTTCATGTTGGTTATTCTGACGTTGTTTTTTCTCTTTTTTTTTTTTTTTGAGACAAGTCTTGCTCTGTCGCCCAGGCTAGAGTGCAGTGGCTCGATCTCGGCTCACTGCAACCTCCGCCTCCTGGGTTCAAGTGATTCTCCTGCCTCAGCCTCCCAAGTAGCTGGGATTACACTCTTAAGCCTGTGAGAGGGCAAGGAAGGGAGTAGTTTCTGGAACTTTGAGAGAGTTGAGATGAAGGAGAAGGTAACCTGTAGGAATGCCAGCCAGTGACCCAGTAGGAAAGGCATCAAGGGGAATAAATACTTCAAACTCTTTTGCTACCCTCTGATCTCCTGCTGTAGCCTCCCATTGGTCTAATACAACTGGAAACCAGAGGTTAAGGAGTCTGGTTGATTTAATTCAGAGGGTGGAATCCGGAGGCACATAGCCGAGCTGGAAAATGCTGGATGGAGGATCTGGAGGAGGAGATCATCTGGAGGGGAGAACATCCAGCATGCTGGAGTTGAGAGGTCTAGTTTGTCTTAAAAGGCACAAATGAGGAGATAATTCTTGAACAGAATCTTGAAGGTGGATAGCATATGGATTATAGAAAGGGAATGTTCCCACTGATTTTAACAGGATAGATTCAGAGGCACACAGTTGCCACAGCTTTGGCAAGCCCAAAGCTGCTTTGTTCCAGTAGTAGCCTTAGAATCTTAATTGCCTGGAGGGCCTTTAAAAGTACTGCAGTCCAGCTTTCTTGCTGCCTAGGAATCCCTCTACAATGCCCTGTCAGGAGTGAGTGCTACATACTTTCTCAGGGGGTTCTTTCCACTGTTGGACAGCTTTAATTTTTAGAAAATTTTTCATGTGTCCAGATCACTGAATGCATCAGCTAGAATTAGGTTTGAGTGTATATAACAGAAAAACCTAAAGTAATAGAGATTTTTTAAAAGACATAAATATATTTCTTTAAGAGAAAACTGGCCTGGCGCGGTGGCTCACGCCTGTAATCCCAACACTTTGGGAGGCCGAAATGGGCGGATCACTTGAAGCCAGAAGTCAAGATCAGCCTGGGCAATGTGGTGAAACCCCGTCTTTACTAAAAATACAAAAATTAGCCGGGTGTGGTGGTGGGTGCCTGTAATCAATCCCAGCTACTCAGGAGGCTGAGGCATGAGAATCGCTTGAACGCGGGAGGTGGAGGTTGCAGTGAGCCAAGGTCACACTACCGCACTCCAGCCTGGACGACAGAGTGAGACTCTCTCAAAAAAATTACAACACAGTACAATACAATACAACACAACACAACAATACAATACAATACAGTACTACAGTACAATACAATACAATGCAATGCCAGTACAATTCCATTCCATTCCATTCATTCCCATTCCATTCCATGCCGATAAGGCCATTCCTGAGTCTTTGAGGTGCCAGGCTGCTTCTGTCTGTCATTCCGCTATCAGTAGTGCATCCCCTCCTGGGCCAGGGTAGCTGCCTGGGGTTCTACCTGTCAGGTTCATGTTTCATTCATGAAGAGGAAGAGGAAACGGAAAAAGAAGGGCTTGCCCTCCATTTTAATTAAAAATTATTTTGGAATTTATTATACGTGCAGAAGAGTATAGAAAGCACATATCTACATTTTAATGAACAATAATAAAACAACGATACCAGATTAGGATATAAACCATTTATCTCTAACTCTACGCTTCACCCTGTTACAAATATTTCCTTTCTTCCCCTCTATGGATAACCCCATCCTGACTTTTATAATTATTCCCTTGCCTTTTTAAAAATAGTTTTAACCACCTGTGTATGCATCCTAAGTTTAGTTTGTTTTTTTTTAAACTTGATGTAAATGGATGCATATGTATTTTTATTTTTGTGATTTTCCTGTGTTGCTCAGTATTCATGCGATCCATGTTATTGCATGTAGTTTAAGTTCATTCATTTTTATTGCTGTATATATAGTATTTTATTGTGTGACTAAACTGCAGTTATTTATCCATTTGACTTATAATTCACATTTGGGTTGTTTCCAATTTGAGGCTTTTTCAAACATTGCTGTTATGAGCGTTCTTATATAACAAGTGATCACAAGTGCAAGAGTTTTTCTGGGATTTGTGCCTAGGAGTGGAATTGCTGATTGTAAAGGCATACATGCCTAACTTCACTAGATATTGCTAAACTTTTCTGAAGAGGCCAATACAATTTATACCACTATCAACAATATATGAGAGTTATTTCCACCCAACTTGGCAAACCTGATATTTATAAAGCTTATTTTTTGACAATCTGGTAAGCAGATAAATGTAATTGTAATTTCCGTATGCATTTCCTGATAACTGATGTGGTTAAGTACCCTTTTCAATGTTTACCAACCACTTGGATTTTCTGTTTTGTGGCTGCCTCTTCAAGTCATATGCCTTATCAGTTATTTCTCCTTTTTAGTTCTATTATTAATAGATTTTGCTGTATATTTGCTGAGATTTTGTTACTAGGTGCATTCAGATTTAAAATTGTTACATCTTGTAAGTTGAGCTTTTCATATAATTTGCTTTTTGACATAATATAGCTACATCAGCTTTTTGTCATGAAATAGGAAACTTCAAATGTATGATAAATGAATGAGTTGCCTGTTAGTATAGGCAGAAACTGCAGAACAATCCTAGCCCATTATTCAGGCTTTATGTATCAGCGATTTGTTCTGTTATCCCATAAAGTGAATGAGTCATTTTTGAGTTTAAAAAAATCATAGGGCTTTTTTTTTGAGGTCCAATTTGCATACAGTAAAGGGCACAAATCTTAATTATCCAGGTCAGTAAATATTTATGTATGAATATACTTCCAGATCAAGATATTAAACATTTCCAGCACTCCAGCCAGCTTCTTAATGTCCCTCCCAGTTGATACCTACCAAAGGTTTTGCTTAGTTTTGCTGATTTTGAACTTTACATAAAGTGGAAACATACAGTATATTCTCTTTTGTGAGTGGCCTTTTTGCTCAACATTGTGTTTGTGAGATTCAGTCATGTTCTTAGGTAGCATTAGTTTTTCTTTCTTATTGCTGTGTAGTGTTACAATGTATAACTATATTATAACTAATTTGTTCTGTAGTTGTAGAACATTTATGTTTCTAGTTTTTTGGCTATTGTGAATGACACTGCTGCCTTCTTGAACATGTCTTGGTAAACATAAAATGTAGAGTTGCTGTGTGGTAACGTGTACTGCCAAACAGATTTCCAAAGTGGTTGTACTAATTTACGCTACCAGAGTTTTAATATATAACTTCTTGATTTAGCTTTGGGCAGCAAATGTTAAATTTCTGTCATCTGCATACCACACATGGAGAAGAGCACTGAGAACTCTTTCCTGAAGTTGTATAGGCACTTTTATTTTATTTTTTATTTTTATTTTTTTCGGAGACAGGGTTTCACCCTGTTGCCCAGGCAGGAGTGCGGTGGTGCGATCATGGCTTCCTGCAGCCTTGAACTCTGGGTCTCTAACCATCCTCATTGAGAAGCCTCGGCTTCCTAAAGTGCTGCGATTATGGGTGTGAGCCACTGTACCCAGCCTGTACAAGCAATTCTAAAATGTGAAATGCCCTTCCTTTTCTGTAATTTCCCCAGAGAGTAAAGCCTACTGCATTCTTGTTTATCTAGTCTGTAAATGTTAATACACAATTGATGGGAACAAAGCAACCTTAGTTCTTTTTGAGTATGAAAAGGACCCTGTTAAGGGCAGAATTTAAAATATTTGTAGTAGTTAATTCTCAGGTTAAAATCATAATCTTCTAGAATGCTTTAGATTCTAAGTGGCTATTGTAGTAACACTTTATACTCAATATTGGGGGACCATGTTTTTTGGAGGCTTTCACTGAAGCATTTAATTCCATTCTTTTGAATTCGTTTTGACAGATGGGTCTAAAAAGGAATAGATCAATTCTGTATTGAATTCCAGTCTTAATGGCACCGAGTCTTTGAGACAATTGAGGCAAATTGGAAATTCTGTTTTCACATTCTTCTGAAAGGGGATGCCTTTCAGAAGTGTCCTGAAGGGCGCTGGGGAGGGCAAATATGAGGATGCCAGGGTAAGTCTGCTCCCTGTCTGGCTGTGTTGGGCCAGAGTGGAAGAAAGCCTAAGACTCTGTTACCCAGCCCTTTCTGAAAATGTTTTCAAATGCTTTCCCAACAATCACGACCACAAGAGTCAACAGTCTGTTTGGATGACTGAAAACACACAGGTTTACGATCTGTAAAGATAGTAGGTAAGTGATTTAATCTTGTTGTATAGGTAGGCCAGAGGGCACTCGCAGCCTTCTGATTGATTTAATAGATTGTTGAAGATTAAGAGTTGACTTAACATCTCTCTTAGAAAACTGAGAAATAGCTCATTACTAAGGTGTGTTTTATTACCACCGTCTGTAAGAAAATACAACATAGGCATGGGAATCAAACTACTTAAAGCCTCTTCCAGCTCCTTTGTGACTGGGAAGGTTACTTTTCCTTGTTGCTTATTGAAGAGAAAAGGAAAATGTTTATCATTGGATAATTCAGGTTCACTGAATATTTAATGAGTGTTTATTATCTGCAGTCATTTTCTTATTACCTTATCTCATTTAATATTCACAACAACCCTGTGAGTGGACGATGGTATCTTTTTTTTTTCTCCTGAACGTTTTGTTGAATTATCCCAATGGCTTCTATTTTTGCAGATGAGCAGAGTCCAGTTGCATAGAGGTTTAGTGTTGTGCCACACATCACACAGCTTCTAAGTGAGAGCTAAAATTAGAGCCGAAGGTTTTGATTACCAGTCCAGACTTTCTAGGACACCACAGCTGCCTTTCTGTAGAACAGATTAACATGACTCTCAGAGTCCGCAAGAGTAGTGGTGAGGTGTCAGTTCAGGGGAATACTCAAAGGTCACTGTCCTTTTCAGATATCTGGGTAGTTGCTACAGTATGTGCTTAGGAATTGCTGGATAAAAAAATATTCTTTAAAATCTCATCATTTTAGTCGTTAATAATTTATTATTATAACTCGTAAAAATATACCTTTAGGCAAGTTATTCTTAGGTAGTTATGGTTGCTTTCATTTGGAGTCCAGAGCTTTACTCTCTATTTCTGGAGTTGCAATTTCTGCTGTCCTTGGCCCATTTAAAAACTTTTTCAGAAGGCCTTTTAAATTTTATTTTTTTATTAAAAGAAAGCCTGTGAATCCAAAGAATCTTAGGTGGTTTCTTAGCTGAAGGGACATTTGGTGAACACAAATGGAACTGTTAGGTCATGATGCTTTTTTAAGTGTACAACTCTGGTGTTTTGTATATTCACAGTTGTGCAGCCATCCCCACGATCAATTTTAGGACATTTTCCAAAGAAACCCAGTACTCAGCAGTCACTTCCTTATTTCCTTCTCACCGGTCCTCAGCAACTACCAGTCTACTTTGTGTAGATTTGCTTAGTCAGGACACTTCATATAAATACAATCATACAGTAAATATGTGGTCTTTCCTGATTGACTTCCTGATTAACCATTCGTTTAATGGTTTCAAGGTTCATCCATGTTGTAGCATGGATCAGAACTGCACTCCTTTTTATTGCAGTTACAGGGCTTTTCCTACAGAATTTTAAGTAATGGATATATCTAACAATGTCTCTTGTTCTCACCTACAGGAGACACAGGATCTTGGGCTTACTTTACTTATATAGGACCTTTTGTAATATCGAGGCTATTTCTATGCTTTATTGTAGAACAGAAGTTATTAACTGGGGAATATGGACCTTTATGACTGGCCTTTAGGATGTCCTGAATTCTTTGTAATTATATAAGATTTTATGTTCACAAGCATTTTCTGGGCGTCGGAGGAGTCTGGAACAGCAAAGATCTCTAGCTTTTGTTAAAAGATAATTTTCGAAAGTAATATCCTGACTCTTATACAGATATAAAATGAACATATGTTGAAGATTTTATTTTACTCCAAAAGAGGAAACCAGGCAGATGTTATAACTGGTTCAAAGGAGAGGTCCAAAAAGCTGCTCATTTATGGATCAGGAATATCAAATGAATGTGCAAATGGAGGCAAAACAACTCTCTGTCATAGGGGTAGGAAAGTCAGGTGAAACTTCACCTGACGGCAGAATTTGCATATTTAGGGATCTAGATTACTTTGCACTGCTATCAGTTATCTACAACTTTCAGAGCCGTAAACAGCCTCCTCATAATCAGAATCTGGTAACCCGGAGGGGCGTCCCAGATAATGCATAATTTTTCATTGGAAGCCGTAGGGAAAAACTCTCTCCTCTACTCTCACACCACAACAATCAACACCGAAGACTTCCGTGACCAAACGTGTGGGATTTTTTTCCCCACACTCCAAGAAGCAGACATCACTGGGTGTCGCCTAATTCAATTCTGACACTGTCTACCTGGAGATAGCATCAGATCTATGGGTTGAGGGCTCAGTCCCAACCCATACCTGTCTCCCCCAACCCCAACCTGTCACAAGTCTGGTCCTTCAAAATGTCTGACTGACTGTCTTCAAGGTGAGGTTCCCATGACCTCCTCTTGGATTGGATTAATTTGCTGGAACAGCTCACAGAACTCAGGGAAACATTTACTTAGGTTTACAGGTTTATTTTAAGGGATACTGCAAAGGTTACAAATGAAGAGATGCATGGGGCAAGGTATAGGGGAAGGGGTGTGGAGCCTCCATGCCTCCCTGGGTGCACCACCCTCCAGGAACCTCCATGTGTTCAGCTATCCAGAGGCTCTCTGAACCCTGTCCTTTTGGGTTTTTATGGAGGCTTAGTTACATAGGCATGATTGACAACCATGTAGAAATGTGACTGGACACAGGAGGCATGATCTCATACTAATAGACTGACCGGAAACCCAGCAAGGCCTGTCTGTTCAGGTTGTCGCTGGCCTTTCTGTGCAGCCTTCCTTCCTCCAGAATATGGGGCACAACCCTCCCAGGAATGAGGGTTTTTTGGCCCACAGTTGGACTAGAGTCTTGCTTTGAGGCAGGTAAAAGAGGACAGGAGAAGGTTGAGAGAGATTCTGTTTCCTGAGGCCCAAAGTGCCCCAGCATTATAATAGAAGACTATAACAAGGGCTATGGGGGTTATGAACCAGGAACCATGGATGCAAACCAATATATACGTATAACATCACAGAAGCACACTTTCCTGCTCACTTTCAATAGATACCACAAAGTTTGAAACTCTTCCAAGTATTAATTTTAAATTAAATTTACTCAGCTGCTTACTTCAGCTTTTAAAAGTAGGTTCTTGGTAATTTCGAAGATGCACTTTCCAAAGGGTGTTTATATAGTTGAAGGTCAGTCAGAGACCTAGGGATAGGTCCCTGCTTATTCTTTTGAGCAGGCTTACGTGTTGGAAATCTCTAGAGAAATAGCTTTAGTTAGGTTACACTTCTCAGCAAATATTCAGTATTCCTCATCTCTAATAGCAGCATGACTGTTGTAGGGAAGGAATTTCCACAAATGGTTATGAAAAGTCTAAGTGTCTTAACTCCCAGACAAAGATAGAGAATTCTGTTAGTAAGATAAGTATGGGACTGGAGAAGTCAGCTAACCTCTGCCCTTCCCCAATCGTGATATGCTCAGAGAAGTTAAGACTTCTTTCTGTGTGAGAAATACGGGATCTTTTCCACTAGATCTTGCTTATTATCCAAGAAATTATCATTTCTAGTTTTAGAGAATGATGAAACTCATTTGTGCTTTGAAATATAACCTGTATACATGTGCACAGTAAGTCATTTAGCTATTTATTGTCAGACTCTGAGAGTTCATAGCAAACTTAGCAACATTCCATGTGCAAATTTGCATATTTTTCCCCCCATATCTTACCTACTTGCCTTAGGCTGGGAGTCTATTTTCCTACAAAACTGGTAATTGCTCTTATCTCTGTGTCCTTCAGTGTGTTCCTCTGCTTATTGAATTCAGTTTTATGCATTTAGTCTTCTCTCCTAGTATAAGCTGCTCCTGATACTTTTAAATATGTATTTCAGAAGAGAGGTGCTCAGAATTGTTACTTAACAGAATCAGCATCTCCCTTTACTTGATGCCTTGTCCTGACCACAAGTACATTAATAAAGTGACCATTTAGCAGTGTTTCGGGTTCAGCTTTTAGGAACTTAGAAGCTGTGGTTTTCCATGAGTGCACTTCTGATGACTTGGGAACATTTCATATGTGTGTTCTTTCTGTGGCCAAGATGGTTTTGTTATTTCAGGGATGGAAAGATGCTTTGCCTGAATACTCCCATGCTAAGTGTATAGCAGTTGGTGCTTGGGGAATGGTACCAAGTGTACATATCTGGCAAGGCCAGGCTAGAAGGGAAAATGTAGACTCTTAAGCTTTTTGAGACGAACTTCTCAGATACTGGATCTCTTGACTCACATAGTGGAATTTTGGGGGAAGTATGTGGTTTGCTTTTTGTCTCCTAAGAAATGATGATTCAGTTTCCTCAAACGTTTCTCACAGTCACTACTGGTTGCTTGGAATGGCTGTCTGGTTTTGTTGCTCAGTTCTTACTTCTTTAATGACCCAAGAGGATTTTCCCTTTGGGGTTGTGATGTGTTTTTGATGATAAACTTTAATGCTTTTGGAGGCTATAAAGACAATAGTATTTTCTTACCTGTTTACCTTGCACTTTGAAGTTCTGTAGACTGTAATATGAAAGAAAATCAGATTAAATTAGCTTTGCTTTCTGGCTTTTCTTTTTTTGGTGGGGGGGCAGAAGCTGATAAGAATAAATATACTAACTGAGTCTCTTCTGTATTTTAACTTCACTCCCTAGGCTGAGGCTTAGTCCTTAGAGTAACATTTGAACTGGGTAGAACAGATTTTTCTTTTCCTCAACAGCCCATTCCTGCTGTAAAGCTCAGATTTATGGTCCTTCTGGAAAAAGTATTGAGCGTTGAATAGTTCAGGAAAACAAATAACAAATTCTGTCTTCTTTGCAGGATTGTGGGGTAGAAGATTTTGATTTTTATTAGTATCTGGCCAAAGAATAAATATTAGGCAGGAACAATGAATTGATATCTAGTAGAGTGACGTGACTGGGCCCTGACTTTTAACACTTCCCAGGAAAGCTTCGTGGATGTCTTTTCCCTGCTGCGTGAATACCGGGTAGCCATTAAGTTTGGTGATTGGGTGTCAGTAATATGTTAAGTCAGCTACTGGGTCATCTTTTAATAAAAGAAAAGGATGGGGAAGAGAATGGATTCTTAAGCAGTGTTGCCTGTCAGAATCACCGGAGGGAGGTTTACAAAATACACATTCTGTACTCTGACCCTGTGGGTGGGGTATTCTGACCCAAGAAGATGATTCGTTCCAGGAATCATGCTTCTTGGATGATATTGATGTACCCCCACTGGCTTTATGGAAAGAATATTGAAGAAGAAGATAGATTCTCTTGGGGGCTGTGCCTCTAGTTTGAAACCAGGGAAGGCACATTTTGGTATTAGTCTGTGGCCTCAGTTTCTTCATCACTGCAATGAGATTGGACTATAGGTGGTCTCTAAGGTTCCTTCAGACAGTAGCATTTTATGATTTTGAAGACAACTTTTCTGAAGTACTTTTCAAACTAATTTCTTTCCGTCTTTCTTTTGTAAGCAAATAAGTAGTATGAGTGTAAGTCTCTAGCTCAGAGAAGAATGAAGTTTGCAGTTCGAAAAGGCCATGCAATAGCAGTTCACTTCCCCAAAATGCTCAGCCCTTGTAGGATGCCGTTAGGTCATCTGGAAGTTCTGTATGCCTTCACTGGGAGCGTAGTGAAGATGAGAGCCTTTCCTTTGGCTCTTGGAGTAAACTAGCTGACAGGACTTTGAGAACTGTTGGTCTCCTGATTTGTGCCACTGATAGTTTGGCTCTGGAAAACTAGGCAGTGGAAAAAACAATGCATTTTAAACCAGAAGATTTGAGTCCTGGCTCCGCTATTTCCGAGCTTTGTGACCTGTAGGCCTCAATGTCTTCATCTGTGAAGGACAGGTTCAGCTCTGATGGCCTATGATGTGATGAACCTTGTGAACTTGTAGGCAGAGTGCCACGGTGTGCAGAGTCCAGTTACAGATAACCAGCCATTCTCCTCTGCAGATTCAACCCACTGCCACTGTGTCTTGTTAAGCTTAAATAGGAGAGATGTGGGAGAGAGGAGGCAGAAACATCCTAGGATCTTGCAAAACAAAACTGTCAAAAGTATAGGCAATATCATAATTACTTTATTTGAATAAACGTTGAGTTCCTGCTGTGTTGAAGATGCTGTTTTAGGCAGTGTAGGAGATAGAAGACTTATATCCTCCTCCTAATTTGTATTCTTATCAGCACCTGGTACCATAGAGAGTTCATATATTAAAATTATTTGGTTGTTCTCCCTAACCAGAGTTGAATTCTTTCCTTCTAGGACAAATTAACTCATAATGCAATAGGCTAATGCAGTTTGGCCCTGAGTGACTCTTGAGAAATACCCTGAGTTGAGGCACACTGGAAACGTGGCACATTAGAAATGCCAAGAAGAGGCCGGGTGCGGTGGCTCATGCCTGTAATCCCAGCTCTTTGGGAGGCCGAGGCGGGTGGATCACGAGGCAGGAGATCGAGACCATCCTGGCTAACACGGTGAAACCCTGTCTCTACTAAAAATACAAAAAATTAGCTGGGAGTGGTGGCGGGTGCCTGTAGTCCCAGCTACTTGGGAGGCTGAGGCAGGAGAATGGCTTGAACCCGGGAGGTGGAGTTTGCAGTGAACCAAGATTGCACCACTGCACTCCAGCCTGGGTGACAGAGCAAGACTCCGTCTCAAAAAAAAAAAAAAAAAAGAAATGCCAAGAAGACATTGTACAGGAGAATGAAGGGAAACTTTCTGTAGGGAAGTAGCTTTCCCAGAAACTTGACTCTATAATGAAGCTATAGAGATCAGTAAAATCATTAGGGCATTACTGTTTTGAACATTTCCTTGAGTGAATAACAGACTTACACTCAGGGCCCTAGGTCTCTGTTGTGGCCCAGCAAGCTGCATTCAGACAAGGAGGCAGTTTGAGAGGTACGAGTTGTTATGGAAGCCTGAGAAAACTGGTTTGTGTGCACTTCAGTTTTGACCATACAACCTTCACTCACTTAGCACTGTGCAGTAATCCACTGAGCAAAATTGCCACATTTTCCTTGGCAGGGAATCTGTGTGCCTGTGGCAGTTCAGAAATTATTTGTAGAGTGGGTCAGCCTGTCAGCAGGAATGTTTTTCTTTGATCTTCAGCCTGTTTTTCTTTAATGTGAGCAGAACAGTAAAGAGAGAATACATTGGAATATCTTGTTGGTTCCCCTGTTTGGCTTTACCTACAGCTCTTTGGTTTTCTTCTTTTAGGTCATACTTTCCCAATTAGTATGTAGGTATTTATGATGTTTTGAAGCCCAGAGCGATGGTTCCAATATCTTGTGGAATTCAGCTCTGAGTGTGAAGTCCTGACTTTGCCTCTTTCTATCAGTTTGACTGAGCAAGTCACTTAACCTTTCTTGACTTCAGTTTTCCCCATCTATAGAGTGATACTGCACACTGGTTTCTTTTCTTTTCTTTTTCCCCTTCCTTTCCTTTTCCTTTTTCTTTTCCTTCCCTCTCCCTCTCCTCCCTTTGCCTTTGCCTTTCCCTTTCCCTTTCCTGAGATAGAGTCTCACTCTGCCGCCCAAGTTGTATTGGAGTGCAGTAGCATGCTCATAGCTCAATGCAGCATCAAATGCCTGGGCTCAAGTGATCCTCCTACCTTAGCCTGCCAAGTAGCTGGGACTACAGGAGTGTGCCACCATGCCTACTGCTTTTTTGTTTGTTTGTTTTTTAAATTTTTTTGTAGGGATGGGAACTTGTTATGTTGCTCAGGCTGGTCTTGAACTCCTGGCCTCAGGGGATCCTCCTGCCTTAGCCTCCCAAAGTGCTGGGATTACAAGTACTTTATAATGTGTAAATGGCCTGTACATTCTTAATCTAATAGCCTCATGAGGTTATAAAATACAAATAAAATAACATGAAAGCCATTTAGAGTTTTAAGGTGTATAATACCATGTATTCTCATTAATTAAATTTTAATAAATTTAAAAGATAAAATTATTTTTATAAAATAAATTTATTTTTAAAATTTTAATTACGTTAAAAAGTTAATGCTTTTTTTTTTTGAGACAGAGTCTTGCTCTGTCACCCAGGCTGGAGTACAGTGGTACGATCTTGGCTCACTGCAACCCCCGCCTCCCAGGTTCAAGCGATTCTCATGCTTCAGCCTCCTGGGTAGCTGGGACTACAGGTGTACGCCACCATGCCTGGCTAATTTTTCTATTTTTAGTAGAGACAGGGTTTCCCCATGTTAGCCAGGCTGGTCTCAAACTCCTGACCTCAGGTGATCTACCCACCTCGGCCTCCCAGAGTGCTGGGATTACAGGTGTGAGCCACCATGCCTGGCCAAATTAAAAAGTTAATACTTTTTAAGTGCTTCACTCTTTCCTGTGCATGTTGTCTTGGCCTCTTTTTCTAAATTAGTTTTATTCCCTCTGTAATCAGAGGGTCACCAAATCTTTGAGTTTTAGAGGGAAGAGAAAGTTTTTAGTGAAACAAGTGGGTGAACTCTGATCCCTGTAAAATAGTGCCTTCATACAGTAGGCACTCCAAAAATAATTGTTGAATGACTGAAACTCTTAAACAGCAGTAAGCATACGTATAGCAGAGACAACATTACAGAGTAGAGCTCTTTCTAGGTTGGCATGGTAGATAGCTCTGAGGGACTACCTGAATGGAGATGCCATTGCTTTTGAATAAAACAAATATACATGGTGTCTTAGTCCATTTTCTGCTGTGATAGCAGAATACCACAGATTGGGTAATTATAAACAATAGAAGTTTATTTGGCTCGTGGTTCTAGAGGCTGGGAAGTCCAAGAGCATGGCACTGATATCTGGTGAGGGCCTTCTTCTTGCTGAATAATAACATGTCAGAAGGGCAAGTGAGCACGCGAGCTAGAGGGGATGGGCCAAGATGTCATCCTTTATCAGGAGCCCACTCCCAAGATAATGGCATTAATATACTCATGAGGGCAGAACCCTCCTGATCTAAATCACCTCTTAAAGATCCCACCTCTCAACACTGTTACAATGGCAATTAAATTTCAACGTGAGTTTTAGGGGGGACATTCAAATCATAACAGGTAGTTAGCCCTGTTGAGTAATGGAGAAAGGATTGTATTAGTTCCAAGGAAAGATGCATCATCCAGTGTGGGTCTGGAAATATTTGCCAGATGGCTTTTCTCTTTTAGTAATATTCATTTGTGGAATGTTTCTTTAGGTATAAATTGGTGCTGAAGTAATTTGATAAGGAAAAAATATCACTGCCTAATTGGTATTTGGTCACGAGCAGTACCAGTTCGTAAGATTTTTTTGGAGGTAGCAAGGGGTGGATAGTGCTACTATTGGAAGTTTGCTTATGGAATCTTTTGCTCTCTTGAAGTGATTTGGAGATTAAAAGAGTTTAGTATCATTGGGGATAGCTGTGGTCTACTGTCAGTTAGGAAGTAACTCATGACTAGATATCCTGGGCTTATTACTTCAGCTCATATTCCTGACCTCACAAAAATGTTAAGAGAATAAATCGTAAGTATAAAAAGCACTGAGATTGTGTAGAGTGGAAAATAACATTAGTGTTAGCTCCCTCACTGTATTACACAACCACATTCTAAATTTAAGGAAGCCAGAAGTAAAATCACTCTGAAGCACTGCTTTTGAAACTGCAGATTATGATCCATTTAGAGGGACACAAAATCAGTTTAGTATATCAAGCGTTAAAGAAGGAAGAAATAGAAATGTGAGTACATTACAAGTAATAAGGTGCTAAGTATTATTTTGGAAACTTTTGGTTTTATATGTTTCTGTTTCTACATGTATTAGATTGTGTTGTAAAAGACATTTCTTTGGGACTGTATTTTACAACACAGTCTCATACACGTAGACTCTAATACACATATTGAAACAGTTTGAAACTCAGTGGTCTAACAAGTAGCATACCCCAAATTTACAATATTTGTAGCCTTCTGCTGTTGGGTACATTCATGAAAAGGTCTTGCATCCTTAAAGTGAAGGCTGAAAGAGTTTTATGTCATTGGGGCGAGTGGGCTACCAAGCTCCCATAAATTCTAGGAGCTGCCTTTTGTCTAACGATTAGGATTATTGAGTACTATTTTGATGCCTTTTGGGTATCATCTGAAATGTAATCATTGAATTGGAAATGGAATAAACAAGAGAAAGGCTAGTTTACTCATTATTTGACAATAGCTCTTTAAAGTAGTTAATATTATGAATATTCCTACTACTAAGGTTTATAAGAGTTTGTTTTTTTCTTTAATGTTATACTTTAAAAAGTATTATTCATTCACTGGGCAAATAATTTTTTTTTCTAGAGGAATACCTTTCCAATTTTATAACAGTGAAGGAAGGAATGTTTTACTTATAGAAACTGTACTGAAACTACTGTTCTATTAAGCAAGGGTTGGAGATAAGCACCCCTGTCCCCCTTCCCTGCCCAGGCACACACATATACAGATACAGCTTATTTTATGACTGTATTGTTCTTGTGTTTCTTCTTCTAGATAAAGACATAAAGATTGATGAAATAATTTACCTGGAGTTGCACAGTAAGCTAGTGGCCTTTGTGGATGACCATTCATAGTTCATATATTTCCAGAGACACAATACATTGATAAAATTGAAATAAACAGAAGCCTAAGAATTATAAGTATATATTCAGAGATATATAGACAAAAAAGTACTGTTATAAGTAAAAAGACATAGTGGGAATAGTAATTATAATCACATGAACTTCTGTGCCATCTCTATCTAGATCAGGGGTGTCCAGTCTTTTGGCTGTCCTGGGCCACATTGGAAGAAGAATAATTGTCTTGGGCCACACATAAAATATACTAATGATAGCTGATGAGCTTAAAAAAAAATAAAAATTGCAAAAAAAAAAAGTCTCATGATGTTTTAAGAAAGTTTACAAATTTGTTTTGGGCTACATTCAGAGCTGTCCTGGACTGCATGTTGGACAAGGTTGATCTAGATGTTTATCTGTAGTCATGACCTAACTATATAATTTTAGTATGTTATACATGGTACCATGTATCCAGGGTAGATCCTGCCAAGAACATAAATTGTGAAAAGAAAACTCTTGGGATGCTGCTGGATTGTAATGTGTTACTCCTCTGCCCATGAATACTGAAAATCAAGATTTGAAAGGGTACTGAATACTGAGTCAAAAGGCATGCGTTCCTAGACTTCACTTAATCACAAGCATGTCTGTATGAGCGTAGTCATGTCATTTCACTTTGGGGTCTCTGCTTGTAAAATGAAAATGTTAGACTTGATCTTCCAGGTTCCCTTCAGCTCTTACATTCTGTGCTTCCCAAGGGCTAGAGTATTGCATCAGGACCCAGCCTGGGGTTTGTGCTGTTTTCAAGGTCCTAAGGAACTGCATCATCCTTTAGTCCAAGGAGATAGGATACCTTATGCCACAGAGCCCAATAATTCAGTGAGCTGTGAGTGTTGTGAGTTGCATCTACATTGGGGACTGAGCCTAGGTTGTTTGTAGTAACACTAGGAGGACCTTAGAATGATGCCAGGAGATGTAATTTCTGTGATCAACTAGTTGACTACTCAAAAAGCTTGTCAGGACCCATCCAACTACAGTGTCATTCTGTCTTTGGTGTTAAAGAATTTAGATTTATCTCCTTTTAAAGGACCTCCTTTGAATTTAAGAATTGCCATTATCTTCATAAGAATCAAAACAAATACAAAGAAAATATATTCTTGCTGAATGTAATTTTTAAATGTTAGTGAGGAATGTCTTTATATCTTAATTTTAAGGCTTTTAAAAATTAGTTTGCATTTGCTGGTTCTTTGCTGTCACCCTAATACTGGTTATGTTACTTTTTTGCTCAGTGCTGTGAATTGTTCATAATATCTATAGTCATCTTTTGACATTGGTAACTTCTGTTTTCTGGGTGAATTAGGAATTAGTATCACCAGAAGAAAAGCTAATCTGAATAATTGTTCTTTCATCATCTCGTTCATGCACAGTATTTAACCATCTGGTTTGACCACAACTTTCACACTAGACGAGTCTTTATAATGATAGAAATCATGACATACTTTTGATGATAGACTCCTCTGGTCTTTCCCAGGTTTTGGCTGGTATTGCCATTGCTTTGGATTGAGGTTGTTGATGCAACAGTGGGCTCTGGGGAATGGCCACCAAGAACTGTTGGGGAATTGCAGATAAACTGTCTCCATGGGTAGCCCTCCAGGGAACTTAGTAGTTGTCTAATGTTAATTACCTTATACCACAGTCTAATTACTAAGAGTATTGTCTGAGTCCATTCAGGCTGCTATAACAAAATGCCATAAACGTGGTGGCATATAAACAAAAGTCCATTTCTCTCAGTTCTGGAGGCCAGGAAGCCCAAGAGCAAGGCAACAGCAGATATGGTGCCTGATGAGGCCCACTTCCTGGAAGGTGGCCTTCATAAAAGTGGTTCATAGAAAATGTCTTCTCACTGTATCTTCACATGGTAGAAGGGGCAAATTTGCTCTCTGGGGGTCTCTTTTATAAAGTCACTAATCTTATTCACGAGGCCTCTGCCTTCATGATCTAATGACCCCCCAAAGGCTCCCTCTTCCTCCTACCATCAGCTTGAGGGTTAGATTTCAACATATGAATTTTTGGGGGATGTAAACATTCAGTCCATTGCAGGTATAAATGTTTTCAACAAGCATTTGTTGAGTATCTGTCCTTTTTCTAAGCTTTCATGTTCCTACTAGAACACTGGATGTGGATATCCAATAGGAATATATTTAAGTCAGTATCATTATCTTTTTCTCAAAACATCTTCTACCTTTTTTACCTTCCCTTCCTCTTCTAGTCTTACCATAGTTAATACTGATATTAACTGTTAACATCATAGTTAACCAGTCTGTCGAACTTGAACTTGAAAATTTTGAATGATCTATACCCACACCCGAAAAAATTACTCACATACTTAAAAATCCATGCCTTTTGTTTTGTTTTATTGCTGTTGTTTGTAATTTACTTATTTTTACCTGATACTATGTTCTGGAAATTTTTCTACGTAGTTCATGTAGATCTGTCTTCTTCTTAATGTTTCATGGTATGGGTACATAAAATGCACGTATTATAGTTTATTTAACCATTCTTCTGTGGGTGGACATTTACATTATTTTTTCCCTTTTGTTAGAGAATACTGAAATGAATATCCTTGAACATGTTTATTTGTATACATGTGCAAAGTATGCAGATGCCAAAAAGTGAGATTGCTAGGTCAAAACGAACATGCGTTTAAAATGTTGATAGATACCAACAAATTGCTTTACAAAAGTTCCTATCAGTTTGTATATCAGTTTTTCTAAGTCCTTTTTAAACATGGACTGGATTAGCCCGTTCTTGCATTGTTGTTAAGAAATACCTGAGTCTGGGTAATTTATAAAGAAAAGAGGGTTAATTGGCTCATGGTTCTGCATATTTGTACAAACATGGCTTCAACATCTGCTTCCGGTGAGACCTCAGGAAGCTTACAATCATGGCGGAAGGCAAAACTTGAGCAGGCACGTCACATGGCAAGAGTGAGAGCAAGAAAGAGAGTGGGGGGAGGTCCTAGGCTTATAAACAACCGGATCTCACCTGAACTAACTGAGCAAGAACTCATTCATGAAAGATGCACCCCCGTGATCCAGTCATCTCCCACCAGACCTCATCTCCAATGTCGGGAATCACATTTCAACATGAGATTTGGAGGATAGGCATCCAAACCATATCATGGACCTAGCATACTTCTCCCAGCCTCACGTCTCTGATTTAAGTGTTCACTCATTTACTTGGGCACTGTTACTTGGGCACTGTCAGCCCCTGTCCATGTTTGTATTCAGTATAAATTGTGTGCCGGGCACTCTGCCACATGTTGGGGATTTAGTACTGGATGAGACAGAAATGGTCCCTGCCATCATGTAGCTTACACTTTGCCACATAGAACTTTTGCCATATGCAGACTCTTTTTATGCATTTGCAGCTACTATCCTCTCTTTCTGGTATGACTTTTTTCCTTTTAACTTTTCTACCTAGAGAATTTTCTTTCATCCTTTTAACCAGCTTAAATTTTGCCCTCTGTCATTATCTTTATCCCTTCAGAGTTAGATAGTCCTTCCTCAGTGCTCCATCTTGGCACTCATATGCTTTTTGTGGCTATTCCCCTGAGAAGTTTTCGTGATTTGTTTGTATATGTATGTGCCTGTGTGTGTGTGTGTGTGTGGACACACATCTACATCTTGCATATTAGATTGTAAACTCAGTATAGACTTGGAACTATGATATGTACCTGAACACTTCCCCAGCTTACTGCCTTCAACCCTGGAGATGCTTAATCAATGTTGATTAAGTGAATGAATAGTAAACTATAAAATGACCTTAGTTTGTACAGGGCATTGTAGGGGATTGTAGATATGAATAGAACTGGTCTGTCTTCAAGAACTTAACCATATAGTCAGGGAGATAAGAAACAGATGAGTAGACTGCAAGGCAGGTTGTGATAAGCTCTGTATAGGACTTATCAAAAATGAGTACTGGAGGAGAATTTAAAGGGAGAGAGGAATTCTCGTGAATGAGATACTCTGGTAAGTTTACAGAGGACAGGTTTTTTCTTGCTCGTACCAGGTGTTGTGAGGAATACACATGATGGTAAGATATGGTTGCTGACTGAGAGATTATAGTCAAGTAAGGCCTTAGAGCAGGCATTGGTAAATTGTGGCCTGCAAGCCAAATCTGGCTCTTGCCTGCTTTTATATGGTCCTTGTGCTAAGAATGATTTTTACATTTTAAAAATTGTTAAAGAATATTTTATGAACATGAAAATTATATGAAATTCAAGTTTTGGTGTCTGTAATTACATTGTGTTGGAACACAGCCATGTTCCTTTGTTTACACAATAACTGACTATATTTGTACTCCAGCAGCAGAGAGGAGTAGTTGTAAAGGAGAATGTTTGCTTTGCAACACTTAAAATATAAAATAATTTAGTATCAAGCTCATTACAGAACCAGTTTGCTGACTACTGGGGTAGAGAATAGGAAAGATTCAAATAGAGAAGAGAAATGACATTGATATTGGGGGTATTAGTGTGAGTTAAGAGAGTGGGACAGTGATTCTAGCAGTCATATAGAAATTTTAGGGCTGAAGTGACGATCTAGCTTAACCCTCTTACTGTATAAAATAGGCACAAGATTGAAAATAGTCTCAAAGTCCACTAGCTGTTAAGTGGCAGTGGAGTGCTGCTGGAGTGACTGGTACAGAAGCCTTGAGGGCTGTAGATGATAATAAGATTATTGCTGAAGAAGGGCAAGATCCGGAATGACCTTGCCCTTGAAAAATGAGAGTTGAAGTACAAACTAAGAACAGACTTCTTTTCTCTCTCTAAATGTAATGTTTTTATTTTTCACTTGTATTTCTAGAAGGCCTTTGAGCCCTACTTAGAGATTTTGGAAGTATACTCCACAAAAGCCAAGAATTATGTAAATGGACATTGCACCAAGTATGAGCCCTGGCAGCTAATTGCATGGAGTGTCGTGTGGACCCTGCTGATAGTCTGGGGATATGAGTTTGTCTTCCAGCCAGAGAGTAAGTATGCTGTCTCCTCTGTAAAGGTATAGTGGTGTGTCACTAGCCTCAAACTAATTGCTGAGAGATAGGACTAATTTATTGCCTTTTGGTTGTTTTTTTGTTTGTTTGTTTGTTTTTGAGACGGAGTCTCCATCTGTTGCTAGGCTGGAGTGCACTGGCCTGATCTTGGCTCACTGCAACCTCTGCCTCCCAGGTTCAAGTGATTCTCCTACCTCGGCCTCCCGAGTAGCTGGGACTACAGGCACACGCCACCACGCCCAGCTAATTTTTGTATTTTTAGTGGAGATGGGGTTTCACCATGTTGGTCAGGATGGTCTTGATCTCTTGACCTCGTGATCCACCCACCTCGGCCTCCCAAAGTGCTGGGATTACAAGCGTGAGCCACCGTGCCCGGCCCTGGTTTGGTTCTTATTTTTAAAATCTGTTTAAATGTAAAGCAGTACTTTGTCTTCTGATTGGTCAAGTTATAACAGGACTCTTGTATAACTAATACTCCTTACATTGATTTTTTTTGGATTTGTAGTTCACGTAAAAACGCCTCAGAATTAGTCATTGTAAGGATCCACAGAAATCTCAGTATGGTTTAAACCTTTGGTACCAGTTTCTTCCCTAGAACATAATTATGTCACCTGGAGTTCCCAGAGCAGGAATTTATTGCTTTCATTTTGTGCTATCCTTTTCAGTAAAGATTAGGTGAAATTGGAACAGCACTTACATGGTGACCATTTGAGTGCTTGCTATGTGCCAGGCACTGCCATCAGGCTGTGGGGATATCTGCACAAGTAGTACAGGATCTCTCTCCTCTTGGAGTTGAACTGGTATCAGGGGATCGTATACTTTGAGCTTCCTAGAAGTGACTCAGTGCCAGATCAACATGGGGAAGAAGAGGCCACTTCTCAGGGTGCAGAAGATGAGCAGTCTCAGTGATCTGCTTCTGAATCTTCCACCTTTGCTTAGGATTAAGCCCCTCTCCTGCCCACCCACCTTTTTCCCGCCTAGAAACCTGGTTGTGTGTTACCTTCTTATGAGTTATTTTCCTCTGCAGTCTGTGCTTGGTGAGTGTTGTTAGTACCTAAACACAAGTAGTGGATTTGGTGCTGGATGTTCTATAACACTCCCCTGCACCTTTTCCCCACTCTTAGTAGGGTATGGGAGTTAACTTCCTTGGGATAAGAAAACAGTAACATTGAAGATAATCATTAGCTGTTTCTCATTTGCTTGAAATTTCCCCACCACTTTGCTTCCCTGATAACACCTGTTTAAAAGGGCTCTTTAATGTGTTTTTTCTGCTTTTCTTCTCTTGTTCAAGGAAAGTCAATTTAGAAGCCAGATTCCATTTTTATCTCTTTACCCTGCAAATAGCTTCTTAGCCATTTATGGCGCAGTAAACATTGCAAAACCTGACAACCAAGAAGCAAGTTCCAACTGCTTAGAGTTTTTAAATTAAAGTGGAAATGAGACCTGACTCTCCTGTGTAAATCTGTAGCTCACTCCAGCTTTAAAAACCTTGTCCTCAGTTGCTGCTCCTAGTCCTTGCAAGATTTTCTGATAAACTCTAAGAAATTAGACTGGCCGGCCCTTCCGCTGCATCTGCTCAATGGTTTGGATATGGATGTAGCTTGTGTCCTTCTGCTCTTGCTTATTCCTTTCCTAGGAAGTATTCAATTCAGTGAGTAAGGGGCCCATTTCAGAGGATTCTGAGGGGTAGCAAGAAATATACTTTCTTTTTATTTTTTAACTTTTCATTAAAAAAAAAATCAGTCTCTGCTTATCCTTCTATTATAATAAAATATATACAACATAAAATTTACCACTTTAACCATTTTTAAGTGTACAGTTAGTCCTGTGGCAGTAAGTACGTTCACATTATTGTACAGGCATCACTATTACCAGAACTTTTTCATCACCCCACTGGAACTCCATTTTAATAAACATCAAATAATAACTGCCCATTACTCTCTCCCGCATCCCCTGGAAACCACCATTTATTGTATCGCCTTGTTTTACAAATGTACTACAATTCAAAGGTGGTACATTTATGAAATAAGGCTAAGCTTAGAGATCTGAGATTTATATTTTACTTGCTATGATTAATATTAATTTTAGGTATTCTTTTTAAAACAAATTTTAAAATTAATTGGCAAATAAACATTGTTTATATTTATCATGTACAACATATGTTTTGAAATATGTATACATTGTGAAATGGGTAAATTGAGCTAATTAACATGCATTACCTCCCATATTTTTCTTTTTTTGTGGTTAGGTATTTACTTCTGTTTTCAGTTCTGCAGCTCACTATGCCATACATTTTGCTTAGCTAATAGTAGAGACACAGCCATCTTAGGTTCTGATACTTATCTGCTTTTAGTGGTCAAAAAGGAATATGCTGGCCTCTGAGAGGCCAATTTTCCATGAGAAAATTGTTAGTCGTAGTATACTGATGAGATATGCCATCTAAATCCTTGTGGGCTGAACTCCAAGCCATTTGAGGTTTTTTTTTTGTTTTTTGTTTTTTGTTTTTGAGACGGAGTCTCACTCTGTCACCCAGGCTGGAGTTCAGTGGCATGATCTTGGCTCACTGCAACCTCTGCCTCCCGGGTTCAAGCAATTCTCCCTGCCTCAGCCTCATGAGTAGCTGGGATTATAGGTGCCCACTATCACGCCTGCCTAATTTTTGTATTTTTAGTAGAGATGGGGTTTCGCCATGTTGGCCAGGCTGGTTTTGAACTCCTGACCTCAGGTGATCCGCCCACCTCAACCTCCCAAAGTGCTGAGATTACAGGCCTGAGCCACCATGCCCAGCTGAGTTATTTTGTTTCTAAAGATACAAAACAAAAGCAGTACATATTCACTATGGAAAAGTTGGACAATATGGGTATATAATAAGAACAAAATTAAAATCTTACTACTGAAGGATACCACTATTGTATTTCTCTGTTTCTATATCTGAATCCAGTTTGAACCATACAAAATGTAATTTTGTAAAAAAAAAATCGTCAAATGTTGACAATTTTATACAATTTAGCACATACACACACAGCACACTTTCATTTGGTAATTTCCAACTTGAATTTTAGACACAGATAAGAATGTCTTCCCTCCAGAGATCAGGGATAATTTTGATAGAATATTCATTTTTTTTAGCACTTGCTCACTTGCCATGTGTTGCTGAACAATCAAGTTATTTTTAGTTACACTGCACTAAAGGAGTCTGAAGTCTGGACTAGTGATGAATTTTGCTGATCTTCCAACACTGAATCCCTCTTGAGGGAAGAGAGTATTTCTGGAACAAAGGATGGAGCCTGGGGTAGAGGAGAAGTGGGCAGCGGCATGAACTGTGCTGGGGTTAGCAGCCTCTTCCTTAATTCTGCCTCTGTGATTATCAGCTCACAGTTTATTACTTTTACTTTAATGCTGATTTTAACTGTGGGTTGTCCATAATTCATCAACAGAAATCAGCTTTATGTCATGGAGGAAATGATAAACTCTCAGTTTCTTGTTGTGTCACCTTGGGTGACACCCTTAAGCTCTCTTAGCCCATTTCCTTGCAATAAAATGGACATCATAATAGCTGCTTTACCTAGTCATGGGTAATATGAGGACTGAATGGCATCTTTTGCATGAGTGGAATTTGTAAACTGTTAAGAACCATGCATTGTTCTTACACTGGCATTTTCTATTTTGTTAAACTTAAAATTCTTTTTTTAAAGTAACAAATAAAAATTGTATGTTTATGATGTACAACATGAAGTTTTCAAATGTGTAAGTTGTGGAATGGCTCAATCAAACTAACGTGATTACCTCACGTACTTTTTTTTTTTTTTTTTTTTTTTTTTTTGAGATGGAGTTTTGCTCTGTCACCCAGGCTGGAGTGCAGTGGCACGATCTCGGCTCACTGCAACCTCCGCCTCCTGGGTTCAAGCGATTCACTTGCTTCAGCCTCCCGAGTAGCTGGGATTACAGGCGCGTGCCATCACGCCCAGCTAATTTTTGTATTTTTAGTAGAGACAGGGTTTCACCATGTTGGTCAGGCTGGTCTTGAACTCTGATCTCCTGATCCGCCTGCCTTGGCCTCCCAAAGTGCTGGGATAACAGGCGTGAACCACCACACCTGGCCTCATGTACCTTTTTTAATGGTGAGAACACTTAAAATCTACTTTCTTAGCAATCTTGACGTATGCAACACATTTTTATTTACTATGTCACCATGATCTCTTGAACTTATTGCTTCCGTCTAACTGGAATTTTCTATCCTTTTGACCATCTCCCAGTCTTCCTTCTTCCCCTTACTCTCAATCCCACTAAAAAATTCTAATTACTTTTCATTCTGTACCTTCTGGGGACTTTTGAGATAATCTTTTTAGGTCAGGGCCATGGGATCTTTTTATTTTTAGTTTCTTCATCTCTGATGCTGTATTCCGTTCTTTTTACCCTGTACCATTTTTTCTCACAACTTCCACAAAATTAGTTTATTCTTTTATCCTCCACCTAGTCACATTACTATACTTCTGGACAGCTGGTCCAGTTTGCTGATTTTTAGACTTCTTTTTACCTCATTAATTACTTCATCAAATAAGGAAGCATTTCTGAATCTGTACAGCTTTAACAGTTAGAAATAGTTGAATAACAAGAAGCTAAAATATCCAATATTAGATTATAGTCATTTGATGAACTATTATAACATTAAAAATATGTTTAGAAAGAATTGTTAATAATGTAGAAAGTGCTATCAGTGAGGAGGATACAGTTATTTTACATTATACAGAATCTCAGGTATGTATTACAGTGTGTAGAACATAGGGCTAGAAGGAAATACTCCAAAATTTAAACAAAAAGTAACCACAAACAAGTGGTTTCAGTCTCTTTGTCTTCTTATTCAGTCTGTGTCTTAGTTACCTGGTTTTGTCCCAGGTGTTTACAGAATGTGGACTCTAGGGAGAGTTAGAAAGAGAGGGATGCAGCTGAAGCAAAAACAGCTAGCAGAGATGCAAGGCATGATGTGATAGATACAAAAAGGGGGTGCAGACACATCCCGTGGTTGTTGAGTGAAGAGGGAGCTCCTTCTGGCCAGGAAAGTGGGAATTTCCAGATCTCCTAGGAATGCAGTAGAAGTTCATATTCAGTTCACACCTTGGATAAAAGCCAGGCTTAGATTCTTATAGACTCAAACAGAAAATTCCTGTGGTGCATTTGAAGCAGTATAGAATCCTGGGAATCCTGGACTGAAAATACAAAGACTTCAGTTAAATCTTTGCTCTATCACTGATTTTATCTGTGGCCTTGAGCAAGTTTTGATGCTTTGATCTTGCATTGCCTTTTATGTCACTCGTAGATGGTATATAATGCCTTCTGTGCCAGCCTCAGAATGCTGTTGTCAGAGTCAGTCGAGATACATTGATTGTGAATGCATCAGAAGGTCTATTAGTCTATTTAGATGCCATGTATTTATGATTATTATGATCGACAGGATTTGTATTCCCTATTTGTTCTATGTACTGCCTGACAGAGTGGACTCTGGCATCTGTGATTTTTCAAACTTTTTTTTCTTTTTGTTGAGACAGGGTCTCACTGTGTTGCCCAGGCTGGTCTCACCCTCCTGTGCTCAAGCAGTCCTCCCACCTCGGCCTCCCACAGTGCTGGGATTAGAGGTGTGAGCCACTGTGCCTGGCCAGCATCCACAATTTTGAGGGCATTTGTAGGTCCAGAAAATGTTAGAATCTGTGTTGGATGAGAGGCTGGACATAGATCCAAGAAAAACAAAACTAAAAACAGGCTGCCCATTAGTCTTGGGGGAAGGAAGAGAAATGTTGAACATCTAGAAACCTTAGGAAGGTCAAGAATTCTGGAACACGTATATCATTTGACCTAGTAGTTCTGCTTCTGGGAGTTTATCCTGTAGGTGTACTTGTAGTTTATCCTGTAGGTGTGCAGTATGGTGTGTGTTACAAGGTTATTTCAGCATGATTTGTAATAGCAAATATTAGAAGCAACCTATATATCCATCATTAAGGGGCAGGTTAAATAAATTTTGGCACATCCATAAAATGGAATACTCTGCAGCTATAAAAATGAATGAGGATGCACTGATCTTTAAGATAATACTCCTAAGTGGAAAAACAAGGTCTACTACAGTGCTAGAGTGTGCTACTTTTTGTGCAAAAAAAGGGAGACAAATAAGAATATAGCTTTACTGTTGCACGTGTATGCATAAGGAAACTCAGGGGGGTAGCATGAGGGTTGGGGGGATACGTTTGAGAGAGGGAAGCTTCACTGCTTTACTGTGTGTGTTATGTGTTTGTATTTTTAAAATTTTGAACCATGTAAATATAGTACTTATTCACAAACTTAAATTTAAAAGTTTTTTTAAAATTTTTTAAACGAAAGAAACTCTTTGCAATTGGAAGGCAAGTGAGGTGGAAGACACATTGAATGGTTGCTATATGCCAGGTCATATCCATGGAAATTTATTTGAATAAGAGAACCATTTGTTTCTTTTAGGTTTATGGTCAAGGTTTAAAAAGAAATGTTTTAAGCTCACCAGGAAGATGCCCATTATTGGTCGTAAGGTAAGTAGAATCTGTGTATGTCATTTTTTCCCCTCTTGATAATCATACCTCTTTCTTTCTATTTACTAAACCTAATATTCTCAAAGTGGAGGGGTGATTTTGTCTCTTACCTCCAGGGGACACTTGGCAGCATTTGGAGACATTTTTGGTGGTCACAGCTTGGATGGAGGGGTGCTCTTGGCATGTAATGGATCGTGTCCAGAAATGCTGCTAAACACTAAACATCCTACAGTGTACAGGGCAGCCCCCCCCCACCCACCAAACACAGAATTATCTGGCTGGAAATGTCAAAATGGCCAAGGTTGAGAACCCTGACTTAACCCTTTCTCCAATGTAACTGGCCAAAGGAGAGATGAGAAGCCTGTTAAGGAAGTAAGAATTTGAGAAAACCTGACTGTATTGTTAGGTGCTTTGGAACAACATGCAGCTGGCTGACTTTAGGTATTTATCTAGGAGTTGGGTGCTTACATGGTTTAGGTCAGGGGTCGGCAAATGTTTTCTATAAAGGGCTAGATATGAAACATTTTGGGCTCTGTAGGCCATATCATTTCTGTTGCAACTCCTCACCTCTGCCCTTGCAGAGGGACAGCAGCAAGAGGTTCAGGAATGAGCCTGGCTATATTCCAGTGAAACTTTCTTTACGAATTCAGGTAGGCCTTTGTTGGTTCCTGGCTGTAGTTTGCTGATCCCAAGTTGCACAGCGCTGTCTCTTGCTGTTTGCAATTTTCTGTATTGTAGTATGTCCCCTTTGTTATGTCCTCTTGGCCCTCATCCATGTTGAGGATAAGGTAGTCACCTCTGTGCGTCTCCCACAGGTTATCCCAGATGAAGATAAACAGGGCAGGCCACTTGGCAAGCTCTAAGGAAGGCATATGAGTCCTTGGAATCTTCATCTCCTCCAGTGCCCTCCCCTGACCCCCCTTTGGTCTTTCCCAACTTTACCTGCCTTTAAGTTTTCTTCTACTTTTGGCTTTCAGTTCCCTTTCCTGGCTATACCAGGGTTTGTTTGCCAACCCCTGACCTAAAGTTGGCCAGTTATCTTTAACCTTTGGCTGAAATCCATTCAGATCGCTGTGCTAACTCTCCCAGAGATAGGTATCTTCAGGTTCATTTCCTGTAGGAGAGTGGGAGCAATAACAGGTGGTGAAGGGAAATGTGAGCATATAGGCTTCTGTTTGCTCTCCAAATTATATTAATCCCTAAAAGTAAATCTAGTCCTTACAGAGTATAAGGGGTGGGGACAGGGAAGGTATTGTAGAAGATGGACTGTAGCACAAAGGAGATTAGGATTTCCCCTTATCTCCTGAATTTTTTTTTCTTCTTTTCGTTCAGTTTTCAGACTTTGAGACAAATAAATGCTAGGGTTCCAGAACCCACTCTTAAACTTAGAAAGTAACAGAATTGGAAGATCCTTAGCTTGCCAAGGACTATCCAATCACTCTCCATTTTTCAGAAACAGATTCTGAGGCTTAGATACAAAAAATTACATGTGTGTATGTGTGTGTGTGTGTGTGTGTGCGCGCGCACGCGTGTGTGTATACCTCTGTCATTTATTCACTTAACACATGCTTATTGAGCCACCTGCTCAGTGTCAAGTACTTTTCTGGGTGCTGGGGATATGGTGGTGAACAAGACCAAATCCTTCCTCTCATGGAACTTACATTTTAATAGGAAAGACAGAAAATAAAGAAGTAAACAAATATGTGGAATTTTATTTTGAAATAAATGCTTTGAAGAAATTAAAATTGGGTAACGTAATACAGGCTTTGAGGCAAGAATTGGGGGTAAGGAAGTACTTGTGCTTTCTAATATACCTCTCTGTCACTTTTTGTCTGTTTTATGGCAATAGCATACTCTATGTATGGAAGCTCAGCTTTCATAGCCTGTTCTGTTGCATGAGTCGCCATTTATGTGAATTAATTTTTTAATTTACAACTTAAAAAATGTCTTCACATCCATAGCATGCCCAGGCATTGCCCAGGAGTGTAGCCTCTGCTCCCTGCCAGTGTGGGCCTCTTAGACTATTGCAGACATGCTCGAAAGGAGTGGCTTTCCCTGTGGTTTCACTGAGGGCCATATCTAAGAAGATCTTCTTGTATTCTAATTATCCTTGGCTAGAGATGAGAAAATCTTAGTGTGGAGTGAGTTCTGGCGTTCTTTAACAAATATATTGCTGAAACAATAGCACTGTGACAAATCGTGACATGTAGCTTCTCTCCCCAAACCTACTACCCAAGAGCCTTTTGCTATAAGCAGCAGCCCCTGCCCTTCTGCCTCCTTACTCTGCTATTTTTTTTCCCTCAGCACTTTTTGTTACCTGTCTTACTATTTTCTGTCTCTCCTGCTGAAAATAAACTTCATGAGGACAGGAGGTTTTTTTTCCTGTGTGCTCCATTGCCTAAGTTTGTTTTGTTCACTATGTGTCCCTGGCCTGCATATTTGTGAATATGCAGTGAATATGAATGTGAATATGTAAGTGAATAAAAGAAAACAGCTCAGAAGCTGTGGCTTTGAGGATGGAAAAGAAGGGAACCATAGTTGATAAACTACCTAGCAGAAAGGACCTTAGTTCCTTTTAATATTTTGGGGTCAGACAGTGCAAGCTGTCGACAGCAGCTTAAGGAGATACATTAGAGTCTTCCTGGCAGTTCTTAGAATGCCTTGTGCTAGTGTTGAATGGGACCTCCAAATTCCTAGTGTGCTGCGTGTATGTCTGTTGAAGGAGCTCATCACTTGCACAAGGACCAGAATCACTTTTACTGCAGCATGGCCAGTTTTCTGGCCACTGTTCCTAGTTATACCTTTGATTCTTTTACACACACACTGTAGCTGCTGCCAAGGCAGGATCAAAGTCCAAATACTGCCCTCAAGGATGTGCTGACTTTAGCAATGCCAACCAAGTGAAGCAGCAGTGATGTCAATGTGGCAGAGAAAAGGGTTATGGGGAAATTGGGTGCAACTTTTTTTTTTTTTTTTTTGAGACAGAGTCTTGCTCTGTTGCCCAGGCTGAATGGAGTACAGTGGTGTGATCTTGGCTCACTGCAACCTCCACCTCCTGGGTTCAAGTGATTCTCATGCCTCAGCCTCCCAAGTAGCTGGGATTACAAATGCCTGCTACCATGCCTGGCTAATTTTTGTATTTTTAGTAGAGATGGGGTTTCACCATGTTGGCCAGGCTGGTCTCGAACTCCTGACCTGTAATGATCTGCCCACCTCGGCTTCCTGAAGAGCTGTGATAATAGGTGTAAGCCACCGCGACCGGCTGAGTGCATCTTGACCTTTAGAGAGAAGCTTCGCTTTTCAAATTTTTAAGAGGCTATTGTACATGCCAGAAAGTAGCTGATCAGTCAGAATATCACCATATATCTTTAGGAAAAATGTTAGTTTAGTTACTTGTGCGGTGCCTAGCATTGAGCAGTTGCTTGACTGTCATAATAATTCTGCTGTCTCTACTGTACTCTTGCATCTGGATAACTTTGTCTTTCTTACCTTTGGAGATTCAAGACAAGTTGAACAAGACCAAGGATGATATTAGCAAGAACATGTCATTCCTGAAAGTGGACAAAGAGTATGTGAAAGCTTTACCCTCCCAGGGTCTGAGCTCATCTGCTGTTTTGGAGAAACTTAAGGAGTACAGCTCTATGGGTATGATGCTTGGCATATACATGCTCTCTACTTCCTTAAAGAGACAGGTTTTGTCATTGTTTAATGTTCACATAGGTTAAGAATAACTCATCATTGGTTAATACATGTTTAGGAGGGCCTACTCTCTGTTTCACAGGTTGAATTTCCTATTTTTAAAATTATGTTTAGATTCATCCTTCATCCATAAAGCAAGCAAATCTCAGAGACAGTGGAACTTGGCTTTTATTTCCTTTTGTAAGCATGAATAAAACAAATATATTTGTGTTTAAGAAGAGAGAATATAAGATATGTAATACAAATGAAATACAGATCCATGTAAAAATGTGAAATCTGCATAAAGGCACAAAAGAAAATAAGTCACTATAATTCCACTATCAAAGATAAACAGATGGTGTCTATCTTTATGCATGTAGCTATAGGTAGAGCTGTCTATATAGTTTACATCTATCTATATATGTATATCTGTCTGTTTCTGAGAATGCTAATAGTGTTTGTCTGTGTGTATACACATGTATGCATGAGCACATATGGGATGGATAAATAGACCAAATAGCTTGGTGCTTAAGAGCGTAACCCTGGAACCAGCCTGGATTCATACCTTGGTTTGCCACTTAAAGTATGCCTTTGGCGAGTTACTTCTGTATGTCACAGTTCCTGTATCTCTACAATGGGGATAGTAATAGTAGTACAGTACTTACCTGAAAAGATGATTATGGGGATTAAATGAGATCATACATGTATAAATGTTTTATAGTGCCTGGCATATAGTAAGGATTCAGTAAATGTTAAACATTATTGCTATTATTAACTCAAACAGATTTATGTTTGTTACTGATTAAGATCATATTACAAGTACTTTTTAAAAAGAAGCTTTTTAGTTTGATATATTTACAGAAAAGTAGCAAAGATGATAGAGATTTCCCTATACCCAGCTTCTCCTGATGTTAACATCCTCTATAACCATGGTACGTTTATCAAAACTAAAAAATTAACATTGGTACAGTGCTATTAACTACACTACAAATTCTATTTCTAGTTCATCAGGGTTTTTTTTTGTTTTGCTATGTTTTGTTTTAAACTAATGTTCTTTTTTCTATTCTAGGAGCCAACCAGGAGCCATGTTGCATTTTGACAAATACCCTTATTTTTTATTTTTTGAGACAGAGTCTCACTGTGTTGCCCAGGCTGGAATGCAGTGGTGTGATCTCAGCTCACTGCAACTTCCACCTTCCAGGCTTAAGCAATTCTCGTGCCTCAGCCTCCCAAGTAGCTGAGATTACAGGCGTGCGGCACCATACCCAGCTAATTTTTTGTGTTTTTAGTAGAGATAAGATTTCACCATGTTGCCCAGGTTGGTCTCGAACTCCTGAACTCAGGTGATCTGCCCACCTTGGCCTCCCAAAGTGCTAGGATTACAGGTGTGAGCCACTGTGCTCGGCCTTGACAAATACCCTTACAATTTCTAAGTGACATGTGTTGAGGTCTTGACATTGAATAGTACAAAATTTGATATAGTCTAGGATGTAGATGAATAAAGCAGTGGTTAGCACTCTAAAACCTGGTGTTAAAGATTTCCATGATTATGAGACCTGGTTGCCGCCATCATATTGCCTTCTCTTTAATGTTTAAGTCACTGTCCATTGCTGTATTCTCTAGCATCAGTAAAAGAACAGGAAATGAAACCAGTTATCTTATTTTTGAAAGGCTGGTGACCACTGGTCTGAAGCTGTGTATAGTACAGAGCAGTGTCCTCTAAGGAAAGAGTGAAAGTCAAACGGGCAGCAAGCCAGAGCTTGGCAGATTGCTGTAAGAATGAGTTTGTCTGTATATTTACCACTTAGTTTTCTGTTCTCAAGAGCTGAAGATCTTTGCTTTGGAGAGCCCTTGGCTCCATGCAGTTTTTAGTTGGTGTGTTTCCGTAATAGCTTTCTCACTACCCACTTTCAATAGGGCACAGCTGCATTGTAGCACAAGGACCTGAGACACCCATATCAACAAATTTGTGGGTAAAATGAAGAATGTCTCGGGGAGAGAGGAAAGTGGAAAGTCAGATCTTATATTCTACTCAGGAACTTTACTTTTCTTTCCACACTGGGATAAAGGAGGTTTATCCCAATGTTGACTGTGTTCCTGATCTTGAATATGCTACAGCGTGTGCTGCTGGAAGCAGGTAACTAGTTTTATGTGGGTTTCCAGGCTTGGCTTAAGGGAGCCGGCGTCTGAGACCGGGGTGCTCATGGTTTATACCTCATTGTGGTTTGTTTGCTGGTTTCATCTCTGATGATAGTGTGCTGAAATTTCACACTTTTCATTTTGCTTTCTTCTGCCAACTCTGCTCATAATAGTTCTCAAAATTCCTAGGACTGGATAGGAAAGGAGAGAAGAAGGAAGCTATTGCAGAAAAAGGCCACTCCAAAGCCATATAGAGAACAAAAAATAAGTATAGACAAAGGCAAATGTTCCTGCTGTTAGAAGGCAGTTGAGGATGAGGACAACATTATTATCAGATTGCCTTTATTGTAGCTAAATGCTATTAATATCTTTTTCACATTGCTGATAATAATGATTTTTCATCTTTATTTTATTGTGCTAACTCTATTGAACTTTTTTCTTGATTTGCTATAAGAATGCTGTTGGGTTTCCACTCAACATTTTTTTCTTTTGTATCCAGAGGAGTTTCTTCCTGTTTCTTCTTTATCAGAACCTGTCTTCCCAGAGATTCTTGCTTACTGACCAGTGACCTTACCTTTCTCTGCAGACGCCTTCTGGCAAGAGGGGAGAGCCTCTGGAACAGTGTACAGTGGGGAGGAGAAGCTCACTGAGCTCCTTGTGAAGGTGAGTGTCCAGTTCTTGAGGGAAGCCTGTGAGGTCTGTGCCAGTTTACATGACCTCCTTTTTTTCCCTTACTTTTGTAATTAGAAAAATTACTTAAGGAAAGCTTATTGGTACAATAAAACCATAAAAGTTTCTCTTCACCCAAACATAGGCGAATATGTATAATATTATCAAAGACATCTTCAGTCTGTAAAATAGTAAAATGTTATTTATGTTTTCAGTCTTTGCAGATGTCCTGTCTAGAAGGCAGATTACTAGGGAAGGTAGTCCTGTCAGATGAGATTTTTGTGGTGAGACAGATTTTGTTTGATAAGAAGAGATAAGATAGGGAAACTCTTTCATAATTTTCTCAAATCATGTGACCCAAGATGAGCAGTGGTCTCATGTATACTTCAAATAATTCTCATTCTTAGCTTCTTCCATTTCTAATCAAATTTATTTTTATTTTATTTTATTATTTTTACAGACAAAGTCTCACTCTGTCACACAGGCTGGAGTGGAGTGGTGTAATCATGGCTCACTTCAGCCTTGACCTCTTTGGCTCAAGTGATCCTCCCACCTCAGCCTCCTGAGTAGTTGGGACTACAGGCGTGCATCATGACACCCAGCTAATTTTTGTATTTTTTTGTTGGAGATGGGGTCTCACTCTGTTGCCCAGGTTGGTCTTCAACTCCCAGCCTCAAGTGATCCTCCTGCCTTGGCCTCTGAAAGTGTTGAGATTACAGCTGTGAACCACTGCACTCGGCCCTCATATTTATTTTTGAAACTCCACTTCATCATATAAAATTGGGGTTGTACTGATGATCTCTAAGGTCTTTGTGTTTGATTATTATAAATATGAAACTGTCCCTTACTAAATAAATATGGCAGGTTTTGCATAAGTTGGTGTAATGCTCTGATCTTCTGTGCTTAAAATCTTTCAGTAGCTTCCCATTATCTACAGGATGAAACTCAGGTTCTTATGCAGCAGAGAATACAAGTTTCTTCATGAGCCAGCTCCCACTTATTTTTTCTTAACTACTTCTCTTCATTTCCCACATAAACACTAATCCTGCCTTTTCTCTTTACTAAATGTGTCATGCTTTTACGTTGTTTTCCTTCCCTTCCATCATTCCTCTTGTTCCAAATGATGATTCCTACTCATCTCTCAAAGTTCCACTCAGCAGACACCTCTAGATCACTCAGGATGTTAGTTGTTCCCTCTTCAGGGTCCCTTAGCACTCTGTACACACACCTGATATTGCAGTCGATAACAACAGCTGCTTTGTGCCAGACACTCTACTAAGTGCTTCACATGCATTATGTTATTTAATTATTGCTAGAACACTAGAAGATAGCTACCATAACAACTTCTGCGTATGAAGAAACAACCTTAGATTATGTGACCTACACAGCTGAAAGTAATAGGCAAAGCTTAGACTTCCTCCTGGGTCGGTTTGGTGTTATAGTCTGCGCTTTTAACCATATTTATACTTCTTTCCTCATCACATTGTAAAATTATTTATTTACATGTCTGTCTCCTCTGCTATGTTTTGATCTTTTGGTTGAGGAATATATCTTATCTTTTTTTCCAGTTTATATTGTTGTGCCTAATACTTAGAAACTGTTGTTTAGTGCATGATTCTTTGTCCTGTATAGTGTAATAGTTTTGATTTCACATCTGCTTGCATTTTTTTGCAGGCTTATGGAGATTTTGCATGGAGTAACCCCCTGCATCCAGATATCTTCCCAGGACTACGCAAGATAGAGGCAGAAATCGTGAGGATAGCTTGTTCCCTGTTCAATGGGGGACCAGATTCGTGTGGATGTGTAAGTATATGCAAGGGGCATCCAATAGCCTTATTTTTTAGGTTAAAATAGAAGAGTTTTTAATAAATATTAATTATATTTTAAAAAATAAAAAATATTAAAAATATTTTACTACACAAGAAATATTTGATCATTGTAGAAAGGTCATTTTACTACACAAGGAATATTTGATCATTGTAGAAAGATCCTAATTAACTGCAGTTTTAAATGTTACTTGTAATTTTGTAACCTAGACAATGTCAACATTTTGGTATATATTCTTCTAGATATTTTTATTTTCACCTTTTTATTTTGAAAAACTTTGAACCTACATTGAGTTGCTAGGATGGCTTAAAGAACACCTTAGATTCACTAAATGTAAATATGTTGCCATATCTGCTCTCTACACTCTTTCCCTCCCTACCCGCTTCTTCCCTCATCCCCCACCTGCATACCTACCATTCCCCTATTTATCTGTGTATACTTTTGTTGTTCCATCCAGCAGTGTTTTTAGTGTACTTCTGGTTTTACCTGAGCCAAAGTTTAATTTATTATTTTGCTGTAAACTGAACCTCATTTAGTTGCTATTAGGCATAAAGAAAGGGGGAGGACATCATTATATTTAAAGAAACACATGAGGATTCTTTGTTTTACCTGTTCTTTCAAGTAGATGGTTGTTAGTTTTCGTAAACTATGATAGATAAACTTCTGTTTAGATCTGTTGTCTTTAGAAAAAACGAAATCTCAGGTTATGTAGGATAGATAGATTTAACTCAATATGCTGCAATGGTGTCCTAGAGGTGCTAATCCTATCAGATACTCATCATATTTGCAGTCATTATAAAGACTGCAGATTTAATTATTGAAGGGCCCATTCGAAGAGCACCTAATTTAGTTTCTTTTTTTTTTTCCAGGAAGCATTGTTTTTGTTTTGTTTTTCTAATATGTTGGCGCCATGAAAATCATCATGTTCAAATATTAGTAGTAATAAAGGTGATATGCCTGGCATTCATTTTCAAAGCAAAATACTGAAACTGTTAAAAACAGAACCACCCATAATACAGCAGCAGTTTCCCTTAGAGTACTGAGGTGAACAGGGTGACTTTCAGAGGGAAGATGATAATGTACTTACAGTATATTCTCCTATGCCATTAGACTCTTGAAGAACTTGTAAGAGGCCAGAGTGAATAGCCACAGAACAGTTTGGCCTTATCTGGTAAATTTGAAGATACATATATCTTATGACCCAGAAATTCTGCTACTAGGACATACTCTAGAAAAATTAGTACACATATATATCAGGATATATGGACATTAATATTCATAGCAATGTTATTCATGATAGCTAAAAACTGGAAGTAATTCAAATGCCTATCCACAGGACACAGATGAATAAATTGTGGAATGCTGTGTGTGCCTCAATCCATTGTAGCTCTTATTCAGATTGATGTACAAATTGCCTCATCCATCTTTGGCCAGTGGAAACATCATATTGGCTCCTAGGTCCATTTACATGACCCAAGTAATCTTTGAAAGCCTTTTTTCTCTTTCTTTCCTTTTTTTTTTTTTTTTGACGAAATATTCCAGGTTCAGGTTCACTTTGTCCATTTCCTGCTCCAGGCCTTCAATCAGCCATTTATCCAAGGAGCCCTGGTTCATTTAAAACTAGGTAAAATAATTACATAGTTCCAAAATCACATTTATGGAACAAGACAGATTAAAAAAAAAAAGTTAACCAGAATGCAGTCCAGAGAGACAAAGAAATAGAAGGTATGAAAGAGAGGCTAAGAGATGCAAAGGATAGGATGAGAAGGCTAACACACATCTAACTGGTGTTTGAGAGCAGCCAGAGAAAATAGATTACCTACAAAGGCATAACTGTTAGGACAACTGATACTCAATAGCAACGATGGCTGGGGCAGTTGGGGGTAGATGAAAGATTGGCTGTAAATTGAAAATTGCTGGAGCCTGGTGATAAGTAGTGAGAGGTCACAGCGTGCTGGCAGTCCTCACAGCCCTCGCTCGCTCTCGGCGCCTCCTCTGCCTGGGCTCCCACTTTGGCGGCACTTGAGGAGCTCTTCAGCCCACCGCTGCACTGTAGGAGCCCCTTTCTGGGCTGGCCAAGGTCGGAGCCGGCTCCCTCAGCTTGCAGGGAGGTGTGGAGGGAGAGGCGTGAGCCGGAACCAGGGCTGCGCGCAGCGCTTGCGGGCCAGCTAGAGTTCCCGGTGAGCATGGGCTTGGCGGGCCCCGCACTCGGAGCAGCCGGCCGGCCCTGCCGGCCCCGGGCAATGAGGGGCTTAGCACCCAGCCAGCAGCTGCGGAGGGGGTTCTAGGTCCCCCAGTAGTGCCGGCCTACCGGCACTGCGCTCGATTTCTCGCTGGGCCTTAGCTGCCTTCCCCTGGGGCAGGGCTCGGGACCTGCAGCCCGCCATGCCTGAGCCTCCCACCCCCTCCGTGGGCTCCTGTGTGGCCCCAGCCTCCTTGACGAGCGCCACTCCCTGCTCCACGGCGCCCAGTCCCATCGACCACCCAAGGGCTGAGGAGTGCAGGCGCACAGCGCAGGACTGGCAGGCAGCTCCAGTCCTGCAGGCAGCTCCACCCGCAGCCCCGGTGCGGGATCCACTGGGTGAAGCCAGCTGGGCTCCTGAGTCTGGTGGAGCCTTGGAGAACCTTTATGTGTAGCTCAGGGATTGTAAATACACCAATCGGCACTCTGTATCTAGCTCAAGGTTTGTAAACACACCAATCAGCACCCTGTGTCTAGCTCAGGGTTTCTGAGTGCACCAATCGACACTCTGTATCTCGCTGCTCTGGTGGGGGCTTGGAGAACCTTTGTGTGGATACTCTGTATCTAACTAATCTGATGGGGACGTGGAGAACCTTTGTGTCTAGCTCAGGGATTGTAAACGCACCAATCAGCGCCCTGACAAAACAGACCACTTGGCTCTACCAATCAGCAGGATGTGGGTGGGGCCAGATAAGAGAATAAAAGCAGGCTGCCAGAGCAAGCAGTGGCAACACGCTCGGGTCCCCTTCCACACTGTGGAAGCTTTGTTCTTTCGCTCTTTGCAATAAATCTTGCTACTGCTCACTCTTTGGGTCCACGCTGCTTTTATGAGCTGTGACACTCACCACGAAGGTCTGCAGCTTCACTCCTGAAGCCAGTGAGACCACGAGCCCACCGGGAGGAACGAACAACTCCGGACGCGCTGCCTTAAGAGCTGTAACACTCACTGTGAAGGTCTGCAGCTTCACTCCTGAGCCAGCGAGACCACGAACGCACCAGAAGGAAGAAATTCCGGACACATCCGAACATCAGAAGGAACAAACTCCAGACGTGCTACCTTAAGAGCTGTAACACTCACCGCGAGGGTCCGCGGCTTCATTCTTGAAGTCAGTGAGACCAAGAACCCACCAATTCCGGACACAGTAGAAGCCCATTGGGCTTTTCAATTTTATTTACTCTAATTTCATTCTAAAGAATTCTGTTTTGTAGTTCTCCTTTTATTTTATTATTATTTTTTGAGACAGGGTGTCACTCTGTTGCTCAGGCCAGAGTGTAGTGGTGCCATCTCAGCTCACTGCAGCCTTGACCTCTCTGGGCTCAAGCGACCCTCCCACCTCAGCCCCCTTGAGTAGCTGGGACTACAGGCATGCACCACCATGCCTCGCTAATTTTTGTATTTTTAGTAGAGATGGGGTTTCACCATGTTGCCCAGGCTGGTGTTGAACTCCCAAGCTGAAGTGATCTGCCTGCCTTGGCTTCTCAAAGTGCTGGGATTACAGGCGTAAGCCACCACGCTTGGCCGTCTTTTTTTTTTTTTTTTTTTTTTAATCTGCTTGGTTGTTTTTTATAGTCCTTTTCCTTGGCTTAACTTTTGTTTACTTAAATATATTACACATAAATATGTTGTATTCTGTGTCTGATAATTCCAATATCCATGAGCCTTACCTGATTCTGCTGGCTTCAGTCATGGTTCCTTGTTTCCTTATATTTGTGATTTTATTTTATTTATTTATTTTTTTATGAGCCACTCATTTTTCTGGGAACCTAGGGATTCTTTGAGGCCTAGATTGAAGTTAAGTCTGGAAGTTCTCTTCTTCCAGAGAAGATTTGTCATACCTTTTTGAGTTGCTGGGGATTGCCACCACACTGGAACCAAATTAAGTCAAATCCTTAGCTTGTCATTTTGTACCACAGAGGTAGTGTGAATTCTGACCACAAACTCACATAAAGGCTTCCTTGTTACACATTCTTGAAAGATTGCTATTTTTCTTTACTTGAACATCAGGGTTGAGAAAAACAGTTTTTCTTTTCTCTTTTGCAGTAGTGGGATTTATTTCTTGTACACTGTAGAGTGTGGTCTTTTTCCAGCCATCTCCTGTTGGACTCCTTATCTTGGGCAGTCTCTAATGTATCTTCTGGTCCATCCTTTGCTCATCTGTCAGTGTAGGAGTTTGAAGTCTGAAGGGTCTGGTGCCACCTCAGGGTGAAAGCTAGTTTTGCCACTCACTTATCTTGCAGGATTCTTGATTTTGCTTTGTTTGGGGGTTTAGCAAGTTTCTTTATGTTAGGTTAGTGATAGGTTTAAATTTTTTTTTTTTGATGTTTTATCAAGTTTTTTAGTTATTTCAGTTAGGAAGGTTGCTCAAGGTATATAATATTGCTAGAAATAGAAGTTCCATAATTGTTTTTTCCATGTTACAGACCTTCGTCTATTTGAAAGCCCCTTTCTCCCTGAATCTTCTCTGCCCCACATTTTTCTGGGTTACTCCGCTTTTCATATGATTTCACAGACTTCCAACCATCGCAGTCATTCTCTGTATGACTTTTGGTTGCCTCTGGCCAGATTGAACACAGTTCTCCACATTTGGAGTGGCATTGATCTTTCAATCTCTGTCTTTTTTAAATCTGGGTTCAATAAACTTATTTCAGACCTTTTCCTTGAAGTCAGCATTTTTATTCTTGGCAATGTTTATTTTATTCCTTGCTGTTCCTAATGTCTTTGTTAGTTCTGTATGGATGCTACTGGCTTTGTTTTTTTAGGTCTGTAGCTCATTCTTTTTGTTTCATGGTCTAGGTTTTGAACTCTTTGTTTTCTTAAATTCATGTTCTTATGATATTTTCCTATAGTGAGAAAGTTATAAGGGGTTTCCTTCATCCCTTAGCTTGTTTCCTTCTGTGTTGGGTTTTTATTTTGCATGCTACATACTACCTTTTCCCCTGCCTTTTAGTTTGTTTGCATAGTTTCCTTGCCATTTTCTCTCATCTTGGGGTGGCATTCTCCAGACATTGTTCTTATGCACTGTGGGTGCTTCCTGTCTGAGACCATTTGGCTGGGGACAAAGCTCAGCCAAAGCTTTGTTCTATCTGTATTAGAATAACCAGGTCTATTCTGAGATTCTCTTCAAAGTTACCTATCAGAGTTCACTCTCTTATTTGGAAGAGATAATATACCCTTTGAGCTCTGATTATTTAATTCACTGAAGTCTTCACTCTAAAGAGCCAATCCTGATGTTCTCTCTTCATTTTGCTCATTTCTCCCTAGCAGCCATGTTTACCACTCACTCATGAGAAGAAGAAGAAAATAAGGAAACCCCCTCAGCTTGCCTCTGCAGATTTGGGGGTATAAAGGAAAATTCTCAGGATTTTGCTGACTTTGCGGTACAGTTTCAAGGGCTGATTAGAAACTAGTGTTTTGCTTACTTCTGCTCTCTGCTGTTTCACTGTTTCTTTTTTTTTTTTGATTGCCAATATTTGAAGTTTATTGCCTAGATTATCTCTCTTTCCTTGTTTGGTTGTTGTTATTGTAGATTTTGACTCTTTTCTCTCCCTGCACTCACCCTTTTTTTTTTTCTTCCCATCTTACTCCTGAAGTCCAGGCCTAGGGGTTTTTTGCATTGCTGCAATTAAACCATATCTCTATTATTTTGATCTTCAGCACGTGTGAGGGATCAGAAGAAGGATAGAGTCTGATTCCCAGGCTCTTCTAATATTTAGACTTTTATAAAATAACTAATCAGCACTGGTATTGTCTTTTTCCCTCTCCCACTCTGTCTCCCCCACTCCTCCCTTAGCTTCTTACTTCTCTCTCTGGATGAGCTGCTTCTAGTGAAGAAAGAGTTCACTGTTCAGAGGTGGGAAGCCAGAAGATAAAACCAAATGGCTGGGCAGTCTTTAGGTTATTCCTAGCTAAGAGTTAAGAGTTGTAAGCTCTCTCATTCTTTGTTCTTCAGCCTTAAACTATCTTTCCTTCTATTAACTTTATTTGTCTCAGTTACAATGATAGAGGTAACTTCACATACTAAAAGAAATTAGGTTACCATGTGAAACATTCTTCTTGGCTTGTGCTAATGTTATCAGATCCAAACAGCATCTGAAAGAAAATTTTCCAAGTAGATGTTGTTCTCTTGTTTTCTGAAATACATATCATATGTTAAAGTGAGAGTTTTTATACATGTTGAAAGAAGTTGAATGACATAACAAATAGTTACTGAGGCCTCCATTTTCTTACTTCACAGTTAAAATTCCTGTTTCTCTTTGGGTATAGGAGGTAGAAAGAAGTGGGAGAGTAATAGCATTTTAAAACACAGAATCAAAAATACATATTAAAAGTAGAACTTAGGCCCAGGCACAGTGACTCACGCCTGTAGTCCCAGCACCATGGGAGGCTGAGGCAAGTGGATCGCTCGAGCCCAGGAATTCGAGACCAGCCTGGGCAACTAGGTGAAACCCTGTCTCTACAAAAAATACAAAAGTTAGCCAGGCATGGTGGGGTGTGCCTGTAGTCCCAGCTACTTTGGGGGATGAGGTGGGAGGATCTCTTAGGCCTGGGAGGTGGAGATTGCAGTGAGCCGAGATCACGCCATGGCACTCCAGTCTAGGTGAAAGATTGAGACCCCATCTCAAAAAAAAACAAAAAAGAAAAAAGTAGAATTTAGGTATTCCTACTTTTACAGTCAAAAGTCCACTGGTGTTTGCATAACAATGATGTTTTGACTAGTTATTGGACTAAAAGTAGGACACATGAAGCAGGTGACTAGGAATTTGGAAATATTATTGCTTAGGTCATTACTGGACCTTACGAAGAGATTGTTGCACTGGTGACTTGGACTTTGCTGGTCCCTCCCCGACTCTTCACAGCTGGCTTGACGACTCTTGTGACATTCTGAGGTTTTATGCTAAACCACAGGACATGCTGCTGATTTGCAGAGCTGACCTCAGCTGTAAGCACTTTGTCTTCTGCAGCGTAGAAATGTAGTGACCTACAAGTGTCCCATGCCCAAGTTGGGTGCATTATTTTTTGGTGATGGTCACATGTTTCATAAAGACTTCCTGAGTCAAAAAATGACTTTTCTCAGTTCATCTTCCATATAACTCCTGGCCACAGGGATTTTGTATCCAATGGTATTTTTGTTCTATGTGTGGATATTATTTTAGCAAAGTTCAGTGGTCACTTTCTCTGATTCCATCTTGTATTAAGCTACACTAAATATGAAAACGTAGAAAGTTTTACTTCTTATCAACAGATGCTAATGTATGACATTGAGTGAAACACTTTAATTCCTCAAGGGCTCAGTTTTCTCACCTGTAAATTGAAAAAACCTTTCAAAGATTGTATGAATCTTCAGAGATGGTAAGTCTAAGAAGTTGTCCAACTAGTTTAGTATTGTGGCTTTTTGTTTGTTTTGGAATGATTCATTCTCATATATTATTTTTTAAAAAAATAGCCAGGTGGCTATGACATGCCTGTGTTGGTCAAGGTTTACTGAGAGTCAAGTCAGGCATTAAGAAATGTGAAGGCCAGGTGCAGTGGCTCACACCTGTAATCCCAGCTCTTTGGGAGGCTGAGGTGGGCAGATCACTTGAGGCCAGGAGCTTGAGACCAGCCTGGCCAACATGGTGAAACCCCGTCTCTGCTAAAAATACAAAAATTAGGTGGGCATGGTGGTGGGCGCCTGTAATCCGAGCTACTCGGGTAACTATGGCAGGAGAATCGCTTGAACCAGGAGGCAAAGGCTGCAGTGAGCCGAGATCATGCCATGGCACTCCAGCCTGGGCAACAGAGTGAGACTCTGTCTCAAAAAAAAAAAAAAAATGGATTGAGGGTTTGTTAGGTGTCAGCCACTATGTCAGGTGCTAGGAATTTGTCATGAACAGACTGGTCCCTACTTTCATGAATTTATAGTCCAGTGAGGGAAATAAGATGAATAAAAAGACCCCTACGTCTTTTTGTTTGAACTCTGGTAAAGAAATGTGTTTATCAGAGGGGCTAGGCCAAACTTTAGGAAAACATTTCACTTCACTTAAAAAAAATTAGGATTTTTGTTTTATTTCAGATAAGGCAACAAACTTCCATCAAGTAGAAACTTCTGCTTTTCTCTGTCTTTCAAACTTGTCAAAATCAGCAGTTTACTTTGTTAAATCTGAATGTCTCTTTTTAGTGTATTGCACAGTTTACTAGAATTGTAATCACAATTTCACATTCTTTAACAGGTATTGAAAATTTAAATTAAAATTCTGATATTTTTGAATGGCATAAAATGCCCTATCTTATCTGAAAATTGAAAAATTAATACAGAAATGTAAATGGATTGTGAATAGGTGGGATCTGGCCAAGTGTGCATTTGTCTAGGCAGTGCTGAGTTTCTGCTCATTATTTAGTAGCTTTCATTCTTCACCTGAGCCAAAATTAGGCTTAGCCAATAAAGCCAAATTTTCCTTCTGGAAGACATGGCAGTGTCTGCCTTGCAGCATGCATCCAAGACCTTATCTGTTTCTGTATCAAACATTGTCAAGATCAGGGCATGAAGAGCCGGGGCATTCCTGACTCCCCCAACAGATGGCATCTCTTCTTTATTATAGGTGACTTCTGGGGGAACAGAAAGCATACTGATGGCCTGCAAAGCATATCGGGATCTGGCCTTTGAGAAGGGGATCAAAACTCCAGAAATGTATGTATGTGTGGCTGTTTTGTCCCCTTTTGGATTTGTCTGTCTGGAGTACAGCTTTATGAAACTAAAGCAGATAATCCATTTTCCTGCTGCTTCTCTTCCTCTGGTAATTCTGGTCCCCTTTCCCCCTGTCCTAGCCCCTCTGCCCTTATCCTTTTACATTCAGTAAAATTCTAAATGGATCAGCCAGTTATTTTTAAAGATCATTCCCATCCCGCCCCACCCCCAGATCATGCATAGTATATACTACAAGCAAAAATAAGATCCTTTTTCCAAAAGTGAGAGTTTGAGGACTACATCTTTGAATCCTGTGATATTTGCAAATTATTTGGAGCCTAAAGAAACCTCTCTAGGTACTTTAGTTCTGCTTACCTTAGAAAGTTACTTAATATTATAGGCTGCCTCAGGGTACTCTCTGGGAAAACTTTAGTGTGAGGGCTGTTTTCTGGGAGGAAGAATAAAAATATCTTTTTGAGATTTACCCACATTGCCTTCCTTGGACATAAATTTGATGTTTAGTTACATTATTTTTTCCTAGACTGTCCCCTTGTACAGTATGTTTATCCTACATCTTAATATTTTTACTGCAAGTATTACTTGACAATGGGGATTTATTGCATATGGTCTCATGCTGTGGTTCATATGTAGCATAAGAGAATAAACCAGGCTGCCATTCTTTCTTCATATGTCGATCTTTGGTGCTTGGTACTTCCTCAGTAGTAGAGATTTTTCTCCTTAGAGGGAACAGATTCGTTGTATGAATGGAGTAGTTGAGGAAAGTCTAAAGCAAATACCCGTGACCTCATTTTCTCTTTCAACACTATTTGAAATACTATTTCCAAATGTGTAGGAGAAATGGGGATTTTAGTTTCTTCAGGTTTGTTGTCTTTCAGAGTTGGAAGGGGCCACTGAGCTGATGCTTGGCCGCTGTGTGAACATTTCTGCTTGAACATGTGTTGTGCCGGGAAGCCTTCTTCTCATTCTCACTGAGGTGCCTGTCTTTGGTAGGCAACCGTTAGCCAGCTCTGCCTTGTGTTGCTCTCATCCAAAGTCTCTGTCCCCCAGCTTTCCGCCTGCCAGCCTAGCTTTATGCTTTGGATCCCTCACTGTGGGATCACTTCTGAGTCCTCTTCCTATTGCCAGAATGATTTCCTAAATAGGAGGGAAGTTTCTGCAGAAAATCAGTTGGCCTCTTTTTGGGTGTGCTTAAAAAGAAAAGTAGAGCAGTCTAAACACTTAAATTTTTAATTTGGGGAAAAATAATCAGAACTTACTCCCGGTAATTTAGATTAGCTGCTAATGGTGTTTTCTATTATTTTGGCCTGAGTTACATTATTCTCCTCTTCCCTGTCATTTAGTGTGGCTCCCCAAAGTGCCCATGCTGCATTTAACAAAGCAGCCAGTTACTTTGGGATGAAGATTGTGCGGGTCCCATTGACGAAGATGATGGAGGTGGATGTGCGGGTGAGTCCCTCTGGAGGGCCCACTGTCTGTGCTGGGCCCTGACAGCAGAAGGGCCCTCCTGTTGACTAGCCGTTTCCAGTCAGATGGGTCTGACTGCCTTTGATTGTGGCAGCCAGAATATGAAAAACTGCATTGATAGTGGTGATTGACTGCAGCTTCAGTCTTTTCATAGGTTCATGAATTCTGAAAGGGAGGTGATCTAGTCACTAACTTGGGACTTGAGAGACACTGGTTTTGCGGTCAGCGCCATCACTTTTTCTTTCTTTTCTCTATTTGTAAAATGAACATGGACTCACTTCCCCTAAGACTCTTACCATGGCCCGGGCATGGTGGCTCACATCTGTAATCCCAGCACTTTGGGAAGCCGAGGAGGGAGGATTACTTGAACCCTTGAGCCCAGGAGTTTGCGACCAGTCTGAGCAACATAGTGAGACCCCATCTCTACACAAAATTTAAAAAAGTAGCTGGACATGGTGGCATGCACCTGTAGTCCTAGCTACTCGGGAGGCTGGGGTGGGAGGATCACTTGAGCCCCAGGAGGTTGATGCTGCAGTGAGCTGTGTTCACACCACTGTACTCCAGCTTGGGTGACAGAGCAAGACCCTGTCTCAAAAAAAAAAAAAAGACTCTCACTGTGGTTTAGATTGGCTTAAATTAATACCATTGTCATTATGATAGTGATTATTTTTATGCCTCACATTTGTGTAGAGGAGTTTTCTAGTTTCAGTGTTCTGTCAGAATCCCATTTGAGCTTTATGACATTCCAGAGAGGTTGATGAAGCTGTTATATTATTGTAGTTCACAGATAAGGAACAGACTGAAGTAGCATACTCAGGGTTTCACTGCTGGTACGTTGTGGGGCTGGGGCTCACATTTGGCTCTTTGGCCTCTTAGCTCAATATTATTTTCGCCCCCACAGCGATTCTGTTCTTATTTTGTGCTCTCAGACTATTCTCCAAATGGACTTACCTGGAGTCACCTGTGTCCTGTCACCGTGGTGGGATGCAGTCTTCTCCCAGTTGGAGTGGTGAAGGAGGGGGTACTGGTGGAACTGGAACTCTAAGCTAGCAGCCCAAATTGCTCTTGGCAGCAGAAGAGAAGAGTAATTGTGACATAGATTCTCATTTTCCTTTAAACTTTAAATCCCTAGGCAATGAGAAGAGCTATCTCCAGGAACACTGCCATGCTCGTCTGTTCTACCCCACAGTTTCCTCATGGTGTAATAGATCCTGTCCCTGAAGTGGCCAAGGTATATGAGAGAAATGGGCTGCTAAGGCAGGCAAATGGATATTTTAAAACAAAGCCTAATGGGGCAGTACTTGGCAAATAGAAGCGATTTTTTTTTTGTTTTTGACCACAGTAGTGATAAGTAGCTCTCATCAGCCCTAGGGGAAGCCCTGCAGCTCAGTTGCAAGCCTTTAAAAGTTGCTAGTCTCTGCTGTGGGGGAAGATAGTACAAGGCTGAGGCCTTTTAAACTGGAAATTCTGAAATAGGATTGCCTTCTAGATTGAGATCTGGAAATAATCTGCATGTAGGAATGTGCCCACCAAAAGGGTGATATTCCACATGCTGCCCCTCAGCGCCTCCCTTTCCCTCACGCCTCATCCTGCAGTGACTGAGGCAGGACCTTTCCCTTGTGCGAGAGGCAGCCTAAATCAGAGCTCTACTCATTTCCTGCTTGATACCGCAGAGCGTTTGAGGTCATGCATATTTAAATATAAAATTGATACCATATTTCAGATGAATTATTTTGAAGGGAAAATACATTTGAAAGATAAATTTTGTTGGGAATGTTAAAAATAGCCATTTTTTAAAAACATGGGAGGCATAATACAAAATAGCCTTGTGTTTATAGCCCATCTTTCCACCCATGTCTTGCAGTTTTTATTATAGGGCTATAAAGGAAATTCTCTTATGTTCTTTGTTTTTTGGAACAAGCTGGCTGTCAAATACAAAATACCCCTTCATGTCGACGCTTGTCTGGGAGGCTTCCTCATCGTCTTTATGGAGAAAGCAGGATACCCACTGGAGCACCCATTTGATTTCCGGGTGAAAGGTGTAACCAGCATTTCAGCTGACACCCATAAGGTGAGCTAAGGAGGAGATCAAGTGTTACCAGTTGATTATTTTGACTATTATTGATAAAATAAATTGGTAGCTTCCCCGCAAAGTATAAAATTAACTATAGAATTCTCATCAGATGCTTGTTTTAAACTCTCTCTTTGCCGTCACCAGATCAGCTGGTTCAGGTGATGGGGTATAGTGGTAGAGGTGACAAGCAGTAGTGAAAATGAACCTGTTACCTTTATCTCAAATTGGCTAAGAGAATTTCTGTATCCACTGACTGTGTGTAACTAGAACATGCTAGTGTAGTGGCCCTTGTTAAAAAAGCTCCCTGAAGCCTTGAGCTGATTTGAGGTGGAGGGTAGAGGAGTGTGAGGGTTGGTAGTGGAGTTCCCATGCTGGTAGATAACATTAGAGCTGCTGTGCAACTGGGCTCCTGAGCGTACATGACGGGAAAATGTTGACGGAAGAGTCCTTTGGAAAATGGGAAGAACCTGTGTGCTCAGGAACATTCAGCATTTGAGATGGCCACGCCTGCCACCCTTGGTGGACTGAGACAAAGTCTAGATCAGTTGATAACGCTATTGAATATACATCCAGATGTGGAAGAAGTATTAGCAGCCTCAGGAATGTGTACCTTGTTTTGATTGCATTTTCAGAGCTTGTTTTAAACTCAAGTATATTAAAGACTTGTTTTTCAAAATCGGTGTGATCTGCAGCCGATTTTCAGTCAGCATCTGTTTTTTCCTTACCATCCAGATAGCTCCTGTGTCCTTTTCCCATAACCATCCATTTCTGGATGGTTCAGGTAATGAAATTAGTTCCACGTTAGTTTTAATAAGAGTTAATTAGGGGGTCAGATGTTCTATAAGGAAACCAGTTACATAGTTAATTTTAAAGCTGGATTAAGTAGCTTTTAGTTTCTGAGCACCATTATGTTCTCATAAGCATAATATTCTTAGTAATACTAAGCAAAAAAAGATGGGAAGGGGGTCAGATGGTGATTTTAACTTGAAGTGACAAATTCCATCCTTTCCTGGCTTCCATTGCAAACTTACCCTTGCTTTCATCCTGACATATGGTCTCCAGAGAAATATTTTAAATAAGGTAAACCACATGCTGGGCAAGAGAGGGAGTAAACCGATTAACTGGGCGCTGTTCTTCCCTGGGTCTCAGATTCCTCATTCCTAACAGAGAGAATTTAAACTCCATCCCTTAAGTTCCTACTATCCTTTAGCATTTTAAGTTTGAATCCTTAATGTGAGTGGGAAACATAACAGAGAAACTGAGAAATAAATAGGATTTCCTTTGCATGATGAGAGTTCTGGGACAAGGTCTGCCAGACAGAACTATACTCTCACTTTTCTTGTCTGCTACTTCTTCCACAGTATGGCTATGCCCCAAAAGGCTCATCATTGGTGTTGTATAGTGACAAGAAGTACAGGAACTATCAGTTCTTCGTCGATACAGATTGGCAGGGTGGCATCTATGCTTCCCCAACCATCGCAGGCTCACGGCCTGGTGGCATTAGCGCAGCCTGTTGGGCTGCCTTGATGCACTTCGGTGAGAACGGCTATGTTGAAGCTACCAAACAGATCATCAAAACTGCTCGCTTCCTCAAGTCAGAGTATGTGTGGAAGACTGGGGTTCTGCCTTGTCTATTGCTTTTTTGTCCTAGTAGGCTCAAGGCACCTGCCTGGCTAAGTATCCATAGCCCTAGCCCACCTGTTGTCTCCTGCGATATAGAGGGCTTAGGGCAGCAGCTTAGGGCTTAGGCCAGACCAGCTGGCCTGGGAGAAGAAGCTCCCTTTCTCTGCCCTGACTTTTGGAGGGTCTTTGAGACGGGGGCCTCATTTGTAGTTTATCTCATCTCTATGGATGTCTTAATAACTGGCAGCTCTTACCCTAAGGCTAATGTACAATTTAATGGTTAGGACAGTGATTCCCAAACTTGAGCATGCATTCTAATCACCTGAAGGACTTGTTAAAACACAGGTAGCTGGGCCCACCCCTAGAGTTTCTGATTCAGTGGAACTGGGATGGGCTCTAAAAATTTCCATTTCTGGAGATACTGATGCTACTGCTCCAGGAATCATACTTGAAGAATCATTGGAATAAGAAAATAATTGGAAATGGGCCAGAAGGAATGAGGAAAGGAGGGCAATGAAATCTTGGGTTAAGCCAAGGCCAGAACAGGCTGCATGCTTTGTCTAATGTATCTGTTAACATCTTATCTGCCCATCTCTCTATGTGTCACTTGGATTGGGGAGGCTCTTTAAGTATATTGAGGGGGAAGGAAAGCTGCCTGCAGGCATTTCTCATTTGAGAAAGATCCTTGGCCAGGCACGGTGGCTCCGGCCTGTAATCCCAGCACTTTGGGAGGCCAAGGCAAAAGGATCGCTTCAGCTCAGGAATTAAAGACCAACCGGAGCAACATAGTGAGACATTATCTCTACAACAAATTTAAAAATTAGCCATGAGGCCGGGCGCGGTGACTCATCCCTGTAATCCCAGCACTTTGGGAGGCTGAGGCGGGTGGATCACCTGAGGTCCAGAGTTCAAGACCAGCCTGACCAACAGGGAGAACCCCGTCTCTACTAAAAATACAAAATTAGCCGGGCGTGGTGGCGCATGCCTGTAATCCCAGCTACTCAGGAGGCTGAGGCAGGAGAATTGCTTGAACCCGGGAGGCAGAGGTTGCGGTGAGTTGAGATGGCACCATTGCACTCAAGCCTGGGCAACAAGAACGAAACTCCATCTCAAAAATAAAAAATAAATAAAAATAAAAATTAGCCACATGTGGTGGTGTGCACCTTTGGTCCCAGCTACACAGGAGGCTTAAGGCAAGAGGACTGCTTGAACAGCCCAGGAATTTGAGGTTACAGTGAGCTATGATCACACCACTGCACTCTAGCCTGGGTGACAGAGCAAGACCCTGTCTCAAATAAATAAGCAAACAAATAAATAAAAATTAGATATATATAAAAGGTCCTCCTATAGCTCTGATAGGGCCATTTATTAAGACCTGCTATACCATTTCTTGCTTTAGGGATTACATATGACTTTTTAGAACTGTGGAGATGGGCAGATTACTTTTCCAGAAATTTTTTTAGTACATCTTTCATGCCTCAGAAGCATCTAGGGGAATATAATTGGGAGTTGGGTAGACAGGTTCGAAGTCAGTGATTGAGTCATTAGATCTAGATGGGGTTTGGGCCTTGGAATTCCATTTTTATTGTTCCATCTATGATTCTGATCTCAGTAAGAACCACTGATCCAGTGTAGCCCTCTTCTTTTTTGAAGATGAGAAGACTAAAGCCCAAAGGGTTAGATTGCATTCATTATAAGGAAGACTTTGAATGATTAAAGAGATAGTGACCAGGGGATTGTATGTGACTGAATTTACTTTTTCTTCCTTCATTTATTTTTTTGTTTTAAGACTGGAAAATATCAAAGGCATCTTTGTTTTTGGGAATCCCCAATTGTCAGTCATTGCTCTGGGATCCCGTGATTTTGACATCTACCGACTATCAAACCTGATGACTGCTAAGGGGTGGAACTTGAACCAGTTGCAGTTCCCACCCAGGTAAGCTTGAAGAAGCCTCTTTCCCTTATTTTGCTCCATGATTTTGGAAGAACTTGGGTGGTACAGTAACCTGAAGTATAGAGTTTGACTGCTAGAGGCTAGCACGTTAGTAGCAACTGTAGTATATAAAGGATTTCTCTCTTGCCACCTGGAATTATTAGATACAAAGAACAAGACCATTAGCTTTAAACTCTGGCAGAATTAGGTGACAGCCTCCTAGACCAGTGGTTGGTCATGAGGTTTTTCTCTCAGTCTCTAGCCTTTCTACTCTCCAATCCATCTTGTACACAGCCATCAAATTGCTCTTATAAAATACTTGTTACCTGGCTAATATTTAGTTCAAGATCTTCCTGGGGGTCTCTAATCATTCAGGCCTGCTACTGCCTTCTTTATTAGACTTTTCTAACCTAATCTTCCATGATGCCTTTGAGTAAATGCACCACTCCAACTGAGTACAGGTCTGTTCATGTCCTCTGTGTACAGCTTAGCCTTCCACACGTTGGTGCATTGCCAGTCCCATCTGGACTATCTTTTTCCCTCTTCACAATTCCAGTAAACCCCACTAAATTCCTCCAGGGCGAGGTAGAATTTCTTCTGTGCCCTGAAGTCCTTTAAGACCCCAGCCATGTGGCCCTGTCCCCATGAGAGCACATGGGGGCTGATTATCTAAGATAAAAGTGTCTCATTGATGGTGACGTGGTTGAAGGAATGGTGGTGGAATTTGTGAGGGGATGGGTGGGACAAAGCAGCCAACACTGTTCATCCTCTTAGCATGGTTCTCAGTCATGCCGAGAAGCTCTGAGGCCAGCCCATGCCTGACACCCCAAGCATGAGAGAGCCGAGATTCCCAGGACTAGGAACAACTTGGATGACTACACTTGTCAGAAATATTGTGAAAGGGCAACCAGGAAATTCCCGTATTTGGGGCTGCATCATTTTAGAACATTTTTTCTTTCTTCAAGGTTCATCTCTCTCTGTCTCTTCTTTCCTAGTATTCATTTCTGCATCACATTACTACACGCCCGGAAACGAGTAGCTATACAATTCCTAAAGGACATTCGAGAATCTGTCACTCAAATCATGAAGAATCCTAAAGCGAAGACCACAGGAATGGTAGGGACACTTGGAGTTTTTTTTCTTCTCTTGGAAATTTAGGTGTTGGTGGAGAGTTTGAAGGAATCATATGACCCGGAGTCTGTTCCTGCCTCTGCCCCTTTGCCACAGACATCTTTTATTTGTTGACTGGAGCTGATGATCTCTGCATCACCCACCCCTTAGGGTTGCTGAAGTCTCAAATGAGATACACTATAAAGTACCTTGTAAGTTAGAGACTTCTGTATAAAAGCAGCTGGTGGTAGTGTCCATTTGAAAAGAAAATTTTGTCACAGGAAAGATAGTAAACATGTTTTTTCTGGAATTTTCTTAGGCTAGTCCCTTTATGCAGAAAGGCAGACTGGAAAGTCCCTGTGAAAAATTGACTATGCCAGCTGTTTTTCTGATAGAATGATGGGATGCCTTAGGTGGAAATGGGGTAGGGCAGTGCACATGCGAAGCTAGGACTCGGGGAGAAGGGGCTCATTGCTGCAGTTTTATTCTTGCTTTTGGACCTGGCCTCACTAATAATGTCTCTTTCTTTGGATTTGTAGGGTGCCATCTATGGCATGGCCCAGACAACTGTTGACAGGAATATGGTTGCAGAATTGTCCTCAGTCTTCTTGGACAGCTTGTACAGCACCGACACTGTCACCCAGGGCAGCCAGATGAATGGTTCTCCAAAACCCCACTGAACTTGGACCCTTTCTAGTCTCAAGGGGATTCCAGCCTTCAGAAGGTTCTTGGGATATGGAACAGGCCGTGCACAACTTTGACATCTGGTCTTGCTCCATAGAGCACAACTCAAGATAGACCATGAGACAGCTTGAGCCTCAGGATTCTTGTTCTTCCTCTTATCTTCCTTTTGTGGTTTTTAATTTGAAGACCCCAGAGAATTCCATTACATAATGATTTTGCCCTTGTTATAAATGTTACCCTAGGAATTGTTTTAACCATTTCCTTTTCTAAACTCTCTAGCTTTCAACTTTACTTAAACATTGTGTGGTAGCTCTGACCTGTCCTGATTCTTTAGAGAAGCTGGGGTACAGTTTATGAGATAGCTAGAGCTTCTTTGTTATCTCAGGCAGGAGGCGTTTACATAACAGATGTTTCCTCAGCTGGGTGTGAGGTATACTCTAAGCAGGAGGCTTTTTCAGCCTTCTCTCTCTTTTTTTTTTTTTTTTTTTTTTTTGAGATGGAATTTTGCTCTTTTGCCCAGTCTGGAGTGCAGTGGCATGATCTCAGCTCACTGCAACCTCCACCCACTGGGTTCAAGCGATTCTTCTGCCTCAGCCTCCCGAGTAGCTGGGATTACCGGCACCCACCACCACGCCTGGCTAATTTTTCAATTTTCTTTTTCAGTAGAGACGGGTTCACCGTGTTGGCCAGGCTGGTCTTGAACTCCTGACCTCAGGTGATACCCGCCCCCCCGCCTCAGCCTCCCAAAGTGCTGGGATTACAGGCGTGAGCCACCGTGCCTGGCCCTGTCTCTCTTAAGAGTAGGTTCATTGTCTGTCTTAGAGTCACTTCTATTGCAACTCATTTTCTTTTTCCAGGGCACAGATCGACCAAGCTGCCGTTCCCTATTCTGCAGGACAGGACTATTCTAGCATACCTGCTTCGTCCACCCAGGCAGGGTTTGGGGTGGTCTCTTCTGTGCCTGCAGTCCCCATTTGACACTTGGTTGCCACCATCTTTGGAGATTATTGTTTGGAATGATGCTTCCATTGGCTTTTTCTTGTTACCATGGACTAGGAAGAAAACATGGTTTCCAAATAATCTGGGAGCTTTTGGCCATGGTGCCGCCTTCCTGAATTGGCAGTGGTCAGAGCACACCTGAACCCTATCCTGGGCTGGTGATGAGCAGAAATCAGACCTTTTTCTATGCTTTTTTGAATATCAGAGTAGGATGAACACCCAGATTCAAATATGTCACCAAAGTTGGTGGTGGTCCTTCCCTGCACCCTTGCGTTAAGCCATTATGTAATGAAAATGTGTTTGCTTGAAGGAACAGCTCAAAGCACCTTCACAAGTTGCCTTGACTTACCCTAGGTGGGTGTGAAAGAGCACCCGTAGCAAGGAAAATTTTCTCTATTAGTGTGTTCTTCTGCCTCTTCCCCCTTGATTCAGCTTTCAGAGGTACTATGGCAGTTTTGCCTCAGGTGCTGAACATTTCTCAGCCCTGGCTAAAAGGGAGCAGCACAGGGAGAGAAACAGGATAGGAAAGCAGAATGGCGAGCAGCCTATGGCCCAGGGCCTGTAATCCCTTCCCAAGACTAGCTGCTCAGGGTGGTGCAGGGACAGGACCAGACCCTGCGCCTATTTCCTGCCTTCTTTCCCCTATAGGGAACTCTGTAGGCTGAGCCACTGTCCTGCTCTTATGACATTATATCTTGTGCCTTTCTCCTCAGCAGTGAGCAGTGAGCTACTCCTGGCCCAGGCCCTAGGGGAAATGGATCAGTCTTTGAGGTTTCTATTTGGGGAGGGGAGTACTTAAGATGAGTCAAAAGACACTTTCCTCTGTTCCATTCCCCATCTCAGGGACTCCTGAATATTCAGCCTCTCCAGGCTGGTGTCTTCTAGTTTCCCCCACTGGGAATGCTGGCTGGGAGAGCCATGACTACCAGACTTTTCCTCAGGCTCCTTGGCATGTTAGTCTGAATTGTTCTTGAGCACTGTACTACTGACCCAACAACTGTGACTAGCTGGCCACGCCATTCAGGGCTGGTGTGGCATTTATGTGTGTGTGTGTGTGTGTGTGTGTTTTTCCTGTTTGCCCAGCAGTGCATTGTGGGTTCCAAGAGTGGGTAGTGTGTGTATGTGTGTGTGTCAGAGGGAGACCTGGCAGGCACCTCTTTGAGAGTAGCTGTGGTCAGAGCTGTTTGGTCAGTGCATTATGTTGAATGAGGTCCAGGAACCCAGAGCCACCCAGCAGACACCACTGTGGCTTGCCAGCTGCCAAGATGGAGAAGCATGTGCCCCTGTAGAGCGTCTCCCCAGAACCAGACCCCGAGCCACTCGCTTCCTCTGTGCTGTGACAACATTGGTGCCAGGGGAGATGGTGTTTTTCAAAGGGACCTACTGTAGCCACTTTAATTTACAATTAAGAGCCTTAGTTTGACTTAACACTTTTGTAGGCTTTTCATTGTGTATTTTTGTGTATGTGTGCATATAGCAGCTACTCTGTAGCAGAGGTGGGTAGAGACACTTAATAGTATCATGTCGCATGCAGATGTCACATCGGCCTCTGCAAAAACTGTACTGTCTTGTTTCTGCATTAGACTTAAGTAGTCATGTGAATATACTGCTATGTCACTTTTAATATTACGAGTTTTATACTTGGAAAATGGTACTTGCTTCTTTTAAATCTCTGTCTTCTCTAACCTCCCCCTTCCCATTTCAATGCTCCCTTCCTAATTTCAGCAATAATCTCAAAAAGCAATTAAATAGTTAAATGACCCTAATTGTAATTACTGTGGATGGTTGCATTCATTTGATTACTTGGGCACACACGAGATGACAAATGGGGCAGTGGCCATGCTTGAATGGGCTCCTGGTGAGAGATTGCCCCCTGGTGGTGAAACAATCGTGTGTGCCCACTGATACCAAGACCAATGAAAGAGACACAGTTAAGCAGCAATCCATCTCATTTCCAGGCACTTCAATAGGTCGCTGATTGGTCCTTGCACCAGCAGTGGTAGTCGTACCTATTTCAGAGAGGTCTGAAATTCAGGTTCTTAGTTTGCCAGGGACAGGCCCTATCTTATATTTTTTTCCATCTTCATCATCCACTTCTGCTTACAGTTTGCTGCTTACAATAACTTAATGATGGATTGAGTTATCTGGGTGGTCTCTAGCCATCTGGGCAGTGTGGTTCTGTCTAACCAAAGGGCATTGGCCTCAAACCCTGCATTTGGTTTAGGGGCTAACAGAGCTCCTCAGATAATCTTCACACACATGTAACTGCTGGAGATCTTATTCTATTATGAATAAGAAACGAGAAGTTTTTCCAAAGTGTTAGTCAGGATCTGAAGGCTGTCATTCAGATAACCCAGCTTTTCCTTTTGGCTTTTAGCCCATTCAGACTTTGCCAGAGTCAAGCCAAGGATTGCTTTTTTGCTACAGTTTTCTGCCAAATGGCCTAGTTCCTGAGTACCTGGAAACCAGAGAGAAAGAGGATCCAGGATGTACTTGGATGAGGAGGCCTGGCTTATCTAGGAAGTCGTGTCTGGGGTGCTTATTGCTGCTCCATACAGCTGTACGTCAGCCCCTTGGCCTTCTCTGTAGGTTCTTGGCAGCAATGAGCAGCTTTCACTCAGTGACACAAGTAATTACTGAGTCCTAATTTGATAGCCACCAACTGTACCTGGGTAGGCAAAGTCAGATTTTTGAGAACCTTTTTCCTGATTTGAAGTTTTAATTACCTTATTTTCTTTTATGCTTTCCTCTGTCTTGTAATCTTTTCTCTTCTTAATATCCTTCCCTATAATTTCAATTATTTGGATTAATTTTAGAATAAACCTATTTATTTCTAAAAAAAAAAAGAAAAGAAAGTGTTACCTGTGTCTTTGTCTCACATGAATGTGCTTCATACAACTGTAGTGCTGCCAAGGTTGGCTTTATTTTTTGGAGACAAGGTTTCACTGTCACCCAGGCTAGAGGGCAATGGCATGATCATCACTCACTGTAGCCTTGACTTCCTGGGCTCAAGTGATCCTCCCACCTCAGCCTCCCGAGTAGCTGGGACCACAGGTGTGTGCCACCATGCCTGGCTAATTTTTCTGTATATTCTGTAGAGACAGAGTTTCTCTACATTGCCCAGCCTAGTCTCTAACTCCTGAGCTCAAATGATCCTCCCGCCTTGGCCTCCCAAAGTGTTGGAAATACAGGCATGAGCTGTCCCTGCATCGGGTGAACATTTTTCAACCCTTGACCCATGAAAATAAGCAGAGGCAGGAATGTAACATAACAGCATAGTCCATACCTCCGCATCTGGCGTCTTCTGTCCTTCAGTCCTCCAGTCATCAGATCAAAGCACACTTGGAAAATTTTAAGTCAGAAGTGGAGCAGATGGGAGACCACTGTCTGAATCTCGTTTGCCATCAATATAGGTATTGATAATCCTTTACTAGCATATATGCTAGGAACGGGGTCCTGCTAATCCCTCTTGTGAACAATACGCTTATTTCTCAACCTCCAGCCTCTGCCCCTTTCCTGGCCTTTGCTGGGGGACCAACTCATTCAGACTGAGTTGTGACATGGCTAGATTCCTGTTCCAAGTGACCCCGGCATTTACAAGTCAGCTTAGTACTTGAGTTAGGAGACACAGGTGAGAACTATTAGGAAGAAGGCTTCCCAGTCTCTGCATAGTGACATATGTGAGGTAAAATTTGTGTGGCATTCTCGTGGGGGTAGAGATGAGGCTGCTCTTAGTGCCCCCTTCTTCATGACAGCGTGGGAATATTCTGTCCTAGAGAGTTCCTGGCTGGGGAACTGACTGTGCAAACCATCTCTTAACTGCTCCAGTAATAAATAGCCTGCCAGGTCCTAAGCTGCCTGTGTCTTCTCTCTTGTGGAGTAAACCAGGCAAGCCCTAAGAACTTTGCTAAGATTTTAAGAAACTGAAGAGACCATCAGGATTTGGGATCTGCCATATCTGATATGATAGGCCTGTGTATTATGATTCTCCAGAGAAACAGAACCAATACACACAAAGAGATTTCTTATAAGGAATTGGCTCATGTGATTATGGAGGCTGACAAGTCCCAAGATCTGTAGTTGGCAAGCTGGAGAACCAGGAAAGCAGATGGTATTGTTGCACACCGGAGGCTTGTAGCCTTGAGACCTAAGGAGAGTGGATGTTTCAGTTTAAGTCCGAAAGCAGGAAAAGACCAATGTCCCACCTCAAGGCAGTCAGGCAGGAGGACTTCCCTTTTATTTGGAAGAGGGTCAGCCCTTTTTAGCCCTTTTTTTCTGTACAGGCCTTCACCTGGTTGAATGAGGCCACCCATGTTAGGGAAGACAGTCGGCTTTACTCAGTCTACTGATTCAAATGTTATCCTCATTCAGAAACACCCTCACAGACACACCCGGAATGTTTGACCAAATGCCTGGGCACCCCATGGCCCAATCAAGTTGACACCTAACATTAGCCATCACAGCCAGGAAGAAAATATAGGTTGAGTATCCCTTATCTGAAAGGTGTGAGACCAGAAGTGTTTCAGATTTTGGATTTTGGAATATTTGCATTATACTGACAAGTTGAGCATCTCTAATCTGAAAATCAGAAATCTAAAATGATCCAATGAGTATTTCCTTTGGGCATCATGTTGGCATTCAAAAAGTTTCAGATTTTGGATTTCCAATTTTCAAATTAGGGATGTTCAACCTGTAATATGGCCCCAGACTGCCTTTCTAGACATAGGTTCCACAATGCATATAATACCTGTGCCCTTCACACCCTTATCTGTGTTCATGGTGTTCTCTCAGCCATCTCTGCCTCCCAAGAATCCTACCCAGGTCTTCAAGGCATAACTCAAAGCCTCCAGATTTGCCCTTTTCACCATTAATCACTTGCGTTCCCTTTAGCTCATTTCTTATCCTGCCACCTAGCATTAATTCACTCTAGTAATAGTTAATTAGTACTAGTTAATTGGTAATTGGTAATAGTTAATTGTGTTCCTGTTTGATGATAATCAAATGGTATCCCCTAGATGATAATGAATCTGAAGGCAAGGTGGTCTGGTCCCTGTCATTTTCCAGTACCTTGAACAGAGGAAGTGCCTAGCACAGAGGAAGTGCTTTCATTTAAATGCCTATTGACTCCAATTTGGATTGACCTGTGGAAAAGAAGTTTCTAGAGCCTGAGACCAAGTGATATAATAGTTTTATTTGAGACATAAAAACACATGTGTTTCTATTACATAGTGTGGGGTTTAGGGTCCTGGTTTCTAAGACAAGACTTTATTTCACCCTGTATCACAGCTTCCTGGGAAATGAATTAGGGAGCAAGAGACGGCCTGGCAAGAAAATCATTATTGTTGCTGGGAAGTTGCAAAGAAAGGGGAGAGTTTATTCAAATTAGTGTAACAGAGCCCCCAGGATGAAGAGAGTGGTGCAGGGAAAAGGTCTAAATTCCTGGTGTTGGTGGGGACACTGGCACATCCCACAGCAAGGACTCAGCCCTCAACGGCGGCGGCTGGGTCTTGGGAGGGGAGTGGTGGGAGGGTAAGGGCTCCTCAGCTCCCTCCCTGGACTCCCAGTTCAGTCACCCCTTCCCCCGGAAGAATTCAAAGAGGAAGGGCAGGGTCTATGTCATGGACACTGCTACTTGTTCGATGAAGCTGGCCAGGTTTATGTCCCGTTCTGAAAGGCCGGCACACTCATGGGTGCTCAGCGTGATGTGGACCTGAAATGAAACCAGAAATTCTGCTTCCACTGACTTCACTTAAGAACAGGAGGGAGTCACTAGCTGCTGGGCTCAGCCCTGCTAGGAGCTCCAGAATAGCAGCTGGCCAGTACGATCTCTCCTGGGGACTCCTTCCTGACATGTCTGTAACAACATCTTCTACATCTCCCCTTTGCTGTCTCTCAAAAATAATCATGACTTCAGCTATAGAATAAAAGCTTAATATCTGAATGTCAAGAGCAACCTAAAAGCTAAAGACAAAACCAAAAACCAATGCCAACTCCTAAACACTATCCATTCATAGACGACCTCTTCCACCCTTACTGTTTTTATAAACAGAGACCAGCAGAGCTTTTGGCACATGGTAGACATTTAATGACTGTTTCTATTCATTAAGCAAATAATTTGATAGGTTGGCTATGTGTCTGTATTTTTTTTTTTTTTTTTTTTTGAGACGGAGTCTTGCTCTGTCTCCCAGGCTGGAGTGCAGTGGCTCAATCTCTGCTCACTGCAAGCTCCGCCTCCCGGGTTCCCACCATTCTCCTGCCTCAGCCTCCCCAGTAGCTGGGACTACAGGCGTCCACCACCGCGCCCGCCTAATTTTTTTGTGTTTTTAGTAGAGACAGGGTTTCACCATGTTAGCCAGGAGGGTCTTGATCTCCTGACCTCGTGATCTGCCCACCTCGGCCTCCCAAATATGTGTGTATTCTTAGTTCAAGTTTATTACTTTTTCATTCTTCCATACCTCCAGCAAGATTAAAGCCATTTAGAGCTATGAACACTGAATAAGTATGCCTGATTCCCACAGCCTTTCCTTTCTTGGGTTTTGCCTTCTTAATGTCTACTTAAATGTCTACTTTAACCACAACTATCTCATGCATCTTTTAATTTGCATTTCTTTATAGTAAGACTGATTTTTTTTTCCCAGGGGTATTTATGTTGATTCTAGGCATGTGCAATCTCAGTGAGATTGGAAATGAGATGAGTGGATGACCTATGGGTCAGGAAGGCTCATTGTTAAGTCCAAAAGCCTTCAGAATGTGTCAGAGTTCGCAGTATTTGGATGGGGGCAGAGCACAACAGAGGCACACAGCATCACTCACCTTGTTGTACACGTTAAACCATTCAGGATGGTGGTCCAGTTTCTCAGCCTGCAGGGCCACTCTTGTCATGAACCCAAAGGCCTATTTAAGTGGAGTGAGAGCCAGGTTAGTGTTCTAAGAGAAAGGACTTCTGGACATCACCAATTCAAGGCCTAGACGCAGGAGGATGAATTAGCTTCCCCCCAGGAGACTCCTCTATAATCATTTCCCCCTTGACATCCTGTCACTGGTTCTCAGGCTTGAGTTAGAGATTGTCCTTGCAGTAGGAAGAAAGTCTTGCTATTTAGGATGTCAACAAGGTGGAAACACCACAACAGGCTTTTGGCCTGGCCAGTCTTGGCCGTCTGTTCAAATGTCTTCAGATGTGCATGGTTTCCACTTGAACTATCTCCTCAGAAGACTGCTGCTAAAAGTTCCAGGAAGGGAGAGCCCAAGACACATCCTCCTATGGCTCTCCAATCCCCAAAGATGATACTTTCTGAGTTAGACAGGAAAATTAATTTCCCCACTGGCACAGTGCCCAAATAACTGGATGAGTGTGGTGTCTGAGAGTCTTGGCTAACAAGACGTGAAGGGAGAGAACATGCTTTGTAAGGTGACCCCATCAGCCCGTCTCAGAAAACTCTGTCCCACCCTGGTGCCATACCCTGTTGAAGTCTTTGAAATGAAACTGCTTGAAGATGGCATCACGGCCTTCCAGCTCATTCCACCCCACAGCCCTCAGGTTTGGCAGCAGCTGGTCCCTCTCCTCAGCGCTCAGCCTGTGTGCTTTGCCAGCCTAGAAGAGGGAAAAAAACAGAGGCCCAAGGGCATTTCTCTTTATAGGTCAAAACAGAGGGGCTCCAACCTTTAGGGGAACTTAGCTTCCACTGGCTGCTTTGGACGTGGGTGACCAAAGGGCAGCAGGTCTTTGAGCAATAGGCTGGGAGGCCTCAAGGGTGGCACCCTGCCCAGGAGGTGGGGTCCAGGCTCGTCTGCCGATAGGCCCTCAGGTCTTGGGTTTTAACACTCCACACACACACAAGGGAAATCACAAAAGCAATGTAATTCATATGACGGGGACAGAGAAGCACTCTTCCCCCACCCTGCCCTCAAAGCCTTACGGACCTTCCCTCCATGAGATTATTACATCAGTGAGGGCGTAAAAGCAAAATAAATCCCAGATGCAAATATGTTACTCCACAACCTCTCAGGAAGAGTACCCATGACTCTCCCCCCTTCCTTTTCCTATTATGTACTTCATCATATGCACCCCACGTCCCTACCGTAACTTTCACGTGTATTGAAGAGGAAACAGGCCTAGAGAGGGGAAACGACTTGTCTGCTGTTCTTTCCCGCCCACCCCTAGCCAGTGATGGCGCAGTGTTGTCTGTGTGTCAGCATTGCTGGGGCTGGACGAAGGAGCTACATTTAAAATAAGTGTCCATCCCATTCTTAGCCACACTGCAGCTGACCGCCGTTGGCACTACCTCTAGTAGGTCCTCAGTCATGCTCCCAGGCAGCCTCTGGTCCTGAGCCGCCAGGGCTAGGTTTCTCTGGTTTTCCGTCTGCTTTTCTGGCTGGTTGGGAAGCTCAGGCCAAAGTGGAAGGAACTTGGCCAAAGGCAGCTGGCAAACCTAGTGCCCCATCCTATTTACCTAATGTGCGAAGTGCCCTCAAGGCAGCCCAAATTGGCACAATTCAGGCCATGAGTGGAACCTCAGAGAAAGCAAGGAAGCAAGGGTCAGTTTCATCCTAGGAGGATCCAGGTCTAGGAGCTTAACAGATCCCAGAACCTAGGCTTCTAGAGTAGCACCACCCCAGGGCAGAAATAGAGTGCTGAATTGAAAAGATACCCTTAGGGGTGGGGAGGGAATGTGAGGGAGGTTGATTTAGCTTTTATGAGGCAGCCTGCAGACTGGACACCATGTGTTGATTGGCAGGAGTTTTGAGACCCGCTTTCACCATTTACCAGCCAGGTGGCTGTACCTCTCTTGGCAGAACCTCCACCTCCACAGATCATCATGAGGTGCCAATGGGACACTTTAGGAAACTCCACTGCTATAAAGCAAATGTCATCTGCATTACAAAAAAAAAACTTCCTAAGGCAAGCAGGCTTGTGATGGGCCTGGTAGCATTTGGGGTAGCTGAAGCATCGCAGTGCTTTCCTAAGTCCGTCTTTTTTCCCTGCTGTTTTCCCTCCTGAAAACGTGAGCTCTCTCTGGACTGATGTAGCTTGGCCCCTCTCTTCCCCTCGGCTCTGGATGACTATAGGGATTGAATGGCAGCAGCGATTTGCATCATCTGCCCAGTAGGTAGGTCTCTACTCCAGAGCTGGCCTTCTCCCCGTGGCTGACCGCCTGGTCCGTGTATCTAGACAACCAGAAGTCAGCCAAAGCATCAGAGCCCACTGTTTACTTCCTTGGCTCTTAAAGGGGTGGGTGAGTCCAGGTGAGCTCTTAGGAGGCTTCCCTTTCTCGGTAGAGCCTTCTGGAACCCCCCAGGTCGCACAGCCTGCGGCTGAACTGACAAACCTTCCAGGTGCCGGCTCTGGAGACAGAGAGGGGGACGCTGCCCCGTTTGCCTCCTCTGGCGAGGTGTGGGGAGTGGTTACCGATTTCCCAAGCCTGCATCTCTGGGACCTCAGCGCCCCTCACAAACAGCCCCACTCATCCTCCCTCCCCCAAGTCCCTCTCCTATCAAAAGGCCCTCCCAGTCTTGCCTGCTCCGAAGGCCTGTGGACCAGAAATGGTCTGATGAAGCTCGCGAGCTTACAGCAGAGCAAGGGCCCCGCCCCCGCCCCCGCCCCGGGGGTGGGTGGGGGAAGCTCACGGGAGGAGGGCTGCTCCAGCGCCACCAAGCCCCCGTGGCCTGGCACGGGCCTCAAGCCGGCGCGGGGAGTGGCTCTGGGGCCAGCATACCGGCGCAGAGCGTGAGTCCCAGGCAGACCCCGTACCCAGAGTGCCAGCGGGAAGGGGCAGCGGACAGGCACGCACACGAGCGCGCAAACTCAGCCTCCCTCTCGCTCCCACCCCAGTATAAAGCAGAATCGGGCCACCAAGGGGACGAGATCCGTGGACTCCTCCACGACTGTCTTCCCCGGCCCAGGAAGGTCGTAGGCCCCGCCCCCGGAAGGGTCCCGGAACAAGCACTGGCCGGGGTCAGGGCAGGCCTGGCCTCCCAACTGGGTGGGATTCGAACCCGCCACCGCCCCTCTCAGGGCTTCAGCTTCCCCTCCCCGCCGCCAGCGACAGAGAGCCGGGCAGAGACCCCACTTTCGGACCCCGGCGGCTCCGCAGGGGACTCGAAAAGACTTTCCCCCGCCCCTTCCCGCTCCCACCTCGCCCGCGGCTGCCCCGGCCCCGCTGCCCCGATCGCGGCCGCGCACCCCTGGACTCACCATGGCGCGGGCGGCAGCAGGTGGCCAGCGGAGAGGGCAGGCGGCGGCCGGGCGCGCAGGCTGCCGTCCCGGGGCGGGGCCGCGCTCGGGCCGCCCTCCGGTAATGATTAACGTCCCCAGCCAGGGACGCGCTCGGCCTGCTTGCTTCCAGCACTTTCCTCGCTGCTCAGAGCCATCCTCCGTGCTTGTTTCAGGGAGCTAGGGTGAAGCATGAGGGCTCCAAATGCCCGCTTCTGGGTTGGAATCCCACCCCGCCGCTTACAGCTGGGTGGCCCTGGGCGCCAGAATACCTATTTTTTTCTTTATAAAAATCTCTTATTTGGATATAATTGACATGCAATAAATTGCACATATTCAACGTGTACAATTTGATAAATTTTAATGTTTCCCTCGTGAGACCATCACCGAGATCAACATTATGAACATATCATCATCCCTGCAAGTTTTCCCTTGCCCTTTGGTAACCCCTTCCTCCCGAAACCACCTGGCCAGGCAAGCACTGATGTACTTTAGGTCACTATAAATTAGTTTGCATTTTCTAGAATTTTATGTAAATGGACCATAGAGTATATACTAGGCAGGATAACTGTTTTGGGGTTCAGCCATGTTGTTGCCTATATCAATGGTTTCTTCCTTTTATGGCTAAGTAAAATTTATTTTATAGTATTGCATTGTACAGATAGACTACAATTTGTTTAGCGATTCACTATTGGACATTTGCGTTGTTTACCTTTTGGCTATTACAAATAAAGCTGCTGCGAATATGGTGCACAAATCTTCGAAAGTACGTATGTTTTAATTTTCCTTGAGTAAACACTTAGGAATGGAATGCCTGGGTCATGTGGTAGGTGGACTTTTATAACTTATTAGGAAACTGCCATACTGTTTTGCAAAATGGTTGTATCATTTTATATTCCTAGCAGCAGTGTATGAAGGTTGCAGTTCTCTGTCCTCACCAACACTTGATATAGTCAGCCTTTTAAATTTTAATTGGTGTGTAGCAGTATCTCATTGTGGTTTTGAGTTTCCTTGATTAGTAATTGTATTGAATGTCTTTTCATGTACTTATTTGCTAAGGATAAGTTTTTTTTATTGAATAGCATGTTTGAATTTCCTGCCCATTAAAAAAGAAATTGGGTTGTCTTCTTATCGAGTTTTGAGGGTGTTTTATTCTGGATATAAGGACATGATCAGGCAGTGATTTGCAAATATTTTCTTTGCATTATCTTATGGTGCCTTTCAAAGAGCAAACGTTCTTAATTTTGATGAAATCCAATATATCAAATGTTTCTTTTATGGATTTCTATTTTGATGTTGTACACATAGAAATCTTGGCCTAACCCAAGATCAAAAGTTTTCTCCTATGTTTTATAGCTTTTGGTTTTACATTTAGTCTGTGATCCACTTTGAGTAAATATTTTTATATGCTTCAAGTTATAGATCCAGATGCACTTTTGCACATGGCGACTCAGTTATTCCTTTCTCCACTGAGTTGTCTTTGCACCTTTGTAAAATATCAATTGACTGTATACATGTGGGTTTATTTCTGAGCCCTTTCTTCTGTTCCATTGATCTGTTTGTCTGTCATGACAGAACACTACCTTGTCTTGATTATTATAGCTTTATAATAAGTCTTAGAGTCAGATTAGAAAAGTCCTCTCACATTTCACATTTTTCTATTAACTTTTATTCTTGTGCTCCACTTTTATTCCCCGCCCCCCACCACCGCCCATAGCAGCCTCTCTAATGTGTTAATGTGTATTTTTGTTTGCACAGGTTCTTGCAAAATGTGTGGTGTTGTTTCGTCTATGTGTATTTTTAAATTTATGTAAATGGTATTATGTAAATATATTACATTTCTCAGTCTGTTTCTTACAAAACAGAGTATTTAGTGGAAAATTAAGATCTACCCATGTTGCTATATGTATATTCAATCTGTAGCTTTTAACTGCAGCCTAGTATTTTGTAATGAGAATCTGCCATGGGTTTCTTGTTCTATCAGTGATGGACACTCAGGTTCCCTTCAACTTTCTGCTGCTACCACCACCTCCCAAGCCCGTGAGCATGTGGGCACACAAACACATACGTACACAGAGTTAAACAACAATGCTGCTGCAGTGAACATCTCTAATTGCTCCCTGGGCTGTGGGCAGTTTCTTAGGCAACTTAAGTATATCCATACCCTATAAATCCAGCAATTCCCCCCATGGGTGTGTATCTCAAAATAGTTCTAGATGATGTCCAGGATGGGGACACCAGTCCTCATTCTCTCCTGCATGGTGTGAGGGGGTACTATTTCCATATGCATCTTACACATACATACTCACACTTCCCATTAGCCAGCTTTTTATTTTTTTGTCAGGCTAATAGCTATAAAATGAGAGCTTGTTGTGATGCAGGATTTTTCTTGACCCCTTTGCTGAGGTTGCAGCAGGGAGTGCCTTATCTACTCAGCTTGCCAGGCCCCATCTGGCTTGTGTTACAGCCCATGGCTCACAAGGCCACTGCGACTGTATGCTCAGCCCCTGGCGGGAGGGAGCATGTGACCGAGTGAATGCAGGGTCCAGCCAGCTGCACTGAGCCATGACACAGGAACAGGCTCTGTGTGGGGCCCACAGCCAGATCAGGTGTGTCACCCCAAGGAGACTGTGGCAGCACCCAGGCAGGGGTGCCTGAAGCCCCAGAGAGGGGTGTTACAGTGTGCTAAATAGCTCTTTTATCTCCACCATCTGCAGCCTGATGGACAGCGGCATGTTGGCAGCTCAGGCGGCCCCTTTCTCCACTCTGGCCCGTGGCTCCTGGACCAGCTTGGCCCTGCTGCAGCTTCTGTTCTGTGGGGCAGCTGCCCTCCACCAGTGAGGGTAGAGGGCCAGCGTTACAGCCTTTGTGGGTGCCCACATTTGGTGGGTCCTGAGCTCTTGTTCTGCATCCAAGAAGAATGAGGTCATGCTGACAGTTGAAGGGTGATGAGGATGGAGAATTTTATTGACGATGAAACAGCTCTCAGTGGAGAGGGATTGAGAAGGTGGGGTTGTCTATCTCAGTGTGGCTGAGTCTAGGGGGTTTTATAGGCACAGGATTGGGGAGGGGCGGGCTGTAGGTAGTATTAGAAAAGGCAACATTTGATTGGTTAAAAAGCATTATTCAGAAAGAACCAATCAGGAAAGGGTGGGCAAACAGGAACAGAAGTTCTCACCCTGGTTTGAGGGGTTTCATCCCAAACCAGCAGTCCAGGCTGTTTTTGGCTTGAAGGTGGGGTTTCACTGGGGACCCACCCCCATCTGCCTAGGAAATTGTCTGCCTCCTGCCGCTTTCAATTGTTTTACTCTACATTGTTTTCTGATGACTAATGATTTTGAGAACCTCTTCATATGCTTGTTACCATTTGGGGGTTACTATTTGTGAATTGCTTTTTAATATCCTTTGCCAATTTTTGAGAATTTTTAGTGCTCTCTTTTTTTAGTTGGTTTGTGGGTGTTTATATAAAATCTAGACATTAATTGCTTGTCAGTTTTGATATTGCAAATATCTCCTCTCATTCTGCCATCTGTATACTGACTTCTTGCATGAGATCCATGATGTCTGTGGGCAGAAATCTTATATTTTGGTGTAATAAGATTTATCTTTTTTCCCTCTGCCTTATAATTTTGTGCATTTGAAAATTTATTTGATAAGTCCTCTCCCCACCCTGCTACAAAAATATACTCCCTTTTCTTTTGTTAACTTTATAGTTAGATAGATTTAAGACCTAAATGTGAAAGGTCCCTTTTGGTATGTAGTGTTAGGCAGGATGTTAGTCTCCAAAGATAGCCCCCAATGAACCATGACTCCCAATATTCACACCCTGCATAGTTCTCACCCATGTTGAATCTGGGATGGCCCAGTATGACCAGTCAAATATGGCAGAAATGTCACCATGTGACTTTGTTTTGATACAGTGTCTTGCTCTGTCGCCCAGGCTGGAGTGCAGTGGTGCAATCATAGCTCATTGCAGCCTTGACCTCCTGGGCTCAAGTGATCCTCCTGCCTCAGCTCCCCCAGGTAGTCACCATGCCTGGATAATGTTTTAAATTTTTTACAGAGACAGGACATTTCTATGTTGCCAGGCTGGTCTCAAATTCTTGGGCTCAAATGTTGGGCCTTGGCCTCCCAAGTGTGGGATTCCAGGTGTGAGCCACCACATCCAGCTATAACTTCTAAGACTAAGCCAAAGAAACTCTGGGAACTGTTAATCATTCTCCAGCCACGTGAGTGAGACTCTTGGATGCTCAGACCTGCCAAACCTTCAGATGACTTCAGCCCCAGGAGACATCTGACTTCAATCCCACGTGAGGCCCCAAGTGAGACCAGTCAACCCGTGGAAGCATGAGAAATCATAATTTTTGTTTTAAGCCACTCAGCATGATGATTTGTTCTGCAGCAATAGGAACAAATGGCAGGAACAAAATTTGGTGCCTGAAAGTGGAATGTTGCTATAAAAGCAACCTAAAATGTGTAGCGTTAGGTTGAGAATGGGTGGTGAGAGACGGTGGAAGGAAAGACTTAAGGACAGCAAGAAGTATTCACCTTCCATCCAGGAGGCAGAAAGCCTTGCTATCATACTTAACAATGAGAAAAGACTGCATGCACTACAAAGTCATCACTTTTCTTGAGCTCACCAGGGAGGTGAGCTCACAGGGCAACCAAGTATCCTGAATTCCAAGGGGGCAGGTCCCTCCAAGGAGAGGCAGGATGTGCAGTCTGGCTCACTTGGGCAGTGCTTGGAGGAAGGGGCAGCCTCCATTAAAGTGGGTAAGAAGAAAGAAATCAGTTCAGTTTTAACAAATTGTTGGAAGCCAGGTGTGGGCTGGCGTGTCGGTCTGAGACAGCAGGGGGCCCAGACAAGGTGAGAGTTTGCACACACTAACTGCTTCCTCTCTGTGCATGCTCTCAGAGTGCTCATCCGGTGAGGGAGTGGGGAAGGATGAGGGAAGGAGAGGGACCCACTCAGTAGTGTGGGGGCTGAAGGGGCTGTTTTTGCTGTGGGAAAAGCGCCCAACCCCCTGTCCTAAGCCCCCTGTTCAGTGGAGCAAAAGCCTTAAGCCACAGGCTGAGGGCCAACAAACCCTGTCACTCCCAGGCACGCACAGCCCCATGGTGGCTCATTTCTGGTAGGAGAACCCCCCTACCCTTGGGGGAGGTCCAGGAAACCGTACTGGGACCAAGATCCTATGTTAATATCATTCCAGGTCAGCTGCCTCTGGGGCAGAGTGGGAAGCTCTCCCATGAAGGACCTGCCCCGGATATAAGGCAGGGTCCACTGCACTGAAGCGGATGGGTGGGAAGGCTGAGAAAGCTCCACAGCCCCGGGCAGCAGAGAGCCTACACTTACCTCCTCACCACAAACCTGGTAGTGGGCAGCCAGCCTGGTAGTCACCACCGGGAGAAGGGCAAGAGTATGGAAAATATGAAGAAAGACACCTCCTTCCTGTGGGGCCACTGGGGATATGGCAATTACTATCACAATGAGAGACCGCTGTACACCTCCAGAATGACTGGATAAAAGGCCACCTGACCCTACCATGTGCTGATGAGGAGGTGGCATCGCTGGAACTCTCATGCTTTGTTGGTGGACATGAAAAATGCTTCAGCCACTTTTTTTTTTTTTTTTAGTGCAGTTAAATTTTACATATATTTTGTGGTTATTTGACTAGTGTCTGCTGTGTTAGCTTCTTAGGGCTGCCACAACAAATTATCACAAACTTGGTGGCTTATTCTCTCACCATCCTGGAGGCCAGAAGTCTGAATGGAGGCGTCAGCAGGGCCATGCTTCTCCCAAGGGCTCTAGGGAAAAGTCCTTCCTCACCTCTTCCAGCTGCCGGTAGCTCCTGGAGTTCCTTGGCTTGTGGCAGCATCACTCCTATCTCTGCCTCTGTCTTCACATGGCCTCCTTCTCTGTGTCTCTACATCTTTTTCTTCCATGTCCAGAACCCAGGAGCACATTCTTCACTGAAATCATTCTCTGCTGCAGCTTTTGGAATCCGGTCACTCTTGAAAACACCAAAGGCCACTGGAGCCTACAGCTGCCCATCATGTCAAGATCTGCTGGTATCACGGTAGCACTCAGCAGTGGCAGCCCATTGCTTCAGCTCCTGGAAGAACAAAAGGCCATCTGCTGAGTCAGAGGTCCCACCAGAAGCCAAGTCAGCCACTTCTGAAAACCATTTGGCAATTTCAATTTCTTATGAAGTAGAACAGACACTTACCTATGTATCAGCAACCCCACTCCAAGAGAAATGAAGACACGTCCACACAAAAGCCTGTGTGCTAATGTTCATGTTTGTGGCAGCTGTGCTTGAAAACAATCCAGATGTCCATCAACAGGTGAATGAATACACAATGTCGTATGTCCATAAACCGGAATACTAATCAGCAATATAAAGAAATGAACTACTGACACCTTTGACTACATGGGTGGATATCAAAAGCATTATGCTGGGAGTAACAGCACAGAAGACTATGTGCTATATTATTCTTTTTCTTTTTTGGTGGGGCGGGAGGGGGGAACAGAGTTTCTCTCTTGTTGCCCAGGCTGGAGTGCAATGGCATGATCTCAGCTCACTGCAACCTCCCCATCCTGGGTTCAAGTGATTCTCCTGCCTCAGCCTCCTGAGTAGCTGGGATTACAGGCATGCGCCACCACGCCTGGCTAATTTTTGTATTTTTAGTAGAGACGGGGTTTTGCCAAGTTGGCCAGGCTGGTCTTAAGCTACTGACCTCAGGTGATCCACCCACCTCGGCCTCCCAAAGTGCTGAGATTACAGGCGCGAGCCACTGTGCCTGGCCTATATTATTCTTTTTATACGACATTCTGAAAACCACAAAACTAGGTATAGGGAGAGAAGAGATTAGTGATTGCAAGGGGCAGGAAGGGGTGGGGGGGAAGGAGTTGACTACAGAGGGGCACAAGGGAAATTAAAACATTCTGTGTATCTTGATTGTAGCGTGATCACATGACTAGATGCCTTTGTCAAAAAGATGCATATGTAAATTATATCTCAATAAACCTGACTTAAAAAACAAAGCCAATCTACCATGTTAAGTCTGCAGATAATTATTACCACTGGGGAGTTAGTGCTAGAAAGAGACTATGAATGGGTTTCTGGTAGTACCCTGTGTCTTCATCTGGCAAAGTTGGTCTTTGGGTGTATACGTCTGTCAGTCTGCAAAAATTCTTCAAGCTGAATCCCTATGAATTATGTACTGTTATATATGTAATATTTCAATAAAAAGTTTTTTAAAAGACAGTGAGGAAAATATTATTGGAAAAAAAGAAGATTCAAGAACAAGTAGGAACACTCTTTCTTCAGTAACCTGGAAGAGAAGAATGGTACCCACTGAACTCATGCTTGGCTTCTAGCAGCCTAGAATACCATTGAGAAGAGGGAGAGCAATGAGCTAAAAAGAGGGCCTTGGACAGTCTTCTAAGTTAGCAAATGATTCTCAAGGTAAGAAGTGGCTTCATGGTAAAGGTCAACTCAAGGGGAAAGCTGTAAGACTCCTGTTATGACCTTAGAAAGATTTAAGACTCTGTCTTACAGATACTTTCAGGTAAACAATAGGGCTTCTAAGAATCTGCTTGATGTGCTTCCTAGACCAACTTTGCCAGGCAAGAGGGCTGTTAAAGACCTTAAGAATTTTGTTCCTCAGCACCCTGACTCTTGGACCAAGGTACACAGGGGCCTCTCTTCAAGAGATTTGTGGCTGTAATTTTTGTCCGATAGAAGGAACCTCAATAAGGTCTATAGGAACCTCACAAAACTTTTAGTAGAATTGTATTGGTACTGGCACTACCAACTTGAACTAAAGACAGAGACAATTCAAAACAAAAAGAGTCCACTGTACCTCCTACCTTTCAGAATCAGACTGAAAAGCTACTCCACTTCAAACATGGACATATCTAAAAGAAAAGATAAGTCAGATTTCAGAGATAAGAGCTTGGCTGTTTGAGCCAAGAGCTATAATCACTTCCAGGGAGCAGGACTGGGCTATCACTGGGGAACTGGCAACATGTGCCCTGCTGGATTTTAGAATTACCATGGGCCCAAAACTGCTATGTGCCCTCTTCCTTTTCTTTTTTCTTTTGAACAGGAGTGTTCAAGTTGTCTGGGGCCCCATGTTGTGCTGAAGCAGCCTCAACTTCCCTCTTTTGATGCCTCTGTCTGTCAGGATGGGCTGGATAATGCTGCAATAACAAGTAACCCCCAATCTCAGTGGCTCAACACAACAAAAATTTCTTTTTTTCTCTTATAACATGTTCAATACAGGTAGACAGAGGGACTCTATGCCTTGTAGTTACACAGGAACCCAGGCTGATGGAGGTTTCATCTCTCATATTTTTCCATAATCGCTGCAAAAGTGGGGTGAGATTGTGGGGGGTTAGCAGCAGTGGATCTTAAGTTTTAGCTCACATGGCTGTGCCTAGCTTCAAAGAGAGTGGGGAAGTGCAAATCTACCATGTGCCCGAAAGCAGAGTGCTGGAATTCTGCATTTGATGAATTACATGAAGGACTTTCATAGGGACCCACTATCCCTGTGATGAAGCACCTAGTGAAATCAGCTGCTGGCCCAGGTAGAAAGAGAAGTCACCCTTTAGGCTACACATCCTGGGACTGGGGACCTGGGCCATGTGAAGCTGTAGGGTGTGGCCTGGTCTAGGGAAACTATTGTGCCTCAAGGGACCTCTGGGCCACCCTAGTAGAGTCTAGAGGCTGGTAATATCTGGATTTCTTTGGGCCATCTCCTGATCATCCCATTCTACCCCCCAGAATTTTGCCTCTCCATTAAAATAATTCAATAGTCACCTCTTCCGAGGGGCAGGGGCAGACCCAGAATTTTGTATGAGCCTGATGCTTAATGGAATTTTGGACACTTTCTCTAAGAGGAAGAACACAAATTACAAAAACAAATTAAAGTACAAATATAAATATTTACTTAGAAGGAGAAAGGAATTAACAACAAATTGCAAATTCAAAAGAACTATTACAAACATCACAAAGTTCAGAAAAATAATATTTTTATGAGCTGGCTGACACACCTGTACCAGTTTTCCTTTCCTACCATTTTGGCTACATTTTCATGGCCTGTTCATATGATGATGATTTGGCATTAGCACTTCTAAAGAGAGAATAGGATGGTAAATTTTGATAATCATGCTAGAAGGAAGACTGATTATTTTTATTATTGATAGTTTGAATGAGTAAATTTGATGGCACACACATATGTGCTTGCTGGTTGGGCCTAATGAAGGATGAAATTCTGATACATTCTTTTTTGTGCAATTAAAAAAAGTGATAGTGTATTTATCATTGAATATGTTACATTATTAGGAATATTTCTTGGCCAGGCACATGCTGTAATCCTAGCACTTTGGGAGGCTGAGGTAGGTAGATTACTTGAGGTCAGGAGGTCAAAACCAGCTTCGCCAACATGGTGAAGCCCTGCCTTTAACAAAAATACAAAAATTAGTCAGGCGTGGTGGCGGGTGCCTGTAATCCCAACTACCTGGGAGACCGAGCCAGGAGAACTGCTTGAACCCAGAAGGTGGACGTCGCAGTGAGCCAAGATCTCACCACTGCACTCCAGCCTGGGCGACAGAGTGAGAACCTGTTTAAAAAAAAAAAAAAAGAATATTCCTAATAAGAGGGACCATCTATTTTGACTAGGTATTGATGAAAATGAAACTGTCTGCTGAGAAATATTGCACACCTGATAACTGGGAGAATTTTCCAGAGGTCTGATGCCAGCTCTGTACATATGGAGCCTTGTTTCCCTGCATTACCCATCTTTCTCTGCCAGAGGCCATGGGACATATCTTATAAGTGTGTATATTCCTAGAAGGCACTTCTATAACCATGATGGCTAGCAACAACTTACTTAGATATGGTAGTGACAGAGAATGGCATAAATGTATCCCTCTAAACCCAAATGAAGTGTATCCTCAACACACCTGGCCCTCTACCAGATCTGTAAACACGCCCGGCATCTACTCTGATACCACCCAACGGGAGGGGTGTGACATGGGGAAAGTTGGAGTGGAAAAACAAACTGGGCCTGACCTATTCACTGGGCCTACACTGAAAATATCTTTCTTTAGAAAATTTTGCAAAAACATATGACCATGTTGGCTCCTGGGTGGGACCCATTCAGGTGAAAACCCCTGAGGCTCAGGCTTTATTTGCTTCCCAGGAATCCCACTCCTGCCTGGGAGCCTTCACTGCTGAACCTGCCCGATTCCTGCCCACCCTATAGGTCTCTTTCCTCAGTGCTTCATTTCCTTTTTCCCTTGCTCCTGAAGGGTGAAGAATGACACATCTTTGAATCCCCTGGGGCATCTGGAAATCTGCCCTGCACTTAATACCTTCTCAACAAATGTTTCCCAAATTCATGTTTGTGTATTTCTGCGGGGAGCTGAGATAGCTACTCAGCACCATGTAAACTGTATTCAAGAAATATTGTTCAACAGTGACAACCCTGAAACGCTAACATTTATGTAGTATAATCTTTTGCCAGGTCCCACGCTAAGGATCTAAAAAGGTTTGTAAAAGCTTTGTTTCAAATCATAGAAGGAGCATGTGCTGATAGTAAAAAAAGAAAGAAAAAAAAGGGTGGGCCCATATGGTTGGTATAAAGAGAAAGGTAAAAATCCCCTCTGCCACCCCGCTCTGTACCCACCCCAGGTCGCCAGGCGGAGGTCACCACAGCCTCTGGAGGCAGCGTCTGCCCTGAGGTCTGGCTCTTCTGCTTGCTTAATTGTGGGATCTTGAGCAAGTTACTTAACCTTTTGCAATATCAGTGTCCTCAACTGTAAAATGGGGATAATAACAATAGCAGCCTTGTGGGAGGTTGTAATGATTAAATGAGACATTTCATGTTGAGTGTCTGGCAGTGCCCCCTGTATCCTCTCAACCCCACCCTGAACATGACCTTCAAGAGCAAGACTTTGCCCTCTCTGCCTGGGGAGGCTCCCTGCCCATCGAAGATGCTCTGCCCACAAGCTGGACAGGCTGCAGATGACAGGGAGTTAATACCCTACTCTCAACCAATGTAGGATGGGGGTTGGTGGATACGTATCCACTTCCTTATCCCTTGGTGGAAGGATTCTGGTGTGTTTACACCGTCGCTCCGAGGGTCCCCAGCAGGACTGAGTGATAACCTGCTCGTTCGTGCTTGCTTACTCGGCTCTCCTCCCTCCCCATCTAACCTGCTGTTTTTTTTTTTCTTAATTCAAGGTTGTCCTTTTGTTATTGGTTTGTAGAATTACAACCCTTTGTTGATTATCTATGTTGTAAATATTTTCTCCGAATCTCATTTACTTTTTAGCTTAGTGACATAAAGAAATGTTTAGTTCTTAGATAGCCCAGTCTGCCTGACTTTTCCTTTACAGTTTCTAGACTTATGTCTTGCTTAGGAAGGACTTTCTCACCTCAAGATTAACAAATAGCTGTGTCTCTATTGCCTCTTAGTACTTTTTCAGTTGGTAAAAAGTTGGTAAAAGATTTGTTAATCTCTTTGGAATTTACTTTTGGCTATGATGTGAGAAATAATAAGAATAAGAAAAGTAACAATTATTTTATTTCCAAATAGATAAACAATAATCTCATACTATTTTTTAAATACAAAGAATAGGCCATCCTTTCGCCACTGATTGGAAATGCTACTTTTGTAATATACTAATTTCCCATAATCCCCATAGCTTGGTTTCTGGGTTCTTTGTTCTGTTCCTTTGATCCACCGACTCCATCCTGTTTTAATTTCTCTAGCTTTATAGTTCATTTTGATATCTGGTACATCAAGTCCAATCTCATTTTTCTTCTTCAAAATGTTCTTGCCTATTCCTGCTTGTTTACTCTTTCAGATGAGCTTGAAAATCAGCTTGTCAAGTTCCATAAAAATCCCTTTAGGATTCTGATTGTGAATGCATTGAATTTATAGATTTAATTTGGGAAGAATTGACATCTTCATATTATCGGGTCTTTCCATCTTGGAGTGTGATATATCACCCCATTTATTCAGGCCTTCTCTATGCCCTTCAGTAAAGTTTTACTGTGTTCCTCATGCAGGACTTGGACATGTCTTGTTCAGTTTATTCTTAGGTGTTTTATAGTCAGCGTTGGCTGCTATGCACGGGATGATTGCTTCATTACATTTCTAATTGGCCTTTGCAGGTATATAGGAGAAGTGTGGATTTTGATGTGGTATCTTGTCTCCAGTCATGCTGATAAACTCTCTATTTAGTTCTAATATTTGTCAATGGATTAGAAAAACTTTGAACCAGTCATGCTGTCGCACACAGGATGGGCCTCCAGGGAAGGGGCAAGGAGCTCCGCAGTCCTGATGGCCGCTATTGAATCCACGGATCCTGTTAGGGCTGCTGTAGAGACTGCCGTGCATATGGTTCAGAGCTTTGGACAAGACAGCCTTTAGATCCTTTCCCATTCTAAGCTTCTAACATTCACAATTCCGGTGCCTGTCTGCTTCATGCACTATCTCCCAGTTGCATAACGACCAAAGCCAAGTTCCCTTCCTTCCCTCCCTCCTTCCTTTCCTTCCTCAACTATACTTTGGTTTCTACCTGCCAAGCTGTGTCAGGTTCTGGGAAGGTGGGGAGGGAGAGATCACGATGATTGCTGCAGAGATAAGTGCTCCACACCCTTGGGATGCAAATGATGTTACTTAAATCGCCTCAGACTAGAATGTGGTAGAACCCCCGTGCCCCGCCATGGGCTGGATATACAATCTACACTTGGGGGGCTACCCCGCCTCCTACCCCACCTCCCTAAGTGGTTCATGAACCCTAGGGTTTGCCCGATCCCAAAGGAGGGCTTCCACTCTCAAGGAACCCAGAGCCACGCCGCCTCTCCCCACTGCTGTCCTTGCCTTTGCCGCGCAGGGTGCCGCCATCAGGTCCTGTTGTGCTTCTGCTCAGGGAAAGTCTCCCAGGCTCCTGCCCAGGGGTGGCAGCTCCCTGAGCTGCCAGCCTTCTATGCAGGTGCCCCCAGGGAGGGCCCCTATCCCTCGGCAACCAAGACTGCTCCTCAGGGGCCCTCTCGGCAGTTCTCCCAGGGCATCTGCCCCACAGCCCGTAGATCAGGACAGCAGGGTCAGGCTCCTGCCTCATGAACCTTGAAACTGGCCCCTCTGGTCCCCTTCCTGGGCCCACAGAACTGCCCAGGGCTGCTGGTCCCCTCCCTGCACCCCCGGCTGTTTCCACCCATCTCTCACAGGGGGCTGTGATGATTGCCCATCAGAAGGGCCCAGAGTGGTGGCTTTCCATCAGGGTGGTAGTGAATTTTTTCCCCCAGGGGACAGTTGGCAAGGTTTGGTTGTCACACTGGGGATGGCAGTGCTGCTGTCATCTAGTGAGTGCCAACCAAGGAAGCTGCTGAACATCCTATAGTGCATGGGACAGCCCCTCACAAGGAAGAGCTGTTCAGCCCCAAATACCAATAGTCCTGAGGGTGGGGCCCTGGTCCACTGTAGCACTGGCCAATAGAAATATAATGGGAACCACAAATGCAGGCTCCGCATGTGAGTTTACACTTCCCGATAGCTACTTTTTTTTTTTGACATGGAGTTTCACTCTTGTTCCCAGGCTGAGGTGCAATGACACAATCTCGGCTCACTGCAACCTCCGCCTCCTGCATTCCAGCGATTCTCCTGCCTAGGCCTCCTGAGTAGCTGGGATTACAGGCATGCGCCACCAGCCCTGGCTAATTTTGTATTTTTAGTAGAGACAGGGTTTCTCCATGTTGGTCAGGCTGGTCCCGAACTCCCGACCTCAGGTGATCCACCCACCTTGGCCTCCCAAAGTGCTGGGATTACAGGCATGAGCCACCGCGACTGGCCAGATAGCTACATTCTTAAAGAGTAAAGAGAAATATATGAAATTGCTTTTAATTTACTGCATGTTATTTAATCCCAATATATCCAAAATGTTATGATTTCAACAAGTAATTGATATAAAATTGAGCTGTTACATTCTCTTTTTTCATATAAGTCTTCAGAATCCACTATGTATTTTACCCTATGGCACACCTTAATTTGAACACTAAATTTTTATTGGAAACACTTGATCCGCATTTATTTTTCGTAAAATTTATGGTTGAAAAAGTAGATTTACATGTCAAATTGTTTATCAGTGTTTAAATGTAAATTAAAATGAATTGAAATTAAATAAAATATCAAAATAAATTCCTCAGTCACAGGGCATATTTCAGGTTCTTAGTGGCCACAAGTCACTAGTGGCTACCCTATTGGGCAGCACAGGTCTAGACATCAGAAATGGTAAGTTCCAGTTTCCTCCTTAGGGAGGCAGAACCTGCCACCTCTTCCTCTCTGATGGGCCAGACTGCCTTCCCGTCAGAGAAGGGCAGAAGGAGCTTTTGGCAATAGTGGTAGAGACTCAACACATGACTTCAGTTCTTAGTGTGTCCCTGCCATGCTGAGAACCAGTGTCTTCTCTCAGGGACCTTCTGATCTAGGGAAGGAGATGATCACACCAATGCTACAGGTGACAAGTGCTCTAACAGAGGCCGTGAGGCCAGGCTGCAGTGGAGTGACAACAACTCTACACATGGGAAGCACTCACATTGGAGGGGGTGCTTAGAGTAAGCTTGAAGATTCATTAGGAGCTGGCCAGGCAGAGGCAAGATTGGGCGGGGGGGATGACCCGGATGGGCACCCGGGCAGAGAAGGTGGCTGAGCAAAGGCCAGCCAGTCTGCGAGGTTGTGGCGTGCTCCTCTAAGTGAAGACCTGAGAGCACTGAAGAGGTTGGAGAGGCTCATGGCGACAGGCTCTGCATGGTTCTGTGTAGGTTCCCCTGGGGAGCCCAGTTCCCAGCTCTGCTCCATGAAGGAAGTAGACTTGGACTTGGCCCAACTTGCTTTCCGCCTTCCCTGCAACACTTCTGTCCACCAGAAGGGGGCAGGGCCACCTCAGGAAACGAGACCCATTCTGTGGGGGGCTCAGTCAAGGTTCAGTCCTGAGTTAGGTGAGACCTTTCAATCCTCAGTGGACAGGTACTGAGCTTCAGGCCCCGTGCTGGGACCTGGGTGCACTAAGACGAGCCCCACCCCTTGCAGCCTGTGTCCGCAGTGTCCCAGGCCGAAGGGATTGTGGGGGTTTCAAGGAGGCAGTGGGCAGCTCTGCCTAGGGGGAGGCCGGAGGAAAATGAGGACCAGCTCCCTAGAGGAGGCAACTCTTAAGCTGAAGCAAGAGAAGAAGTTGCCTTCTCGGCTGACAGGGTTGTGAGGTGTGCCACTCTGAGGGGGCACAGCAAGCGGCATGGAGGTGTGACCGCGGGCATGTCTGGTTGCTGGCTATGTCCTGGATCCTAGAGCACAGGGTGCAAGGGGCTGGGGTGACTGGCCATGGCTCGTGGGGGGCCCTGGAGCCACATGCATGAACTCCATTCTGGTGCAGCAGGGAGAACAGACAGAATTTCCTTTTTAAAAAACAAAAAAAAAATTTCTTATGAAAACTATCAAATAGGCACCAAGTACAGAGAAGAGTTCATGGACCCCCATGTACCCAGCACCTGGCACCAACAGAGATCTACCAGCTTCTCATCCATTCTCCCTCCACATTTGTACAAACCTTTTATAGATAGAAATTGTTAAACATACCAAAGAAGGGAGACTGGCATAACGATCCCCACAGACGCACCAGCCAGCTCCACCAGGAAGTTTCCAGGCTGGTCTCGGCCGCCCACTCCTTCCCACCCTCAGATTATTCTGAAGCAAATCACATAGCATTTTATATTTAAATATTTCAGTGTATATCTCTAAAAATGAGAGACTCTTTAAAAACACAGGCTTGCACTACTATGATAACACCTGAACAATGTGCACACCATTGTTTTTTCTTGTTTTTTTTTTTTGAGATGGAGTCTCTCTCTGTCACCCAGGCTGGAGTGCAGTGGCACAATATCGGCTCACTGCAAGCTCCACCTCCCAGGTTCACGCCTCACGAGTAGCTGGGACTACAGGCACCTGCTACTACCCCCGGCTAATTTTTTGTATTTTTAGTACAGACGGGGTTTCACCACGTTAGCCAGGATGGTCTTGATCTCCTGACCTCGTGATCCTCCCGCCTCGGCCTCCCAAAGTGCTGGGATTACAGGCGTGAGCCACCGCGCCCAGCCTATGCATGTCATTCTTTCACTTCATGCCATACCAGGACTGACAGATTTCAAGCCCAGGAATGGCCAGGTTCAGATTGGCATTGCAGGAGGGTTGCCCTGGCAGGGAGTGGAGGAGGAAGCTGGGGGAGAAGGGGTGAGGCAGGGCGTCAGCAGGAAACTTTGATGAGGGTCTGGGGGAGAAGCAGTGGGGACGTGGACTTAGCTAAGCCTGAGCTGTGGAGGGAGGAGGTGTGGAAAGCTTACCAAGTGCCAGACACTCTGCACACAGTCTTAATTAATCCTCACAAATGCCCCACGAAGGCGATTCTATTATCTCCCCCTTTTACAGACAAAGAGACTATGGCTCAGAGAGACTAAATCGCTCAGAGTGACATAGCAGAAATAACAGAGCAAAGTTGCAGCACTGGGCTTCAAACAGGCTGGGTGGTCCCGCAGCTCCGAAGCACGGCCTCCTGCAGCCTGGGGGCCACAGAATGGGAGAAGACACCTGTGCAGAGCTGGTACGGAGGCAGTGCCCACAGAACTTGGCACCTGCTTCGACGTGAGGGCTGAGGTGGGGGAGCTCCACCCTCGGCTGCAGCCCTGTGGAGCCCGGGAGCAGGTTTCCGAGAGGCAGCCTTGGGATCGCCCTCCCCGCCTCAGCCACTTCCCTCATCTTTCTTGAGAATCAAGCACGTCTTCCTCTCCAGCTCCTGCCCCCTGAATAGTTCCATTAGTCTCCAGCCCTGCCCGCCTTCCACCTCCCCTCCACTCCCGGCAGGCCTGTTCATCTTTACTGGGGCCTGGGAGGAGCAGCCTTTCCCACCTGAGCCTCCCAAGGCCTGGGCACCCCGGGTGGGAGCTCTGGCCCCTGTGGCTTTGAAGGAAGATGGACACGGCCTAATTGGTCTCTCTTTGTGGCCCAGTGGCCCCCGAAGAGGCCCAGCAATCAATGCTTCTCAATGTCGGAATCAGATTCCTGTACACCGCAAACCAGCCCGAACTGCAAGGGCTGCCCCTGTGGGAGCCACAGGGAATCATAGCCACCCGGGGGCCAGAAGGCCCACTAGGGAGATTCGCTTATTCTCTAGAGGAGGAGACAGACAGCCAGAGAGTGAAGGACTTGCCCAAGGTCACTGCCAGCTGGGGGTGAGGTGGGCCAGGGCTGGAGTCTGCTGCTGTCCTCTTCCTGCATCCTGCCCGCCTGGGCCCCTCACTCCGCAGTAAGCACTGAGACAAATGAGGGCTGGACGGGGCTCCCTGGCCCAAGATGCCTAGAGGGGCTCTGGTGGTTTGGACTCTGCTGGCAGACCCTGACTCTCGGAGATCTCAGCTACCTCAGAGCCAGAGGGCACTTTAGATCTCACCGTGTCCAGCCCCATCCTCACATGACAGTGGAAGGGGTGGGAGCACAGAGAGAGGAGGGGTCTGCTGTGTCCATGAACCCACCGAGATTTCCTGTCCATGGGGACCATCCTGTTTCTTCTTACTCTCCTCCTTTCCAACCACCTGTGGGCCAAGGGAGAGAGATGGCCACCGTGGCTGCCCCAGCCTGGGATCCCAGAGGACAGTGGCCTTGGCTCTGCCCCATCCCCATTTCCCTGCAGGCAGGTGTAACAGGACAAAGTCTCCCTCCTCCTGTTAGGTACTGGGCTCACCTCAGTGCTCCTTCTGGAGCCTCTCCAACTCAGCTTTGGGGTGGTTGGGGGTAGCTGCTGCCCTGGTTAGAGCACTGGATGGGGAGTCCAGAGACCTGGATTTGAGTCCTCAATCTGCTCATTGCTGTGTGATCTTCGGTAAGTCACTTCACTTCTCTGAGCCTGCACAGTGGTGATAATTCCAACAGCCCTGCCTCATCAAATGGAGTCAAACCTGGATAAAAACCCTGGACAAGTGTAAGGGTGGGCCTGTCCTGAGATGGCCAGAGAGAATGTCCAGAAGGTGGTCCTTCCTGGGCCCCAGAATACTAATTCCAGTTATGTTGCTGATCTGCTGTGTAGCCCTGGGCAGATGGCCAACCCTCTCTGGGCCTCATAAAAACATGGAGATAAATGCTTCTCTCTGCTGTGGTATCGACCTCCTGGCAACAAGGGGAAGTTAAATGTGGAAGAGCTTTAAGAACCTTAGAAGAAAGGCCATCTATAAACATAAGAGATTATTAACACCATCCAATAATCATGCTGTCTGCTGACAAAAGTAATGACCCCCCGAAGCTGGGCATGGAGAGCAGCCATGTCAGCACACGGCGGCTCCAAGCAGGGCTTCCTCTTAGCTCATAACGCTCTGTGTATGTTTATGTGGGGTTTTGCCTCTACAAACCAACCACGAATTAGTTCTTCCGTGGATGTGCCCAGAAGGGAGGCAGGAAGGGCAGGGGATGATGAGAGCTGGAGCCCCAGGAAGGAGGTGTCTAGCCTGGACACCCAGCCAGGTAAGGATGGGTGCGGCTGGGAACCAAAGGTTCTCCTGGTTCTCAGTGCCCACTTCTGCTGCTCGCTGTCCTGAGCACCTGGGCAGATAGCGTTCCCTCTCTGGGCCTCAGTTACCCCACCAGGGCTGTCAGTGCAGGAAGGTGGGGAGGCATTACGGGATGTGTGACTTCAAATCACCTTCTGACTTGCCCACTCCCCCTTTCTTCTCTGTCCTGCTGGAAGCTTGGTGTCGGCACAGGGAGGTGCCCATTGTACTTTAACCCCAAGCCTGGGGAATCCCACGGTGGGTCGTCTCTGTGGCCACAACCTCTTGGCGGTGCCCAGGAGTCAGTAGCATGTCGTGGACTCTCTGAGCCTCTATTTCTCATCTGTCCCCACCCTGCCAGGTGGGAGTGCCCAGATCCTGGGTGCAGGGAGCCAGCCATGTGCGGCCTTGGGTGGGGTTATTATTCTGCAGCCCTTCCACAGGGCCCAGGCTGAGCTGCGGGATGATCCTCAGCCCAGCAGGCCGACCCATGGGTGGCAGGGAGGCTGTCTGGGTGGGAGAGAGGCTGTGCCTTGCCGCTGTCATTTTTTATCCTCGCCGAGGCCTGCAGGGCCTTTCCCCCATCCCCGGCTCCGCTGCCTTTTCTCTCTTTAGACAACTGCCCTCATTCTGTCTCCCGCTCGCCACACTGCCTATTTTTAACTTTTGGCTTTGGGGGAGGTGGAGGAAGGGAGGTCGGTTGGTGTTTTTTTCCTCTGTCCTCCTCCCTGGTCTCATGTCCTTTCTGGGTCCTCCTCTGGGGGTCTTCCTCGCCATCTGACCTCCCCAGGCTCCTCACAGCCCTTCTGTCCTGCCTGCCTCCTTGCCTGCTCCTCTCCTCCTCTCTCTGCCTCTGGACTCTTCTGCCCAGGCCCCTCATCTGCTTCTGTTTCTGCTGCCTCTCCCAGGGGACCCTCGCAGGCCCCATCCCTGTCCCCATGGCTTCTCTTCAGTGGCAGCAGTGGCAGCAGTTGGTCGGAGCACTTGCTCTTGCCACAATCCCTCCTGACAGCTAGTGGTGGCTGACACAGGTGACCTCTCCCTTTTTCTGGAAACCTGACCTTTTCCTGGAGTTCACACCCTGCCAGGCGTGCGTTTGTGGGGGACACTCCCTTCCCCCATTAACGCTGGTGCTGGCTGGTGAAGTGGGCAGCTGTGGGGGTGCCTGCCCAGCATGCTTCCACCTTCTTTGACTGCCAACACCTAGATTTTCCTCGGACTCCCTCCCCACCCACTCGCCCCATTGTTTGGGTGGGGCTGATCCACCTCCTGGCTTCAGAGATGTCCTGTGTCCAGGCCTGGCCAGGGTGAGCCCAGCCTAGGTTTCTGCCAGATAGGAAAAGGGGTCTTTCCTCTTGCTTATGTGGTGAGACGTCAGCTTGGAGCTGCCTGGGTGTCTTGGCCACTGCAGGGAGAGACTGCCTGAGGAAGAGGCTAACAGGGAGGAGAGCGGAGCTGAGTGACGGAAGGAGAAGGAGAGACTCCCAAGCTCTCAACTGAGCACTTGGACCCAGCGTTCCCTGATTTTGATGTTTCGGTTCCATGAGCTGAGGTTTTTTTCCCTTCAGCCATTTGGAGTTTGTTATTTGACACTGAAAGAGTCCTGGCTGTTCTGCTGGGATGCCGTCTGCCCTCTTCCCAGTCCACCGTCTGCCCCGCCGCCCTGCCCCACTCTATGGCTTCCCCTGTCCTATGGCTGGTCATAGTCCTAAGTTCCCAGCCCAGAACGTGCTCCTGGACTTCAGGCCTGTGCTATCAGCTGCCCCTAGACACTTTTGATGGGATGCCTTGTGGGGGCACTCAAAATGCAACATGTCCCAAACAAAACTCATTCTCTGTCCTTTGTCTTCTAAGGTTTTCTAATTGGCGATGAATGCTTCCTTCATTCCACCCATCTTTCCATCCATCTTCCTTCCTTCCTTCCTTCTTCCTTCCTTCCTTCTTCCTTCCTTCCTTCCTTCCATCGTTACATCCACCATAGTGTAATGTTCCATCCATCCATCCATCCATCCATCCATCCATCCATCCACACACTCACTTACCCATTCATTTCACCTCCTTCTCCTCATGACAACAATGATGATAATAATAACCTATGTTTATTGAGGGCTTTCATGGTGCTAGATACTGTTCTAATCAATTTACACATACACATTTAACCCTTTACACATACACATTTAACCCACATTACACCCACATTACACGTACACATTTAACCCTCAAAACCAACCTGTGCAATAGGTAGTATTACTGACTTAGAGGTGAGGAGCCTGAGACACAGCAGGGTTAAGTAGCTTAGTGTCACTAAGTGCACAGCCAGGGTTCCTCGTTGCTGAAGCCGGAGACTTGGGAATTGTCCTCATGTCACCCCATCATCCTGAACATTTGGTCATCACATCCTGCCAACTCTGCCTCCAAAGCTCCTCTCAGACTAGCCTGTTTCTCTCAAATGACCTACCTCAGGGCACCCCCATGTCTTTCTGAGATCACAGTCCCAGCCTCTAGGCTCCCATCCCCCTCCACTACCCCATCGCTTCTCAGCCAGGCCCACCCTGCTGGGTACCCTCCATGAGAGCCCATGGCACAGGCAGGTGGGCCTTGCTGAGAATGCATCTGCTGCAGGGCCGAGGCCACATCTGGGCTTTCACCGTCACATCCCCTGAGCTCCAATCAGTCCCTGGCTCAGGCCAGGCACTTAACAAATGTTGTTAAGTGAAATGAGGCATGGACGGCAGCTTGGGAACCACCCAAGGGTCCTGAGCACACGTGGAGTTGGCCGCTGGCTTCCAGGACAACATGCCCCCAGTGTACACTGAAGGCCTCAGTCACAGGTTCTCGCCTCCTTCCATCCCTTCCATTCTGGGATGGCTCCAGCCACCTCAGCAGATGTTCTTGCTGATGGGTGAGGGCTATGTCAGGAACAGCTGAATGTCTGCGGCCGTTGTTCAGCTAAACACCTCTGTCCACCCACCTCCAGACAGTCTCAATCCCTCCACCCCCACTCCCTCTTTGATGACTTATGGGCGGAGAACATCCAGAGCTGGGTGGGGACAGGGGGACTCTGTGCTCCTGCTGCTACCCCTCACCTCAGGTGGGTGTTACCTGTGTTAGGCCGTTTTGTTTTCTATAAAGAAATGCCTGAGACTAGATAATTTATAAAGAAAAGAGGTTTAATTGGCTCACGGTTCTGCAGGCTGTACAGGATGCATGGTGCAGGCATCTGCTCCTGGTGAGGCCTCAGGAAGCTTCCAGTCATGATGGCAGGCAAAGGGGGAGTAGGCGCATCATAGGGTGAGAGCAGGAGCGAGAGAGAGGGGAGGTCCCAGACTCTTAAACAACCAGGCTCAGGTGAACTCACTGAGCAAGAGCTCGCTCATCACCAAGGGGATGGCACTAAGCCATTCATGAGGGGTCTGCCTCCATGATCCAAGCACTTCCCACCAGACCCCACTTCCCACACTGGGAATCAAATTTCCAGTGAGATTTAGAGGGACCCAACATCCAGACAGTGCCACTCCCTAAGGAGGGAGCCATCAGCAGATGTGGCGCAGGAGGCTGAGGCTGGGGAGATCTGGGCTGACCAGAGACCCTGAGTGGGCTACTGCTTGCGGTCCACTGCGGTGAGTCTCGGGGCTCCTTCTGGGGTCTGCAGGATGGTGTGCCTGAGGCTAGGGGCAGGTCCGGGAACCCCATGTCCTCTTCAAGGCCAGGCCACCCAGCCCTTCAGCAACACTGCCTTGGGGCCTGTCCCTGGAGAGGAGATGAGGCTGCTGAGCTGTGCCAGGGCTGCCTCAGCGGGGCTAAGTGTGTTGGAGGAGGCTCACATTCCTGGGTGTGCTCCCACAGCATGTGGGGTAGACCTGTTCAACCTGGAAGGACTCTGGCCCCAAGAGGTCAGAGTGGCTGCCGCAGAAGGACACCTCTCAGGCCTCCCTTCAGGAGAAGCTACCCCAAGGGACGTGACTGACCATCCCAGCTGCCGCACCTGCAGGCGCCGCTGTGGTACTCACTCCCAACACTTCCTCTCCCCGGACTGCCCCTGCTGGAGGCTGAGCCAGCGAGGTCATTTGCAGATGTGGGACTCCTCCGGGGGGAGTCTTTGCCTGGGTCTCTGCCTCACCTGGCTGAGGCATCCCTAGAGCGGTGCTGGCTGAGGCTCTTCCAATTCCCTTTCTGCCCCCATCCTTGCAGCTGTGACAGCTGGATGCCAGGGTCCGAAGGCTCTCCTGCCTATTCCTGCTCTGTACCCCCTTTATCCTTCAGAGATATTTCTTGGAGGACCCCCAGATGACTAAGCCTGAGGAAGGAACAGTCCTGCCGAGAGCCAAGGGGCCCCAGCACCACCCATAGCCCTGGCAGGTATGTCTGGCAGGAGATGCTGCCTGGAGACAGGTGGAACCCCCCCCATGGCAGCACCCCCAAGTCCAGCCTTTGAAGGAGCTTTTGGGGGCAGTGCTTGGAAGGCTTCAGTTCCCACACAGCCTTGGGCCTGACTCAGCTTCACTCACAGCCCTTGGTCTCCCCGTTGGCAAATGTGTGCTCGTCTAGGCCCCTGCCTGAGATCCCTGCTGGCCAAAGCTCCATCTCGGTTTATCTGGATCATCTTCTCCCAGAGCCTCCTGGCCCTTTGTGGGATTGAAAGGATGTCAGGGCAGGAGGGCCTTCAGACTCTATCAGGCTCCACCACTTAAATCTACAGAGAGGTACAGAGAGGGTAAGTAACTTGTCTGAAGTCACACAGTAGGTCTGAAGCAAGCTAGTCAGGACCATGGTTGTATGATGGTCCTTCCTGGTCTCTTCTCACCTGGCTGGGTGATTTCCTGTGACCTCAAATCAAATCAGAGGTCACTGCCTCCAAGGGCCATCCATATGCAGCCCAGACCTCTGAGGGGAGGGCAATGGGTCTCAGCATCTGCCTCCCCAGCCTGCAGACCAAACCCCTCCACTGACATTGCTGGGGCCTCCTCAGCCTGGCTCAACTGCCTCTCCTGGTTCTCCTAGGCCCACCTCAGGCTTTCACTCACTCCCTTGCCCTCCTGGGGGACCTTCTCCTCTTGACCCATGTATTAGTCTGTTGTCACGCTGTTAATAAACACATACCTGAGACGGGGTAATTTATAAAGGAAAGAGGTTTAATTGACTCACAGTTCAGCATGGCTGGGGAGGCCTCAGGAAACTTACAATCATGACGGAAAAGGAAGCAAACATGCCCTTCTTCACATGGCGACAGCAAGCAGAATGAGAGCTGAGTGAAGGAGGAAGCCCCTTATAAAACCATCAGATCTCGTGAGAACTCACTCGCTATCACGAGAATAGCATGGGGGAAACTGCCCCCATGATTTAATTACCTCCCACCGGGTCCCTCCCACCACACATGGGGATTATGGGAGCTACAATTCAAGATGAGATTTGGGTGGGGACACAGCCAAACCATATCTCTTCGAAGGTTTCCATGACCCCAGCCTAAATAGCCTGCCCTGGGCCTGGGCTTCTTGCTTGGCCCTTAGTGTAGCATAGTCCCCACCGTGGTCTTTGCTTCACGAGCATCTCCTGCCTCAGAACCAGCCTGAATGCACCTTGAGGGCTGGAGGTTTGAATCCTGGCTGCACCTGGCCCAGGTGGCTGGCTTTCTCAGCCCATGAGGTGGAGGTAAGAAAGTGCATGGGCTTTTGAGTTAGACAGACCTGGGTTTGAGCCGCAGTGTGGCTGGGGTGGCCTCCTCACATCTTTGTGAATCAGTTTCTTTGCATGTAAAATGGGGAAGTTGAAACCCATCTTGGATATGTGAGGAAGACCCGGCTAATGTATGGAAAGTGCTCGGGATGGTACCTGGCCCAGCGGCTCTTCCCAACCATCTAAGCTGCCTCCCCTTCCCTCCCTGCCTTAGGGTCTGGCTCAGGGCTGAGCACCCAGGAGATGTTTCAAATCCAGAAGTGGAACTGTGGGGAAATAGTGGAGGAGGCTTTCTGGGAGGGGTCTGCTGGGGAGACAGTGAATTCCTGTCAGCTCGCAGTGGAGCTCAGAAATACCGATTCAGCACTGGCTTCCAGAGTGAGAAACTCTGCAGGGCTGGGAGTTGTGGGGAGAGAGAGAGGAGATGGGAGGTGGTGGAGTGGGGGTGGGGGTGAATGAGGGAAAGAAGAGACAGAGAGAGAGAAAGAGGAGTAGAGGCGGAAAGAGAGGAGGTCAGAGATACAGACAGACCCGGAGGGAGAGACACCAAGCGACTGGCAGAGAATGAATCAAATAAACAAAAAGATGGAGAGAAATCCAGACAGTTAGAGAGGCAGAGAGCCAGGAGAGGAAGTGTGCAAGCTCAGGAAATGGAGAGAGAGAGGGAGACAGAGAGAGAGAGAGAGGGAGAGAGAGAGAGGGAGATTCTGGGGGTACAGTTTGCAGGCCAGGTCCCCTGTGCGCTGCCTGAGCACCTCTCCACAGGGCAGGTGGGGGGACTTCCTTTTGGGTGAGGACCTTTCAGGCTGTCTTTTTCCTGGTCAAAGGCCATGTCCACTCGTGACCCCTGTGAGTGCTTCCCTGGAGTCCTGCAGCCCAGGGCCAGCAGCAGAGTTGGCTGTGGCCTGATCCATGGGGGCTCTGGAAATCCTGGAGCTTGGTGATGAGCCGTTCAGAGAACACCTCCAAATGCCAGTGCCCCAGTGGAGGGGCTGAAAGCAGGGCAGGGAAGGGACATCTGTGGACTTGTATTTCAGGCCAGCAGGGCTTGAGGTGAATGGAGGAGGAGGAGGGCGAATGGTCAAGTTTTTTAGTCTCTCTGGGGTGGACAAGTCCACTCTGCCTCATTCCACTGCCTTAGCTTGAGTGCCTCTAGGGCCAGGTGGCTCCCGCATCCCCTAAGAAAGCCTGCTGTGAGAGTGGGAAGGTCTTCACTAGGTTGGTGCTGCCACTCTGGCCTTGGCTGTGGGGTGTGTGTGTGCATGCAGGTATAAGCTGTAAGCCAGCATGAGACCACAGCGCTGCCTGTGGGGAGAACTTTGCTCCCCCAGAGGAAGCAGGGTCATTTCTCTTTGGGTCCCTTAGTTGACTTCAAGCCCCTTCAGTCTCAGAAAAGGACTTTTGATAGATTCATTTATACTGAAATGCCAGGAAATAACTTTGTAGTTTCCCCTAAAGGGGCAATTTTAACCTAAAGCATCACTTCTCTCTGGGGCAATGGCAGGCAGTGGGGTGGGAAGTTAGCGGGGAGGGCTGCTCTCTCTGGCTCCCGTTGCCACCAGAATCCCTCCTCCCACCTCTACAGCAGGCTCTTGGCAGGCGGGGACCATTTCTTCTGTTTCTTCTGTGTCCTTCCCAATCAGGACACAGTGAAGTCCCTCCAGAGGGGGCTCCCAGTGAGGGGTAGAGATAGAACAGCAAGAAGAGCCTTTGCACCCGTGAGCCACATCACCAAGCAAGCACTGACTAAGGTGTGAGTCCCAGCTGTGGGTGGCTGCTGTGTGGCCTTGGACAAGTCCTCACCCTCTCTGGGCCTCCATTGCCTACCTGGGAAAGATGAGGTTTGGGAGAGTGATGGTCATTGAAGGCTCCTCTGGCAGTGGTGTCTGAGGTTCTGGGCCTTTCACCCGCCTCAGGTTGCTGGTCAGCACCCGGGCCACGCACTGATTGCCACAGGACCGGGTGATGGATTCTAGATGACCCAGTGGCCCTAGACCAGCCAGGCAACCAGACTCTTCCATCCGGAAATAGTGGAAACGTTCTTTAGACACCCGCTTGTCTGACTCCCTCAGTGACAGGTGGGGAGACCAAGGCCTGGGTAGAGGGGTGGCTTGCCCGAGTCCCACATCATATGAGCATTGGGTCTGAATTACGAACAAGTCTCCTGCCACTTTTCGCAGTTGGTTGAGTCTTAGGGGTAAATCCTGGTGGGCTCCCTGACAGAAGTGAAAGCTAAGATAGGTTCTGAAGGAAAGTGTGAGTGGGGAGAGATGGGAGGGGTGGGTGTAATTTGCAGGTCTTACAGAGAGGGGCCCCAACTTCTGCCCAGAAGTCAGTTGGGAAGGGAGAGGGGCTGGGTGGTCCACCTGCCCTTGGCCTGTCTATCTCCTGCACCCTAAGGCTCCAGAAACCCCTGGCAAGGGCTGGCGTCTAAGCTGGCTGCTCTGCATTTGGTCTCTGGTGTGAGTACTGGAGGACACCTCTCCCTGTGGGCTGCCCCTGGGTCAGTGGCTAGACTGGGCTGGCCACCACCGTAAATCACCCAGGGAGCTGGGCTAGTGGACATGGTTTGTGCATCCTGGGCACCCACCCTGCAACTCTGAGAACGGACGGCAACATGTCATTTTAACAAAGTTGCCGATTTCCTTGTCACATAGGAGGTGGACAGCCATGGCCAGCACCACCTCACTCACCCCCAGACCCCTCCAGGACCTCCCCAGCCTGGTGAGTGGGTGCAGAAGGTGAAGGCTGACAGGTCCCATCAACTGGATTGGGGAGAGGCACCTACCGCCCCAGTGGAACTGGCATCTGAGTTTTGGTACCCCCCGACCTCCCACTCTGCCTCCTACTCTCTTGACCATCTCTCAGTGGGATCTCAGCAGATCCCACTGTCCCTGAGTGTGCTGTGCCAATTTATCCCCCAGATGTATGCACACTGCTCCTGCCACCTGGAACACATTCTTCTTTCCCCTCTATCTGGATTCTTCTTTCAAGGCCTAGGTGAAGACTTCTCCCTCCAGGAAGCCTCCTGTGGTTGTCCTAGCATAACCCTTAGACCTCTGAGAGCAGGTGAGCAGCTTTTGCTTGCTAACTTTGGTGATCAGGCTGGTTGCTGCCTGGAGCACCTGACAGAGGCCGCATTCAGGCTCAGCCGGAAAGAGTAGCATGGATGGGCGATGTCTATCCGGGTCAGGGAGAGGGAGGCTGGGGTGGCTTATGTTTACTTTCCTTGCTGAGGCTTCTGGGCCATGTGGCCATTGTTCATACCCTTTGTGCACGCAAAACTTCTCTCATCTCTTTACCCCCTGTCTGCTCAGGGGATACGTAGTCCCCTGACGGCAGGCGCCCAGCCTCATGCTTCCTCTGTGCCCCTCATCACGCTGGGCACACATAAGGCTCCGTAGACCTGAGTCAGATGGAGGGGCAGAGCATAAGATGCTGTCACTTTCCATGGGGAAACTGAGTCATAGAGTTTCAGAGCCATTTACAGGGAAGGGACCTGGGGCTCGGAAGGGGAAGGCATTTTCTCACGGCCCCAGAGGGAGTACTGGGAAGGCTCTATGAGAGACTGGCGGTCAAAGTGTAGCTTCCATGCCTGAAGGGTGTCTGGCAGTCCAGGTGGAGCAGGGGTCCCGATGCTGCCTCCCCATGCCCCCGGCCCTGCAGAGGCTCCTCCTTTTTTCATCCGAGGCTCTGAGAGCATTCATTAGTGCACTTTACTCCCATGTGGGGTATCCATGCCTTTCATTATTCCCATTTTACAGATGGGAACATGGAGGGAGCAAGGGGTTCATGGCTGGACCCCAGGTCCCATCCAGCAGGTTGCCAGTGGCTGTAGTGACTCTGGCCCCAAACATGGGCTGGCCATGACCCTGGCTCAGGTTGGGCCCCAGGCTTATCAAGGAGATGCTTCTCCCCTTAGGGGAGCCCAATGCAGAGAGTGTCTGAGCTAGAAAGTCACTTACAGGTTGCAGATTCTGAGCCCCTGGTGATCCAGACGGAGAAAATGAGTCCCAGAGAAGGTCAGGGGCTGGTCCCAGACCACACAGCTTCCCTTAATGGACAGGCTTCCTGACAACCAGTTCTCCCCCAGTCTTCCCAGAATGCAGAACAGAGGGAGAGCTGTGGCCGTGTATCTGGGTCCTTGCTGGAGCTCCATCCTGCTCAGGCCCGAAAACACTGGAAAGGAGACCTGGCTGGATGCTCCAGTAGCCTTCCCTGGGCCAGCATGGCACTGAATCTCTGCAGTCTCACCTAGCCTCAAGTTCTCACTGTAGTGTAAATGACTGATAGCAGAGCCTTTCCTGCAGCCATGTTGGCAGGAGGGGGAAAGGAGCCCCTGAAAGAGGAAATGGTACGCTTCTAGGTGTTGCAGGGATGGGTTGTGATGTAGTCCAGAGAGGGAGTCTGGGGGCCTGGACACTCAACTTCTTCTGAGCCCCGCTCCCAGATTGGCCCTCCTCCTCTCCCTCCTCTTCCTCCTCAGTCTCTCCGTCTCCCCTCCTCTTGTCCTCTTGCAGCAGCTGTTAATCCAGCCTCCCCTCCGCATGGTGCATTGTAAAGAGCTGGCCCTCTGACAGATTTGCATTGGTGGTTTATTGATTTAATTAAGCAGGGGCTGTAAACAGTGCCCCCCTCCTCAGCCTGAGGAGCATCCACAGGGCACCTGGCTGGCTAGCATTAAAGACCCATGGAGGCCGCTGACTGTGGAGGCAGCCTGATTTAAGGACCTGTGATTCCCGTGAACTTTGTTCCTCCATCCCTCTTGGATTCTATCAGAAGTGCCATCACAGTGGCAGTGATGGCTTAATCATAGCCCAGTGCCTCTGCCAGGGAGAGAGGGCCTCAGTGGACAGCAGGCAGAGGGTCTTGGGAGCCGTGGTTCTCAGTCTGCCCCGCCCCCTCTCTCTGGCCCCACCAGTCCGGGGCCCACCCCAGCTGTTCCCACTCCTGCGAGTGCCCTGCCCAGTGCTCTGGGAAGGCTGCTCTTTTGTCCTCAACAACAGAGCCGAAGTTCCGGAGGCCCATGGTGTACTTTACCGTGCCCACTCTTGCCTGGCATCTCCAGATGCCACCATAGAGCAGGCATTTGCTGCGTCTGCAAAATAGGCAGGAGTGACTGTAGGTGACCGCTGTGTGCCCCACTCCCTCCCAAACCAGGGAGTGCTGGCCTGGGAGACAGAGACCTGGGGTAACTGTCCCGTCCTAGCCCTGACTCTGCTGCTCTGCCTCCCGGCTGCTGTCTCCGGGCTGCTCTTTCTGGTTGTGGGTAAGGGGATGGAGTCAGCACTATCCAAGCTCCCTTCTAGCCTGCTAGTCACCTTTCCTCTTTCATGGGGAGATGTTCTTATGCCAGGGAAGGCTGGGCACTGGGCTGGGCAGGATTCTCACCCCTACAGGGTCAGCCGATCCTCACACCAGCTCTACAAAACAGTAACCTCGTCCCCCACCCACCCCTTAGAGATGAGCAACTCAGACGTTGAATGACCTGCCTCAGGTCACTCAGCCCTTAAATACAGAGCTTGGTTTGAGCTGAACTAGTGCTAGGAGAGGTGAGGATGATGTTGCTGGATCTCCCCTGGTATCTGCCCCTGATGCTACCTCTCCAGTCAGTTGTAAGGTCCCCTTCCCCAGAGCCCCAAGGAGATGTCTGACCCGGAGGAATGGAGCCTGGGTGACAGAGAGGCTGTAGGTACGCAGCCTGGGTAATGGAGAGGCAGCAGGAACGGAGCCCGGGCGACAGAGAAGCAGCAGGAACGGAGCCCGGGCGACGGAGAGGCTGCAGGAACGGAGCCCGGGCGACGGAGGGGCTGCAGGAACGGAGCCCGGGCGACGGAGGGGCTGCAGGAACGGAGCCCGGGCGACGGAGGGGCTGCAGGAACGGAGCCCGGGCGACGGAGGGGCTGCAGGAACGGAGCCCGGGCGACGGAGGGGCTGCAGGAACGGAGCCCGGGCGACGGAGGGGCTGCAGGAACGGAGCCCGGGCGACGGAGGGGCTGCAGGAATGGAGCCTGGGTGACGGAGAGGCTGCAGGAACGGAGCCTGGGTGACGGAGAGGCTGCAGGAACGGAGCCTGGGTGACGGAGAGGCTGCAGGCATTCTTTGGCCCCTTCCATTGTTGAGGAAGACCCAGGCCCAGGTCAGTGTCGCACAGTTGGCCATGCTTCCCTCCGGAGCCAGGAGGCTGGGTGAAAGGGGTGGAGCATCTTTGCAGGCTTGGGGCTGGGTGCAGGGGACAATGCCTTGTGGCTCAGAGCCTGACGGCTGACGGGGTCCTTGGAGGCCCACTGCCCAAGATGAGAACACTGAGGCCCAAGGCCACACAGTCCGGGTAGGGGTCTCCCTGGGGGAGCCTGGCCCTCTCTCTGCTGATCCTCCTCCCATTTACAGCCCTAGGCACCTGGATCAAGGTGGGCAAAATCAGCTTGCTGGGCCTCCGGGGGGCAGAGGGGCAGCAGGCAGTGAGGGGAAGGGAGGAAGAGACGGGTGGGAGCTGACGGTGGCAGGGACGCGCCCCGCAGGTCTGTGTTAGCTGTGTTTGTCTGGGAGTTCACAGCTGCTGGTGAACATCTGCTCTGTCTCCCGCCTCTCACCACTGCCTCCCGCCTCACCGCCCCCGCCCGGCCTCTTTCTGGGCGCTCCCTGTCATCCCTCCTCTCACCAGCCCTGCCCTACCTGGTTTCTGCTTTTCTCGGTTTTGTTGCCTCTCCATTTCTTTCTCTCTTCCCTCTTTCACACTCTGGGTCTCTCAGAATTGGTCCTCCCTGCCCTTCCCCAGGGAGGCAAGCCCCTCCAGCCCTCTGGGCCTGGGGGAGGTGTGGAGGTGAATGTGATCAGCTGGGCTTGGGTCTGCAAGGCTGGGGCCCTTGCCATTCTCTGGCTGGCCTCTCTGAGCTTCCACTGCCCCATCTGTAAAATGTGGACTGAGGGGCGGGGACAGTGACGGCTGAGGACAGTGCCTGACATCTTGCGGGGCTCCCTCTGTCCCACATCCAGGTGCGGAGTTATTGCCACAGTTATCCAACCTGCCTGTTCCCAGGAGACCTGGAGGAGCACCAGGACTCCTGGGAGCCCTGAGAGGTTACAGATTCCCGAGCCCATTCTCCCAGCGCCATCCAGCCCAGTGGGCCCCACCCTCCTGCATCCCTGCCACGTTGTTCCTCACAAGTGGTCATCCACCCCTAGTGTGACATGGTCACCGATAGGGTGAGTTGACAGCCTGGAGTCCTAACACCACGACTCAGCTCTCAGAGCCTCAGTTTGCTCATCTGCAAAATAGGAAGAATAAGGTCTGGTGGGGCGCAGTGGCTCACGTCTGTAATCCCAGCACTTTGGGAGGCCGAAGTGGGCGGATTGACTGAGGTCAGGAGTTCGAGACCAGCCTGGCTAACATGGTGAAACCCTGTCTCTACTAAAAATACAAATATTAGCCAGGTGTGGTGGCAGGCACCTGTAATCCCAGCTACTCAGGAGGCTGAGACAGGATAATTGCTTGGACCCAGGAGGTAGAGGTTGCAGTGAGCCAAGATCGCGCCACTGCACTCCAGCCGGGCAAAAGAGCGAGACTCCATTTCAAAAAAAAAAAAAAGAATAAGGCCTGCTTCATAGGCTTGATGAGCACTCCCCATTCTGACCTCTGTGGCAGTGCAGGGTCTACCATGGGCCTCAGAAGGACTCAACAAATGGGGCTGACTATTCTTGTTGAACTCCTCTGTGGTGGGGAGTTCACCCCATGTGAAGCTGCTCAGAGTATTGGAATGGGATCCCAGAAGCCCGTTCTAGATGGTACCTGGGCGTGTTGAAATGCTTCAGTGCCCCAGGGGAGTCCTGCCCAGCCTGCTCCAGTGGAGCTCCTCTTCCTCCTCCCAGCACCTCCCCCACCACCTGCCCATGCTGCTGCCACCTTCCACTGGCCTCCCACAGCATGACTGGCCCCGCCCACACCTGGCACCTGTTTCCCGATGGTTTACTCACTCTCCCTTCTTCATGTTGCAAAAGCCTCCCAAGTGGTTATGCTGCTTCCCTCACCCTCTCCACTCCAGTCTCTGCCTCCACCTGGAGGGATAGAAAAAAAAAACCCCACTTTATTGGGGGTATTTCTTAGTATAAACTGCTCACATTCAAAATACATACATATATATATACACACTTGACGGACTTTCACACGTGTATACAGCCATGTAAAAGGCTCATAGATCAAGATATAGAACAATTGCAACAGCCCAGGAGTTTGATTGTGCCTTTTCCAGTCAGTAACCTGCCCAGAGGTAACCACTATTGAGGCTTGGATCCCCAGGGTTAATTTCATCTAACCTTGAGCTTCATATGCATGGACCCATTTAGCACACGCTCACTTCTGTCTGCCTTCTTTCCTTCAGCATTCCCACTGTGAGATCCAAACATATGGTTGCATGTATCCGTAATTTCTTCTTTGTCATTGCTGCATAGTATTTCATTGAATGAATGTACCATGATTTGTTTATTTATTCTACAATAGATGGGCATTAGAGTTGTTTTCAGTTTTGGGTTATTACAAATAAAGCTTTGAGGAAGATTTTTGTGCATGTCATTTGGCAGTCACTTGCTTTCATTTCTCTTGGGCAAATACCTATGGCTGGAATTGCTGGATCATATGCAGGCATGTGCTTAGCTTCAGCAAATATTGCCAAATCATTTCCCAAGTGGTTGAAGCAATTAACACTCCCGCCAGCAGTGCAAGAGTTCTGGTAGCTAGCTCCAAGCTCTTGCCAAAATTCAGAATTATCATTTCTTTTTAATTTTAGCTTTTTTGGTGGGAGTATAATGGTATTTCATTGTGGTTTTAATTTGCATTTCCCTAATGATTGATAATGTTGACAACTTTTCACATATTAAGTGGACATCTGGGTATTATCTTTTGTAGATGGTCTATTGAAGTTTTTTGCCAAAGTTAAAAATTGAATTGCCTATTTTGTTCTTGATTTGAGTTTTTTTTTCTCATTCTTTTTTTTTACATATTCTGGATTTGAGTCATTTTGGGATATATGCATGGGTGATGTGCTTCTCTGTCTTTATTACCTACTTTCCTAACCTCTCAAAATCCCTCACCCTGTCTGAAAGCTCACTGAGCCTCAGCCTCCGAATGTAGGGTTCCCTCTGCCAGGAGGGACCTCACCCTCTTCTCTCCTTCATCAGGGATTGCTTTTCAAGACCCCAATCAAACCCCACCTCCTCTAGAAAGTCAGCCCTTCTGCTCACAGCCCTGGTTGATATTCCCTGGCTTTGGAGGCACTGGTGCATATAGCCCGTTCAATGCCGTGAAAGAACGCATCTTGGCTTCTGCATACACCTTGTGGGCAGGGACGGTGTCTTCTCTTTCACATCTGCCCCGTGTCTCAGGTGATGCTGGAGCTCGATCAGCTCTTGTGGACTTTCGAAGGTAGGGTCGAGGTGTGGCCCAGTTTGCCTGAGACAGTCCCAATTGCCACTTACTGACATGGCATGGTTAATAACAGCCCCTCCTGAGGCCCAGAGGAGAGGGGAGCTGAGATGGAAGCCAAGGGGCCGATCGGGAAGAGAACACTTGTTTCAGGGACAGAACTGGGTCTAGTACTGACGGCCTCCTGTGTGCCATGTGCTCTCAGATGAATCCCTCATCCTCTGCACCTCAGTTTCTTCTTCTGTACAATAGAGAAAATAAATCTTCACCTGTCTCACCGGGCAGTTATAAGGGTAAATGAGCCATCAGATGAGGCTGTGACAGGAGACAGTGCAGACGTACAGAGAAGCTGCTCCTGTCTTCCCAAGGCCCTGCTTGCGACAGGGAATGTGGTCACCTGCCCTGTGGCAGTCCCATGGGCCCTGGGAGAGGGACATTCAGCATGCTCAGAGGAGGGACTGGCATGCCCCAGTGGGGGAAGCCTGGCCGAGTGTTAACATCAGTTCAGTCCAGGTAGTGGCTAAATGTTCTTTTTTGAATGTTCAAAATATTTCGTGAATAATTTTTTTCTTTATTGAGCTATAATTGAAAAATAAAATTGTATATATTTATTCCGTACAATGGGATGTTTTGATATGTGTGTACATTGTGAAATGACTACTGCAGTCAAGCTAATGAACATATCCATCACCTCACATAGTTATCTTTTTTTTTTGTTTTGGTGGTGGAACATTTAACATCTACTGTCTTAGCAATTTTCAAGTATCTGATGTATTATTATTCACTATAATCACCATGTCATACAGTAGATCTTCAGAGCTAATTTGGCCCGCCTCACAGAAACTTTGACCTACATCTAAGTTTAATTTACATTTTAAAAAAATTTATTTAAAATATATTTTTTAGGTTTTTAGAGACTGGGTCCCACTCTGCTGCCCAGGCTGGAGTGTGGGGCTGCAATCACAGCTCACTGTAGCCTCAACCTCCCTGGCTCAAGCAATCCTCCCACCTCAGCCTTCTGAGTAGCTGGGACTGCAGGTGAGAGCCACTGTGCCTGGCCTAAATTTTTTTTTTTTTTTTGGAGACGGAGTTTTGCTCTTGTTGCCTAGGCTAGAGTGCAATGGCTTGATCTCGGCTCACCACAACCTTTGCCTCCTGGGTTCAAGAGATTCTCCAGCCTCAGCCCCCCGAGTAGCTGGGATTACAGGCATGGGCCACCATGCCCAGCTAATTTTGTATTTTTAGTAGAGACAGGGTTTCTCCATGTTGGTTAGGCTGGTCTTGAACTCCTGACCTCAGGTGATCCGCCTGCCTCAGCCTCCCAAAGTGCTGGGATTACAGGTGTGAGCCACCACGGCTGGCCAATTTTTCTTTTTAAGTATTAAAAAAGTGTTGATTGGGCTCTTCCAATGCTCTTGGTTGCTGCGAGGAGCCGCCTGCCATGTCATTCAGGCATAGCGTGTTTATGGAGCCAGGCTCTGTGCAGGATGCTGCATCTGCACCATCAGGACTCAGCCCCCTGGTCAGAGGACACATGCCCCCATGTGAATTAACTTTGTAGACTCCTCGGATGACAGCTGGCTGGGAACAGGTACATGAGGGGTTGAGGCAGAGTGACTCAGCACCCGGGGCTCTGTCAGGGATGGGTGCCAGTCCAGGCCAGGGCAGGGCTGGAGGTGACAAAGGCAGGCGGGGCCGATCTCACAGCCAGAGTGGGGCTTCCTGAAGCTCGTGGCCCTAGGTCTCTCATTGTACAGATGGGGAGACTGAGACCCAGAGGGCAGAAAGAACTTGGTCGAAGTCATGTGGAAAATTTGGGGGCTCGATCTCCACATTGACTTTATTTCCTACTTTTACCCACTCTTGCCAAGGACGTCAGGAAGCATTCTTCTGGGTTCCTTCAGTTTTCAGAAAGCTCCAGGCTTGGATTGGCCTCTGTGTCTTTGACCTGTGTTCTCAAGCTTGGAGGTCCTTGGGGTTCTGGGGAATGGATCCCCAGAGGAGCCCAGGACGCAGGATGGGCACTCTGGCTGCTGGAGCTGGCTCCCTGGCTTGTGGAGTTCGTTATGCACATCTCTTCCCAGCTCTGAGCTCAGGGACTCAGCTGGCACCTGAAATGGCTGCGGAGGGAGTATTTACACCACAGAAATTGGCTGATGCTACAACCCAGAGCTTTTCTCCTGAAGCTGGGAGTGGAACATTCAGCAGCACACCACTACCTGGGCCCCATCCACCTTCAACCCAGGCAGCTCCATGTCATCTGTTTTATGCATTGGGTCTGGGGAAGATTTCATTTGAGGGAGGGTTTAAAAAATTTTTAAAAAATCATTTATTTGTTTTAATCAATCCTGGGTATACCAAGTAAACCTATGCATTATGGACTAACCTGGGCTAACTTGTGTGTTTTGAACTGACCTCTGGGCTAGCAGGTATTCCAAGCCAACCCAGGTATTCTGGGGTACCGTGTGTCTCTGAGCTGGCTAAGTGTGTGGTTTGTATTGAAGCGTGAGTTCTAGGCTAGTCTGGGCTAAGCGATGTGTGATGAGATAACAGGCATATTCTGAGATAATCTGTGGGTTCTGGGCTCCCCTAGGAACTTGTTCCAGGTCCATCTGTAGACAAGGAACAAACTCCAGTCCCAATCCCCTCTTAGGACTTTAATGGTGGAGAGAGGCCCTCAGTTCTCCTTCTGATAAATGAGAACTAGAAGCTACCAAGAAACTTGGAGCTCCTTTGAAAGCGAGTGCCTGGGGTGGCTTGGAAGGTCCAGAGCCAGACTCCTCCTGGACTCCTGTGGGAGAGAGAAGACGCAACTGCTCCTGCCTGAGTCAGCAAGGCTGGGCTGGGTGCATGACCCACTGTGGGACCATTGTGGGCTCTGGGGAGGACGCCAGACAACAGGAGAGCTCTCTCCCTTTCTGAGTTTTCTTCCAGAAGGAAGGCAGGGACCTCATTAAGGACGTGGGTCTACCAAGTCAAGGATACATTTTGGAGTCACTGGTGCATATAATGAAACTTAGAGCTATGAAGTTAGACGGGCTTAGAGATGTTTGAGGCCTGCTACCCAGGACATTCGACTTTAGGAGCTCAAGGCTATAGGAGACAGGGGGAGCAGCCACAGGGCAGATCAAGGGGACAAGGCACAGGGGCAGGTGCCTGGAGCTCAAGAGAGATGAGGGCTGGGAGAGGTTCCAGGAGGCGGGGGCACAAGAGACTTAGAAAGGTGGAAAGGTAGCAAGTCTGGGCAGTGAAGTGTGGGCTGTTTCATAGAGGGCTCTGAGTATCAGCACAGGGAAGGGTTGCTCCATTCTATCAGCAATAGGGAGCCATCGAAGGTTGGTGAGCGGAAGACAGGCATGAAAGACATGGCAGGCCTGGGGGCCCACTTGGTGACTGCAAATAGGAGAGAGAGAGGGCTGGAGGTGGGGACTAGGCTGTGCCCAAGCTAGGGTCTCGACATTAATTTAGGTTTTGGGGTGATCTTGAACCTCAGTTTCCTTTTGTTTCAAGTGGGGTAAAAATTCTAACCCTGCCAAATGGGCCGTTTTGTGGCGGGGGCGCTGACGTGCTCCATCTTCTCTGGGCGCCACGACCTGCCATTCCGACTCTGGCCGCTGGGTGGCAGCCGGCCCCCAGCAGCCCCACCCTCAGCCCTGGGACTGGGTCAGGGGGACTTTCCTGCGCGGTGACCGGGCTCAGGACCACCCCCATCCCAGCCTACAGTTTTCAGGAGGAGCCTTCGCTCCTTACCATCCCACCAGCTCCTGTCCACTTGGAGGCTCCAGGGGCCTCGAGGCCATGAATGAGAACTCACTGTCCACACTGCCCGTCCACACTGCCCGCGTGGGGCCTTTCTCTGGGGCAGCTCTGTGCCAGGCATGGGGCATAGGGGACGTTCTTCATAGGGATGCCAGATTTAGCAAATAAATGCAATACTTGGGATATAATTGTACTAAAAATTATTCATCATTAATCTGAAATTCAAATTTATCTGGCAACTCAGCCCCTATGCCACTGGCCCCCATCGGAGGAGGCCAATCACTCGCACATCCACCCTGAGCACAAGGTGCCTGCCAGCCCGGGCTGTCAGGCCGAGGACTGGCAGAGAGGGAGCTGGCACAGCTCTGCGGGGACCAGCCTCTGCTCACGTCAGCTCCCTGGATGCTGTCCACCTGCCCGTCTACCCGTCTGACTCCCCTCTCAGGACTGGCTGGGCTCTGAGGATGCAGAGACCACCGCCACTGTCCTCACGTTCTCTTGGGCTCTATTTCCATCCTTCCAGTTCCCAGCCATCCGGCGTCTCTGCAAGGCCTTTGTGAGTCTGGTGTGGAGCCAGACGGAACCCACAGCTCCTGCCTGCTCTGGGGGCCCTGCCCTTGGCTCAGCCTCTGTGGTGCACTCTGCCTGGGCTCATGCACTCCTCTCACCACCCCTCAACTGGACCAGGGTAGCCAGAGGGCTGCCTGGGTGGCTCAGTGTCCCTGGGAGCATTGGCAGTGAGCCTTCATCAGGATAGTCACGTGCCTGAGCAGGACTGGGGAGGGCAGGGAAAGGAAATGGGGAGGCAGGAGCTGGATTCTGGGGCACTGAAAATCAGCGGGGAAGAGGAGAGATCTTTCTAGCACATGGAGACATCATCTGTCTCTCTCCTCACCTTCTCGGAAAATATGAGGCTCTGAATCCAGAAGTCTGGCTCTGGGACGCTTCCAGAGACCAGCTGGCCTCGCCTCCTGCTGGATGCTAGATGTGGAAACTGAGTCCCAGAGACAGTTAGCAAGCAACCCAAGTGTTGTCCGGCTCCCTGTCTGAGCTTGGTCCCTGCCTCCTCCAGGCTGGCATCCGCCTCTGGCTCTTGGGCTTTATGAGGCACTTTCTGTCCCTCAGGGTCCCCAGCAGACCATCTGCAGTGATGCAGGCCCGGTCCGGAAGACGTGGCCTCATCCACTGTCTTCACTAGGAAGAAGATTCATGAGGCAGGTGAGTTGGTTTAAAGGAACCTGCAGTCTTTTTATCACCTTGATGGCTACGACGGATTTTGTTTCAGGGAGTATCTGTAAGACTTTAATTAAATCAGGAACTCAGGCCCGGCCAGCTTCCCTGCTGCTTATCAGCTTCTTAAGGCCGTGATTCATTACCCAGGATTATTATTTTTCATCCCTGAAATAATCTTTAAAGGCCTTCTATCAGGGAGATTAAAGCCATAAGTCATACACGCCCACGTGCATGCTTTGTTTTCTCTGCACATGGGTGGTGTAGAGCCACCCAGAGGACTGGGCCATGGTGCTGCCCCAGCCTCCTGGGCTCCTGCTGGGCCCTCTGCTGCCAGGACCAGGAGTGGGGGGAGTATCTGGTTGGCATGACTCTCTGGCTGGGCAGAGGTTCGGCCGTCGTTGTGGGTGCTGAGGTAGCCTAGGCAGGTGGGGAGTGGGTGAGAATGGAACTCCCTGCTTTATGATTTTTCTCCTTCTTTCATTTAACAAATGTTCATTGGCCCCCTGGGCCACTTCCTGTTCTGGGTGCTGGGCAGAGCAAGACAGATGACACGCCTTTTGGGGATACGGACAAGTAAGTGAGCGATGACACCACATTTATTTCTTACTCTGCCTCCAAGCCTCTTTATCTCTTTGCCTTGACTCTCTCTCCCTGTCTTTCTCTCAAATCACAGAAGCAAGGCTTTCTTTTCCAACGGGAGGTAGGATTGCTTACTGGAGGTAGTGGCTTTTGATCTCATGTTGAATTATTCACTGTGAATCTCCCCTGAGCCAGTTTCAGGGGCAGCACGGTCTCAGTCTCGATCCCTAGGCCCTTAAGAATTAACAAAGCCTCCAGCTCAGCCTCTAATGGGGACAAAGGTAACTGGGGGTTTAGAGAGAGGAGGGTGGGCTGCCTGGAGGAGGTGGCTGTGGGGACTTGGAGGTTGGACTGCAAAGAACTTGAACCTAGAGCACGACCTTCCCTTCTCTGGTTGCAGAAGGCTCCAAGTGGATCCTAAACCCTAGGGCTCAAGTGCCTGCCTCGCCTCTTTTTGAGGTAAAATATGCACTGCTGAGGTTCAGCCCTTGATAGGCGCTCCCACGTGTTGGAGCCCTGTGCTCACTGTCAGGCCATTAAGCTGCTAGTCACACGGCCAGATTCCATGGCTTTGGAAATGTTACTGTATTTGTGCAATGTTGTTTTGAGTCATAGTTGCTCGCAGGGTCGGCGGGCTGCCCCTGATTGTGGCTGCTGTGTTTGGGGAGGGGAGCAGGAGATGGAGCTGGGGAAAGCCTCCTATGAAGTCCCAGGGGACTCAAGAGTCCCACCGCACCTGCTAGACAGTGGGGCAGGAGTAGCCACAGGCACTCGTTTGCATGAGCTGACCTTTGAGGAAAGTGTGTATGGGAAGAAGAAATCCCAAGCATGGTTGTGGGTGGACAGAGATAGGGTGAGGGGTCTAGGGAGCTGGGGACCTGAGATGAGAGTCGGCCCCTTCCCCCCAGCTCAGGGCTGCATCAGACTCTGTAGTCCAGCATGTGACTTTCCTTCCTTTCCTTGAATATGTCTTGTCTTCTTCCCCTGCCAGGTCTCTGCACATCTCTTTCTACTGCCACGTCACCTGGGGTCATCCGTCCATCTCAGTGTGCCACACTGCCCAGATGAGGTCAGGCCCCTGTTAATTGCCACCCCTGGAGTGACTTTGTGCCATGACTTTGTGGGGCCAGGCTCCCTTTGTGGTTGTCAGTCCCATGAGAGTTGGACTGTGGTTGACAGTTCATGGCTGGGCCCCTCTACCTGGCACAGAGCAGACCCTCAAAGAGTGTTTGCCAAAGGAAAAGATGAACCGAGGGAAGTGCGGTCACACTGGAGGGCCTTTGGAGACAGGAGATATGGGGGTCCCTGCTTTAGGTCCCTGGTGGTCCAGCATGGCCTGACCCAGGGAGAGAAGCATCCCCCAGCCCACTTCTGTCCAGAACACAGAGGGCCTCATGATGCAAAGAGGACTGAAGGGTTGACCTGGGAAGGGATCAGACCTGGGACCCCTACTCCTTTCTCATGAGGGTACACATGAGGCCTGGGCATGAGCACATAGGAGAGGTCCCTCCCTTACCCTCCCTGGGCCCCCCACATCTTCCTGGGGTGGGGCGGAAGCTGCAATGAAGCGGGTGGAGATGGTGCAACCCATGATCTGGGGGTGGACACTCTGTGACCTCCTTTATCCCACACTGGCCAGGTTGGAAGACGTTTATATTTATATTGATTTGTGTCACCCACGATGACTTCACTTTCTGAAACAAAACTCAGAAATACATGCAGAATTGTTCCAATCCAGGCCACGCTGATTTTCTATAACATCTGCTCCCAATACTATGTTGCACGATGTGTGTGGGTGCGTGAGAAGCCCCGGGATTTTATTAGACAGTGATTGAGTTTCGGGGGGCTGTGGGCTGACCTGCAGTTCATCCAGGAGTTGGGGTGGGGGAAGCCGACTGTGGAGAGGCAATTAGCTGGTGATTCTCCAGAGGCAAAGCCTCTGTCATCACAGCCCCTCTCACCTGCGCCCGGCCTGCCTCCGTGCTCCAGGCTGCGTGTGCACTGCTTCCGACAGCCTCCCAACAACCTTGGCGGGTAGTTGCCACTCTCCCATTTGACAGATGAAGGAACAGAGACCCCAGGGTGCCTCATTCATTCATTCATGCATGCATTCATTCATCAAAAGCTTTATTGTGGATCCAGTGTGTTCTGAGCCCATGCGTGGAAGTGAGGGAGCTGGGCTAGAACTCAGCCCCGTTGGGACCTGAGCTGGTGCCCTGCTCTGTCACAGGCCTTTCCTCTTCCTGCAATGCTGCTGCCCAGAAATGGGCACCTCAGAGGCGCCTGATAAAATCCCAGGGACTGACCGAGTTAACAAGCCAAGGAGATGGCAATGCAGGCAGATGGGGCCTGGGTGGCAGGGCTGGACCCGGGCTCAGAGGCACAGGCACTGGGGTCTGGCCTTTGGGATGCTTGGAATCCAGCCCCGTGCTGGTCCCAGCCCTGTGCCACCCCCTCTGCAGGCTCCACTCCCACTAAATCCTGCCGGAAAACGTAAAACCTTAACAGTCCTTCATCTTCCTGCCTCCCCTGAGCCCTCAATTCCCCCCAGTCCTCGTGGCAGCAGCCCAACCCCCTCAGTCCCTGCCTTGGATACAGCACGTTGAGATTCTCAAGACTCTGTTTTTGTCTTGTGTTAGATCAACATAACAGGAGCGGTGGCAGCAAGGGCGATAAAATAATAAGACTGCTCATGTGTCAGGCTCCGTTTCCTAGCCATGATCTCAGTCTACCCAAGGACTGTAGGAAGGGAGTACTTTGATCATTACACCCATTTTCAGCAAAGGAGACTGAGCGATGACTTTCTCTCCCCCGCAAAACATGGCCACAGCAGATGCCGCTTTGGCTTAATAACCGGTGCAGGAGAGCTTGAAGGCAAGAGGCTTATAGCTGAGAGGAAAGAGCAGACATTTGGAGTCCAGTCTTGGCATTGAACCCTCAACTGCTCTGAGCCTTAGTTTCCTTGCCTGCACAATGGGCCAATGAGCGCTCCCCCTTCATGTAGCTTTTGCGAGGTTCGTGAGATGGTGTGTGGAAAGCCCCAGGCTCAATGCTGGCACAGAGCAGGCGGGGACAAAAGGCACCAGTGAGGAGGAGAGTGGAACACAGAAGGCGAGACAATGATTCTCTTTCTCTGGAAGACAAGCCAAAAAACAGTTCCCGGTCCTGCTTTTCCAGCCCCAGAGGGAAGAGAGACCCAAGGCACCAGGTGCTAAACCAGGAGTCCTGGAGGTTGGGCTGTGTGGCCTCAGGCCAGATCATCTCCCTGAGCCCCAATTTCTTCCTTAATGAAACAGGACAGGCTGAGCCTCACTGTCCACCTTTTTAGGGCATCCCAGTGTCTCGAACAATGTCAGATAGGAAAGCTCTCTGAGAAGTTCCCGGCATTGCTCACATGGGAGGGCGACTGGCTTTTCCAGCACTACTAATAATTTACTCTGTTCTACCTCTCAAGTGGTGAAAAGGAAACTTCTGTAAGAGGATGCTTCCAGCCTGAAATGATTCATCCCCTCTGTGAGATTCCTGTGGCTTCCTGCCACGCCATTTCACCTGCCTCCTGAGCTGCCGGGCCTCGCTGGTCTTGGGTTGGCCTTTGCTATTTGAGACCCTGGGGTCCAGTGCATTGGCTCCTGGAGGTCACAGTGCTACCAGCTTGTTGGGTGGCTGCTCCCACCGCAGCGCCTCCTTTCTCAAATGGCTGGGATTGTCTGCGGGATCCAGCGTGATGGTGTACAGACATGGTGGCTGGTGCACAGCTCACAGGAGGTGCATGAGCCATGTCAGGCTGCTCTTTCTTAACTCCTCGGCCCAGTGCCTTCCCCTCCTTCCACATCAGCTTCCTCCAGACACGGTGGCTGGCGTGCAGCTCACAGGAGGTGCATGAGACATGTCAGGCTGCTCTTTCTTAACTCCTCGGCCCAGTGCCTTCCCCTCCTTCCACATCAGCTTCTTCATCTATAGAATAAGGAGTTTGGAACTTGAACGACGGCAAAGTGTGAGGCCATACTTTGGGCTGCCCCACATTCTCTAAGGCCGATGGCAGCCATCACTCATCAGCCTGAAGCAGCTGCAGAATCCTTAACCCAGGACCCAGAGAACCTCAACCCAACGGTTCATGGAGGGCTGGAACTTCTAAGCCATGGATTTCTAGCATCCGAAACAGTTTTGAGGTGGGATGTTCAAAGATTCCATGTGGGGGAGAGGATCTCAAGCTTGCTGGAAGGAGGAAGAAGAGTGGGAGGAGGAAAATGGTAATTCCCCATGTGTATAAGCCTTGTGGTTTACAGAGCATCCTCACCTTGAGGGTGCCCTGTGATACAGGAGGACCTGCCTGACAGGGAGGTGAGAGATGGGGCTGAGAGGCCCAGGCCTTGGGCTCTGCACCCTGTGACCCTTCCCCAACTCATGGCTCCAGACGGGCTCCAATACCTGTCATGGCCACCATCCTTTACTGAGGGCCTACTGTGTGCTCGGCCCAGAGCCAGGCATGCACATCTATGATCTCACGACTCCTCACAGCCACCTGCAACCCCGTCTTACAGACAGGCAGGCAGAGGCTGAATTGCCGTGACTTGGTCATCAAAGGCTGCACAGCTAGATGGGAGCTGAGTGGGTGAGCTCCCATCTGTTTCTGCTGGATTTGCCCAGGCCATTATCCAGGTCCCCGACATCAAATGAATTCTATAATTTGTAAACGCAGCCGAGTGGCTTTTACAGAGGAATGTCGGGAAGTGATAAAAAAAATACTTCTGATAGATTTATGGAGCAGCTGAATGCCAGCATCTTGCCTCTCTCCTGCTAGCTTCAGGAGCCACGTGAGGCCGGAGCAGAGGCCTGAGCAGGCTTTTGTGGCTGAGAGCCAGGCCTTTCATCGGCTTTTACAAGACAGGTTTACAGCATGGAGGAGATGGTGGCACAGGGTGGGAGGAGGGAGCCGCCTCCATCTGGGGCTCAGACAGAGTAGATGACAGATCAGCCCCTGAAGCCTAGGGGGTCAACAGCCCTTGCCCTCCCCCAGGGTTCTATACCCTCCCTGCCAATGCCTGGGGCCTCAAGGGCTGAGGGCATCTTGGGGTGGGGCTAGGAACCTTGGTCCTGACACATGGTGTGACCTGGGACCCTCAGTTTTCTTCTCTGGGCCTCAGTTTCCCCATCTCTAATGCAAGGGGCTTGAACTAGTGCAGTGGTCCTCAACTCCCACTGAGCATCAGAATACACACCCAGCAGGCCCACCCAGCAGGGATCCGATCTGGGAGCTCTGTAGGGTGGAGCCTGGTGAGGGGTCTGCTGTGACTCTGATGGACAGATGGGGCTGAGAACCACTTCTACAGAGGGAGGAGCTTCAAGACCTCTAGGCCAGTTGGCTGGTGAGTTCAGGAGGCTGCAATGCTGTCTGGGGTTCCATTCCTTTCCTGAAACCCACCTGCTGGGAACAGAGTCACCTGGGCCCAGGTATGGTGGAAGGCAGGGAGACATGTCCAGCCCCCAGGCCTGAAGGCTGCAGTTGCACCCAGGATGCTCTCCCCATTCCCACCGCCCTCCAGGCTCAGCATGAACTGTCAGCTGGGAGTGTGTGGAGCAGCACTGGGGACCAGGGACCCCGCTGTGTGCCTCCTTTTCCACATTACTGTGTTTAATCCACTGCCAAATCCTTCAGAGTCCACCTTCTAGATACATCTAGGATCCATAATGCGCTCCATCACTCCTGCCACGCCCTTCTCCAAGCCACCACCATGGCTTCTCCTGGATGACAGCAGTAGCCTCCCCAGTAGTCCCTACCTCATGATGTGGCTTGTTTCCCCTACAGTAGCCAGAATGAGCATCTGCAGACACAAACCAGCCCCTGTGGCTCCCCAAAGGTTGCTGCTGCACTCAGGATGCTCTATCCCTGCCCTGCCCTCCAAGGCCCCACTCTGCTCCCTCTCAGGAAGGGGTGGCTGGTGCCTGATGGAATTCACAGACGGAGCTCCGGAAGGCATGGAGCAGGGGAGGGGATGAAGGCAGCAGGGTGAAAGTGGGGCCGTGATGTCCCCTGGTGTCCCCTTTCTGCTCATCACCAGCACATCAAGGCTGGAAATCACTCGCTGGAGAAGACATGCCCGAGGTGCCTCAGGGGTGTGATCACAGCCTTCCAGGAATTAAAGGGTAGTGGCCGAGAAGAGGAGACAGGCACATGTATTCTGGGAGCTCTAGGAGCAGGAGGAAGAAGGAAGGCAGGGGGAGAAGGGGAAGGGAAAAGTGACTGAAGAAAGGCCACTGTTAGCCTGCTGTAAGAACTTTCTAGCCCTTAGAGATGGTCCCTAATGGAATAGACTGCCTGGTGTGGTGGGGAGCTATGAGGAGCTGTGGGCATTGGAGCAGAGGACAGTGACAATGAGCTGAGGGACATGGCGATGAAGCTGATGGCCTCTAAGACCCCCCCCAGCTCTTTGGTTCCACCCTGGCCCCATCATATATGGAAGCCATTGGGAGAGCCACCAGGAGGTTACAGAGTAGGGTGACCAACTGTCTCAGTTTGCCTGGCACTAAAGCGTTTTCAGGGGTGTGGGAGATTTCGCGTTAAAGCCAGGAAAGTCTTGGGCAAATGGGAACAAGTTGGTCACCCTACGAAAACATGTCTTGTGGGAATGCACCCCTCCCAAGTTAGCATGGCTCTGGCCCACACACTGAACTCCCAGGCTGGCAGAAATGCCCTGGACCCTCCCTGCCTCCACTCTGCCTCTCCCCTTTCTGCCCTGAAGCCAGGAATAATGGAGCTTGCCTCACTGGGAGGGGCAGACATGGAGCCCCCTGGGCCAGGAATGGTTGCTAATGACAGGCCAGGCCACCTAAAGGCCCTCTCACTTGCCTTCTCTGGGCCTCTATTTCTCATTCTGTGAAGTGAGACCATGTGGGATGGGTGGCTGGAGAGGGTGCTCCCATGGGTACCTGTCAGCCTGACACTGGGCCCCAGTCCCACCTCTCTTCTCCCTGGCCCAAGGCCGCCTTCCCAGCCTCTTTCCTGCTGCACATGGGTGTGTGGGGAGAGGGAAAGTGGCAGTTTCCTCCCTCTTCCTCCAGCAGGCAGGCTGGGGAGCAAGGGACCTACTCATGCCAGTTTCCTGTGTGTTGCCTGCCTCAGCTGTCTGTCTGTCTGGCCCCAGCCAGGCACCCTCTGTCACTCCCACCCAGCTTACTGTGCCTGGGCAAGGAAGGGTAGAGGGCTGGCAGGAGGGGTGGGCTGAGGTGAGAGCTTCTGCCTGCTCATGGCCTATGGAGGGCACACACAGAGCTGCACCTTCAGTCCTCAGTCCTCAGAGGGTGGCTGAATGAGGGTCCCAAAGTTCACCATAGCTGAGCTTCAGCCCTGGTGCTGCCTGTAACCAGCAGAGCCTGGGGTGTGGAGCAGATGGCACAGGGCAGGGGTAGCCTCAGTCCAGGAGCCAGGAAGCTGGGGCCCCATGCTGACCCCCCACTGACCTGGGCAGGCCAGCGATGAGCCTCGATGTCATTCCTGCCAATTGCTGTGGCTCGGACAGCAGGCCCTGCAGTGCTGGCACCTCGGATGGATGCAGGTGCTGACTCTTACCATGAAACCTGCTCACAGGCCTCGTTGGTGCCCAGCTCCCCAGGAGCTGTACTTCTAGCGTCGCTCTTCCTCACATGTCCCCTGAGCCATCTACAGATTCCCTCATGGCTGCCGTGCCCGAGTACGCACACTTGCACACACACCTTCCAACAGCCTACATCTTCAGACTCCCCATCTTCACACAGCCCCTGCCTCCATCCCCCACATACATACCTTCATACACCCCACACACTTTCGCACACTCACACACTCACACATCCCCCAGCCCCAGAACTACCTGGGAGGGAAGGCGATGGAGTGACAGCAGGAGATCATATGTTAAGAAAAATTGCCGGAGAGGTTTGCTTGGGAGCACCTGCGGGATTGGCAGAGGGTTGGGCCAGCCGGGCACTGAAGCCCTCCCTGTACTCGAGGAGTCCTGAGCTGATCTCTTGGTCCAGGCCCCAGGCTCTGGTCTCCATCTGTCCAGCCCTCCAGGGTGCCGGTCACCTGACAGTGCCTGAAAGGTCACCTGGCCCTGTGCCCCTACAACAGCCTGGTTCCGGGCAGTGGCTTGGCTCTCGCCACTCCACATCCCCGATGCCGAGCTTTAGGCCTCTTTAAAATGCAGGAGGAAATGAAGTGGGGAGAGCAAAGGTGACTGGCCCAAGGTCGTGTAGAAACCAGGAAGGAAACTAGATCTCCCCAGAGAGGCTGTGAGATGCGCTAGAAACAGCAGAGCCTCCTTCAGGAGACAGGGCTGTGCCGGCCCCACCCGACCCTCTCCACCCTTGGCCTCAGCCACCCTCCTTGGACCTCAGTTTCCTTCTTTGTCAACCATGGATGCTGGCCAGGCCACCCTTCCCAGGCTTTTTCCTGCCCCAACATGCCAGAGAGATCTGCAGCCTCTCTCCGAGCCGTGACTGGGCCTCAACTGGCCCGACTCCTATGTGCACTTGGGTGTGAGGTGGGAGGGGCTCCTGGGACAGGAGACTGGATTCTGGCCACAGCAGCTAACCCTAATGGGCCCCAGTGCTGGGCCATGAGCCCATGAAGTCCTGTGCAGCATGGCCTTCCAGGTTGCTGGTGTCTCAGGCTGCCAGTTTCCCGAGCTCTCTCATCCCACAGAGGGCCCTGGGGCAGTGGTGGGAGGAAACCCCGAGGGTTCTGTGTTTGTGGAGGAGCCCGCATGAGGAAAGGCATTCATCTGTTTGGGGTGCTGGAACCCTTTACTCACTAATTCCAGAGGTTCATCCAGGTGGCCTTAAGATAAAGAAGTTTATTGGGAGGAGAGATGGAGCCAGGAGCCAGGCAGCTCAGGACTCCTCCCTGCCGCCTCTCCGCCTCCTTCCTGCCTCACCTCCAGGGTCTCTGACTCTTCTTCTACTTGTCTGCTCCATCCTCCACCCTCCTCCTCTGCCCTCTTGCTCTAGCTTTTCTTTTTGTAGAGATGGGGTTTCACTGTGTTGCCCAGGCTGGCCTTGAACTCCTGTTCTTAAGCGATCCCATAGCCCTATCTGATGGTCTATTGCCCATGGGGCAGAGCCCTCAGTGCCAGTTCACATGATGGGCCTGGCTGCCTATGGGGGGTCATTTCCCCATCCAGTCAGTGCCATCTGGCAGGTGTGGGTAGGACCATCACAGCTAGAAGAGGACATGACACCCTGAGTGACATAGCAGGACATGGGGACATTGTGCAAGGCTTTCTGGAAGAGGAGAAGTCGGGACTTGATCTTGAAGGAGAAGCAGGATTTTAAAGTGTGGTGAATGTTCTGTTCGTAGCTCAGGGAATGCTAGAAATGTGGGCTGAAGAATGGTCCACCTAGAGGAGTCTCAGAAGCCATGGGGTGAATGGATCAGAGCGACCGCGGGGAGAGGAGGAGGAGGAGAGGAGGAGGAGGGATTTGCAGGCCAAGGGTACAAATCTGTAGAAGGTTTGCATTGCAGGAGAAGCTCAGGGGCGAGAGCCACTTAGGACTGGGACAAGAGTTGGAGCAGTGCTGGAATGGGGCTGTGTGTCCCAAAACCAAGGGGAGTGGGCGGCAGCTGTGAAAGAGTCCAGAGTGACAATTGGGAGGCTGAAGGTGACCTGGTGAGAGCAGCTTCTATGGTGTGGTAGGGCATCACCTGATTGCAGGGGTGAGGGTGTAGACACAGCAGGCATAGGCCTCTTTGGATGTTCATGAGTGAGAAAGGGCCCTGACACCTGAATGCTTTGCATGCCCAAGGTGAGCAGTGAGAACAGTGAGTGGCAATGCTCATGCCTGCCTCTCCTGGGGAACGCTTTGGGGTCGGCATGGTCTGGACAGAACCAGAGGGAGGGCGGTGGGAGTGAGGGTGGAATGCCCTAGACCAGGGTGTGGGAGGCCGCCCTCCTGGGAGCTAGACACCCCTGTCTGGGCTCTCCACTCTCCCTCTGGGTGACCACAGGTTGCTTCCATCTCTGATCCTATTTCCTTATCTGTAAACTGGGGATAGTGATTCTGCTCTGCCCCTGCCTCCCACGGTCATGGGGATTGAAATGAAGAGTCATGGTTTAGCCCACGTGCCTATTTGTTGATGGGTGGGGCTGGGGAGGGAAAGGAATGACCACGGCTTCATCATTCACCAGCACTGAAGGCGAGGGGGTGACCTGGGTGCCCGTCCAGGATGCAGGCCCAGGGCTCCTCCCTCAAGGAAGCTGCAGAACAGAGATGACCCTGCATGGTTGCTGGGAGAAGGCAGGTCTTGAGTGAGTCTGGCCCTGAGGGGCAGGGTCTTGGTGGAGTGGCCAGTTGGCTTTGCTAGGCCTGGGCTCCCTAGGTTGACCTGCCCTTGCACAGCGTCTGCCCTTTAACTAGGAGCCTTAGCCTGAAGGAGCCCGTGGCTGATGGGAGAGTTTCCGGCATCCTCAGGTGGGCAGGTGAGTGAGAGGTGAAGTCCTGGGTGAGGCCCTACTGAGAGATCCCAAATCGATCTGAGGATCCAGCAGCCCATTCCGCAGGGGGCTCCCTTTGCTCTGCTTCCAGAAAATTAGGGACAGTGTGGGAGTCAAAGGATGGCTGTTGCAGTTTGGGGTGTTGGGCAAGTCTCATGGGAAATGACTGCTTAAAACAGGGGCATGTTTTGAGTCCCAGGCCCTTGCTTTCTACGGGGTGTTTGTGGGGGCAGGGGCTTCTGTCTATCATCTGTGAGGACCACACACTGCCTCCATTCCAATTGGCAGTGGGTGGGGCCCTCACCCAGCAAGAACCAGAAGGAGGAGCAGAGACAGCTTCTGTTGAGGTCTGGGCACTCATTTGGGGGGTTATATCTCCCTGGGAGCCAGGAACAGTTGATCCCGCAGAGCTTGGTCCCTCGTGGCCTCTCTGTACCCTCAAAGTTGCCCATGCCCCCAGCTTTTCCACCTGCTTCCTGGGCTCCCGGCACCTCCTGCTGGACCTGTGGGCAGGAGCAGGTTGGGATCAGACTCAGAGGCCTTGGCTCACTTAGGTGTTGTGCTGAGGGGCTGGGGTCCTTGTTTGCCAACCCCCACACTCCCGCTCCACCAAACCAGTTTATGAAACTGCAGAACCACAGTAAACTCCTTCCCCTGGCAAGCCAAGGTGGTTGGGCGGGGTTGGGGTGACAATATGTTTCCAGGGGCCCCAGGGTTCTCTCCTCACAATTACCCTGCTAGAGACAGCCTCTGATGATCCAGTCTGGCCATGTCACCAGGCTGAGAGGGACGGCCCACCCAACAGAAGCCACAACAGGTCCCCAAAGAATTTCTGCAGGCTGGGACTCCTGAGTGAAATGAAGAAGTGGGATTCAACAGAGAGAAATGTGAAGTCTGCCAGCTAGGTATGAAGGGCCCATGGCTCAGCTTGAGGGAAGTTTGTGCAAAATCTGCTTGGGAACGTTTGTTAACTTCACACGAACTAACAGTGTGAGCAGCTGCCAAAGCCCTGTGCAGGTTTGCATTGCATTAACTGTTGACATCGGTCTGGCTGTGCACAGACCTCAGCCCGAGTGAGGGACCCTACCCTTGGATAAATGTTGGTGAACTGCCCTGTGTCTTTTGGAGAGGAGTGGGTGGTGCCTGGGCTGCAGAGCCAGGCCAGGGCAGGACTTGGGAGGAACATGATGGAATTCTCAAGGTCTGAATGTCTGTCTGGGGGAAGGAGAATTCCACTTGCTCCAGGTGATTCCTGAAGGGAGAGCTAGCTCCAGAGGGTGGGGAGGGCCAAGAGGTGATTTTCAGCTCAAATGAGGAGAAGTTTCTAGGTTGCCACTCTCCCCCAGTGGCTGCTGGAGGCACAGGGGCAGGAGTGAGTGTCTCAGCACTAGCAGCAGTGTGAGCAAGGGATGGTGCTTTGTCACATGTCTTGCACATCCAAGGTAACCAAAGGACATTTAGTCCAAAGGATTCCAAAGAAAGGGATGACTGAGCCCTGCACCTGGGGGCTGACAGTATTGTCTGTGAGACTTGACTCAGACAAAACACAGAGAGGAAACGGCAATCAGTGGCAGATTGGTTCCACCTTTCTGGAAGAAGCTGGTCTCAGTTAAAGCTGCCCTGCAGTGAGCAGCAGCCTGTCCTTGCAGGAGTGCAACTGAGACCAGATAACCTTGGGCTGGAAAAGGGATTCCAGTTTCAGGCATGAGGAGGGGGTTGGATGTGAACAGACAACCTCTGCGGTTCCTTTGAGTCCAGAGTTCCTCGGCAGAGAAAAACACCCGCAGAACTCTGAGCGGCACACAAGGTTACAGAGGACGGAGCAGAGATCCGAATATAGCTGGCGGGAGGAAGGCGGCAGCGGGCGAGGGGAAAGTAGGTCCTTGGAACAAATGAGGTGGGGCATGAAATTAACGAGGCTGGAAAAGGGCTGAGCTCAGGGACTCCTTTTTAAAGACTGTCTTTTAGTAAGAAAAATGAGGAAAAGAAATTTGGGCAATGGAGATATAATGGAGATTGTAAATGTAGCTATTGACAGCTGGCCCATTGGCCGGAGAGAGGGGCCGCTTGGAGAACAAGGAAGAGATGTAGATCAGTGGGTCTGGGGTGACCCCAGCATGGCATGCAGGGTGGACAGGAGTTGGCTGCTGACATCAGCTGCCCACACCTTGAAGGCTGCTGTGCTCCAGCCCTTGAGCTGGGCCATTCTGTCCCCCTACTGTCACGCACTGTGCTGTGACCTGTTTATCTTATCCCCTGACCTTGGCACGTACTCATCCCTCACTGGGCGTGCCACTTTTCTCCTTTTTGCCTTTCTGGGTTTCACCCCAATCACTCAGCTGAGTCCCTGCCTCTCCAAGAAACCTTCTCTTATGGGCTCATAGCCCACACCCAGTTCTGTTCTGAGCATCTGGGGGCCATTCCACCCACTTGGCGCTTGGATGGACACATTCTTAGGAGCTCAAGCAGCCTGTCTGTGCAATGGGGGAGGGCCTGTCCACCAGGCTCGGTCAGCAGAGTGGTTGGAGGACATAGGATGGACAGTTATTTGCCCCCATGGTGCTGGCCCTCTGGAAATTTAGAGTCCCTAGAAGCCCCGCCATGTCCTGCTTCTTACCTGTGATGTAGGGGTGGAGATGGAGGGGCTTGAAAGGGCCCCTGGTGGCTTTCCCTTCCCTGGCCACTAATCCAGGCTGCCTGCTCCCTCCTCCCAGCCCTGCCAGCTGGCCAAGCTTATCCTGTGGCCCTGTCCAGGTGACAAGGCCCTGGAAGAGGGCCAGCCAGCTGGACTTCTCAGGAGCTGTCACCAGAGCCCCAGAATATGGGGAGTGGAAGGAAGCACAGAGGCAGCAGGGCCCTTCTCTGGGGAAGACAACCAGGGACACTGGGAGCCTGAAACCAGAGCCATTTCACACCTTGCCTATTAATTGCCAGATTGATTTTGGATCCCAGTCTCCAGGAGGACCCAAAAATCAATCCCCTCCACTCCATGCTTCTCTGGGCTCAGGAGTCGTTCTTAAAGCTGCAGCTGTCCTGGCTGCTGTGGCTGAACCTTCCTGTCCAAGAGCAGGCTGTGGGTTTCCAAGCATGCTCAGGGCTAGGCGGCGGCTGTTGGCTTTATTCCAGATCCACTGATCTCTGTGTAGGAAGACTCTTACCCTGAAGGGGAGCCATGGGGTATGATTGGAGAGGTGTTAAGAAGGCTCTCATTCTCAAAGCTCCCTCCTACCAAGATGCCCGATACCCGTAATTCCACCATTAGGAAGTCATTTCTTTGGATACATTTAGGTCAACAGTCCCAGCTTCCAAAATATGGAGGCCCAGGAGAAGGAACACAGATTAAGGCTGTACCATTGCAGTTCCTTGTGAATGGAGGCACTGGAGGCCTCAGGGCATCAGGAGAGCTCTGTGTGAGGGGTGGGGAGGAGGAGGCAGATGTCAGGGCGTGGGGGAGGGAAAGTAGAAGTTGAAGACCACCCAAGAGGAGGCTGTGGAGGGGTGGTGAGCAAAGGAACAGTAGGTACCCCCAAGGCATTTCCCACCTGGGGGGCTGCTTTGGGGCTGTGGTGCTGGGAGACTGGCTCTGTGGCAGGTGAGATAAGATGAAGGAACTCCCGTTGGCTGGGTACCCTCTGTGCCTCCAGCCTTTAGCCAAGCACAGTGGCAGTCTGATGTCACCACCACCCTGTGGGAAGGGCTCCCACAGCCTTGTTTCTTAGATGAGACACTGAGGTGGTGCATGAGGCTGGGTGACCTGCCCAAAAGGTCACACAGCTGCTCCTGCAGCATGGGGGCTGGAGCTTGGGTCCGCCACCTCTTCATGCCATGATTTCACTGCCTCCCGCCTCCTCCGCAAAAGGGGCCAGGAGTTGAGGAGGCTTCTAAGAAGTTGGGAGAGCCGGAGCATAATGGAAGGGGTACCTGAGGTCAAGGACGCCATGATTTCAAGAAGCTGAGGCAGGAAGTTCTATGACCCGCTGATGTTAGAAGCTGGGGACAGCCCCTGGGCTTCTGTCCTCAGCCTCCCTGACATCCTGCCCTGTGCAGAGCCCGCACATGTGTGAAGGCCTGGTGGGCAGGTCTCCTGCAGCCTCAGCCCAGTGGCTGCTGCCTGCTACTCCATCATGGCTGTGGAGATGTGGGCTTTAGGCAGGGTCACTGCAAGTCACCCTGTGTGCTTAGGGACATGGGGACATCATTGCTCATCCCCTTCCCACATGGACCCAATTACTGATGCAGCACTGCGTGTTCCCACGGCCACCAACACGGGCCTCATTCCTGGTAGCATCACAGATGGACAAAGAGGTCCTGGGCCTCCCTCCACCCCCCCAAGCCCATTATGCTAATTTCAGGTGTGTCTCCACTTTGCCAGCCTGGAGGGTGGAGCGTGTGTGTGTGTGTGTGTGTGTGTGTGTGTGTGTGTGTGTGTGTGTGTTGGGGAGGGAATGAGGCAGCAACTGCAAGAAGTTTGGTGCAGTTACAGGGAACAAGTCTCATCTTTGCCCAGCCTGTGAGCCCCTTGAGAGCAGGGGCCATGTCTGTTTTCCAATAACTGACCCCGAGGGCCTGGCATGGATGTGGGTACTCAGTGCATGTTTGTTTAGTGACTGAATGGCTGAGTGAGTGAATTAGGAATCTCTTGGTGGCCATCTGAGTCCTCGCCCAGCCACAGCTATGCTGTGTGGCTTTTGGTGAGTTGCTAGATGTCTCTGTGTGCAGATACCTGAAAATAGTGCCAACTGGGAAGAATGGCTAATGACAGGCATGTGCTGAGGGGATAGTGTGGGCAGGAGGGCTCTGCAGTTTGTGGAAGGTGCCCGCAGTGTAAACTGCTGGGGACACTGGGGTCTCTCTCTTTTTCCCAAGGCAAGGCTGACACGGTTTGGAGCACAGTGTAGTTTTGAGTGGGAGGAGGGGGCTGTCCTAGGCTTGGTTGGGGTGGGGGCATGTGGACTGGCATTGGAACTGAAGGGTGACAGGGAGGGCTGGGTCGGGGCTTGGCCAGGGGTTGAGGTCAGGGGATGGCTCAGGCAATGGCTGGGGGCTCACGCGGATCCTGAATGAAGAAGTTGGTCAGAGCTGGGTACAGCTGGGGTTGGCTTCAGGACCTCAACTCAGGGCTGGACCAGAGGTCTCACCAGGTCAGGGCCAGTGTCAGCCTGGGGCCAGTGCAGATTCTGTCCAATAGGAGCACTGGGAATGGCTCACTGTCCTGGCCTCATTTGCTCTGAGCACATAAGCTGAGTGGGTGGATAACCAAAGCTTTCTGAGGGTGATGGCCTTGAAGAAGTCCTCCTGTCCCCAGGTTGTCCTCGGGGAAGCTCAGGGCTGCCCAGGGACCCAGGGGCCATTTCACCCTGTCTGTGTGTTGTCAGGGGAAGGACAGAATTGCCCAGCTAGCACTGACTAGCAGCTGGAGGGTGGTGTCATCAGCATTTCTCACACATGCACGACACTCTATAGTTTATAACCCCTTTCCTACCCTGCATCTTCTTATCCTCTCCACAGCCCTGAGAAGCAGGCATGACAAGAGAGGATGCCCGTGTTACAGATGAGAAAAACAGAGGCCCTGGGAGGAAGCTTGCCTAATGCCACTCAGGAGGTAGAGGCAAAGCTGGGAAAGGCCCTGGGTCCCCAGACTGCCCCTCTGGAACTCCACATGCAGCCACCTGGCTGTCCTGCCCGGGATGCCATCCGCAGGCTAGGCTGGCGCTCATGCCCATGCCCTGCTGTCCACTGACACCCCGCAGAGCTTAACACCCCGCTGAGCCTGCCCTGCAGCCCTTGCCAAGTCTGTCCGAGTGGCCTCAGTCATTGGCAAGTCACATTGCTGACATCGCAACTGCATAAAATTAATTTATTTAGTTAAGGGAGGTGTTAATTAAGAGTTCTCGTTTATTGTCTTTGCAGACAGCTCTCGGGGGCTTCTGAGTTGTCATTGCTGGTGACAGCAAAAGCTAATGGTATCACAAGTTATTAATAGGACGGTGTGAGAGGCGGAGGGGCAGGAGCTGGGGCTGTGGGGGATGGGAGAATGGAGAGCTGCGGGAGGGGAGAGGATGGTCCCCTACTTTCTTCTCACCAAGTTGGGCTCCCCTCTGCAAGCTGATCCGATCACAGGCATTTTCTGGGGGATCTGGGGTTTGCTGCCAGGCCCCGTGATGCTCAGGATTTTGTGAGTCCTGAAGGAAGTGTCCCCAGGCCAGTGCCCACCCACTCCTGCTGCCCCCATTCCCCCAGTTCCTGGTGTTTGCCTTGAGGAGTGTTGGCTCTCACATAAAGAGCTCATTCTTTGCTTGCTTTGTCTCTTCACTTACCCTAACCCTGAATATCTTGGGGTGCATCTAGTGACAGTTTTAGCTCTGCCTCCCTAAAGCTTAGCACAGAGCTTGGAGCTTCATGGGAGGGCAACAGACATTTGCTAAGGGAATAAGGGGTCCTCTGCCCCCCAGCTGGTCTCCAAGTCTGGCCTTCTTGCTGAGTGATGTTGGGGTCATGGGTGGGGATGGTGGGAGAGAGAGGGCAGGTGGATCCACGACTCCACAAGTCCCCAGCCTCTTTCAGTGCCCTCAGCCTTGCAGCCCTGGAGATCCACAACCTGGGGAGTGGATAGATCTTTGCTGATGAAGGTGAGGTGTGCGCAGGTATGGGCAGCCAGGTGTGGGGCAGGCTTGCCAAGGTAGGGTAGTGAATGGGGAGTCATCAGTGAACTCTGCACAAGGACCACCATGGGGAAAAGGGAAGAAGAGATTTTAAACTATTTTTAGCTAAACAACGATGGCTGCAAATCAGCCACTTGGTGCAGTGGAACAAACACAGCCAAGCAGCTCAGACCTGCAGGCCTGTCCCTGACAGTCTCCGTGACCTTGCGAAGGTAACTGCTCTCTGGGCCTGGCTTCCCATCTGTGAAGTGGAGGACTGGGCTGAAATTGACAAATTTCAATGCCCAATGTGTTCCACACCTCCCATGTCCTGCACAACTCACCTTCCAGTAGATGTGCCAGGCCCTTCATGGTTATCATCTCAAATGCCTACAGCTTCCCTGTGAGGGAGAGTCAATTATTACCCATTACAGTTGGGGAAACTGAGGTTCAGATGAGAAAACGGAGGCCATTTAATTTGCTCAAGGACCCATAGTCAGTGGAATTTAAACTCAGGTTGGTGCTCTTTCCAGAATATCAGCTTATCTCCACTGATCACCTGGGATGGGGCCAGTACAAGGGAGACCCTGCGTTAGATGTGGGCTCGTTGACCAGGGCAGGCAGAGCTGAAAGGAAGAGATCAGAGCACCCATTGGATTCAATGGGCCCAACTGCTGAGCTCCTGGGGCATGGGAGGACAGGTTCTGAGACCATGATGGGACCAAACACACCCTGCACCATGAGTTCCAGCAGCCGCCTGCCCCAACTACCTCCTGCCTGCCTTTCCTCCTCTCATCTCAGAGACACCGTCATTCATTCAGGACACATTTATTAGGGAGCTGGCCTGACAGCTGGGAGATGGATCAGGCTGTCCCCTGCCCTCAAGGGGCTCACCACTGAGTGGGAGAGGTGGCCCCATGAACAGTAAGCCCCACAATGGGTCACAGGGATGGGGATAGCACATGCACCCCCCCAAGGAACGAGGGAGCAAGGGGCAAGTTCAGGTCACCTAGGGCTCCCTGGCAGGAATGATTGCCTTTCACTGAGGGAGGGTGGTCAGAAATGAATTCCTAGAGGAAGCAGCCATTGAGCTGAGTCTTGAAAGGTGAGTAATATTCACCAAGTGGAGGGGATGGGGTTGCGGGGTGGGTCTTCGGGTAGGGCGAGTGGTGTGAGGAGAGTCTTGCAAGTGTGGGAAGAGGGGTATCCAGAAGTGAGGTGGGCGAGGGCTAGAGCACGCAGGGCATTGCACACCAACTTAGAGTCTGAACTTCATCCGGTGGCCTCCCCGGGGATGCTGCTGAGAGTAGGAAGAGGGAGATTTAGTTTGGGTTCCGCCAGAAGCCGATCCTGAGATGTGTGTTTAAGTGCAAGAAACACCGTAGGGACAGCAGGAAGGCAGGAGGGGCATTACCGAGCCAGCTTCCATGGTGGATGAGTGAAGCCCAGTCCTGCTGGGGAACCTGAGAGCTGGCATGGCACATGCGCCCACCCAAGGAGTGAGGGAGCAGGGGGGTTTATGTAGCAAGTCTCACCAGCCATTGCTTGAAGGCTGCTCCCAGGAGGCATCCTTGACATTTCTGGCCTTCTCTTCAGCAAAGAGGACCCAGCAGTCAAAGTCCTCAGGCAAAGAAATAAAGATGGCAGTTGGCGGTTGGGCCAGTGTGCCCTGAAATGGGAAGGAAGAGGGGATATAGGTGGAGAACCAACAGTGTTTGCTACAGTGGCTGAGTTGTGAGAACGTCCAAGAAAGGAAGGTAGAGCACTGCTCAGTTTCTGCCAAGTCTAGGTGGATGGACTCTGAGGGCTGCTGCTGGTGGAAGAATTGCCTCCATCTGCACCTTCGCCAAGGCCTCAGTCTGGGGGCCAGACCTCAAGACAGGAGGCTGCAAAGAATTTGGTCCTAAGCGCCAGCACTTGAGAAATACAGATCTGAGTTCAAGTGCTGATTGCCACTTTCAAGCTGCATCCTTGAGCAAGTTACTTATTATCCTTGAACTTGAGTCTTCTCCTCTGAAAAAGGGGAGATAATACTACCCACGCTGTGGGATTGTTGTGATCAATAAATGAAATGATATCTGTAAAGTATTTAGCCCAGTGCCTTGAATACATTATGTGCCCAATGAATGTTTGTTATCATTATGATTTTATTATTCCAATGATAGGTAAAAAAGGGAGGAGCAAGATGCAGGCTTGTAGAAAACACTGCCAACTTACCAGCCCAGAGTGATTTTCAGTGGCCCACTTTGTCGTTAGGAGTTAAACAGGCGGCCAGGTGTGGTTGCTCACAGCTGTAATCCCAGCATTTTGGGAGGCTGAGGCGGGCGGATCACCTGAGGTCAGGAGTTCAAGACCATTCTGACAACATAGTAAAACCCTGTCTCTACTGAATACACAAAAATTAGCCAGGTGTGATGGTGCATGCCTCTGGTCCCAGCTTCTCAGGAGGCTGAGGCAGGAGGATTGCTTGAATCCAGGAGGTGGAGATTGCAGTGAGCTATCATGCCACTGCACTCCAGCCTGGGCAACAGAGCAAGACTGTCTCAAGAAAATAATATAATATAATATAATATAATATAATATAATATAATATAATATAATATAATGAGAAAAATGGAGTAGGCAGTTCTTGTCTGATAAGGCCATTCCTGGGTCTTGGAGGTGTTAAACAGGCTCATGCAGCATTTCTGGACTTTGTGAGCATAAATTGAACCAGCAGCAAGTGACTTTATATGTCTCTGCTCATAGGTACTGGTTGTGACAATCATTTCTTTGTCTATGACACCTGTCTCCCCAAGAACTCAAGATCAGCTTCAGACATTAACCTAGTGATTATTGCATGATCTCAAGACTGTCCTTGAAATAGTCTCTGAAGATATGGAGCAGAGGAAGGAACATTGAACAAGAAGTGTGGGTTCTTATTTAATTTTTATTTTATTTTGTTTTGTAGAGACAGTGTCTTGCTATGTTGCAAGGAGTCTGGAATCTTATTTAATTTTATTTATTTTATTTTTTATACAGATAGTATCTTGCTATGTTGCCCAGGCTGGTCTTGAACTCCTGGCCTCAAGTGATCCTCATGCCTTGGCCTCCCAAAGTGTTGGGATTATAGGCGTGAGCCACCATACTTGGCCAAGGAGTCTGAATTCTAATTTGGGCTCTAAAATGAATGTCAAGTTCCTTGTCTGAAATGTGGGGATAAAACCACATCATCTTGGTCTCTTCCTAGGGCTGTTGTGAGGATCACATAAGGTCATGAAAAAAAAATCATGAATGTGGAACTACTTTGAAAACTATAAATTAGCATCCAGAGTTGGGACTAGAGCCAGGTGACTTGATTCCTGTGCCCTGGGGGCTTCCAAAGGGCCTAAGAAACCATGGCCACTACAGAAGCCTTACATGTCATCATGCCACTCTAAGGATGGCTCAGGCTTAGCCTCTGGCGCAGGCAGCCTGGGAAGAAGAAAGAGTGCCTGGGGAACCTTGGACCTTGGGAGGAAGGCCTGAAGTTCTTGCTCAGGGACATCAGTGGGGGATGCTCTCAGCTGGCCCCTGGGGATGGAGGAAAGGCAGAGGAGGATGAGACTGGCAGTTATTAAACCAGAAAGTGAGGTAGTTACTGGCATTCCGACCAGTTTGGGGCAGTTTTTCTCATTTCCCTATGCATGCAGGTACATTTCAGGATGTGACTTAAGGGCCTCCTGTCCACACCCAGTTGGTGAAGTCCAGGGAAGCTGGTTCTGGCCAGGATGGCAAGACCAGTGGTCTCTCAGAGGTCATGTGGCTTTCTTTTCTTCCTGGCCATAGACTGGCCTGCTCTCTAGCCCTTCATCTCAGCCAGACTGAATGCAACCCCACCCCATCTCAATGGTCAGCCTTGGTGTCCTGCAATGTGAAGTCATCGTGTGCTGGAGAGGTCGTGGGTCTGGGGCTGGAGGTCCAAAAAGAGGGGACCTCTGCTTATACAAGCAGCTTTGGACTCAGAATCCCCAAATCCAGGGAACGATTTTCACTATCCCCTGGAGAGTGAAGGTCATGGCCTTAGTGGAGCAGAGACAGGAAAAGATGCATAGCCCAGCTTGGGATATCTGGGTGGGATGTGTCCTCCACAAGAGGACAATAATCTCTCATAATGATAGTGAGTGGAGACCACCAGGATGATGCATTGTCACCCTCTCCTTAACCCCATAAAAGACACCAAAGTGGATACATCTTCACATCCTACCTGAACCCCACTTAGAGTACAATGGCTTTGTGGGGCTATTTATATTTTGGGGGCATTTCTCTGTGACTTCTTGATTGGAGAGACCTAAGATATAGAATGAAGATTCTTGGTGCTATTTAGAACCCCTCTGCTACCTGAAAAAGGCCTGCTCTGATGACCTCAGGGCTCAGACATGATTGGTTCAGGGCCAGGGAAGGCAGTATTGAGAAGTTTTTGCATAGGTTCAGACTTTAATCTAGATTCAGGGACCCAGTCAAACTGTCTCCCTAAGATCTTATTTTAGTTTTCAAAGCTAAAACCTCTAAAAAATTGGCTCTGCTTGCTTGCAGTTTAAGTAAAAACCTTCATATTTATGGCTTTTCTAGTTTTCCTTCAGTAGTTCACATCCATTTAACCCTCTGAATCTAGAATATGCTTTGTGAACTGAGATTATGAGAGGAAGCCAGTTCGGAAGACAAGGGTCATAGCATCCAGAGGTTTGGAGGAGAGGGACCTGGGAGGGGGGGATACAGGGATGTAGTGGGGAAGGTAAAGGGGGGATATTGGTAAACCAAAGAGTGAGAGTGAATGGTAAGTAATCCAGTGGTCTAGGAGAGAGGGAGGGGTGACTGTTGAAGGGAGAAATAGAAAAGATGGAGGAGAGAATAAAATAAAGGGTTCGAAGAGAGATGAAAGTGCAGTAAAATGTGAGGACAAGACATGATGGAAAAGAGAGAGCAGGAGGCAGAAGAGACGAAGAGGAGGCAGATGAGGCAGGGGAAGTGAGGTGGAAAGAAGGTGGGAGGGGGGTAGGGGTTGGGGCATGGAGGTCCCAAGATCTGGACTCTTTTTTGTCACCATGCATCTGTACAGCAGATAAATACAATGCAGCTGGGCTTTTCTCTCTTCTTAATTGGCATCTTTGGATCTATCCCCGCTTGACAAATCAGGCCACTTATTATTAGTGATGACAAGGATAAATATGACAGGCATTCATTTTGCATCTGGGCCCCCTGATAATAGAAGTCAGCACACCAGCCCCTCTCCCCACTGCTTTCTCACTCCCGGCTTGGGCTCCCCAGTGGGGAAACTGAGTGTCCAGGAGCTGTCCATGGCTTTGCGAGGTGCTGAAGGCATCTACAAACCCTCTTCTGGTGGGAAGGCAATGGACAGGAACGCTCCACAATTTGAGTGGTGCTGAAACCCTCTATACCCTGCCTCTTGTCTGATTCCAACGGGAAAGCTGGGTGGCTGGAAGCTGTCCACAGCCTATGTGGTGTTGAAAGCCCTGTCCCCAGGGCTGGGGTGGCAGGGTGCATCTCTTTCCCACAGAACACAATTACTTCTGGCATGGAGTGGTCAGTGGCTTAAATTTACCTGCCTTGCCATGGTTCTAAAAGGCCTGGATGACTTTAAGTGTGTTCCTTCCCAACTCTGGGTCTCAGGATTTCCACCTTTAAAATGAAGGGCCAAATTAGGTGTTCTCTCAGGGCCCTCAAGCACTAGCCCTTTCTGTTATCAAAAGCCTTCAAGAGATTCCTTCTGCTTATAGGATCGAGCTACAAATCCTATAGCCAGGCCCTGAAGGCCCTCTCTGGCCCCTGTCCACTTCCTGGCTTTGCCCTCATTCCAGCCAGATGAGCCTTCTCTCAGGCCCCAGACACACTCTTCTTTTCTTCCCCTGAGCCTTTGCCATCCCCACTGCCCTCCTTCTGCCTCTGACTGTCTCCCTTCCTGATCTCTGGGAGCACTGACCACCTGGGCCCCCTCTTGAAAAACAATGGCCTTATACTCAGTGTGCTTTCAGTTTCTTTTGTCTTATATGGCTGTGTCTTACATGGCTCCCCTTGAGGGACTCCCTGGGGCCAGGGTCATAGTCCAAATCAGTAATCAGTGGCTCACAGTTTCCCATGACCATGTGTGTGGAGCATGGGTGAGTACTTGTGGTATTTTGACCCAATAAGCTCTTTTAATAAAACTTATGATTGCTCTTTCAAGGCTGCCGGTGAAAGAAGATTACTCCAAGAAGTGCTTAGCTGAGGCTTGTGGCCCCCTCTTTGAGACAGAATCTTTCTGAGGCTCCCACTCCAAGCTGGCATGGGTGGCCGAGGTCACACTTATGTAGACAGATAATTCTGCCTCATGCCTCCATGGAGTGGCCGAGACATGGTGGGTCACACACACAAGCCTCCATCTCTGTTTACTCTGAGCCTATGAGAGTTGACCCAATGCCCTCATTGTATGGTGGTCACAGCTGTCCCACCTTCAACTTTAGGGACCTTTCAGGGAGCTTCCAACCCACTCACCCCACTAGAGCTCAGACTACCTCATAAAGTTTTCTCTCTGGAGCTCAACCGCGGAGGATCCAACTTGATTAGTGGAGATGTGAGAGTTTCTCTGCACACTGTTCCCATACAGGTGAGTTGCCTCTCCCTCTGCCCTCCATAAATAAGGAGCTTCCATCTATTGGGCCGGGCAAGCAAGTAGAGAAGTGGTGGCTCTCTTTTCTTCGTTAAACCCATGGGGAACTAAAAATGGCCCAGAGGTGGCATCATGCATGAGGTGGGCATCATGCAAAGATGGGCATCATGAGATGAGGGACTCCTCATCTCAGCTAAGCAGGCAGAACCACATCCTGATAGTCTAGAAAAAAATTCTTGGGAAGAAAATTCTCTCCTCTCTAGGCCTATTATCAGCCAATTCACCAGGACAGGCCTTGGTATCCACTCTGCCCACTGCCCACTGCTTGGCAGAGCCCCTAAAGCCATGGCTAGTAACCAGAAGTTCCAAATGGTTTAGAGGGGAGAGCTGTGTTTGCTAACGGACCTGACTGTGTCTGACAAACTGAAGCCATGTGCTTGATGGCCTCAGGTCCTCTGGGAAAGAGGGCTCAGAGCACTTACCTTCCCTCAAATATACTGGCACATTCTCGGAATCCCAGCGTTTGCCCTGTTGAACCTCTTATCAGTGATCAAAGGGCTTGGAGATGATCTTAGATTCTAGACCAACTCCTTTTTTTAAAGATGGGAAAACTGAGATTTCCCCAGGAAGGGAAAATCAGTTGCCCGAGCTCACACAGCAGAGAAAGGAGCATCTTTGACTCTTGGCTCTCAGTCTCAGGCTCTTCCTCCTCCTGCCAGAAGTGTTTGCATTTTAATAGAATTGTGGAGGCTGAAGTGCCTCGTGACCCCTCTAATGGTGGGGACTTCAGGCATCGTGACATGTGGTGATGGAGATTTTGGGGATCCCTGCTGAGGCTGAGTCTCCTGCCTTGTGGAGAATGTCTATGACCTCCAGCAGAAGAACTTTACAGAGAGCAGAAATGTCAGGGCACCCCTTTAGAAACTACCCTTAGGACTCTGTACTCTCCCAGGCTGATGGGGGTTGGAGGGCCTCATTTGTCTCTGCACTGGGGGATGAATGGCTCGGGAGGAGCTAATGAAGCTGTCTTCCCACCAACACACCAAGACAGTGACGGATGGCTCATGCGGAAAAGGCAGGTGTTGGCACATGGCCCATTGGACAGGGTAGAGAATAACACGTCCCTCAATGTCACTGTAGGTCACAGTGGTGGCTGGGACCCCAGGGAGGGGACATGTAGGCTCTGGAGTGAAGTGACAAAGACCCCAGGGAAAGCCAGTGCCTCCCACAGCCCCCTTTTTGTGACAGGCAGACAGAAGGTCAGAGTTAGAAGTGTGATAACTACCATATAATCCTGCTAGCTCATTGTCCAAGTGGAAGTATACAGGCCCAGGAAGGGATAGTGAGTTGACCAAGGTCACACAGCTAGCTAAGGTCAGAGATTGCTGCAAAGGTCCTCAGCGGTCCAGGGGAGGGAGAAGAGTGACCTCAGGATGTATCACTGTAGCACTGTTCTCACCTGCAGGGCAGTGGGAGGGGAGGGTCCCACTTTTTGCCTGGTATTAGAGACCTTGATGATCCGTTTGCACCTTCTCTTCCTCCTCACTCTGCAGCCCACACCATCTGCCTTCCACTCCCAACCTCTGAGCCTTAGCTCATGCCCGCTGAGGGCCGGTTGTCCTCCAAGGGCCCCCCATCCATCTGTCTGCTTATCCATGAGAGGCATGGGCCCAAATACCATTTGTCATCGTGCATTCCACTTGGCATTCTGAACTCACTCCCAGTGCAAGGTCCCCACCTGAGTGGTGTCCCATCACCATGCCCTCTCCCCATTAGTATTTTGGAAAAACCTCTCCAAAGAACATTCTCTTCCATGGCAACCATTCTTGAAGTTTTGGAAGTATTACAGCTAGATGCCAGAAGCCTGCATTCCTGGTGTATAGGAAATAAGTCAGGCCAAAGAGGGGAGAGGGATGGAAAGAGAAAAGGGTAGAGTGAGTTCTTGGCTTCTCTTCAGGCCTAGAGCAGTTTCACCCCAACCCTGGCCACTGAGATCTTCGCTTCTTTCTGGTCCAGGTGGTCAGTCTGGCCTGGGTGGGCCTGTGGGATTTGATGGAGGAAGCAGGAGACAGAGTGACTCCAGATGCAGTTGTTCCCCTTACCTCTGCCAGGGGCTCCTCACCACTGCAAGTGGTCTTGTGAGCATTAGCTTGCCTGACTCCTGCTACCACAGCCCTGGGAGGTGAGCTGGGCATTGTTGGCCCCATTTCCCAGATGACATCACTGAGGTCCAGGGAAAGCAATGACCCAGCCCAAAGGGATCAGTGGGTTAGTGGTATTTGTTCATTTTCTCAAATCAATAAATATTTATTGAGGCACTGTGCTAGGTGCTGGGAAAATGAAGATGAGCAGGGCAGACATGATTCCTGTCTTGCAGGGCCTTTCAGAGGCCCCAGGTGCCTGCATTGCTGGGTCTCTGGCCTCTGGAGGCACATGCATTGGCAAGAGCATTATCTTGAGAGTCCTCCCTTGAAACTCAGTGTGCAGATTTGTACCTCAGAGCTCTTCCTCCTGTCCATGGGACTTTCTTGGAAGCCAGCATCCTTGAGGGCACTTCCCCACCTTCTTCCCTCAGCACATCCATCGGCCCCTCACAGTGTCTGGTCTTCAGTGTCTCACCTGCCAGGACCTCCTCCCTTATCTGCCACTCACAGTTCCTGTTATTCACCTTTCACAGGGAATGAAATGAAAGAACGAAGAGGAAAATCTTAACCTGTACAGCCTCTTGGATGATGGGGTGGGAAGTAAAGACCTGTCCCCCAGTTTCCTGCTGCCTGGAGAAATCTGGAAGATCTCCTAGGGCTTTGGAGAATGAAGGCACCCTTGTCTGGATGCCACCACAGCCTCCTCCCTCTCACCCCGGCCTCCTCCTCCTCATCTTCAGCCCACCAAGGCCAGATTTGTCTTGCAAAGTGGCATCATTATAAACGCATCAGCCTCCTCTGGACGCCTGTGCCTGCTCCCGCCAGCCCATCCAGGCTCGATTACATCTGAGGCTGTCTGGGGTAATTAAGTGACATTAGGACGCATCCCCTGTTGTAATGCAGTGTTCAAAGCCCTGGGCTCTTGCTTCCCAAGAGCTGCTGCCGCTGCACTGAGGCTGTGTCTGCCTAATGCACCCCACTGTGATTGTGGCTAATTACTCCACAGACAGGCCTCATTAGTGGTGGGTTCGGGATGGAAGGTGAGAAGCAGGCTGTCTCCCCTGCCTCCCCCAGCCCACGGGCTTTCCCTCTCCCTCCGTGACCAAGCTTGCCTTACTTTGCTGTTGAGGCAGGATTAGAATAGGGCAAAGGAATTCCCAAAAGACGTCTCATCTGGGCAAGGTCATCTACTGAGCTACAGGGCCTTCAGGAACTTTCCAACTGCTTTATTCAACTAATGGGAAGCCAAGGCCCAGAGGGGGTTACTGACTTGCCCAAGGTCACACAGCACAAGTGAAATGCGCCACCTTTCCTAACTGCCCAGCTTGGAGGGGTAGGGGCAGGCCAAGTGGGATCATGCACAGCCAGGACCCACCTGGGTCCAGAGCTAGTGGGAGAAAGGGCTCATGGGCACCCAGGAAAAGAGCTGGATGGCTACGCTACCCCAGAGGCTCTTTCTGGTCTCTAGGCCTTTGCAACTGTTGCCTGGAATCCTCTTCTGATGCCCTCCACCTGCCACCTTGCACCTGGCTGACTCCTTTCATCCTTCAGGTCTCGCTTTCTCCAGGAAGCCTCCCCTAACTCCTGAGTTTTGTGCTCCTCATCCATGCTTCCATGATACTCTGTACTTCCCCATCTTGGCAGTCATCACTCTGAATTGTCAACACCTAATACCCCACATGCTATACCCATAGGAGGAGCAAGCTCTGAGACACTCTTGTTCATGTAGTAGGCACTGGCCTAGCTCACAGATGGCCTTTGATAAGAATTAGTAGAAGGAAAGATGTAATGATTGATGGCTGCTTGACCAGTACAATGAGTACCATGGTAAGGCTGTTGGTGTTCACTCACATCTGAGAGTTTCTTTATACTTCTCAGCCTCCCTTGCTCTTAGGTTGGTCACATGACTCACTCCAGCAAATGGGATGTGAGCAGAAGGTATATATGTTACCTGGAATGAGGTGAATAATTACCTGGTGTGCTTTTCTACAATCCTTGTTGCCTGAGTGATGCCAAGATCATTTTGAAGCTGCAAGATGGTGGAGCCACAAGATGAAAGGAACCTGTATCTCTGAGTCACCACACAGAAGAGAGACATCTAGGAAAGCTGCTTGACATGGGTCATATGAGTAAGAAATCAACCTCACTGCGCAAAGCCACTGAGAAATCAACCTTCCTGCACAAAGCCACCGAGATGTTGGGGCTACTTATTAGAGTGGCTAGTGGGAATTACTCTGACTAATATAAAGGGGTTAAACTTGATGGGATGCAAATAGGAAATGGCTTCATTTTTTCCAATCACTGCTTTAAACATGCTCCTATTAAGCCTCCTTGCCCTGTCTCTTGACAACATCTTGGACAGATTCTAAGTTTTCGGTTACTGTTGGTTGTAAGAAGAGTCTCATCTTAGTAATTAGGACTCGCTTTCAGGGCCAGTCCAGCCTCAGAGATTTATGCTCACATCCAGTTGAAAACTTCTTCCTTTCCTTCAGCTCAGGGCTGACCCATGGCTTGGAGATAAGATTGGTCTGTTCTTTTGCTTCACTTCTGCTTTCTTGCCCTTCTGCTGCTGCTGGCTCCTTGAGAGTCAGAGCAAGGAGATAGAGGAATAGTAGAAAAAGGGGCTAAAAGTCTTAGGTCCCCGTCACTGTTGTAACCCACTGCTGATGTCCTGGGTGTCAGGTTCTCCGAGGCTGGTGTTTGGGATGGTGTTTTTGTTGGTCCTTTTGAGACATTACATGGACCACCTTCTGCCCCCTTCTCTGATGGTGGCTGTGCAGAATGCAGCTCGGGATGGCCTCCTGTTATACTCTCCTCTCCTGCCCTCACCCAGTTTCCACCACCAGGGGTATGTCCAGGCCCATGGGGAACACATGCATGCTTCCTACCATATGACAGCAGGCTGGCCCTCGGTTCTCACACTCCAGTGTGGCCTGCGCCAAGGCAGGCACCTGAAAGACCTGGGAGGTAACAAGTCCAAAAATGAGTGGAACCATCTGTCCCTTCTTAGGGGCCCTATGGAGGGAGGAAAGAAGCCTGAAAAATAAATGGGGCTTGGAATTCTGTTGGCTACAGATTTGTAACATCGAAGTTGAGGGGATTATTTTGTGTCACAAAAGGATTCTTCTAGGAGTTACTAACTTGGAGTTTGGCTAAGTGGAGGGGTAAGGGTGAGACAGATTATATCGCTGGTCTGTGCTTTTTGTAGGTCATGGGTTCTTTGGGGAATATGATGAAAGTTCCCTAGAAAAATGCATGTATTCATGTACGGATAGTATTTATTATGAAATTTTAGGGCATCCTGAATCCCACTGTGTCTGCCAGAGGGGTCCATGAAATCCCAGTTAGTTATCTCCAAACAAAAGTGCTGCTCCCCTGAAGTCTGATTCCTTCAGTGTGGACCCATCTGGGGACCCTGGCACCCACCCCCTGCCCCCTTCTCAGACTCTCTCTGCAGCATCACAGTGAACTTACTCTTCTCCAACACACATGACAATTCCTGCCTTCATGTCCTAGCCTGTGCTGTGCCTCCTGCTGGGGCATTCTTTCCTCCATGCCACCCAGGTCTCACTGTTGTGCAGAGCTCAGGCTACGCACCATCTTCTCTAGGAAGCCATTGGTGGTAGGCACAATTCTAAAGACATTGCCCCAAGACTCCTGTCCCTAGCTGTTCAGTTGAATATGAATCTAGGTAGGCTGTGAAGAAGGGATTTTGCAGAAGAAATTAATGCTACTAATCAGCTGACCTTCAAGTAGGGAGATTAACCTGGATTATCTGAGTGGCCCAAATATAATCACATGAGCCCTTAAAAGCAGCAGAGGAGGGCAGCAGAGTCAATCAGAGAGATGTGGTGGAAGGGGAGGGCAGAGAGATGAGGCAGAAGAGAAGGTCAGAGCAGAGCAAGTCACAGTGCAAGGAGGACTTGACACTGCATTGCTGGCTTTGAAGATGTGGGAAGAGGCCAGGAACTGAGGATGTGGACAGCCTTCAAAAGCTCAGAATCATGGCAAAAAAATGGGGACCTTGATCCTGCAATGGCAAGGAACTGAATTCTGCCCACAACATGAATGAGCCTACAAGCAGATTCCTCCCCAGAGCCCTGAGAAAGGAACACAGCCCTGATGACACCTTGATTTCGGCTTTGTGAATCCCAGAGCAGAGAACCAGCTGAGCTGTGCCGTGCCCAGATTTCCAACCTACAGAACTGCGAGGTGATAAATAGGTATGGTTTAAGCTGCTGAATGTGTGATAATTTGTTACAGCAGCGATAGAAACTAGCACATCATTGGCAGTGCATTAAATAGGGCCACAAAGTCTTTGACATACTGAGAGGTGGAGGTGCTTCCCCAGCCCTTTAATCTCAGCTGGTCCGTGACTGCTTTGACCAAGGTGGCCAGCAGAAGTGAACATATACCAGTTCCAGGTCCAATCTTTAAAAACACTGAGGCCAGGCACAGTGGCTCATGCCTGTAATCCCAGCACTTTGGGAGGCCAAGGCAGGTGGATCACCTGAGGTCAGGAGTTCAAGACCAACCTGGCCAACATGGTGAAACCCCATCTCTACTGAAAATACAAAAATTAGCCAGGTGTGATGGCGGGCGCCTGTAATCCCAGCTACTCGGGAGGCTGAGGCAGGAGAATCGCTTGAACCTGGGAGGCAGAGTTTGCAGTGAGCCGAGATCGTGCCACTGCACTCCAGCCTAGGTGACAGAGGAAGACTCCATCTCCAAACAAACAAACAAACAAACAAATAAAAATACTGGCTGCTCCCACATTGGTTTCTTGGAGCTGGGACCTGCCATTTAAGAACTTTGGCTATGCCGAGACATCATGCAGAAAAGAAGCCCAAGCTAGCCATGTGGAAAGGCCATGTGGTGAGAGATGCCTGGTCAGTTTCAGCTCCCAGCCATTAGTCATCCCAGCTGAGGCCACGGACATCATGGAGCAAAGACAAGCCATCCCCACTGTTCTCTGTCTGAATCACTGACCCACAGTACAGAAAGATACAATAATAATAAACTACTGTTCTTAAGTCATTAAGATTTGAGGTAGTTTGTTACGCATAGATAAATAACTGGACTACACCATGTCAGTTTCAACTCCCAAGGATTTCTCCCTTCTTTCAATTCCTGGAGCTCACTATACTGCTGCACGCACTTGACTGCAGAAGCTGCTCTAAATATGTCTGCAGCAAGAAGGGTCAGTGGTGGGGTTGGCATGTTTCCCCTGCCCCGAGACCCGCCCTAGCAGGTTACACTGCACACTTGAAAGTTCTGGGTGAACTCAAGGTCTTGAGTCTGCATCTGCAAGTCAGTGCCTGGTAGACCAATGAAGACTTCTCTGGCCCAGATCCTTTTGAATATAGTGTGCTCTGGACTATATGGAGCTCTCCCCCCAGCCGGCTGGTACTACCAGGAAGAGAGCTGTCCCTGGTGGTGGCAGCCGTTAGAGGAAAGTCACTTATTATGCTGGACATACCCAAGGATTTCCTTACTCACATCCTTTCACACTGATGTGGGTGTTCTTCCCTCTGTTCCCCATTCTCATTTCCTCTGGGATCACCCCCATCCACCTCAGAGAATACAGAAAAGGATTTTGCCCCACCAGCCATGCCCCAACTCCCTAAGGTTGACCAGTTCTCAGGTTACTCCCAGGAAGCAGTGGGACACTTTATGAAAACTAAGTAATGGATTGTACCAAACCCAAAGACAACCACCAGACTTTGTGATCAGACATGATTTTGTCTTCTTCAGGGGACCGAGGGTAGAGACCATGGCTTAGATTTCTCTGGGTCCCCAGTGGTACCCAGAATGAGGCCGGGCACGAACGAAGTTTAATTTATGAAGGTCAGTCAGCATCTCTGAAATGAAATTTCGAGTCCAGACATCAGAACTATCCTTACAAAATATCCTTCCTGGGTTTTGATACCTTTCTTTGCAGGCACCCTTGGTTCAAATGAAGTCTTACGTGGAAGCTGCACAGCTGTGTCTTGGAATTGGGGGATGGGCAGGAGGCCCTGTTCCCTCTACCTTCTCATCACTCCCACGGCATCTCTGAGGCAGCTCCAGGGAACTCTGAGATCCATAGGGCATAGTTTGAAACCCATGGATTCATCCATTCTGGTGGTTTTCTAGCAGAGAAACTGAGGCTCCAAGAAGGTCTGTGGGTCTGTGGCTTGCCTAGGGTCACACAGTGAATAGAAATATTGGGACTAGAACCCCCATCCTAGCTCCTTACCTTCTTCCACGTCCCACTGTCCTAGCCAGAATCATAAAGCCCTAATATGGACAGGCCCTCTAGGTCAGCACCTCTGGGAGCAGGAACCCTTTTTGTAGGCCTCTAACAAGAAGGACGGCATCAGCTTGCATTCCCTCCAGGGGTTAGTTGCTCACTACTTCCAAGGCAGCCTATTTAATAGTGAGACTGTTCTAATTCTTAGACTGTTCTCTTTTATGTGGAACCCAAACAGATCTTCCTATAAATTTTTGTCCCATGTTATGATATATTATGTATATGAGGGCCAAGAATCCTATGCTGTGGCCCTGCTGCAGGGACCTTTTAGTGTGTGTGAGAATGTGTGTGAGTGTGTGAGTGTGAGAGTGTTGTGAAAATGTGTGTGGGCGTGTGAGTGTTGTGAAAATGTGTGTGAGTGTGAGTGTGTGAGAGTATGTATGTGTGTATGAGTGTGAGAATGTGTATTTGTGTGAGTGCATGTGGGTCTGAGTGTGAGTGTGCGAGTATGTGTGTGTAAGAGTATGTATATGTGTGAGTGTGAGAATGTGTGTGAGAATTGTGTGTGAGAGCATGTGTGAGAATTGCGAGTGTGAATGTGTATATGTGTGAGTGCAAGAATGTGTATGTGTCAGCATTGTGTATGTGTATGTTTGAGTGTGTATGTGAGTGTGTATTTGTGAGTGCATGTGAGTGTGTGTATATGTGTGAGACTGAATGTATCTATGTGTGAGAATGTGAGTGTGAGAATGTGTGAGTGTGTGAGAATGTGTGCATAGAGTAAGAGTGTGTGATGGAGTGTGTGAGAATGTGTGTGTGAGTGTGGGAATGTGAGGAATGTGTGAGTGTGAGCATGTGAGCGTGTGTGTGTGAGAACGTGTGTGTATGTGTGAGAATGTGTGTATGTATAAGTGTGTGTGTGAAGGTGTGTGTGCATGTGTATGTGAGTGTGAGTGTGTGCGTGTATGTGTGTGTGAGAATGAGTATGTGTATGTGAGAATGTGTGTGTGAGTGTGAGAGTGTGTGAGAGTAGTGTGTGTGAGTGTGTGAGATAATGTAAGTGTGTGAGAATGTATGTGAGAGTGTGTGTAAGTGGGTGTGAGAGTGAGAGTGTGAATGTGTGAGTGTGTGTGAGAGTGTGTGTGGGAATGTGTGTGAGTGTTAGAGTGTGTATGTGTAAGTGGGTGTGAGTGTGTGAGAGAATGTGTGAGTGTGTGAGAGAATGTGTGAGTGTGTGAGTGTGTATGTGTAAGTGTATGTGTGAGTGTGTGTGCGCTGCTGTTACTCTCCCACCCTCAGCTATGATGGGGAAAGCTGGCTCTTCCCTGACAATCCAATCCCCATGTCCTTGGCTCCATTGCCTGGCTGGCAAGCAGGGCTGAGGCTGCCATGGTGAGTGAGGGCCTGCTCCTGCCGGGCCAGAGGTTCAGAAGGGTAGCCAGGTTATTCTCCAGGTAAGGTGGGGAGGGGCAGGGAGGCAGAGGCGGAGAGGGCTCTCCAGCTCACCCAGCCACCGCCGCTTCTGGCCACCTCCATGTCTTCACCCTCCTCACAGAGCACAGTAAGGCATACATCAGTTTGTCGGGGGAGTGAAGGGCATTAATGGAGGGGGAGGGAGGCCAAGGCTGTGGATCGAAGGAGGAGAACTTCAGGACCCTCCAGGGGCAGAGATCAGCATCGCTCACCAATCAGTATTTCCTAAGCCCTGGGGTGGGCTGCAGAGCCAGAGCCAGTTAAACTGAGGAACTCATGAGGCCCTCATTCTGTGACAGTCGCCATGTGTGCTGGAAGGAATCAGAGTCCATCTACTCTATCCTTCCTTTCCTCCTCTCACGGTGCAGACCCATCTCCACAGAGAAGGTGGCTCCACAGGTGGCTCCACAGAGGGGTCTTCTCCAAGGCACCTCCTCACAACCGTTGGCATGAAGCTGGGGACACATCTCCCAGCTTGGGGCTGGTCTTGACCTAGAGGAAGTCAGTAGTGTCCTTCACTTTGTGACTGGATGGGGACCAAAAGTCACTAAATTTTCAAAATGTTTCCTCCCTGCCCAGCCTACCAAGTAGACAGAGATCCCCATAGAACTTCCATCTGGAGGTCAGAGCATCGTGTCCAGGAGCCCCTGGGAAAAGGCAACTTCTTCCTGAGGAGGACCAGGACCACAGATCCTGAGCAGGACTAGCTGACTGGATTAGACAGGCTTCTCCAGAGATCTGGAGCTGCCACCAGGAAAGGTATGGTTTGAGGAGTGCAGCAGAGAATGCCCAATGCCTAATGCTCTTCACTAATGTATCCTGCCGCTACTCTCACCTGGCCTCAAAACCCCACACTGCTCCTGCAGCACCTGGCACCCTCCCTCCTCCAGGAATGTGCTCTGGCTGGGGTCTCAGCGGCAAGGTCTGATTGTTTAAGGAATACCCTGTAGGAAGCAGAGGGGGCCAGACCGGAAAGAGAGAGAGGAGCCATGTAATTTGAAAGCCTGGCCTAGAAGACTTACAGTGAGGTTTCCCAAGATTGGATCTGCACACATTTTAATCAGTTCCCGCACTTCCTGGGGCTGAGCCTAGTTCTGTTGTAATAAGCACTAAATAAGGAACAGGTGACCAGACACGCATCCCTATGGCTGCTATGACTCCGAAAACACAAAGTGAGCCCCCAACCCTCCTTCCACATGGATACTCTCCAACTCAGTGCATCCCAAACTTAGCCTAATAAAGCCCAACTCCCCATTTGTACTCATCATATTTTAACTTCACCTTTCACACACAAACCCACCAATTTCTACCCAAGCCCACCCAACCCAACTCAACCTACTTAAACGTAATGGCATCTACTCTGCCAATGGGCACTGTGTATGGTTAAATAGGTTGTACCTTGCACAAAGGTGCCTGGCTGAGCCAGGTAACGCCAAGCCCCGTTGCCCCTCTGCTGGGGAAATCCCACCCCTTAGGGAGCAGGAAAGGAGCAACAGGGGATTAGTAAACCCTCTATACACACTCACAATCACAACATACCCCGCTCAGGGCCCCCACCTCCACCTAGTGTCTCAATGGTCTTGGGGCACAGTCAGGTCTGTAGAGAAGGTCCATGAGTTGCCTTCTCTCAGCCTCCACCTGGCTAAAGGTGCACAGGCCAGGTGAGTAGTGTACTTAAGAGACTCATGCTCTTCCACACCCAGCCCAGGGAGACAGTTACACAGAGCCACAAACAGGGAGGGACACTGGACCACAGTGTCATAGAGAGACAGAGAAGCAAATAGAGACCAGGAGAGACAGACAGAAGCATGAGTCAGGGACAGAGATGAAGAAGGGAGGTGTTGAGAGAAGGAAGCGTTGGATGGCAGGGGTGGGGAGGGGACCACGGGGAACCCCACGTTTAACTGTGGGACTCCAAGTGTTGTGATGTGGCCTTAGGCAGGCGACTGCGCCTCTATGGTTCTCAGACCACCCCCTGACGGAAAGGAGAGCTTCCTTGATCCTTCTCAGCTGGTCAGGGATGGTGTGGGGCAGGGAGTGGCCCTGGGGTAGTGCCAGCTCCTGCCAGGGCAGGGCCATCTGCAGAGCACCAGGAAAGCTACAACGGGGAGGGAGAAAGAGAGGAAGGGCTGAAGCGGAAGGATTTTGCTGGCGCCCAGGCTCGCTTTCTTCCCTTGAAAGGAGCAGCAGTTATGCTCTTGCCACCGCGCCTCAGTTCACATTCGTGGTCAGGATGTGAGTGTGCGTATGTGTGTTTGCACTTGTGGCTCACGTACCACCGCATATGTGTGACTATCTGGATGTGTTTGTGACAAAATGGTGTAAATGAGAGACAGAGAGAGAAGTGTATTGTGTGTGCGTGTGTGCACACGCATGTGTACATGTGCACATGTGTCTTTGGGTTGAGAGAATATGTGTGTGGCTGTGGGTGAACAAGGTGAGCATGTATATGAGTGTGGATGTGTATGCTGCATGATGCGTGCATGTGTGCATGCCAAGTGTGTGTCAGTGCAGCTGCTGGAGAGGAGGCTACAGACAGAGGTGGCTGCCTTGAGCTGGCTGTGTCTATGGCTCTGGTGTAGCAATGAGCCTGTCACATAGTAGGCCCACACCATACCGTGGTGAAATAAATGCTTGGTGGAAGTCAGTGAGAGGCTCCTGGACTTTTAGAGGAGGCCTGTAAAGCCAAGAAACTTCTAGCCAGGGGGCAATCATGGATGCTTACGCAGTGTTTTCCAGTTCCCCAAGCCCTTCACCTGAGTCCTCTTGTTTGGGTCTTTTCACCAAACCTGAGGGATTTAACTGCATTTTACTGATGAGAGAATGGAGGCTCACTTGTCCAAGGTCCCACCAGGGCCCGGGGCAGAGCCAGGACCATGACAGCCCTCCTGGCTGCAAAGCCTGTAAAACCCTGCTGCTCCCCCTTCCCTGGGAACAGGAGCTGCTGAGAGTGTACCTGATGGTGCAGATTTTCACCATTATTTGTGTTGGGTAAGAGTGGCTGTGGGCAGTCAGCGTCTCCAGGGAAACCACAGTGAACACTCTTTCTCTAACCCATCCCTCCTCTCAGCTGCTCCGCCGTTCCCTGCGTTCCCTGCACTCTAGCCCTGTGCCTAACTGGGTGACTTGGGGCCAGCCCCTGCCCTCTCCAGCCCTCATTTCTTCATCTGCAGGTGGGAATGGTGCTGAAGACTAAGTGGAATGACAGATGGAGATGGCTGGCACATAGTAGGTACTCAGGAAATACTGGCTTCTAAGAGGAGCCCGGCTCTTTCTCCTGCAGCCCCAGGCACTGCAGCTCTTTCTTGTTGCTTCTCCCGAGGCTCACAGATCACCTGGGAAATCATCTCTGACCTGCTGTTTCCTGGCCAGCTCACTTGCTGCTTCCACATGCTGAATCCCACATCTTCAGGCCTTAATGGAGCCAGAGGCCCATCCTGCCCGCCCTCCAGTGTCTAGCAAGACCCACCCCTAAGGCACCAACGGCACAGAGGTGCCTGTCCCATGGGCTATGAATCCTGCAGGGGATAAGTTCTCTCCCAGGGTCTCACCCTAGAGAATCCTGTCTTCCTTTGCTGGGCAGTCTTGGTTGGCCCTTCCCCACACTGGGACTCAGTTTCCCCATCTCTACAATGATGCAGTTGCTCCATCGATAGCTCAGACCCCACGGGTCCCTGTGGCTCTGGTGAAACACCCCTGCACTAACGGGTTGTTCTGCACACAGTTCGGGTGCTTTGGCCTTTGCCTTCAGTGAGCCGGCCCCACTATCTATCCGGTGAGGCCATTTGCCCTGCCCTGCCAGGACGAGGTCGGACTCCAGGAGGCCTGGGTGTAAGCCTCCCCTCTGTCTATGCTTGCTGGTTTGGGTTCTCTGAGCCTCATTCCCTCATTTGTCAAATGGGGAGAGTGATATGGACCCTGCCCACCTCCCAGCACCAAGCCAGGTGAGGGGAATAAAGACCTGCAGAGACTCTGAAGGGTCACAGAGAAATAGCAGATTGCAAGCCAGTCACGACGCAGAGGTGAAGCGCATGGTGGGTGAGGGCATGGGCCCCCAGCCATGATGCTGGGATTTGAAAGTGGCTCTTCCACCCCAGCTGCACGCCCTGGGCAGCCTCTCATTTGTGGAATGGGGGAATAGTGGTAATAGGGCTTGGGGGGCTGTGGTGAGGATTAACTAAGACATCTGTGTATGAGCGCCGAGTGCCATGCCTGGCTGCGTCAGCACGCAGTCACTGCCACTGTGTTCCTGTTCCAGCATTGTCCTGGGTGCCTGACACCTGTCGCTCCCATCTGACCTCTTCTGACCTTCATCCTGAGGGCCCTGCCCGCCTCTGCTGCCCCTCCTCACGAGCCAAACTCACCCAGGCTCCCCATTTTCATGTGGCACTGCCCACTTGGCCAGCCCTCTCCATCCTAGTGGTCTAAGGCCAAACCATTACTCATACAATAAGCACTTATTGAGTGCCTGCTGTGTACCAGGCCCTGTTTCTGGCATGGAAGGGCAGCCTTGTTAGTGCTGCCTGTCTAGCACTGAGAGCTTGTGCTGGAGCTGAACAGGGTGCCGAAGGGTGAAACCACGGCCACCTCCCCAAATGACAAAACCTCTGACACTCTCTCCCCAAGAGTGCTCGATAGTGCTCTGCAGAGCCCTGGGGACCATAACTGGGGGGGGGGGGTCAGAGCCTCCAGGCCCCCCACTCCTGCTCCCACCTGCACATCTTGCACCCTGGAATTCTGCAAGCTGTTTTATAAAACGAACTCTGCAGTTAGAGGAGGGTTGAGAAGCACTGCTCAAATCCAACCTTTCTCAGTGTAGACAGGAAAACTGAGACCCAGAGGGACTCGCCCAAAGTCAATCCTAGATTTTGAGTCATCCAACTTCCGGTCTAATGTTCTTCCCACAGCATCCTCGGAATCGTCTTTCGGGTCTGTACCCTCTGGCCCCTGGTTTTGAGTGGCCCAAGTTGAGCCTCTGGAAATGTCCATCAAATATAGGTCAGCCTTGAGAGCCTCAGACCCTGGTGGACACCTTTTCCCCTGCCAGCCCCACACTCTCAATTGATTAATAACAACATATTTGAGACGGTAGCACAAATTAATTTCTGAATTGTGCCATTAGTGAGTAATCAATTTCTTTGCTCTGGGAAATGAAGATATATCCCTGACGAGCATGTTATCTAAATCTATAAAAGAGGAGAAATGCTGAACAGGCAACTCCATTAATGCAAACATTGATTTTTTTTTTGACCATTTCCCCCTCTCTTGTGTGAGAACTTTCCCCTGATTTCTATACCCCCACTTTTTGGGAGGGCAGCATCTGTTTTTCCAAGGAAGGATGGGGGCCCTTGGAGAGGGGGAGGGCTGCCTCTTGATACCTTCAGCAGTAATCAAAAGATCGTGTGCGCTTACTGCAGCCAAATAATGTCCTTATTGGATGCTATTAAGGATACGGTTGCCATAGAAACCCAGGATCTCGACCCACCAGGTTTGGATGCCAAACCTGGAACGTGCATTCTTCTGCAAGCTGCTGGAGGTCTGGGAGTGATGGGAGGAGAGAGGTGGCTGAGCTGGGAGGTTGTGCTGTGATCTTCCATACCGGCCCCTCCATTAGATGCCAGCTGCCTCCTCTAGAAAGTCCTCCAGGATTAGCATATCTCCATGTTCCCCCCACCTCCCCCATCTGGTAGCTGGCACATTTCCCAGCTGGCCTGACTTAAGACCTCTTGGACTATCTAACGAATTCCTATCTATGTGACTCTGGGCAAATTGCTTAGCCTTTCTGTGCCCCATTTCTTCATCTCTAAAAAGGCGATAATAGTCCCCCTTTTTAGACTGATTATGAGAATTTAATGAGATAATGAATGTAAAGCGCTTAGCACAGTGTCTGGCCTGGAATGAGTGCTTGATCAATGAGAGATATTATTACCATGGCAAGTGGAGGGTGGAGGGTCTGTCAGGGGACAGGAGCAAAAGCTGGATTCTGGTCTGATTCAGATCTGAGGCTTGCCTCTGCCCAGCTGTGTCCCTGGGCAAGTGGCAGTCTCTGTGATCCTTGGCTTGTCTTTTAGATGGAGATGAGGATGCTGATGGTACAGGCGGGATGACCATGTCTTTCAGTGTTCCGGATGGTCCCTGTCTACACCTATTGTCCAGTGTACTTGTTCACAGCACACACAGACACTTGTTGGATGCTTTTACCCACAAGGGGACCCAGACTGTTAGGCTCAGAAGAGGTCCCAGGCTACCTGTCCCTTACTACCGATGGTGCTGCAGCCTCAGCTGTCTGGGTTGGGCCAGGAAGTCGCCTCATTAGCTCAGATTCCAGGTTCCCCAGGGCAACCTCATGCAGGCCTCTGCTCTGAGGTCAAAGGAACAAAAGGAGAGACAAAGGCTGTTCACCCCCTGCCTGGCTCCAGACACCAGCTCCGGTGGGATAACATGGCCCCTTGATCCAGTCAGCCCCAGTTAGTGCCCTGGGAGAGAGACCTGGCAGTGGCCTCCTGGCCACGGCTTCCTGGGGCTTCCTGCGCACCTCATCCAATTCAGGTTGTCAGCCCTGACCCAGAGGGCCTGGCTGCTCCCAAGGCCTTGCCCTTCCCCCAGTTCATTAGCACCTTTTGGACCGAGGATGTTCAGATACATGCTGGCCTCATGATGATTCACCATCTGGCCACCTGTCACTAACCAGAACCTCGGGCTCCTTAGCTGCGAAGTGAGTGAAATAATCCCTGCCTCACTTGTTGGATCGAATTTCATGATACACGAGAAAGGGCTTTGTAAACTCTAGAGTGATGTGCACCCCATGAGTTGTGGGTCTCATCGAGGGACTCCTAAAGCAGATGTCTGTGAGGCCAGCCCTGAAACTGTACCAGTTTCTTTTTAGACCCTTGGCTTTTGTGATGACTGTCAAGTTTCCATGGGAACAACATAACTCCACCCATTCACATGTGTGTGGGCAGAGAGGTCCCTCAGAGGCCATGGAAGCTCACGTTGCTCTCTTGGCTCTGCTCTCAGCCTGCTGGGGGACTTAAGGCCAGGTGCCTCGGTTTCCCCATCTGTCGCAGGGCATGCTGATGCCAACTCTGTCTCTCTCACAGGTCCCTTGAGTAACTGGAGAAGGGGTGAGGTTGCTCGTTACATGGCAGAGACAGGTGGGGAATACAAGCAAGTACTCCTGAGCTGGAAGGACTTTCCCTGCTCTGGGGCCTTTGGCCAAGTTACCTCATCTCTCTATGCCTCAGTTTCCTCCATGGCCAAATGGCTTTGTAATATCTATGCTATAGGCTGTGAGGATTAGCAGTAAATTATGTGAAGTGCCTGGCTCACAGTCAAGACTTGGCAAGTGGTAACTACTGCTGTTATTATTATTTTCACACTGGCAAGGTTAAGACATTACCCAAATGAGGGACATCATTTTTGTTTTTCACACAAGAGCTGTGCACCTGGGGGCTGATTTGATTTGAGTTTGGTGCACTGGATAGGAAGCACAGAAAGCCTGGCCCAAGCTCTTCAATAATGTCCTGCCTCCCTTGTCCCCACTGAGCAGGGAAGGCTTGAAGTTCAAGGTGATGAAGTCAGGGAGAGAAGGAGGTAGGAAGGCCTGCTCTTGGCTTCATGTTCCCTTTCCCCTAAACCAAGAATAAGTTTCCCTAGGAAAGTGGACCTGCATTCAGGAGTAGACAGGTGAGCTGAGTGGACCCACTACCCTCAGTCAGTGACATTTTCTTTATTGATAGTGGCTGGAATGTGGTGGTGGCTCCCCAGGGAGTCCCAGGGTCCTAGGAATTCCCCCAAGGGACACATTAAATTTTCAGATGTAAGCACTGGCAGTTCTCGGACCCTCACAAGCCCCCTCCCCTGGACCCCAGGGCGGGATGAGAAGGGGCAGAGGCATAACAGGGCCTGTGACCTGTGGCCTGCTCAAGGTGTGAGTGCAGGGACTGGAACTAACTGAATTGGTCACAAGGGGATTACAGATGGGCAGGGGCTCCTTGGGGTCCTGGTGCTCAGGCTGGGCCGGTGGGGGCCGGTTGAGAAGGGTCACAGGGTCAGAGAACCTCAATGACTGCCCCTCCTTCTCTGCAAGCCACCCACCCTGCCCAAGCGGCACGCTGGAGCTGCAGGCTGACAGCAGGCAGGCTGGGGGAGAATGGCCCTAGAGTAGTGGCCTGCAGGCTCCTGATGAGCTCCTACCAAGGAGGCTCTAGCTGAGCCAGTGTAGTGGGGGCTGCGGGGGAGAGCAGGGTTCCTGGCCTTGGAAACCCTGTGCATCTTCGCAGGTTCTCCTGCACTTCTTAGCTGTAGGACCTTGGGCACTTAAGTCAATCAACGTCTCTGCACCTCTGTTTCCTCATCTGTAAAAGGGGGCCCAGTAGCAACTACATCATGCTATGTTAACTATATCATAGAACTATGGTGAATATTTGACGGAATCATGTGTATAAAATGCCTTGCACGATGCCCAGCACAGAGCAACTTAGAGAAATACTGTGAGGACTGAAAAAAAAAAAGATTCTTTAAGAGCACCCAGGTCAGTGTTTGCCACAAAAGGGCCAAACCTATTGGTTTCAATACTCTAGGTTTGAAAGAATATACCAGGCTTGGGCTCTGATATAATTTTGGATATTTTTCCCCTCCAAATCTCATGTTGAAATTTCATCCCTAATGTTGGAGGTGAGGCCTAATGGGACCTGTTTGGGTTATGGGGTGGGAGATGGCTCCCTCCTGAATGCCTTGGTGCCATCCTTGTAGTAATGAGTGGGTTTTCATGCTATTATTTCCCGGAGAACTGAGTGTGGACAGGAGCCTGGCACCTCCCTCTCCTCTCTCTTGCTTCCTTCCTCTCACCATGTGATGCCAACTCCCCTTCGCCTTCTGTCATGAGTGGAAGCTTCCTGAGGCCTCACCAGGAGCAGGTGCTGGTGCCATGCTTCCTATACTGCCTGCAGAACCGTGAGCCAAATTTATCTCTTTCATTATAAATTACTCAGCTGCAGGTGTTCCCTTATAGCAATACAAACAGACTAAGACAGGCTCCAAGGAAACCTGAGTGGGGAGGAGGGAGTGGGCAGGGGTTGAGGAAGGAGGCTGCATGGAGAAAGATAGGCTTGCATGGCCTTTTCCTGGTCATGCCCAGATTTCTTCCCCTCCAACATGCCCAGGTTTTAGGAGGAGAAGGTGTCTTCTGCTGGCAGAGGTGTGGCAGATGGAAAGGACTACAATAAGGAAAGAGACAACACCATTTCCAGCCATGTTAGAGTTACTGAGTTACTGAGACTGGACTTACCCTCCCCCCATAAATACCTACAGAACTAGACAAAATACATGAAACAACTATTTTCAGACATTGACAGTAGGTAGCTATTGACTGTGATTGTTGGGATGAAGAAAACAAATTAGGTGGACCCTATGTTCACCCCTGCCTGAAGGCACTATTCCGACTGCACCGTAAGGAGGAGGGGCCCAAGGAGAGCTCAGTGAACTCTCTTATTTGAGGGGATGGATTGGCATTGGATCAGGCTGAGGCAGCTGGAATTTGTGGAGCAGAGAACTGGATACAAGGAAGCTATGCAGACAAAAGACTTTGGAAATCTCCATAGGAATTCCCCGGATTCTGTTGCCAAGTCTTAAGACATGACTATTTAGGGTAAAACTCCACAAGCCTAGCAAACAGTGACCAGGGAGCTGTAAACTGAGCGTTTCCCCAAATTTACATAGGCATGGAAGACCTTCAAGTTCTGACCAGTCAGAATGGAGAGTCCCCAGGAGGGTGATGCCTTAGTAATAGGCCTCAACAAGTTCAAGGGGCAGCGTACTCTAAACTCATCTTGAGTGAATTTAACAAGACTTTAGAGGATTAAAAGTCCTCTGTAAGTAGAGGATCTGTAAGTAACCTAACTGCATGTTAAAACAAAGTCCAACACTTTTTAAAAACTACAATAAGATTAGCACTCTACAACATGAAATTAACAATGCCCAGCATTCAATAAAAAATACTTGATACAGATATGGGAACATTCTCAACTCATTTTATGAGGAAAGTAGTACCCTGACACCAAAACAGATAACAGATAAACGTGTTAAAGTATAAGAAAAATTTAGACTAATACCCTTCAAGAACATAGATTCAAAAATTCTTTACAAAATTTTAGCCAGTTGAATTTTAAATTCTATTAAACAGTTAATACATCATAGGCAAGTGGGGCTTATCCCAGAAATGCAAGTTTGGTTCACCATTTGAAAAATCAATCTATGTAATTCACCATATCAAGAGATTAAACTAGAAAAACCATCGATAATTTCAGTAGATACAGAAAAAGCATTTGACAAAATTTACCACTCATCCATGACAAATATTCTTAGCAACCTAGGAATAGAAGAGAATTTCTTCAACCTGATAAGGATGTAATATAATTAATAATGAGAAACTGATGCTTTCCCCATAAGATCAGGACAAGACAAGAATGTCCACTTACACGATTCCTATTTAACATTGTATTGGAAGACTTGCCAGTGCAATATGGCAAGAAAAAGGACTAAAAGTACCCAGATTGGAAAGGAACGTAAAGAACTGTCTTTATTTGCAGATGACATAATTGTCTACATATAAAATCCCAACAGAATGTACCAAAAAACTACTAGAACATACGAATTTAGCAAGGTTTCAGGAAAAAAGGGTAATATACAAAATTTAATTGTATTTCTGTGTACTAGCAATGAACAATTAGAAATTGTAATTTTAAAAAATCCATTTACAATAGCATGAAAATGTGAAATGCTTGGGGATCAATCCAACAAAATATGTGTAAGCTTTGTGTGCTAAAAACTACAAAATTGATGAGAGAAATCAAAGAAGATCTAAATAAATGGAGAGATATAAAATATTGTTTATAGATCAGAAGACTGAATATGGTTAAGCAGTTAATTTTTCCCATATTATTTATAGGTTTCATGTAATCCTAATAAAAATTCCAGCATACTTTCTTATAAATATTGACAGAGTGATTCCAAAATGTATATGGAAATAAAAGAACTTGAAATAGCCAAAAGTATTTTTAAAAAGAACAAAGTTGGACAACTCATACTACCATTTTCAAACTTGCCAAATAATTACCATAATCATGACAAATAGGTAGATGAAAAAAATAGAGACCAGTATTAGACCCACACATATGTGGCCAATTAATTTTTGACAAAAGTGCCAGGTGATTCAATGGAGAAAAATCATCTTTTCAATAAATTATGCTGGAACAATTGGTCATCCATAAGCAAAATTGAAATGCTGACTCCTACCTCACACCATACACAGAAATTAATTCCAAATGGATCATAGACCTAAATGCAATATGTAAAACTACAAAATTACTAGAAGATAATATAGGAGAAAATCTTTATGACCTTGAGTTAGGCAAAGATTTATTAGATTAGACACAGAAAGCACAAACAATAAGAGAACATTTAGATTAAATTGGAATTCATGAAATTTTAAACTTCTCATCTTGGAAAGACTAGTAAGAAAGTGAAAAGATGGCTGTAGATTTGGAGAAAACATCTGTAAATGATAAAGAACTTGCATTTAAAATATATAAAGAAACTTCACAACTCAATAATTAGAAAAAAAACAACGGTTTTTAAAATCGGCAAAATATTTGGACGTTCACTAAAGAAGGGACACAGATGGCAAATACATAAGTAAAAGATGTTTAACATCATTCGTTACCAGGGAAATGAAAAATTAAACTGCAGTGAAATCCCACTACACACTTATTAAAACAGCTAATTTTAAAACAACAAAAGCTGGAGAGGATGCAGAGTAACTGGAATTCTCATATTGCTAGTAGGGATGCAAAATAGTACAAATACTTTAGAAAGCAGATACAGCTTTTTAAAATAATGTTAAATAACTTGTCATATGATCCAACAATCCTACTCCTAAATATTTATCCAAGAAAAATGAAAACATGTTCATGAAAAGACCTGCATATGAATTTTTACATCAGCTTTATTTCTAGTCACTGAAACTAGAAATAATAAAATGGGTAAGGTTCATTCTATATATTCATATAATGGAATACTACTCAGCAATGAAAAGGAGTGGATTGATATATATATGACAACACAGATAAATCTAAAAAATCATTATGCTGACTGAAAGAAGCCAAACCCCAAAAGGTACACATGTTAGATTCCATTTATATGAAATTCTAGAATAGGCAACAATAAATCTAAAGCAGATCAGTGGTCACCTGTGTCCAAAGTCAGGAGGATTTCAAAAAGGCAGGAGGAAATTTGGGGGCTGAGGGAAACATTTTACCTCTTGGCTGTGATTTTGACCTTTGTTAGACTCATGAGCTGCCCACTTAAAATGGATGCCCTTGCTTAGATGTAGATTATACTTCAATAAAGTTGATTAACATGAAAGGAAATAGCCATGGGTGAGCATCTACCAAGAGCCACGCACTGTGCAAGGTGCGTTCAAATATATTCAAATATATCATCTTCGACATTGTAAGCATCTTCTTACAGCTGAGAAAGCTCAGGGGGCAGAATTTGAGTGACTTTCTCAGGAGCACACAGCTGGAATGGCGGGGCTGAGCTCAAACCTGTGTTTCAGGACTGGGGGACTGCCTCTCTCCATTGCTCAAAAGCCTCGTCACTTGGGGAGAAAGGGTAGGGGGAGAAACTACAGTTTAGATTCCTTGTGTTTACTTTCACCTCTGATGCATAAGCGGGAGTGACGTATTATTATCCCCCAAACACAGTGCCACAATGACACCAGCGAAGCAGCGGGGAGAGGATGGGGTCTTTGGCTGGCGCCAGGAAAGGGCAGCACCAATGTTCCTGTAGAATTGTGGGGCATGTGCTGTCACTCTGGGACTCAGTTTCCCCATCTTTAAAATAACATTCTCCATCCTGGGTCTCCTGTCCTTACTTGGGGGCTGTTCTCCTCTCCACTTTTTCTCTCCCCCAGTATCCCCTCTACCACCTTATCTGCTGCTGGATTGGAAGTAAAGGAGGAGGCAAAGTGGGGAAGGGAAGAATCCCTTCTACCCTGTGTTTCTCGGTGCCTGGGGTGTAAGCCCGAAGCTGATGGTAAGAGGCTGTGACAGGACCTGGCCCAGGGTGATGACTGCTGACTGTGATGAGTCATCAAAGCACAGCCGCAGAGGCACTGGGGCCAGATGCTTTTTGGTGAGGCAGGCACAAGAGCAGGGGCTCTCAGGTGGCTGGGGACCATAAAGGTCTTCTAACTGAGGCCCCAATTAATGCTGAAATCTCTCCAACAACATGTCAGACAAGCCTCTGCTTGATCAGCTCTAGAAACAGGGAGCTCACTCCTCTTGAAGCAGCCTGTTCCATGTGGGATAGATCCGGTGGGTAAATAGGTCTTCCTCTTCACGTCTGTCAGGATCCCAGCAGAAAACAGACAGGCTTTGAGGAGTCCTTTAATACAGGGACTGTTTACACAGGGTTGTAGAAGAGTGTGTGGACACTCCAGGGGTAGGGAATGCCTGAGCTAGGACCATCAAAAATGCCAGGCTGACAAGCTTTTGGCCCTTGCGTAGACAGTGGGAAGCCACGAGGTGTTTTCAAGGGAGGGCATGCTACAATGAAGTCTGTTTTATAAAGATCACTATGACTTTACTGTAAAAGAGAGGCTGCTGGGGAGCAGGAGACGGGGGCAGAGCAGAGGCTGCATGGGCAGGTCAGATGGAAGATGGCGTGGGAGGGACTGGGACTGTGAAGGCGGATGAGGAGAGGAGGGATGTGAGAGCTTCAGAGGAGCCAAAGGACTTTGGTGAGAGATTACTTACGGGGGTTGGAGAGGGATTGGAGTGAGGCTGCAGTAAGAGGGAAGAAGGCTGGACCCAGATTGGAATACGATTTGGCAGAAAGAAGTGGCCTTTCTGAAAGGGGAATGCCAAGGAGGACCCTCTCATAGACCAAGCCTTCTGCATGGCTCACATCCTCAGACCCCTGGCTCCTGCCTCCAACACTGGACCCAGGAAGCTGTGCTTTAGGAGGATTAACCCAGTGGTATATTGGAGCTGCCTTACACCGGTTCACAAGGTCCAGTTATGCACATCTCTTCCCCACAACATGCTCAGGAACATCACTTTAGTAGCTTGAAATTATCCACAGTGAGAATATTTACACCATGGGAACTGGCAAACACTACAAACCAGGGCATTTTCACTCCCCACCCCCACCACCATGCCAGTCGTTAAACAATTTTCAGTATACCACTGAAGTCAGAGAGCAGGAGCAGCTGTACCTAGTACCCCAGGCCACTAGGTCATTTTCCAGGCAAATATCTGCCCATGTGAGGCCAGACAAAGCTGCACTAGCTGCCTACCCCGAACAATGTCAAGGTAAACTGGTTTGTATGTTGGGAGCCATTGCAGCTATGGAGAAAGGTGGCGGTTTTCCCGCAAACTTTTCAGGCTTTGGGACACTCTATCTTCCCGGCCCTCAAGTGCATTCTCACATAGTCTTCGGATAGCTGGAAGAAGTTGGGTGTGGGCATTCTGGCCCTTTTACATTGGGAAAAATGAAAACTTCAGAGGTCAGGTGATTTGTGTGATATCATGCAGGGGCACTCAATCCTGTGTTTTAAAACGACCACCCTACTGAAGAAATTGCAGATTTCCAGCACCCCAGGTTTCCCGCCTGCATATCCCTGATGTTTCCCTCCCCATAAAATAAGCCACTATTCTGACTTCTATCACCTTACGTTAGTTTAGTCTGATTTAGAACTCTCTATAATTGGGATCATAAACTGTGGTATGTTCTCTCCTATGTCTCTTTCTTTCCTTCAACACTGTCTGTGCGACTCATGTGTGATGTGGGCAGCAGCAGCTCATTTTCACTGCTGCATAGTATTCCACAATTTATTCACTCTCATGTCTATTGACAGGACTTATTTCCAGTTTTTAGCTATTATGCATACTGTTGCTCTGAACATTCTAGTACATATATGTTGAAGACCATATGCATGCATTTCCGTTGGGTGTATATCCAGGAGTGGCATTTCTGGGTTTGGGATGGTTTAATGCAATTTTGATGCAACAGAGAGTTGTCGAATCCCTTTGGTATGTGAGTTGCTGAATGACACTCCCTGGGCTGGATAAGATTTCTTCTCTGAAGGGCCTAGGGGGTGTGTGTGTGTGGAGGGGGAGTAGCAGACACATTCGGCAGAACTCTGGTTGAATATGGAGGTGCCACCAGAGAGGAGGAACAGAGCCTTGGGGGCTCATGGTGTAGGGATGGCCTCTCTGTGTGGAGAACCAGCGAGCCTGGAGGATGTGGCCTTTGAAGGGCTTGGGAAAGACTTGAGTCCACAGAGGTGGAGGGAGGGGCTTCTAGGAAGGGGACTGCAGGGCAAGGGGTGGAGGTGGGGAAACAGGTACTTAGAGAAGAGCAGGTGTTCCCTCTTGACTAGAGGGCTGGATTCCGCAGGGCAGCAGCAGTTAGTGGTTGGGGCATGATCACTGATCACAGAGGTCTTGAACATAGGTCTGGGAGTTTAGGCTTTTGTCCTTAGGGCCCTGGGAAACCACTGAAGGCCTCCAAAAGGGGCAGTGTGTGGGAGAAAAACTTGTGTGTCTACGTATGTATGTGGGGGTGCTGGATTCAGAGAGGGGTACCCACAAAGTCTAAACTCAGAAATGGGGAGAGAGGGGAGGGAAGGGGGAAATAAGACTGAGTGGAGGAAGGTGGCCCATATGAGGGAGAAGTCCTAGGTGGGGATGAGAGCTTCTCTGTTCAAACCTCCTTTTCCAGAGCAGGGGGACACATGAGCCTGAAGCACCTAGTGGCCCCCCAGGAGGCCACTTACCAGAGGAGCCGGACAAAGCCCCTCCCACCCAGGACTGCAGCCTCCCTGAGACAGGAGGGACCGTGGGCAGCCTTCACTTCCCTCCAGTGTCCCATTCAATGTCAGTCTGGGATTCCTTTGATGGTTGTTCCTTCCCTTAGGTAGCAAGGTCCCTGGACCCATTGCCAAGGTGGGGAAATTGAGGCAGAGCCATAAGAAGACTCTGAGGAATGCATGAGGGAGGCCGGCTGTCATTTCTCTACATCTTCCCACCAAGCTCAGGGCCTCCTCCACGTGGGGAAGGAGAAGCAGGTGGGAAAAAGAGAGCCGAGAGATGAAGCCCCTTCTCGAAGCCTTTGTGAAGGGCCTCGCCTGCCTCCTCACCTGCTGCTCTGCTCTGAGGCCTGAGGCCTCGCTGCAGGCGCTCCACTGCTTTGCCGAAGGTGCCAATTCTTCTGGGGTGCAGTGGGAGGTGGGTGGGTGGAGGGGGAGCTGGAGGAGCTGCATCAGAATCTGCAGGTTGGGCCCACGTCCCAGTCCCTCTTCCCCTGGCTGGGGGACCCTGGTGAGTCCTCTGCTCCCCGGCCTCAGGTCCCCATCTGTTCTGATCTCGGGAGACCTCGCCTCCCGCAGTCCCTGCCTGGCCGCCCTGATGGGTGGGCCTCAGGATGACTGCAGGGATGATGGATGGGAGGAAGCCATAAGGAGCCCAGAGTGCCAGACAAGTGTGAGGGAAATCAGTCGTCACCCCTCTACTTAGCGCACTTTTCAGCAGCCTGGCGATTTATTACTGGTATTATTGTTAATGACATTAATAACGAGGCCAACGACACCATTCGTGGCTTGTACCACACTTTTGTTTTCCTCCGAAACACACTTCTCCATGGTCCTCACCCCTCTTTGTGAGTGTGACATTTGACATCCAAATGGGTAAACTGAGGCAGAGAGCTGCTGTGTCTGATTAACCGAGGTCAGCGAGTGAATCACTGGGGAGGGGAGGGCAGCTCTGTCAATTCCAAGTCCAGTATTTTTAGCTCCAGACCAGGCTGCCTGCTTTCACCCCTCTTGTGTGAGTCTAAGCTTTTCTTGTGTATCCCACCAGCACCTGGGCTTAACCTAAGGAGCACTGGGCGGGGCGGCTGACAAGTTTGAGTTGAAGCCACCTTCTCCAGCTGCTAGCTACATGACCATGGGTAAGCTGCACTCCCCAGCCTCAGTTTCCCCTCCTGCCACATTGGGGTGCCTAATCATCCCAGCATGGTGAGAGTTGAGGACGTTGGTGGAAGTAGCAGCTTGGGGTCCGGCACGTTGTCCAGGCTCCTGCTCTGCACCTAAGTGTCCCCCTCAGGTCAGAACTTGGCAGGTGGGGTGGAGGTTATCTTTTTCTGCTTGGGCTGGCTGGAAAGTCCTCTGGCCTCCAGTGCCAATTTTCCCAAAGCTGCCCTTTGTGTGTGTGAGTGTGTGTGTGTGTGTTTCTGCATGTGCACTATCTGGCCAAGGTCAGGGGTGAAGTCTTATTCTACAAGAAAGGTCTCTAGGCAACAGGTGGTGGTATGACAGGCCAACATGTCACCACTGCCACCATCTCCCGCCCCTGCCACAAGCTGAATGATGAGAAAATCAAAGGCTGACCTTCTCCTCCGCAGCCTCCCTGGTCCCCAGCTCCTGTGGCTTTCAGGAAGGAGAAGCCTCCACACTTGTCACCTGTGGTAACCCAACCCTGGTTGCCCACCCCAGCAGGTGAGTGCCACAGAGTTCAGTCCCTGCCTTCCATTCCTCTGCGTCTATTTCTTCTTGCCCCTTCCCTACCCTGAGCACCACTGGCTGGGGCACCCTTCCCTGCTGGCAGCCCTCCAGGACTACCTTCCCAGACTCAGGTGGAGGCCTTGCCTGGAGGGGCCCCTGCCAGACTCTCCATTCCTCGGGGCTCACCCTCCCAGTGGCACAGGCTCCAGCTACTCTGCCATTGGAGGCTCCCAATGGCCTCATCCTTCCTCCTGCCACTGTGCACTTCCCATGCTATTCCCATTTCCCGACACTTCATTCCTCCACTCTATCTTTTATCTCTCATTGTAAATGTCATTTTTTTCTTGGACACTTTTCCCGATCCCTCTCTACAGGCCAGATTATTTCCCACTGCCCCTCTCACATTCCGATAGCTCTCGTGCTTCCTCAGAGCCCTGTGGAAATCTGTTTGCATGTATGTATCTATTTAGTAATGGTTTCTTTAACGTCTGCCTCCCTCAGAGGGTAAGCTCCATGCCAGCTCACTGTCTCTGTGCAGGTGGAAGGAGTGCCCGGTGTTTAGCACAGTGCCCTACCACAGGAGGTACTCATTTGGTCCACCAATGAGTGGGTCCATGAATGAATGTGGTCGGTATCACTGCTTCTGCTCTTCAGCTTGGAAACTGAGGAATAATGAGGTGGTATCACCTGGCCAAAATCCCACTTATCAGAACCAGAAAATCACACCTGGTGATACCTGGTTCTGCCCCCCCATGTGGGGACAGGATCCTTATTCGTGGGAGCCAATTATGTGCTCCCAATGATGGTGTTATACTCCCTTAAAGGGCAGCAAGGGAAGCCAGTAGAGGTCCTTATGTTGTTCCAGACAACAGTGTGTGACGTACAAATGTCCCTAACACTTCTCCTGCCCCTGTGCTAAATTACTGGGACCAGGAAGACACTAGAGCAGACATCTGGCAGCCCTGGCTAACCAAGAGGCCCATCTCTAAGCTCGGCAGAGCAGAGGTTGTGAGGACTCCACCCAGACTCACTTTTCCCTCTATGCCCATTCCTAATCCTTATGTATCTTCCAGTGGTAGTACAAGCCCCTCTTCCTCGCAGGAAACCCTCAGCACTTTCTCTGTCCTCTGAGTGCTGTAACCTGAGCAGTCTGGGGCTCTCCTGGAGCTCTATGAGCAGAAGGAGATTTAGGGACCCGCTTGCCCGGCCCTCATTTGATACATGAATTTACGGAGGATCAGAGAGGCCAGGTGACCTGGCAAAGTCACACAACTGATTACCTGACTGATTGGGGACAATGATGCAATTTTTAACATTTTGAGTATTTCAAAATTTAAATTTTTTTTTTACCACTTTGAGGACAAGGGAAAATGAACAACCTCAGGAAATGTGGTAATAGACATCAAAATAATGCATAATTTTTAAAAAGAATGCATCCTTTTGACCCTCAGGATGCAATTTGAAATGGGTGCAAAGATGTATGCACAAGGATGCTCATCACAGCCTTGTTTATGAGGGCAAAAAACTGGAAATAGCTTAAAGGTCCAACACAGAGATTGGTTAAATAAATTATGGGGCATCCATGTGATGGAATACCATGCAGCCATTAAAAATGATGGCCCAGTAAAAGAATATTTAACGACATGGGGGAAATGTTCACAAGATGTTGTTAAGGAAGAAAAAAAAAGCAGGCTGCAAAACAGCATGTTCTATATGCCTCTGACTTTGCTAAAACAATTATTAAAAAGCAAAGCCCAGGGCCCCTGAAGTTATTTATGATATTGTTATGATATTAAAGACATCAGCCTCATTAATTCCTCTTTCAGTATGGCTCAGCAGAAAGCATGGGAATTTAATGTCTGAAGGCCTGATTCTGAGTCTGGGCTGTGCTCTTTATTAACGGGGTGACCTTGGAGCTCCAGACCTCACTTTCCCTCATCTGTGAAATGGGGATGAGGCCTCCATTGGAATGGTGTTGAAAGATACCAAATGTTGCACAAATGATGTTCAAGGATTGTGTGTGCATGCACGAAAGATCTTGGCAAACTGTACAGAGCTGTACAGATACTGAGAGTAATAGGTATTTTTATTCCCTAATTAAACTTAGGACTCTGTGAGGGCCCCATGAGATGTGACATTCTTCCCTGTCACTCTGCAGCCAGTGCAGCGTCTCACACACTGCAGCGCACAGGAATATGGGTGGGCCTGCCCCCCCACCCCCAGCCTCAGGCCTGCCCTTCTATCCCTTTGGGTCATCTCTGCCTGCCCGGGGCTGGGCTTAGCATTGCCTACACACAGAGGGAGAATGCAGCTGTGGGTGATGCTGTGGCTGGGGCTGTCTAGGGTGTTCCCAGCATCCCTGCCTCCCCAGCCCCTGCAGGACCAGAGGAGTGGCCCGATGCGGAGAGTGCACCAGGTGTGGCTCCAGGGCCAAGGCCCAGCCAGAAGGCAACAGGCCCTCAGCACCTATTATGGACTTTATCTGACTCCTTAGGGAGTCTCAGGGCTGCAGGGGGGCTGCCTGCCTGCCACCTGTGGAGGACTCGGGTCAGGCTGAGGCTGGGCCTGCCCTGTCCTCTCCTCCCACCTCCTTGCAGTGGAGGATGGGCCAGTCACACCTCCTCTCTGCGTCTTTGCTTCCTCCATTACCCCACAGGCCCCTCCTGGCAGGGCTGGGGAAATTTTTACCCACTCTCTGAGGGAGGGAAGTGAGCCCCAGTGATGGGAGGTGGCCTGCTCTGAATCCTGTGGTCACTGAGTTAGGCTGAGCCCCCAGGCCTAGTTCTGCCCCCTGGCCCTCTGGTCATCCCCACCAGCCCCTCAGCGGAGGGAGGGACGTCAAGCCAATAGAGTCAGGTACTTGGGGGGCACTCAGGGAGCAGTCCTGTGCACTCATATTTTCTATTCATCGTTCTCTCTCCACATGCTTTGTATGCTTTTGCTCTGTGCGGCTCCAGGCTAGATAGAGGCTGGAATTGTTTTGGGGGAAAGCTGCAGAGGCAGAGACTGATACAATCTTTCAGGTGTATGGGAAGAAAATAATAAAAGTGGCTCAGTGTGGTGAGAAGATGCTGCAGAAGGTGCTGTTGGGCCTCACCCAGGGCTCCCTTTGCCTGAAGATGGGCCCGTTCCCCAGCTGCTGCTGGGTGACCAGCGCTTACAACTCCAGCGACTTCCCTGGGGGCCAGAGCTGCTGCCCACAAACAGCCGAAGGTGACAGTCTCTCCTGCTGTCAGCCTACTTGGCCCCTTCCGTAAACAGAACAACTTCACTGTGCCATGATTTACTCTCTAAAGGCTCTCAGTGTGTCGGGTCAAGGCCAGGCCTTCCCTAAGACCTTCCCTTCCCTTCCTATCCTGCTCCCCAACCTCCCTCCCATGAGGGCTTTACTGAAGAAGCTGCTCCTTCAGAAAATCTTGTGCCTCGAATCCCTGCCTCAGGCTCTGCCTTGAGGGAACATGTCATGTCGCCTCAAATCCTGACATGCCTTAGCTAAATATAACAGGCATAAACACTACACATTGGAGGCTCTGCCCTAAATAGAAAAGCTTCCAAGCACATTATTTTTAGCAAGAGAAAATAACTTGAACCTATCAGAAAACATGCTAAAGACTGGACTGAAAGTGAAACCTAGAAATTTTCTGGTTTTACAAGCCTGGCTGGAGCTAACATACATTCACGGCAGATGCACACGTGACAAAGATTAGGTCTGTGCTGCACTCAGAGAGAACACGAATCAAACTTTGGCATGGCATGTTCCAGGCAGTGTCTACTGGACTCCAGCCTGTGGTACAGGCAGTATTGGTCAAGCCTGTGCCCAGCCTCTGACAGCCCCTTGCTGGGGCCAGCACCCCAGAGTCCTTCCAGGTCTTGCTCCTAGAACCCACAGGGAATTCCCCCGGTCACAGGGAATGGCTGTTGGCTCAGGCAGCACCAAGTGCAATGTTTTTGCCCCAATCCCTTCTCATCACCTTTCAAACCTCAGCCTCCTCCAGGAAGCCCACAGACATGTTCTATCCTCTTAGCTTCTCCCTCCCTGACTGTCAGCAGGCTTCAGCTGGCTCCATTATGAGCAGCTGGGAACAGAGTTTGGGACACTTTTTGGCCCCATCCGTGTGCACAGGATGGGCACACAGTAGAAAGGAAATGCTGGAGAAATACACACCTTCAGAGCGGGATGACTTGGGCCATCAGACATGCCCTGAATTCTTAGTCTTCCCTCAGGTCACAGGGCAGACATCCTCCCAAGTCATGCATCCTCCTCTGACCACATGTCCAGTGTCTGTTGGTCTGCAGGCTGGAGCTCTGTTAGTCCTGCTCTCTGCCCTATCCTAGTGCCCAGGACAGAGCCTGGTACACAGAAGTCACTCAATCAATGCTTGTGAAATGGGAGAACATCTTGAGAAGTGGCCCACACCCAGACAAGGGAGGATACTGCACACAGACAGGCCTCTTGTCTTCCTCACATGTGCTGGGCCAATGACATGTGGTGAGAAGAGGCTGTAAAGTGAGCCTGCCAGGGCCTCAGGGTGGCAAGGGACAGAGGCTTGCTTAGGCTGCCACAAGGGACAAAGTTTATCTAAGGATATCAAGGTAAACTGTGTTCAGGATCCCACCTGAACAAGCCAAATAACAGCAGCTATCATTTACTGGGATCACGGACTGTGTACCAGGCACTGGCTAAGCATTTTCTACACACTAGTTTACCATTGCAAAGAATACAAAGGAGCAGGTTTTAATGCTCGACATCTAACCCCCTTCCTGGTGGCCCTCTAGGACACCAACCCATCCTTATTATGTCAAGTCCTTGGGAGAAGGGCAATTCCAGGTATTCATTGTCAGACACTAAGCGGGGGCAGATCTTTCCTCTTCCCACCCTAGGGACAGTCAGGAGGTGAGCCGGTATCAGACACCCTCCCAGGACTTTGGATACCCAGGAGGTGAAGCTGGGATGGACGGAAGTGGGTAGAGTTGATATCACAGCATTGGTAGGAGCCTTTGTGTGCTGGGGTTCCAGCAGGAAACATGTGGCACACTCCTAGGGGCTATTGGAGGAGAATTCGATGAGGACAGTGAATTAGTGTATGAGCAGGGCTAAGGAAAACCATCAAGGGTGATACAGTACCCTGAGGCTAACAGTGGGAGCTCTCACCACCCCAATATGAGGGGCAAAGGGAAGGCATGGCCATACCTCTGTAGAGAAAAGCTGTAGGAGCGGCCGCACAGTGGAAGCTATGGCCTTGGTAGAGGGGCCCATCCAAGGAGCTCTTGCCCTTCCTTCTGTGTCCCGCCACCCTCCATCCTCCTAGGACACTTCCTAGGTAGTGGGTGGTGGCAGTGAATGCACATTGTCTGGCACAAGGTCATTGCTAGTTTGCTGGTTTCTGTTTCTTACATTTTCTTGGAAATCTGTTGATCATCCAAATTTCCCTGTAGGCTTTTAGGAGATCTTGTTTTGCTTAAGTTAGCTAGAGGTGCTTTCTGTTGCTTACAACCACAAACTCTACAAGGCATTATATTAGTCCGTTCTTGCATTGCTATAAGGAAATACCTGAGACTGGGTAATTTATAAAGAAAAGAGGTAATTGGCACATGGTTCTGCAGGCTGTCCAGGAAGCGTAGCAGCTTCTGCTTCTGGGGAGGCCTCAGGAAGCTTTCCAATCATGGTGGGAGGCAAAAGGGGAGTAAGGTGTCTCACTTGGTGAGAGCAGGAGCAAGACAGAGCAAGGGAGGAGGTGCTACACACTTTTAAACAACCAGATCTTATGAGAACTCACAACAACACCAAGAAGGATGGTGCTAAACCATTCATGAGAAACTGCCTCCATGATCCCATCACCTCCCACCAGGCCCTACCTCCAGCACTGGGGATTACATTTCGACATGAGATTTGAGTGGGGACACAGATCCAAACCACACCAGGCATCATGGTAGTATTATTCCCTTTAACAAGGAAACTGAGGCTCCCAGAAGTTTTGGTGTTGTCAGATCATATAGGCTGGCAGTGGCCTGCATGAGTCAGGTTGTGAAGGCTGCTCTGGCTGTGCTTAAAGCTCTTAGCATAGAGCAGCTGGGCACATGGGGGTCTAGAAGGCTGTTGGTCCCAGGCAGTGGAGGGCCTGGGTCACCTTTTTGTCAGAGGCGTTTAAACCAGAGCAACTCCATCTTGAATAGGGCCTGGGTAAAATAAGGCTAAAACCTGCTGGGCTTCATTCCCAGCGAGTTAGCATTCTAAGTCACAGGATGAGAAAGGGGTCAACATAAGATACAGTCGTAAAGATCTTGCTGATAAAACAGGCTGGAGTAAAGAACATTTACTCCAGTAAGTTAGCATTCTAAGTCACAGGATGAGAAAGGGGGTCAACATAAGATACAGGTCATAAAGATCTTGCTGATAAAACAAGTTGGAGTAAAGAAGCCGGCTAAATCCTACCAAAACCAAGATGGCAACAAGAGTGACCTCTGGTTGTCCTCACTGCTACACTCCCACCAGCACCATGACATTTTCCAAATGCCACGGCAATGTCAGGAAGTTACCCTACATGGTCTAAGAAAGGGAGAAACCCTCAGTTCGAGGAATTGCCCACTCCTTTCCCTGAAAACTCATGAATAATCCACCCTTTGTTTAGCATATAATCAAGAAGTAACCATAAAAATGAGTGACCAGTAGCCCTGAGGGCTTACGGAGTAGCCATTCTTTTATTCATTTACTTTCCTAATAAATTTGCTTTTAGTTTACTGTATGGACCCGCCCAGAATTCTTTCTTGTGCGAGATCCAAGAACCCTCTCTTGGGGTCTGATCAGGCCCCTTTCTGGTAACACCTTCAAGAGTTTAAGGATTACAGCTCAGCCACTTCCACCTTGTGTCTGCTTCTCTCTGCGTGTGGCTGACCACTTTCCTTCCTGTCGCTGACTGTCCAACCACCTGTGGCCCTGGAGCAGCTGGCAGGCAGAGTCATGCCAGACCAAATAGGGCCTCGCTCATGGAACAGGCCAGAGCAGGGCTGGGTGGGGAAGGTGACTTGGCAGTTGAGTTTGAATAAACAGGTCACTGTGGTGTTGGGTGGGACTAAAGCTGCTGCAAATTAGCCTGAAGGTGGAGGCAGAGCTAACAGGGAGGAAGGAGGCTGCAGGTGGGCCCAAACCAGTCCCGCCTTGAGGGAAGGCCTGAGGCTGAGGGTGAGGAGCCCACACACACCTGCCTTTCTCCCCTCCAGCTCAGACAGGATGCCTCAGCCTGAAAGCTGTGATTTCCTCCCGGGGAGCCTCCCCAACCTCATACACAGCCCCTAACCTCCCCATCTGGCCCGGACACCCCCATCAATCACTCGGCAAAAATCCCTGGCTTTCTTGCATAAGTATTAGGTGCTTTGTCAGAAATTACCTAAGTTATAATCCAATTACACAATAATTACATTGGGATGGCTTCGTAACTACGGCATTAATTAACTTTGATGGCTCTCATAAATTACTCAGGGGATTGATACAGTGGGAAGAGGGCGGGTGGAGCCCAGTGGGTGGGAAGGTGGGGCTGAGGAACCATTAGTCGTCCTGGGGTCAGGAGGCCCCTGGAGAGTGATGGGGGAGGGGAGAAGGGTCCTTACGTCCCTCCACCGACACCCAAGCACAGTGTCAGGGCTGGAAGTGACCTTCAAGGTCAATCACCCTAAACTTGCCTCCTCTGTCCGGTGCTTGAGCCCTTACCCTGGCAGTGTAGAAACTCTAGTATAAAAAGCTACTGCCCCTTAAGGGGCACGCAGTGTAGAAAGAAGCTTGGACTTCGGAGCTTTGCTTTCTCTGAACTTCAGCCTTGCTGCTTGGAAATGGGCAGGAGCAGTCTCCTCACATGATGTCGCGTGGCCTGAGTGTTCAGTGGACGCACACCCTCTAGCCCAGCTCCAGCCTATAGAAATAGGATGTGGGCCTCAGATGTAAGGCAGGTGCGTAGTGTTATATTGTCCAGGGGCCCAATTAAAGAAGTGAAAAGAAACAAACAGGTGAAATTAATTTCTAATAATACATGCATTTAATCTAATATATCTAAAATATTATTTCAAAATATATTTAATGTAAAAAAGCATTAACAAGATATTTCTCATTCTCTTCTTATTCTAAGCCTTTGAGACCTGGTGTGTCACTAAGCACCTTGCAGTCAAGCACCCAGGGACCACATGAGGCTGGGGATAGGCAGATGAGTGTGTGCTTGGCATAAGCTTGACACTCATTACCTGCCAGTCCCCTGTCCTCATTGCTGAAGCCTATGGCCTGTCTGCCTATGGTCGAGTCTCTTCTCCAGGACAATCTTTCACACTGTGGCTGGGGTGGAGGGTGCAGGCGGTAAGTGCTACCCGAATCTCCACTTGCTCAAGCAAAACAGTCCTGGATCCTCAAAGTCTTGTTGGTTGAGCACATCCAAACCATCACCAAGTACAGTCTTTAAAACACAGCCTGGATGCAACCTCCACTCCACCTCCACTACTGTGATCCAGGCCACCCCATTTCTTCCTGCACGACCAGGGGAGCCCCTGACCGGCCTCTGGGCTTCCCACCTTCCCCCTCCTACCCACTGCCCACTCTGCATCAACAAGAGCATCAGTGGGATGGCGCCATGGCCTCCCATCAAGAAGAGACCATGGCAGCGGTTTGGGTGCAGGTGGCTGAGCTGGGCGGTGATCCCGGGAGGTATCATGGAAGTATCTGGAGCGTGAGGAGGGGAAGGAGGAGGAGCTGATGGAAGAGTGTGTTATTGAGGCTGCCGCCATGAGCTGGGGGGCTTGCTTCTGCCGGGTCTCTCAAGAAACATGCAGAAGGCCTCCAGGGTTGCCCCTGAAGCAGCATGGGCACTGGAGCGTTTATCCATGGGCTTGGTCCTGTGTTTGAGTGTGGCTGTGCAGGAGCTTATTCCCCTGCATTTGGGGACTAAGCTCCCGTGCAGGCGCAGGGGCTCCCCAGGTGTCAGAGAAAGCCCTGAGGCTGAACACGTCCTGAGGGTGTGCAGGTGTCCCGAGGATGGACCCCGCCAGCATGAGGCCTACCAGGCTGCAGCTGAGATAGCAAGGCCAGGATGCCGGGTGTCTGCCACATCTTTTCTAAATGTTTCCTTCAGAGGCTTTCTGTTGACCTTAGAATGAAATTTAACCTCTTAAGGCAGCCTTTGAGGCTCTGCCCAATCAGGCCTCTAAATACCTTCTCTCCTCACTCCTCACCACTGTCCCCACACCCCTACCCTTTAGCCTTCTGTCAGATTCCAGAAAATTCCAAGCTTTTTCCTGCCTCCAGGCCTCTGCACTTGTAGTTCCTTCTGCCTGGAATGCTTTCCCCAGCCTCTTCTCTCTGGCTCCTCCTCTCTGGATTTCCCTCCCAATGTCACCTCCTGAGAGATGACATTTCCCCTGACCTTCCTACTTCCAGCTGCTGTGCCACCCCTCGCACTCTAGCCACGCTCTTTTCCACCATTCTTCTTCAATTACTTCACAGTTCTCAGTAATTCCAGAAGTAACCTTATTCCGGGGTTTTAAAGCTCTGCATCACTAGGCCCTATCTCCCACAAAGGCATGGTACTGGTCCCTGTTGTTCAGAGGTGTCCCTAGCACCTGGAGCTGGGCCTGGCACCCAGAATGAGCTCAGGAAGTACTGCCTACTCGAGTGACGTCATGGCCGCTCCACCTTGGGTGTCTTTTGGGTAGTCTGTGTGCGTCTCAGGCAGAGGGGAGTCTGGTCCTGGGCCTGAGAGGTGGAGAGTGGGTCTGTCCCCTCCTTGTTCTGGGTACTGTGCCTCTATTTATGCAGCCTGAGGTCCCGCTGGAGTTTCAGCTGCACATCATCATGATGACTGGCAGGCACTGGGCTTGGCCGTTACTGCCTCCTACTCTGGGCCTGGGTCTGGGGTTGCAGAGATTGAGGGTATCAAGGAGGGGCAGGAGATAGAGAGATGAGTGCACCCCACAGACTGGGTGTGGCAATCAGAGACAAGAGGCAGTTTCCTGAGAGCCAGCTGTGTGTGCGAGGCAGGAATTTCAGGAGTCCTGGGAACTTAGGAGTTGGAGGGTGGGGTTCATGGAGCCACTCCCCTCTGGAATCCAGAGGTCAGACCCCTTCTCAGCCTCTGCTCCCACTTCCATGAGAACGGCCTCTGCCTTCCCTCCATGGCCTAGTTGAAGGTTTAGCTTGGCACCCCTTTGACTTACCGGAAAGAATCCCTTGTCCAAGGGTGTCTGTGAGCTCCATGGACTTCCCTGGAAATGTAATGGAGGTGACAGCAGTCACCTCCTTAGACCCACCAGGAAGATGATCATGAGAGAGACAGACAAGGCCCAGTGTGGGTTGGTGCATACCGCAGCTGGGTCTTTCCCTCACAGCTGGTGGGATGTGAACTTGCACAGCAACTTTAGAAAAACTGTCCTGCAAGCTGCACATACACAGACCATGAGCCAGGCCTTCCACTCCTGAGCACGCGCCAGCAGCAGCGTGTACATGTGTTCAACAAAAGAACGTTCAGAGCAGCAGCACTGTGCATAATTGTCAAAAATGGGAATGACCCACATTCTCTTCCAGGTAGAATAGGTAAGTAAACCGTGAGCTACTCAGCCAGTGGAATACTCCATGGGATGAGGATAAAAAAGCTATAGCTACAGTGCAGCAACATGGCTGAAACTCACAGAGAAAACGCTGAGATAAAGAAGCCAGACACGAAATAACACACCTGTATGATTCTGTTTCTGCGACGTTAGAGGCAGGCAAAGACAATCTCTGCGGCGGTTGCTTTGTGGGGAGATAGTTTCCTGGGAAAGGCATGCAAATCCCGCAGTGTCCTGTGTCTGACCTGGAAGTTTGCTCTGCACGTCTTCACTTTGCCACGATCCATTGAACGGTGGCAGTGTGATTGTGTGCTTTGTCTTTGTGTGTTATCCTTCAATAGGACATTTAAAAGAAAACCCCCATGAGCTTTGTCTTCCCTAGCTGAAGTTCCTTCTCTGACTTGGCACCACTGGGTTCGATGGTCTGGTTTTTTTGTTGTTGTTGTTTTGTTTGTTTGTTTGTTTGTTTGTTTGTTTTCCGAGACGGAGTCTCTCTCTGTCGCCCAGGCTGGAGTGCAGTGGCGTGATCTCGGCTCATTGCAAGCTCCGCCTCCTGGGTTCACGCCATTCTCCTGCCTCAGCCTCCCAAATAGCTGGGACTACAGGCGCCCGCCACCATGTCCAGCTAATTTTTTTGTATTTTTAGTAGAGATGGGGTTTCACCATGTTAGCCAGGATGGTCTCAATCTCCTGACCTCATGATCTGCCCATCTCGGCCTCCCAAAGTGCTGGGATTACAGGTGTGAACCACTGCGGCCGGACGATGGTCTGTTTTTATCTCCTCTGTCTCCACCAAGTGTCAGACTCTCAAGCTTCCTCTTCACAAGCCTGCCCCCTGGCCCTCCACATCCCCCCAGGATCTGCCATTTCCTGCCCGCTAATTATGTAGAGCATTTTATGTTTGACGAGGCTCCTGCCCCCAAATAACAAACTCAGACCCAGCATCAGGCGCAGCGCACCAAAGGGCACTGTGAATAGGACCCAGGCTCTGTGAGAAGGCAGCTCAGGGACCATATTTTGTGATATTAACATGTTCCTCGGAGTCTCATTCCTCAACCCAAGAGGCAGACCAACATATTATTTCTCCAAATAAATACAGCGTGGTCCCCAAGAGGAATTCCCGGGGTGACTGTTGAGAAAGTAAAAGTGCCTCCTTCTCCTTTGTCTTGTTTTACAGAAAGGCAGACAGAGGATTGGGGAGGGAGGGTGGTGGGCATGGCACTGGCCAAGATGGGACCAGAGCCAGGATCCCTGCTCTGGGCATCTAGTGCTGCCTCCTCTCTAGCGCCTGGGTCCAGGGCGGGCGGTGGTCGGGTTGTGGCCGGATGCTGTTTCCTTACCCAGGGTTTGCATCCCTGGCAGGAGGTCTGTTGGGAAAGAAATGCCTAAGCACCCACACCCAGGCTTATTTGTTTGAGGAGATGAGCCTGCAGGCACACATTGTACATCTCAGGCAGTGTGGACACTTGGGCAGACAGGAGAGCTGGGGGAAGGGCACCCCGCTAGACACTGGGCACCCCAGATGCCATTAATTCAGGCCTCTACACCCTGGAGAGTTCCTGCAGCTAAACATGTTTTACATCAAACTGCAGTCTCCTCCCTCGCGATCCCACAGCAAAGTGGGAGCTCCTGGGCCTCACCGGTCCAGGGCTGGAAAGAAATAGTGGGGAGAGGAAATGAAATGAGGCAGCACACATGTTAGCCCTGGGATTAAGATGGGACCTCCTTCTCAGTCTCTTGTCACAGATTGCTAAATATTGTGGGCGTTCAGTAGTGGCATGTGGCTAAATATTTAACAGTCTGATCTCCAGGAGGCGGAGGGGAAGCCCTGCTTTGTCATGTGTGCCAATTTCTGTGGTGTAAATGCTCCCACCACGGCCAGTTTCCAGCTACCAACCATCAACTGGTTCTTGAAATTTCTGAAGTTTTAACAACCAGCTCTCTTGCACAGGTGTAACCTGGCTCCAGCAGCAAGTCCTGGGGAGGGGACTGGCCTTTGAACCCTCCACAAGCTAGCAGGTTTTGGAATTTGTCTGCAAGGCCACAGTAAAACATACAATAGAGGTTGCAACATATTCTCTTAGACCAAGATGTATAGTGTGCCCCTGTGCTTTTCCCAAGGCTCTTCCGCTAACTTTGCCTACAGTATGAAGGAGTTGCAAGTAGGGTTGAACTAAACACATGGAATATTCTTTTTTCTTTTTCTTTCTTTCTTTTTTTTTTTTTTTTTTTTGTTTTTCGAGACAGAGTCTCACTCTGTTGCCCAGGCTGGAGTGCAGAGGCACGATCTCAGCTTACTGCAGCTTCTGCCTCCCAGGTTCAAGCAAATCCTAAGTAGCTGTGATCACAGGCATGCGCCACCACGCCCAGCTAATTTTTGTATTTTTTAGTAGAGACAAGGTTTTGCCATGTTTGTCAAGCCGGTCTTGGACTCGGGCGGCTCAAGTGATCCACCCACCTCGGCCTCCCAAAGTGCTGGAATACAGGTGTGAGCCACAGTGCCCGGCTGCATGGAATATTCTTGTTCAGAAAAAGTACCAGCAGAATTAGAGAGCACACTAGTTATCATTATTTCAAAAGTGCCTCTTTCAGATATTAAATTAAGACTGACTTTTTAAAAACATCCAATACTATTTTAACCCCTTCCAAAACAGAATGTATCACAGTTGGCCAGCGCAAAGTATTTCCATGATTATCTCATTGGATTCCCCAATACAGAGTGTGACTAGTCCCACTTCACAGGTAATCTAGCGAGACTGTGCACTTTATCATCCAAACCGGAACAGTTTTGAGGCTGTCAGGCAGTACCTGTTATGCTAGGGCAACAGGAGTAAGCAGGCTCCTTCCCAGCCCCCGTAGGTGAGGAGCACGGACCCTGGAGAGGTTCGCTGACTTGCTCAAGGCCCCACAGCTGCAAGCAGGACTGAGTGCTCCTCTGGGCTCCACAGGGAAGCAGTGTTCTCGGGCTGACTAAGGGTAGGTGTGCGTGTTCCCCTGGATCTACAGACTCCTCTGGAGTCACAGGGGTTGCGGACACTTTTCCCTCAGTGGCATCCAGCTCTTTGGAGCCTTTCCTGAGAGCCAGTTCTGAAGGGTGAAGGCCTGGAGTGCCCATGGTGAGGATGGGAACAACGGGGTGTGGTGGCATAGGGAGGGGAAGGCAGCTTCCACCCGCTCACCATTCTGTCTCTTTGTTGAGAGCCTCCGTCCACAGACTTTGGCACCTGTACAGGGTAGCCTGACTTTGGAAAGCTTGCTGGGCATGGCAAGGCTGTGGCGGGAGACGGCAGGGAGAGGCTGCTGGTATGTTTCCTTTCCTCTCTATCCAACCCCATAGACCCTACATCACTACACCTGGCCTGGCTATCTGATTTGCAACAGGGGAAGTGGCTCCAAGAAGCGACATCTCCCAAGCTATTATTTGCCTCCCATTTTGTGCTGGGTGGAGAAGGGGAAAACATCCTTACTGTGGCCAGAAATGGACCACATCTGTCAGGCCACCCTCTATCCTTCCATTACTGGAACTCAGTCCTCATCCTGGAGGATCACATCAGCCAGGTGCCTCAGCACCTCCTCCAGGAAGCCTTCCCAGAATCCTTCTTCCAAAGAAGAATAAAGCCTTCTGCCCCGCAGTCTCAATGCCTTTGTTGTGCCTAGTTACTGGGCTGGGGTGTGTAAATGCCTCTGTCCTGCTAGAGGGTGAACTTCTTATAGGCAGTCCCTCTACCTTGTCTAGTTCTCTCTCCCTGCAGAGCCCTGTGCAGAGGAGGCACTCAGCAAATAGGCAGGCTGCAGACCGGCATGGTGAGCAAGACTAGGACTTGGTGTGGCACACACCTGGGAGATTCCACCTTTAATAATCGTTCAGTTATTGAATACTTACTACCTGCTAGACGCAGTCTTAAGATATGACACATATTCCCGGCTTTCATCACTATGCAATATATTCATATAACAAAAGTGCTCTTGTATCCCCTAAATCTGTTTTTTTTTAAAAAAAGACATCACACATATTAACTCAATTAACTCTAACAACAACCCTAGGGCAGAAGGTACTATTATTTTTCCCACTTGTCAGATGGAAAAACTGAGGTTCAGGAGGGTTAGGCACTTTGCTCACCTCACTCAGCTTGGGGAGAATACAGTGCAAGGGTGTGGGATTCAGAGGCAGAGTGCTTGTGTCTATAGCCGGGCTCTACCACCTAGGGCAATTAACCTCTCTGTGCCTCAGTTTCCTTGTGAGTCAAATGGGATTACTAATAATTTATTTCCCATTCCCAGGAGGAAGGTCTCCTTCTCCCAGGGTTTGTAGGAGGATCAAAGGGGATAATGGATGTGGACGATCTCTGTAAATCGCAGGATGTTGTACAAATGTCAGGCATTAATACGTGTTGACTCGAATACTCTCTCTCACAGCCCCTCTGGTCTTCAGAAGACATGGTTCTTCCAAAAACCAATCCCCTGGGATAAAAACTGGCATTTCCTAATCCCTTCCAAGCACAGAGGCAATTTGATGTCCACAAAAGACTTCTTGGGAGAATTCGATGACCTGATTAAAAGGAAGTTGTGGGGCAGGTGTCTATCTTGCGAAAAACATTGACCAGGGCCCTGTCTTCAGCAAGGTTGTCCCAGAGGGGATTTTCCCGTTCTTTTTCTTTGGAAAAAAAATTTAAGAATTACTAAATATTGAAAAGATTAGGAAAAGCAGACTGGCACAAACATGAAAATTAAAATATCCTATAATATCCCATTACCCAGAGAGAATGGTTCTGAGTTCTGGGTGAAGTTTCTGGGTTGTTATGATACTAGATAGAGCCAAGCACCCAGAAATTCCCAGATCACAACTCCCCTTCCCCAACCCCGTGCGGAATTCTGATCGAGGAACTTGTATACAAGAAACAGTGGCCGGATGAGATTCCAATTGCTACTCTATGAGTAGATTTATGAATGAATGTGGAACCCTGGTAAGGGATAGGATGGAGAATATGGCCCAGGCCTGAAGCCTTTGAGGGGCTTTCTACCCCTTTCCCACGAAATCAAAGCCGGCAGCCTCTTTGGGGCAGGACCGACCTGCCTTCTGCAGCCTGGGACAGGGGTGGAAGAAGTGCTTCACTAGTGGCTGTTCAGTGCAGTGACCTTGCCCCCTAGTGAAGGTGGCCCCCAAATATCCTAGGCTTGGACCACTCTCAGTTAAACTCCTCCTCGCTTATGAGGTGGAGGAGAGGAGAGGGTGGGAAGAGGGGCCAAAGTGTAGAGACAGGTGGGAGTTCCCTCCACCAATAACTCTGGCTCACACTTTATAGACAGCCATCCAAACTTTATTATCTTTTGACAAAAATAGATTTCTATATCATTTGTAATTAATTTTATTTTCACTGGTTAATACATGCATGTGATAAATAAGTCTAACAGTACAAAAGAGAACAGAATGGAAAATGAATTCCCCTCCCATCCCTGTCTCTCCACCCCTCATTTGCCTCTGAAGGGACCCCCACTATTAGCAGTTTTCTGAGTCTGTCTAAAGATGGTCTAAAGACGTGATGGTGTGTATGCATCATTCTTCATGGCTCAAGGTATTCCATTGTGTGGCGGCACCTGGAATCATTTGACTAAAGCTTAATCACTGGGCAACCAGGCACTTCTTAAGAACACTTGATTAACATTTAGATACACATCCTTGAGGCATTTCTTCAGATTAATACTTAGGAGTAGGATCACTGGGTTGAAGAGTATGCCTGTGTTAAAGAGTCTCAGGTTTGACAGCCCAATCGCCCCCACCTGGAGAAGGATGTGCCACTTCTCACTCATACCCACAGTATACCATCATGATGCGCTTTTCCCGACACACAAACCAACACTGGATTGAGCGAATCTTTGCTAATTTGCTACGTGTTAAGTTGCATCTTACTATTATTTGAGTTTGCATGTCATGAATTATTAGTGAAGTTGACAATTTTTCTAATTTTCCTTCTGGTTTATTGGCTCTTTGAATTTGTGAATTCCTAGTTTATCTTTTCCCAATGGTTTGAAGTGCTCTTTGTATTAAGACTGTTAACCCTTTGTCTTTCATATATGGTAAAAATGTTTTTTTTCCAGTTTGTTATTTGCCTTTTGGCTTTGTCACAGCGTTCTTGGGAAGAATGTAATAAGATTTTGGGGTATATAAATAGCTGATATAAAATGGTACTTTCCCCCTTTTCTGAGAATCAAACAGAAAAAATGAAATTGAAGGGAGAAAAGCAAGATCTGACAATGACTTAGGAAGGACTTCAGTTACAGGGCTTTCCAGATTTTAAAGAGAGTGAGTGATCCTGGGCCACTCACAGTCTGTCTCTGGGCTCCCAGCTTGACCCACCCAGCCCTGCTGCTCCCCACCGTGATGCACAGCCACCTGAATAGCTTGTCCTCTGGCCATGCCTGCAGAGCGTTTAGGCCGGTGTTGGACTCAGTACACCCTTAATAAATAGGAGCTGTGGCTGATTCTTCCATTCACTTGACAGATATTTCTTGAATGGCAATTATGTCCCAGGCACTGTTCTGTGTCTTAGGATGCTGGAGTGAACAAGACAGACACAAGTCCCTGTCCTCTGGTGGAGCTGACATTGTAGAGAGGGGAGAGAAGTGTTGCTGCTGCTTGTTGTTAAGGGGTGCTGGGTGGGGAAGGCTCAATTCTAGAAAGAACTTTAGAAGTGACTTAGTTCAATCTCATGATGGGCCAGATGGGGAAACTGAGGCCCAGTGACAAAGTGACTTGCCAAGGTCACCAAGCCAGACAGTAGTAAAGATAGAATTAGAACTGAGGTGAATAAAGGCCGAGGGTACCTCCCAGGCATTATTTTTGTACAGGTAGGTGGGTTCATTGCTATGAATTAAACCATCTGACACCGACTTACCTTGGCAGGGAGGGATGGTAAGATGTCAGCTGGCCAGAGATGAGGGGAGGTAGTGTTCTGGAGGGGCTACAAAGCGGGATGGGGAGTGGGACACAGACAGACCCAGGCTCCCCTGCATTTGGAGGATGTTTGCTCACCCACCATCCTACTTGTAGGGACAGAGAGAGAGACAGAGAGAAAGAAAGAGGGAGGCAGGACTCAAGTGTGGGGCAGAATGAGCTGCCATGAGCCAGTTTCACCTGAGATGGTTGTACCATGAACCTTGGGGACCTGGGGACCAGCCCAACTCAGCTGACCCTGCTGCAGGACTGTGGGCATGTCACCTCCTACTGCCAAGCTGGCTGTGGGCTGTGGCCCTTTGCTGCCCTCTTCACACTCAGGTGGGCTTCATGCCTTTAGCACTGCAGGAGGCCACTCTTGTCAGGTCCTTGGTTCCCCATGCTTTAGGATGTGACCTGCTTGACTTGTGCCCCTGAGGCACTGAGTCAGAGCCTCCTTCCCAGGGGAACAGGGACCTGAGAGGCACCCAGCTAAGTTCCCTGACTATGCATCCTCAGGGCACTTGGTGAAGGGAGGTAGTTGTACCAGCAGGTACTCAACAAATAATACTGTTCGCCTAATGAATGAAAAGGATGATAACAATGTCCAGTCAGGCATCCCAGCTCATGGAGATGTGAACATGAAGCGGCTAGTTTTCCCCCCAGTAACTGTCGATACCCTGTTAACACACCCACCCTGGAGGATCGAGCTCCATTAACCACAGCTTCCTGACTTGTTTATTAAGTAGTCTTACTCCCGTTCTCTAAAAGCCAGTTCTGTTTATTTAAATCCTGCAGGCTCCCATTTAATTCAAGGCTCTTGCTGTCCTACTCCCCATCTTTGACATCCAGGAGGGAAAACACTCCCCTCCTTTCTAGATTCCAGTCTCTTCTGATATTGGTGGGTGGTGGGGTTGGGCAGGATGGGGCAGGCAGTGGAGGGTTGGCTGCCTGGGCTTGTCTGGGAGGCCCTGTGGGGAGCTGGGCCCCACATTGGTGGTCCTGTGGACGTCCACGTGAGCCCTTGCTCTCCTCTCTTCCCAGCTGCAGCCTTGAACATCATCCTCTGGACAGCAGGATGCCCCTGTCCACTATCTCCATCCTGGCATCATCGTCATAAGAACCATCATTTACTGAGAGTGTACTATGTGCCAAGTGCTGTTCACACCTCAGTGCTCGTGCTGATGACAACCCTGTGAGCTAGTCCTAGTTTTTCCGCATTTCACAGGTGAGAAAATGCACACTTAGGAGGTGTAGCAACTTGCTCAAGGCCTCTCAGAAGCAGCATTTATACCCAGGCCTGCCCACTTCCAAGGCCCAAGCTCCACAAAGCCTCTGTGGCTGAGTGTGGGGCTGGTTCTCCATGTGGTGGGAGAGCTGGCTTTTATCAGGGGTCCCCCAGGAGCGTGCTCTACCCTCAAAGCCCCTCTTTCCCCAGGAGGGTCAGGAAAGAGGAATGTTGAGATGAGACTCCCTATACCCTGAAACCCCTAGGGCAAGGAGCAGGGTCTCTAGGTTCTGGGCTAGGAATACCACCAGCACATTTAGGCCAGAACAAGAAAGAATCTCCTGATCAATGGCTCTTGTTGGATTTGAGGAAGGGGGTCCAGGGGGCTTTCTGGGCCACGTCCATGATGCCCTGGGATCCTCGCTGTTGCTCCTCCTGGCCCAGGAACTCTCAGTGGGGCTGGGGCTGGGAGGCGTCCATGAATCAGGGGGCAGAGGAAAGGGAAAGCATGTGGAGGGGCCGGGAAGGAGTGCTGAGACCCACCTTATGGTATGGCACACTGCTTCCTTGCAGGCCTCGCCCCATTAGCTCAGGGTTAATTACACCAGCAGGACAGGGATGCTGTGGCAGGCAGGAAAGCTTTTCTGGGAGTGTCCCAGCCTCACAGTTGACATGTGCAAGCCGCACTCGTGTCTCCTGACCAGGATACCTTTGTTATGGTGAGGCAGGGAGAACGAGACCATTTTTCAAATCAGACGGGGGTCCCTCCTCCAGGGACTTCAGAAACACCCCCTATGCCTACCACAGGGCCCAGCTCAGACCCTCTGCTCAGACCCTGGCTACCCTCCCCCATCCCTAAACCACTCATGGGACCTCTTTGCACAGAGGTATTATGGTCACAGGGATGGGTGGACCCAGGAATGGATGGGTTCACTCTTTGGGCCCAGCCTTTGCCTGTACTGAAAACATCCAGTTTGAGTTCTGCCTGCACACCTTGAAGCAGGTAATGCTATCAGACACCTCAGGTCACTCAGCCATACCTCTCCCTCCTGGGCTGACCAGCTCTACACAGGCTGGTAGCCTCCTGATATAGTTTGGAGGCTTGGCCCTTCCAAATCTCACGTTGAACTGTGATCCCCAAATGTTGGAGGTGGGTTTAGTGGGAGGTGTTTGGGTCATGGGGGTGGATCCCACATGAATGGCTTGGTGCCCTCCCCTCGGTAATGAAGGAGTTCTTGCTCTATTAGTTAACCCGAGAGCTGGTTGTTAAAAAAGCAATGTGGCACCTCCTTCCTCTCTCTTGCTCCCCCTCTAGCCATGTGATGCCATCTCCTCTTCATCCTCTGCCATAAGTAAAAACTCGCTGAGGCCTCACTAGATGCAGATGCTGGTGCCATGCTTCTTGTACAGCCTGCGGAACCATAAACCAAATAAACTCCTTTTTAAAATAAATTACCCAGCCTCAGGTATTCCTTTATAGCAACACAAAACAGACTGATAGACCTCCCTCAGGTGCAACCTGACAGTGACTCACCTTACTCCAGGTGCGAATGAGGCCCCCTTGTCATGACGTGAGACATCTGCAGGAATCTAGGTGGCACTTCTGCATGTGCAAATCGGAAATGTGTCAATATGTGTGCAGACACCTGTGTGTGTGTGCACGTCTCTCATGTCTCCCTCTGTCTCTGTGTGTGTGCATATGTCTCTCCTGTCTCTGTCTCTGTGTGTGTGCACATGTCTCTCATGTCTCCCTCTGTCTCTGTGTGTGTGTGTGCATATGTCTCTCCTGTCTCTGTCTCTGTGTGTGTGCACATGTCTCTCATGTCTCCCTCCATCTCTGTGTGTGAATATGTCTCTCCTGTCTCTGTCTCTGTGTGTGTGCACATCTCTCATGTCTCTGTGTGTGTGTACATATCTCTTGTGTCTCCCTATGTCTCTGTGTGTGTGCACATGCCTCTTGTGTCTTCCTCTGTCTCTGTGTGTGTGCACATCTCTCGTGTCTGTGTGTGTGTGCACGCATGTCTCTCGTGCCTCTCTGTGTCTCTGTGTGTGTGTGCACATGTCTCTCCTGTCTCTGTCTCTGTGTGTCTGCACATGTCTCTCGTGTCTCTGTCTCTGTGTGTGTGCACATGTCTCTTATGTCTCTCTCCGTCTCTGCATAGGTGTGTGCGTGCATGTCTCTTGTGTCTCCCTCTGTCTCTGTATGTGTGTGTGCACATGCCTCTTGTGTGTGTGTGTGTGTGTGTGTGTGTGTGTGTAGAGGGCAGTTAATGCCCACAGGCAACCTTTGACCAATGGGAGATGAAAACTAATGAATAAATACTTCCTGTGTTTATTGCCCTCGGGGCCTGTCTTAGTTCAGGCTGCTATAACAAAATACCTTAGGCTAGGTAATTTACAAGAGAAAGTTATCGTTCACAGTTCTGGAGGCTGGGAAGTCCAAGATCAAGTGTGCCAACAGAATCAGTGTCGTGGCAAGGGCTTGGTCTCTGCTTCAAAGATGACGCCTGTTGCTGTGTCCTCATATGGCAGATGGGGTAAATGAGCTCCCTCAAGCTTTTATTAGGGCACTAATTTCATTTATGAGGGGTGGGGAAGCCCTCATGACCTAATCACCTCTCAAAGGTCCCCCTTCTTTTTTTTTTTTTTTTTTTTTTTTGAGACAGAGTCTTGCTCTGTCACCCAGGCTGGAGTGCAGTGGTGCAATCTTGGCTCACTGCAAACTCCTGGGTTCATGCCATTCTCCTGCCTCAGCCTCCCGAGTAGCTGGGATTACAGGATCCCGCCACCACGCCTGGCTAATTTTTTGTATTTTTAGTAGAGGCAGGGTTTCACTGTGTTAGCCAGGATTGTCTCAATCTCCTGACCTCGTGATCTTTCTGCCTCGGCCTCCCAAAGTCCTGGGATTACAGGTGTGAGCCACCGCGCCCGGCCTAAGGTCCCCCTTCTTAATACCACCACCTTGGATGGTAGGTTTCAACATATGAATTTTGTGTGCGGGGGGACAAAAACGTTTAAACCATAGTATTCCTCCCTTGCTCCCCCAAAATTCACGTCCCTCTCACAGGCAAAATACATTCATTCCATCCCAGTAGCCCCACAAACAATAACTCATTTCAGCATCAGCTCAGAAGTCTAAAGTCCAGAGTCTTATCTAAATATCATCTAAATCAGATATGGCTGAGACTTAAGGTACCTCCATCCTGAAGCAAATTGCTTTCCAGCTGTGAACCTGTGAAATTAAACAATTTATGTGCTTTCAAAATGCAACAGTGGGACAGGCATAGGATAGACATGTCCATTACAAAAAAGAGAAGTAAGAAGAAAGAGGTAACTGGTCCCAAGTAAGTCCAAAACCCAACAGGGAAAACAACATTAAATCTTAAAGCCTGCAAATAATGTCTTAGACTTGTTGTCCTACTTCTGGACAAACTGTGGTAGGGGTTGGCTCACGTGGCTTTGGGTGGCCGTGCTCCCATGGCTGTGCTAAGCACAGCCCACACTGCAGCCCTAATGGGTTGGAATCACATGTATGTGGTTCTCCCAAGGTAGAATTACCTGCTGGTGGCTCTACTGGCCTGTAGTCTAAGGGGCAGCTCTAGCTCTGCCCCTGTGGGTCCACTGGACATCACTCTAGTGGAGGATCTCTGTGGTGGCCCCACCCCTGTGGCAGTTCTTGGGCTGGGACCTGAGGTTCTCCAGGGCATCCCTTGAAATCTAGGTGGAGGTAGCCATGTCCCCACAACTTGTTCACTCTGCACACTCCTGGAGTTGGCACTGTGTTGATGCCACCATGGTTCCTCATCTGTGCCTACCTGATAGTTGGCCCAAGCCACACCTGAGCTCTCTTGAGCCACAGCTGGGTGACCAAGGAGCATTGTACAAGAATTTGGGGAGAAGAGCTTTGAAACCATTCTGCCCCCGATGCCCGGGCATTCTGGTAAAGGGAGTGGCAGTCTTGAAGACTGCCAAAATATTTTGGGGATTATTCATCCATTGTCTTGATGAATAGCATCTGGCCAACCTTCACTTGGCCACACACTGTTGGTGTTATCTCTCAAACACACTTTTACATTCTTTACAACCTGGCCAGGCTAAGAATTTTCCAAATCTTTAAGTTCTGCTTCCCTTTTGACTATAAATTGCATCTTTAATTAATTTATATCTTCTTGTGTTTTTACCACAGTCAAGAGAAGCCATGCCACATCCTCAATAACTTTGTTTAGAGATTTCTTCCACTGAATGTCTTGTTTCATTGCTCAGAAGTTCTAGCTTCCACAAAGCACTAGGACAGGAACACAATACTACCAAATTCTTTGCCATTTTATAACAAGGATCACTTTTCCTCCAGTTTCCAATAACATATTCCTCATTTCTATCTGAGACTTCATCAGAATGGCCATTACCATCCATATTTCTATGAACATTCTATTAATGATCACTTAGCTCCTTTCTAAGAAGACTGGGTAAGTGACAAATAGCTTAGCTGATTGGTCAAGATCACAGAAGGGAGCAAGACTGGATGACTGGATACAAGGAAGGCTGGAGAAAGCCTATGGATGGGCCAATGGGAATGAGCCCAAAGTGTGTGGATCTTTGAGTCTCACATTGTTGAGGGCCTTCAACAATGTGGGCCTTCTACAAGGGCCCTCAACAATCCGGTGAACAGGATGACTGGTTCTATGGAGGAGTTCCTCTTCATGGCCACTCCAGGGAGATTACTAATTTTAGGCATGGGCCCAGGGCTAGCAGCCTACATCTGGAAGAGTCTGGGGACCAGGGAGAATAGAATAGATGCATTTCCTTGAGAGTAGGATGTAGGGGGGTAAACTGAATTCACCCCCAAGGCATCTCTCCCCATCTCACCAATTCCACCCTAGCTGTAAACACAGCCCTAGCGGACTGGTTTGGCCCCTGCTTTAGGGAGAGCTCTTTTCTACCCAACATAAAACTTACTCTTGCCAGCCCAGACTCCCAAAGTCCTGCCATAGTCCAGAAAGCCCTCAGTGATCCTCTCCTTCTTGGCCATGTGCTATTCATTCATTCACTCATTCATTCATTCATTCATGTACACAACAGATACTTATCAAGCTTCCGTGCTCCACACCCTACATAAAGGCTCTGAATATGCAGGAGCGAATGAAAATGGTTGTGACCCTACCCTTGTGGAGATTATTATAGTCTTTGGGGAGAGGTAGACATTAATCAAATGATCACACAAATAAATATAAAATTACCCTTGGGATTAGTGCTAGGAAGAATTCCATGATTCTCTGAGGACAGATACTATGTGGGACTCCCCTAGCTTGGAACGTCAGGGAAGGTTTCCTTGAGGAGGTGATGACTCAGCCACCTTCTGAAGGATGGGTAGGTTGTATTAGTTAGGGTTCTCTAAAGGGACAGTGCTAACAGGATAGATGTATAGATGAAGGGGAGTTTATTACGGAGTATTGACTCACATGATCACAAGGTGAGGTCCTACAATAGGCCATCTGCAAGCTGAGGTGCAAGAAAGCCAGTCCGAATCCCAAAACCCCAAAAGTAGGGAAGCCAACAGTGCAGCCTTCAGTCTGTGGTCGAAGGTCCAAGAGTCCCAAAGCTGAAGAACTTGGAGTCTGATGTTCGCGGGCAGGAAGCATCCAGTACGGGAGAAAGATGTAGGCTGGAAGACTAAACCAGTCTAGAATTTCCACGTTCTTCTACCTGCTTTTATTCTGGCCACTCTGGCAGCTGATTAGATTGTGCCCACCCAGACTGGGGGTGGGTCTGCCTTTCCCAGTCCACTGACTCAAAGGTTAATCTCCTTTGGCAACACCCTCACAGACACACCCAGGAACAATACTTTGCATCCTTCAATCCAGTCAAGTTGACACTCAATAGTAACCATCACAGGGGTACCCAGGTGAAGTGGGGGAGGCAAAGAAAGAGATCTCGGTCCCAGATCTCTGCACCTGGATGCACTCCCTCTTGAAACTGCTTCTCACTGCTTCCAGGCCTGTGTCCTGTGGCCCCCATGCCTCATCAGGAAACTGGGCTCAGAGAAGTTAGCACGTGGGGGGGTCACGATGAGATGGTCCCTGATGGAAAGTAAAATTTCTCTAATGGCAAAGATCATGGAAACAGAGACCCAGCAGCAGAAAACTGAAGGTAATACAGCCTCTTCCCAGAAAGAGGGCCCCCAAGGGACCCTGAGTTACCCACACAAGGGTCGTTTCCACACGGGGAGGCTTCTCCGACATGAGTGGCTCCTTCTGCTATTCTTACAACAGTGGTCCCATCTCTCTCTCTCACTCCGATCGCTCCAGATGGTTCCAAAGGCTTTCCCCGTGGGCCTGACTACTTTACTGGTGCTAGTTAGTGATCTCCCACACTTTCCTGAGGACTGTTTTCTAGGAGCGCCCTTCAGGGAGCTTGGCCTGTGTCCTCCTGTTGGGGAAGCAGGAGCTGTGATTTGCCCCCAAGCCCAGCTGGCTGCGGAGCCCATGGTGCTCCCTTCCAGGTCCCTGCCGCATGCTGTGTGGACAGGCAGCATCTGGGTCCTGGCCATCCCCTGGTCCTGCCTCTGCCACTGTCTTGCTCTGTGACCTGGAGCCAGACCTGCCCCTTTCATGGCCCCATGAGGAGAAAGCCAGTCCTGTTTCTCACTGTTGCCAGGTCTGCGTGTATTTGGGTCTGAAAGACAGACAAGACGAGGGGGACCATGTATCAGGAGTAGGGTAGTTCTCAGCCAGGCAGGCTCCTGCTCTGCCGGCAGCAAGGTGGCCGTCCTGCAGGGAACCTACCTTGGGGAGGGCAGCCTTGCCCCTTCCCCAGCAGCCCCAGATGGAGCACCTGTCACAGCCAGACCAGTGTTCATCCACCTCTCAAAACTCCGGGCTGTCCCCACCTGACCTGGAAAGGGTCAAGATGAGAGACCTGAGAAGAAAGGAGAGGTTTCTCTTTGTGCTCACTCTCCCTAAGGAGAAAAGCTTAAAGCTGGGAGGCAGATGGCGCCTCCTCTCTCCTCTGTGAGCTGAGAGCCCAGATCCTCTGCCCACTGGCTCTGCCTCTACTCACCCATTGGTCTTAGCTGCCCTCTCCCAAGCCCATCCCTGTGTGGCCCCCCTGTTTGGCCAGTCCCAGGAGATCCTAGGGTCCCAGGTGGAGGCTGACTGGCATCCCCACAGCCCTGCCTTTGTGTGCACCTTCATGCCCATCCTGGGCCCGTGGCTGTGGCTGGGGCCTTACCCTCTTGACAGCCCTGTGCTCTCCTGGGCTGTGTCAGCAAGGAGCTGGTGACAGGAAGGATGAGGGAAGCTGATGCTCCCTTAGGGAACCCTCTTGTGTAAATGGGGAAACTGAGGCCCCAGGAGGGGCAGGCGATATGGCAGCAGAGATCAGATGAGGAAATGGAACTGGCCTGGAAGCCCACAGACCTGGGTGTGTACCCAGCCCCATCTCACGCTGACTTCCGCCTTCTGGGTCTCAGCTTTCCTTGTCTCTAGAATGGAGATCACAGTCCCAGACCTGCCTAAAACGCAGTGTGGGTCTGGTTCTGATGAGATCCTGTTTGCATGATCTCTGCCAGCCGTCAAGTGCTGTGCTGACTGAAGCCAGGCACCGGACCTGAAATCTGGGACTCTGGGCTCCCAGAACAGTGCTCCTTCCTCAGCTCTTCAGGCCCTGGCTGAGTTTGAGAGCCTCAGAGATGAGGAATGGGGTGACGAAGGATGAAAAAGTTCATGGGGATGAGCCCTGGATGCTTGACCTCTGTGGGGAAGTTCCCCATATGGTTCCCAGAGTGACAGAGGCCCCAGCAGGCCTAGCCCAGGGCAGAGCCAGGGTGGGTGAGGCTGGAGCAGGCCTCTCCTATGTCCTTGGTGACACTAGAGCCTATCATGGGCTAAAACTCGAGCCAAGCGCCAGAGTGGGACAGATGCACAGGTCCGTCCTCAGCCTCCCAAGCTCCCGCTCACTAAGTAAACACCTGTGCGTGGGCTCGTCGCTCACCTCCCTAATGAGCTCATCGCTCACCCGGCTCTCCATCGCGCTCCATCCGTCTTCACCTTGCTGCCATGGCTCCACTGTGCAGCTATTTTTGCACTTCCCAGTAAGCATTCCACTGGGCGGGGGAGCCAGTGCAGCTAGGCTGGGGCCGAGTTAGGGCTGGGCTTGATTGCTGCCACCCGGAAGTCCACGGCCTGCCTATGGGCACTTCTGGCCACTGTTCCCCACCCCAATAGCAGTACTATGTTGCAAAGGACATTTGGTTTAGCTCAGTGAGCTCCAGTGCCCTCCCTCCGCCACTCAGTAGCTGTGGGACCTTGGGCAAGCCATTTCTCCCTCTGGTTCTCAGTCCACGAAACAAAGGCACAAGTGCTACGCTGCCTGCAGGCAAGCCCTGACTCCCTGGCCTGAGTTCCTGGGCCTCAGTCATCTGTGCTGAACCTCAGGGCTGGACTCAGGCTCTCAGTAAGCCGATGGGGCCGGGGCTGTGGGTGGAGAGAAGAGGAGATTTGGGGCATGCATGTGCATGGGACGGGCAGCCCCCTCCCTGACCCTGCCCCCTGCTCTCTAAAGAAAGACCCCCAGGCAACAAGGGGCCTGATGACCCTGAGCATGCAGATCCCAGCCCTTTGCATGCCCACTGGCTCTGCCTCTACTGACCCATTGGTCTTAGCTGCCTCCAGACACAGCAGAGCACCTCACCTGAGCTCAGGTGGGAAACGCCTGTGAGGGTTGCTTCATTGTCACCCCATCTCCCACGGGCAGAAACAGAGGCTCAGAGAGGCTCACACATGTACCTGAGGCCACACAGCTTGGGCAGGGCCACAGCTGGGACACGACCCTAATGCACCTGACTTCAGAATCTCCCCACCCTGCCTTCTGAGCCTGGCATAGGGCAGAAGGCTGGGCAGGCTGGAGAACTGCAGCCCCTCCTGAAGGAGATACTCAGTGACCCTCCCTCTCCTGTGGCCATTGTTCTCTTGAAAATTAAGTCATCCCGCTGGGCCCCTTAAGCCTTTTTGGAGCTGTCTGTTCCCAAGGCCTCAGCCAGACGGCAGCTGGAAGTCTGTTAATATTCATTGAATCTCTCCAGGGTGGTTGGGAGCCTGTCTTTTAATTGTCTCATCTCTGTCTATCCCTTTATCGAGAAAGAGACTAAGAGGCAAGAACAATCAGTTATCTCATTATAGATCAAGGCCTAGAAAGGGGAACTCCTCAACTAGGGTCCTCCACCCCATGGAGGGAGGGGCTCGGTAGGGGGAGGAAGGGGCTCAGTCCTTCAGCCTCATGCCAAACTCATTCCTATCAGCGTGAAGAAGAGGTTTATCCATAGCATTGGTGGTCCAAATGGTACAGAGCTGGGGAGTGACATAGTTGGGGATAACTGGGGGGACAAAAGGGTGGTCAGAAGACACTAACGTTTGGGCCCCAAATCTCGGGCTTTTCACTGCTCTAGAAAGTGCAGAGAGCATAGAACTGGAATTCAGAGATTATCTTGTTATCTAACCATCCATCCATCTGTCCAACCACCCATTCATCCATCATCCATCTACCCATCCAACCATCCCTCCATCCACACATCCATCCATCTACACATCCATCCATCTGACCAACCATTCATCCACCCATTCATCCAGTGGGCCAGGAAGAAACTGACATTTGTCACGCATATCTTACTTTTCAAAGCAACTTTCTTTCTCTTATCTCATTGGATCTTCCCAGCTGTTTGGCCCCATTTGACAAATGGGAAAAATGGGACCCAGGGAGAAGCAGGGACTTGCTCAAGGACAGACAGAGCAGAGCGGTTTCCAGGATGGAGGCTCAGTATGAAACCTGCAGGTGGGATTGTGCACAAGGCCTAGACTGAAGGGCAAGTGGGGGCTGAAATCCAGTCCTTGCTGTGCCCACCAAGTGGTGGAGAGCTGTGCCTGCTCAGAGAAGAGGAGCCTTTTTCTTTGGCATGCTATCTTGGTAAGGTAGGACCCCAGCCCAGGGCCTGCGTTTTGGGATTCTCAGGGAGAAGCTATGCAGGCTATTGGCAGCCCTGAGCTGATCTTCAGCTCAAAGAGAGCCCCTGGAGAGGAGTAGGCAGGAGACTGGGCCAGGAGGGAGAGACCCCAGGCTCTATGGCACCACGGCTCAGCCAGCCCAGGGATGGCAAAGTGTCTCCCTCCCGCCAGGCCAGCCACCAACCGCATGCCAAGTGGGTTGTCTGCACTGGGTCTTCCAGTTGGTGACTCTTTAGAGTCATATGCTCTCGGGGGAGTACCAGCTATTTGGATTACTCTCTAGTTGGCAATTTTCTTTTTGGTGCTTGTGTTTTGTTTTGACCTGCTGTTAAATCAACTTTATTGAAGTAAAATTTAAATACAACAAAATGCACCCATAAAAATGTACAGTTCTGTGGGGTTTGACAAATGTGTACACTCATGTAACCAGCACCACAGTCAGGATATAGAACATTTCTATTACAGCCCTTTGCAGTCATGCCTCCACCCGATGTGAACCCAGAGAGCAACCTCTGGTCTCCGTCCTGTTACTAGTGACTCTCTAGATTTCTAGGATTTCACAGAAATGAAAGCATACGGTATGTACTCTATCGTGTCTGGGTTCTTTTGCTTCACATCATATTTTTGAGATTGATCCACGTCGTTTCCTGTGTCAGCAGTTTCGTAGCATCCCACTGCATACTGCAATCTATTTCTCCCTTCACCTGCGTGGACATTTGGGTTGTTTCTAGGGTTTGGCGATTTGTGTACAAGTCTTTGTGTAGACATATGTTTTCTTTTCTCTTGGCTAATATCTAGGAGTGGAATTGCTGGGTAAAGGACAGTCCTATGTTTAGACTTATTAGAAGCTGTCGCGCCTTTTCCCAAGTGGTTGGGTCATCTTATGCTGTCACCAGCAATGAGCGAGAGTTCCAGTTGACCCACATCCTCATCAACCTAGTGTATGGGCCATTCTAATGTATGTATATTGAGATTTCGTTGTCGTTTTCATTTGGGAGCCTATTTTGGGGACCCACCCCTTGCCTTGACTGCCCTGACCTCATGACTGTGAGATCTTCTGGGACACGGATTGACTCACCAGTGTCACCTGAGGGCCCACCAGTGTTGGGGAAAAGTGGCCAGAGGCAGAGCTAGGGTGTTTTTGGAAAGAGAGAGGGATCTTTCTGAGCCTCAGTTTCCTCATCTGGCAAATGGGCACCATCCTTGACCTGCCTGGTCCATAGGGCAGGTTTGCATTAAAAATTGAATGAGCTGACAAGTAATGGAATTGCTTTCAGGACATTCAGCACTGGGACTAGTGGGGGCCCATGACAACCCACACCGGCTCCTATTTGCTCTATCTTCAGCCCCAAGAAATGCTTATTGTCATGTCTAGTGTGCAAATGTGGGGACTGGGTCTCAGCCAGGCCAAGTGACACCAGGTCCATGTGGCTCCAAAGCCTGTGCTCGTCACTTCAGTATGAACCACACTGCTGCAAAGTCACCCAGGCTGGGACAGAGCCTGATTGTCGTCACGGTCACAGACGAACATCAGCCAGGATGTGCACACGCCCAGGCTCCTGCCGCTATTCCGGCAGCTCTTCCGGATGCTCCGGTCCCTGGGGCTTGAACACCGCGTCTGTTGCTCCATTATCCTAAGCGGCCTCCCCGGATCCCATTACTTCACTGCTGTTATTATTTATTCATCGATGGAGCCCTCAGCTTGTGGATGGGCACTTACCTTGATGGCCCTGACAAGGGGTCAGGGGCCCCACTCAGAGCCTATTAATCACTAGCCACGCCGGCAGGGAGTTTGTGTCCCCTGAGAGAGGGGAGATCATGTTGCAGACACAGAAGTCCTGTTGGCTTGTCCATTTTCTCATGGAGGAATCCACTGCCTGGTGTTTTAGAGCTAGATGAGCTGCACGGACAGGGAAACTGAGGCTAAGAGAGGGTAGGGCCTTCCCCAAGGTCCCACATCTCATCCATTCGCTATCTGGAATTCTCTCCATACATAAACACACAATGATAACTCCATTTATAGGGGCATCACTTTACAATTTGTGTCTATTTTCCTATTTGATGGTCATAACAACCCCTCGAGACCAATAAGGGCTTTTAATCAGCTAGCTAGCTAGAGCTAGATGATATAGAAACTGAAACTCAGAAATTAAGTGACCTGCTGAATGCCAGGGTGCTGATAAATCACAAAGTGGGGAGCAGGACCCGGGTGTCCCTGCCCCAGTCCAGTGCTCTGGCTTCGGCCAGGAAATGTGGGATGTGGACCCGGGTCCTTCTCGTTCCTGCTGATTCTCTTTGAACAAAAGGAGTCTCTGGTTGGCTGGGATAGAAACTGAGGATGCAACCCAGCTGGAAGGGGGCAGAAAAGGGAAAGTGACTGGGGAGTCCCTGGGTACCAGTTACCTTGCTTTAAAGGCAGCTCACGGTCATGAGAAGAAAACTACCTGCAGAAGCCAGCACCCACTGTGCCCTTCCCATATGCCACAGGCAACTTTACAAGCTCCTGAAAACAACCCCAGGAAGCAGTCGCCATTATTATCAGTCCCATTTTACAGATGAGGTAACTGAGGTTATGACTGGCCCAAATCAGTTCCTAAGAAGTAGAGTTAGGATCCAACACCAGGCAGTCAGAGTCTGGAGCTTGAACCCTTAGCCACCACCCTAGCCTACCAGAGTGAGTTTAGGGGGTTGGCAGGAGAAAGAAGCAGAGGTGCAGTTGCTTGAGCAGACCAAGTCCCCATGGGGCCAGGGATCAGCATCTCTTGGAAGAAGTGGGCCTGAGCAGGACTTCCAGGACCTTCAGAGACACAGTGCAGGCCATGAAACCAGCTCCTACTCTGGAGCCAGAACCAGCATTGTCCTTGCTGTTTCCTTGCTGTGTGAGCTTGGGTGAATCACTTTACCTCTTGGAGCCTCAGGTTCCTTCCCAGACAACTGGGGCCAATAATGGCCACTTCCCGATACCGTGAAGATGAAATGAGACTAAATGCCAGCTTGAGAGCCATGGGAGAGACAGGGAAGGGGGGCTTCCATCTCAGGCCATGGTCCTCACCCAGGGGTCCTTGTCCTCTTTGCCCTCCCAGCTCCTTCAGTGTTGAGGGCCTGGGCCCCGGCTGGGCTCAGTGGCTTCCTGAGGGATAGAACAGGGAGCTGGTGGTGCGTTTGGGTTATTTTTCCTGGAAGGAGTTATTTTCTGCTGATCTAGGTCAGCCCAGCCAGAGGGCAGTGTGAGTTGCTGTATTAGTCCATTTTCACACAGCTGTAAAGAATACCTGAGACTGGGTACTTTATAAAGGAAAAAGGTTTAATTAACTCATAGTCTGCATGACTGGGGAGGCCTCAGGAAACTTGCAATCATGGCAGAAGGCAAAGGGGAAGCAAGGCACGTCTTCTCATGGCCCCAGGAGAGAGAACAGTGAGGGGAAACGCCAAAAACTTTTAAAACATCGGATCTCATGAGCACTCACTCACCATCACAAGAACAGCATGGGGGAAACCGTCCCCATTATCCAATCACCTCCCACAAGGTCCCTCCCTCCACACTTGGGGATTACAGTTCCAGATGAGATTTGGCTGGAGACAAACCATATCAATTGCCTTTCAGTCTAGCTGCAAAAAAGCAGGTGGCCCAACTTGTTGCAGGGTGAAGAACCCAAGAAACCAACCTGGGTTTGCGGCTGGAGAGGGGCTAGCTTAAAACTTTGTATCCTGGCTCCTGGTTGCCCAGAGTGGGGAGGTCTTGATAAGGACCTTGAGATAATGGTCTGGAAGTTGAGAACAGAGCCACTGGGGCTCCTGGCTCCTTGCAGATCCAATCTAAGGGCTGTGGCACCAGGCTGCGTGCTCTGGATGAGTCCCTTCCCCTCTCTGGGCCTTAGACGTGATTGTTGTCATGGTGAGAACTGGGGAGGGTGTGGGAGGATGGAGATGTGCACATAGCAGGTCCTCAGGAACTCAGCTGATGATGAAGCTGCCCCAGCTCGGGGTGAAGGCTGCGGTGCCCTGTTTCCTTGACCTTAGCCATGGGCAGGTGGGCCAGTACCTCAGGTCACTGTCAGGGACTCTGGGAGATCCTGGCCCTGCCTCATCCTGGCACTGAGGCCTGCAGTGATTTCCTCACTCATTCTTACAAAAGATCTCCAGAGGTCTCAGGACTGCACTAGCTCATGGTGACTTTGTTTTTATCTGTCATTGTCTTCTGAGTGATTCCTTTGCCCCATCCTATGTTCCCCCAGTTAGAGTGTGAGCTCCCTGGGTCAAGAGGGGAAACAGAGGCTGGGTGTCCTGTCCCCCAAGTCCCAGTCCCAACCTCTCCCCTCGGCAGCTGTGTGATATGAGTAAGCTGATTAACCTCTCTGAGTCTCAGTTCTAGCCACAAGATGGGGATAAGGCCTGCTTTGCCTTCTTCTCTGGGCTCAAGTACACTAAAGAGAACTGAGACCAACCTTACCTGGAGCCCCTCAGCTGGGCCCAGTTCGGGAAACAGGTGAGCTGGGTGCAGCTCCCGGCCTCAAGGGACTTGCACTTCTTGCCGGGGAAGATGGAGCCACACTCTCGATGGGGGCTGTGGAGAGCCCTGAGGTTGGGGGAGAGTTTTCTAAGTGGGGGTATCAGGGAAGGCTTCCTGGAAGAACCATGGGCAGGACAGGTGGGCAAGGCCATGGTCAGGTGTGTGCAGGGCTATCAGGGATGCAAACCGGAACCGCAGCATACAGAGTGTGCCAGCACTGGGCCTACACAATGTTACCCCAGACCAGCAAGCAGTCCACAATGCAGCCTTGGCTCCACCCTCCTGGAGTGCACAGTGTGGTGGGGGAGACTGACTCTAATCACAAACTCACCAAGCAATGATAAGCTTTACTGGGGATGGGGGTGGCGTGGGGAGAAGGAAAGTGCTGTTTTTAAGGGAACAGCAATTATCTCCTGAATGTTTCCTATGTGCCAGTCACTTTGTGCACATTACCTTGGTTCATCCTGACTCAGGTGGACATTGTCAGTGTCCCACAGGAAACCGAGGACCAGAGAGATAAAGTAACTTGCCCAAGTTTGCACAGCAGGCAGGCAGCAGAGCTGGGCTTGAACCCAGGCCATCTGGCTCCAGAATATCACCTTACTGTAACCACGGAATGACCCTGCCTCCTCATGTGCCCACCACAGTCTGCCCTCTCTGGTATATCTTGTTCTCTCCCTGCCCCCTCTTCTTACCACCAGGATGCTGCAGCAGAACAGAGTTTGTTCTTGAGCAGTGCAGGGCAGAAGCAGCATGTTTGCAGGTGTTGCTGCAGACCTTTGCTAGATGGCACCTCTCCCTCTCCCCAGACTCCAGGAAGAGCCTCAGCGCCTGGCAGGGAGGGGGAGAGGAGAGTGAAAGGACCAGAAAAAGCACTGAGGATTGGTAGGCCCCCAAGGAGGTACGCCTGTCACTGTTTCCCTTCCTCCCCCACCCCCACCCACTTGGGGACTTTCAGGACAGAGAGAATCTGCATCCGCCCCTCCCCTGTTCACCCTACCTGGTGGGGTCCCCCAAGTTTCCCTGTGCCCAGCATCACATGGGAGCAGAAGAAATGGGAGCAGCATGGGTCGTAGCAGGGGACTCAGGTCAGGCTGGTAATGATGCAGTAGGGGCTGTGGGTGCAGAGATGGGACAGGAACAAGGATGTGCACCTGTGCTAGAAGAGCCGGTTCAAGGATGCCAGGGAGCAGCCAACACTGAGGCGTGGGAGGCTCAGCACACGAAATGCCAGGGAAAGCAGGAGGACCCTGAATGGCTTTCGATTACATTCCTGCCTCCTGGCAGAATGGGCACTTATAGTAGAACTTAAGTTCAGTGACACAAAAATACAGCCACTTTTTTCATGCCCTGATTTCAGCAACTCAGAATCACCATGAAGGAGACTTATGGGGCGCCACGAATCTGACCTCAGTGGGGAAGTCAGGGAAGGCTTCCTGTAAGAAATGATGATTGGCCTGAGTTCTGAAGGAAGAGTAGGAAATAAGAGGGTGGAAAGAATATTATAGACAGGAGGAACAGCATGTGCAAAGGCCCTATGGCAGGCAGAGCTTGATGGGAGAAACAATGAGGTACTTCCTCCTGTTGTGTGCAAACTGCCTGCTTAATCCAGCTGGGAGCCAGGACTGCAGCCAGTACATCTGCTGGTAATTAACATGGGGACCCAGGAGAGTGGGGCTCTCAGAACACCCTATCCTTGGTTTTCATCTGCTCAGACTGTGTTTTTGCCAACTCTGGGACTCCTGACACCTCCACAGACTCTGAATATGAGGAGCAGAGGAGGAGCCCTGGGCGACACCCTTATTGTCGGGCTAGAGAAACCAAGGACAGAGAAGACAAGCATTTGCCAAAGCCCACCAAGTCCACGTGGGAACAACCACTGCAGAGCTGAGGCCCTGCCGTGCAGCAACAAGCCTCCTGCCTTCAGAGAAGAAAACAAGTTCTAGCTGTTCCCCAGCCCTACTCAGGCCTGAGAGGTTTCTAGTAGTCACAGTCAGGAGGATACGATGATGGCTGCCCTGGAGATGGGCCAGTCAGAACTCACAGCCACCCACTTGTGCTGGTTATAACCCCACCACTACCATGGTGACCGCTTCAATAGCCAGGAGGGCTGAAAGGAACAGGCAGCCAAGCTGTGTCTGATACTGGCTGCTCCGTCTGAACCCCCACCTATACCTGGACCCCACAGTCCCTCTGAGGTTATGGAGGGACAGTGAAATGCTCAAGGTCACCAGCAGGCTAGTAGCTCAGGAACCCAGGCCACCAGACTGGCTCCACCTGTGCTGGAAGAGCCAGCCCTTCCTTCTCCACCAGGGCCTCTGCTCTCCTGGCCCCAAGGAGCAGGTGGCCTGTTCAAGGAGAGAGGCATAGATGGGGCGACACAAGCATCAGCCCCCTGGGCTTGCCGGGTAATTATGCATTAGGAGCTAATGTTAATAAAGGCTCCAGGAAAGAGGTTTTAATTCCAGATCTCACCACCAGATTATTGCACATGAGGGAAATATCAGAGCCCCAGACTGTCTCCATCCCTCACCCTCCATCTCCAAGCAATCTGCTGCGTTTATTAATTCTGACAGAATTTTCCCAGGCTGGGGAGGAAAGGAGAGCAGGAGGGAAGTATGGTGGGGGTGGGGAGGTAAAGGGAGAGGTGGGGCATGGCAGTTTGGAGCAGACCTTGGGCCTTCTACTCCCTCCTCAACCCTACCCACCTGCACAGCCCCAAGGCATCCCTGGGGCATGCAGCGCACAGCTCTGCCCAGCCCCAGCTCCATGCTGCTGCCTCCAGAAATGGGACCCCTCCAGCAGCTCTTTTACTATCTGTCCTCCTTGATCCTCTCAACTTCCCCCTCTTTCTCATCCCTTCCTCCTCTAAGAATCACAGTCTGACTTTCCTTCCCACCTGAACCCCACCCCAGTGGCTCCAATTCCTTGAGTTACTTACAGTGATGCTGAGATTCACCTTTTAAGAATTTATTCCCAAAATGAACCAAGTAAAAGAAATATCGGAAAAAATCTAAATATCCGTCAAAGACGTTTATTTTCTAAATTATAGTACAACCATGCACTGGAATACTCTATATGTAATGAAATGGAATAATCTAAAGGTATATTGTTGAGAGAAAAAAACATCAAGGTGCGGAACAGCATGTAAAGTGTACTACCTTTTGGTTAGAAATACACACGCACATGCACACGCACACATACACACACACACACACACATTCATGTGTATGCATAGAATATGACCTAATTCATTATAAAGACCTTGTGCAGACAAAAGGAGATGATGTTTATAAAATACTTGGTACAATGTCTGTTACATAGTAAACTCTCACTTAAAGCTTACTGTTGTTATCATTTGACATCTGACTCCTAAGTTGCTTCCCACTCTACCTTGAAGCCTCTCTGGAAAGGACATTTGCATGAACAACACTTGAGAAGAGGATGGGTTATAAATGAGAGGAAGCCAGCATAGGTTTTGGGGGGCAATAGGAGGTCGTATGCTGGTAAAGCCGCACAGGGGCTCTGACTGCATCCCCAGATGGTGCCCACCACGTCAGGGGCCTCGGGAGGCGACAAAGAAACCCAGACCTACAGCTGGAAGTTTCAGGAAGATGGAACTCAGTGTAGAAGAAGCAAGCACCATTACAGCTAATTTCCTGAGGAAGTGGTGATCTCACCATTACATCAGACATCCCAGCAGAGGTGGGCCACCACTTGGTTAGGCAGCCGGAGAGGAAATAGTTATATAGCATGAAGATGCAGCCAATCTCTGTAACATGGTTCTAAAGGTCTGTGATCATGAGTGCAAGCTCTTAAGGTCTTCAGGAATCCCCCAGGGAGCTTGCGGAAATGCAGATCCCCATACCCCCACTTACAGATACTCTATTTGGCTGGGGTGGGACCCAGAAATCAGAATTTGTAAAAAAAAAAAAAAAAAAAAAAACTACAGTAAGGCAATATGGTATTGGCAAAAATATAGACACATAGAGTAATGGAACAGAATAGAGAGTTTAAAAATAGACCCACATAAATATAGCCAATTGATTTCTAACAAAGGTGTAAAGGTGATTCCATTGAGAAGGGATAGTCTTTTCAACAAATGGTGCTGGAACAACTGAACATCCACACGAGAAAAATGAACTTCAACCTAAACCTCATAGCTTATACAAAAATTAACCCAAAGAGATCATAGATCTAATCTAAAATGTTTAGAAAAATAAAACATAGGAGAAAACATAGGTGATCTAGGAATAGCCAAAGAGCTCTTAGGGATGATGCCCAAAGAAACATCTAGAACAGCAAAAGCTGATAACTTGGATGGCATCAGAATTAAAGAGGCACTGTTAAAAGAATTCAAAGACATACTACAGACTGAGAGAAATCACATATAGTACTTGCCAAAGGATCTATATCCAGAATATATTTAAAAAGCTCTAAAAACTCCACAGTAAGAAAATAAACAGACCAACTAAGAAATGGATAAAAGAATTGAACAGATACATCACTAAAAAGGACATGAGCCTGGCTGTATTAGTCAGGGTTCTCTAGAGGGACAGAACTAATGTGTGTATATATATATATGCATTATATATATAATTATATATAATGCATATATATATTCATTATATATTATATATTAGGTGAATATATATATATGTGTATATATTCACAATCACAAAGTCCCACAATAGGCCATCTGCAGGCCGAGGAGCAAGGAGAGCCAGTACAAGTTCCGAAACTGAAGAACTTGGAGTCCGATGATGGAGGGCAGGAAGCATCCAGCATGGGATAAAGATGTAGGCTAGCAGGCTAAGCCAGTCTCTCTTTTCACATTTTTCTGCCTGCTTCTATTGTAGCCATTCTGGCAGCTGATTAGGTCATGCCCACCCATATTAAGGGTGGGACTGCCTTTCCCAGCCCACTGACTCAAATGTTAATCTCCTTTGGCAACACCCTCACAGATACACCCAGGATTAATACTTTGTATCCTTCAATCCAATCAAGTTGACACTCAGTATTAACCATCACAAGTCCACCGTTTGTCAATTTGAACCCATACGTATCTCCTGAGATCATACATAATCTTCTAAGAAAGACAATAATGAGGTCTTAATTACGCCTAACATAATACAACTATCCTTTGTACAACTGGAAACACACCAATCTCCAACCCAAATACCATTACATAAAGTGAATGATACTAAATGCTGATGCTAAGTCAACAAATCCTATGTCACATGATAAAGGAGAAAGGTGATAAAATGAAGATATTTTCTTAGTACAAGTGTATACATGCACAAACATGTTTTTAACAAAAGAAGGACAATTACAGTCCCCGTTTCTGCAACTGGTCACTTGGTTGTGGCTGTTATTGATGACTACCTTCTTCTACTACCCATTCTGTATTCCCTTTGCCTTTAGCAAGCATCTCAGCAGGTCTTGGTTTTTTTCCTGGTGGAGTGACACAAACCTTCATTTCTGAAGAGTCTGGGTCTTTTGTAGTCCTGCCTGGATTGGGATGTTGTAGTTTCCTTTCGACCTTAATCACAGGGCATGGTAATACTAAGAGACACCCTAATGGATCTCCTGTATTCCATGCATACTCTTCCCTACCTCCGTTGTGGAGTAATAGACTGATTTCTACTTGATAGTCTGGATCAGTCACCCCAGCCAACACTGTAACTCCCTTCTCAGCCTGTTGACTTAAAGGTAGGAGGATCCCAAACTGTCCAGGTGGCAACCTTAACTTCCAGTTTAATGGAATCGTTGTTGTGTCTCCTGGTGGGAATGTTCCTCCCTCTGGAACTAAGACCTCCAGGCCAGCAGAACATAATGTCATGGGAAGAGGAAGGGAACATTTTGCTAGTGGATAACTAGGGGTGATGCTGAGTGGTGCCACTTCCACTTCCACTCCTTGATTCCTGGACCCATGAATCCTGGCTATGGGAGAAAGAGTACCATATATTGGACGCTGATTCAGAGCATACATGGCCTTCTGGAGAACTTTGCTCCAGCCCTGCAAAGTACTGTCACCTAGTTGGTATTGTAATTGTGACTTCAAAAGGACACTCCACCTTTCCATCAATCCAGGTGCTTCGGGATGATGGGGAACATGGTAAGACCAGTGAATTCCATGAGCATGAGCGAGCTGCTGAACTTCTTTAGCTGTAAAGCAAGTGCCTTGGTCAGAGGCAATGCTGTGTGGAATATCATGATGGTGGATAAGGCATTCCGTGAGTCTACGGATGGTAGTCTTGGCAGAAGCATTGTGTGCAGGATAGGAAAACCCATATCCGGAGTAAGTGTCTATTCCAGTGAGGACAAACCTCTGCCCCTTTCATAATGGAAGAGGTCCAATATAATCAACCTGCCACCAGGTAGCTGGCTGATCACCCCTAGGAATGGTGCCATATAGAGGGTTCAGTGTTGGTCTCTGCTGCTGGCAAATTGGGCGCTTAGCAGTGGCTGTAGCCAGGTCAGCTTTGCTGAGTGGAAGTCTATGTTGCTGAGCCCATGCATAACCTCCATCCCTGTTACCACGGCCCTTTGCTCATGGGCCCATTGGGCGATGACAGGGGTGGCTAGGGAAAGAGGCTGAGTGGTGTCCACAGAATGGGTCATCCTATCCACTTGATTATTAAACATTTCTCTACTGAGGTCACCCATTGGTGAGCACTCACATGGGATACAAATATCTTCACACTTTTTGACCACTCAGAGATGTCCATCCACATACCTCTTCCCAAAATTTCTTTGTCACCAATTTTCCAATCATGCTTCTTCCAAGTCCCTAACCTTCCAGCCAAATCATTGACTACAGCCCATGAATCAGTACATAATTGCATATCTGGCCGTTTCTCTTTCCATGCAAAGCGCACAGCCAGGTGCACTGCTCGAAGTTCTGCCCGCTAGGAAGATTTTTCTTCACAACTGTCCTTCAGGGATGTCCTGGAAAGGGGCTGTAGTGCTGCAGCTGTCCACTTTCAGGTGGTGCCTGCATATCATGCAGATCCACCTGTGAACCAGGCCCTAGTCTTCTCTTCCTCTGTCAACTGATCATAGGGAACTCCCCATGAGGCTATCAGTGCAGGCTGGGGGAGAGAAGGCAGGGTGGCATGAGTGGAGACCATGGCCACTTGAGCCACTTCTTCATGTAACTTACTTGTGCCTCAGGACCTGCTAGAGTCCAGTAATGTATATACCACTTCCATTTGATGATGGAATGCTACTGTGCATGACCCACTTTATGGCTAGATGGGTCAGAAAGCACCCAGTTCATGATAGGCAGTTCAGGTTGCATGGTGACTTGATGACCCATAGTCAAACGTTCAGTTTCCACCAAAGCCCAGTAACAGGCCAAGGGCTGTCTCTCAAAAGGAGAATAGTTATCTGCAGAAGATGGCAGGGCCTTGCTCCAAAATCCTAGAGGCCTCCGCTGTGATTCACCTAGGGGGGCCTGCCAAAGGCTACAAACAGCATCCCTATCTGCCACACCTCAAGCACCACTGAATTTGTTGGGTCTTATGGCCCACGTGGCAGAGCAGCTTACATAGCAGCCTGTACCTGTTGCAGAGCCTTCTCCTGTTCTGGACCTCCCTCAAAACTGGCAGCCTTTCGGGTCACTTGATAAATGGGCTAGGGGAACACACCCAGTGAGGAATGTGTTGCCTCCAAAATCCAAATAGGCCCAGTAGGCATTGTGCCTCTTTCTTGGTTGTAGGAGGGGCCAAGTGTAGCAACTTATTCTTTACCTTAGAAGGAATATCTTGACAGGCTCCACACCACTGGACCCCTAGAAATTTTACTTAGGTAGAAGTTCCCTGAATTTTAGTCAGATTTATTTCCCATCCTCTGACACACAAATTTCTCACCAATAAGTCCAATGTGTTTGCTACTTCTTGCTGATTGGATCCAATCAGCATAATGTCATCAGTGTAATGGTTCAGTGTGATATCTTTCAGAAGTGAAAAGAGATCAAGGTCTCTCCAAACAAGATTATGACACAAAGCTGGAGAGTTGATATACCCCTGAGGTAGGACAGTGAAGGTATATTGCTGGCCTTGCCAGCTGAAGACAAATTGCTTCTGGTGGGCCTTATGGGCAGAAATGGAGAAAAAGGCATTTGCCAAGTCAATGGCTGCATACCAGGAGATGTGTTATATTTTCTGAGGCAATGAAACCACATCTGGTACAGCAGCTGCAATTGGAGTCACCACTTGGTTAAGCTTATGAGAATCCATGGTCGTTCTCCAAGATCTATCTGTCTTTTTCACAGGCTAAATGGGAGAGTTGAAAATGCATGTGGTGGGAATCACCACCCCTGTGTCTTTCAAGTCCTTGATGGTGGCACTAATCTCCGCAATCCCTCCAGGGATGCGATATATATATTTTTTTGATTTACTATTTTTCTAGGTAGAGGTAGCTCTAATGGCTTCCATTTGGCCTTTTCCACTGTAATAGCCCTCACCCTACCAGTCAGGGGGCCAATGTGGGGGTTCTGCCAGCTGCTAAGCATGTCTATGCCAATTATGCATTCTGGCACTAAGGAAATGATCATAGGATGAGTCCGGGAACCCACTAGACCCACTGTAAGTCAGACCTGAGCTAAAACTCCATTAATTACCTGACCTCTGTAAGCCCCTACTTTAACTGGAGGACCACAATGATGTTTTGGGTACTCTGGAATCAATGTCAGCTCAGAGCTGGTGTCCAGCATTCCCCGAAATGTCAGATCATTTCCCTTTCCCCAATGCACAGTTACCCTGGTAAAAGGCCAGAGGTCTCCTTGGGGAAAGATGGGAGAAAGATTCACTGTGTAAATTGTTGATAATGTAGTGGGGTCCTTCCTCAGGGAAACTCGGCCTCCGCTTCATTCAAGGGGTTCTGGGTCTGTAAACTGGCTCAAGTCTGGAAATTGATTGAGGGGCCATTATTCTCTATTTTTATAACTCAAATTAGTTTTTATCCATTTGACCTAGAAGTTTTCTGTTTGTATAATTTAAGTAGGAATGCAGTAGGCTTCCTATCAATTTCACTTCTAGGAACACAGTGATTAGTTAGCCAATACCAGAGCTCTACATGAGTCAGACTATTCTGATTGCCGTTTTTCCTCTGCTGTCCATTACAGTAGGTATGACCACCTTGCCTTTGACAGTTGAGTGCTGCCACTTGGCCCCTTCTACTTCAAGATCCAATTATTCCCATTGTATTTAAGGGCTATTTAAGTGTAGCACACCTCCTCATGGGTCACACTGTCAACCTCACTTCTAGGGGCCTGCAGGGACTTTAGTCTAGTTATAAGTCCAGAAGCAAACAGGGGTATTGGGGATGGCCCTGGGGAAAATCAACATTATTTTGCCTGGCAACTGCCACTTTGTAGTTGAGTGACTGCGGTTCCCACCGTTAGATCTGACATACAAGAGAAGAGCAATTATAGGGCTCTTCAAAGATGCAGGTGCTACCCTCACAAAACTATTTCACAAAGCATTGGTCAAGAGTATATCTTCTGGACCCTCCCAGCTGGGATGAGTATGTCTAAACTGATTAATCCACTCCACCATCCCAGTCTGCCTAAGCCCTTGGATCCCTTCCTCTACGTTAAACCAAGGGAGATCGGGCATTTCCAGCTCGCTCACAGTGGGCCATCTTTTAATCCGTATTTCAGCTAACCAAGCAAATAAACTATTAGAACCTTTTTTTAACTCCTTGAGCTACAACATTAAATGCAGAGTCCCTACTTAGTGGGCCCAAATCAATTAAATTCAGCCTGATCCAACTCTATGTTCCTTCTACCATTATCCCACACCCGTAATATCCATTCCCATGCTTGTTCTCGAGATTTCTGTTTATATAAATTAGAAAACTCAAGCAGTTCTTTTTAAGTGTAGCACACCTCCTCGTGGGTCACACTCTCAACCTCACCTCTAGGGGCCCACAGGGACTTTAGTTATAAGTCCAGAAGCAAATAAGGGTGTTGGGCGTGGCCCTGAGGAGAACCAACATTATTTTGCCTGGCAACTGCCCCAGGGGAGGCCATCAGTGTTGCCTTAGGCAGTGCAAGGTTTATCTCCTCAGACAAAGGTGGAAAGGCTGATGGCAGCTTGGATTGGGGAGGGGATGTTGCCACTACTGGGGATGGGGAAGCCGTTTCTTCTGGCAAAAAAAGCTTCATCAGAGTTTACAAACTCACTGTCCCCAACTTCATCAGGGTCCTCCCACACATCCCCATTCCAAGTTGCAGGGTCCCATTCTTTTCCAATCAATGCCCCGACTTTAACAGTAGACACCTGGCGAGGCTGTGCATGCACTTTTGTTGCAGGTCAGCCACTTGCATGGTAAAAGCTTGTGTCTGTTTTTCCACAATTTCAGCTCTTTCCCTACAGGAGATAAGACTCTCAGGACAATCTTAGCAGATTTGTGGCTCAGTATCTGCTTCTGAAGCTGGGAGATAGAATCCCTGAGTTTATCATTTTTTTTCATCACTTTGTCCACTGAATTTAGCTTCATTATGTTCCTTAGTTCTCCACATATGTCAAAGATATTATGTATGAGTCACTAAACTCCTTGCCTCTCACAAGTGAGGAATTAGGAGTGCCAAACGCATTTACTTTGCATAACTCTCTAAACAGTTCACACCAAGGACTATCAGTGTTCTCTATACTATTAGAAGTAGAATCCTTAGCATTTTGGGGTCTAGTCATATGAAGCAGCCAACTCCAGGAGCCCCCAAACCAATGAAAGAACTCCATCGTTAATGTTCTGTTCCTCTAGAACACTCCTGGCACCAAAATCTGTATTAGTCAGGGTTCTCTAGAGGGATAGAACTAACAGAATATATATATGATATATATATATATTTCACAAGGCATTGTGAATATATAAATTTATATCTATATAAATATATTGTAAATATAGATTTATATATAAATATATTGTAAATATATATATAAATATGTTGTAAATATATATATAAATATATTGTAAATATATATATAAATATATTGTATATATATTTATATATAACTATGTTGTAAATATATATTTATATATAAATATATAAATACATATTTATATATTAATATATAAATACATATTTATATATTTATAGATTTGTAAATATAAATATATATTATATATTATATATTTATATATTTTATATATCTATTTATATATTTGTAAATATATTTATATATTTATATTTTATAAATATATATATTTACTTTTTATATATTTTTATATATATTTATATATTTTATATATATTATAAAAATTATATTTTTATATATAATTATTTTATATATATAAAATTATATATAATTATTTTATATATATAAAATTATATATATTATATAAATATATATAACATATATTTATATAATATATATAATTTTTAAAATAATAATTATATGTAATTATTATAAAAATATATTTATATATATTTATATATATTTATATATTTATATATAAATATATAAATATATAAAAATATACATTATATATTTATATATATAATATTATATATATATTATATATTATCACAAGGTCCCACTATAGGCCACCTTCAGGCTGAGGCGCAAGAAGAGCCAATCCATGTTTCAAAACTGAAGAACCTGGAGTCTGATATTCAGGGTGGGAAGCATCCAGCACGGGAGAAAGAAGTAGGCTAGGAGGCTAGGCCAGTCTCTCTTTTCACATGTTTCTGTCTGCTTATATTCTAGCTGTGCTGGCAGCTGATTACATTGTGCCCACCCAGATTAAGGGTGGATCTGCCTTTCCCAGCCCACTGACTCAAATGCTAATCTCCTTTGGGCAACACCCTCACAGACACACCCAAGATGAATACCTTCTATCCTTCCATCCAATCAGGCTGACGCTCAGTATTAACCCACACAGTGTCAAATAAGGGAATGAAAAAATGTTCAATGTCTCTAGTCATTAAAGAAATACAAACAGCCACGCATGGTGGCTCATGCCTGTAATCCCAACACTTTGGGAGGCTGAGGGGGGCAGATTGCTTGAGCATAGGAGTTCGAGACCAACCTGGGATACATAATGAGACCTCATCTCTACAAAAATAAAAAAATTAGCCCGGTATGGTGGCACACGCCTGTGGTCTCAGCTACTCAGGAGGCTGAGGTGGAACGATTGTTTGAACCCAGAAGGTTGAGGCTGCAGTGAGCTGTTATCGTGCCACTGCATGCCAGCCTGGGCAACAGAGTGAGACCCTGGCTCAAACAAACAAACAAAAGAAGAATGTGCACCCCTCCTCGCCTAATTCATGTGCTGGAAACAATCCCCAGTGCAACCGTGTGGAGAGGCAAGACCATTAAGAAATGATTAGGTCGTGGGGGCTCTGCCCTTATGAATGGACTAATGCTGTTATCACAGGAGTGGGTTAGTTATTGTGAGACTGGGTTTGTTATAAAAAGTGAGTGTGATTCCCTCTTGCTTTCTCTTTCATGTGTGCTCCTTTGCCCTTCCACCTTCCACATGGGATGACACAGCAAAAAGGCCCTCCTCAGATGCTGTCGCCTTGGTATTGGACTTCTCAGGCTCCAGAACTAAAAAAATTCATGAGAAATAATTTTTTTTTAATAAACCACCCGGTCTATGTTCTGTGATAACAACATGAAATGGACAACATCTATAAGAATGAGTAAAATAATTTAAAAAAACAACCATACCAAGTCCTGACAAATATGTGGAGCAACTGGAATTCTTATACAATTCTAGCGAGAATAAAAAATAGTGCAGCCACTCCAGAAAACAGTTCGGCATGGTCTTATAAAGGGAAACATACAACGGCCATTTCACCAAACAAGCCAATACTTGAGCCTTTACCCTAGAGAAATGGAAACTTATGTTCACAGAAAAACCTGTATGTGAATATTAGTAGAAACTCTACTTCACAATTGCCCAAACTGGACTCAGTCCAAATATTCTGCAGTGGCGGAATGGATAAACAAACTGCCGTAGAGCCATGCAATAGAATACTAGTCAGCGATAAAAAGGACCAGGCTACTCGAACTGCATGCAGCAACTTGTATGAATCGCAAAGGCTTATGCTGAGCAGAAGCCACTATCACAAGGTTACCTTCTGCATGATTTTATCTATACTACCTTCTCGAAAAGCCGAGAGTATAGCGTTGGAGGGCAGATCAGCGGTTGCCATAGGGTTGTGACTATAAAGGCACAGCATGAAGGGGTTTTGGGGAGTGATAGGACTGTTCTGTACTCTGATTGTGGTGGTGGTTACATGAATCTATATATGTGAAAGTTCACAAAACTGGTGATTATTTCACAATGCATAGATATATCAAATTATCAAGTTATAAAGCTTAAACATATAATGATTTTAATTGCCAATTATACCTTAATAAAGCTGGAAAAAATCTACAGAACTGCACACCAATTCTACGTATGATAATTTTGAAGTAAAATGAATTAAAAAAGAAAAAACCTCTCAGGTGATCCAAGCATCACAGTTTGATGGCTGCATTCCTGAGTCCAGTACTCACCTGTTGCTTAGCAACAAAGCTTGGGCCTTTCCACCAATCACACCTTGAGCTCCCAAATCAAAACAAAAGTTTCTCGAAGGTAAGGGCCAGGATCCTCGGGCCTCTGTGGCTCCATGGCTACTCTCAGATCCTCCCTCCTTTTCTTTTTTTTTTTTCCTTCCTTCCTCCCTTGGTTCCTTCCATTCTTTCTTTCTGTCCTTTATGGGAGCGCTCCCCAGGAAGATGCTCAACCAGGAGCTCATCTTGTCTTCCAGGCCTGGGTGCCCTCCATATGACCTGGGAAGTGGGCAGTGGCTGACTTGGAACAGCCACCGTGGGAGATAATAAATGTCTCTGAATCTTCTTGCTCAGTCACCCCATTGGAAACATTGGGAGATCAAGGCTCAGAAGGATGCCCTGTTATTCTGGAAGTTAATGGAAGGGTCAGGACTGGAAGCCAGCCCCCTGACCTGAAACGTGGGACCATTCCCATCAGCACTCACAAGCAGGTTTGCTCCACTCCCCTGTCCCCCACCTCCAGGCTCCAGGATGCTATTTAGTGTTTCCCCCCTTGTTTAATAAGAGTCACTTTCATGCCGATAGCTCCCCTAACTTCTCTTTCCCACCAATCACTTTTATGCTCCAGACCTACAGGGCTAGAGAGTTGCACTGGGAGATTCCTCAATATCTTCAAAACCAATCCACTCCAAACTGATCTCTTCTTTCCTTGAAATCACCTGCCCCTTCCCCTGTTCCCCATTATTTCTGTCTCCTACGTCAGAAACCTGAAGCCCACCTGGCTTCCCCCCATCTCTCCCTCCACAGCCAGATCTGCTTCTGGAAACGCTCTTGAATGCATTTTCTTTTTCGTGTCCTTTCAGCCACTGCTGAGGTCTAGTCCTTACTACCTATGGGAGGTGCCCTGGACTCTGGCCTGTCCTCCACAGGACCACCAAAACGTGATCTGATGGAGCCTCACCCCGCAGGTGAACCCATCTGGATTCGTCCTTGCTTGGTGAGAAAATGGCCAATGTCTTTACTTCCATCAACGAGGCCTTTGCTGCCTGGCCCCAGCCTGTAGCTCCAGCTTCGCCATCTACCCCACACTGCCTGGCTACTCCTGATGGAGCCCTGCTCATGCAGCTCCTTTCCATTGGGATGCTCTCCTCATCCCTCACCCGCCTGCTTTTGCCTGGCTAATCCCCAGGTAGTGCGCAGAATGCTGGGCTCCATACCTAATCTCTAGAACCTATGAATGGGGGAGAAAAAGCCTTTGGAGGTGTAATTAAAATAAGATCTTCAGATAAAGACATCGATCTGGATTATCCAGGTGGGCCCTAAATCCAATAACAAGTATCCTTGTAAGATGAGGCAGAGGGAGATTTGACAGAGATAGGGAGGAGGCAACATGACTTCAGAGGCAAGGGCTGGAGTGACGTGGCCACAAGTCAAGGACTACCAGCCACCACTGGAAGACTGGAGGAAGCTGGAAGAGTCAAGGAAGAATTCTGCCCCTGAGCCTCCAAAGAAGCACTGCCTTGCTGACACCTCGATTTCAGACCTCTGGCCTCCAAAACCACGAGATAATAAATAGCCATTGTTTGAAGCCACTGAGTTTGTGAACTAGTTATAGCAGCTACAGAAAACTACCATACTCAGGGTTGACCTTCTCTGTGACATGCTCCCAGGCCTCTTGGGGAGAGTCGCTCCTTCCCCTGTGGTTTCACTTGTCCCACTGGAAGGGGTGTCAGGAAGGGCTGAAGGCTGTGGCTTCTAAACCAGGCTGTCACCAACAGGGAGAGGTGGAGCAAATGTTCTCTGTGTGTGTGTTGTGGGGGGAGCAGTTTGCCCTTCCTGAACAAGCCAGGGGTTTGCATATCCTGCTGGATATGTCTTCCCACTGGCCATGAGGGCACCAAGAGAGATGTATAGGAATGTATGTAGCAGCAAGCAACAAACCATCCAATAGCTCCTAATAACAACCATTAGAAACAACCGTTGTGCATTTTGAGGATGGGTAAATAATGGTGGTATAGCCACACACTGGAATACCATATGGAAGTGAAAAATGGAGTCGTAACTGCATACAAGATGGAAAAAATCTACAAAATACAATGTGGGCAGGAAAGGTACTGTAGAAGAATACCTGCAGTGATCTTGTTGATATAAAGAATCTGCGTGGGTGAGTGCAACATGATGGTTTAGGGGTTTGGAAAGAAAGGCAAGGGAATGACAGGCCAAATTGGAAACCGTGGCCACCTCTGCAGGGCAGCTGGGCAGAAGCAGAAAGGGACTGTCTAAGCAGTGCTTCTCAAACATTAATGGGCACACATCACACAGGGGTCTGGTTAACATGCGATTTGATTCTCATTCGGTGGGTTTCAGGTAGGGCCTGAGAGTCTGTGTCTTCTACAGGCTTCCAGGTGAGGTTGACCCTGTGGATCCAGACCACATTTTGGGTAGTGAGGATGAGCCAAGAGGCGGCGATGGCCCAGCCTGGGGATGCTTGACCCTCACCACACATCGGACTCACTCCAGGAGCTTCTCAAAAGCACTGACGCCAGGTCCCCTGGAGACCAGCAATATGAGCAGCCCTGGGCGCGGAGCCCAGGCGTGGCTTTGTGAACAGCTCCCAGGGGCTGCACGGTGAAGCAGGTAGAGGCCCCTACTCCAGTCTGGACTGGGGGATATACAGGTGTTCATTTTCTCTTCATCTTTTAGGCTTTTCATGTATGCTATCTGTGTTCCTTTGTATGTATAAGGCACACACAAAATATAAAATGTTTTTTAAAAGAGTGCAAATTAAAAAAAATAATAATCCAGATCTATGGGGTCAGGGAGGAAAAAGAACAAGCAACTAAAAAGGATTCTTAGGCCAGGCGCAGTGGCTCATTCCTATAATCCCAACACTTCGGGAGGCTGAGGCGGGCGGATCACTTGAGCCCAGGAGTTCAAGACCAGCCTGGGCAACATGCCGAAACCTCATCTCTACAAAAAAATTAAAAATTAGCCGGGTGTGGTGGCATGCACCTGCAATCCCAGCTACTTGGGAGGCTGAAGCAGGAGGATCACCTAAGTCTGGGGAGTTTGAGGCTGCTGTGAGCTGTGATGGCGCCACTGCACTCCAGCCTGGGCAACAGAGCGAGATCCCATCTCAAATAATAAAAAATTAACAAGACTCTTAAAAACCACTTTAGTCCACAGCAAAGAATCCTGTCGACTGTTAGGCCTATTGGTGGGCACAGCCGGCAGCCGTCGTGTTGTTGGCCAGTCAGCTCCCTATCTGTGATAGTCAGGGTCAGCCAGGCAACAGCACGGTAAGTTAAGCTGTGGGTCAGTCCAGCAGCCAGCAAGTCAGTTTGAGTCCCTGAGCAGTTAGTGCTTCCTATTCCCAGTCAGCTAGGGCATCCGCTTGTTAGGACGGTGGTTGTTCCTCTGTCCGTCAACGTGTAGTCATTGTTGTCAGGTATCGGGGAGTTACCACTACCCAACCCCACTGCCAACTGTGGTTGCAAGGGTTGGTGGGAAAGGCCCATGGGTCCATGGAGGGCTCAGTCATTGGCAAGTCAGCCGCTCAGCCAGTCAGTAGGTCAGTCAGAATGGCAATTGGTGAGAGAGTCAGTCAGCAATGAAGCAGCCAGCCAGCAGCCTGCCAGACAGACTTTCTCTACTTCAGCCAGCCTGTTGGTGAGACAGTCTTTAGTCAGGAAACCCCTGAGTCTGTCAGTCAGACCCTAGTCAGACAGATAACTTGTCAGGCCTGAGTCGTGTGAGACAGCCAGGTCTCACACGTGGGTCAAGCAGCCCCAGGCTGACAGTTAGCTCCATCAGTCAGTCAATGAATGGGCCAGTCACCACGCCAGCACCTCAGCCAGTTGGGGAGACAGCCTTAGTTGATGCCCAGGGCTTCACTCAGACATGCTCTGCCCACAGTCCCTGCACGGTCTGTCTGGCTGTCTGTCTGTATGTCTGTCATGCAGGTAGCTGTGAGTCAGGCCGCACCCCAGCCACCCAGCCAGGCAGCTGCAGGGCCAGCTCACCCTCTCCATGCTGAGCCAGTTCATTAAGAACCCTGCAGACTGGGGAGAACTCCAAGGCCCTGTTCAACAGCAGTGAGGCTCTGTTACTATTATTAGCGAAGAGCGCTCCGGAGGCTCCGGAAAGTGGAAAAGGCCATCAATAGCCCTGTCCTGCTTCCCCCTCCACACCTCTCTCTCCATTAATGAGGTTCCTGCCACAGAGAAGGGGCGCTTCCCGGAGGCCGGAATTGGAGGAGGGGGCAGGGGGTGGGGGAGTGGTTCCAGTCAGCCCTGCTGCCATCCCCATGGGGGGGTGGGTGGGAGTGGGGACTGAACAGGAGCCGCTTCTCCCTGGCCTGGCCCTGCCTGCCTTCAGGGTCTGTGTCCCCCTCTGAGCTGCCGTCTCTGAACAAGCCAGGCGGTGGGCGTGCAGCTAAGGTCCACACAGGGCACAGGGATTTGATGTCAGCTGTTGTGTTTATCTGCTGTGACTCAAAAAGAAAGGAGAAAACACAGTTGCAGAGTCTACTTTTCCGTTCATGGAAGTTCCCGTCTGCGATTGTATTTCAGATCACAGCCTCCTGAAAGGTAGCAGCATCCCCCTGTATGCACTGAGGTTCGGAATGAGAAGCGTTTGCCCCAGGTGGATTCCATCCAGGTGCGCGTGACCCCAGCGTGCACAGCTTCTCCTTACTGGGCTGCCTCTCCGGTGCTGGCAGAGGGCTTTCCGTTCCTAGCTTCAATCTCCCCTTCTTTTCCATGGGGCTGGAGAGGAGATTTCTGAGGTCTCTCATGCTCTAATGTTCTCTGCTGGACGTATGTTCTCTTATGAACTTGCTGTTGGAACATGCTATGCCTGGGACCAGACCAGAAGCAGAGGTAGGGGCTGGAGAGCAGCGTTCCTCGGCCTTGGGTCTGGGGTAATGGGCCCACTCTTTTATAAGCTTCTAGACTTATGGAGCCAAAGGGAGCTTAACGCTTACTTGGTCTGCATCCGGTCTCATCAGAAGCAAAATCTTTCCTGCAACCATGTAGTCAGCACCTATCTGTGCTTATACATTCCCAGTGACAGGGAGCTCACTACCTCTAGGAGCCTTTTCTATTGTGGGGCAGCCTCGGCCCTCGTAAAGTCACTCCACATCCTAGGCCCATACCTTTAGGTCTCAGTTCTGCATTTTGGTGCCACCCAGATTAAGCCTCATGCTTCTTAAGAGGGCTGCCCTGCTATTCAGACTTGGGGAAAGACAACAGGATTTCCTGTTCGTCAGTTGTTTCAGTTGCGTGCAAGGGAAAAAATGCTGGAGAAGAGTGGAAACAAAGAGCAAGGCTCTTGGGTCAGTGTGGTAGACTGCTGGCACTAGTGGCCTCAGTTTAGCACTTGCTGTATCCATGGGTTTAAGTGGCACCCTCCAACATTGACTTACTTCGGGCAGTGGGATAGCAGCAAACTTGATGTAAGCAGAGGCTTGTAAAGATGCCTAGTTTTTTCCACATTCTTTCCTGGACCCCGGCCACCTCCTGAGAACAAGCCCTGGACAGCCTGCTCGAGGGATGCGAGAGACACATGGAGAAGAGCTCATGTGTCCCAGCCAAAGTCATCCTACAGCAGCCAGCACCAGCTCATCCTCCAGCTCACCACAGACACCTGAGTGAGCCCAATCCATATCAACTGAGGCTGGTTCAGATTAGCCAAACTGCCCAGCTGACCCAGAGACTCATGAGAAATGACAGTTGTTATTTTCAGCGACTAAATTTGGGGGCAGTTCGTTACACAGCAATAGCTCACTAAGAAAGACACTCAAAACTCTCCAAGGTTCAGCCTTGCTTCTCCCTTTCCTAGCAGTGTGACTTCAGATAAACCATAGAATCTCTGGAAGTCTCCGTGTTCTCATCTGTTAAGTGGGGCTACTAAATCCTGCTCTTCCTCCTTCAAAGGAGGCAGTCACAAGTAATACATAGGGAAGTACATTGCTAACTAGAAGGAGCATAAAAAGGGGCTGGGCTCAGGAGGGTCTGGGGATTGGCCCGAGGGTGAGTGTCCCTGCAGCTGCATGTCAGGGCTCTGCTAAGCAGAGGGCAGTGCAGTATATTAACCCAGCTCACCTCCCTGTCCAGAAGCAAGCATGGCAGGCTGAGTGATGGGGCCAACTGCAGGCTTATTTACAAACATAGCCCTTTTGCCTTCTCTTCCTCTGTAAGCCCTACTGGAAGCATATAAATGAGAATCAATAGGCCAGTTATTAAACCGTAAATATCCCTCCCCTCAGGCTCTTGGGCCAAGAGCTCTGAGCCTCTCAGCTGAGAGGGGTGCCGAGGGTGCCTCACATGCAGTCTGCCTTACACCCCAGCCCAGCCCACCACCCCAGAGCAGAGGAGAGACTGCCACTACCTTTCCGGGTAGAGAGGAGACCTGATCCATGCAGAACCAAATTAAAGGAGTCCTCAAACCACCATGCAACATCTATTATTTAGGAAAGGAGGAGAGCCACGTGAGTATGGCACAAACCCTTTACCTACCTAGGCTGAAACTCAGAATGCTTGAGTGAGAAAGGGGCTGAGAAATCCATTCAAGCACCTACATATTCTGTGGATGCAGAGACAACTCAGGGGCCCAAAGGGGGGCAACTCATCCAAGAAGATATGCCCAGAAAGCGACAGAATCCAGACTCAAACCCAGATGTATGGCCTATGAACTGTGCCATCATCTAAGACAGAAGAGGAATTATGGTGCACAGGTAGGGAAGGGACATAGAGGGTGAGGCAGTTAATAGGGTCCAGGGAGACAGGACTGGGATATAGCAATGAACCCAGGGAAAGAAAGCTGCTTAAAGGAGCTGGGAGGAGATGAAGGGAAGGAAAGACAGTGTTACATGAGCAGGGGCTGGTGAACTGGGAAGTTTGGTAGTTTGGTACAAGAGAGAAGAATATAAAGACACACACACACACGCACGCACACACAGCAGACAGGGGGAAGTGGTAGGCTTCCTGCATTCCTTAACTGTGGACATCATGGAGGCTGCATTTAAACTGGGCCATGGAGGATGAGTAATTTGAGCTGGGCCATGGACAGTGAGTAGGATCTATGCTCACTTAACCTTCTCTATACATGGAGCAGAAAGGAATGAAGGGCAATCCAGGAGGAAGGGCCAGAATAAGCAAAGGCATCAATGGTGGTAGCGATGATAACAATGATGATGATGGTGATGGCAATGATGGTGGTGGTGATGAAGATGATAATAATGATGATGGTGGTGGTGATAATGATGGTAATGGTGATAAAGATGATAATGATGGTGATGATAGTGATGGTGGTGGTGGTGGTGATGAGAGTGGGGATGATGGTGCTGATGAAGATGATAATAATGATGAAGATGGTGATGATGAAGATGATAATGATGGTGATGATGATGGTGATGATGATTATGGTGATGATAATGATGGTGATGATAATAATGGTGATGATGATGATGATGGTAGCTATCACTTTTCTTTTTTTGAGACAGAGTCTCGCTCTGTCACCCAGGCTGGTGTGCAATGGCACGATCTCGGCTCACTGCCGACCCAGGGACTGGACAGCCGGGTTCAAGCCAGGTTCTGCTTTCTACTAGCTGCGTGACTGCAAGCAACCTCTCTGGGCCTCAGTTTTCTTGTTGATGAAAGAGAGATGATTATAATGATAAAGCTCCTTGCCCACGAGGTGCTGAGAGGCGTGGAGGGGGTGATCCTCAACAATTGCTCAGAAGAGTGGCTGACACAGAGCAAGCGCTCAGGGCGAGCTAGTATTTTTCTCTGCATCTTGCCCGTGACCTTTCTGCATGTGGATGCTTGCCAAAGGTGGGCTGCAGTGAATAGGAGTGACCACTAGGATGTTTTTCCTGCCCCAGATCTGAGCCCTCCTTTTGTATTTGGAGGCTATTCCGTGTCTATCTGCTGCTATAGAAAATTCCGGCTCCTCGGTTTCCCAGCCTCCCTTACAGCACAGGTGCAGACCCGTTCCCTGAGGTCTGCCTGTCGAGCGGGCCAGGATGCACACCAGCGGGACCCTGGAAAAGCCTTTCTGGTGGTAGGCAGCAGAGCAGCTCCCTGAGCCTCCAGGGCAGCATGGCAGTGGGCAGCACGTGCGGCTCCCATGGCCCTGGAGGCAGAGCAAGGGGTGGCTTCCCCTGGAGGCTGGCAATGTCCTTAGACTGGTTTAGTGGCATGGCTGTTTGGTCTTCGGTCTGGCCGCAGTGCTTTCCAGTCCTTCCCAGTGATTCTGTGAGTCCCTGGATTACGTTCAGTACATCCTATTTCTGTTCAATCGGTGTTGATTTCTTCTGGCTGCATCTAGGACTCTACATTATTCAGAGGAGGGTGGAGTCTCTATCATACCCATTGCTGGACTCAGACACTGGTGAGATCCTGGACCAGGCCCCTCAGGCTCAGCTGCGGCTGAGGGGAGCCAGAGCCAGGACACACACTGCTGATGGTGTGAGCACCACATCTGTGGCCACCCTGCACTTCCATCAGAGGAACCCAGTGGAGGCCACTCCAGAGCACCGGCCATGGCCCCCAGAAGGGTCAGGCACAAACTCCAACATCAGGGGGTCACTTATGATTAAAAATGCCCTGAATCCAGGAAGGGGCTGTAGCTCACGACCACCTGCAGACAGAAAGACCTTGGGAAAGGCAGCTGGCCTAGGAGTAGAATTCCTGCCTAACTCCAGCCTGAGCAAGGGCTGTGTTATCACAGAACAGTGATGAGAGCCTCTGGTGTTTACACTCAGCTGTACCTTTTCCCCTGTTTTCTCATTTCTACCCATCCTACAGAGGGGAAGTGGGAGCTCAGAGGCTCCCACTGGCTTTCCCAAGGTCCCATAGCAATGACAAGTAGAGACCAGTCCCAACCCAGGTGTTTAATGTCAAGGCTGAAAGGAATGTTGGAGGACACTGAGGCCCAGGACAGGGGTGGCCAAGGGAGCCTATCACAGGGACTCAGATTTTGAACTTTGTGGCATTATTCACAACAGCAAAGACTTGGAACCAACCCAAATGTCCAACAATGATAGACTGGATTAAGAAAATGTGGCACATATACACCATGGAATACTATGCAGCCATAAAAAATGATGAGTTCATGTCCTTTGTAGGGACATGGATGAAATTGGAAATCATCATTCTCAGTAAACTATCGCAAGAACAAAAAACCAAACACCGCATATTCTCACTCATAGGTGGGAATTAAACAATGAGAACACATGGACACAGGAAGGGGAATATCACACTCTGGGGACTGTTGTGGGGTGGGGGGAGGGGAGAGGGATAGCTTTAGGAGATATACCTAATGCTAAATGACAAGTTAATGGGTGCAGCACACCAGCATGGCACATGTATACATATGTAACTAACCTGCACATTGTGCACATGTACCCTAAAACTTAAAGTATAATAATAATAAAATTTAAAAAAAAATGAAAAAAAGACCCCCCAAAATACTCTCTTATGACTTTGGAATGGGACACCCTGCCATGGGAGAGAGTGAGCTCCCTGTTAGTAGAGGTATGTAAGGAAAGGTGGAAGAGGTGGGAATCACTGGGTGCAGATGCACTGAGGGGCAAGGATTTCTACTGACTATAGGGGCTGCCGTCTCCTGGGGGCCAGTGGGTCTCTATAAATGGAGCTGAAAGCTTCCTGAAAAATGCCTGTCTTGTGATCTCTGTTGTCCCTCTGCTTTGAGCGTTTGGCCAAGAGGACAGAGATCCACATAAAGTGGCCTGATTTTAAATGGGGTGCCTTGAGCTGCCTCGAGAGGTAGAGAAAAGCCCCAGAGTCATAAAGAATCCTGCCCCCAACACAGTCCTGCGCCTCTACACACGTGTGCACTCTAGCTTACCAATGGAGAAACTGAGGTGCAGAGAGGGGGAGCAAGGGGCCCCAAGGCAGCTGGAAGTGGAATGGGATGAGAACCCAAGTCTTTGACACTTAGTCTAGGGCAGTGGTTCTCGGAGTGGGGTCCCCCACCAGCAGCCTCAGCAAGCCCTGGAAACTTGTTGGAAACATAACTTCTCAGGCCCCACTGACTCTGAAACTCTGGGGACAGGGCCCATAGTCTGGGTTCCACTGAGTCCTCTGGGGGATTCTGATGTGCGCTGAAGCTGAGAACCATCAACCAGAGTGCTTTTGTGTTTCAGCATTCACTGACTGGAGGCCCATGAATGAGGCCCCTCCTGAGATGTGCCTGGCAATATCCTGCTTTCTAAGCCATAAGAGGAAACATGACCCCTCCTGGCTTATAGGCTACATGTGTTTTATCTCAATGAGGTTGACATCCCCAAGCTCAGATATGTGGAATGACCCGGCAAGGTCACACGGCAGTGTGGTAGTTTCTCTGGAATTAGAACTCACATCTTCCAAGTTTTCAGCCAGCATTCAAGTGCATCTTTTGGACCTGATTCCCCTTACCCCAGCCCACCTGACATCATAGGGCCCTCACCCCTCCCTGAACCATGCAGAAAACCCTGGGCCACAGCACTCCCTGCCCTAGCCAGCAACAGGCTTTTCTCCAAGAGCCCTGGCTGCTCCAGGTAGTGGGGGCTGGATTGGTTTATTTATTGCTATCATTAATTAGTTTTGTTGGGGATGAAAGACAGGTCCCTGGAGAAGCCCAGTGCATTAAAGCCCATTATTCCATCATTGCTCTGGACTTGCCGGCAAGAAGCGTAGCCCCTCTTTGCTGTCAGCCCTGCACAATTAATTAGCCCGCAGCCGGAAAGGCAGCTCTCACACACCCCTGGGTGGAGAGGGCTCTGTTCCAGCATCTAGTGTCCTCCAGAGCTTTTCTGTCTCAATTCTAACTGGGGGAGGTATTGGGAAGACCCTCCTGAGGAGGGGCACTGCAATTGCTGGGTGTAGAAGGGAGGAGGGTATTCCTGGCCAGGTGGAACCCTTATCCTAATGATACTATTATTGAGTGCATTCTATGATGTGTCAGACACTGGGCTAAATGCTTAGAGCACATATTTAATTCTCACAAACGTCCCATGGGGCGCGTTTTTATTTGCCAGATGAAGAAATTGAGGCTCTGCTAGGGGGAGTGGCTTGTCCAAGAACCACAGCACAAAATGGTAGAGTAGAATTTCAACCTGGATCTGTCTGACTCCCAAGTCTGGGTTGAGTTTTAATAAAGGGGCTGTTTAGTGTGGCTCAGGAAGCTGGGGGCCTGGCCCCACGAGAAAGGAAGGATGGTAAGTTGGGCAGGAGGCCTGGAGTAAAGCAGAGAGGATGGGTATGTGATGAGGTCAAAGGGGCCTTTGCTGAACATGGAATCAGAAGCCATGAGTTTGAGGCCACTTATGAACTAAGTGACTTTGGGCAAGACCTCAGTTTCCCTTTCAGTGGGAAGATTGGGTCCAATAATGTGGGTTCTTCTCAAGAGAGGCTGTATAGCCTAGTGGTCCTGGAAAGGTGACCTCTAGGGAGTTAATCTTTCTGAGCCTCAGTTTCCTCATCTGAAAAACGGGGATAGTAATAATACCCTATGGGGTTCATGTGAGGATTAAATGAAATTATACATGAAAGGGGTGAGCACAGTGTCTGACACTTAGGGAAGGCTTGATAAATGTTGGTGATGAGGAGGAGGAGGATTTGAAAGGAGTTAGTTTCAGGACAGCTTTGCCGTGAGTCTTGATCAAGTTACTCCATTATAGTTGTGCGCCACATAGTGACATTTCAGTCAACGACAAACCACATATTTGATGGTGGTCCTGTAAGATGATAATGGAACTGAAAACTTCCTATTGCCTAGTGATGTTGTAACATCGCAGCAAAATGCATTACCTTTTCTGTTTAGGTATACAAATTCTTTTTTTTGTTTGTTTGTTTTTTGAGATGGAGTCTCGTTCTGTCACCCAGGCTGGAGTGCAGTGGCGCGATCTTGGCTCACTGCAAGCTCTGTCTCCCGCGTTCACGCCATTCTCCTGCCTCAGCCTCCCGAGTAGCTGGGACTACAGGCACCCACCACTAAAAAAATGCCTGGCTAATTTTTTTTTTTTTTTTTGTATTTTTAGTGGAGACAGGGTTTCACCGTGTTAGCCAGGATGGTCTCGATCTCCTGACCTCGTGATCCACCCGTCTTGGCCTCCCAAAGTGCTGGTATTACAGGCGTGTGCCACCACACCTGGCCTAGATATACAAATTCTTACCATTGTGTTACCGTTGCTTGCAGTATTCCATACAGTGACTTGTAGTACAGGTTTGTAGCCTGGGAGCAATATAGTATAGCCTAGGTGTGTAGGAGGGTGTACCATCTAGGTTTGTGCAAGTCCACTCTGTGATGTTCATACAATGACAAAATCACCTAATGATGCATTTCTTAGAATGTATTTCCATCATTAAGTGACATCTGACTGTCATTACAGAATCACTGTGCTGTGGATTCATCACACCTGATGACCTTGGCAGGGAAAGAATGGCTAAGGTTCCAGAATGGTCCCTCTGTTTGTCAAGGCTTGGATTCTAGGCCTGGTTAAACCTCCCTTTTGCTGTGTAACCTCAGGCAAGTTGCCCAGCCCACCTTCTCCTATCTAGGCTTTGGTCATCCCATCTGTAACAACAGTAGATTGGCCAAGGTCAGACAGGGACACTGCCCCTCCCTGTCCCTGCCACATGGGTGGGAGTTGCCTCTCCTGAAGGCCATCCCTGCCCCTCAACATGGCTGACTCAGCCTTTGCCCAGTGGTAGGGGACAGGCTGCCTGCCGGAGGGTGCTAAGAAGTTAATTAAACCCTCCAGAAGCCATTTGTTAACAGGGGAGCGATGGTATATTCAATACCAGCCAAAGGTTGGTGGAAAGTAATGAGTCTTTCTTTAGCTGTGAATAATGTGTTCCCTCCCCTCGGCAACCCCCCAGCTCTGAAGGATGGTCCTGGGGAAGCCATGGCTCATCTTAATGGCCTGGGCACTGTGGGGCCTAGCAAGCCAGTCTTACCAGCAATCATCACTTCCCATCAGAGAAACTTGGCTTCTCTCTGTTTCTGTCTTACTCATGGTCTCTAACTATTCTCCAGATGATCTCTCTCTCCCTCCCTCTACATGCATTTGTTTCTTTCTCTCTCCCCCAGCCTGCAAGGAAAAGTTGCAGTCCACTGTGTCACATGCCTGCACTGCTCATATTGTATGTGGGAATCAACAGCCCTGCTGGGCAGCAGGCTTAGACACAGTTTGGAAATTGTGGGGAGGAAGGGGAGGCAAGGGCCTGGATATCACTGGCCCCAGGGGAAGGCAACTGACCAGGAGACTGCTCATGGACAGCTTGGGCCAGTCTGTGATGCCAGCTCCCTCTATGTGCCCACCCTGCAGAGGGCAACTTACCTCAGGCACTAAGACAGGTGTCTGAAGGAGGTGTCCCAGCCAGGCACCCAGGCACTCAGCACCTAGTTTGGGGCCCAGCGTGGAGTGACTATGGCTGTTCCATCTGTTTTTCTGAGCTTTATTTCTCCCCCAGCTGCTTCTATAGAAGATAGGGCTGGTTCTGGCTCAGCTACCCATGTGGGCCCTGGGGACAAAGGTCTTGACAGGGTCCTTTGGGAGGGAGACTGCCCCCAGCTCAGTGACCAACATGTCCCTCGTCTTGTGCACCCGCACCCATAAGCACCTCCTCTGGGCAGCTGCCAGAAGGGGTCTTCTGATGCCGATGCCCATCTGGGCTGCCATCCATCTCTCTGCCAATCTCTCCATGGGTACCCCTCACTCAATACCATTTTCTGGTTTTCACAGGCAGTTTCAGTCCACTCCCTCTGACTTGTACCTGGGGGAGCCTGGTCACAGCTGAAAAATAGGGAGCCCTGAGGCCTCCCCTCAACAGGTGGGCTGTGGCTTTGTCCCCCTTTGTGATAGCACAAAAAGAACCCAGGCAGGGGAGGGAAGGGGCCCATGGCCTAGCAGGTGTCTGTCACCATCCTGGCAGCCAGCATGGGGAAAGAGGTAGGAGGGGCGGGGGGGCAGTCATTCACTCGCCGAGCTAGGGACAAGGCACCTTGATTAGGCCCTCAAGATAATCGCCGCACACCTGGACTGGCACCCCAGAGGCCCCCGCCTCGCAGCCGCCCCTTTGTCTGCCTGGGGAGTCTCTGGCTCCAAAGCCTGAGGTTGCGGCTGATAGACTGGGCTAAAGCCAGGTGCTGAAACCCAAGAGCCAAGTGGTGGTGGGGAGGGTTTTGGGGAAGGAGGGCTCCTAGATCTGGGGAAATGCCCAGGTCCCTGCTTCCCTGGGTCCCACAGTGAACAGGGTGTTGGGAACAGAGGACCTAGCGGGGGAGAGGAGGGAGAATGGCTAAGATGTGTGCTGTGTGTGTGTGCAGATGTTTACACAAGGGGACACAGACAAACAGACAGTGGGATGGCTCCCCTCAGTCACCCCAGCCGTCACCTGCTGCCCTGACCACAGTTCCCACCTCTCTCCTCTGGCTAAGGGAGCAGCCTGGCCCTCCAGGTGGGTAGGACGGATGTCCCAGGGGGTGGACAATCCTCAAGCAATGAAGAATAAGAAGGGACAGGTAAATACCAGGTATTTCTGGTAAGTGCTCACAGAAAGATTGGCAGACAGATGGATGGCAGCCTGGATGGGCAGTGGCCTCAGATAGACCCCTCCTGGCAGCTGCCCAGAGGAGGTGCTCATGGGCACAGATGCACAGGACGAGGGCAGTGCTGGCCACTGAGCTGGGTGCAGCATCTCCCTCCCAAAGGACCTTGTAAACATCTCCTTTGTCCCCAGAGCCCACATGGGAAGGTAAATACTAGGATCCTGTATACAGGGGAGTGGTTTTAAGGTGTGTCCTATTCAGTCGTCCAGAATATTCCAAATAGGATTGCACTCTGGTTGCCCCCAGCTGGAACGCATTGGTGAACACACCCTTATTGCCTTTCCCTCCATGCCTGATGTCTCACTTCCCCAACAAGTCTCCTGGGATCCCCTCTCAAACCACTTGCACCCAAATTTCTTGTCCCAGGCTGTTTATACAGATACTCAAATTAAGACAGGGTGGCATCGGGGGCTGGGTCGGGTCTGCTAGTGTGCCCTACATGGGGGTGTGGGGGGGAAGGGCTGAGAAACAGCCTCTCAGAAGCTGCACAGGTTTCCTAAGCAAAGAGGGGCCCCGCCTGTACCAGCTCCCCTCCCAGCAGCAGGGTGTGCAGGATGAGCCCCACATCCTCCTGGGCACATGCTTGGAGCCCGTATTAGAGCATACCTACACTGATCTAGGGACTGGTCATGGGGGTCATGGGACACATGTGAGTGTGACAGCTGTGGGTAGGCAGGCGTGTCTGTACATATGTAAATGTGGGAGGATACGCATGACCGTGTGTGTGTGTGTGTGTGTCTGTGTGTGTGTGTGTATATACGTGTGTTTCCATGTAAACTCGAGGGGCTTCTGGCTTGGAGAGTTTGGCCAACTGGCCCTGCCCCACAGGCTGCCTGCAGACCCCCGAGCTGGCCAGCATAGGGGAGGGCAAGTGGAGGCTGGAGCTGAGCCATGCTCAGGGCAGAGGGCAGGACCGCTCTGGCCTCCTGGGGACCGAGCGGGGCCCTAGGAGTGGGAACATGAATATGGGGTGTTGCAGAGTGCTCTACACCATCACATGGCTCCCTGCACTGCCCCAGGCGGGGCTCAGCATGGGGCAGGCTGAGCCGGGGTATATTTAACATCCCGTTAATTGGGAATGGCATGTATCACGCGGCCCCAGGCCTAGGAGCTGCAGAACCAGGTTGCTAGGAGAAGTGTAATTTCCGTCCTTGCCCGCTCCCTTTCATGTCCCCCCGCCCCTTGTCTGTGTCACTCAGCTGCACCGAAAGCCCTGATTTCTCTCTAAAAATGAAACAGTGAGCTTGGCTGTGTGTTGGTGCTGGTGGGGCTGGAGGGGCATGTTTTCTGCCCATGACAAGGGCTAAGAAGTGGCCAGCTTTTTCCACAGTGAGTGCTCATCCCCAGGGGCCAGGCTCAGGAGAAACCCCAGTCTCCTTGGGGTTGACTCCCTTATCCTGGGGAGCACCAGGTTTAAAATGCAACTATCCACTCATGTAAGGGCCTTGGGGGTCAGCTAGGCCCAGCCCTTGTGACTCACATGGGGAAGGAGAGTCTCAGAGAGGGAAAACCACTTCCCCAGGGTCACACAGGAAAGCAGGCAAGAGCCAGGATTAGAACTGGAGTTCCTGGATCCTGGATTTGCTCAGTACTGCCTGCTCTGCAGGGGGAATCTCACCCTTCTCTGGCTCACTCAGATTTTCCCACACTGACGGAGAGCTACACGGAGGGGCAAGCTCCTTGCTGTAAGTGGGCCCAGGGGTCCAACGTAGCTCGAAGGAGTGGTTGCAACCCATCATCCCAGCTGATCCTGCAAACCTTGTCAGAACCAGCAGCCCCCAGTCTTGGTAGGAGGATGATGCTTTTCAAACAGGCTCAAGTCAGGCCAGCCCTCCCTGGCTCCCTCGCTGCTGCCTGCCCTCCTATACTGGGTCCAATACTGTCCCCTTAAAATTCATATCTCCCCTGGAACATGTGAATGTTAACTCGTCTTTGCAGATATAACAGGGTCTTTGCAGATATAATCCAGTTAAGATGAGCTGTGTCATAATCCAGTGACTAATGTCCTTGTAGGAAAGGGGAAATTTGGACAGAGCTGAGCTACACAGGGGGACTGCCATGTGATGATGGGGGTGGGATTAAGTGATTCATCTGCAAGCCAAGGAACCCTCGGGATGTTGGCCACGACCAGAGGCTGGAGGAGGCAAGGAAGGAGCATCCTTGGAGACTTTGGAGAGAGCATGACCTTCCTGACACCTTGGTTTTGGACTTCTGGCCTCCAGAACTGTGAGGAATAAGCTCTTGTTGTTTTAAGCCGCTAGTTGGTAATAGTTTGTTGTGGCAGTCCTAGGAAAGTAATATGCCTCTTCTCCACACAGCTGGGATCATGTGCCTACCTCTCCCCATCGTGGTCATTCCTGCCCTCAAGTGGGATGGGTGCAAGCTGCCGACCCCCCACTTTAGAACTTGACCCCAAGTCCCTTGTCTGCTATTTCTGTCACCTCGACCTCCACTTCTGATCACTTCCAGTGTCACCAACTGATCCTCTCACCTCGGGGCCCAGAACTGCTGGGGATCCCCCACAACCCCAGACAGCTCCCTGTATGTCCCCAGCTGCTCCCTGGCCAGCTCCTCTTTCCCTGTCCCCTCCTTGTCTGGCTGAGTCATTCCCATGCTCCAAAACTCCACATCTTCTCCAGTGGGTGCCCTGCCCCATGGGCCTCACCTGGCCTGGCAGGCTGGGCTGAGAATCCCTCGAATGGATGTGGATGTCCCCAGAGCCCTGAGTAGCACTTGTGCCTAGCTTGTTTCGTGCAGCACTGTCACCGCCATTTATTTGGGAATCTCTGCCCCTGGATGGAACTCTCCATGGGCAGAGACCATGCTGTGCTCTCCAGGAAAGCTTGTCACATAGGGATAATCCATCCCAGCCCCTCTCTTTAGGGATGGGATAATTGAGGCCCAGAAAGTAGAAGAAACTTGCCTAAAGTTATACATCCAAGCAGGACCAAGGCTGAGGTTCTTCCTGCTGTCAAAACAGCATCTGGGAGTGTTCTTTTGGTGCCCCAAGAGAGGCAGCAACCACTTCTTGGGCACCTCAGAACTTTCTGACTCTCAGGCCTTAAGGGGCCCATGGGGTTGGGCAGGTAGAGTCCTGAGGGCTGGGGTGGGAGGTCTTGCTCCTGCTGGAGGAGCCATGGTGCACCGGTCAGACTGGGCAGAGGTTACCATACCCCGGGCAGGACAAGAGCTCATGGGAGGAGAATCCCCTCTGGGACATAGACACTCTGGGTTCTGGGATGCTCCCTGAGATCAGCCTGTACAGCTTTGAACTGCCTCTGCCATTGCCTCAGTTTCCCCATCTCACCCAGACCTCGGGCACTTTAAAGATGCAAAAAAGATCCAATAGGTTCAGATTTCAGCTCTGCTACATGTCAGCTTGGACACATCATTCGGTCTCTCGGAGCCTCCCTCTCCCCAGCTATGAATAATGGGGGCTAAATGAGAGGCACTGGAGAGCCAGAAACAGCATGCAGCCTCATTCACAGTGCTGCCCTTTCTTGTATGTCCTGGTCCCCCAAAGTCTGCCTGCTGCCATCATGCCTTGTGCCCTCCCCTTCTCCCCTGGGGCAGGGTGGAGGGGGCTGAGACCACGGGTGAATTGGACCCCTCTTGGGCCAATCTGGGCCAGGCATATATCAAATGGAACCATATTTCCATCCTTGCAACAAGCCTGTCAGGCAGAGAGCATAACCCATTTTACAGAGGAGGAAACTGAGGCCCAGAGTTTCACTTACTTGGCTGATGAAGAGGAATGGTGCAGCCAGGCAGGACTGGCGTGAAGGTGGCCATGAGGAGTTAACTCTGCCTTATTCTATGTCTTCTGCCACCTGCCAAGTTTTTCTCAGGCTTTGGTGACATCAGCGCCCTGGGTACATGTGCTGGGCAGGGGATCACAGCTGCGTGGTCTGGGACCCTGGTGCAGGGAACCACACAGTACCTCCAAAGCATCTCACCCTTCACTGGCATTTCAGAACAGCCAGAGACCCCAAGTTTCAATCCTAAGGAATGAGCCATTCACCCCAGCACACACAGTGCTGGAGGAACATGCCACCCTCCACTTCCAGAAGCCCATAAATTGTACCTGTCCCCCATGTGGGGAGGATAAGGTGTCTGGGGAGATGAAGGGCCTGTCCCACTGTCCATCTAGATGGCTGGGCCAGGCCAGGCAATTTTGCTGATGTCACCTCTCTGGAGATATTAAATATTGATAATACAATAAATTTTCCATGGACCTTCTATGACTCATGTCTTGGTGTGTGCCGAAAGGAAGACAAGTAGGCCGGGGTGGTTCCATTTAGGCTGATGGGCATCCATTTCCCTGGCACTCTGGGAATCACAGCCTTCTTGTGCCAAAGGGGCTTAGGGAGGTCATCTTGTCCAGCCCCCTGCTGCAGGCCCTAGCCTGCCTGAGATGAGCATTCTCCATGGCAGGGGATATCATCTGGTTTGCTCATCACAATTATCAATCACCCTTTCTCTTAGGAAGCTCTTCTTCAAATCCGACTGTGGTTCACATTAAGCAGGAGTCTGCCAGGCAGGCCCCGTATCTTGACAACCACATGACCAAAGAACCTCATTCCTAGGGAGTAGAACACCTGGCTGGGCTCAGAGGTCTCACTTTGACCCATTTCCAATTGTGTGACCTTGTAAGTTACAATGTCGCTGAACTTCAATGCCCTCATCTATAAAACGGGACGGTAATCTTTCCAGACCACTTCGTACGACTGTTGGGAGCAGGGCTTCAGTTTCCCACAGGCACAGCTTGGTGAGTGCAGGGGGGACTACAGGGCTAGTTGTCCTCCGCAGTAAATAACTTGATCAAATGAGACAATAAATGTTGAAGGGCTTTGCAAATGTAAATTGCTTTGTAAACACAGTGTGTGTAAATGTTAGGGAAAATTATATGCTTTGAAAATTCGGAGCAGCGAACTTCCTTAGAAGCGGGGAAGGTTCTTAAATTTTCTTGTATCCCCAGTCCTGGAGGCCTGTGTATGAGTTTGTCGGGAGGGGCAGGGGAGCCCCCCAGAGCTGGACTGGCTGTGTTCCTCCCCTCCCACTCCTCCTCCTTCGGGCTTCAAGCCAGGGTCAGGCTCCGGCTCCTGATTACAAAGGCCCAGGAGTGGGGAGCTTATCAGTTACGTGGAATCAATAGGCATTTTCTTTATATTTTCCAATTAAAAGAGCCAACAGAGAAAAGAGAAAAACTCAAGTGCCCAGCAGCTGTCAATAGCTGTTGAGCAAGGGGAAGTGCAGGGTCAGTGGGCCAGGCCATTTGTCAATGCCAAGCTCTGCTCGCCTGGCCTGCTCTCACAGCGTTGGATGTACCCAGAAGAGGAACTGGGAGGCAGTGCATCTTCCTGTGGCTTCTCAGACTTTTGGCCTTGGCAACTCTGTCTCCTGGGCCTTCATTTGTCAGGAAATGTGCAGAATTGAACTGAGGCTGTAGTGAGGCACTCCTGCGGTCAGTGACAGGCTGTCGGTACGGCCATCCACTGCTAGGATCACACGGCTTCAGAGAGACCTGCAGGTGGGGCTGGGGACCCTGCAGTGTCTCTCTGAACCTTTTCATTTTGGGGAAAATGCTCACCCATCCTTCTCAGAACCAGTGAGAAAACACAAGAGAGAATGGGCTGAGGCAGCAAGCAGGATGTGGGGCAGATATGAACAGGCATCTGGACACAGAGATGGGTCATCAGAAGCCCGACCTGCCTACTCACATGAGACTTCTGCTCCCCGAGGTACCCAGGCTGCAGAGCTCTCTTCGGCCCTGGGGTCTGTGAGTGGCAGGGAGACGGCCCCTTCTTGAGGTGACTGGTGTGGCTGCCCCTCCCAGATCCTGTCACCAGGCCCATGACTCTCCCCAGCTGCTGGGAGCTTTAGCTCATGCCTCCCCTAACCCTCTGTACTGGGCAGAAGGAAGCCAGCTCATCTGGAAATGCTCTGGAGTTTATGCCTCCACAGGGTAGCCCTCATGTGATGACTGACTGAGATGGGGTACAAAAGGCTGGTGCCCTGGCCTAAAGGGGGCTCCCGATGCTCTGGAAGCCCCCATGGGGTAAATCTGTGGCTAGGCCTCAGCTGCACCCTCATCTTTGCCTAGTTTTTCTTCTTGCCCTAATCTTCTCCCTTCATCCCATTATGGGGCTCACCTGAGGGCAGCCCCTCCTCGTTATGTGCACAAAACCCTAACTCAGGCTCTGCTTGCCCCTGGGAGAACTGGACGCATTCAATTCATTCATTTGGCAGGTATTTATTGTACATTTATCACATGCCAGGCACTGGGCTAGACCCTGGAGGTGCACAGTGATAATGACTGCCAGCGGGGGAGAAAGGTGACAAGCAGGTAAACAAATAGGTAAATGGGTTAGACACGAGAGCTGAGGACAGGAGAAGGCATTGGGGTGGGGAATGGGTGCGGGGGGGACTACTTGGGATTAGGTGGGCAGGGAAGGTCTCTCTAAGGAAGTGGCCTGTGAGTTAGGACTTGGTGACTAGGAGGAACCAGGCACGTGAAGACCATGGGGAAGGGTGCAGTTAGACAGCTGGCACGTGCAAACACCCCAAGGCTGGACTAAGCCTGTGAACTTTGAGGCCCTGAAAGGCCAGTGTGCATGGAACTTAGCGGGCAGGGCATGAGGGCAGAGAGGGTGTGACCTGGCCAGCCATGGCAAAGGCTCCATTCCAAGGGCAATAGGGACCTTGGAAAGGAGGTCAGGCAATGGAATGATAGGATCTGACCCCTAGTTTTAAAAGGTCAACCTGGTGGTCCTGCCTAGATGGGCAAGGTACAGGGTGGGGACCACGGGAGTTGAAACTGATGCTTCTGGTGCCCTATGCCACAGCCCATTTGTGATTTTACCTGCAGCTGATGAGTCAAGGACAAACATCCTCAAATGCTTGCTTCTCCTCTCTGCTTTTCTTCTATGGGGCTTTTGGGGGAGCTCCAAGGGCTTACTCGACCTGCATAAGACACCCTGGGAGTATTAGGAGGACAGGGAGTCAAGGCCTCTGGGGACAACCATCCATCAGTGGGGATCGAGAGTCAATAAACAAAAGCCCCAGCCTCTGTCCTTTGGAGGGACAGTTCTGAGAAGTGGGCCACACAGTTTCTGTAGGAATGAGCTACACTTGCCCTCAGCAGCATCAGTGATTCAGAAACACACACCGGGATGGTGCTATGAGCTGAATGTGTTGCACCAAAATGCATATGTTGAAATCCCAGCCCCTAAGGTGATATTGTTAGGAGGTGAGGCTTTGGGGAAGTGATGAGGTCGGGGGCAGAGCCTTCAAGAAGGGGACCAGTGTCCTTATGAAAGAGGCCCCAGAGAGCCACCTTGCCCCTCTTGCAGTGGAAGAATGCTGTCAGAAGCCTCTGTCTATGAGGAACAGGCCCTCACTAGACACTGAATCTTCTGGTGCCTTGATCATGGACCCCCCCATCTCCAGAACCGTGAGAAATACATTTCTGTTGTTTATAAGTCACCCGGTCCATGGTATTTTGTTATATAGCAGCCCACACAGACTAAGGTAGCCTTTCCTTTCTCCTGTCTTGCTTGTGCTCATCTGTGTTTTCTGTGATTGCCTCCCAAATAAACAACCTGCATTCAAATATTTGTTTCACACTCTGCTCTTGAGGGAACCTAAAGTAAGACAGACAAAGGAGAGATGATGGTGGCTTGGAGGAGGTGATGGCTGTGGAGGGCAGAGAATCCAGAGATGGACCCAGGATATACTATGCCATCCAGGCAATAGGACAAGCCAGTGGATTTGCTATAGAGGATGAGGAAAGGGGAGGAATCAAGGATGACTCTGAGGACTTTGGCTTGAAGGTTGAAGGTTTACTAAAATTAAGAAGACTGGGCCAGGCTTGCTGGCTCACGCCTGTAATCCCAGAACTTTGGGAGGCCAAGGCAGGCAGATCACCTGAGGTCAGGAGTTTGAGACCAGCCTGGCCAACATGGTGAAAACCCGTCTCTACTGAAATACAAAAAATTAGCCGGGCGTGGTGGTGGGTGCCTGTAATCCCAGCTACTCGGGAGGCTGAGGCAGGAGAATCACTTGAACCCAGCGGGGGCGGAGGTTGCAGTGAGCCAAGATCATGCCATTACATTCCAGCCTGGGCAACAAGAGTGAAACCCCATCTCAAAAAAAAAAAAAAAAAAAAAAAAAAAAAAAAAAAAAGACAACTGGCAGAAGAACAGGTGTACAGTAGGGAAACTCAAGAGGTTGGTCTGGGCGGTATTAAATTTGCAATGTCTGTGAGATCTCTCAGTGGAGATTCCCAAGAGGCAGCCAGAGATACGAGTCTAGAGCTTGGAGCAGAGGTTAAGGCTACAGACAATCAATCTGAGTCCAGTCATCAGCTTAGAAATGGTATTTTAAGCCATGGGCCTAGGTGAGAGCACCCAGGAGAGTGAATCGATGGAGAACAAATGCAGGTTAAACAAAAGGAAGGGAGCCCCTTCATCTGAGCCTGGAGACTTAGCCCAGCTTCGTGGATCTGCCCAGGTTTCCTAAACTCCCTGGGTGCCCACAGTTTCATAATCTTATGGGATCCTTGGAGCAGTCCTGAGGGGCAGGAGACAGGCAGGGCTGCCGTGTATAGTCACACATGTTAGACACTGCCCAACTCCAGGTGGTACAATTTACACAGGGCACAATGTCACAGGTACCCCCTAGAGTTGTTCAGTTTACAGTCTTCACAGCCATACACACTTTGCAAGGCCAGAGAGAATATGGACAAGGCTGTACATGAGCCACAGAGAGGAACCTCTGAGAATTCAGCAGAGGTGGAGATTGCAGCACTTGGGGCAGTCAGAGAAGTCTCCCTGGAGGCGGTGACATTTGCCCTGGAGCTCAAAGGAGGGGGAGTATTTACACCATTTGAATTTGGGAGTGAGATGCTCCAGCAGAGGCAGTTGCAACGAACAAAGTCTGTAGGCAGAAATTGCCCGGCATGTTTGGGAATTTGCTTTCCAGGGATTGCCAAGGAAAGTCATAAGGATTATGCAAAGACTGTTCTGGGTGGAGGCCCTTGAATGACATGCCGGGGGATGCACAAAGTTATCAGACTCGCTGAAGGTCACACAGTGAGGGAGACTCAGAGCCAGGGCTTGGACACTGGGTCAGTGGGTGTGCTTGCCTGTGCTGTCAGGATGCAGGCTTCCTAGTGACCTCTCACCTTCCCGGTTCCTGTCACTCCCTTTGGCTCCAAAACCTCATGAAGGGGTAGCAGCTGCCTTCTCCAGCCCCCATCTAGTCCCCAGAGGCAAAGAGGCCTGTTCCGCCTTTATTTCCCAGGGCAGCATCTAAAGAGCCAGCAGATTTGCAGGGAGGGGGCAGAGGTTCCCCCGGAACACGGAGAAAAGTGGGCAAGAAGTAAGTTTGTGGGCAGGGAGTTGGGCTTCCAGCATGGGAGGGGAGAGATGGGAGAGGAACTGGACACCGGTTGCAGAGGTGGAAATAAGGCAATGGGCACTCTTGTTTGTCTAGGAACCCAGGAAAGAGAGGCAGCCAAGGGCAGGGCCTCCTGGGAATGGGCCTTGCCAAGCTCTCGCCTGACTTTGAGAGTGCCATGTTAGCCAGTCCCATGCTGAGATCCATGATCCTACACACACACTCTCACACTCCCACACACATACTCTTATACACACACACATACATACACACTCTCATGAATGCACACACACACACATGCACACACACACACACACACATGCTGTTCCTGTCACCTTGAACCCCTGCCACTCCCTCCGACGATTCTTTTACCTTAGGCCTGCAACCCCGCTACTTCCTCCTTCATGTCTCAGTTTTTATGTCCCTTTCCCCAGGAGACCTCCTCTGTTGCCCCACATCTATTCAGCGGCCCTCCTTTGGGTCCGCCGGCCCTGTTATAGCCCCACCCTGTTCTGTAGGTTTGCTGTTCTGCATCTGTCATCCTAGCCTGTGCATGCTGAGAAGACAGATGTTTTACCTGGCCTGATCCCTGTAGCATCTCCAGGGCCTAGCATGGTGTTTGGTACACAGCAGGTGTGCAATAAATGCTACAGGCAGCAAAGGAGGAGCAACATATCTAGTGTCTATCGAATTCTTGTTTTTCCCTTTCCTCCCAGGTTGGTGGCCACCTTGAGCTTTCCTGGTCCTGTGAGTCTTGTCCCTTCTCTGAGACCTTTAGTCCTAGCTCCCCAGCTGTCCCCTGCCCCCGGCATGCTCTAGAGTCCTGAGTGCCCCCAATCTGATCATCTGTGCTGAAGGCCAGGTTATGCAGAGGCTGTTCTAGGAACAGGTAGGACAAGCAGACCCCATGCCCAGGAGACTCTTGACCTGGGGAGAACCAATTCAGGCAAATCCCCTAATTCCCTGGACTGTGGTCACCAGCGACGATGCTGCTTCTGCCTCCTTCGATTACCTGCCTTCCGCGGCTGCCTCCACCTCCCTCCAAAGCTGGCTTTAGGAAAATCCCAGCAGCCCAGGCTGCTCCTTCCTTTGCCCTCCCCTCCACCCTTGATCCTGCCTGAGGCAGGCCAGGCCTAACCTGGACTCATACCACAGCCCCGCCCTGCCTTCCCAGCTCTGTGCTGCTAGCCCTGCAGTTTTCTCCCCAAAATTGAAGCATCATCACTGTGGGAGCTTCAGCTGAAGGGAAGTTTCTCTGAGAGTCTGCAAACTGCAGCATCCCTGGGACCTGGGCTTCAGCAGAAGAGGGGAGTCTGGAGGCTGTCCTGGCTCTTGCTGCTCTGGAGAGATATGTTTTCCATGAGAAAAAGCATGTCTTGCGGTGTCCAACTCAAAACCTAACTGAAGCTACTCCTGGAGGCCCTGTAGACACAAAGCTGCTTGGCCCCCAGCCCTGCCCTGGAGGCAACTGTCGGGAATCCTGTGCTGGACAGACAAGGGCTAGCCTAGAGCAGACCATCTCTGGGAGGCAATGCACCAAAGGCCTCCCGGAGGAGATGGCACCTGGGGGGATCTGCACAGATGTGCAGGAGGACATGGGTGCGGAGGGAAAGGGTGCTCCAAGAGGGAACTGTGTGAGTAAGAGCTGGGTTTGGGAAACACTTGGTCACCGGCAGAGCGTTGGCCAACAGGAGCCTGGAAAAGATGAGCTTTCATCTACTCTGCACAGGCATTTAAATAGGTACCCCGTGCCCAGGCCCTCCTGAGTGGTGGGCACAGATGACATGACACCCGCCCTACCCTCAAGGGGTTCTCTCTGTCCAGGGAAGGAGGCCATGAGATTCACTGTGCCTTAACATAGTAGGTGCTCATCAAATGTGGCTGCTGGGCAAGAGCAGAGATATGTGCTGCTATTAACTTCACAGGGGCCCAGGGAGGAAGGAGAGTCCCCAGCAGGCTGGCAGGCAGCTGGGAGCCTTCCTCGGGGAAGCAAATCTGTGCTGGGCTTGGAGGGATTCTGCCCGGTGATGAGATTTGGGGAGGGAGATGAGAAGTGGCTTCTGCTGGGATGTGTCCATCCTTGGGAGGTTATCACTGATATGACAGGACTGGGAGTCTCAGTGCATGTCACTGATATGACAGCAAGTGCATGACAGTGTGAGCTTGCGTGTGTTTTACATTAGTGTATAAGTATGCAGTGTGCATAGGTGCGTAAAACTGTGTGTGTGTGAGCAAGAGCAAGTGCAAGTATATGTGAGTGTGTGAGATTGGGAGCACAAATGCATGTGAGAGTGCATGAATCTGTGAGCTAGTGTGTGCATGCAGTGTGCATATGTGTGTGAGGCTGAGGCTGTGTGAGTGTGAACTGGTATATGTGTTTGGATTTGAATGTGCATGAGTGTGCATGCCCGTGTGGCTGAGTGTGTGAGCCTGCAGGGGACTGTGACAGCGCATGTGGGTTTGAGCGTGCACTGCACATCACCAGAGCCGTGCTCTGCTTGTTTTTGCAATCACTATGATTTGCTGGATTTCAGCCGAGCATTCAATCCTCCGTGAGACATAAAGAAAATGAATTTTATTCCCTGGGGACATTGCATCCAGCCCAGGGGGACAAGTGCATGGCGTGGTCAGTGGTTACAGAGCAGCTGGCATGCTGACTTTGCTTATCAGGAGTGATGGCTCCTCTGGGGAGCACCACGGCTGGGAGCCAGAAGCCTACTGTGTGACCTTGGCCTGGTCTCTGGCCCTCTCTGGGCTTGGCTGTTTGCCCAAGTGAGAGAAGGATGCAGAGAAACAAGACTGGCAGGAGAGACCGGAACCACAGGCATGGCCTTTTCCAGGTCCACATCCTCAGCTTTGGGCTCTGTCTAGACAGGCACCCACTCCCACAGGCTGTGGGTCTTCCCAGGAGGGCCCATGGAGCCATCTTAAGGACTTGCACTAGCAGTCAATTGGCATGCAGGAGTGTGGGTAGAAGAAAGGCAATGAGCCTCCGAGCCAGGCATTCCTGGTTCAGACCCCAGGACCACTGCTCACAGTAATACGAACTGAAGCCATCACCTAACCACCACCCCAGCACTCACTCTGAGCTGCAGCTGAGTGCTCTACCTCCACCACCTCATGTGCATCTCCCAACAGCTCAAGGAGGAAGGTAGAATTAGTCCCATTTTATAGGTGGGAAAACTGAGACTGAAAATGCCTCAGTGACATGCTCTGAGCTAAGGGGTGGCTCTGACCACCTGCTGAGCTGCCTTCCTGGGCTTCACATCTGCGGAATGAGAGTAGTGATGTCAGCTTGGTGGACTTGTCTTGGGCTGAATGAGACACTGTGGGTGGGGAGGGGCCAGCACGGAACCTGGCTCTCAGTGACCATGCTGTGAGTGGCCCCGGGCTCCTCTGGGTAGGAGAGGCCCTGGGAGGAAGGAAGGAGGCCTGGACCTCTGGGAGCCCCACTTGCTAGCTGCCTCAACCTGGATGAGGACTGGGCTGAGATGAGGGCTGAGGGTGGGGTCCCAAGGGAGGATCGGGTCTTATACTATCCCCTTCACCGTGGTGAAAACAGACACTGAAGCCTTCAGAACACAGCCCTGAAGCACGTTCCACCCCAGGGTGCTGACCAGGGGCAGGAGGAAGCAGCCCTGTGTCCACAGGCCTTGTCTCCCCAGTGGCCTCCTGAGAATGGCACAGAGCAGAAACCTTCCCCCTGCCCCCAGCCCACTGAGGATCCAGGTGCCCCTAATTAAACCCCAGGAAGGGAGGTGGCAACAGGAGAGGTTAATTGGCCGGGCCTGGTATGGCCTGATAAGCCTCTGTCTGTGTTCCTGGGGAAGGTGGGGTGTGAGTTGTGAATGTGCTCATGCATCTAATTGCAGGGTCACCCACCCCCCGGCTCTGTAATCTCCACGGAGCCCGAGGCTACCAGCTCCCCTACCACAGGGCCCCCTTGGTCAGTCTCCCCGCTTCCAACCTAGAAATTGGTCACCCCTCTGCAGCCTTGTACTGAGAGCCACCTGCCCCCAACCTCAGTCACCTGGCCCCGCACACAGCTCCAGCTAATCCTTGACCTTGAGGGGATGCTTGATTACAGTCAGGGCTCTGGCTATCAGGCCCAGGTCTTCTCTCCGGAGGTCCCTTTCTCACTGGAATGGTGTGTGGATGTGGGGGCATTTGGGGGAAAGCTGGGGACTCTGTTCAGGGATGTCCTTGAAAATCTCAAGATAAAAACATATGTGAATGGAGCAAAGATAGTCTTTTCAACAAATGGTGCTGGAATAACTGGACCATCCACACGCAAAAAAAAGAAAAAAAAGGATCTAGACACAAATCTTATACTGTTCAAAAAATTAACTCAAAACCGATTAAAGACTTAAATGTAAAATGCAAAACTATAAAACTCCTAGAAGATAACATAGAAGAAAACCTAGATGACCTTGGGTATGGCAATAACTTTTTAGATATGAAACTGGAGGCATAGTCCATGAAAGAAATAATTGATAAGTTGGTCTTCATTAGAATTAAAATAAAAACTTCTGCCCTGTGAAAGACACTGCCAAGAGAATGAGAAGACCAGCTACAAACTGGGAGAAAACATTTGCAAAAGACACAGTTGATAAAGGACTGGTATCCAAAATATACAAAGAACTCTTAGAACTCAACAATAAGGAAACACAAACAATGGCCAGGCATGGTGGCTCATGCCTGTAATCCCAGCAATTTAGAAGGCTGAGGCAGGTGGATTACTTGAGCTCAGGACCTGGGCAACATGGCAAACCCCCAAAATCTCTACAAAAAAATGCAAAAAAAAAAAAAAATTAGCCAGGCATGGTGACATGTGCCTGTAGTCCCAGCTACTCAGGAGGCTGAGGTGGGAGGATCGTTTGAGCCCAGGAGATAGATAGAGGCTGCAGTGAGTCAACTTCGTGCCACCACACTCCAGTCTGGGTGATGGAACTGAAACCCTGTCTCAGAAAGAGAGAAAGAAAGGAAGAAAGGAAGAGAAGAAAGAAAGAAAGAAAGAAAGAGAGAGAGAGAGAGAGAGAGAGAGAGAGAGAGAGAGAGAAAGAAAGAAAGAAAGAAAGAAAGAAAGAAAGAAAGAAAGAAAGAAAGAAAAAAAGAAAGAAAGAAAGGAAGGAAGGAAGGAAGGAAGGAAGGAAGGGAGGGAAAGAAAGAAAGAAAGAGAAAGAAAGAAAGAAAGAAAGAAAGAAAGAAAGAAAGAAAGAAAGAAAGAAAGAAAGAAAGAAAGAAAAGAAAGGAAAGAAAGGAGAAAGAAAGGAAAGAAGAAAGAAAGAAAGAAAGAGAAAGAAAGAAGAAAGAAAGAGAGAGAGAGGGAGGGAGGAAGGGAGGAAGGGAGGAAGGGAGGAAGGAAACAACCCATTTTAAAAATGGGCAAAAGACCTGAACAGACACCTCACCAAAGAAGATGTACAAATATCAAATAAGCATATGAAAAGATGTTCAAAATCATACATTATTAAGGAATTGCAAACTAAACCAACAATAAGATACCACTCCACACCTCTTAGCATGGCAAAAATCCAAAAACACTGACAACACCAAATGCTGGCAAGGATGTAGAGTAACAGAAACTCTCATTCATTGCTGGTAGGAATGCAAAAAGCTACAGCTACTTTGGAAGACAGTTTTGACAGTTTCTTATCAAACTAAACGCACTTTTATCATATATCCAGCAATCGTGCTCTTTGATATTTACTGAAATGAATTGAAAACTTATGTCTGCACAAAAACTTGCACATGGCTATTTATAGCAGCTTTATTCATATGTGTCAAAATTTGGAAGCAACTAAGATGTCTTTGAGTAAGTGAATGGATAAACTGTGATACATTCAAACAATGAAAATATTATTCAGCACTAAAAAAGAATGAGTTATGAAGCCATGAAAAGACATGGAGGAAACTGAAGTGCATTTTAATAAGTGAAAGAAAACAATCTGAAAAGGCCACGTATTGTAAGATTCCAGCTACATGCCATTCTGGAAAAGGCAAAACTATGGAGACAGTAAAAAGATCAGTGGGGCCAGGCGCCGTGGCTCACGCCTGTAATCCCAGCACTTTGGGAGGCCAAGGTGAGTGGATCAAGAGATTGAGACCATCCTGGCCAACATGGTGAAACCCCGTCTCCACTAAAAATACAAAAATTAGCTGGGCTGGTGGTGCGCGCCTGTAGTCCCAGGTACTCGGGAGGCTGAGGCAGGAGAATCGCTTGAACCCAGGAGGTGGAGGTTGCAGTGAGCCAAGATTGCGCCACTGCACTCCAGAATGAGACTCTGTCTCAAAGAAAACAAGAAAAAAAAGAAAAGAAAAAAAGATCAGTGGTTGCTGAGGTTGGGGAAAGGGAGGGATGAACAGGGAGAGCACAAAGGATTTTTAGGAAAGTGAAATTACCTTGCATGATAAAATAATTGTGATTGCGTGTCATTATACATTTTCCAAAACCCCTGGAATGTACAACACCAAGAGCGAAGCCTGCTGTAAACTGTGGACTCTGGGTGATGATGACATGTCATCATAGGTTCATCGATCACAACAAATGTACCACTCTGGAGTGGGATTTTGATGGTGGGGAAGGTGGAAGGGACAGGAGGTATATGGAAAATCTCTGTACCTTCTGCTCAATTTTGCTGTTGAGTCTTAAACTGCTTTTGAAAATAAAGTCTATTTTAAAAAATTATTGCATTAAATATACTTAAATTTGATTCCTGTTTTGATCTTAAATCCATGCAACATGACCCAGTAACATTTCCTCTGACAGGTCATTGGAACTCTATTATTCCTGCTGGGATTATTATTACTAAGTTATTGAATTATCTGTCAGGCACTGTGCTAAGCAGTTGACTCTGATCATCTAATCTGACCCTCATAACGTGCCCTGAGGTCGGAACTGGTGCCCCACTTTATAGATGAAACAACTGATGCCTAGAGAGGTGAGCCGACATGCCCACAGTTGCACAGGTGTCAGTGATAGAGCTAGGATTTGAACCAAGGTTTGTCTGGGTCCAGAGCCTGAACACCACATGCCATGCAAACAGAACAATAACCATTCATAGTGATAAACACTGCATTTTTTTCATCGTGCTCTCATTTGTTTTCATTGTTCCCATTTTAGAAGGTGGACACTAGCCAGAGAGCTGAGGTACCTTGCCCTGCTTAGTTCCTTTGCAATCACACCCTTGTTTCTGGAGCTCTCTCCCCAGTCTCTGGAGTCTCAGAGGTGTCATAGGAGTGAAGGAAAATGTCAAGAATATTAAATTTATAATTGAGTAAAACCTGGGGAGAATCGTTAAATCATGATCTAATATTTCCCAAATGGTTCATCGACATTTTAAAGACATGTCGAATTCTACGGCTTGCACATCCTGAGAGTGCAGATGAAAAGTTGGATGTTTATACTGGAGGCGAGCTGCTGAGCGGCACTAAAATGCCAGCAGCACAGATTTGAACCCAGAGCAACACTCCTCACCCTTGCAGTGACCTTTCAAGTTCATTCTATGGGTGAGGCTCAAGTGGGACATGGAGATCCAGATGTGTTTACATAAGCATACTTAATTGCAAAGGTATAAGAACACCTGATTATGACTGATGCCAATCCATTTCTAGATATCAAGTTCCAGATGTCTTTCAGTATAAAAACTGACTTCAAAAATATGTGCCTTCCTGGCCGGGCATAGTGGCTCACGCCTGTAATCTCAGCACTTTGGGAGGCCGAGGCAGGTGGATCACCTGAGGTCAGGAGTTTGAAACCAGCCTGGCCAACATGGTGAAACCCTGTTTCTACTAAAAATACAAAAATTGGCCAGGCGTGGTGGCGGGTGCCTGTAATCCCAGCTACATGGGAGGCTGAGGCAGGAAAATCGCTTGAACCTGGGAGGCGGAGCTTTCAGTGAGCCGAGATTGCGCCACTGCACTCCAGCCTGGGCGACGGTGTGAGACTCCATCTAAAAAAAAAAAAAAAGTCCAAAAATATGTGCCTTCCTAGCACCCAGGTCTTGGTTTCCAAATACTGTTTGCCAATAAAAGGAACCAGGACTCCTTGGAGAGATGGCTGGTCCTAGGGCTGGTAAGAGATTGTACTAGATGACCCTGGAGGATTTTGTGGGGCCAGAAAGTAAGGTAGTGCAAAAACAAACAAAAATACAAAAAAAAAAAAAAAAACAAATGAAAAGCAGCAGTATGATTGACATATATGTATATATATGATGGGGCTCATGTCAAAAGAACAGAGGAATCCATCTGCAAGAGTTTTGAAGGCCCAAGCTGCAACAATCTGAGCAACACAATATATAACAAGAGTACTGAATCCTAACAAATAATGTAGAAGGAATGAGAAATCAAAAGTCACCATTAGGACACACAGTAGGAACGTCTGCAGGCCGGATCCAGCAGTGGAAGGTAAAGTTAGTGGGCAAATCTTCAAGGAGAAGCAGGACACTGCAGAGCCTCCAAGTGTCTCCCCCAAACATATTAATCACTGCGGTAGTTTTAACAGATGTGTACGCATTAATATATACGAAGGTAGAAGTAGAGCTGAAGCTTAATTCCTCTATTCTTGAGTGTGGGCTACTCTTAGCAACTTGCTTCTAATAATAGAATAAGAAGAGGGGAAAACAACACCGCAGTGGAGAAAGCTGGCAGATACGGCTTAGCCCAGCGATCAAGGTTAGCGTCACCAGTGCTAAGTCCTGTTGATGTGTGCACCCCTGCTGTGATGTGAAAGAGATCCACAGTGAAACCCACAGTGTTGCACCAGGAGAAACACTGTGAACATTAGCAGGAGCATTAGGGGGAGCTGGGTGAAGAGTGCACAGGAACTCTGTGCTATCTTTGAACCCTTCTGTAAATCTAAAATTATTTTAGAATAAAACATTTTAAAGAAACACATGCCTTGTTCTGGGTTCAGGATCTCCAAAAGGTTGAAATATTGGCCTTAAATGAGGAGAAGAATGTAAAAAAAAAAAAAAAATAGCCAGGCTATTTCAAAAGCAGTAAATCCAATCTTTGGTTCCCTCTGCAATATATACTTTGCATACATATAACTATGTATCAGTAAAATGGGATCATGCTATATGCACTGTTTTACAGCCTGCTTTATTAGTAACAAACCATTGTGAGAGATCCGTAAGGTTTATCACAAACGTTGCCAGGGACTACAGTTTAGAGGGGCTCTCCAAGACTTTCTGGAAACCTCCTTGTGCTCTGTGGAAGTTCTGTGGCCTCCCCACCTAGCATTGCCCCAGCCCATGTTATAGAGATCAGCACCCCATAACACAGGACAAAATCCTGGAGATGCTGTCTGGGAGCTGTCCTGAGAACTTCCTGAAAAAAAAAAAAAAAAAAAAAGACTCTGAGCCAGAAGTCAGGAGACCTGGCAATGCATCCCTAAGGGAAGCCACGTGCTCTCTCTGAGCCTGTTTCTTCATCTGTGAAATGCAGAGATGATTTCAGGCTTTGCTTCTCTCCCGGGACCCCTGGAGGTTCCAAAGTAGGCTGGCCATGAGGAAAATATGACATCAGCTCTACCTCTGAGCACCAGGATTCAAAACCCTAGTTTGCCCCTTCCTGCCTGGACACCATTAGTGAGTGGTTTAACCTCTGGGCCTCAGTTTCCTCACCTACAAGTGGGGCTGACATCAATACCCACTTCACGGGGAGTGAATGAGCTCTCTTGTGTTCAGAAGGCTGAGCACGGTGCCTGGGAGAAGGTGGTTGCCATCAGTGGCAGATACAGTGATAGCTACTTTGGTGTTGACCGAGCGCCCCACAGCAAGCCTGGGGCTTCCCAGCACAGCGGTGTGGCACTCTGTGATGCCAGTGGTGGCGGCAGCCCTGCCTTCTCCTTGGAACCAGCCCCAACTGGCATAGTCTGTGATCCACTCACTTGACGGCCAGCTCCCAGATGGCCTGTGTCTCCTGGCCCAAGACCCAGCTCCTGTGGGCATCTCAAAGCTGCCAGCGTGGACAGAACGTGGGCTGCCCAGAGAACAGGCCTATAGGGGCTGTGCGCCAGGGCTGGAGAGGGCTGGGGAGGGACAGGCCAACCCCAAACCTCTGCCAGCCTCCCTGGAGATGTCACAGGTTTAGCAGGGGCTGCTTGACACATGTCGGATAAAATAAGAAAAAATAAATAACAATGTTTATAAGAAGATTAGCGAGAAGGCGGCAAAATTTCTCTAGGGAGCCTCCTTGGCTGCATCTCAGAATGACAGCTCCCATTGCCTTATCAGAGACATAATGAGTTGCCAGGATTTGGGGTCATTAAAAATCCTCCTGGGCTGGGCCCCCTCCCTCGCCCATTGCCTTTGATGGTGGAGACAGGGGGCCTCGTGGTGGCTCAGGTCCCCTGCCCCCACTGCGCTGTCTGCCCATCACTGTCCCTGTCTGCAGGGGTACAGAGGTGAGATGGTGGAGCCCAGCTTGGCGGAAGTAATGCAACACGACGGCCCAATTTGTGCCCTTGGCCCCTCGGGCAGAGAACTCGTCTCCCTGGTGCGGATTAGGCTCCGTTTTATCTCCGCTCCTTCAGAGACAAAAGGGGGGCTCTGCATAGGCGCATAGCCATGAGGCATCCGCGACTCCAGCCTGCGTTGTGCGGTAAGGAGCCTGCCACCCATATTATCCAATGCCTCGCTTGGCACATGGGGAAACTGAGGTTCGGGCAGAGGCAGTGTACATAGGTTGCAGCATCGTGGGGGCAGAGTCAGGCTTTGGACACAGGTCTCGGGATTCCCAGCCCGAGGTTGGGTGTGTGCTCATGAATGACTGCATGTTTGTACAGGGAGCAGAATGGAGGAGCGCGATGATAGGATGTACAGAAAATTGAATTCAGCGAGAACAAATGTGTATTGATCTTCTGCAAAGTGCAAGTCACGGGGAGAGACATGGAGGGGCTCAGAAACAAGGGAGACACAAGCTTCAGCCCCCAGTCCAGCAGGAGGGATGGATGCTAACGCCAGTGTCCAGAGGCCAGTATCTGCCATGCACACATGCAAATCCCCATCCCAGACAGCCTGACCCGTTCCTCCATCCCTATCAGTGCCACAGAGAAAGAGCTCCTGCCTTTAATCACCTCCCTCTTGGTCACAAAGCTTATCTTCAAGGAGCTCAAAGCACTTGTAGTGTATTGATTTTCTCAACCACTCACTGGCCCCACTTCCCTTGAGGGATGAGGAGTTTGGAGGAGAGAGGATTACCCTTGTGTTTCAATTCAGCAAGCTGAGGCTGGGGGCAGCTCCACTGGGTGGCCCCCTATGGCACCACTGGCCCACATGGTACCTTTGTGCTCTCGGTAGATTGTCCCACACTGGGGAGTGTGGCTTGGCGACAAGAGTGAAGCTGGATTCCAGCCCCCATAATCACCCCCTCAGACAAGCAGCTTTGTGCAGTTAACAACCTGCCCAACTGTATGTGGCAGGCTTGCTGTCGAAACTAACTGCCCAGGTTGGTCCTGAGGTCTCTCCCAGCCAGACGAGGGCCTCTGGTAAAATGGTAAAAGCAGGAGGGTCCTCTTGATTCTGGGAAGAACCCTTAACCCCCTCTGGCATGAGTTTTCTGATGTGTAAACAGGGTGTGATAAGAGGTAGTTGGGCTGATTTGATGAGATGCTAGATGTTTCTACGTTTTAAACTACAAAGTGCTACATAAATATTAATTTTGGTTAGAGCTGGTCACCCACATGCTCCTTCTCAGACCTGTACCTGCCACGCTCCAGGGTGTGTCTACCAGGTTTCATCCCAGAAGACCCAGCCCAGCTCAGGTCTCCCCTGTCAGCAGGCTGGGGTCACTAAACTCACAGAAGCCAGGAAGCTGAAGTCCCTGTGTCATTCTCCATCGTGGCCACACTGAGGAAGGACAGGGACAGCTCCCTTTCCCAGGCAGGAAAGCCAGGCCCCTGCCTGCCAGGTCAGGTCCACCCCACCCCCAGCAGTGACCTCCTCAAATCTGCCGCCCCTCCTCTCTCAGCCTTTGCTGCCACAGCTCCTCAGCGGTTTCGGCTGGAGGGGATCTGAAATCACAGGGGAGCCGTAGTCCAATCTTTCCTTCTAGAGTCAGGGCAGTAGAGTAGAGGGAGCATACGGTCCCACCACGGAGTGAAGACCGGAGCCCAGGCCCTGACCAAGAGCCCTGCTCTTTCTGCAGCTCCGGGGACTCCTCCAGGGCAGGGCCACAAGAAGATGTCACTTTTCTCAGCAGAAATCTGTTTCAGTGTCTTCCAGTCTAATTCCAGAGCTCAGAGTCTCTCTGCTTACTTTAGCCCAGCCCTGAGGCATTGCAGAGGGCTCTGGGATGTTCCCAGAAACTCAAACCTGGGCTTCCATTGTGGGGGAAGGAAGGACACCCCAGGCTCAGAACAGGTAGATGGGCTGGCCAAATCCCCATTCAGGACTGGGGTCAGCCAGCTGCATCTCACTCAGGCCTGGTCTCTGTCGATGCAGCTTGCTTCATCACAGACCCAGGCAAGCCCCTCCAGGACCCCCACGCCCAGCTGGGATGGCCAAAGCAATGCAGCCACCTGGGGACACTGAGGATTTCAGGGCTGCTGGGTGGTTTCCTTTCTGAAGCTGTAGCTCACAACCCCTGGCTCTCTGGTGGCCTGGGGCAGCCAGCCTGGCCCTCAGCCCCGGTGCTGGGCCCTATGCCGGCTCTCCATCAGCCATGAGGGGTTTCAGTGCCATGCTCACCAGCAATCACAGAATGGCAGAGTTAGCATATAATTTACTTTTGAAAAATAAATTAGAGTTGATTCAAGGCCACCCCTGGAATGCTGCCCCTCTCAACTGCTTGCATTCTGATGCTAACACGGGAGACCTTGATAATAGCGATAATAAGCAATAGCTGGTATTTATGGGGTACTTACTCCGTGCCAGTCACTATGCTGAGTGCTCTGTCTGCAGGATCTTGACTCTTCCTCTAACAATGCTGAAAGGCAGTGACTACTGCTACCCCCATTCTTCAGATGGGAACACAGTCTCAGAGGCATCACCCTTGCCAGCAGCTGCAATAGGGTTTGGACCCAGGCCTCTCAGTCACTGGGTGGAGTCCAGGAAGACTCCAGAAACTGTTTCTGACCCAGTGCCACAGTGTGCGCTGCACTTGGGAGGGTCACCGTGCTGGAGGTCTTGATAGAAGGCCCGGCCCCCCTGCAGTTCCCTGGGCAGTGCCAGAGTCCGGGGAGCCCCTCCATGGTGGAGCCCCTGCCTCCTCCCAACAGCCTTTCGCTCCCTATCTGTTTCAGCCACTCAAATACTATCTTCCTTCCCTCTTCTTCCCCCATGACAACACGAGTCATGGCCTGCACGGCGGGCTTTGCGTATCTGCTTGAGAGAGACCAGCTGACAAGTTCTGTTCTGTTTGGGGATCCAAAGCTCATTAACTTCACAGAACATTCTAGCTGCTTTGGTCTGGTGGGACAGGCACAGGTGGGGTGCGTTCCAGGAGACAGTGAACATGTGGAAGGCCTGAGCTTCACCACTCTCTCCCTCCCACCCCCACCAGGGCCTGAAAGCACTTTTCTCTTTCCAGGGCTTCCTGGGAATTGCTTATCTTAATTTACGTGGGGAAACTGAGGCTGTTTTCCCTGCAATCAAGTGCCTCCTCCTCTTTGTCCTAGAGATGGCCAGAGAAAACCCTGGCCCCTACATTTCTCAGGGCTGAGGAGGAGAGAGAGGAAACAGAGGACATAGAGCTGGGAGCATTTGTTTTTCCTCCACAAAGCAACTCATTTCTTTAGGCAAATGAGCTGGAGAGGGGAAGACACCGCTGGAGACCAGCAGTGATTAATTACAAAGGAAATGAGTGGCCAGCACAGCCAGGGCTTGGGGCGGGAGGCAGGGACAGGAGGGTGGGCTTGGGGCTGGCTTGGCAGCACCAGGGCCCAGGGAGGCCTGAACAAGTGCAGGCTGAGCTCAAGGAGTGCCTGCCTGGCGGACCAAGGGACACAGGGGCCGGCCTCCAGGAGGCAGAGAGGACACACTCACACAGAGCAGGCGAGACCCGAGGCTGAGAGGAGGAGGCAGGAGGGTGTGCAGGGAGCCCGGACATTTCCTTCCAGGATGTCCACTTGCTGCCCACCCAGGTCCCAGGCCACCAGCATCTCCTCCAGGTCCTGCCTTGTCCAGATGCTTCTCTTGCCTTTACATCTAGCTTTGCCCCATCCAGCATTGTCACACTACTCTCACTTAGATCCCAGGCCCTCTTGTGCCATTCCCTGACAAATGATATTAGAAGGATAATGTGAGGCCAGGCGTGGTGGCTCACGCCTGTAATCCCGGCACTTTGGGAGGCCAAAGCGGGAGGATCCTTTGAACTCAGAAGTTCAAGACCAGCCTGGGTAACCCCATCTCTACAAAAAAATACAAAAATTAGCCAGGTGTGGTGGTGTGCGCCTGTAGTCCCAGCTACTCGGGAGGCTGAGGTGAGAGGATGTTTTGAGCCCAGGAGGCAGAAGATGCAGTGAGCTGAGATCGTGCCACTGCACTGCAGCCTGGGAGAGACCCTGCCTCAAAAATAAAAATAAAAGGATAATATGGCAAGGGGCACATCAGGGTTAAGTAAGAACAGGGAATAAACACTCGTTCGATCAATGACTTCTAGTGGCAAAAATAAATGACCTGGCAGCTCACGCTAGGGGGTCACAGTCTTGGGTGTTGCTCTCAGCTCTTACCCCACGTGGGGTTGAGCAGAGGAGTTAGGGAGTTTAACTGCCTCATTCGTAGACCAAAGGCCAGAGAAGGGCTGTGGTTTGTCCCCAGCCACGTAGCTTATCTGTGGTAGAGACAGGAGTGGATTTGGTCTCCTGATGCCCATCAGGACTCTTTGCATATTCTCTTAGAGTGCCTCCTTCTGGAAACTTCCTGCAGAGCATGCTTGGCTGCTGTCCCCTTAGAAAGCCACCTAGCTCCCCCTGCAATTCCTGCTTGGGGAGCCTTAGTTATTGCATCCATCCCATAGGTATTGACGAGTGTCTCCCGTGGGGTGCCCCTTCGACTCCAGCTCCGTCCAACTCACATTTCCACCCCTCCCCAAGAGGCAGCAGGTTTCTTCTCCAGTTCTTTGCAGCACTCTGGCCCTTGCAGGGTTAAATGCAGCAGCTCCTCCCTCACTCCCCACTAACGACAAGCTTCCCTCCACGTGATGGGACACTGACTAAGAATAGAGTTTACCACTCCTGGGCTCTGCTCGGAAACGCTGCCATGACACAAGAGTTTTCCATGTCTGCCGCTCCTCGGTGTCCCAGGTCCAGGGCCCTGGAGCCTCCTCCTCAGCCTCACCAGGCCATGAGGCTGAAGGCCAGCACCATGTCAGCCTGCTTCTGAAGCCCAAATGGGGCCCAGGAGGAGTAAACAAGGGGGAACTCGCCACCTCAGAAAACTTGGTGATTTGGACTATTTGAACAGACACTATTGAGAGTCCCTCCGCGTGCACCAGGACAACCCGAGTGCCCTTTGTGCATCGGATCCTCTCAGCCCATTGCTCGGCAGAGGCAATTGAGTCAGAGAGGCAAGGGACATGTCTGAGGTCCCCCAGCTGCTAAATGGAGGAGCCAGGATTTGACCCCAGGGCTCGTTCCTTTCGTGGAGGCAACACCCACAAAGTGAAACTGGGTTTCCTTTTCACCTCTCCACTGCCCAGTTGCAGCCTCCTTACTGCCCTTTCTCCATCCCACCCCAACACTTGCCAGTGACCCTGACAATGAAGGCCAGGTTTGGTCGACAGCAAGACCATAGAAACCTTGTCTGGGCGGATGAACATTTTCATGGTGGCGGTGTGTGCGAGGCGGTTAGGAGCACAGACTCCAATTGCAGATTAGCTGGGTTGGAATCCTGGCTCTACCACTTAGAGCTGTGTAACTTTGGGTGAGTTATTTCACCACTCCGTGCCTTATTTTACTCAGTTGACAACTGTAAAATGGGAGCGTTCTAGGTTGTGAGGATTAACAGAGGGCCCCACATCTCTGTGCTCTGTTACTACTGCTTGGTTGGCAGAATGAGGGTACACAGTGTCAAGTCCCTGTGTGGTAGTGGTGCACAGAGAGGGGCTGGCCAGGCACAAAGAAGCCTCCTTCTCCAAGCTTCCTGGATGACTGGGCAGTAGCAGCCAGTGTGTGTGTGTGCGTGTGTGTGTGTGTGTGTGTGTGTGTGTGTGCCTGCCTGTGTACATGCACCTGTGAGCATGGTTGGATACTTAGACTCCTAGAATGAGAAGAGACCCCGGGGGGGTCACATCCTATCTCCCCTCTACTGCCACACCCAGTTCAGAAATCCCCTCCACATCATCTCTGACCTGTGTTCCCTCAGGCCTCGCTCACCTGCCTCCCATGACAAGAAGCGTGTCCCCTCCAAAGGCAGCCTGTCACCTACTGAGAGGCCCTGGCTCTTAGAAGGAACTTCCCTGTGCCTTCCTTCCTCCCTTCACCTGAGGGCCCCAAGTCAGTGCAGGCTTGCTGGCAAGGAGGAAGGGTCTGAGCGAAGCCCCTGCCTCTCCCAGGAACCCATCCTGGGTCACCCCGGCCCGCCAAACTGTCTCCCTCCTCTGACTTTCCCACTGATAGCAACTGTCTCCCCTTAAGAACGTTTCTGTTTCTCACCAGGTCTCCTGTCACATGGGTCCTGTTTCCCCAGCCAGACAAGGAGCCTCACGAGGACAGAGGCCTGCCTTCTTCCTCACACCCTCGGCCCTGAGTGAGAAGAGAAAGAGAGAGAGAGAGTGCTTAGAACAGTGCCTGGCCCGTGATAAGCGGGTGCCAGCTATTATAATAAGAAATACTGTTGTTACTCTTCTTATTTCCATCATCATAACCTCCACCCCCATCTGCCATGGTCTCCCCAGTGGCATAAATCAGTGCGCCCCATGGTGAGCTCCCATCCTGCCCCTCATTCAGCCAGGCGGGCAACAATAGGGGTGGAGCTATGGGGCCCTCCCCACCTGCCAGGTCCTGTTCTAAGCATCGGTCCTCGCCCCTGAGAATACTTCCATTTCACAGATGAGTAGACTGAGGCACAAAGTGGTGAAATCACTTGCCTGAGGTGGGCGGCTATAGTGGCAGAGCCGGCAGGCCGTAGCTAGAGTCCGTGCTTATAACCACATCTCTCTCCACCACTGCAAGTGCTCAGAGAAAGGTTTGGCCCTCGGGAGACCACGTGTAAGCAAGACAGAGGTGCATCCAACACTTAGGGCCGGTTCTCCAACACTGAGTCTCCTGAGCCTGGACTGGAATTGAGCTGTCATTGGGCTCATCCTCCTGCCCCAATCCTGGTAAAAGTCCTGGAAGTCCAAAGGGAGCCTTTGGAACAGGGTGACTTTGTCATGTGTCCCCTGCCTCCCTGGGGGAGGTGTGAGAGGGAGGGGAGTTCGATGAGTGGGAATGTGTCAATGTCGCTCCTAGGTGAGGAGATTAAGACCTTCCTGGGAAAGCAGAAACAGTCCAGCTCTGGAAACATGTTCCCCATCACACGGTGACAGCCTGCACCCGACCTGCAGACACTGCTCTACCAGCGCCATCAGCCAGCCCAGAAAGCGCACACACCCACACACGTGTGGGTGATATTAAAGTCATATTTTTGGTTGCTGGGGAGGCGCGGTCGTCACTTCCCCTGCCCCAGGCAACCCGCTGCCAGCTCCCCTTTTACTTCCCCACCCCACCGTGGAGTGCTTGCCGTTTGTATTTATATAGATAAATCGGCCGGGCTAATTAAAGTTCTCTTGCTGGAGAGTGAGGGAATTAATAAAAGAACTTGGAAAGGAGCCAACTGAAAGCTGGGGCGCTCAGAGCTGCAGCCAGGACCCACTGCACAAAGGAGGCCGGAGGATCCAGCAGACATGAGAGCTGCCTGGACCGGCCCGCTCCCACCTTCCTCAGGGAAAGCCAAGGATGTTCAGGGGCCCCAGGAATGAAGATGCAGGCCGCAGACACTCACTGTGTGTCTTGTGCTACAATGCCACATAACATGCATTCTCTTACCTTCAGGAGGTGTGGCTGCAGCTCTGAGTACTTGTGGTGGCAGGGAGAGATGTGATTAGAAGCATGGACTCTAGCTACAGCCTGCCGGCTCTGCCATTGCAGCTATGCCACCTCGGGCAAGTGATCTGAACGCTCTGTGCCTCAGTCTACTCATCTGTAAAAGGGAAGCATTATCGGGTGCAAGGATTGATGTTTAGAACAGGACCTGGTAGGTGGGGAGGGCCCCGTAGCTCTGCCCCTGTTGTTGCCCGCCTGGCTGAATGAGGGGCAGGATTGTGAGGTCCCCATGGAGTGCACTCACTTGTACCATAGGGGGGCCATGGTAGATGGGGATGGAGATTATGATGATGGAAATAAGAAGAGTAACAACAGTATTTCTTATTATAATAGCTGGCACCCGCTTATCACGGGCCAGGCACTGTTCTAAGCACTCTCTCTCTCTCTTTCTCTTCTCACTCAGGGCCGAGGGTGTGAGGAAGAAGGCAGGCCTCTGTCCTCGTGAGGCTCCTTGTCTGGCTGGGGAAACAGGACCCATGTGACAGGAGACCTGGTGAGAAACAGAAACGTTCTTAAGGGGAGACAGTTGCTATCAGTGGGAAAGTCAGAGGAGGGAGACAGTTTGGTGGGCCGGGGTGACCCAGGATGGGTTCCTGGGAGAGGCAGGGGCTTCGCTCAGACCCTTCCTCCTTGCCAGCAAGCCTGCACTGACTTGGGGCCCTCAGGTGAAGGGAGGAAGGAAGGCACAGGGAAGTTCCTTCTAAGAGCCAGGGCCTCTCAGTAGGTGACAGGCTGCCTTTGGAGGGGACACGCTTCTTGTCATGGGAGGCAGGTGAGCGAGGCCTGAGGGAACACAGGTCAGAGATGATGTGGAGGGGATTTCTGAACTGGGTGTGGCAGTAGAGGGGAGACAGAATGGGACCTGTGGGTCCCTTCTTATCCTAGGGGTCTAAGTATCCAACCATGCTCACGGGTGCATGCACACGCGCACACACATACACACAGGATTAAAAAAGAAAGTGGGATAAACACCTTTTGGAGCGATGGCTTCTCGTGGGCCAAAATAATGCAAAATAAAGATTCTGTTTAGTTGTGTTGCATAGGGAAGAGGCCTTGCCATGAGCGAAAATACCTCCTTCTCTGAGCATCCCAGATAACTGGGCAAGAGCAGCTTTCAGGCTGCCAGGTCAGGCCTCCACCCTTCAGACCGGAGACCCAGGGGCCGCAGTGCCAGGATCCTCCCAGCTGGGCTCCCAGCAATACTTTCGGTGCCCACAGCTTCCAGGACAGGCCATTTCCTCCTGCCTAATGAGTCAGCTGCCAATCCCTGCCAGAGGCCTGGGGAATTGCCTGCGAAATAAGTCCCGACTAATCCCTGTAGTTGGGAGTCAGGGATGCGGGCTCTCCAGGACAGAGCAGGCCTGGGGTTGTTGGGATGATGCCCCATCCTGTCTCCTGGCCTCTTTCCCACCACTCAGGCTTCAGTGACTCCTGGTGTCCCTGCTGCCCTCCAGAAAGGCTGCCTGCTGAGCTGTATTCCCCACAACACCTCCCTTTGCACTCCCTAAACCTTTGTCTGCAGAAGGCAGGGAGCCAGTGGGAAGCACTCTACGTGGGGGCAGGGACCCCTGGACAGTGCCTGCCCTGCTGCTGGCTGGCTGTGTGACCTCGGTCATGTCCAGCCCTGTCTACAAGAACTGGGCTCTTCTCTAGGAGCCGCCTTGTAGCTCAGCCCTTTGGGATTCCAAAATCAACTCCCAAAGGGCCAAGAAGGAAAAGCCACCATTGCAGGTCTGCATTTATTTACCCAGAGGAGCCAATTGGCTCAGAAACGTCAGTCCCGTGAAGTCTTGGACTCCAGCTCAGATTTCTCCTAAAGCTCCCAGAAGCTTCCTCAGCCCTACAGAGGGGAGAATGGTGTGGGCCGAGTTCCTGAATCCCCAGGGTTCCCCCAGTCTGTCCTCAACACAGTGAGGCTCCTCACCCCCAGAAGCCCAGTCCTCCAGGAGGGGCACACAGCCCTCCCTGTCAGTCACAGTGTCCCATGTCCTAACCCGCCCTCCCTCCCATCACGTAGGCCTCAGCTCACCCATGCTGTCCCTCACCATCTTCTCAGAAGCAGCCACCCTGCTGCCCACCTCAATGCTATAAGCCTTTTCTTGTGTCTTCATAGCACTTATCTTTATCTGAAACTTCTCTATTTGGTTGTGGTGTTGTGGTCTGTTTCCTCCAATGAGAAGGAAAGCTGCTCATCTGTTCACTGCCACAGCCTCAGCACCTGGCTCCCGAGGAATTTTGTAAATGAGTAGGTAAGTAAATGAGTGGATAGACATATGGAGGAAGCCCCTGAGGAGATGGCCGCCAGCGCAGCCTGCAGAGGCAGGGGTCAGGCCGGCCAGGCAGAGGCCAGGGCACCCCAGGAAACAGCTGGGCCTGTTGGAGCTGGGCCCTGGGCCTGCCACCTCCTGTTTGTCAGCCCCTGCGGGTGACGGCCAGGTCCCCTGAGCCCTAAGAGAATAGGGAAACTGGGTGGGGGCAGTCGGAGGAGGAAGGATGAGCCACATCTAACTTTGGGACAATGAGAAAGCGAAGGCCACAGGAAGAAGCAGAGGAGGACAGGAAAGGTGTGAAGGACCATCACTCATCAGCGGGACGGCTGTCCAGGTGGCTCTCCAGGCGGCGCATCCTTCCCGTTATCTCAGCGCCGTGACGCCAGGAACACCCCTCCCTCCGGGCCAGCCCTATGGCCCCCGCCGCTGGAAACCTCGGAGATTGGGGAGCTCATTTAGTCCTAACCTCCATTGTGTCTGGGCCGGAAGGTGAGGCACAGAGAGGGCCAGGGACTTGCCCAAGGTCACAGAGCAGACGTGGCTCTCCTCACACCCCAGCCCATGGCAGGGATGTGCACATCAACACCCCGACCTCAGCCCACCACCCCTGCTCACTGCCAGCCCCGGCAGAACCCTGCTCAGGCACCAGCCACCTATTTCTAGGCAGCACTTTCTGTCCAGGGCCTGGTGTCTGAGCCACAAAGCCTAAAAATAAAAAAGACAGATTGTCCACTTCGGCTGTAAATACTGCCTAAAAAGACCCAGTGGGGAAAAAAAGAGGAGGAATGAAGGGGAAAAAATCCCAGAGCTGAGCATCCATCACAGGCAGACAGGCACTAGAAGGGAGGGTCTGTGGGCATAGCAAAGGGGCTCTCAGGTCTCCTGTCCCCAGCCCTCCCTCTCAGCTTGCTGAGCAAGCAGGCCCTGGCCACTGCCACCAGCCCCTTGGACTAGATGGAGATAGAGCAGGCCACGTGGGGGAGCTGGGCCAGCTTGGCTGCCCCCAGCTGTGTAACCATCACCAAATGGCAGTCTTTGCTTGGGACTCAGTTTTTTTCACCTGTACAATGGGGTTATTCATTTACTCAGCTTATATTGAGTGTCTACTGTGTGCTGGAGAAGCCATTGGAAACAAGAAGGACAAACCCTCTGTTCTCACGGAACGTATGTCTGTGCATGTGAGAGCAGGGTTACGTCCTCAAGCGGCAGGGAAAAGCCCCTCTAGCCTGGGGGACAGGGCAGGCCTGAAGAACCGGGGCAGAAGCCTCTCAGCAAAGGAAGCCCATAGGCAGGAAGGGACCAGGCATGCTCAGGAGACAGTGAGAAGGAAGGCCTCTGTGTCTGGGACCCCGTGCATGAGCTGGGAAAGAGGGGCTGTTTGTAGAAGCAGCTGGGTCAGATCCAGGAGAGCCACGTAGGCTCCAGGGAGGAGTTGGCCTGTTATTCTAGGTGCCATGGGAAGTCACTGGAGGGTGCTAAGGATGGGAGTGACGTGCCCTGACTCAGGTGTATTGAGGGGGGTTATTCCTACAGTCATGAGGAGAAATGGCAGCGGCCTGGACGGGGGTGAAGGCAGTGACAATGGAGAGGAGAGGATGGTTTGGAGCTATACCTCAGAAATTGAGCCACAGCCTTCTGATGGATGGGATGTGGTGGAGGTGGGGAGAGAGGAACTGAGGATATCCACCAGGTTTGGGCTAAGCAGTAGGGTGGATGGCAGTGCCCGTTACCAAAAGGCGGAGGCTCTTTCCATTGAGAGGTGATGGGTGCGCTGAAAGTTCTGTTTTGACTAGGATGACTTTCAAGGCTGCATGGGGATGCGTCCGTGTGAATACACTGGGCAGGTATTATAGCAATGAATGTGGAGTTAAGTGTCGTGGCTTGAGCTGCAAACCAAGTTTGGAAGCCATCACGGAGGGGGTGGTCTTTAAAACCATGAAACTGTGTGAGCTGATCTGGGAGGAGAGTGGCTGGGATAGAGGAAAAGGATGAAACTGTGTGAGCTGATCCAGGAGGAGTGTGGCTGGGATAGAGGAGAAGGACTCGGACTGGGGCCTGGTGCTTCCCAACACTGAGAGGCTGGGCAGGGGAAAATCCACAAGGATCACCCAGGAGGCAGTGAGGCAGGAGGAGGACCAGAGCAAGAAGCCAAGGAAGACTGCCCAGAAGGAGGGAGTGGTCAACTGAGCAGGACATTGCTGGACATCAGAGATCATGAGGACAGCAGCGGGAGCATTGGGTGGGGCAACCTCCAGTGACTGGAGATCTCGACAAGAACCCACATTCACTGCAGTGAGGGAGGAGAAGGAGGAGCGGGGATTAGGAGCCAGAGATTCCAGAGATGACTGCAGGCGACGTGCTGCTGTCCAGACAGTGGAAGGGGAACCCAGGGCCAGTGGAGAGCTATTGTTAGGAGGAGGAGCAGAGCACCTGCAAAGGCCAAAGAGAATGAGCCAAGGGCAAGAAAGAGACTTGTGGAGCCGGAGAGAGGGCAGCACTGGAGGTGGAGGCTGGGAGGATCAGGGGAGTCACGGAAGGCGGTGAATGGGACGCTGAAGCCGGGAGGGGTGGAGATGAGCATCTTTCTTGGGCTGTCAAGGAGTCCAGGGGTGAAGGTGCTGAACATATTGGGTCCCAGGGACAGCAGGGCCTGAAGGAGGGGATAGACTGTGGCCGCTCCTGCCACACTCAGGATCCAGGCTGCTCTGCTGGGACTCTGGGCCCAGGAGGCCACTAGGATAGTCCTGGGTAGATAGCTGGTTCTCTGGGAGCTGAGGAAGGGGTGGGAGCCAACAGGAATGACAGAGTCTAGGTCAGGGAGGGCAGAGGCAGGACGCCTGGGGCCAGGTGTGCCAGAGTGCCTGGAGCAAAGCCGGACAGCGCCACTTCCTACTGGCGGACCTGTGGGAAGACCACCGAACTCTTCTGAGGCAGCCCTTCAGCCTCACCCAGCTTTACTCTCCATTGCTGGGGCACTGACTCCTGCAGGCTGTGTCTCCCAGGCCCTGGCTCAGCTGCCTTCCAACCATGAGAGGCACAGGGGGAGGCTGAGGGCTGGAGAAAGGGAAGCCCAGGGCTTCTCCCCTCCCTCTCTGCCTTGGGCAGTAGGCCCCACAGCAGCTGTCTTCTCTGTGACTCCAGCTCCACAAAACAAACCCATGAGACTCCAACTCTCCTTGCATCCCTCCGGTATAGGGTGGCGGTGGCCTCGTGCCATCGCTGATCTGTTTTAAAGGCTGCATGGGGATACGTCCATGCGAATTTGCCTCTCAGCTCCTCCATCACCTGTGAAATGGATTTCCTGCACATAACTCCCCTGTCTTTTCTGCCTCTTTTCCTAGTTAGAACCAGACTGGAACAACAAATAGTGTGGCTTCCTAGCTTGCTTCTTCACCTGTACCAAGTGGACAGCACCTCCCTCAACGTTGTCCTGAGGAAGAAATTTGGCAATGGATTCAAACATGCAGCGCTGGGCTCAACACACACAGAGTGAGGGCTAATGGATGCTGGAGGAAGACAGGAGTTCAATGTGCACTCATTTCACGCTGATTTCTTCAGGTCCTGGTCTGTGATGCATGCTGGGGACACAGCCAAAATCCATCCCTGGCCCTGGCTTTTGGGTCTCAGCACCTGGAAGAGCAGGCAGCCATGGAGCAGCAACACCAGCTATGATAGACACAGCAGGAGGACCCTTACCTGCAAGCTGCAGTGGGGTGGGGACTTCAGAAGAGGCCACTTGTGAGCTGGCCATGTTGGGGGAGCAGACTTTGCGCTCCTGGAGAGCAGGGACTGTGCATCTGTGCTCACTTCCCAGTGCCGTGGCACAGGGCAGTGACGCCAGGACAGATAATGCCACACGCGGCTGCTCTTTGCAGAGTGCTCCCCGCCAGGCACTGGGCTCAGTGCTCTCCCTGCAGGCCTTCTCTCAGCCACGATCCGAGTCCTGGTAGGTAGGTGCTATTGTCATCCCCACTTCTTATGGATAGGGATTCAGGTGCTCAGGGACTGCATGACAACCAGGGTGTGGGATTAAGAGTCAGCTTAGAAATCCAGGGGCAGAGTCTGCCTTGGGCACAAATGCCTTCAAAGCCAGGTGGGAATGGTGGCTGCCAGGGTCCCACCAGTGTGCCCTGGGCGACTCCAGGGTGCATTCGCATCCTGATCTGTGTCAGTGATGCTCCTTGGCACTGGGCATGCGCAACTTACAGGAAGGGAGGGTGGGAGGGAGGGGTCTCTGCAGGTGGGGTTGGGAGTGCCCCATAGCGGTCAAGGCTGAGCTGCTCCAGTGTGGGAAGGAGGCAGAGCCACACTAACTAGTGCCTGGGGAGATCCAGTCCGTGCCCCTTGGTCTTCGGGGTCAGAAAGCTGGAGTGACAAATGACCAAGCCATCAGAGTGTCCCTTGCAATGGGCTTTTCCCACTGTTGGCCCCTAAGCTGGTTAACAGAGCCACAGCAGAAACTGTGCCTGACCCTGCACTGACAAATTCTGGAAACTCCACAGCCTCGGAAGGTGGTCAAACAACAAAACCACTCCTTCCAGCCCCAGGGCATTCAAGATACTATCTCTGTGGCTTTCTGCTCATGATTTTCATTACAAATAAGCAGTGCTCAGTAAAAGCTTTCAATACCTTATAGCTCCTCTGTGGGCCTCCATTTCCTCATCTGTAAGATAGGCCTATTTAATTCTCCTGTTCTGCCTCCACTCTGGGGCTGCTGACAGCCGCAGATGACAAGAGGTGCCTGGAAACAGGCTGGGAGCTGAAGCGGGGCCCCAGGTGCACTCCATTCTGCTCTCCAGGACTCTGTCTTGTTCCTCTCTATGCCCATCTCCTCTCAGTTCCCCCACAGAACTGCAGTGAGTATCAGCCGCATGCAAGTCACCCAGCTTTTCTCTGCCTCAGTTTCCCATTCCGTGCACTGGAGAGAGGGCCCCATCTCTGTTTCTCCAGATGCAGCCAGAATTCAATAATGGGTACAGAGGATATCAAGCCCCAGAAAGCAAACAAGGGGCGATTAGTAAGGGGCTGGCAGGTTCGCTCTGTATTCATAGCAGGCGTGGCTCCCCCTGGAGTTGTGGGAGGTGGCAGAGCTGGGGCCGGGGTTCTCTCTGAGCTGCCCAGTAGCAGAGATGCTCTTGCTGCAGTCACAGCCCAAATACAGCAAGACTGCACCGCCTCACCCCTCCCCACCTCCCAGAGGGTGCAGCTAAGGACAAGGCAGGCCTGTCTCTGAGCCAGTGCTCCGTCCCCAGGCCCCTGCTGCTCTACTTAGTGATGAATGGGCTGGGCACACGGTGTCAAGCAGGGGATGGCTTTAGAGCCGCCGACATTTATCAGCCCAGGATCTGGCCCTCTTCCAGGAAACCTGGTCCTCTGGGCTGTCCCCACTGTGCCCCCATCCTCAGCAGTGCCAGCCCATACTTGACACACAGTAACCCTTCCCTGGACAGAGCCAAGAGGCTTTTAGAGCTGAAAGCACCCTTAGAAATTATCAAGCCCCAACTTCTACATGTTTAAGAGAAACTGAAGCCCAGAATCCTTGCCACGGAGCCTGCCTGCACTTGCCAACTGGGCTTTGTCCTGTTCTTTCCTGCTGCCTCAGCAAGTCCAGTCCTGGGTCACCTTCCAGGAGGCACAGCTGCTGTTGTTTAGACAAGGGCTCCCAATGCAGCCCACCACATGGATGGGTAAAAATGAAATGTCTCATCAAATCCTCACACAACCCCATGAGCTGGTCCTATTATTAGCCCCATTCTATAGATGAGGAAACCGAGGCTCTGGGAGGTTCAGTAACTCGGCTGAGACCACACAGTGGAGTGACGCATCCAGGAGCCCAGCCCATGTCTGCCGGCCTCTGTGACGGTGGCCCCACATGGCTGAGGCATAGGGGAGCCTGGGCTGGGGGCTGCAGTAGCTGCTGGGTCTTCATCTTCCTCCTAAATAACCATTTTTTAAAAAGACCTGCTCTATGCCAGCCCTGACACCGGACGCTGGGGTGTCAGTGACAAGTAAAATCCAGTCTCAAGTCTCAAGGGGGTTAAATCTCTGGGGCAAGGCCATGTAGGTTTGGTTTTGGATAAGGAACTTGTGGAATTCTGTTCAGATCAACCCACCAGTTGACCTTTAACATATCACTTCATGGGTCCCTGCCCCACCCCCGTCTGCAAAATGGGCCTCGAAGGCTGGAGCTAATGAGCTAATGGCTGGGACCAGGACCTCAGAAACGTGTTAAGTACACTACGTGCAGGGCCCCCATTAAAGCCATAATCTGCCGGCTGAGCGGGCACCACTTTGCAAGTGGACTCTGAGTGACCACAGATGGGCACCCGACGGAGGGCTGTGGCTGCAGGACAGGGGCATCCCTCCCCTTTTAAAGTAGTGCTCACCTTGGGGGCCCCAGCCTCCCTGACATTCTCAGGTAAACCTCCCTCAGGCCCCAGCCCCAGTCCCAGCCAGCAAGAGCGTTGTGTCTCTGCTCAGCCACCATCCTGTAGTTTCGCTAATGCCCTCTAATGGGCCCATTTAGCAGCCCTGTCTCAGCTGTCACTGCAGCAGCTAATTGCTACTCCTCCTCCAGCTACACACAGAGCTCTGCAATCAGCCTGACGATTCCACGCCGCCCAGCTCAAACTAGCTGAGGCGCTGCAGACCTCAGCCAACAAGGAGCTTCTCCAATCCCCCAGGTGCCATGTTCTTGCTGTTGTTTCCTGGGGCCCCTGAAGTGCCTGACCCTGAGCAAGTTCAAGGAGCACACAGGGAGGAGGAGCCAGGGACAGAGTCAGAGTCAGTAGGCACAGAGCTCTTGGCAGCCTGGGATGAGGAGGGGAGTCACAGGGACCCTGAATGGGAATAGAGTTCCAGTCTCGCAACTGTGTCTTGTCTTATAGCAGGAGCTCCCCAAAGCAGACTCTGGGTCAAAGATTCAACTGCAAGTAATTTGCTTAGGAGATGCCCCCAGGAAGTGCTACGAGAGAGGCAGAAGGCAGGCAGGGAGGCAGGAAGCAGGGAGAGCCATGAAAATGTGTGGTAAGGAGGTTACAGCTCAGGTCCTGGCTTGGGCCCCCAGGGAGTGCCCTCTGAGAGCCTATGTGGAAGCAACCTCAGAGCTTTCTCTCTGGAAGGTCGATGAAGCTGTGTTGCTAACCCACCAACTTCCACCCTCATAGGTGAGGGCTGCAGCTTTTCTGGCACTTCTGGCTTGCCCTGGGCTTGCCCTGGCAGAGTGAGAGCCCTGAGTCAGGGAGACTCTGGGAGCCAATTGCATGCTTGGGAACTGCCTGCCCATGACACCCAGGGGAACCCGATGGGCCGGCATGGACAGCTTCTGCCACTGGCTCCCAAAACAGCAGTGCACACATAGGAGGAGGAAGCAGGACGACTTCTGGATTAGAGCCTCTGGGCTTACAGGAACCAACTCTGAGCTGAAGCCACTGGCCAGGCTCTTGAATATGATAAGAGAATCACAGCATGCGGCTCAGCACGTGGCTCAAGGCGGATGTCAGCCCCGCTGGACACCATGCTCCCCTCAGCCCTGCATCTTCTTTCAGGCTGTCCCTTCTGCCCGGACAACGCTCTCCCACTCCCCTCCCCTCCTCACCCCTAGTCCCTTCACCTAATTAACTCCTGGGCATTCCTCGGGGCTCTGTCTTAATGTCACCTCCTCTGAGAGCCCTCCTTGATGCTCCAGATTGGGTCAAGCATATTATGAACCATCACAAGGCCATGCATTCCTCCTGCAGAACCTGAGCTCAACAGAAATAAATCAAAACTTCACTCACCAGGGTATCCTCAGAGTTCATTGCCACATCTGCCTCATCATAATTTTTCTTAAATGAGTGAATGAATGAATAGGTTTCAGGGGGCCTGTTCTGGGTCAGATACAGAAGGAGAATGTGTGTGATCCAGGGTCCACCTGGAGTTGCAGTGGATGGACCAGGAGGTAACCAGTTGGCGATATGCTGGAGGGGACAGGGACTGTTACCCTTCCCAGCTGGCTCTTCCCTGGAGTGTACAGAGGGCTGGGGTGTGCCCACCCCTTTCCCCACAGCTTCTGCACCCTAGGCCTGGCACCGTGGTGTGTGCTGTACCCTCTCCAAAATCCACCACCCTCCAGTGATAACAGACTGCAGTGTCGGGGATTCAAAGACACCTCTGGAAGTTTGTGCTCAGGTGGACACCCCTGCAAGGCCAGGGCCCTTAAAGGGGAGGCAGTGCTTTTGAACAGTGGGTCTAGGGGTGTAGAGTACACTTCCCTGCAGGGCTCTAGCCCTGAAAAGTCAGGGGAGCCAGAGGGCTTTGCTCCCAGCCACAATGTGGGCCTGGGAATCCATGGCTGCCCTGGGCCTCAGTCCCACGCTGCCTTCTCACAGGCCAGTGAGAGGACAGATGGGACCCCCTGCAACCTTCACAAGATGGCATTGAGTCAGAGGGACCTGAGCTTCCACACTATTAGGGGAGGCAAAGACACATGAACTGGCAGCTACTTAGCACCATCCCGGGAGCCAACCTGTATAAGGAAGAAGGCTTCGGTCACCTCCTGGGTCCTGGCTGGGGGTTCCCCAGGGTTTGTTGACCTTGAGTGGCCGAGGCTTCTCAGATTCCCTCTTTCTGCTCACCTCATCTGCTGCATTTCCCTCAGAAGGCCAGGCCGGCCTTTCTCCTCTCCTCACTCTATCTCCTGCCTTCTTCCTTGGCAAGCTCTTCTACTCTTGACCTCACCACCTGCCATGCGGATGGCCTCAAATCTCTTCACCTTCAGACCCCACATATTTGGCGGTAAGGAGACATCTCTACCTGGAGGTCCCTCAGCAACCTCCAACCCCACCTGTCCCCAGGTGACCACATCCTCTCCTTGTCCAAAGTCTGCTAACTTCGTGCACCATCCATCTGGTCACCCAAAGCGGAACCCGAGGACCACTCTTGACTTTCCCACCTGCTCCCCAGCCCAGCGGCACAGTATGCATGTCTCCCCTGTTAGATGTCCGTCCTCATCTTGTCACCTCTGTGACCACACCCCTAGCGCGCGTCCTCATCACCTTCACTTGAATAAATGCCTTGGCCTCCCCCTAACTTAAGCCTTGCCCCTGTTCCCATTCCCTTTCACTCTGTATGACACATCAGAGCTGAAGGTCTTTCCAAAACATCACCTTCTTTTGAAAACCCTTCGATAATAGACTCTTGACCAAGGATGAAGTCCAAGCTCCTTGGCATGTCCTATTTGGCAGCGCAGCCTCCTCCCATGGCGCCCTGACCCTGACTCCACACTCCAGCCATTCTTTCCTCTGAGTGGGCCACGCTTTCTCACCTACAGGGCTTTGCATTTGCTGTTCCCTTTCCTCTGAATGCCTGGGCCTTGGGACTTCCTAATAATTCCCCAAACCCTCATGTGCTATCAGAGGTGAGTAAGTGTGGAGCAGTCATTACAAAATGCTTCCTTAGCAAGCGAATGTTGGGTGAGGGTGTGAAAGGGGCAGCACCACCAAGGAGTTAAGAACTCAGGCTCCAGCATCAGAGGGAGTCCAACAGGACACATCCTGGCCCTGCACTTAGCTGCAGGTGGGAAAGTCAAGCGTGACCCTAGGGTTCTGCTTTGGGTGACTGGATGGATGAAGTTAGCAGACTCTAGACAAGAAGATGTGGTCACTTTGGGACAGGTGACTTCTTTAAGCCTCCATTGCCTGACATGAGATGAGAGAGACCATATGCATCTTTTGGGGTGCTAGTGGGTTTAAATGAGGTGATCTAGGTCTTCTGGTGTCGGGTGTGATGCGGGTCCTCCCTTGGCCCCATCCTCTCTGGGGCTGGCCAGAGAAACACTGCTGTTGGCCATTGGCCTCCCTCTCCCCTCAGCCTGGCAGAGTCCTGCCCAAGCAGCTGGAGAGATCTGAATATCACTGCGGCCTTCCCAGGAGGACAGCAGGGAGGACCAACCGTCACGGCTGCCCCCCACAGAGGGGCAGCAAGGCCCTGGGAGGGCAGGTCCGTCAGAGGAGAGGCTCCGCATGCTGCCCCGGGTGGGCCACACAGCTTCCCAAGAACACAGACAGCACAGCGCGTGAATGCAAAGGCCTCTTTGAGTTGTGCTGATGTGTCTGACAGTGACAGTCTTGGGGCTGGCAGCTGATGTGTCCTGACAACCCCCTTCGCTCCTGGAATCCTGAGAGTAAGGGGTTGAGCACGTGAGGGTTTGCCAACTCTGGAGGCCCCAAAGGACCAGTCAGCTGAGTGTTGGCTGGGCTGGGATCCTCTGGGAGGCTCAGGCTCTGCTGTCCTCTCCCACTCCCCACCTTTGTCCCTGGGATGGTGGCTGTGCCAGACCAGCCCTCAGGCTCAGGGCTGGTCTCTGAGCAAGCATGAAGAGCCTCGCAGTCACCTGCCCATCCCTCATATGTGGCAGAGACCCAGAGAGACGAAGAGACTGACCTGTCACACCCTGCAAGGTCATAGGCTAGCCCAGGCCTCCAGGCTCCCCACATCAGGGTCCAGGACTCACTGCATGGCAGGGGGATAAGCAGCCATCACAGGACATCTTGACCAGCCCAGGCTGGCCTCCCCGAAGGGTCCCCTCAGCCCATCTGCTTTCCATCATCACATGTTCTAGTAACATAAAGCCGGGATTGTCCAACCTCAAGAATCCACTGGGTGTGGCCAGGCTCCACCCACCCTAGGCCCTGTGGTCTCAAAATAAAAACAACCCTCAACATCCTCTTTGTCAGAACTCCCTAATACCCTCTGCTCACTGACAGCCAAGGTAGCGCTCTGTTCCCAGGGCCACATCCTCAGGTCTTTCTGGGCAGAGCCTGACAAAGGTCTCCAGGGAAGCCACCCCTCCAGGTGCCTGAGCCATGTCATGTGGCCACAAGGGCCCACCCTGTTCCCAGCCTGGCCTGAACAGCACAGTCCTCCTGCATGTGGCTGGCCCCCTCCTCCTGGGCTCCCCTCCCTCACATCCCTCTGAGACAGATTTTGTCTCTTCGTGCATCAATTATTAATTTGCTCCAGCTACATTAAGCCTGGGTTGGTCTGTTGGCTGCTTCATCATTCTCCCTGGGGTGCAGGAGGCAGTGGTTGGGGCTGGAGGCACTGAGGCAGAGAGTTCAAGAGAAGCCAGGACTCCAGCCCTGCAGACGCCCTAAGTGCACAAAGCCTGAACCAAAGGACCCTTCAAGATCAGGGGTCTTGAAGACCTATTAATAACAGATAGGGAAACTGAGGCCCAGAGAGGGGACGGTGCCTGCCAAGGGCAAACAGTGGTCTGTGCTCAGCTCTTCCCAGGACACTTGATCTTCCATCAGCCACATGGCTCTGACCCTCTCTTTTCTGTTTGACATCCTCCATCCTGCTGCTCTAACTGACCCAAATACACCCAGGGGACGCCCTACGAGTCATGAGGGGTCAAGTGGGCTTTACAAGGTCACAACCGAGTGATACAGAAAGCAGAGATTGCATCGTGATGACCAAGAAACAGCCCCATCCACCAGACTAGTTTCCCAAGCCTCTTCACGTTAACAAGGGTCTCTCCCACCAAAAACGCCTCTGGTCAGTAAGTTAGGAAACACTTCAAACCACAGACTTTCTGCCTTAGTCTGTTTGGGCTACTATAACAAAAATACCTTAGACTGGGTAATTTATAAACAGCATACATTTATTGCGCATGGTTCTAAGGGCTGTAAAGTCTGAGATCAAGGCGCCAGCAGCTTTGGTGTTTGGTGAGGGCCCATTCTTCATGGACGGCACCTGGTTGCTGCACCCCTACATGGCAGAGGGACATGCAGGATCTCCCAAGCCTCTTTTCGAAGGGCATTAATTCCATTCATGTTGTTAGAGCCCTCATGCCCCAATCACCTCCCAAAGGTCCCACCTCTTAATACAATATTGAATTTGGTATTAATTTTCAACTATGAATTTTGAAAGGACACACATATTCAGACCGTAGCACCTTCTCAGGGAGCCACAAGATGCCTCATGGTGTAGTGAAGGCTCTGAGAAGGTCTGCAGGGGAGAAACCAGTGCAGCTGTGACAGACCCAGGGTGTCTCAAATTGTTTGATGGTGGAATGCTTGAGACTCACTGTGTTCTGCAGACCCCAGATCTCACTGGGTTCTGTGGGACTTTTCGAGGAACAAGCTGAGATCCTATCAATCTGCTCCCCACCAAATGCAACTGGCAAGTGGCCAAGTAAAGGAGCTGCTTGGGTGATGACCCCAAGGGAAGAGAAGTAGGAAGAGTGTGGCTAGGCTCCCTGGTGATGCCCTCCTTGGCTGTGGGCCTGAGTAAGTCACTCAACTTGATGGGCAAGGTAATGGAGTGGAAAGAGCTGGAGCTTTGGAGTGCCACAAACCTGGTCTCAAGTCTGCCATTCGTTCTACCAGATGTACTCATCCTAATAAATAGTTACCATGCATTCAGTCTTCCTAAAGTTCCATCCCACATATTGTCGGTCATAATCCCTATTTTTTTTTTTCTGTTGGGGAAACAGGCTCAGAGAGCTTGAGTCTCTTGCCCAATGTCACAAACATTATTGGATCCTCCTGCAGTCTGGCTCCAAAGCCCATGCTGCTAACCATAATGTTGTACAGCCTCTAGGAATAAATCAATGCCTCTCTCTGGGCCTCAACTTCTCAGCTGTCAATGGGGGATTAAGGATACTTCTTTCTCAGGCTTGTTATGAAGCAAGCACCTCCCCGTGGTGCCTAGTACATAGTAGGAGGTTAATAAATGGTGGATTTCTTTTATCTTCCTTTTGGATTCTATCCATAAAAATAGGATGAAGTCTTTACTCCAACAAAATGGACTGAGCCTCTTGGGTGCTACTGTCAGGGGGACTGGGGTATGTGGAGGGAGAGGTTAGGGGATGGGCGTCTATCTATCCCCAGGCCTGTAGACTGCAGGCTGACTTAAGGCAGCCTCAGGGGAGGCCTGGCTCTAAGACACATTTTTAAGGTGTCTTTCTCCTCCCCATTTGCAAAACTGAGTTTTGAATTGCAAGTGGTCAGACTGCAATAAATATCCCTGGAACCCACAGCACGTAATGGTTTATAAATTGTGGCTCATAATTCAACTGGTGCCTGGGTCGCCGGCTCCCGCTGCCACCGGTTCTCCAGCCCTGCAGCCTGCACAAGTGCCTGGTGAAGTCATGAATCAGGAATAAGGATCGCCCTGCTAACTCAATTTCACTTGTCAGCTTTAAGCTTTCATACTGCACTCTAAGTTCACACAAATACCACAAAATGTGTGTGCATGCATGTATATATATATATATACATATGTATATTTACATATATAAATAAACTATACTGCTGTTATGTAATTCCCTCAGGACACAAAAACCTTTTCTGGCAAGAGCCTCATGTTTCCAGCCTTTGAGAGATGTTGACACGTTAAGTTCCCCATCTTCACTCCCCAGCATCCCTTCCCCCCGCAATTCAGGACTTTCCTCTGGTTTAGTACAGGAGTTCCTCTCCAGTGCAGTTGGAGAAACTCATATTAGCTCTAAGCAGGAACTTCCCTAGGCAAGTTTCAGTGCCTTAGAGTGACAGCAAGCCTGAGTGTGGGGAAGGAGACTCAGGGGCCTCCCGTCCCACCCTCTGGTTCCAGAGACTCTGTGATGCATCCATACGCAGAAGTTCAGCAGATAGGTCAGCAAAGAAACCCAAACTCTCCAAGCCAGGCTGCCTGGGGAGTGTCCACGCCAGTACCAGAGCTTCAGAGCCTTTCCAGAGCCCTGTCTTGGGGAAGCTGGAGGCCCAGTGCCGAGTGGTGACTCGACCCTTGCAGTGGCCTCTCACCACAAACTCTGAGACCGCTCCTCTGAGGGCAAGTTGGCTGTTCCTGAATCAGGTATTTTGGCTTTCCTTTCACATTTAGTTGTAAAATTAGGAATTTTCAAATTGTTGGATCCAGTGAACTGTGCGTGTATATATATATATATGGGGCTCTAGGCAGGGGTAGGGGGGAGGCGCCTATATTTTTTTCACCCACCCACTTTGTGACTTTGGGAAAGTGGTTTGGCCTCTCTGAGCCTCCATCTCCTCGTGTAAAAGAGAAGGCAGTGACAGTCAAGCAGAGGGTGGTGACTATGTGGGTTCAATGCAGGGATGCCAAGCACAAGGCCCAGCCCTCGGAGAAGGCAGAGAGCCAGTGCCCTCAGGATCTCTCACCTATGGGCAAAGACAGCCATCTTACAGCCTGGGGGAGGAGGCACCAGGCCTGCCCAACCCATCAATCCCACCAATCCCACAGCCCCGCCTGGGCGCTGTGAAGGGAACAAGTGTGTGTTCATGCTGGGTAATGAGAAGCGTCATCAGTAAATGAAGAATCTCCTAATTACCCAGACGTCCCTGGGAGGATTTGTGAGGCTGCAGGTGGTGGCTAAGGCCCTGGTGCTGAGCGGTGGGGAGGGAGAGGGTGGCGGAGTTTGTGGGCAAGGGGTTCTGTGTTGCCCAGAGCAGACCCTGACCCTTGTGGATAGATCCCCAGAGCCTGGGAAAAAGCCACCAGCCAGTGGTCCAGTGCTGGAGCTGGGTGCCTGGGGTGTGTCATCTGCAAAATGAGGAATGGGTGCCAGGGCATGGCTAGACTCAGGACTCAGGGCCATTGAGCTTGCTCTGCCTTGAAAGAACACGCTGGCCTTAAGCAATTACTTTTTCCTCCCTGAGCCTCAGTTTCCTTACCCGCCAATGGCAATGATGGCAATTGCCTTGTCAACTTGATAGGTTGTGGGGGGCCAAGGCCCAAACAAACACAGACTGGAAATGTACATGCCAGACTGCAGAGGGCCCACACAGTCGGAAGAGTTGGGGGCAGCCACCCCAGGCCTCCCACCCATGTGACTCAACTCAAACTCAATCATGGGAACCCTGCAACTGCTGCAGGAACTGCGTTTTTCCCAGGAGGGTTTTGGAATCTTCAGGATCATATCTGAAGTTCCCCTGGAAACCTCCTGAATCCCTGGCAGAGCTAAGGTAGGGCCACCCACTTCCTATTTTCTGACTGTGGTTTTTGACTAGTGTGTTCCCAAAGCACTTCTGTAGGGAAGGGGTGGGGAGGGATGCTGGGGCCTTCTGTGTGAGAGTTCACTTGAAAACCTTTAGCTGTGGGGCCATTTTCAGACATTTTTATTAAGTGATATCTTGTATCAGATGATCATTATCACTGTCCTGTTTGGCAGGTGAGAAAACGGAAGCACAGAAAGGTCAGTGACTCACCCGGGGTCACACAGCAGTGCCCGTTTCTCCAATTCCCCTGCTGAGCTCCTGTGGCCTCACCTTCTAGATCTCCCATCAGTGTCTTCCCCTTCCTGAGCTATGGCTGTTGGAGTAAAGAATGTTCATTGACATGCTCCTCCCCCATTTGACAGACAGGGAAACTGAGGCACAGAGCAGGGCTCTCTCAGGTGAGAGCTGGGCTGAGATGAGGCAGAGCATCTGTGGCCACTCCTGTCTGCACCATTACCCAGCAGTCTCCCCATTCGATGCCCTGCCCTGCATCCCATCTCCATCTCTCCCATCGGGTGGGGTGGTCCAGGAAGACACGGTAAAGACAGAGTGATGACAAACAACTGCCTGGGAGAGATAATCCACTATTGAAACACACCTGCTGTTCTAATTATAAAGGAGACCAAATTGGGTTTAAATTGGAATTAATTGGATGCCTCCTTATCCACGCCATCTATCTTGCACTCGCCAGCCCTCTGGACGAGCAGGATGGAAGAAAGAGGAATCTCATCTTCTCGGCCACTGAACACGTGTCCCTGAAGGCGGCCTGCGCCCAGCCCCCAACCCCTAATCCCTTTAAACGTTTCAAGGAGCACAGACAATGGGAGCTGGGGTGCCTGGACCCCTCCTCTGTCTACCTTGCCAGAGGGGGATGAAAGGGGATTAGGTGACTCTGGAAGCGGGTGGGAGGGTCATACCCCAAAGGACCAGCCCTGCAGGAAGCAGGCGGGGCCAGGGCAGCTTGGAAATGCTCGCTGGAGTGCTGTGTTGGGCTGGGAGATGACAGGTCTGGACATAAAGCAAAACAGCCTGGGAGCAAGTTGGGGAGGGGGACTTTGTAGATGGGTCCTCAGGTTGAAGGCCTTGAAAAAGAGGGAAAGAGGTCCTCTAGCAAGCAAAATAGGAGGCCAAGGCCAACGGTGCTGAGGCTACAATCAACTATTAGCTCTTTGTATTAATAACAAGATGGTGGGTAATACCCCATCCAGAAACGACTGTTCCCTTGTGATCCTTGGCAGGCGACACCCTGTGTTATTAAAGAATTTCCTGCTTCAGTTGGGCTGGGCATTCAAGGCCTTTGTCATATGCCTTTAGTCAGCCAAAGCACTCGCTATTCCCTTGGGGCCTCAAACGGGTGGCCCACGGGCCAGACATAGACACACACGCACACAAATACACACATGCACACAAACACAGACACACTTACCTTCGTGTCCCCATTCAGCACACCTAGAATTCTACCCTCTCCACAGATATCCCACATCTAGAATTCTATTCCCAGTACACGGACCCAGAATGTCCCCACCCACATCTAAATTTGAGTGCTCCACCCACATCTAAAATTGCCCCACACCTAGAGCCTTCCATTCAGCCTTATGCACACTGGAACCTTTTCCCCGTCTCACTACTTCTGCATTGCTTTGGGACACCGTCCCTCTCCTCACTCCTGGAACCATGCCCCCCACATCTGTAACATCTCCCTCTCCCTCTATTATCACATCTGGCTCCTACATCCACACGGAGTCATCATCTCAAACCCCAAATCCACAATACTGGGAATATTGCCCTTCCCCCTGCACATAAAACAGGACCCCGGAAAGCCTGAGCCCCCTCGTCTTCTTGCCTCCCACCCTGAGCGCTGGCTCCTCCAGACCCATGTCCCTCCCCATGCCCTAGGGAAAAAGTGCTTTCGGGCTCTGCCCGAGTGAATGAGACACACCTGCAGGGGGATATTAGGACTCATTTCCAACCGAGGAGATTTCCTTCTCTTCTATGCATGAAGTAAATATTTGCTTAATTTCCTAGTTCTGAGCATGATTCATGGAGCATTTTAGGCAGGCTGAGGGTTGGGCAGATGCTGGGAGATCTCAGCTCCTGGATGGCAGGAGAAGGAAAAATGGAGAGAGCAGAGTACTGGCCTAGGGAAGAATATTTCCAGCTTCCAGGCCTTGTGAACTGTGCAGGTAATTCAGGCTCCCTGACCAAAAACTGCCATGTTAAAATAAAGCATCACCCTTGAATTAAACAGTCTATGAGATCCTCTAGCAAGCAAAATGTGGGTCTGAGACCAGCTGTGCTGGATCTACCATAAACTCTCAGCTCCTTGTAACTGAAAGGTGAGTAATGCCCTGCACAGAAACCATTGCTATTCCAGGCAAAAGGGAATGGAATCCTTTTTTCCAGAGATTGGAACCACAGTGGGTTAGAGATGGTGCAAACACAGGCTTCAGGCTTTGGAAAGCCAGGAGCTAGGATGGTGGGGACAGCTACTATATGCTTCTAAAGAAGTGAATGCACGTTTTGGTGAGAGGGAGTGAGGCTAAGAGAAGCTCCGTCATGGCTGGCAGGTAGACAGGAGAGAGGCTGATTTCTGAGGATGACTTAAATGATAGGCCAGACCAGATAAAATCTACCAGCCAGATATGCGTTCAGCAAATTCTTGAGCATGTATCGTTTGCTGGGCCTGGTGCAGAGAGTCTGGGATAGAAAGGTGAGGCTGCTGTAGCTGAGGGAGGAGAGAGGAGCTGTGTGGTGTGGGGCTGTGGACCTGTGGGAGCCCAGAGGGTCAGGAAAGTCTCCAGGAAAGGGGGCCGTTGGACTGGGTGTGGAAGACGGGGCACTTTGCCAGACAGAGGAGTGGAGGGAGTGAAGGTGGGTAGGGCATTTGCAGAGGCATAGGGGAGGGATGGACCAGGGCTGGTCAACCTGAGGCCATGTTAATGAGCTTGGTCTAGACACTTGAGTACAATGGGGAACCTCCAAGTGGTGTGGGGGATTGGCAGGTTTAATGTGGCAGCAGAGAGATCTGTGAGAAGCTGGTACCTTGATTCAGAGATGAAGGTCTGATAAAAGCCACAGCGGTGGTATGGAAATAAGTGAATGAACACAATTCTGAGCTAGCATTGGTGATTCACAGGCTGTAGAGGGGAAAGGATGGAGGAGTTGAAGATGACGCAGAGGCCTCTAGCTAAGGCAACCAAGTGGAAAGAATCTACTCCGCATTTTGCCAAAGAAAATGAATGAAATCAGCCATGCTTCCGACAGGCCAAGCATACGCTGCCTCCCCCATCCAGGCCTCAGCATCTCTCCCGGTCACGCCGATACCTGAAAACAGTGTGCAGAGGGGACACGGGCCTCAGCCCTCCCATAACATCCCAGAAGGAAAAGTTTAATCTTTAGAAACATGATAGAATTGTCAAAAGCCCATACATTGAGAAGCGAGAGGCCTGATTTTATTTCTGCGGCAACAGTTTAAAAAAAAATCTTCCATTAAAAAACTAAATAACAAAAAGCATGAGTCCTGGGGAAGGTTGGAGAGGAGTAGACAAAGAATAAGAGAAACCACTCACCCCTGAACCAAAGGATGCTTCAGCATCATGGACAGCAATACACCAAAAAAGGTGGCAAAACATTTCGTCATGCAGCATCATGGGCTCACAGTAGAAGATAACTGTCAGCCACCTGCAGCTGTATGCAAAGTCGTATAATAGGCTGAGTCATTAAGAATTCGGTATTGTAGGCCAGGCACAGTGGTTCATGCCTGTAATCCCAACACTTTGGGAGGCCGAGATGGGTGGATCACCAGAGGTCAGGAGTTAGAAACCAGCCTGGCCAACATGGCAAAAGCCTGTCTCTACTAAAAATACAAAATTAGCCGGGAGTTGTGGTGCGTGCCTGTAATCCCAGCTACTCAGGAGGCTGAGGCAGGAGAATCGCTTAGAACCTGGGAGGTGGAGATTGCAGTAAGCCAAGATCACACCACTGCACTCCAGCCTGGGCAACAGAGGGAGACTCTGTCTCACAAAAAAAAAGGAAAAAAAAAAGAATTCAATATTGTAGATGCTTTAGTATTTTCTGTCTATCCTCAGGAGAGGATGACCTTGGAGGCAGAGAGCTTACCACCATGCAGAGGGGAGAAACTAACTGCTGTGTTTCCATGCCACTCACCTCCCCAGTAAAGGTAAACAAGCTCCTCCAAGGTTCTAGGCTGGGACATGATGCTCAGGATCATCCAGCACTTTGAGAAAGAAAAGAGCAGTGGGAAGGAAGACTATGTGTGTTGGGATTGAGAGGCACAGGACAATTGGCACCTGAGTGTTATTGTGATGGGAACAGTCCTTCAGCCTCCCAGGAAGGGAGAGAACATGGACCTCCCACAGGCTCACTAGGCGAGGCTGTGATGACTGTATGGTCACTGTATGGCAAGGCCAAGGACCTTTGGCCTACCTGGCAGTGAAGGGATGGACTCTCCAGTAGAGCCACCAACCTTGGAAGGGAGTGTGTACTTGATTAAGGCTAAGCAAGGAGGAATGGTGGTGAAGACTCCATACATCTAGCAAAGCCGTGGGGCCCAGCCTGCTGTTGCAGGACTCTTATAAGCCTGGGACATATGTTCAGCCCAAGGCTTGGGAGGAAATCTGGAAGGTTATTGGTATTATTTGGTGGTCACAGAAGCTGGATTTAATTTGGTTTAGAAAGGCTAAATAAATGTGGCACTAGGTATACCTTTAGCATTGTGGAATAATTATACATCGTTTCATTCATTCAACAAATACTGAATATTTACAATGTATGCCTGGCCTTGAGGATACCTGGGGAGCAAAAACTGGCACAGCCTCACCAGGGGTGGAGGCTTATGCCTGTAATCCCAGCACTTTGGGAGGCTGAGGTGGGTGGATCACCTGAGGCCAGGAGTTCGAGACCAGCGTGGGCAACATGGTGAAACCCCATCTCTACTAAAAATTCAAAAATCAGCCAGGTGTGGTGGTGCATGCCTGTAATCCCAGCTACTCAGGAGGCTGAGGCAGGAGAATCGCTTGAACCCAGGAGGCGGAGGTTGCAGTGAGCTGAGACCGCGCCACCGCACTCCAGCCTGGCGACAGAGTGAGACTCCGTCTCAAACAAACAAACAAAAAACCTGACACAGTCTCCATCCTCCTGGGGCTTATCAATGAATGGAGACAGGCATTAATCAGATAGTAACACAAATAAAAACTGCAACCATAACTAACATTTCAGAGAAGGAAAAGTTACCCAAAGGTACGCTAGGAGAATGCACAGTGCAGAGTGTAAGGGACGCATCCCTGAGAAAATGATGCTGAGCTGAGAGGTGAGGAAGAGACTGGAGTCACCCGGAAGAGGAGTGGGGTGGCAAGAGAGCCCCAGGAAGAAGGAACAGCTTGCACAAAAGCCCTGGGAAGGGACAACTCAAGAGAGCTATGGGCCATGAAAGGAGGCCAGTGAGGCTGGGATAGGAGTGGGAAGGGTGCGGGAGTGGGGCTGGAAAGGCAGGCAGGGACCAGACATCTCAGACCCTCATCGGTCACAGAAAGAGCTGCCTCCTTAACACAGGAACGCTGGGAGCTACTGAAAGCTTCTCAATGGGGTGGGAGAGGGGCATTTTGGGAAGTTCACTGTTTCCGCCTGGGTACCCTCCAAAGCAGGGCCTGAAGGAAGGAACTGTGTGCAGGCAGTTGATGTGGAAGGTGATCCCAGGTATCTAAGATGAGGGATGAGGGAGAGGAAAAGAGGGAGGAGAAAAGCCAATCCAAGGGTGCATTACTGAGATGTTCCCCATCATGGGAAACCAGGACTGTTCGCCATCATAGGGCCAGGTGATCCCTGTACCTACCTCTGTGCAGGACATTGAATGCCTCTTGGAGTTGTCCACACCGCGACCCATGGGGGGATGCATTCATGCATCGGCTCCTGTCCCGCATTGACCAAGGGTTCCCCAGGGCGGTGGACTACCCCACGTGCGTCCAGACTGCACATGCCCATGCCATGTAGGCTCCTGCTGGGGTCCCATGCTGTGGCATCAGAGAAGCCCTAGCGCAGAAAGCAAACATCACACATCCTGTCCTTGAGGTAAGATATTCTTGGCGGAAACTATCATGGACATGGAGGCTGCCATTTCTATGATGGTGGGAGTCAGAGACAGGCTGAGAGGCTGTTCAGCAGAGACTCTGAGACACTGCTTTGGCTGCAGAGCCTACTGAGGGTGAGGAAGGAGGGTGGCTGTGCAGACAGAAATGAGTTAGGAGATGTGAAGATGGAAGGTTTGGGCTGTATTTTGGAGGTTGGGCCAACAGGACTGGCTGATAAAGCATCTGTGGAAGGGGATGAGGGGGAAGTGGAATCAAAATGGCCGACAGGCCAGGCATGGTGGCTCATGTCTGTAATCCCAGCACTTTGGGAGGCAGGCAGATCACCTGAGGTCAGAAGTTTGAGACCAGCCTGTCCAACATGGTAAAACCCCATCTTTACTAAAAAAAAAAAAAGTTAGCTAGGCGTGGTAGTGGGCGCCTGTAATCCCAGCTATTCGGGAGGCTGAGGCAGGATAATTGCTTGAACCTGGGAGGCGGAGGTTGCAGTGAGCCGAGATCGCACCACTGCACTCCAGCCTGGGCGACAATAACAAAACTCTGTGCCCCCAAACCAAAAAAAAGCCCACGGGTTTTCACCCTGAGAAATGGAATGAATGGCAGAAACCCTGCTTGTGGAGTCTTCAAAAGTGATTGAGAAGGGGTGACCAGTGGGGAAGGAGATGCACGGAAACAAAGAGAGGAGAGATCTTCAAAGACAGGATCAACTGCTGAAAAAGATAGTGTGGCAGCCTGAATAATGGCCCCCCAAAAGATGTCCACATCCTAATTCCTGCAGCCTGCAAATATTACTTTATATGGCACAAGAGGACATTGCAGGTGTGATTAAATTAAGGATTTTGAGATGGAGAGATTATCTTGGATTATCTGGGGGAGGGCCTAAACCTCCAAGGAATGCCAGCAGCCACCAGAAGCTGGAAAAGGCATGGAACAAATTCTCCCCTAGAGCCTCCCGAGGCTGTGTGTCCCTGCTGACACCTTGTTTTCAGCCCAGTGAAACTGATCTCAGACATCTGGCCTCCAGCACTGCAGGAGGATAAATTCTTGTTGTTTTTAAGCCACGACGCTGGTGGGAATGTGTCACAGCAACCATAGGAAGCTAATACAGATTTGTGGCTGGGCACAGTGGCTCATGCCTGTAATCCCAGCACTTTGGGAGGCAGAGGCAGAACGATCACTTGAGCCCAGGAGTTTGAGACCAACTTGGACAACAAAGCAAGACTCCATCTCCACACACACACACACACACACACACACACACACACACAAAATTTAAATTGGCCGGGCATGGTGGTGGGCACCTGTGGTCCCAGCTACTTGGAAGGTTAAGGCAGGAGAATTGCTTGATCCCAGGAGGTTGAGACTGCAGTGAGCTGTGTGCACCACTGCACTCCTGCCTCAGTGACAGCCTGAGACCCTGTCTCTCTCTCGAAAGAAGATTTGTATAGAAAGGCAATCACTGTGTTAGATGGCATGGGAGTTGTTGGGGAACCAGGAGGTTTGGATGTGGCGAAGAAAGGAAAGGGGAGTCAAGGATGACACCTGAGTTTTTCAGCATAAGGAAGTGGGTGACAGTGCCGCTTACTGAGATGGGGAGTAGGTTTTGGTAGCAGGATCAAAAGTTCTGTTTTGGCTCCATTAGGCTTGAGAGGAATGTGAGACACCATTGCTGCTAAAAATGGCACGGCCTGATGAAATCTAAGCCCAAATGTCCATGCAGGGCCTTGAAAAAGCCACAGGGTAATGCCTACTGGTTATGCAAGGAAAGAGAACTAGAAAGATTCGGAGGCCCTTGTCCAGAGCATACCAAATGTCTGTGCATGTGCAAGAAGGGAATTCTTCCTGCACCAGAGCAAGTGCCGGCTCATGCCAGGGCTGTCCCCAGGCATTCCAGAAATAACAGTCGGTGCCAGGGGGTCACAATGAATGCTAGGCAAGTTAACTTGATACTAGGGATGTAGCAGTGCATGCCAGAAGACAGACAATAGAAGCTGAGAGGAGTAACAAAGGAGTAGCTTTGGCATGTTGGGGAGGATAGTGAATGCAGGGAGTGACTTTGTATGTCAGGGGAGTGACCTGGCATGTGAGGGAACCAGAGGGGTCAAGGAATAAGCCTGGGACAGGCCATGTGCCATTGGACTAGCCATGGATGCAGCAGGAGTGAGATCCCAGCTGCCTGAGCCAAGCAGGGGTCTGTCAACACCTGGCTCTGAGAGCCCAGGGCTGCTGCTTTCCTGCCTCACCCCTGTGTCCTCCCTTTTCAGAAGAAGCTCGAATTGCAAAGACCCTTCCTGTCTCTGGAACCATTTCCATGTGCCTGAGCAAGACAGGCCCCTGCTCAGAGGGGATCAGCTCTCCCAGGAACCAACTACTGGAGTGAGAGGAGGTTCAAGGGTCCTGGAAAAAGTTCCAACTTTCCTCCTCCCCTTAACACACCTGGGATGGGGCCCTCACTTGTTCTCACCTACTTTCAGGAACCAGGAAGAGGAGAAATGTAAAAGGGGGATCAGATGGCCAAAAAACCACCATCAGGCCCTGAGGACTTTCTGAGCACCAACTGTGGGTCTGGGCCTGACCTGGGAGCTTGAGAGGCCAGTACGTGCCAGAGTGGAAGCAGCAGATCATGGGGCAAGGAGGGAGCAGGGAGGGGCAGGACAGTATGTGCCAGCAGCCAGCAGCTTCGGGGTTATTTCACACCTGCCTTTTCCTTTTCTCTATTATGTTAGGTAGGCTAACAGGAACTCTCCTTGTGCCCATGTTACAGATGAGAACAGTAAAGCTCAGGAAAGGGAAGTAACCAACCCAAGGTGACTGGCTCTTGACTCCCCCAGTCCAGCATTCTTCTCTTTATGGCTTGCTGCCTCTGGAGAAGAATCAGACGTGATCCCTGGCCTTGGTTCCCTCCTCAAGCCCCTCAAATTTTGCAAAGTCTTTGTTATGGTTTGGCTCTGTGTCCCCACCCAAAACTCATCTTGAATGGTAATCCCCATAATCCCCATATGTCAAGGGAGGGACCAGGTGGGAGGTGGTTGGATCATGGGCATGGTTTCCCCCATGCAGTTCTCATGATAGTGAGTGAGTTCCCATGAGATCTGAGAGTTTCATAATGTGGTTTTCCCTGCTCTTTCCCTGCTCTTGCTCACTCTGTCTTGCCTGCCACCATGTGAGACGTGCCTCTTCCCCTTCTGCCATGATTGTTTGTTTCCTGAGGCCTCCCTAGCCACGTAGAACTGTGAGTCAATTAAACCTCTTTTCTTTATACATTACCCAGTCTTGGGTATGTCTTTATAGCAGTGTGAAAAAGGACTAATATAGTCTTCTACTAGAGTACTTCTCAAGCTCTAAAATGCAGATTCTGATTCAGTAGTCTGGGGTGAGGCTTGAGGGTCACATTTCCAGCAAGCTCCCAGCTGACGTGGATGCTTCTGATCCAGATGACACTCTGAGTAGCAGAGTTCTACTCCTTCTCACGAGTCCTAATCCATCCATTCAGCCTCACCTAGCTGGGGACCCAAAGCTTGGTGGGGAAGTTTAGAGGTGGCCAGGTCCACCATACCAGGCCAGTAGCTCAGATTCCTGACCTGGTCCCCACCTACCCTGATGAGGGCCACACATTGTCTCCGAGGCTGCTCTGACCCTGTATTTACCTACCTCCATTAAGAGCCAATTCTCAAATCTTCTTTAATTTTAAAGCAAGGAAAAAGATCTTCTGAATACAAGATGACGTAATTCTAGTGTTTAATCTGCCATGATCTTATTCAGTCATGTTATTCACCAATTCATTCACCACTCACTGAAAAGACATTGACTCAGTCTTCTGGGTACTTTCCCTCCCCGAGCCTTGGTGGTTTCCCACCAGTACAATAAGGGAGTGAGTCTGGATTAGTGATCTCCACCCTGGCTGCATATTGAAATTACTGAAATTACCTAGGGAGCTAATTTGCTTTATTGAGATATAATTTACAGACAATAAGAGTCACCAACTTTAAATGTACCATTTGATCAGTTGTGCCAAATATATATAGTCATGTACCACCACCACGATCAACATATAGAACATTTCCATCACCACAAACCACACCCTCTGGCAGTCCACACCCACTTCAACACCAGCCTCTGACAACCACTGGTTAGCTTTTTGACATTATGGTTTCAATGTTTCTGAAATTTCCTAAAAATGGAATCATACAAAATGTAGTCTTTTGTGTCTGGTTTCTTTAACTTAGCATAATGCATTCTAAATTCACCCATGCTGTGTGCATGGGTAGTTTATTCCTTTCTACTGCTGACTAGTATTCCATTGTGTGGATGCGCCACAATTTGTTTATCCATTCACCAGTTGAGGAATATCTGGGGTTGCCCATTAGGCACAAGACTGTTACGAACATTCAAGTAAATTATTTGCGTGAACATGAACATTTGTTTGCATTTCTCTTGCATAAATACCTAGGGGTGAGATTGCTAGGTCACGTTGGGTATATGCTTAATTTTATGAGTAACTACCAAATGGTCTTTCCAAAGTAACTGCACCATCTTATACCCCCATCAGCAATAAATGAGCATTTCACAGCCTTGCCAACACTCGATATTGCCAGACTTCATCAATTTCACCATTCTGGTGAGTGTATAGAATAATATTGTAATTTAGTTTGAATCTCCCTGATGATTAATGATGTTGAGCATCTTTTCATGCTTGAGCATCTTTTCATGAGCATCATAGCACTGTCACTAATACTTTATCTTCCATTTTTGTATCCTTGCTGAAGAGTCTATTTAAATCTTTTGCTCGCATTTTATTCAACTGTTTGCCATCTTATTATTCAGTTGTAAGAATTTATACATCCTGGTTACAAGTCCTTTATAAATATCTTATTATACAAATATTTTTTACAATCTATAGCTTGCCTTTTTAACTTCTTATTAAATTTTGAAGAACAAAAGGTATGCTTTTGTTTAACTTTGGTTAAGTCCACCTTATTTAAGTTTTTTCTTTTATGGTTTGTGCTTTTTTTAAAATTAGAGATTTAGGAAATCTCTGATGAACCGAAGATCACACTAACTTTCTCCTATGTTTTGTCATATAAGTTTAGAGATTTAGCTCCCACATTTAGCTCTGTGATCCACCTTAAGTGTGTGTGTGTGTGTGTGTGTGTGTTAAGTGTGTGTGTGTGTGTGTGTGTGTGTGTGTGTGTGGTGTGAGGTAAGGGTTTATGTTTTGGCCCATGAATATCTAATTACTTTAGTATTATTTGTTGAAAAGGTTATTCTCTCCCCATTGGCTTACTTTACCTTTGTCAAAATCAACTGACCATCTATTTTAGGTCTATTTCTGAACTATCTATTGTGTTCCACTGAGCTAATTATCTATAATTGTGCCAATGCCTCAGGGTCTTCTTTATTGTAGCTTAATATTAAGTCTTGAAATCTGATACGGTAATATCTCCAAGTGATCTGTTTTCTTTCTGAAAATTGTTTGGGCTATTAGAAATCCTTTGTATTTCCATGTGAATTTTAGAATGGGCTTGTCAATTTCTTTAAATATCCTAGTGGGATTTTGATAGCAAACACAATGACTCTTTTAACACTACTGCATCTTCTGATTCATGAACATAGACTGTCTCTCTGTTTATTTAGATCATTTTTTAAATTACTGTAAGCAATAATTTATAGTTTTAATGTACAGGAATTGCACATATTTTATCACATTTATTCCAAAGTATTTCATACTTTTCATGCTATTGTAAATAGTATTTTTAAATTTCAATTTCCAATTATTTATTTCTGGTATACAGAAATACAATCAGTTTTTGTATATTAACCTTGAATCTTGTTACTGTGCTAACCCCACTAATCAATTCTAGTAGATTTTTTGTCGATCATTCAGGATTTTCTGCATAGACAGATGATTATGTAATCTGCAAGAAAAGATAGTTTTTTCTTTCCAATCTGTAAGCCTGCTATTGTTTCTTATTTTTCACTTTTTGCTTGCTTACACTGACTAGGACCTCTCTTACACTGGTCAACAGAAATGATGAGAATAAAAAGCCTTGCCTTGTTTTTAATCTTAGGGGGAAACATACACTCTTTCACCATTAAGTGTGACATTAGCTCTCAATTTATTATATATGCCCGTTCTCAGGGTGTGAGAAAGTTCTACTCCTGCTTTGCTGAGATTGTTTTTGGTTTTTCAGTCTTTTAAAATTATGAATGAATATGCAAATTTTCTCTAATGCCTTTTCTATATCTATTAAGATAATCATGTTTCCTTCTCATGGTCTATTAAGCTGGTGAAATATACTGATTTTTGAATGCTAAAATAACCTTGCATTCTTGAGATGAACTCCACTTAGTCATGATATGTTAATTTTTTCATATATTGCCAGATGCAGTTCACTAATACTTTGTTAAGGTATTTTGCTTTTTGTTGATGTGGGATATCAGACTGTAACTTTCCTTTCTTATAATGTCTTTGGTTTAGGTATCAGGATAATGCTTGCCTCATAAAAGAAATTAAGTATTCCCTCCTCTTGTGTTTTCTGGAAGAGTTTCTGTAGAATTGGTATTATTTTGTCTTTAAATGTTTGATATAATTAACCAGGTAAGCCATCTGGGCCTGGCATTTTCTCTATAGGAATGTTTTTTAACTACAGAATTGATTTTAAAAACAAACAAACAAATACGAACTGGGCTCTAAAATCAGGAAGAAGAACAATGTTGTCTGCATCCACTACTTCTTTTCAACATTGTACTAGAGATTCTAGCCAGAGAAACTAGGGAGGAAAAAGAAATAAAAGGCATCCATGTTGGAAGGAAGATGTGAAACTATCTCTATTTGCAGATGACATGATCCTGTAGGCAGAATATTCTAAAGAATATGCACACACGCACACATACACACAAACTACTGGAGCTAGTAAATGACTAGGAAAAATGTGGGATACAAAATCCAAATATAGAAATCGATTGTATTTCTGTAGTCTAGCAAACAATTATCAGAATATAAAATTTAAAAATAATTCCACCTACAATACCATCAAGAAGAATAAAATACTTAGAAATAAATGCAACCAAAAAGTTAAAGATTTGTACACTAAAAATGACAGAACATTATTAAAAGCAATGAAAGGGAACCTAAATAAATGGAAAGATATCCCATGCTCCTGGATTGGAACACTTAATATTACTAGGATAGCAGTACTCCTGGAGTTGATCCTCAGTGAAATTTCTATCAAAATTCAAATTGCCTTTTTTTTTTGTGGAAATGGACAAGCTGATCCTAAAATTCATATGAAAAATGCAAGGGACTCAAAACAGTCAAGGCAGAGTAGATAAAGAAGAACAAGCTTGAAGAAAGCTTAAAAATCACACTATCTGATTTTAAAACTTATTACAAAGCCACAGTAATCAAGACAGTGTGGTACTGATATAAAGACAGACATATAGAACAACAGAATATAATTGAGGGTCTAGAAATAAACCCATACATCTATGGTCAATTGATTTTCAACAAGGGTACAAATATCATTCAATGGGGGTTGAAAGACTGAGTTTTTTAACAAAAGGTGCTGAAACAACTGGATATCCACATGCAAAAGAATGGATGAATCCTATCTCATGCCATACATAAAAATTGACTTAAAATACATCAAAGACCAAAATATAAAGGTGAAAATTATAAAACTCTTAAAAGGAAGCATAGGTTTGCATTTTCTTGACCTTGGATTAGGTGTTGGTTTCTTAGATGTGACACCAAAAGCACAAACAACCTAAGAAAAAATAGAAAAATTGTATTTCATAAAAATAATAAATGTGCATAAAAAGACACTATCAAGAAAGTGCAAAGACAATCCACAGAACGGGAGGAAGTATTCGCAAATTATATGTCTGATAAGGACCTAGTATCCAGAATATATAAAGAACTATTACAACTCAACAACAAAAAGACAACTCAATCTTATAAATGAGCAAAAGATTTGAATAGACATTTCTCCAAAGATATATAAATGGCCAACAAGCATATGAAAAGATGCTTAACATCATTAGCCATTAGGGAAATGCAAATCAAAATCACAATGAGATACCACTTCACACCTACTAAGATGGCTATAAAAACAAATACAAAAAACAGAAATAACAAGATGTGGAGAAACTGGAACACTCATTCATTGCTAGTGAGAGTGTAAAACAGTGCTGCTGCTTTGGAAAACAGTTTGGTAGTTCTTCAAAAAGTTAAACATGGGTTACTATATGACCCAGAAATTTTACTTCAAGGTATATGTAACTGTGATGGTTAATACTGAGTGTCAACTTGAATGGATTGAGGGAAACAAAATATTAATCCTGGGTGTGTCTGTGTGGGTGTTGCCAAAAGAGATTAACATTTGAGTCAGTGGGCTGGGGAAGGCAGATCTACCCTTCATCTGGTGGGCACAATTTAATCCGCTTCCAACAAATATAAAGCAGGCAGAAAAGTGTGGAAAAGGGAGACGGCCCTGCCTCCAGGTCTACATCTTTCTCCCATGCTTGATGCTTCCTGCCCTCAAACATCAGACTCCAAGTTCTTCAGTTTTTGGATTCAGACTGGCTTTCCTTGCTTTTCAGCTTGCAGACAGCCTATTGTGGCACCTTGTGATCATGTAAGCCAATACTTAATAAACATATATATATCCTATTAGTTCTGTCCTTCTAAGAGAACTCTGACTAATACAATAACCAAGAGAAGTAAAAAGCATATGCTTACACAAATACTTGTTAAGGAATGTTAGTAGCAGCATTATTCATAATAGTTGAAAAGGCAAAACAACCTAAATGTCCATCAACTAATGACTGAATAAACAAAATGTGGCATGTCCATTCAATGGAATATTAGTCACAAACAAGAATGAAGTACTGATACATGCTGCAACATGGATGAATCTTGAAAAGTTATTCTCAGTGAAAGAAGCCAGACACAAAAGGTCATATATTATATGATTCCGTTTATGTGGAATGTTCAGAATCTGCCATAGAGACAGAAAGTAGATTAGTGATATCAGAGGCTGGGATAGGAGAGTATGGATAGTGATTGCTAACAGGTATGGGGATTCTTTTTAGGTTGATGAAAATGTTGGAACTAGATGGAGGTGATGGTTGCACAACCTTGTGAATATGTTGAAAACCATTGAAATGTACACCTTAAGATGGTGAATTTTATGTTACATAAAATTTTATTATATAAATTATCTCAGTAAAAAAATAAAGGGCTATTCGGAATTTGATTTCTTCTAATGTAAACCTTGATCATTTGTGCATTTCAAGTATTTTGTCTATTTCATCTAAGTTGTAAAATTTATTGGGCAAAGTTTGTTTATAATATTCCTGTATTATTCTTTTATTAACTATAGAACTCATTGTGATAGTACCTTTTTCATTCTTGATTTTGGTAATTTATGTCTCCTCTCTTTCTCCCTTATTTTTTCCTGACTAGTATGGCTAGGGGTTTGTAAATTTTATTCATATTTGCAAAGAACCAGCTTTTGCTTTCACTAAGTCAGTCCCTCATTCTCTCTCTCTCTTTCTCTCTCTCTCTCTGCCTCTTTCCCTCCCTCCGTCTCACTCTCCCTCCTATCCCACTCTCCTTCCCACCTCTATTTTTAAAACTTTCTTCTCTTATTTTTATTATTTTTCTCCCGTTTACTTTTGATTTAATTTTCTTTTCTTTCTCTAGTTTCTTGAAGTAAAACTTACATCATTGATTTAAGATCTTTTTTCTTTTTCTAATACAACCATTTAATGCTCTACATTTCCTTCTAAACACTGTTTGAGATGTATCCTGCAAATTTTGATATGCTTTGCTTTCATTTTCTTCCAGTGCAAAATATCTTGTGATTTCCCTTGTAATTTCTTCTTTGACTCCTTGTTTATTTAGGAGTACATCACTTAATTACCAAATATTTGGAGATTTTCCAGACATGTTTCTGTCATTGACTTAAAATCTATTTCTGTCATGTTCAAAGAACATACTTTGTATGATTTCAGCCTTCTTGGTTTTGTTTTATGGTCCAGAATATGCTTGCTCTATCTTGGTAAATGTTCCATGAGCACTCGAAAAGAATGGGCATTCTGCTGTTGTTAGGTGTTCTATAAAGGTCAATTAGGTCAAGTTGATTGATAGTGTTGTTAAATTTTTCTCTATTCTTACTGATTTTTTGTGTACATGTTCTAGCAACTACTGAGAGAAGAATGTTGACATTTCCAACTTTAACTGTAAATCTATTTTTTATCTCTATCAGTTTTTATTTCATATATTTTGAAGCACTAATGTTCAATGCATACACACTTGGGATTGCAATGTCCTTTTGATTAATTGATCCATTTATCATTATGAAATGTCTCTCTTTATGCCTGGTAATATTCCTTGTTCTGAAGTCTGCTTTGTATGATATAACCACACTAGCGTTCTTTAGATTAAGGCTTACGTGGTATATGTTTGTCCATCTTTTTACTTTTAACCTATCCTCATCCTCAAACGTAAAATAGGCTTCTTATAGCAACACATAGTTTGGTCTTGCCTTTTTAATCCTACCTTAACATGTCTGCCTTTTAATTGGAGTGTTTAGATGACCTTAAATTTTATGTAATTATTGATATCTCTAAATTTAAACTTACATCAATGCTATTTTAATTTTTTTGCCATGTGGTTTTTTGTTTTTTGGTTGTAATTTCCTGTATGAGCTTTTGCTTTTTTGTTTTATTTTTTCTTAGTTGCTCTAGGATTTACATTATACATGTTAAACTTATCATAGTCTACCTTCAAGTAATATTATAGCACTTCACTTATATTACTTAAGAATCTTACAATAGTATACTTCCATTTCTCCTCTCTCAGGCTTTGTGTATTGTTGCCATACATGTTATTTCTGCATATCTTTTAAACCCCAAATATGTTATTATTATTTTATCTTGAAATAGTCAATTATAAGCCCAAGAAGGAATATCAGGAACCAGATTTACCCTCCCATCCAACACAATAAATTTTTTAAAACATACACAAAATATAAAAAACAACACTTTGAAAGACATTGGACACCAGGCACTTAAGAAGTATTATCTCTGGGAAACAGGAAATAAAGCAGGCGAGCCCTCCCTTTGCTGCAGCTTATTTCCCTGAAAGAGTTTTCAGGCTTTGATGCAGGGAGGAAGAATCCAGGCAGAACCTAGTGGACTCCCTAAGTTCAGAAGACAAAGCTAACATCTTAATCTTTAGAAACATGATAGAATTGTCAAAAGTCCATACATTGAGAAGTGAGAGGCCTGATTTTATTACTGCAGCAACAGTTAAAAAAAAGAAAACCTTCCATTAAAAACTAAATAACAAAAAGCATGAGTCCTGGGGACTTACATCATTACCAATACTAGATGTTATCTTTTTACTGATTTGTCTACTCTGAAAGATAAGTCAAATCATCTCATTTTCTGTCATCAAATTCCCATTTTGATTTCTTCTTTGACCCAAAGGTTATTTTGACATATATTATTTTTCAAATATTTGGAGATTTTTCATATTTCTGTTATTGAAACCTTCCCCAGAGATAATACTCCTTAAGTGCCTGGTGTCCAATGTCTTTCAAAGTGTTGTTTTTTATATTTTGTGTATGTTTTTAAAAATTTATTGTGTTGGATGGGAGGGTAAATCTGGTTCCTGATACTCTTTCTTGGGCCTATAATTGACTATTTCAAGATAAAATAATAATAACATATTTGGGGTTTAAAAGATATGCAGAAATAACATGTATGGCAAAAATACACAAAGGCCGAGAGAGGAGAAATGGAAGTATACTGTTGTAAGATTCTTACAATATAAGTGAAGTGCTGTAATATTGCTTGAAGGTAGACTGTGATAAGTTTAACATGTATAATGTAAATCCTAGAGCAACTAAGAAAAAATAAAACAAAAAAGCAAAAGCTCATACAGGAAATTACAACCAAAAAAAACTGCTTGGCAAAAAAATTAAAATAGCATTGATGTAAGTTTAAATTTAGAGATATCAATAATTACATAAAATTTAAGGTCATCTAAACACTCCAGTTAAAAGGCAGACATGTTAAGGTAGGATTAAAAAGGCAAGACCAAACTATGTGTTGCTCTAAGAAGCCTATTTTATGTAAGGAAAGGGGCATTATGATGTTGGCAGGAATATGAAACTGTGTGATTTTTTAGGAGTTATTTGGAGGTATATATCAAAATTTAAAAGGCCCTTGCCCTCCGATCCAGCAGTTTCACTTTCAGGAATCTATCTTCCAGTATGGTTGTAGAAATTAATAGGTATGTAGAGACTCATAGCTGTATTATATAGTAAAAAATAGAAAATATTATCGCTGTCCGTCAGTAAGGGATTGGGTAAATAAAGCACATAGAGGGTCAAAATATCTAATATCCTGAACAAAATTACCAAAAAAAACCCCAAACTTACTTCTTTAGCCTTTGTTCCTGCCAATTTTCTTTCTCTAGGCTCTGGATACCTTGCCCCATGTGTACCTTTATTTTTAGAGGGACCAATGGAGGAGCTGGTTGTCTTTTAACTTCTATCCATTCTAGGTATTTCCCCCTTCATAATACTTGGGCCAGAAACAGGGAGTTGGCCTCTGACTAAAGCTCCAGTTTAGGCCTTAAACAGAAGCACTTGAATGTCTCTTGTCTCATCTGTCCCCTGTAAAGAAGGAGGCCCCAACCACCAATGCTCTCACCTTCACACAGCATTGCCTCTGAGGCAGCCTGCAGCTCACAGCAGAACTGAGAGATCTAGGTTTATCAGTGCCTGGCATGGAAGACAAGCTCCTTGTGGGTGAGCTGTTTGCTTGCTGTGGTACCTTCTCTTCAGCAACAACTTAAAAGCCAGAGTTGTCACCAGTAAAGAGCCTGAAGGCCTTCTCTCCATTGCCTCCTGTTTCTGTGACATAAAATCACCTGGGAACTTTACAGACACTGCCTCAGCTAAGTGATTAAGGCCAATATCTACAGTCATAAATCATGCTGATAGTATGGACCTGTATCCATTTCCTAGGCTGCCGTAACAAGTACCAAAGACTGGGAGGCTTAAAAAAACAGAAATTTATTGTTTCACAGTTCTGGAGGCTAGAAGTTTGAAATCAAGATGTCGACAGTGTCATGCTCTCTCTGACAGCTCTAGGGGAGAATCCGTCCTTGACTATTCTAGCTTTTGGTGCTTGCCAGCAATTCATGATGTTCATTCTACATGCACCACTCAAATCATACGGCTGTCTTCTCCCTGTGTATCTTCACATAATCTTCTCTCTGTACCTGTTTCTGTGTCCAACGTTCCCTTTTCTATAAGGACACCAGCCATATTGGATTACAGCCAGGGGATATCGTTGAATAATTTCATTATCTCTGTGAACACCTTATTTCCAAATAAGGTCACATTCTGAGGTACTGTGAGTTGGAGCCTAAACAGATCTCTTTTGGAGGGACACAATTCAACTTTTGATATGCTGTGATGAAAATGGCTCTTTACCTTTCTGTCTTCCTCTTAATAATCCATAACTCCAGTATAATGATGAGAAAATCATCACACAAATTCTGACTGAGTAGAGTAGAGAGGCGTCCTACAACATATGTGGCAAAACTCCTCAAAACTGTCAAGGTCATTGAAAACAAGAAAAGTTTCACCTCCTTTGAGAATGAAAGGAAAAAAAAAAAGAAAAGCATGAGAAATTGACATCGCCAAGAAACCTAAGGAGATATGACAACTAAATGCAATGTAGTATTGTGGATGGGATCCTGGAACAGAAAAAGGGCACTAGTAAAAATTAAGAAAATCTAAATAAACTGTAGACTTCAGTTAATAATAACATATGAATATTGGCTCATTAATTATAGTACTGTAAGATGTTAATAGGAAAAACTAGATGCAGTTTGACTTCTGTGCACCCACAGGCTGAACACCACGTGGAAGCTGCCAAGGCTTGGGGCTTCCACCCTCTGAAGCCACAGCCTGAGCTCTATGTTGGCCCCTTTCAGCCACAGCTGGAGTGACTGAGACATGGGGCACCAAGTCCCTAGACTGCACACAGCATGGGGATCTGTGTTGACTGCCCTGCTGGATTTCAAACTTGCATGGTGCAAAACTCTGTGTACTACTTAATTTTTCTGTAAAGTTAAAATGTTCTAAAAAATAAAATTTATGGCTGGGCATGGTGGCTCACGCCTATAATCCCGGCACTTTGGGAAGCCGAGGCGGGCGGGTCACGAGGTCAGGAGATCGAGACCATCCTGGCCAACATGGTGAAACCCCGTGTCTACGAAAAACTACAAAAATTAGCTGGGCCTGGTGACACATGCCTGTAATCCCAGCTATTTGGGAGGCTGAGGCAGGATAATTGCTTGAACCAGGGAGTCGGAGGTTGCAGTGAGCTGAGATAGTGCCACTGCACTCCTGCCTGGCGACAGAGTGAGACTCTATCTAAAAAAAAAAAAGTTTATTTTTAAAAAGGGAATTTGATAGCATATCAGAATTTGTGGAAGGCTGCTAAAGCAGTACTTGGGAAGTTTATAGCAATAAACTACATCTCTTTATATTGGAAAAGGAGAAAGTTTTCAAATCAATAGCTTCAGCTTCCAATTTTAGGACACTAGAAAAAGAAGAGCAAATAAAACCCAAAGAAAGAAAATAATAAACATTAAAGTGCATATCAATGAAACAGAAAACAAAAAGAATAGAAAAATTTAATGAAACCAAAATTTTGTTGTTTTAGAAGATCAATAAAGTTGCTAAACTCCAGCAAGAACATTCAGGAAAAAAAAAGCAGGGAATATACACAAATGACCAATATCAGTAATCAGACTTGATATCACTACAAATTCTAAAGATATTAAAAGGTAATGAGAATATATTTTTATTGATAAATAATATCTGTACATATTCTTATAGTATATGTGGTAATGTGATACATTTATATAATGTGTAAAGATAAAGTCAAGGTCATTGGGATATCTATCACCTTAAATATTTACCTTTTCTTTATGCTAGGTACATGATATGGTTTGGCTGTGTCCCCACCCAAATCTCAACTTTAATTGTATCTCCCAGAATTCCCACGTGTTGTGGGAGGGACCCAGTGAGAGGTAATTGAATCATGGGGGCCAGCCTTTCCTGTGCTATTCTTGTGGTAGTGAATAAGTCTCACAAGGTCTGATGGTTTTATCTGGGGTTTCCGCTTTTGCTTCTTCCTCATTTTCTCTTGCCACCACTATGTAAGAAGTGACTTTTGCCTTCCGCATGATTCTGAGGCCTCCCCAGCCATGTGGAACTGTAAGTCCAATCAAACCTCTTTTTTTCCCAGTTTCAGGTATATCTTTATCAGCCACATGAAAATAGACTAATACAATAAATTGGTACCAGTAGAGTGGGACATTGCCGAAAAGATACCCGAAAATGTGGAAGTGACTTTGGAACTGGGTAACAGGCAGCGGTTCAAACAGTTTGGAGGGCTCAGAAGAAGACAGGAAAATGTGGGAAAGTTTGGAACCTCCTAGAAACTTGTTGAATGGCTTTGACAAATATGCTGATAGTGATATGAACAGTAAAGTCCAGGCTGAGGTAGTCTCAGATGGAGATGAGAAACTTGGAGAGTGCAGCAAAGGTGACTCTTGTTATGTTTTAGCAAAAAGACTGGCAGGATTTTGTCTCTGCCCTAGAGATTTGTGGAACTTTGAACTTGAGAGAGATGATTTAGGGTATCTGGCAGAAGAAATTTCTAAACAGCAAAGTGTTCAAAAGGTGACTTGGGTGCTGTTAAAAGCATCCCATTTTAAAAGAGAAACAGAGCATAAAAGTTCAGAAAATTTGCAGCCTGATGATGCAGTCGAAAAGAAAAACCCATTTTCTTAGGAGAAATTCAAGCCGGCTACAGAAATTTGCATAAGTAGCAAGGAGCCTAATGTTAATCCCCAAGACAATGGGGAAAATGTCTCCAGGGCATGTCAGGGACCTTCATGGCAGCCCCTCCCATCACAGGCCCAGAGGCCCAGAAGGAAAAAGTGGTTTCGTGGGCCAGGCCCAGGGTCCCCATGCTGTGTGCAGCCTAGGGACTTGGTGCTCTATGTCCCAGTCACTCCAGCCATGGCTGAAAGGGGCCAACGTGGAGCTCAGGCTGTGGCTCCAGAGGGTGGAAGCCCCAAGCGTTGGCTTCCATGTGGTGTTGAGCCTGTGGGTGCACAGAAGTCAAGAATTGGGGTTTGGGAACCTCCGCCTAGATTTCAGATGTATGGAAACACCTGGATGCCCAGGCAAAAGTTCACGGTGGGGTGGGGCCCTCATGGCGAACGTCTGCTAGGGCAGTGCAGAAGGGAAATGTGGGGTCAGAACACCCATATAGAGTCCCTACTAGGGCACTGCCTAGTGGAGCTGTGAGAATAGGGCCACCATCCTCCAGACCCCAGAATGGCAGATCCACAGACAGCTTGCACCATGTACCTGGAAAAGCCACAGACACTCAGTGCCAGCCTGTGAAAGCAGGCAGGAGAGAGGCACCCTGCAAAGCCACAAGGGTGGAACTGCCCAAGACCATGGAAATCCACGTCTGGCATCAGTGTGACCTGGATGTGAGACATAGAGTCAAAGGGGGTCACTCTGGAGCTTTAAAATTTGACTGCCCTGTTGGATTTCAAACTTGCATGGGGCCTATAATGCCTTTGATTTGGCCAACTTCTCCCATTTGGAATGGCTGCATTTACCCAATACCTGTACCCCCATTGTATCTAGGAAGTAACTAGCTTGCTTTTTATTTTACAGGCTTATAAGCAGAAGGGACTTGCCTTGTCTCAAATGAGACTTTGGACTGTGGACTTTTGGGTTAATGCTAAAATGAGTTAAAACTCTGGGGGACTGTTGGGAAGGCATGATTGATTTTGAAATGTGAGGACATGAGATTTGGAGGGGCCAGGGTGGAATGATATGGTTTGGCTGTGTCCTCACCCAAATCTCAACTTGAATTGTATCTTCCAGAATTCCCACGTGTTATGGGAGGGACACAGGGGGAGGTAATTGAATCATGTGGGCCAGTCTTTGTTGTGCTAGTTTCATCATAGTGAGTAAGTTTCATGAAATCTGATGGGTTTATCAGCAGCTTCTGCTTTTGCTTCTTCCTCATTTTCTCCTGCTGCTGCCATGTAAGAAGTCTCTTTTTTCCTCCTGCCATGATCCTGAGGCCTCCTCAGCCATGTGGAACTCTGAGTCCAATGAAACCTCTTTTTGTTCCCACTTTTGGGTGTGTCTTTATCAGCAGCATTCCTGGGTGACAGCTGGACCACTCCAGAGATCTGCTCTACCTCCCATCTCTAAGCTGATATTAAGCTAATTTTATGACTCTTTGCCTACTGTGTGTGTGAGAGATGAAATTCTTTCCTTGGTACGTTCCCAGTTATGCCCCAGGATGTATAGGTTCTCAGAGACACCTGCTCCTTGGGTGGGCACCATGGCCTTTGCACATTGATCAGACTTCAGGGTTCAAGCGATGGACAAACATGCTTAAATAACCAGGTGGGGGACTTATCACACTATAATGGTGAATAATTTTTTTTTTTTTTGAAATGGGGTCTGGCTCTGTCACCCAGGCTAGAGTGCCATGGCTCGATCCTCTTGAGTAGCTGAGACTACAGGTGCACACCACCATGCCTGGCTAATTTTTTGTATTTTTAGTAGGGGCAGAGTTTCACCATGTTGCCCAGGCTGGTCTTGAACTCCTGGGCTCAAGCAATCCACCCACCTCAACCTGCCAAAGTGGTAGGATTATAGGCGTGAGCCACTGTGCCCAGCTGGTAAATAATCTTTCTAATGTGTTGTTGAATTCTGTTTGCTAGTATTTTGTTGAGGATTTTGCATTATGTGCATCAGTGATATTAGCCAATAGTTTCTTTTTTGTTTGTTTTTGTCTGATTTTGGTATCAGGGCAATGCTGGCCTTTTAGAATGAGTTTGGAAATATTCTCTTCTCTTCCATTTTTTCAAGGAGTTTGAGTAGAATTGGTATTAGTTCTTTAAATGTTTGGTAGAATTCAAATGTGAACGCTTCAGGTCCTGAGCTTTTCTTTGATGGAGACATTTTATTATGGCTTTGATCTTGTTACTAGTTATTGGTTTGTTGAGATTTTCTGTTTATTCATGATTCAATCTTGGTAGGTTGTATGTGTCCAAAAATTTACCCGTTTCTTCTAGGTTTTCCAATTTGTTGTTTGTGATAGCCTCTAATGATTCTTTGTATTTTTGTGGTCTCAATTGTTATGTCTCTTTTCATTTCTGATGTTCTTTATCTGAGTCATCTCTCTTTTTTCTTAGTCTAACCAAAGGTTTGTCAATATTGTTTATCTTTTCATAAAACCGACTTTTCATTTCATTGATCTTTTGTATTTTTCAGTCTCAATTTCTTTTATTTCTGCTCTACTCTTTATTGTTTATTTTCTTTTAGTAATTTGGGGTTTGGCTTGTTCTTGCTTTTCTAATCCCTTAAGGTGCATTGTTAGGGTGTTAGTTGTTAGACTTTTTACTTTTTTCATGTATGCATATATTGCTATAAACTTCCCTCTTACTAATGCTTTTGCTATATCGCATAGATTTGGGTATGTTGTAGTTCCATTTTCATTTGTTTCATTAAATTTTTTAATTTCCTTCTTAATTTCTTCATTGACCCATTGGTTGTGCAGGAGCATGTTGTTTAATTTCCAGGTGCTCGTATAGTTTCTGAGGTTCCTTTTGTTATTGATTTCTAGTTTAATTCCATTGTGGTCAGAAAAGATACTTGAAATGGTTTTGACTTTTTAAAATTTGTTGAGATTTGTTTTGTAGCCTTAAATATGGTCTATTACGGAGAACATGCCATATGCTGATGAAAAGAATATGTATTCTGCAGAAGTTGGGTAAAATATTCTTAAATGTCTGTAAGCTCCATTTGGTCTATAATGCAGTTTAAATCTGAGGTTTGTTGATTTTCTGTCTACATGATCTGTCCATTGCTGAGAGTGGGGTGCTAAAATTCCCTAATGTTAGTGTATTGCAGTCTCTCTCTCCCTTTAGATCTATTAAAGTTTGATTTATTTACTTGGGTGCTGTGGTATTGGGGGCATAGATGTTTATAATTGTTTTATTCTGTTGCTGAATTGACCCCTTTATCATGATATAGTGACTTTGTCTTTTATTACAGTCTTTAACTTGTAGTCTATAGTCTATTTTATCTGATATAAGCATAGTTACTCCTGCTTTTTTTTTGGTTTCCACTTGCATGTAATCTTTTTCCATCCCTTCAATTTCAGTGTATGTGTGTCTTTATAGGTGAAGTACATTTTCGTAGGTAGCATATGGTTGGGTCATGTTTCTTTATCTATTTAGCCATTCTGTGTCTTTTAACTGGAGAAATGAGTTGACTTACATTCAATTTTTGTTTCTTTGGTTGGTTGGTTTTGTTTTTTTTTAGAGACAGGGTCTTGCCCTGCCACCCAGGCTGGAATGTAGTGGTGCAATTACAGCTTGCTGCAGCCTCTGCATCCTGGGCTCAAGCAATCCTCCCACTTCAGCCTCCTGGGTAGCTGGGACTACAGGCATGTGCTACCACTCATGGCTAATTTAAACGGGGTTTCACCATGTTGCCCAGGCTGGTCTTGAACTATGGGGCTCAAGCAGTCCTCCTGCCTCAGCCTCCCCAAGTGCTGGGATCACAGCTGTGAGCCACCATGTCCAGCCTCTGTTACTATTGATTAGTAAGGATTTACTACTGCCATTTTGTTGCTTGTTTTCTGGTTGTCTTGTAACTCCTCTTTCCCTTTCTTTCTTTTATTTTTTATTTTTTTTTACCGTCTTCCTTTGTGGTTAAGTGATTTTCTCTTGTGGTATGTTTTAATTCACTGCTTTTGATTTTTATTAACTATATTATAGGTTTTTGCACTGTGGTTACCAAGAGACTTACAAAAAACATCATATAGGTACAACAAGTTATTTTAAAGAAGTGACAACTTATATCACACACACAAAAATAGAAACTATAAAACTTTAAAAATAACGCTACATTTTAACTTCATCTCTCCCACTTTTTGACCTTCTTTCTTTTTCAATTTATATGTTTTATATTGCCTATCCCTTAACAAGTTGCTCTAGTTTTTACTGTTTTTGATAGATTTGTCTTTTAGGCTTCATACTACAGTTACGAATGGGTTGCACACTACAATTACAGTAGAGTATTCTGTTTGTCTATATACTTCATTTAGCCAGTGGATTTTATACCTTCAAGTGTTTTCTTTTTGCACATTAAACTTTTTTTTCTTCTTTCAGACTGAAGAATGTGCTTTAGTATTTCTTGTAAGATAGGTCTGGTGGTGGTGAATTCTCTCAGCTTTTGTTTGTCTGTGAAAGACTTTACTCTCCTTCACATTTGAAGGATAAATTTGCTGGGTATAGTATTATTTATTTATTTATTTATTTATTTATTTTGAGACGGAGTCTTACTCTCTGTCGCCCAGACTGGAGTGCAGTGGTGCGATCTCAGCTCACTACAACCTCTGCCTCCTGGGTTCAAGTGATTCTCCTGCCTCAGCCTCCCAAGTAGCTGGGACTACAGGCACGCATCACCATGCCTGGCTAATTGTTTGTATTTTTAGTAGAGATGAGGTTTCACTGTGTTAGCCAGGATGGTCTCAAGCTCCTGAACTTGTGATCCGCCCACCTCAGCCTCCCAAAGTGCTGGGATTATAAGCGTGAGCCACCACACCCGACCCAGGCTATAGTATTCTAGAATGGCAGAGGTCTCTTTCTTTCAGCACTTTGAAAACATCATCCCACTCCTGTTTTTGTTGAGAAGTGTGTTGCAAGATAAATTGGAGCTCCTTTATATGTTATTTACCTCTTTTCTCTGCTGCTTTTAGGATCCTCTCTTTCTTCTTGACCTTTGAAAATTGGTTATTATATGCCTGGGTATAGTTTTATTTTGGTTGAATCTGTTTGGTCCTTCTGACCTTCTTGTACCTAGATATATATTTTTTCTCAAGTTTTGTAAAATTTTAATTATTTCTTTGAATAAGCTTTCTACCCTTTGCTCTTGCTCAGCTCCCTCTCAAACACCAATAATTGTATTTTTTTGGATTTGGCCTTTTGAGGTAATTTTCTATATCTTTTAGGCAATCTTCATTCTTTTCTCTTTTTTTTTTCTTATTTCTCTGCTGACTGTGCATTTTCAAATAGCCTATCTTCGAGATCACTGATTCTTTTCTCCACTTGATTCATTCTGCTATTGAAAGCCTCTAATGAATTTTCCAGTTCAGCAAATGTATTTCTGTTTTAATATTCCTGTTTGATTTTTTAAAAATTATTTTAATCTCTTTGTTAAATTTCCCTGATAACTGTCTGAATTGCTTCTCTGTGTTATCTCGAAGATCACTGCATTTCCTTAAAACTGCTATTTCAAATTCCTGGTCAGATACCTCACAAATTGTTGTTTCATTAGGGTTAGTCATCAGTTCCTTACTTTGTCCATTCAGGGATGTCATGGGCCCCTGTTTGCTGTTGTTCCTTATGGATATAAATCTATGTCTTGCATTGAATGATTATTTATTTATTCCAGTGTTCTCTATCTGGCTTTTTAAAATTTTATTAAATATGTCAGCATAGAGAGTCTTTGTAATTTACCTGTTGAATTTTTTTCACAAGGTCTCTGCCTCCTTGTTGGCCTCTGATGGTGCCTTAAGCCCAGGTTTGCCTCAGCTCTAGTAAACAATCAGCATGATGCTAATCTCAAATGGGGGAGCACCCAGAGGGAATATCCCAGCTGTGTGGGGAGACTAACTAGGAGTTCATGCCTAGGAGAACTCCTACAGCATGGTGCTGCTGAACAGCCACTCTGACTTGGCATCTCCTTTGCACAAGTTACAGAACAGAGTTTCCAGGGCTGGGAATGGTAGTCCTATATCCCCCATTGTTCTGGGTGACCTTAGGGGTATTTCTCACCTCAGACACTTGCAATTCTTCCCATGGGTTGAAGTAGAGACAGGTCACCTGCCAGGGAACCCAAAATAATGAGGAAACTAATTGCCCAACTTGACCTCACTTATTCCAGTGTAGAAACTGTGAGTCAGGGGAAATTTTCCACATGGTTAGTGCTGGGCAGACTGAGGTGAGAGGCATTGTGGATGTGTAAGTTTGATTCTTTTATCATCTTCTCAGTTTTTTCACTTCTCTGTGGCCCCAAGAAGAGTCTCATTCTCATATTTCAGTTCTGATATATGGCTGGTGATAGTCTTGGTACTGTATACTTGTTTTGGGGCTTTTTGTGGGGGTGAGTTGTAAAGCCAGCTTGCTTCTATGCCACCATTTTGGAACCCAATAAGGGAATATTATGAAAACTTTTCTGTCAATAAATTTAACATAGATGAAATTGACAAATTCCTTGAAAGACAGATTACCAAAGATCACTCAAAAAGAAATAGATATCCTGAATTGCCTTATATCTATTAAAGGAATTTAATTCCTTCCCATAGAGAAAACTCTAGGTTCAGGTGTCTTCACTATTGAATTCTACCAGGAATTGATTGACAAAGTAACTTCAATTCTACAGAAAACTCTTGCAGAAAATAGAAGAAGAGAGAATACTTCCTGTCTCATTTTATGAGACAAGCATTGCCCTAATACCAAAATCAAAGATAAGAAAGGAAAGCTATAGTCCAATATCTCATATCAATAAAAGGCAAAACACCTTAACAAAATACTAGTAAACCAAATCTAGCAATACATGAAAATGAATTATACCATGACTAGTGGAGGTTATCCTAAAAATGCAAAGTTGTTCAGCATTCAAAAAACAAAGTATTTAACTAGCTCAAAAGACTGAAAAAGAGAAAGAACATTATAGTTACCTAAATGGGTACAGAAAAGGCATTTGAGAAAATTGAACATGCATTCATGATGTTAAAAAGCAAACTCTCAGCAAACTGGGGATAAAAGGAAATTTTTTCAACCTGATAAAAGGCATCTATGGAAAAACTAAGCACTAAAATCACACTTAATGGTGAAAGGCTGAATGTTTTCCCTAATGTTAAAAAACAGGGCAAGGATTTCCACCCTCACCATTTCTGTTGAGCATTATAATGGAGGTACTAGCCAGTGCAACCAGGCAAGCAGGCAATAAAAAGAAATAAAAAGCATACAGATTGGAAAGGAAAAATTAAAGCTGTCTTGTTCACAGATAACATGATCACATTTATGTAGAAAATCCTAAGGGATTGGAAAAAAAGCTATTAGAATTGACGAGAGACATAGTAACAGAATATAAAAATCTATCGTGTTTCTGTATACTAAGAATGAACAATTGAGAATTCAAATTTAAAATATTGTTTATAACAGCAACAGTAATATAAAATACTCTGGAATAGATTTAGTAAAATGTGTGCAATTCTTCTACACTAGAAACTATGATATATTGCTCAAATAAATTAAAGAATACCTCAATGAAAGACATATTATGTTCATGAATCACAAGGGTCAATATTGTTAAAACATCAGTTTTCTCCACATTTTTCTATCAGTTGCATAAAATCTCAGTCAAAATCCTATCAGGCTTTTGATAGAAATTGAACAATTAAATCCAAATTGTATATGAAAATGCAAAGACCTTAAAAAGCAAAAAACTTTGAAAAAAGAACAAAGTTAGAGAGCTAATACTATCTGATTTCAAGACATTATAAAGCTACAATAATCAAAACACTATACTATAGCCTTAAAAACAGAGAATAGTTAAGTTGACCAGAATAGAAAGTCCAGAAGTGAAACCACACATATATGGATAATTGATTTTTTACTAAGGCACAAAGGCAATTCAATGGAAAACTGATAATCTTTTTAGTAAATGATACTGGGACAACTGGATATTCATATGCAAAAAACTTTGATCTATAATTCATGTCATACACAAATTAACTCAAAATGAATTATGCACCTAAAACTGTAAAATCCAAAACTATAGAACATCTAGAAGGAAAGTTAAAAGAAAATCTTTGTTACCTTCAGTCAGGCAAAGATTTGCTAAAATCTTATGGATCACCAAAAGCATTATCCATAAAAGAATAAATTGACAAATTGAACCTCATGAAAATTTAAAACGTCTTTTCTTCAAAATATGCACTTAAAAGAATGAATCTTGGAGAAAATCTTTGCAAAGCATATGTATGATAAGGGACTTGTTTCCAGAACATACACAGAGAACTCAAAATTCCATAATATGAAAAAAATCTGACATAAAATTTGCAAAAGGTATTTGTGAAATTGATATTCCACTAACGAGGAAATCTGGATAGCACATAAGCACATGAAAAGATGCTCAACATTATTAGTCATTAGGAAAATGCAAGTTAAAATCACAATTAGGTACCACTACATACTTATTGGAATTATAAATGTTGAAAAGACTGACTGATATGGTTTTGATGTATATCCCCTCCAAATCTCATGTTGAAATGTAATTTCCAGTGTTGAAGGTGGGGCCTAGTGGGAGGTGTTTGGGTCATGGGGGCAGATCCCTCATTAATGGCTTAATATCATCCTCACAGTAATGAGTGAGTTCTTGCTCTGTGTTCATGCAAGACCTGGTTGTTTGAGAGTGTGGCACTTCTCCGTTCTTGCTCCCTCTCTCATCATGTGACATGCCCACTCCTCCTTTGCCTTCTGCCATGATTGGAAGCTTCCTGAGACCTTACCAGAAGCAGATGCCAGTACCATGCTTCTCATGTAGCCTGTAGAACTGTGAGCCAAAAGAAACCTCTTTTCTTCATAAATTACCCACCCTCAGGTATTCCTTTTGAGTGACCCAAAATGGCCTAACATAGAAAACTGATACCAAGGAGTAGGGTATTGATATAAAGATACCTGAAGGTGTGGAAGCAGCAGAGGTTGGAATAATTTGGAGGGCTCAGAAGAAGACAGGAAGGCGAGGAAACTTTTGGAACTTCTTAGAGATTTGTAAGCAGTTATGACCAAAATGCTGATAGTGGTATGGACAGTGAAGTCCAGGCTGATGGCTTCTCAGATGGAAATGAAGGAATTTATTGGGAACTGGAGTAAAGGTCACACTTGTTATGCCCTAGCAAAGAGCTTGGCTGCCTTGTGTCCATGTCCTAGGGCTTTGTAGAAGGCTGAACTTAAGGTATCTGGCAGAACAAATTTCTAAGTAGCAAGGCATTTAAGAAACAATGTGGCTGCTTCTAATAGCCTACAATCAGATATAAGAGCAAAGAAATGACCTAAGGTTGGAACTTATAATTAAATGGGAAGCAGAGCATAAAAGTTTAGAAAATTTGCAGCCTATGTGATAGAGCAAGAAAAGGTGCTTTCAGGAAAGGAATTCAAGCAGCCTGAGGAGCAACCATTTGCTGGAGAGATTTGCATAACTAAAGGCAGCCAAGTGCTAAAGGTCAAAACAATGGGAAAAGAGCCTTGAAGGAATTTCAGAAATCTCCAAGGCAGCTCTCCCATCACAGGCCAAGAGGCCTAGGAGGAAAAAATGGTTTCAGGCATTAGGCCTGGGGCCCTGCTGCCCTGCTCAGTCTCAGGAGGCTGCTCCCCACATTCTGGGAGCCCCAGCTCCAGCCATAGCTCAAAGAGCCCCAGATAAAGCTTGGGCTGCCACTTTGGAGACTGCAAACCACCATGAACCCTGGCGATTTTCACATGGTGTTTAGTTTGCAGGAGCACAGAATGCAAGAGTTAAGGAGGCTTGGCAGCTTCTCCCTAGATTTCAGAGGATGAACAGGAAAGCCTGGGTGCTCAGACAGAAGCCTGTTGCAGGGGTGGAACCCCCCCACACAGGGCACTGACTACTGGAGCTATGGGAAGGGACCTGTCACCTCCAGACCCAGAAGGGTAGAGCCACTGGTAGCTTGCACCCTAAGCCTCAAAAAGCCTAAGGCACTCAATTCCAACCTTGAGAGCAGCCATAGAGGCTGCACCTGGCCAACTCACCCTTGAAGCCTTGAACTCCTGGGTTTAAGGGATCCTCCTACCTCAGCCTCCTGAGTAGCTGGGGTTACAGGCATGTGCCAGGCAAGGGGCAGAGCTACCCAAAGCCTTAGAGGTTGGAACAGTTGGGAGAGCTCAGAAGAAGACAGGAAAATGTTGGAAGGTTTGGAACTTCCTAGAGACTTGTTAGAATGACTTTGACCAAAATGCTGATAATGATATGGACAATGAAATCCAGGCTAAGGTGGTCTCAGATAGAGGTGAGGAACTTGTTGGGAACTGGAGCAAAGGTGACTCTTGTTATGTTTTAGCAAAGAGACTGGCAGCATTTTGCTCCTGCCCTAGAGATTTGTGGAACTTTGAACTTGAGAGAGATGATTTAGGTTATCTGGCAGAAGAAATTTCTAAGCAGCAAAGCATTCAAGAGGTGACTTGGGTGCTGTTAAAGGCATTCAGTTTTATAAGGGAAGTAGAGCATAAAAGTTCAGAAAATTTGCAGCCTGACAATGCAATAGAAAAGAAAATCCCATTTTCTGAGGAGAAATTCAAGTCAGCTGCAGAAATTTGCATAAGTAACGAGGTGCCAAATGTTAATCACCAAGACAATGGCGGAAATGTCTCCAGGCCATGTCAGAGGTCTTCCTGGCAACCCCTTCCATCACAGGCCTGGAGGCCTAGGAGGAAAAAGTGGTTTCATGAGCCAAGCCCAGGGTCTCTGTGCTGTGTGCAGCCTAGGGACTTGGTGCCCTGAGTCTCAGCCACTCCAGCCATGCTGAAAGGGGCCAACGTAGAGCTTGGGCCGTGGCTTCAGAGGGTGCAAACCCCAAACCTTCACAACTTCCACATGGTGTTGACCCTGCAAGTGCACAGAAGTCAAGAATTGAGGTTTGGGAACCTCTGCTTAGATTTCACAAGTTGTATGGAAATGCCTGGATATCCAGGCTGAAGTTTGTTGCAGGGGCAGGGCTCTCATGGATGACCTCTGCTAAAGCAGTGCAGAAGGGAAATGTGGGGTCAGAACCCCCACACAGAGTCCCTACTGGGGCACTGCCTAGTGGAGCTGTGAGAAGAGGGCCACTGTCCTCTAGACCCTAGACTGGTAGATTTACTGACAGCTTGCACCATGCACTTGGAAAAGCCACACTCAATGCCAGCTCATGTAGGCAGCTGGGAGGGTAGCTGTACCCTGCAAAGCCACTGGGCTGGAGCTGCCCAAGACCATGGGAACCCACCTCTTGCATCAGTATGATCTAGATGTGAGACATGGAGTCAAAGGAGATCACTTTGGAGCTTTAAAATTTGTCTACCCTGCTGGAATTCGAACTTGCATGGAGCCTTTATCCCTTTGGCCAATTTCTCCCATTCAGAATGGTTGTATTTACCCAATGCCTGTATCCCCATTGTATCTAAGAAGTAACTAACTTGCTTTTGATTTTACAGACTCATAGGTAGAAGGGACTTGCCTTACCTTGTCTCAGATGAGATTTAGGACTGTGGAATATTGAGTTAATGCTGAAATGAATTAAGACTCTGGGGGACTTTTGGGAAGGCATGATTGGTTTTGAAATGTGAGGACATGAGATTTGGGAGGAGCCAGGGGCAGAATGGTTTGGCTGTGTCTCCATCCAAATCTCATCTTGAATCCCCACATGTTGTGGGAGGGACCCAGTGGGAGGTGATTGATCATGGGGGCAGGTCTTTCCCATGCTGTTCTTGTGATAGTAGATGGGTCTCACAAGATCTGATGGTTCTATAAGAGGGAGTTTCCCCGCATGAGCTCTCTCTCTTTGCCTGCTGCCATCTATGTAAGACATGACTTGGTCCTCCTTGCTTTCTTCCATGATTGTGAGGCTTCCCCAGCCACATGGAACTGTAAGTCAATTAAACCTCTTTCTTTTGTAAATTGCCCAGTCTCAGGTATATCTTTATCAGCAGTGTGAAAATGGGCTAATACAGCTGGAAACAGACATCCCTGGGGAGCCTTTTAAATATTGAAACATGAATCCCATACCAGGGTGTTCTGGGGGCAGACCTGGACATTGGGTATTTATTGATTGATTTTTATTTAACTTTTAAGTTCAGGGGTACATGTGCAAGTTAGTTATAAGTAAACTTGTGTCATTAGGGTTTGTTGTAGAGATTATTTTGTCACCCAAGTGTTAAGCCTAGTACTCATTAGATATCTGATTCTCTCCCTACTCCCACCCTTCACCCTCCAATAGGCCCCAATGTATGTTATTTCCATCTATGTATCCATGTGTCCTCATCATTTAGCACCTAATTATAAGTGAGAACATGCAGTATTTGGTTTTCTGTTCCCACATTAGTTTGCTAAGGACAATGGCCTCCAGCTCCACCCATGCTCCTGAAAAGGACATGATCCCATTCTTTTTTATGGCTGCATAGTATTCCATGGTGTATGTGTACCACGTTTTCTTTACACAGTCTACCATTGATGGACGTTTAGGTTGATTCCATGTCTTTGCTATTGTGAATACTGCAGCAATAAACATGCACGTACATGTGTTTTTATGACAGACTGATTTATTTTCCTTTGGATATATACCCAGTATTGCTGGCTAAAATGGTATGTCTGTTTTTAGGTCTTTGACAAATTGCCACACTGTTTTCCACAATGGTTGAACTAATTTACATTCCCACGAAGAGTGTAAAAGCATTCCTCTTTCTCCATAACCTCACCAGCATCTGTTATTTTTTGACTTTTTAATAACAGCCATTCTGACTGGTATGAGACAGTATCTCATTGTGGTTTTGGTTTGCATTCTGTAATGATCAGTGATGTTGAACTTTTGATGATCCCAACATCCAGATGAAAATGCAAAAAATTGACACCTTGATTTGAGCCTTGTGAGGTTACCTTCCAAGGTATTTAAAATTCCTAGGTATTTTATTATTTTCATATGCTTCGTGGCTGCATACATGTTTCCTTTAGAAAAGTGTATGTTCATGTCCTTTACCCACTTTTTAATGCGGTTGCTTGTTTTCATGTAAATGTAAGTTCCTTATAGATGCTAAATATTAGACCTTTGTCAGATGCATAGTTTGCAAATATCTTCTCCCATTCTGTAGGTTGTCTGTTTACTGTGTTGATAGTTTCTTTTGTTGTGCAGAAGCTCTTTAGTTTAGTTAGATCTCATTTGTCAATTTTTGCTTTTATTGCAATTGCTTTTGGCATCTTTGTCATGAGTGCTTTGCCCATTTCTATGTCCAGAATGGTATTGCCTAGGTTGTCTTCCAGGGTTTTTATAGTTTTGGGTTTTACATTTAAGTCTTTAATCCATCTTGAATGATTTTTGTATATGGTGCAGGGAAGGGGTCCAGTTTCCATCTTCTGTATATGGCTAGCCAGTTATCACAGCACCATTTATTGAATATGGAGTCTTTTCCCCATTGCTTGTTTTTGTCAGCTTTGTCAAAGATCAGATAGTTGTAGGTGTGTGGTCTTATTTCTGGACTCTATTCTGTTTCATTCATCTAAGTATCTGTATTTATAACAGCACCATGCTGTTTTGGTTATCATAGCTCTGTAGTATAGTTTGAAGTCAGGTAGCATGATGCCTCCAGCTTTGTTCTTTTGGGTTAGGATTGCCTTGGCTATTGGGGTTCTTTTTGGTTCCAAGTGAATTTTAAAATAGTTTTTTCCAGTTCCACGAATAATGTCATTGGTAGTTTAATAGGAATCGCGTTGAATCTATAAATGGCTTTGGGGAGTATCACCATTTTAACAACATTGATTCTTCCTATCCATGAGCATCGAATATTTTTTCATTTGTTTGTGTCATCTCTGATTTCTTTGAGCAGTGTTTTGTAGTTCTACTTGTAGAGATCTCTCACCTCCCTAGTTAGCTGTATTCTAGGTATTTTATTCTTTTTGTGGCAATTGTGAAAGGGAGTACATTCCTGACTTGGCTCTCTGCTTGACTGTGATTGATGTATAGGAATGCTAGTAATTTTTGTACATTGATTTTGTATCCTGAGACTTCGCTGAAGTTGTTTAACAGTTTAAGGAGCTTTTGGGCCGAGACTATGGGGATCATGTCTGCAAATAGGGATACTTTGACTTCCTCTCTTTCTATTTGGATGCTCTTTATTTCTGTCTCTTGCCTAATTGCTCTGGCCAGGACTTCCAATACTATGTTGAATAGGAGTGGTGAGAGAGGGCATCATTGCCTTGTGCCAGTTTTCAAGGGGAATGCTTCCAGCTTTTGCCCATTCAGTATGATGTTGGCTATCGGTTTGTCATAGATGGCTCTTATTATTCTGAGATATGTTCCTTCAATACCTAGTTTATTGAGAGTTTTTAACATGAAGGAGTGTTAAATTTTATCAAAAGCCTTTTCTGCATCTACTGAGATAATCATGTGGTTTTTGTCTTTAGTTCTGTTTATGTGATGAATTACGTTTATTGATTTGTGTATGTTGAACCAATCTTGCATCTCAGGGATAAAGCCTGTTTGATCATGGTGGATAAGGTTTTTGATGTGCTAGATTCAGTTTGCCAGTATTTTGTTTAAAATTTTTGCAATGATGTTCATCAAGGATATTGGCCTGAAGTTTTCTTTTTTCGTTGTGTCTCTGCCAAGCTTTGGTACCAGGATGATGCTGACCTCATAACATGAGCTATGGTAGAGTCCTTCCTCCTTAACTTTTTTTGAATAGTTTTAGCAGGAATAGTACCAGCTCTTTGTACATCTGGTAGAATTCAGCTGTGAATCTGAGTGGTCCTGGGCTTTTTTTGGTTGGTAGGCTATTTATTACTGATTCAATTTTGGAGCTCTTTATTGGTTTGTTCAGGGGTTCAATTTCTTCCTGCCTCAGTTTTGGGAGGGTGTATATGTCTGGGAATTTATCCATTTCTTCTAGATTTTCTTGTTTATGTGCATAGGGTGCTCATAGTATTCTCTGATGGTTATTTGTACTTCTGTGGGGTCTATGGTAATATCCCCTTTGTCATTTTTGATAATATTTATTTGGATCTTCCCTCCTTTCTTCTTTATTAGTGTAGCAAGTAGTCTCTCCATTTTATTAATATTTTTCAAAAAGCCAACTCTTGGATTTGTTAATCTTTTTAATGGTTTTTTGTGTCTCAATCTGCTTCAGTTCAGCTCTGATTTTGGTCATTTCTTGTCTCCTGCTGGCTTTGAGGTTGGTTTTCTCTTGGTTCTCTAGTTCTTCTAGTTGTGATGTTAGGTTGTTAATTTGGGATCTTTCTAACATTTTGATGTGGGCATTTAGTGCTATGAATTTCCATCTTAACACCACCTTAACTGTGTCCCAGGGATTCTGGTATGTTGTATCTTTGCTCCCAGTAGTTTCAAAGAACTTAATTTCTGCCTTAATTTCATTATTTACCCAAAAGTCATTCAAAAGCAGGTTATTCAATTTCCACATAATTGTATGGTTTTCAGTGAATTTCTTAGTCTTGATAGCTCATTTGATTGTGCTGTGGTCTGAGAGATTGGTTGTTATGATTTCAGCTCTTCTGCATTTGCTGGGGAGTGTTTTATTTCCAATTATGTGATTATTTTAGAGTATGTGCAGTGGGGTGATGGGAAGAATATATATTCTGTTGTTTTTGGGTGGACAGTTCTGTGGCTATCTATCAGGTTCATTTGATCCAGTGCTGAGTTCGGGTCCTGAATATCTTTGCTAATTTTCTGCTTTGATGATCTGTCAGTGGGGTGTTGAAATCTCCCACTGTTACTGTGTGGGAGTCTAAGTCTCTTTGAAGGTCTCTAAGGACTTGCTTTATGAATCTGGTTGCTCCTGTGTTGGGTGCATATATGTTTAGGATAGTTAGGTCTGCTTGTTGAATTGAACCCTTTACCATTCTTTGTCCTTTTAAATATTGGTTGGCTTAAAGTTTGTCTGCTATTAGGATTGTAATCCCTCATTTTTTCTGTTTTCCATTTGCTTGGTAGATTTTTCTCTGTCCCTTTATTTTGAGCCTATGGCTGTCATTACATGTGAGATGGATGTCTTGAAGACAGCATGCCAATGGGTCTTGGTTCTTTATCCAGCTTACCACTCTGTGCCTTTTAACTGGGGGCATTTAGCCCATTTACATTCAAAGTTAATATTGATATATGTGGATTTGATCCTGTCATCATTATGTTAGCTGGTTATTATGAAGACTTTTTATATGGTTGCTTTATAGTGTCACTGATCTGTGTACTTCAGTGTATTTGTGTAGTGCCTGGTAACAATCTTTCCTTTCCATATTTAGTGCTTCCTTCAGGAGCTTTTGTAAGTTCTGGTGGTAATGAATTCTCAGAGCATTTGCTTGTCTGGGAAGGATCTTATTTTTCCTTTGCTTATGAAGCTTAGTTTGGCCAGATATGAAATTCTGGGTTGGAATTTCTTTTAAGAATGTTGAGGTCAGGAGCGGCATCTTATGCCTGTAATCCCAGCACTTTGGGAGGCCAAGACAGGTGGATCACGAGGTCAAGAGATCAAGACCAGCCTGGCCAACATGGTGAAATCCCATCTCTACTAAAAATACAAAAATTAGCTGGGCATGGTGGTGCATGCCTGTAGTCCCAGCTACTCAGGAGGCTGAGGCAGGATAATCACTTGAACCTGGGAGGCAGAGGTTGCAGTGAGCCAAGATTGTGCCACTGCACTGCAGCCTGGTGACAGAGCGAGACTCCATGTCAAAAAAAAAAAAATGTTGAATATTGACCCCCAATCTCTTCTGGCTTGTAGGGTTTCTGCTGAGAGGTCTACTGTTAGTCTGACGGACTTCCCTTTGTAGGGGACCTAACCTTTCTCTCTAGCTGCCTTTCACATTTTTTCCTTTCATTTCAACCTTGGAGAATCTGATGATTATGTGTCTTGGGGATGATCTTCTTGTGAAGTATCTTACTGGGGTTCTCTGCATTTCCCTCTATTTGAATGTTGGCCTCCCTAGCTAGGTTGGAGAAGTTCTCATGGATGATATCCTGACACATGTTTTCCAAGTTGCTTACATTCTCGCCATCTCTTTCATGACACCAGTGAGTCATATATTTGGTCTCTTTGCATAGTCTTATATTTTTCAGAGATTTTGTTTATTCTTTTTCATTCTTTTTTCTCTATGCTTGTCTGACTGTCTTATCTTCAAGCTCTGAGTTTCTTTCATTTGGCCTATTCTGTTATTAATACTTGCGATTGCAGTATGAAATTCTTATATTATGTATTTTAAGCTCTATCAGGTCAGTTATGTTCTTTTCTATACTGGCTATTTTGTCTTTCAGCTCCTATATCATTTTATTCTGATTCTTAGCTTCCTTGGATTGGGTTTCGATATATTCCTACATCTCAATGGTCTTCATACCTCTCCATATTCTGAATTCTATTTCTGTCATTTCAGCCATCTCAGCCCAGTTCAGAACCCCTACTGGAGAGATGGGGCAGTTGTTTGGAGGAAAGAAGGCACTCTGGCTTTTTGAGTTGTCAGGGTTTTGCACTGGTTCTTTCTCATCTGCGTTGGCTTATGTTCCTTCGATCTTTAAAGTTGCTGCCCTTCGATATTTTTATCTTATTTGATGACCTTGGGGGTTTGATTGTGGTATAAGATGGATTTGGCCAACTGGCTTTGTTTCTGGAAGATTTTAGGGGGCCAATGCTCAGCTCCCAACTCCTGGTCTGTGTGCTTTAACTCTGGGGGACTTGTATTGGGCCCCAAATTTGTTCTCTGGCTCCTTAAGAATCCACTGCCCTGGGTTGGGGCTGAGGTGCTCTCAGACCACTGGTCACTACACTCCAATGGGTGGTATCAAAGTGTTTTGTAATGTGACAGCAAAATCTGTCCTTGTTTGTACACGCCAGTTGCAGTAGCGGTGCAGCAGGGTGGATGCTCATCAGCTGCGGTAGGGTGCTAGCAGGTGCTGGGGTGCCTGACACCATGTGCGCATTCGCCACAGTGGTGGAGGCAATGCAGCTGGCAGGGAAGGGGGGCCCCTGCTGGCTGGTGACCATCACACTGGTGGTTGTGTTGACATGGGGAGAAGAGCACTGGCAGATGCAGGTCTGTGTACATTCCTTTTGCCAGCAGGCAGGGGTGGTTGCTTAGCGTGGAGGAAGATCCACTGTTCTCTGTGTCTGGTTTCACTCCCATGGCAGTGTTGGTGCAAGGGTGGGGCACTGGTGGCTGGTTCTGTGCCCAAGGCTCTGACTACAGTGGCAGTTGGCAGGGGGAGCGGGGGCAGACTACACTCCTGATGCAGCAGTGGCTGGGCAGGGTGCAGGCACACAGGCACGCTGGCAGGGCAAGGAAAGTAAATACTGCCCGTACACACATACATCAGCAAATCAATGTGAGGGGTTGCCGTGGGCCTGGGGGAAACTGCAGTGTGGGGAAGGAGCTTGTGTGCTGGTGTGTGGATGTGGGGGCCGACCTGCTGGAGCTTTCCACCAGTAAGGCACTGTCCACCAGCACAGAAGCTATGATGTAGGCCCCCAAGGCACCTGAGGCTGCCCTGGAAGCAGGCGCAGCCAGGCTGGGGCCCCAGGCGAAGCCAGCAGACCAAGGGGTGCTCAGGGCTGACCAGGCTTATCTGATGAGCAAGACTGCCCTGCAGAGTTCAGCCCCAACAGTTTCCCTTGGGCTGAAGTATCCTACTGAAGCAGTCAAGCCTAGGGGCATGGCCATCCATGGCTGTGCTCCACTACAGAGGCTCCCACATCAAACCCCCTGGGCTCCATATCAGCTGGCTTGCTATTCCTATCACTTCTCTAAGCTGCTCTCCCTGCCAATTCGAGTGTCTGTGGGGGTCAAGGGGTCTCCTCCTCCTGGTGGGATTCCAGAGGCTTGTGGTGAGAGCAGGTTGCTCCTTGTCAGTTCAACTCATCCATTCCCCTGGAGTCACTGGGGGTCAGGAACAAGTCCTGCTGTGTGGTAGCCCCATGCAGTGTTCCCAGCTTCCTCATGCTTCGGCCCAGCTTTCGTTCTTCCCTCCGTCCATTCTCAGTGTCTTCCCTCTGAAGATCTGTTAGTGCGCCAGGCTCTCGGTCCCTCAGTGGCAGCTGCTCCACCTGGCTGCGTCTAGTCAGCCATTTTGCCCTCTGTTATGATACTGGGAATTTAAAAAGCTCCCTTTATAATTCTAATGTGCAGCCACAGCTGAGAACTGTTAACGTGGATCATCTATAAAAACACCTATTCATAGAAAGAATCTGCCATTTGCAGAGCACTTACCACGTGTCAGGAGTTCTGCTGGGTATTTTACTTATCTCACCGAATCCTCGTAATAACCCTATGACATGGGTACTATGGAGGCTGAGGTGCAGGGTGGTTAGTGACCTGCCCCCAGTCACGCCAGCAGTAAGAAGAAGAGCTGGGATATGAAACCAGCTGCCTGACTCCAACAGCTCTTTCTACTCCCTGGCACCGCCGTGTCTTCTGACACTGCAGATCAGAGGCTGGGCTGCCTTACACTGGGTCCTATGGAGGCTGGGCAGGCCCCTGGCCAGGAGGTCCTGGACAAGAGCTGGGCTCGGCTCCTGACTTTCCAGGGGCCCCACTGAAGGGCTGTGGGCTGTGGAGGCCCTTTCTCACCTGTCCCTCAGCTCAGAGCCTTCCCGACCCTTCTGTTCCCATCTCTGCTCTTGCTTGAAGCTGCTGAGAAAGCACTGCTGGCCTCTCGGAGGGCTCTCCTCATTCCATGAAGATGAGGAGCTGCTCCACTGCTCCAGGGATGGCGCAGCTAGAGCTACTTGGTAAGGGCAGACTGGCAAGGGGGAATGGTTTCCCTGGGTCCTCCGCCCCTGTCACACTTTTGGTCAGGAGAGTTGGACATGACAGGAGATGGGGTTGCTTTCAGAGGTGATCATAGAGCTAGCAGGATCCTTAGAGACTATTTACCCAATGCTTTTATTGTGGGGTTGGAGGAGCCACACCCAGAGAAGCCAAGGAACTATCCCAAGGCTATTCAGAGACCTAGAGGAATGGGAGTAGCCAAGTTCCCCAGTCACCTGCCCATTCCTGCTAGGACACAGCCTAAGAGACTCCAGCTGCACCTAGCACCCCTGCCAGTGAAAGTTCAGCCAGGAGGGTTGAGGTGACCTGCTCAGGGTCTCTGAGCAGGCTGGAGCAGCGGGCTGAGGGCTCTGCGATGGGGGCAGCTGCTCCAGGAAGGCTGAAGGGCTGCTCCACCCTGGTTCACCCTCCTTTTCAGGGGCCTTGATTGAGGCATGTGGTTCCCTTGGAAACAGACTGGCTTGTCACCTGGGGTCAGCAGCACTTAATCTGCAGTTACTGCAATTTTTATTCTAGTGGGGGAGGGGATTCCAAACTCCCCCTTTACATTCCTCCACCACCTCCTACACCCATTGCTTCATGAAAGCAGATATCCCCTCATTCTGTTTCCGTGTGCGCACGTGTGTGCTTACGTGCACACATGTGTATACACACATACGAGTCTCCCAAGCTCAGAGAGCTTTTAATGACTCTGTTTTCTAACCCCCAACTGAAATGGAACAATCATGTCCTTACCAATTCTTTGTGGCCCAAGTTTTCCCAAGAACCAGAAATGGAACACCGTTTTCTTTCAAATGCTATCTCCATAGCATTACAATCAGATTAGGAGTGGGATGGAGAAAACAGGCCAGATAATACATTTTCCTTGCCCTTCCACCTCCTGAAAGACTTAAACCTGTGCAAGGACAGTCAAGGGTATGTTGAGGCATTACTTTGGACACACTGATGGTTTAAATCTGTATTATAATTCATCAGCATACACATCGCTCCTGGTGTGATTTACACCCTTTGAGGGCTGGCTTCCTGTCTGATTCCCTGCTGTGGCTCCCTAGCACCCTGGGGCCCAGTGGGGTTGTGCTGAATAAAGATCCCTTGCACTTCAGGAAAACCGAGGTGAACATGTTCAGAGCAAAGACGGATATGGCCCCTCATCCTGTGCTGATGCTGACCTTGGAACACAGCTGCTATCAAGGAAGACAAGGAGAGGTTCTAACATGTAGACTATGCTTTGAAACCTTAGCCTTTATAAAACTATGACAGTAAGAAAAATCTGACATGGTTGACTCCATCTTGCTTCTAGCCTCACAGGTTGGCTGTCTTTACTCATTCCTGGGTGTGGGCCAAGCTAACTTTGGGAGTAGTTTATAGTTTAAATAATAGTCCTTCCCCAAAACTAATCTGTTCTTGTAAAACTAATGAAAGGCCAACAGGTTAGGAAAATGAGAGGCACTTGGATTCTAAATAACTACCAGCCATTATTCCGGAGGTCATAAGATTTGCAACTTCCCAGTTACTCCTGCAGATAACATCACTATTGTGGAACCCAAGATTGGCCTTTTGAGATGTCTTTTCAAGTTTTTATGTTTCCAACAATCGGGTGGCCCCACCCAGCAACCAGTCCTGTGGCCCCCATCCAGGAAGTGATTCAGCACAAGAGGACAGCTTCAATTCCCTATGATTTTATCTCCAACCTAACAAATAAACATGCCCCCTACCCTAGCCCCCTGCTCACCAAGCTATCTTTGAAAAACCCCTAACCTCTGAGCCTTCAGGGAGATTGATTTCAGCAATAACTCCGTCTTCTGCACGGTATGATCAGCCTCATGTCTATTAAACTCTCTTTCCTACAATGCCATGGTCTCAGTGAGTAGATTTTGTCTGTGCAGCAGGCAGGAAGAACCTGTCGGGTGGTTACAGATTTACTAAGGACCCAGGCAGAGGCTGGAAAGAGAGACACAATCAACACCGAGAGGCAAAAGGGCCAAAATGGATGTGTAGTTTGCAGGCTGGCACCCGGAATGAGGATAAATTATGGAGAAAAAGCTCCACTAAAAAAATAACAAAATAACAGCCACAAAGGGACTTTTAACCACATGCAGACTGGAAGGTCTTGATGGTGCAGAGTGAAACCGGGACAGAGAAAGCAGAACCCTCAAATCCTGTCTTGCATCCTTCTTTAATAAAGAGAATAGACGAAACCTGCAGGGCTTTTGGTGAGCACCTGAATGGCGGGGAGGACAAGACACATGATGAAATAAATGCATGCATTTGATTAAAGAAATCAAAGCCATATGCAAAGATATTTTTAAAGAATCAAAATTTCCCCCCTCCCCAAACCCCAGTCCTATTCTTCAGAGGTATTTGCATTTCTTATATATCTTTCAAGATATATATTTTTATAAATCCATAGCATGCACACACACAGACACACACACACACACAGCCATATTGCCAGGCTGTTTTGTAGCTTTTTTCCACCAAATGTGTCGGAGCTCTTTTTATATAAGCGCAGGTAAGTCTATTTCATTCTTTCTAGTGGCTAATGCTAGTTCAGTTAACAGGTAAGCCAGTGTGACCAGCCACCTAGTGACTAATGTTTAATTTGTTTCTAATGCTTTCTCAATCTTGCAATGAATATCCTAGTACATATATATTTGTGTTATGTGATCAGATCCCTAAATGCAAAGGCACAGGCATTTAAATTTTTGATCAATATTATTAAACTACACTTCAAATATAGCAATTTACACATTCAACAACCATATAGGCAAGTGCCCCTGTCTCCATATCCTTGCCAGCATTAAGTTTTATCAGATTTTAATTTTTGCTAATCTGATGATCTACAGATTAAATGTCATTGTTGATTTGCATTAATCATGAAAGATTGAGCATATTTTCATACGTTTATTGGTCTTTTGTATATCTATTCATATCCTTTATCCATTTTTCATGGGCTGTATATCTTTTTTTAATTTTTTTTTTTTTTTTTTTTGAGATGGAGTCTTGCTCTGTCACCCAGGCTGGAGTGCAGTGGCGCGATCTCAGCTCACTACAACCCCCACCTCCCGGGTTCAAGCAATTCTCCTGCTTCAGCCTGCTGAGTAGCTGGGATTACAGGCGTGCACCACCACGCCTGCTTAATTTTTTTGTGTTTTAGTAGAGATGGGGTTTCACCATGTTGGCCAGGCTGGTCTCCAATTCCTGGCCTCAGGTGATCTGCCGGCCTCAGCCTCCCAAAGTGCTGGGATTACAGCCATGAACCACTGCACCCGGCTGATTTTTAAGATCTGTTTTTATGATAGAAAAATTAATCACTTGTCATATTTGAAGCAAACATTTTTATAACTATGTTTTATTTTGGAGAGGCATTTTTTCCATCAATGTGTTTAAAGTTGTTTGTGGAGCCAAACACAATGTTTTTTTTTCTTTTTGTTTGCCAGACAGCTAGCTGCTTTAAACAAGTTTGCTTCTTAGTATGAATAAGCTATCTTTGAAGCTTTGGGAAGAACTAGCAGACATGTTTGCAGAACCTGAAACAACAATGCTTGAAAAAACATGGAAAACAAAAGGGGCAAAAGGAGGTCAATGAATGTCCCAGTTTTCCAAAAAAGAGAAAGATAGATTCCAGAAATGTCAGGCAAGTTAATTTTATGCTAGTTCTGAGTAAAACTGTAGAACTGATCACTAAGCTGGTAGTTCAAGAACAACGACCAAAGGGCATGTGGGCACCAGGAGGAAGTCATGCCAAACCCACTCAGTCCCCATTTTTGTTAAGGTCACTGGACACATAAATCAGAAGATTGCTATACATCCAGAATTTCTGGGTTTCAGCAGGGTGTTTGATAAAGTCTTTCAAGATTTTCCTGTGGACAAGGATGTTAGCTAGATCCATAGCTGGTTGAACAACCATGTCCAAAGAGACCTAATGAATGAATCAATATGAAATTGGAGGGTTCTCTAGAGATGACAGGGCTCTCTATGAACTTGACCAGGTCTTGTTTAATGTTTTCATCAGTGGCTTGAATAAAGGCACAGAAGGCCACTTATCAGATTTACAGAGGACACAAGGGTGGGAGTGAAAAAGCTCATATGGTGGCATGCTGGAATCAAGATACAAAAAAATTTCGACAGCTTGAAACAGGGTTAAGAAGGGTAAATGTAAAATCCTGCACTTTTCTGGGGGAAAGAATGTGAATAAGCAGAGCTTGGGAGAGATAACGAGTTAAAAGCAGTAATTTATGCGGAAAAATACATGCCAATTCAAGATGTGCCTGGTTGCCAAGGAAAAGTCTTAGGTCCCAAGAGGGATTGGTTCCACTCCGCTCCGTCCTGCTGTCATCATGAGGAAAAGCCCGATGTTCACCTGGAGAGGACTCCAGGGGATGTGACACTGATACTAGCCGTGGCAGGGCTGGCCTGAGAACAGAGATCAGACCGGTGCCTCTGGCTGCAGCCAACTAGACGAGACTCAGCCGATATAATTACCAAAGGGAAGCTGAGGCTCACAGAAAAGAACTTTCTAAGCCGCGGGCTGCCTAAGAGTTACAAGGTCCACACCCAGGCTGGGAGCTGCCTGGCTAGCTTCTGACCTGGGTACAAGGCTGCAGCAGATCACTCTGCTATCGATTTGGATTCCATGATTCTGAGATTCATGTTCAAAGTCACCTAGATCTCCCAAGGACTCCAGGAAGAGAAGATGCCTGCTCAGATGAGCCCACAGATGGCTCCTGCCCCTGCCTACCTCCTGATGCCTGCAAGGTGGGCAGCTACCAGTCGTGCCCTGGGCCTGCCTTGTCCCTTTTGGTGCCCCTCTCTGGGCTGGACTTGGACTGGTAGAGTTCCTGGAGGTATTCAAGTGTACCTGCCTTCATGTTAGTCTGAGAAATAGGGTCCCAGGGCAGGGTACGGGGGGATGGTGACAAACCCAAGGTCATACAGCAAGTGGGTGGCAAAATGTTCTTAGTTCCAGCACAGAGCCACCTCTTCCCACCTCCATGCAGCCTCTGCTCTCCCTCCTCCTAAGGTGGGGCCAGCCCTGAAGGGTAGGGCAGCATGGGAGGAGTGACCCGGTCCCACCAGCCAGATTCCTCCTAGCTCCTAGGCAAGGAGAAGCATGAGGGTTTGCCAAGCTCTGGAGATTTGAAAGCCACCCCTCACCCTAGCACTCGGGACATATATAAAAGCCCTTCCCCTTCAGTGGGCTCCATTATCTCCTTCAATCTCCATCAGGCCCCCAAGTCCCCCTGAATGAATACACAAACGCAGCTTCAAGACAAGCATCTACCAGCCCCGGGGTTAGCTGCTGTCCTTGAACCCTCCTGTGTAGAAATCCTGGACCCCCTCCTTGCCCTACACACATTTTGCTCCTCAGACACATTCTTTCCTCCTTGCCCGCTTTGGGAGTCCCAAAGACATTTGGGGGCCTGGTACTGGCCCAGTCACAGAGAAGACTCCAGCACCTGTCTTCTGAGCTCTGAGACTAGGCAGGCCTTGTGGGACTGGCTGGGAGGGCAGCTGACTTCTGAAGGAAACTTATGTCTGTCCCTACAGGCACCCCTTTCTGTGGCTGGAGGTCACTCACATCACGTGACACCCCCAGGCCACAAGCCCCCAGGGTGCTCTGCAACCTTCAGAATTTGTGACAGCAGCCCCCACACCACACACCCACACCTGCCCACAACGCCCCTCAGGCCCCAGCGCAGCTGCTGCTCAGTCCCCATCCCAGGCTTGGGCATAGTTTGAGGGTGTGGGCAGTTGGGAAGGCTCTGTCTGCCCAGCCAGCTCTGGCCTTGCACTGAACAGGCTGCAGCACACACCCCCTCCAGCCACTTCCTGCCACACACTCAGCAGCCCAGCGTCCTTTAAGCTCAGGGCAGCCCATTTCCACCCTCCATGGCACCTGCTTCCTGCTTCCTTCCCTCTCTTCCATCCTCCCTCTTCTCCCCTGTCCCAACAGCCCCAAGTCCACGCACAGCTCCGAAGTCACTTCCCAGCGTCCCCAGCTCCACCTGTCTGCTGGGGAGTGTGGTAGGGGGATTGAATATCGCTCTCCAGGTTCCTCTCCTCAGGCTTTTCAGAACCTTGGTTGCCTCCACACAAAACGAAGAGGATCTCTCCGATTCCTTTTATGTGCAGCATCGATATCCTAGTATTTCATAAACATCTGCACTTCCAAAATCTAGAGAGCAAACAGCTCACATGTGTCAAGTGCCTGTGACATACCAGGCTCCGTGTGTCATAGGCTGCATCTTGTTTATGCCTCCTGAAACCCTGAGGGGGGAAAGTGAGCAGACCTGCTTCACCCATGGGGAAACTGAGGAAGCACTGAGCGGTGACATAACTTGCCCAAAATGAATGAGCTGGTGGCTGGAGAACCAAGGCTGAAGCCAGGTATGGCATGGCTCCGAGACCACACATAGCCCTCCCACGTCACAGCGAGGCTTGGGGGAGGATCCCAGGAGATTCCTGAGCTCTGGGCTTCCACCTTATTTGTGTTGATCAGGATTGGAGCCTAGAAGAGCAAAGGCAACTCTTCCCTCTGTTGGCCATAAGCTCAAGGGCTGAGGACTTCTCCCCATTGTCAGCCAGGGGAGAGTCTCCAAGGGACCCCCCCCCCAACAAAGCTATAATATTGCCACCCAACTTTGTTCTAAGGACACCAAGAGATGGCCTTCCCACCTAATAGGGATTTAGGTTAACCAGAGAGATTTGTTAATTTTTGTTGAAGTTAATGAGAATCTCCTTCCCTGAGCCACACCAGGGGGTGGCCCCCTGCTCCCCCCTCGTCCCCGCCCCTTAGTCCAGCTGCCCAGAGGCAGCCACATCTAATGCTCATAGCTGTTTCTCTTGGTGTTTACTTTCATCTTTCAAAATGACATGATTTTGTTGCTATTATTCACTTTTTTAGCCATTTTCTACTGACTTGGACTGAGATGTTCTGACAGAGTCTGCACGTGTACCCTGGGAAGGGCAGGGTAGGGTAGACTGGCTGCCTGGAGGCAAGGGCTTAAAGGACCAGGGCCCAGGAACAGGGGGTGGTCCTTTTGCATGAGGGGTAGGGACAGTCCTGCTGAGGAGCAGGGGACAGCTGGGAGTTTTGCTTTCATCCTCCAAGCCCCAGGCACCCCACAGTACCAGGACTTAATGAGACAAGCCTTTCTCTTCTCTCTGCATGAATAGCAGGCCATGTCATTTCCACCACCAGGCCCTCCTGGGATATACTTGCCTCCCCACTCTACCAGGAGCCCCCTCTCTGCTTCTTTCCCCACGTCTAAGTGCTATTTGTCCCTCAAGCCCTAGCTCAGTGTTACCCCACAGCGAGAAGCCTCCTTGGCCTGGGTGCCCTTCCATCTCCTTGAGTTTCTAAGGGCTGGGCCATTGGAACAGCATATCTTGTACTTGTCAGTTCTCTGCCAACTCAGGATATAGATCTGGCCTCTTAGGTCAGGCATCAAGCCCCAGAATGCAGGAGCCTGTCTGACATCCCACTGGCAACCCCCTTCCTGAGCTTAGTCCCTGACGCATGTGAGGACTTAGCATTTGGGGCTCTTACCATTATCATGGTTCCTACTGAAGGACCCACAGCAGGGAGGAGACAAAGCCAGCTGGGCCCTGCCTGAGACCATGGTGCTGCCACTGAGGTTCTATACTGAAGAAAATAGCCAAACGGCCCCTTGCAATTAACAAGGCATTTAATAACTACCTGGGTATTATGCGTCGCCAATGCTCCAACTTTCAGGAGGAAGTAAATGAGGCTCAGAGAGGCTTTCCAGAAGTCCCACAGCTAGAAAGAAGAGAATTGGCCTAGAACACCAAGTCCTCAGATTCTTTCCTCTCTGTCCCTGGGCCCCACCCAGTGCCAGCCCCAGCCCCACATGCAGAAGGGATGAGGGTTGAACATGGACCGCTCAGGGCCACTGCCAAATTGAGCAGGGTCTCAGATGGACGTGAGCCCAGCTGCTCCCCCCACTTGCTTGGAGCTCTGTCACAGCCCCTGCATGGTCACATAGCTTTCAACACCAGTCCCTTGTCCCCAGGATCAGGGCTGGCCCAGCTCACCTGTGGGAAATACCCTCAAAAGTACACACCTGTGCATGTTGAATCATAGTCTGTCAGACACAGAAGGGTCTTCACAGATGGTGAAACAGGCCAGGGTGGGCAGCATCTGGCCCAAGGCCAAACAGACAACTGGTAGCAGAGTTGCAAAGCACTTGGGCTCCTCCCAGCTTCCCCCTACTGCGGGGTTATTACCGCAGGTGCAGAGCCTGAAGGAGGCAGTGTGGGAGAGGGGCATCATGTACAGGAGACAAGGAGAGCACATGACAGGTTACTCCTGGGTGCTGTGAGACGTGTGTACGCAACCAAGGGTGTATCACAGCACCTGTCTCTGGGTGTTTCATTAGAAGAAAAACATCAGAATGTATGAATGCCTACAAGTTTACTATTGCCTTGACAAAAGCAAGTTACAGGATAAAGTATATTTCCATTTAGTTTTATTTATATACACATGTTGTCTTAGCTCAGACTGCTCCAATAAAATACTGCAGACTAGGTTGTGTAAACAAACTTATTTTCTCAGCTGTGGAGGCTGGGAATTCCAAGATCAAGGTACCAGCAAATTCGGGTTCTGGGAGGGCTCTTCCTGGCTGGTAGACGGCCATCTTCATGCTGTGTCCTCCCCCGGCTTTGCCTCTGTGAGTGAGCTCTTGTGTCTTCTTTCAAGGACATCAATCCTATCAGATCAGGGCCCCACCTTTATAATCTTAACCTTAATTTCTTCCTTTGAGGCCCCATTTTCAAATACACCCACACAAAGGCTTAGGGCTTCAGCATATGAATTTTGGAGGGGACAAACGATCCGTAACAAATATATAACCAGCGTGTATGTATGTGCCCGTGGTGTGTTTAAGGGTGAATTTGGTATTTTCTCAACTGCTTTATTATTGGATTGTGTCATCTGTTACCACAACAATGTATTGGTTATACATTTTAAACTTAAGGAAAAAAAAAATCAGGAGAGAAGTGGGAGAGAACATGAAGCATGAAAAGCCCCACCCCCCCAGACTTAATGACCTCCCTGGTCTCCAGGCTCAGACAGCAAGCACAGACACCTGTCTGAAGAGAGGCCATTCAGCCAGATATCCGATGCCTCCACAGCACCATGGGGCACTGGACACCCTGGCCCCCACATCTGGGTATAGCCATCCTCAGCCTGGCAGGAACCAGGACAGGGGCTCCATTTTGTTCTGAGGGCTACAGGTCCAGGAGGTGCTTTACTCATGCAAATCACACCCTGACCTCCCACCAAATGTCCAGAGGAGGTCACCCCTGGTCATTCTGTTGCCCTCCCCAGCCTAGGCCCTCCCTCCAGTTGCAGCCCCAGGGCATTCAATGCTGTTGCTTGGCCCATTCTCCAGAGGCCGCCTCACGGCAGCAGGCAGACATTTGCAGCAGGCACATCCAGGGGGCACGAAGGGAAATCAATGTCCCATTCATTCGAGGACTCTGACTTTCCATCTCTTAGACATGAGCAGTCCACAACCACCACATCCTCTTGTATGGAAGAGGAATCGGAGGCCCAGGGAGGGAAAATCCATTTCCTGTGACAGCCTGACAGTCCCCAACCCCCCATCCTTCCACACCAGGGGACCTGCTCTTCACTGCTTTGCCACAAGCCACCTCCAGACTCTGAGGAAGGCGTCCCCCACCCCCACTGAGCCTGGAATAGAGGGTAATTTCCACCACTGCCCCTCTCTCCCCTACTCCCAGCAGCTCCAGACGAGCTTGGCAGCTGGAGTCCCAGGGAGCAGCTGAATACATCATCGGGGTCAAAGACAGAGCCTGGGGTATGTGTTAAAACAAGAAAACCAATCAGAGCTGAAAATGAAAGGCAGCAGAAGTGTGAAGCAGGGAAGGAGGCTGCCAGACAGACACTGGGTGCTAGCGGGCCAAGTGGTTGCTGCCACACACCTGCCTCAGAGTCAGCGTGGCCCCTGCCCCAGTGCCCAGACACTCTAGGAAGCAAGTGGCCAGTGGGAGCTACGAGCACACCCCTCAACTCAAAGAGCAGGCCCCGACCCAGGCCTGATTTGACAAGGAGATGTATGCATCAGTCTGTCAGTTCTTAAGCACTGTCAAAGTCCACACACAGATATTCCCTATTGTGATGCCACAGGGTAGGCCAATGCCTGCTCATCAGGAGTGGTCTGGGGTCCTTGGAGGACAGAGCCTGAGTGGGCTCTGGATTCCAGGCTCCAGCATCCCCTCCCTGCCAAAGCCGGTGGGTGGCAGTTACTGTAGGGAACCAGTTCCAGGGAAAAGGGGCTTGACACTGACCAAAACGCACATCCTAGAGCCTGGCCTGTTCACCACCTCATTGAATCTTGTGTCACACCTGGGAGAAAGACTATTTTTGTGCCCACAACCTGAGACTTAGGGTGATAAAGTGACTTGCCCAAGGTCACACAGCTGTGGAGGCAAAGAACCGTGAGTGGAAAGCTGAGATTGTTAGAAATAGATTCTCCCTGCCAAGGGAGCCAGTCTCATCCAGGCCATAGGCGTGATCCAGATCTTCAAGAGGCCTGACTCTCCATGGTCAGCCCCTGGGGCAGGCCCAATCGCAGTGTGCATTCAACAAATATGGAGCTTCCACCATGCTGGGCACACGGTCCTCAGTGAAACCAACAGGGTTCCTGTGCTGCGAGTTTACCATCCCAAAGAGAACAGAGTCCTTCCCCCTCCTGTCCCCTCATTACCAGTCACCACCATGGGACCTTACACAAGAGAAAGTCAGAAGCCCAGACAGTGGGCCTCAGGAGCTGGGTGCCCAGCAGCACTGCCTGCTTGGGGCCACTCATCTTATGCAAACTCCCATTTTATAGAATGGGAAGATGGGCCCTGCTGTTACACAAAGGATGGGTGTCCAAGGCAGGGGCAGCCTCCTGGCACCACTGCCAGCACAGTCATGCTCAGTTGATTGCACAGCTGAGGGGTCAAGCCAGCACACAAGGCAGCTATGAAAAAGCCCATCAAGAAATAAAGTGAAGGTGGGGCTGGGGTGGGTAACACAGGAGGGCGGGTACCCAAGGAGCATGCTGCGAGCATGGGTGGCATCTAGACCAAGAAAAACAGAGGGACAGGGAGAGTTCAGGCATGGAGAATGTACACTATGCTGGGGGTCTCAGTCCCAGGCACTGAGCAGGGGGCCACCAAGAACAGAGCTGCACTGAGTGACTTGGATGCCAGGTAGAACCTCCAGGGCGCTCGTCTTCAGGCCAAGGAGGCACAGTGGGCTCTGGGTCCTCCTCCTCACCCTGCTCAGATCTCCAGCCAAGAGAGCAGAGCCAGGTGGCCCAGTCATGACCGACAAGGTGGCTGCCAGGTCTCAGTGGAAGACAGCAGCAGCCCAAGCCAAGCTCCTGCTTCTCCTCCCTCTGCCGGGCCACCTCCGCTGCCGAGCAGAATTGCTCCTCTGGCCTCGGGCTCCCAGCCAAAGCCCAGGAGAGGCCGGGCAGCAGCTCTATTAACACACAAACTGGTGGCCCGGCAGCCGCTGACACTGGGGTTAATTAAATCTATATCTCCCCATCAATTCTCATTCAACTAGTATCGATGGCCATTAGATGGGTGACAGAGTGACAAGGAAACAGTAATAGACTTGTCTTAACCCTCACGAGTAGAGAGCCCCGCCCTCCTGCTGTGGTCCCCGGCTCACTCCCTGGAAGATCTCCCACTCAGCTCAACACTGGCTGCTCCCCGCACTGCACCTGGCCGCCAGCCAGGCTCACCTCATTCTTTGTTCAGTTTGCAAATTCATCCTCCATGCCAAGCCTGACAAGTAGAGAAGACTTGGACTATTCCCCTCTCCTCATGCCACTCAGCCCTTTCTCTGCCAGGTCAAGTCCATCCAAAGCTGCCTCCTCCCAGGAGGCTCAGCCCAAGACCAAGCTCACATAGCCCTAAGTGTCCCTGCCACCCAGTCCCTCCATGGCCAGTGGAATACTGGCTCCCACAAAGATGTTCACATCCTGACAACTGGAACCCAGGCTTGTGTTACTTCACATGGCAAAAGGGGCTCAGATCTTGAGATGATCTGGATTATCCAGGTGAGCCCTAGGTGTAATCACCAGGGTCCTCATAATGGAAGAAGAGAGCTAAATACCATGTGACAGAGAAAGCAATGCCAACATGATGCAGCATAGGATGCCACCAGCATCACTGGCTTTGAAGACAGGAGGGGGCCGAGTGCCAAGACTGCAGAAAGTTTTTAGATCCTGGAAAATGTAAGGAAACAGATCTCTCCCTTGGGGCTCCAGAAGGGATCCCTGGTATCACCTTTATTTTGGCCCAGTGAGACCCACTTCAGACTTCTGACCCCCAAAACTACAAGTACACGTTGTTTTGAGCCAAGTCTGCAGTCATCGTTTGTAATTTCTTGCAGCAATAGAGAACCACATTCCCATGCCCATTCTATGTTCCAGCAACACCAGGCTACCTGCAGCTGTGTAAGCCACCCCACTTCACACCTCCCTGGCTTTGCAGTGCCTGCCACCTGAGATGCCATTCCCGGCCAGTTGTGTCCTACTTCAAAACTCCACCCAGCACCTTCTCCGCGAAACCTTCCCTGATTTTGTGTGGATTGCCTCATGCTTGTTCTTCCATTGTGTCTCCGTGTTCCAAACTGGGTGCTGCTCAATTTTGCATCTGGTGTGAGCTCCCGTAGCAGGGAGTTTCTTGTACCTTCATAACCATGAGTCCTCTTGCATATGACAGTTCAGTGAACACTTGCAAAATTACCATCTGATGGCCTAGCCTGTCTTGTGTTCCCTGAGCACAGCAGTAGAGCATGGTGGTTGAAAGCATAAGTTCATGTCAATTTTACATCAAAAAACAAAACTGAAATCTCAAACTCCAGTTCATATGTATGCTGAAGTATTTAGGGAAAGTATACAGACGACTGCAACTTATTTTGAAATGCAACCAGCCTGGCCAACATGGCAAAACCCCACCTCTACTAAAAATACAAAAATTAGCCAGCATGGTGGCACATACCTGTGATCCCAGCTACTTGGGAGGCTGAGTGAGGAGAATCACTTCAACCCAGGAGATGGAGGTTGGAGTGAGCCAAGGTCACACAACTGCACTCCAGGCTGGGTGACAGAGTGAAACTCCATCTCAAAAACAAACAAAAAAAAAAATATTAATGGGTGATAGGGTATAAAGTGACAAAACAAGCTTTGTGAAATGTTAAGAGATGGGTGCTAAGGTTCTGTCAACTGGGCTCTATATTTGAGTTCTCATAAGATATTGGGGAAGAAGTATATACCCTGGGACTAGACAGCCTGAAATAAAGTCTTGGCTCTACCACTTCCCAACCATGTAAGCCTAGGCAAATGACTCCTCTAGGCTTCTGTGTCCTCGCTTGTAAGAGGACAGTACTTTCCATGTGGCTGTGAGGACCAAATGAGTTCATACATGGCAAATGCATAACAGCACCCTAAGTGCCAGGTAGGTATTAGCGATGGTCACTTTTTCTGGGGGGGAACGGAGTCTGTTGCCCAGGCTTGGAGTGCAGTGGAATGATCTCAGCTCACTGCAACCTCTGCCTCCCAGATTCAAGTGATTCTCCTGCCTCAGCCTCCTAAGTAGCTGGGATTATAGGTGCACCCCACCACATCTGGCTAAATTTTGTATTTTTGCTAGAGACGGGGGAGGGGGTTTACCATGTTGGTCGGTCTGGTCTTAAACTCCTGACCTCATGATCTACCCACCTCAGCCTCCCAAAGTGCTGGGATTACAGGCATGAGCCACCATACCCTGCTAATAGTCACCTTCTCTCGACAAGCCCCACTCACAGGAGCATCACAGCGAGGCATGGTGCAGTTCCTACCTTACCTTCCTCAGTCGGAAACAGTGGATTGAGTCTTCCAGACTTCACACCCAGCCCATACTAAGCACTGCTGCTCTTATCTCCTGGGCACCAGGGTGCCTTGGAGTTCTATGCACAGTGAATAACCCAGGTGATATAAAGGGGTGAGACAATTGTTTCTGGAAGCAAGTGATTGGAGTCAGGGCTCTGCTAGACAGTATCTGAATTTCTACTAGGAGTCATGGGCTGTCAGGGAAGACCCATGTTGTGTGCTTATAACAATTACACTTGAAACATTGAGGATAGATGGGAAGAGAACAGGAATGAAAACCCAGAGACCAATTAGGAAGCTTTTAAAGACATGAGCTGCATCTGGGCAGCTCTATCCAGCTCTGCCCTAGATATTCAGGGCAGACACAAGAGGCAGCAGTGAATAGAGAGCGTGTGACTGTCCTCTCCTGGATCGTCTTATCCAAGGCCTTATCGCCAGCTGGTACCTCCACCTCCAGCTGAAGTTTGGCAATCAAGTTCACACCATGGCTAAGTTTCCATCAGAGCCCTCTAGCCCACCTGGCACTGAGGTCAAAGACAGGAGTGGTATTCCTTACCACAGGCCGAAGTAGGTTTGTGTCTGGGGGACTAAGCAAAGCACTGCTGGAGTGAGGAGGGCAGGCCAGGCACTGTCCTGGCTGTTCCTCAGGACAAGGAGGCAAAGAATACTGGATTCTTACTGTTCAAACTTCCCACAACCCCCAGGAGCCCTAGAAGGAACAGTTCTAGGTTATTTGTTTCCTTTCCCTTAATCTACATCTTCAGCTAATTTAGGTGGTGGAATGATCTGAAGTCTTTCTACTGATGTATACCCTTGGTAGTATGGCCAGGGTTAGGCTGTCATCTATTCACCCACCCCTGAGTGGCAGAAGGTTGGCCTGGGACTCCCTGGACTACTTCCCCTGCCTCTACTGCGGAGAGGGCGATCTTTGACGCAAACTCCCCAGCCAGCTCTGTAACCATCATTTGCCTGTTCAAAGCGGCAGGTGCAAGTGACCAGAGGCTGTCCCCACTTCTGCTTTAGTGATAAAGTTGTGTTCCCTTGGTAGAAGCATTCTTCCCTAAGTTACTAAGACTTCTAAAACTAGCAGAATCCACAAACCCAGGAGGGCAAGTCAAGTTAGGAGTAGGACTTTAGCTGTTACATTGAGAGGTACCTTGTTTCTACTGTTGAGTATCTGGGTCCAAGCAGTCTGTATATGAGGAATATACTATCACAGTCATTGGTTCAGAACACATGCCACCCCTTCTATTAACAGTACTCCAGCCTCCCAAAGCAGTGAATCCCAGGTAGCACCATAATGGAGGTTTCGGAAGACTTCTCACCATTCTATAGAGTCAGCTGCTCCTGGGAGTCGAGGTGCACAATAGCCATGGGCTTCTGCCTATCGATTCACTTGTGCTGAGGCAGGAGTCCCTTTGTCAGTTGCAATGCTGTATGGTGAACAATGAAGCTGAATGTCAAATTCACAGATCGTATTTTTCAAGCAAGCCTGTCAGGCAGGGACAGGTATAAATCCAAGGAATATTGGGTCATGACAAATGGCCAGTACCCTCCCACTCCATGGTAGAAGGCAAATGGGGACTGGTAGATGGCTGTGTCTCCCAGTATTAAGATGCTTTACTAGGGGGCCCAGGGTCGCTGTTTCAAGTTGGTCTTAGCAGCTGAGAGTTCAGCCCTTGGGAGAAAGGCAAGTTACAGATGCCATGCGGGGCACCTTAACTCCTTCCTCCCATGGTTGCTCATCCATGACTCCTTCAAGCAAGGACAGGGTTGACTAGGGAAGGAAGCTGACCATTTTAAGGGCAGGAGCCCCACTCATTTAGCAAGATCCTTGTCTAGAGTCATACCTTCATGAGCTTTCACAAGAGATCTCACACTTGGAATCGGTTCTAAGGCCCCCAATCTGTACATTCCTTTCCTAAACCTCCTTGTCACTATTCATGTAATCTTGCTCCAAGTCCATGACCAGCCAGTCACATCTTTAGCCTCCAACCATAGATCTATGTAGATCTTCATTTTAGACTGCACCCTTCTAGGCAAGAGACAGTGGCCTGTGCAAAGTCCTGCCCTTTAGGAAGATCCCTTCCCGATGGTCCTTCAGGGTCACCTTGAATGGGGCTAGAATGCCATAGCAGTCTATCCAGCTGATACCAGTGTGTTGTCTAGAGCCACTTATGAGTCCCTAGGCTTTCTGCACGAGTTGTAGGTGTGGGTAACAGTGCAATAGAATTAGGCGTACACATCAGCCAACTGTTCATGCTACTTACATGATTTTAGGGACTGCTGGTGCCCTCCTACAAAAGACTTCAATTGAGACCACTGGGCATGCCCGGTGATGGCGAGGTGTGTCAACTCATACCCTGATCACATAGGCAGTATTCACTTTCTGTAGGGACCAAATAGCAAGCACCACACTTCAAGAGCAGCTACAGGTGGAAGGCAGCTTGGCTCTACCCTCAAACCCTGGAGGCCTCCACCAAGATTCCCCTGCTGCTGGGGGCTTGCTGGAAGTTCCAAACAGTGGCCTCGTTCGCTAGAGGCTTGGATGCCAGCATCCTGCTGGGACACAGGAACCAAGTGGCAGGGCTTTGCAGCTCCATCCTGTGCCGGCCAAGTCTCTGCTTACTCTGAGAACCACTCGAAGCTGCCAGTCTGTCACATCACCACCGATGAGGCTTGAGTGTGACATAAACCATTTTCAAAAACCAAAGCAGCCCAGGGTACTGTGGTGCCTTCTAAAGAGAAGTGAGGCCCAGCAGCCACCAGTCTACTAAAGGCGAGGCTTTGAGTGGCAAGCTACTCCTTTAAAACATGAAAGGTGTGACAAAGGTGATTAAGCTGGTGATGGCAGAACAGCTTTAAGGACATCTCATTCTCAGTGAGAATTTGTTTAGTTTCCACATGCCACAGGCTGTGGGAGCCTCAACTTAGTACCAGCTGGATTGTCACCAACTTCAGCCCCAACCAGGCCAGCATACCAGTCATTTCCCTGAAGACAGTTTCCTGCAGCCAGCCCAGCTAGCAACTTCTCAGCCAGCATTCTTTGTCACCAGCAACAAAACAGTTTTGCCAGATTAAGCAGAAAGAACTCATGATGAAAACTAGGGGTGGCCCGCAGAACTCACAGGAATACTAGGGCCCGAGGTTCCGAGGCCACACCACAGACCTGCCTGGTTGAGGATACATTGGCCCCACCAAGCACTAAACGCTGTCCCACTGGCAGGATGTAGGTGTGGCCATTGCCAGAGCTGCCCAAAGCTTGGTCTTGTTGCAACTGTCAGTTGGGAAGGTATCCAGTCCTAGAAACTTTGCCTCATTGGCTTCTATTCCAAGTCTGGGAAGGATTCGTCTGATCCACGGAGCCTAGGTCACGTGTCTATTCTCTACCTGCAAGAGGGACTGGGAGAAAGGTTATTGGAATTTCTGTTGCTATAAGAGCAAGTGAGTGCTACTTCCCACTAAGATAGAGGGTAAAGAATACCCCAAACACAGGCAGAGGGACTCAGATCCAGGTGGCCAGGGATAGCAAGCAAGGCTAGTTTTGTCTATATAACCTTGACTTTCCCAGGTTTGGTCCTTACCCTGTTCACATAGGATGAAAGCCCCGAAGTCTCTTGTACCACAGCTAAGGGAGAGATAATCCAGTCTCCAAGGCAAATGCTTGGGAGTGCCTTCACTCAAGAGCCACCGAGGGAATGTCCCTATGCCAAACCATAGCCACCATGAGAAGGCCAGCTTCCACACAAAGCCTGGGCTGCAGGGCTACTGCTACTAGGCTAATGGGGCAGTACCTGCTTCTGAGCAAAAAGAAAAAGACTTTCATGGCTTTGTTAGGATGGCACACTGGAGTCTAGATTGCAATTGTCAGCCCCCCTCATCCCTTTACCCTTTGTGATCATCTGCACCCCTTCTAGCCACAGGCCTCAGAGGCTAGTCCAGGAACAGGAGTATATAATACATTGTCTTCTACTCTCCTGGTCTCATCTCTCCCAAGAGAAGAGGCTTGACCTTCAGCCATAGCGAAGGCATGAAGACTTTGGGCCCCCAGGGCTACATCACAGCCTCAGGCCCTGTAGGCACATCTCACCCCACCCCTCAACCTGTCACGGGTAGCCAGTGGGTAGCATAAGTAGTCTAGGCCCTGATCTGCCTCTAGCAGACATACGTGTTTGCTACTTCTGGTTCTTCATGTTGGCTTTGGCCCAAGTCTGCCAACTCTTCCCCAGGAGTCCTGGAACCTACAGAGGTAAAAGGGGGGTCAGAAAAGTCACCCCTGGTAGAGCCCTGGGTTCTGTAGAGACAAGGACTCAGCTACTGGCCTGGTCAGCCTGAAGGGGCTGCTCAGTGCCCTCAGGACCCCTGATAGAATGGGCGACAGTACTCAACGTAGGTCCACACCTAACTAGGTACAAGCAGAAACCCAAATGCCACTGTGGATAGGGGAGGTTTTACCTGAATAGACGTCCAGGAGCTGTAACAAGAATGTGGGAGGCTTTAAGGCAGATGTGGGAAGATACTTCTGCTGAGTATGAACCAGGGGCCTTGAGGCTGAAGTCTTGTTTTAGCAAGAGGTTTAGTCTGTGAGGCAACTGCAGATTCTCAGAAGGAATAGTAACCAAGTCATGTAGTATAGGGATGAGCCCCACGCAAGAACTGTAAGTCCTTTGAGCAGAGGTGGCTTGGTCTTCTCAGCATGTCTTCCCAGAGCCAGACAGCCCCACCTATCCCATGGGCCAGCCTGGACAGGTTCAGAGTTGAATGGAGCCCACATTACTCAGTCATGTGGGTCTCTAGTTCCCTGTGTGTCCTGGACTCCAAGGGGAGAATCAGATGCTGCTTGTGGGAAAGACCAGTGCTCCCAGAGAAAGATAAGAAAGATCCCTAGTTTTCTCCTGTGCCAGCTGCATGCCTGCTGGGAAGATTTCCTGGCTGCTCCACAGCAATGACTGTTGGGGAATCTACTGCTCACGTGTTCCGTTCAGTGTCAGGGTGAGGATGCCCAGCTGCAGGGCCACAACTGGCCAGTGTCATCCTCTGCTGAGGTCTACATAGAGATCAGGGCCCCCAACCAAGCTCAGCAGTGTCTGGCTTCAAACTCCAGCTTGGTCCAACACAAATTCTGGTTTAAGTAGGAACACATACTGTTGACTTGAAACACCAAAACCTTTTACAAAGAATCTGGAAAGTTCTAACGTTGGGTGGCATCTCATAGCTGCCAGTGCTTCAGACCAGATCAGTCCACCTAGTCTTTGCATGGCTCTGAAGAATGCCCACAAGTTGGGCACAGTCTAAGACAGCAGCACTTCCCCCTCTACCATTCTAACCTTTACCCTCAGACCTAGCTGTTGCAGGGGGTTGGTTCTCCCTACTCTAACCTATAGCCTCCTACCTATTCTCCCCACAGGGCCTCTTATCCTTTCAAGGGGCTCGAGTTGGAGAAAATAAGGAACCCCTGTATTTGTAGGATATATGTACTTGTGATCTCAGCCTAGTCTTAGATGTGGTCAGGCCAGGAACAAGTGATGGCTTGGACAGCCTCATGTAGAGCCACCTTCTGCTCAGGACAGAGGACCAGCTCCAGAGCCATGCTACTAGGATGTTGTGAGAGCATAGTCACGGCTTCCCAATAGTACAGATCTCCCTGTGAGGAGGCAGAGAGTTAGGGAGGCCACAGTACCCAGGAGAGATACCCCAAGACTTCTCTCCATAGACAGTCTGGCCCTGGGAGCCTATTCCCATCTCCTAGACTATGATGTTATAATGCTTGAAGTTTGTCTGTCACTAACAGGTCTCAGGGCTGGGAGGGCCACGTGAGAACCTAGATGGACCCGATTTCCCCACAGTTTTCTCTACAAAACCGTCTGGGCTTAAGCCGTTTGAAGCTAGTTCCATGCCACAGTTCTGCATTATTTTGTGTTAAGCTAGACCTCAGGTCCTTATAGAGAGCTTCAAACTTCTACACCAACCATTGGGTGTTTACTGGCCTCTTTCCCCTTTTCTTTCCCCAATTTCTGCTGTCTAAACAGATTCCATCATCCCCAGAAATGCTGCCTGGACCCAGAGTCAGATCCCATGAGATCCAGTGTCTTACCGCCCTGCCCTGCTTTGTCACCCATACCCAGCAGAGGCCCTCTGCCTGGGTCATTTGTTTCTACCTCAGCACATCCTAGGGCTAGGGTGAGGAAGCCCACAGAAGTTAACATCTTCCCAGAACCCTCTAGGCTTCTCATGCTTGTTTCCTAGGATATTAGTCTAGAACACTGTAGGCAAAGCAGCTTCTACCTCGATGTAGCCCTGTTCAGCAATCCCATCCCCACAGCCACTTTTCTTTCTTATATCCCCAAGGCCACTCCCGTTTGAGGTGGTAGAAAAGAGAAGGAACAAGACTCAAGAGGCCCAAGGATACTATACAGGCAAGACCGTTTGTTCTCCCCTTATACAATGTGATAAAGACATCCTCAGATTCCTGGCTAACACCCAGCCCCCTTTGTATCTGGCCCCAGTCCTCCCTGGATAGCCCAGTTGGAAAACTTTAGCTGCTAGGGTCCTAGCACCAGCTGACTTAGTGTCACAGGAAAGAGTTATGCCACTCAGAACCACCAGTGCTTCCAGCAAGGCTATAACTTGCTTTCTCCCTGCAGACATAGGGAATTTCAGCCTTATTTCTGGATAGAAATGACAGTCTAGACACGAGGATTGGCATATTTTATATGGGCATGACTTGATGCCCATGAAATCAGACACTGGATCTCAAAGAGGAGTCCCAAAGTCTGGACCAGCTCAGGACAAGTGCCAGCAAGTGGACCTTCAGCTTCCAAAGCCTTCCAAGCCTCTGGAGTTGCCACAGAACATCCCAGTCTCTCCAAAGAGACTCAAGGTGGAGGATTTGAGCACTTAAACCTATCTTCTGGTGAATCTTGTAAGTTGGGAAAGAATGAAATAAGCTCCTTCTCCAATATCACCCCTAGTTTCTCTCTGCATCTGATAGTGCTATGCCTTGACTTAGTCTAAGAACCTCTATACGTAGGTGATCTGTGGCCTCAGTTATAAGAGTCCTGTGGGCAGCTTGCCTGGCATCACTATACATGTAGTGTTAAGCATGTCCATATATCCTACCTGGCTGATTGGGCCACCCTCAGGGAGTGATGGGGACTCCTAGTATCCCATCAACTCAGCTTATTTTCCCTGGTCACCATTGTACCCCAACTAACACCAGAGATAAGAACCTCAACAATATGAGGCAGAACAGGCCAGATGCCAGAAAGAAGGCTGGTGAGCCACTGCCTAGGGATGCTTCCCTGCCTGAGGATTAATCCTTCCCTGCTACAGTCACACAACTGCCTCCTTCAGGGAGGGGAGAGTGCTCAGCTACGTGACCCAAAGTTCAGGATGGTAATTGATGTCAAAAAGAGGAAGAAAGTTTGCATGTAGGTAACCAGGAGTGAGATCATGAGAAATGCAGGGTCTTACCCACATTTGCCCCATCTGTGTATTCAGAGTGGGTTCAGAGAAAACACTGAAGTGTCTCATCCACAGCCACCACAGCCCCATACCCTAGTAGTCCAAGGCCAGTTTAGTACCTAGACATCCAAAACCAGTACAAGGAACATCCATCAGATCAGTCTTGATGAATACTGATGTGAGCAAACGGGAGAGGTTAGAGTCTAAGTGAAGCAGCAGCCTGTCAAGATTAGGGAGAGCAGTCACTGGGAGACCCAGAACACAGACAAAGACACAAAACATCTTCCTCCATGCTGCTGGCCATGGAGATAACCCCGAGTTAGAGGATGTCAGGAAGTCCCACCTGGGAGAAGACAGAACAGGCCAGGGGGACCAGGACAATGATCCTCAAAGACAAGCCCCCACACACATACATGCTGAGCAGGGCAGTGAGCCAGGGCATAAGGAGGGATCTCCAGGTGCTGCCTGCTGTGTCCTTTCCTGCCCTCCCCCTTTAAGGAATGGAGACTCAAAGGAAAGGTGAGAGAAGTTGCCTGGGCAGGGCTCCAAACATGGTGCAGGAAGAGCGAGGTAAGGATCCAAGCCCAGGGCATCCCCAGCCCCTTACCCCTACACCCAGGCAGCTGGGGGCTCCCAATAGCAAGGCTTCAGGCAGTAATCCCGGGAATCCCACCACAGCCTCCTGCTTTTCTAAAGGCTCTTCTGCCCTGGGCCACAGGATGGCCCCTGGGGCATAAAGTACACACTCTGTGGTACCTTCTAGGCAGGAGCTGGTTGACCTGGTTATCCAGCCTCAGTCATTCTCCATCAGTGGAGTTCCAGGGGTTCTCCATGGAGTAGGAAGGCCCCAGGCCAGCTTATGGGCAGGCCCCAGGGAGAAACCTTGAGCAGCAGTGAGCTAGTGGCAGGTCAGGAGGTACTGATAGAGGTCTTTACCTCTGATAAGGCCAAGACACCAATTCAAATGGCCAAGAGCACTGTTTGGGCTCCTATGACTGGCTGAACAGCCCCCAGGTCTACATGTGTGTCATAGAACCAGATCCATGCCTGGCTAAGTCCCCATACGCTAAATGAAGGCTAGAAGCAACATCAGAACATCAAGCAGACGGAATATCAGTTTTTAAACAGTGTGCTTTTCTATCCATATTCTTGTGGCAGAACCCTCAAGTGTTTTTCCCTTAAAAATTTTAATCCAAGGTCTAACTTTGGTGTTTAACAGATAAAGATGACATCTTTAGAAGTATGAGAAAGTAATATTTGTTAGCTCAAGATATCTATGGAAAAACCAGTGGTGTTCTGTCTTTAGTTTGTACCAAAGAAGATGACAATGTCTAAACTCTTTCTGAAGGTGGCCTAAGAGCTTAGAAGAAAGAACCCAGGAAAACAAGACTATGTACTGTTTCCCAGGAACAAGGACAAATGAAGCAAGGTTAATATGACAAGTAGTTCTCTGGTGCCCAACATCGACAAAGTCCAGAAAGAAACTAAGCATCAGAGATCTAGCATGGATGGGAGGGACCTGATAAAGGAGACATGTCTCACTGGGGCATTCAACCCCCAAGCTTAGAAGGGCCCCAAAGTCATAGCTGCAGGGAGCAACTAGGTTCACAGGAACAGCAATGATTCCCTGTCACAGCTGAGGCAAGGAGATGGGCAGTGATGAAGTTGGTAGGGAGACAACTTCCCAGTCCATGAGGACAAGCGTCAGTCCAGGTAATAGTAAGCAGTGCCATCATAACAGATTCAGATCCAGGCAGTGTGACAAAGGTTTCTTTTGTTCACATCAAGGGGGTAAGGTGGTATGCGCAAGGCTCTTCCTAGTGTAGGCCTAGGTATGGCCTGTCTTCAGCTGCATTGTCTAGAATAGGTGGAGCCTCCAGGCAGGGTCACTTCTGCATGGCAAAAGCCTGGGGAAGGCAGAGCCACTCCAATTCCTCAAGCCAGAAGCAACATTGCCTTTACTCATATCATGTTGGGGGAGATCAGTCATGTGACCAGAAGCACGGGGACTAGGAAATAGAGAAGGCATATAGATGGTCATGAAGATCAATGACAGCAAGGTCCTTATTCTCTTGGCCCAGCCACTACATGCTGGACTTGTAAGAGACAGTACTACCACCACACTGAAAGATCGGTGAAGACAGCTTCTGGGGAACAGCCCCCAAAAGCCAGGCAGAGATGCCAACTGTGGCCTCCCATACATGGTAGGCTTTACCCATCACCAAGTACTAGAGATACCAGCACAGGAAGACATTTGAGGGCCAGAAACATTCAGGAATAGCCTTGTACAGAGATCAAAGAGAAAGTTCCTCCCTTTGACACAGGGATAAGTCACTGTCAAGGCAAAGCTCAGAGTTTTGCAGCCTATGTCATTTACTAGGGGCATCTGCTTCTCAGCAGCTTCTGTGACAGGTCCTCATTCCCAAAGCATCAGGACCTGAAGTCAGAGTCAAGAGGGCCAGCTGCAGAGGCTTCATAGGTGCAATCAGAGCACCAGCCTGATGTGAGCCGCAGCAGATCTGAGTGAAATTCTGTGAAACTCTCAAAAGTTGGCTTGACCCAAGTCAGTGGCATGATCATAAGTCTGCAATTCCCATACAGTCATTCACCTGAGGCACAGGCCTACCATTCCCTGCCACATACGAAGTAGTACTCCAGCATGGAGACTCCATGTTTAGAGGATGTTGAGTAGCACAGTCAGCTGTAAGCAACCATCTGTTCCAAAGCAGCTGTCTTTCCTAGGAGAGCACCCTTGGGAATCTCAGTGATAATTTAAGCATAAAAACCACTGAGAAGCTCTATTAAGAGAGGCTACTGGGAGTCAACTAGGTCCTTATCAGGCCTCTGCTCACACGTAGTCTGAGCAGATTCACTTACTATTGGATCACTTTGTGAAGTAGCTACTGTTCATTCAGGAGAAGCAGGAAATATGGTAAATTGCCCAGGAGAACCAGGACGTACCTCTTTCTGCAAGTATCTCAAACCCTCTGCAGAAGTAGCTGGGGCTAGAGTTGTCTCTAAAAAGCATAGCACCCCACATTCAGGCAAGGATCATCAGTTTATATAGATAGCTTGCCAGAGGTTGGACACTGGATATTTGTCCAATGCTGGAATAACATTTTGAATTCCTTCCTAATCACATGGCGATGATTTAAACTGAGGGATCAGACTCTTGGTTCTCTAATCCAGTAGAGGTACTGTCATTAGTGTCTAACATAATACAACACAGAACACTAACATCTGTAATAGATTCACATTCAAGACTTTCAGCTAGACTACATTGAGCATTTAGATGCTAATTCTAGGCTCTAGGATATAAGAGAAGGACAAGCTAGACAACATTGAGCAGCATTGAAACCAATCTAGAAGGTGAGACATCTGCAGGACTATTTCCCTGACTCCAAAGATCTAAAGGAACTAGATTGAGACTAGATATAGCCAGATATAAGGCATGTTACTGGATTCAGAACTGAATGAACCATAAAGGATACTTAAGAGGTCAGTGGGAAAGTCTAGAATATGAACGAGCACTCACTGACGTGAAAGACATAAGTAGGTTAGGAGAGTACCTGCGGTTTGGTATCATTTCAGATATCTTTATATATGAAAAGTACTAAGCCATTATAGTAGTGATCTCTAGTGATAGGAACATGTTTTTGCATGTCTACTTTATGTAGTAATATACTGCTATAAAAAAGCTACTAAAACGTTGTAAGTACAGAATAATCTAGAAAAGCATAGTCTGTTCTTATTTGACTAAAGCCAGAGACATAATGGGCACTAAGCTCTTAAATGGTCCCATAAGTTCAGACCCTTGCTATGTCTGAACCTGAAAAACTCCTCTGGAGATAATGCTGGAGAAGATATTTGCCAGACAACCCCTGAGGTGGGAGGGGTGTGGGTGTTGGGGGGTGCCAGGGGAAGTGCTCTGGAATCAGCCTGACTTGGACACATCAGCTCTGCTGACAGGAAGATCACCACGATGGGTAAAGTCAATCCTGGGCTTGTGTGAGGAGTTGGAAGAAATTATTTCCAGGCCTGGTTGTGTCCCAGTCATTCCAGAAGGTAGAGCTTGCAGACTTGATTTGTGGCAGAATGATTCTTTCACCACTACGGAAGTCACAACTCCCAGCCAGAAGTAGTGTCTTAAGCCCATTTCACTTATACACATGGATATAAAAAACTAAGCTAGAAGTAAGCTAACTGAGTCTAACAGTGTATTTAGGATTATACCATGATCAACTAGCTTTTATCTTAGGACTTCAGAAAAATCTACCCAAGTGTCTTCCTACATTCATATGTGAAGAAGGAAAAGGCACTTTCCAAAGATCTAAGTAATCCAGCCATTCAGTATCTAGCAGACTTAGCAAGTCAATATAAGGGAGTGTTCTTATCTATATGGTTCCTAGGAGTTAGAAAAGGTTCTAATAGGACAATCCAGGTAAAATCAGTTCCTAGAATACAGACTAAGACTTAGTTCCTCCTAGAGAAGTTTATAACCTTAAAATAATTCTAAAATCCTTGCTTAGTTTTTTGTTTCCAGTGAGGTTAGATCTTGCTTAATTTAAGAGCACAAGCTTACTCTAAAATTCACATGAGGAAGACAACCCATAAGTAGCAAAACCAACCACAGTATGAAAGAAGGGGACCGGCTCTGTCCGTTTAGGGTCACGCTAGAGCTATTGGGGTATTTGCACAAGGGCAAATGGACCAAAGCAGCAAGGCCCAAGTGTCCACGGCCATTAACTATGATGAAAGAGCTACCATGAATCAATGGTGAAGGACAAATTTGTATAGGGAAGCCAGCTTCTCTAGAAGAAAAATGTAACTGGATACCATCACATTGTATGTTCCTAATCTTTTCAGGAAAGCTTCTTAGCCAGAGTTATTTCTGTAAAATGAAGAGAATAGAGAATACAAATGATATGACCCGAAGATAGGACACAGCTTCATCAGACCCTAATAGCACAAGCCATAAGCAAAGACTTGAGCAGCATCAAAATGAAGCTTCTGTTCAATGGAAGGTACTGTGAATAAAGCTCAGATAGATTAAGGTGTCATATCTGAAGCCAATAAGGAATTCTCTGAGAAGAATTCCTCTAAAAGGAGACAGAGGAGAACCCCAAAAGAAAAGTGAGGGACACTCAAATTGCTGTCATCAGAAAGTGTTCAAAGTCAAATGCAAGCAACACGATAAGATCCCTTCACACCCATTGGGCTACCAAGTGCTAGACAGCTGGGTTACATGGAGGAGTCGGGGTACAGGAATACTCATGCATCATCCTGGGAACATTCCGGAGAACTATCTGGTATCACCTTAGTCAAGTTAAGCTGTTCTATGCCTGGGAGTAAAAAAATTTGTCCTAGAGGTAAATGAGGGTACCTATATACAGCTGTTCTCAGGGTTGTTTGTAGTGACAGAGATGGCGGTAATTGGGTGCCTGTTCCTGGAAGAGCGGCAGGAAATGGTGTGGTGGCAGCATGCCATGGAGTACCACATGCAGTAGAGACTAGATGTCTACATAGGTGTGTGTCAGGTGTGACCGAGCAGAGCAAAGATGGTGTGTAGTTAATGTATGCACATGACACTTTGACAGTGCAAGGGAACAGACCTTGTATATTTGATTGTGGGTGACTGGGGTTGGCGGGAATGACAGCAGGGAGATGGAATAAGTAGAAGCACTCACCTGTAGTCCAAGGATGTTAGCATACCACAAATTAACAGCATCATTGTGCCAGATGCAGTGGCTCAATGTCTGTAGCCCCAGCACTTTAGGAGGCTGAGGCAGGCAGACCACCTGAGGTCAGGAGTTCAAGACCAGCCTGGCCAACATGGTGAAACCCCATTTCTACTAAAAATACAAAAAGCCGGGTGTGGTGGCACGTGCATATAAATCCCAGCTACTTGGGAGGCTGAGGCAGGAGAATCACTTGAACCCGGGAGGTGGAGGTTGCAGTGAGCAGAGATCGCGCCACTGCACTCCAGCCTGGGCAACAGAGCCAAACTGTCCAAAAAATAAATAAACCAACCAGCATCATTGATTCAACCATCTCTACTGTAGGTTCCAGAAACTTAAGAGCTACCCTCTTGGGAGATTTTCAGGCTTCAGAAGCATGAAGATACTAACAGAAATAAGGCTATGCTATGGACTTGTTTGTCTCTTATTCTAAGATTCCCAGGCCCCTTGCTTTGGCATCTGTCCAAGTCCCCTAGCCAAACAGTGCTATTCTCAGCATGGACACCTTGACCAAGCGTACTCTGTACATGCCTACAACTACATCCCATGCTTTTCTATGAACACATTCTCATCTAGTTCTAGCTTTCTTCAGCATTATAGGTCACAGAAGGAATGTCCCCTTAAACCCTTGGTCTTCTACCCACCTTGGGGTCAATTTAAGCAGAGGCTGTCCTTCCCCATTGATTATTGTGGCAGACTCTAGTGTCTGTGGGAATTCAGAAGGAGCCACATGAGAAGTGATAGGAAGAGACAGAGCCATCTTAACCCAAGGGCATAGGGACCAGAAGCTGGAGAAGGTGGTTTTAGGAGAAGCTAGAGGGACAAAAACCTAAGATGTGTGTCATCCCTCCAGGACCAAGTCCAAAGAGAAGTCTTCTAGGAGCCACTGTGGCCACATCCCCATACTGCCATGCAGCTATTGAGTAGTGCCTTCCAAGACAGATAGGCCAAGATATAGATCTAAGGAACATCTATGTATTATGTATTATCACACCTGAGCCAGCATGTAGGGGATAAATGTTCACTCCCATGTGCCATATTGTCCAAGTTGAACTTGACCAGGCTGAGTAGCAGACCTAATGCCCAAGCTTAGGTATCCAGGAATAGGAATCCCATGATTCAGGACTAAGGTGGCCCCCGACAGGCCACCTGACATCTATATAACTGTACATTACATCCCCAAAAGATAAAGGCCCAAGAAGCCCTGTCCTTGGTCACAACCTGGGCTCTGCTGCATGAGCTCAAATACCCCTCTCCAGTGCTAACTTGAAGGTGAACTTCCTGGCTGACTTCCTTGGTTAGTACGTCCCCCCTGAGGGCCAATGCCAGTTCTCTTCCAGCAGCTTTTATACCATGTTCCTGGGAGGGACCAAAGCAGGATCCTTGGTTTGTCCCTTCTTCCCAGATGTAGCCTGATCTGGACTACGCCCTGAACCCCAACGGTGCTTTGCAGTTTCCATATTGAAGTCTATAGTGAAACAGCCTAAATCTGTCTCACCTACTAGGCAATTCTTCAATGCCTTCATAACAAGTGACCAGGCATTATGATTAGTTGGCAGCATTCATCTTCAAGCACAAATCCTTCACTTCCCATATAACCTGAAACCCTGACCACCTGCTATTAAAAAAAAAGAAAAAAAAAGCCAGGCCATGGGCTAGTTGGATTCTACTTGGGGGCCCCAAATTCTACCAGAGACAGATACTATTTTTATGGGTCCCTTCTTCTATGAGCCCCTCATTCTATGAGCCCAGGAAACTAGGGCCAAGCAGCAGCATAGAGAATGGAGATCAAAGTCAACCAGGTGATAGGGCAGGTCATCACTAACCTGCAGGCCACTACACTCCAGTGGTCCCCACTAGACCTGTGAGCTCAACTCCATGGAGGCAAGAGCCCAAGGACATCCTTGTATTACAGGAGACTGAAAGCTATAGAGCAGACAAGATCCAGTCAAGCAGGGGCAGGAGAAGATGACCACGGCAGTGAGGGATAAAGGTTTATTTGTATTTTCCCTGCCAGCCAGAAATGGCAGATTCAGGTAAGGTATGCAACAACTTTTTCTAACAAATGCCAGAGGTCCATTCTTTATGTGTAGGCAAGAATGTAAATAGGGTCTTAGATTCCAAGGAAAAAATAAGACCTCACATTCAAAGTTCTAAAGGAGACCAACCTTATCAGGTTAAGGATATTCCCGGAGAAGGGTCAGTTCCCACACTCGGAACAACATAGCCAGTCTCAATGTCAGTGGCCACAGCTACTATGTCTGTTCCCCTCAGTTGTTGGCAATGGAGGCCTCAGGTAGAGGAGTTAAGAGCAGGCCTTACATCAGAGGTAACAACCCTGCAGAAAAACAGCCTGGAGAAAAGCAAAAAACCAGGGCCTAAATGGCAAGGATGCCCAAGCGCCACAGTTGCCAAGTGAGGCTAGTCACTCCAGGAGAATGAGGCCCCAGTGAAAGTGAAAGAAGTTCTATCAGAGTAATAGACTCATGGCTGCAGGAAAGAGATGTTGGGGGGAAAAATGAAGAGTGACTATTAGCAGGCATGGAGTTTATTTGGGGATGATAAATGTTCTAGAGTTGCAGTGATTGTACAACTTCGAATATATTAGGAGTCAAACCACACAATGATTTGTGATCTAAAACTGTCACAAAGCTGCTGAGAGAAATTCCATGAGGTCTTAAGTCTGGAGAAAACTTTTGGTATTCGACTGAATCCCAGGAATTTTCAGTCATGAGGGAGGCCCATTTGGCCAGCTCCCAGGCCATTCTTCTATGCAATAAAGTAGATAAGAGATAGGAAAATGTTTATAAGCATGTTTATCCCTTCACAGAATCCAACACCAATACAATCTGTCAATATATCACCTGGAAACTAAGATTAACATGGTCAGCATACATGCAGATATCTACCACCACACCATCATAGTTTATATGAACTAAGTTTAGGGCTAGGTCTGGAGCATGTTCCACATGGAAGTGGTTGCATTCTGTTCTTTCATTGTAGTAGTACATGCCTGTTAAAGAGCTTGTAACCAATACATTCTTGAAGTTAGAAAACAATTTGGCTGGGCACAGTGGCTCATGTCTACAATCCCAGTAGGCATGGGAGGCTGAGACGGTTGGATCACTCCAGTCTGGGAGTTAGGCCAGCCTGGACAACATGGCAAAACCCCACCTCTGCAAAAATTACGTAAGTTAGCCAGGTATGGTAGTGTGCACCTGTAGTCCCAGCTGCTCAGGAGGATGAGACAGGAGGATCACTAGGTGGTCAAGGCTGCAGTGAGCCGTGATTGTGCCACTGTACTCCAGCATGGGTGACAGAGCAAGACTGTCTCAGAAAGGGGGAATATATTCATGACAAAGATGTTCTAATATAAAAAATGTCATGTTATATTCTTGGTATAGTAGTCAACATCACTGGAAGATTACCCTTAAATGGTATTATAAGCAGTCACAGGAAAGCTTCATACAACTGGAAGATAAGTGGTTTCTTATGGAAAAAAATTTCATATGCAGATGCAGTAGGAAAGCTGACCCAGGGAACAGTGGTGGACACTATAGACAGGGTCCTGGGAGAGTAGACTCAGGTTAAGGACTCACAGGCCTTAGGGACTGAGCCAGGGAGCACAAAGGCTATGGAGTTCAACATGGTCGGGAAGCCCTTGCCAGGTTATAGCATGGGGGCCAGGCAGGACCAAGGTCAGTCACATTCACCTAACAGATGGCTGCAGCTGGCCTAAAGGAGGCAGTGGCAAAACTGCAGTTGAAACATGGTTATAAAGAGGCAGCACCAAAGCAGAACATCTCTAGACTGGAAATAGAATCAGAGAAAACAGACAATGGCCTCAACAGGCCCATTTCATAAGGCAGTAAGGGAATGCAGGTAGGACAGGCCTTAGAATGGGGAAGGCACCCTGGGACACCAGCAAACTGAACCTTCCCACCAGACTTCCCTGGAAACAGGTCAGGCACCAATAAGGAGACCCAGTGGCTCAAGTGAAATCTACAGAAAAGCACCTGTGGCCCAAAAGGAAAGAGTGACACTGTAGACCTCAGGACTTCTCTGGGGTTGGCCATATAACTGGCCACCTTAAGGACAGGAACAAGTCAATGGTAAAACATAAGACTGGACTTTAAGGCTATCAAAGGACAGGTCTGCTTCACCCACTTTGTCATCCCTAGATGCCAATTCTGGAAGTCATCCTTCAGGTGTGACAAGAGAAACTCACATGATATCCTAACTGGGCCAGGCTAACCAGTAGACCTGATAGCCAAGCTTGGGAAAGGACTGTAGAATTAAGTTCTTCCTCCACTGACCCAGAAAGGGTCATATATACCTGTAAGTTATATCCCTATCAAAGAATAATCCCAGGTCCCATTCCTGGCCTTGCCATGCAAGTCCTGGTCTTCTCCATGGTCTTCCTGCAGAGCTGGCACCTGTGACTCCTTTGGTTGGCACAAGTTCCCTCTAGTCACTAGTGCCAGCCTTTCCTCTATGAACCTTCCTGTAATGGTGCCATGAGGAAGGGCTGAGCCAGAAGTCCCAGGTTTTTCCTGAAGGTTGACCCTGACACCTACCCCCCAGAATCCCAGGGCTGCTAGAATGGGAATAAGAGTGAAACCTGTCCCTGGTTGACCTCTATGGTCAATATGGCCTTCCTGAGTTGGCTTATTTCCACATGGCTTCTAGATAGTGTCTAGAAGCAGTCAGGCCTGGATAGATCCCTAGTTTGAGGCAAAGCCAGATAATGGCTGTCATCTGTAGGTGCACAGATCAAAGTGATATCTTAAGGACTTAGGACTGTCTGTTGTACATCTAGACCCAGGAAATTAACCCATCTCCCAGAGATCCCTGGCCTCAAACTTAGCCTTTTCCTGTTGATGCAATACACCTAAACATGACATCTTTCTCATAGGGTCCCACACATCCAGGAATTCTCTTATGTCTGCTTTTCCAAGGATACTAGAAGACTAACACCTAAAAGTTAGGTGTACCAGAGATCCTGGGATCTCAAGCCTATGAGAGTCCCAAGGATATCGCTAGAGTCAATACAAGTAGAGCCAAATGACTTGCATTTCACCTACTGGCAAGCTTCCTTAGGGGCCTGGCAGAGTACCAGGAGCCTCTTCTACCCAGCCAATACAGTTAGGATTTCAAAGGCAGAGCCGTTTATTCTTTCTACACACCATGTCCTACCTGCTATGCTATCACTGACTTATTAGGCTAGCAGCATCTCAACTTCATATTCAATAGACCTCAGATTTGGAGGGTCTTATTCCCATAGACCTCAGATTTGGAGGGTCTTATTCCCATAGACCTCAGATTTGGAGGGTAAGAGATGATGAGAAGATACTCCTGGGGTCACGTGTTCCTTAGGTTCTCATCACTTTAGTCCTTCTGAGGCCACACAAAGGAATGCCTCAATAGTCTTCAATAGTCATGAGTCTGATTGATTAATAGCTAGTTTTGGGAGAAGGCCCTGATCATAGTAAGAAAGATGAACAGCGAGTAGTTTTAGACAGCGAGTAGATAATAGCTATAGAACAAGTAGAGAGGATTTTATAAGATATTAGATCCTAGAAGTAGATTGCATGGTCAGGATGAGGATAGACAGCTTGGGGAACATGCTAACCCAACTAGTAAGGTGACTATAGCTGAGCTGAACTAAGCAGAGCTGAGTTGAGGCAAGGTCAAATACCTTGAAGGCAAACTGCAGGATCTGGGATAGGCAGCTCAAGGCCAGGCCAAAGCTAAGAAGATTCTAAAAACCTGCAGCATACCTGGGGCCACTTAAACACAGAAATTGAAATGAATACATGCTGCCCAGGAGCACAGCAGACCAGGAGGGGGAAAGTCTGGGGGGATGGGCCCCAGGATCAAGAGAGGAACTGGAAGAGAGAAATGCCATTTAGGATTTACGTCTTCCAGAAGAGAGGCAGTGCCACCATGCCACACAAAGGCAGATCCTCAGGAAGCCTTTTTGACAAAAGGGGAGGAAAAGCAGTGACCCAAGAGAAAGATGTCAGGGTCACATGACACTTTCTGGAGGTATCTATACAACCAGGCGCCACAAGCCGCATGCCTTGCCTCACACCACCATATGATCCATTGGATTTCATCATATCTGTTCTCAGCAGCAGGGTCGATGTTTAAATAGAAGCTCTCAAAAACAACTGATCTTCTGAAACAAGCCTGACTTACCTGGGTGATGGGAAAGACAAACTCCCAAAAAACCACGACTTCAGCTGGGTTAAGTTTGTTCCTTCTTCATGCTCTTTAGTCTAAGAGCTACCCTAATGAGGCCAACTGACAGATCTAGCCCAGGATTTTAGAAGGTATCTAGAATTACCCTTGCTTAATTATCTAGTTGCTAAGATGCCCTCAGGTAGGGTGAGGGTCTGGTTTCTGGCAGAGCTTTAGATCCTATCTGAGGTCTTTGTATAACAGATATCTGGCTTGAGACAAGTCAGACTCTTGGTTTTTTTCTTTAAATCCCCTCCCAAGGACTAATTCCAGCTCTGGTCCCTGGGAAGGAGAGGCTTAGAAGAAGATCCCTGAATTTTTAAATCTAAGTGACCCCAATCCACCAGAATCCGAATGCTGCCCCTCATCTTGGTGCATCCTGCAGTCCTGCCTCAGTCGAGAGGTGAGAATGATAGGGAAGCAGTTCAGTTCTATCAACCCCTCTGGGAAGCCTGGCAGGAACCAGCCTCCATGGCTTAGTGGTTTCTTAGTATCTCCTAAACTCCAACTCAGGTTGCATCCAGACAGCAGTCTGGGATGTCTGAGCCACCTTCTGTGAAAACATGAGCCCCGCTCAAGCTGCAGGAACTCTGTAGCCAAGCAGATCCTAGCTCTGTGGGGGATGCCCTTGGACATACCCCATACCACTATCTAGGGTTATGTGTCACCCGACCTAGGAAAGTCAAGCCAAATGAGTTACAGAATAACCACCATGGACCAGAGTTAGACTGAGACTGGATGGTCAACTCACCTGAGCCCACTGCCTTAATATGGTAGTCCCTAAACAAGAGGCCTAACATTTATTGCTGTACCTATGAGTTCAACTCTAGGTTACAGTTAGACTTAGCAGACCTTGGGCTTTAAGTTGAAGGTGATTATAGTGTTGTGGGTTGAATCAGGTCCCTCTAAACAGATTGAGGCCTTAAACCCACCATACCTTAGAATATTACCTTGTTTGAAGATGAGGTCTTTACAGAGGTAAAGTTAAAGGAAGTCATTATGGTAGGCTCTAGTCTCATATGAAGGATATCCTCCTTAGAGATTTGGGCAGACATACATGGAGGATGCCGTGTGAAGGTAAGGACAGATGGAGTGACGCTTCAAGCTAAGGAAGCTCAGATGGCCAGCAAGCCACCTGAAGCTAGGTAAGAGCTGCAGAATATGCCTTCACATTCTTGGGAGGAAGCAGCCCCACTAACACCTTGATATCAGACTAACTTCCTGAATCAAGACAGACTTCTGTTTGAGGCACTTAGTTTATGCTACTTCATGGCAGCCCTAGCAAATTTGCATGCAGAAGAGAATGACTCAACAGGAAGAGAGCCCCTGTCATGCTCAGCCAGGAGAACTATGGCAAAGGCAACTCTGTTTATACCTATCCCTCTCAGCAGGGCACTGGCCAGACTCCTGGGCATCAAATGACAGAGAAGCCAGACACGAACCTGACTGAGTCGTTTCTGATAGACGCCAAGAGCCTGTTCTATAAGTAACTTAAATGGAGCCTGGATTCTAAGAAAACGAACTCCTTAAAGTCAAAGGTCAAAGAAACAGTCTTCTCAGGACCCAGGAGAAACTTCCCTGAAAGAGGTCCTGTGTTCAACCAAGCAAGAATCAGAGCATAAGCCGTGTCCTGATGCCAGTGGCTGCAGGTGCCATTGCTCTTCTCCAGAAATCCCAGGGATGAGTTCCCAGGAAGGAGAGAGAGGGGACAGGTCTTAGACCAGGAAAGGATTTCTACACGCAGAACGGAACACGGGCCCAGTGCATGAGTAGCAGGAACGTCTAGGACATCCTGCTATAGCTGCTGGCAGTGGGAAAAGTAACATCCTCAGCACGGAGAAGATGGTCCTATCTGGTCTTGGAAAGACCTAGAACTGGGCTCTACATATGAGCTTGGATCCAAGGACAGACTGGAGAAGGTACTAGCTTGACTTCTTATGTGCCACCCTTAGTTTCTCACTCAGACTTTTCTGCCTGGGACCTACATGATAGCAGCTGGCTTCAGGGCCTCTAACTGCCAAGTCCTGACTGTTCTCTAGTCCTCCAGTGCAGGGATGGCCCCCCAAGAGGCTTCCAAGGCTGTCCATCTGACCATGTACAATCATTAGAAAAGAAAGTAGGTAGAAGAGAGGGATGAGAGTCTAACCTATATACAGAGGGGTCGCCAAGGTGTAGTATGGGACCAGAGGCTATCAGAGACCTTCATTCTGGGATCTTAAGCCTCTAGAGTAGCCCAAAGCCCATTCTCAGCTGAGAGCCCAGCCATACAGGTGGATGTGGCAAGAGAGCCAAGCATCATGCCCAATACTGACACTCGTTAAGACCCAGATATCCTTGTATGTATGGTAAGACACCTCACTATCAAAACTTCATGCCCAAAGACAAGAGGTGTCAGATCAGAAGACCTCACTGGAGAACAGACAGGAGATCCTGGACATAGCAAGGAGGCTACAAACTGCTTTCATTATCATTTCAGCTGCCACTATAATTCTGTTGCCTAGTTGATGGGAATGGCCATCCCGAGCAGAAGGGGTAATAGGCCATCAATCGGGAAAGGCTTCTGAAGATGATGCTTCAGACAGGATCAAGTCGAGGATCCAGGGTGTGATCAGTAAGACTGCCAGAATCTGTCTGCAGCCCCTGGATAGAATACTACTTCTTAATAAGAGAAAGGTTAAAAAAAAAAAATAGCCCTACCAGGTCCTAGGAAACTTTGCAAGCAAGCCCAGCATGGCATTAGATCTAACCATAAACTATATAAGAGCCCAACATGACTTATACCTATAGCCCGAGGACTATAGGTATCCAGGATGGAGACCCTAAGCATAGACTGCAGACTCATGTTTGTCTTAAGGCTTACTGTACTGGGTTTCCCACACGACCAGCCTCCGCCAGACATGCTTAGAGCCAAATCCCAGCGTTATTCAGCACGATGGAGGCCTATAGCCAGCTAGTTTCCCAGGTCACACTTCCAATCATGAATAGTGATAGACCCCAGCAAAGGGGAACCAAACAGATCCCAGGGATAATTATGGCTACCTAAGAGTAAAGCAGAGGTCAGAAGTTGTTCCTGCCCAAAGGCTCTGGTCAGAGGAAATGGTGAGGGACGTTGCCCTCAAGCAGATGCAGTTAAGGGTTTTTAGGACAGACCAAGGTCCAGACAGGAGAGATGTTAAGAGGAAGACCATTACTATATCACATGCCAGAAAAGCGTTCCAAGTTAGTCTATGAGCAGCACTACCAGCCCACACAGGTAAAGTAGGAAAACTCATCTTACTGCCAGACTCCAGATACCAAAGCTTCAGTTTATCTATAGTGTAGACATCAGTGCCAGTGGAGACATGTCCAGAAACAGACCCAATGAGGTGAATACTTTGACTGATGGCACTTGGCCCATACTTGGGCCAGTCACCAGCCTTTAACCTGACCTAGTACCATGGGATGTGGCCACTAAACCAGCTACTATATACTATATATTTAAGAACAATGAGCAGTCCCATTAGAGAGAGGGAACAGGAACAAAGGGATAGAAGAATCCAGGAGAAAAGATCCTATGACCAGCAACAAGCCTAGCAAGGAGCCAAGGAGTAAGAACAAGGAAACCCTGGGGTTACCCAGGCAACACATCAAAAGCTTGTCTATTGTGATCAAGTAGGTTTTGTCCCTGGGATGCAAGGTTGGTTCAATATACAAATCAATAAATGTTATATAAGCAGAACTAGAGACAAACGATATTATCTCAATAGATGATGCTTTTCATAAAATTTGACATCCCTTCACGTAAAAAACTCAAACTAGGTATTGAGAGAACATACCTCAGAATAAGAGCCATCTATGACAAACCCATAGACAACATCATACTGAATGGGCAAAAGCTGGAAGCATTGCCCTTGAAAACTGGCAAGAGACAAGGATACCCTCTCTTACTACTCCTATTCAACATAGTTTTAGAAGTCCTGGACAGAACAATCAGGCAAGGGAATGAAAGGGCATCCAAGTAGGAAGAGAGGACGTCAAGCCACCCCCATTTGCAAACATGATCCTCTGTCTAGAAAACACCATAGTCTCAGCCCAAAAGCTCAAGTGGATAAATTTGAAAGTCTCAAAATACAAAAGATGTACAAGAGTCACAGGCCTTCCTACATACCAACAGTCAAGCCAAGAGCCAAGTCAGGAATGTACTCCCATTCACAACTGCCACGAAAAGAATACAATACCTAGGAATACAGCTAACTAGGGAGGCAAGAGATCTCCACAAGGAAAGCTATAAAACACTGCTCAAAGAATTCAGATGACAAACAAGTAGAAGAATATTATATGCTCATGGATAGAAAGAATATCATTAAAATGGCCATATCACCCAAAGCAGTTCATAAATTCAGTATTATTCCTATTAGACTACCATTGAGATTTCAGACCTAGAAAAAACTTTTAAAATTCACATGGAACCAAGAGAGCCTGAATAGCCCAGGCAATTCTAAGCAAAAAGAACAAAGCTGGTGCCATCACGCTACCCAATTTTGAACTGTACTACAGGGCTACAGTAACCAAAACAGCACGGTACTGGTATAAAACACAAATACAGCAATGGAACAGAACAGAGAACCCAGAAATAAGGCTTCACACCTACAACTATCTGATCTTTAACCTGACAAGCAACAGGGAAAGGATTCCCTATTCAATAAATGGTGCTGGGATAATTGGTGGCTAGCCATATGTAGAAAATTGAAACTGGACCCCCTCCTTGTACCATATACAAAAATCAACTGAAGATGGATTAGAGACTTAAGTGTAAAACTCAGGAACTGTAAGAATCCTGGAAGACAACCTAGGCAATACCATTCTAGACATAGGAACAGGCAAATGTCTCATGATAAAGATGCCAAAAGCAACTGCAACAAAAACAAAAATTGGTAAGTGGGATCTAACTAAACTAAAGAGTTTCTGCATAGTAAAAAACTGTCAGAGTAGCAGACAACCTATAGAATGGGAGAAGATATTTGCAAATTGTGCATCTGACAAAGATCTAATATCCAGCATCTATAAGGAACTTACACTTACATGAAAAACCCCATTAAAAAGTGGGCAAAGGGCTGGGTGCCGTGGCTCACACCTGTAATCCCAGCACTTTGGGAGGCCGAGTGGGTGAATCACCTGAGGTCAGGAGTTCAAGACTAGCCTGGCCAACATGGTGAAACCCCATCTCTACTAAAAATACAAAGAATTAGGCTGGCATGGTGGTGGGCACCTGTAATCCCAGCTACTCAGGAGGCTGAGGCAGGAGAATTGCTGGAACTCGGGTGGCAGAGGTTGCAGTGAACCAAGATTGCACCATTGTACCCCAGCCTGAGTGACAAGAGCAAGACTCTATCTCAAAAAAGAAAAAAGTAGGCAAAGGACATGAACAGATACCTTTCAAAAGTAGACATACATGTGGCCAAAAAGCATAAGCTCAACATCACTGATCATTAGAGAAATGCAAATCAAAACCACAATGAGATGCTATCTCATACCAGTCAGAACAGCTATTAAAAAGTTAAAAAGATAACAGATGCTGGAAAGATTGTGGAGAAAAAGAATGCTTATACACTGTTGGGAGTGTGAATTAGTTCAGCCACTGTGGAAGACAGTGGCGATTCCTCAAAGGTCTAAAGACAAATACTATTCAACCCAGGAAACCCATTACCAGGTATAGACCCAGAGACATATAAGTCATTCTATCAAAGACACATGCACATGTATGTTCACTGCAGCACTCTTCACAATAGCAAAGACACGAAATCCACTTAAATGACCAATGATAGACTGGATAAAGAGTGTGGTACATATACACCATGGAATACTAGGCAGCCACAAAAGAACAAGATCATGCTCTTTGCAGTAACATGGATGAGCTGGAGGCCATTATCCTTAGCAAATTCAGGAACAGAAGACCAGATACTGCATATTCACTTGTAAGTGGGAGCTAAATGAGGACACATGACACAGGGGAACACCACACACTGGGGCTTAATAGAGGGTGGGAGGAAGGAGAGGATCAGGTAAAAATAACTAACGGGTAGTAGGCTTAATACCTGGGTGACAAAATCTATATAAACCCCCATGACCCAAGTCTACCTATGTAACAAACCTGCACACATACCCCTGAACTTAAAGTGTTAATAAGTTGTCTGTACTCCATATTCATTACTTTACATAGTCAAGCTTGCTTTTACTATTAACAGCTAAGGACACCAAGTTACCAGTTATTTGGTTCCTGAAAATGGGACAGATGCTATTCTATGTTTGCCTTACTAAGCCCTTCAAGGATTGACTCTTGAAGCTTCCACTTTTGATTGCTTTATCACTGCAATCTCTTGCTTCTCAGTCCCCTTTTGCCTATGTTTCTGCCCAGCCATTAATTGTTAGGGCACTTCAGGTTACCCCATTGTCACACAGGCAGTTATTATAGTTATTTGATAGCTGTATCTTTCCTAGCCAGTGGATCCCAGGTCTATTTTCCTGGCACTGGTCTTGTTCTCGGGAGCTCCAAGTTCATTCTCCTAATTACCTGTTTGATGTTTATATCATAAGCAGTGCAGACTAAGCTTACCCAAGGCCGGATAATTTTTCCCATGAATCCCAACTGATACTCTTCTAATGTTCTCTAACTCACATAACAATGCATTTGTGTACTTAGTTGGTGACTGCCAGATACTTAGGCTTATTTGTTCCTTTTCTCCATGACCTGGTTACCAAGTCCTGTCATTTCTACCAAAGTCTTAAACTCATGTACGGTCTAGTCTCCATTGTTAATCACCATTTTTGGTTAACTGGTTTCTTAACTTGTGTTTACCCCTACAATGTTTTTTTTTTTTTCCCCCCAACTAGAGCAACCTTCAAGAAGTCTGACATCTACTTGTTTAAATAGCTATGTAGTTCTAACATGGCCTTAAGACTTAGGATCTCTAGATCCTAACACCTAGATCTCTTAAGCAGAACATGCTATTGTAAGTTTATCTGGCTTCCAAGAATTATTGCCAGAGTAGCACCATAGAACTTGCCCACCAGAGGAGCTGATACCTTTGTCATGACTTAGGATATGGGGAAGCAGGAAGCCATTGCCACAACTTCCTCGACTCCAAAGCTAGTGCTGAATAGTAGAACATCTCTGCAAACAGGAGACCATCCCCATTACTGGCTTGCCATTAGATGGTAGCTTCAAGCTCATCTAGTTGGCAGAATCTAATTGCATCTAATCTTACCTATAAGAATGTAGGAAGATAAATCTGGAAAATAAGTCTTCCATCAGTACGGGAAGGTGGCATGGTCAACAAGGAAGGTGATTTACCATACTTACTATGTGGTCTGACATTGTCCCTATTTGCATTTTAGCTTTACTTGTGCTTCTTGTAAGATTCTAGTTTATACGGCTGCCACCACTACTCCCAACATAGGCACGCCTAGAATCTTTATACCTGAGATAAAAGTTAGATTGGCTTTTGAACTCTCAAAGTCAGTGACTGGACCAGCCTGGAAGATTGGATGTAGGGGTGTCTGAGACTTCCCAAATATCCTTAATACTTACCAGCAAGACTAGGTCAAAGACCAGAGTGTCCTATTATATTTAGACTGGTCTTTTAGATCCTAGCAGTCCAATAGTTGTTCCATGGCCCAGGATGGTTATGGTTTTGCTACTCTTTGGGGTAGAAGAGCTATCTAAAGACTTCACCCTGATGGTCAGAGATACCCAGATGCTTTCTAATTATAACAGTTCTGTTTAGAGAACTTCAGCCTGTTTAACAGCAACTGTACCATTTTACATCCTCCCAGTAAAATAAGGGTGTCAGTTACCCTATATCTTTGCCAACACTCACTGTCTTATTTGGGGGCTATGCAGTGTGCTCAGATTATGTCAGTCCCTTTGGATCCTTCACAGTACATGTGCCCCTTGTTTCTGTTCTATCTCTGTCTTTACTGCCTTCTTACCTACTGTGCTCCTGAACCCTCCTCCTAAGGGACAAGTTTAGCTAAATGATTTTATTGCTAACATTAAAGAGGATAGTGTATGATCTTATAATACTGGTCTACTAATAAGTTAGGGTTTGGTAGCACTTTCCTGCCTGAAGGGTCTTACAAAAATACATGAAGTCTTATAGATGAGCATTTGACTACAAATGAGACCTCATTTTTAGGTCTTTGGACACAGTGAAGAATAAACTGTCAACAGATGAACACTTGCAATTGATATTATGAGGAACACTAACTGAACTCAAGTAGGTATCTCAACTAGTTCTATTTTTCCTTATTAGACCTATAAGGCAAGTTGTATTCAGTTATGTCTTAGAATTGGATCAATAGAAGCCTTGAAGTTCCCATAAGTACCTCCATAATATCTGCAATTTTGTCTCTTGTTCACAGTACCTAAGATAGTAACTATCCGGCTGTTTGTAGTCAAGGCTTGCTGACCTCTATTTTAAGAGGCAGGGAAAGACCTATAAAACTCCCAGCCTGTTCTATTATAGCAGTGTATTTCTTTAAATTTATATTATCTAATTTTCTCTTTCTCTAAATGAAAGTAGTATAAGATCTCACTCAACCTCAGGCAGGCAGGATGTTGTATAGGGTCATATCTTCAAATACAAATCTGGATAGTCTGCCTTTGAGTTTAGCTGGTAAGGAACAAAAACTGGACAAAAGCTAATTTAGGCTGGGAGGAGTTGCATGATGCCCAGATATCACACTTACCTGATTCAGTGGCCTTCATTTGCTTTTCAAGTGGTCTCTTGTGACTTCTCTAAGCTATTCCTCAAGCACTTCCAAAGTGAAGGAAGGATTCAGTCATTAAACAGGTTATGGATTACTGCATGTGAACAAGCAGACAGGCAGGGAGGTACCACACCACAGCCCCTGCAGCCTTGGCTCGCTGGAACTGTATCTTAAGTTTACGTGCTTATTTCAAAGACTTGCCACTACTGGCTAATTACAAGATTAGCTCACTTGAGCTGGCAGAGCAGGTCAAGTGGTGGGAGATATAGGACAGTTTAGTGTATTCACTTTCAATCACTAGGTATACCTAGAAGAAAACTAAACTTTCATGGGGCTTGATATTTTGTCTTGATACTTATGGCATGGGTGGTCTGAAGATTGAGCTCTTTACCTTTCTGCTCACTCTGTAGACTAAAAAGGTTTATAGCCTACTGCATTCATAGAAATTGATTAAAGAATAAGACAGGACGTAAGCCTGTTTTTACTATAGGAGACCCAATTTTTTAGACCTTTGGACAGTCTAGTCTCCAACAGTAAGCTTTTTGAAGAGTCAGATCTGTGTGTTCTTTCCTACAGATGGAGTACATCCAAGTCCTATATCATGTTATCTCAGAAATCTAACTCTTACACAGGCCTAAGATGCCTAAATAAGTTCCTAAAGCTCAAAGAAAAACATAGCCCAAAGATGTTTTAGATAAACTAAGTCCATGTTTCTGTGACCTATTTGAAATGGATCATACTTAGAGACAGGCAAACTCTGGAAACATCTGTAAGATACTAGATACAGGTCTCACAGTAAGCAAGAAGATGAGAAGGCCAGCACTCAGCTGGAGCATTTGGGATGTTATAGTCAGAAGCTAATAGAGGATTTTTCCATCCTAATACCTATAAGTTCTAGGGCAAGCTGGAACCATAGTTGAGGCAAATAGCATGCCTACAGAAACTCCTGACTGGCCAAGCAGGAAAGGCAGCCCTCTCACCAGCTGAACTGAAGCTGAGAAGGTACCTCAGTCACCACTGATCTGAAGGCAGAGCTGGAAGCCCTGTTTCGTTTGACTTGATTATTTCACCCAGCAGTTGCTGGCATCAAGAATCTGTTTACAATTTAAGGTAGTGTTTGGTTCAAGAACTGTCAAGTTAAATGAAAAGTGAGAAAATAAGACTTCAAGCTCAAGCCTACCCAGCTAAATGAAAGCAAGCCATGGCACCCCAACATGCTGGAGGCCCTGTTCTCCCAAGGCCTTTGGATCCCATATAGCACACATCTCCCTGGCCCCTCAGGAGCCCACATTGTCAGCCTAGGCTGGACTTCTCAAATGGAAGAGTCAGAGCTCAAAAGGCTGGTAGCCAGTCTCTGCTTTGTCCTTAGATCCAAGTCATAGAAGCCTACAGGTGCTTTGAAAAGGATGCAAGTTCCAATACCTTCAATTGCCTTTGTAGCCGATTGCTAGCTATTGAGCTATGGAGTCCTGCCACTGGCCCAGTCGTGGGCTTGTCTGGTGAGGGCTGTAGCACAGCAACAAGGTGGGAATTACAGAAGAGCCTTCAGACTGTTAATCCCAAGGGACTTCAAGACACTAGCTCTAGGTTTCCCAGTATTTACAGAGGGTCTTTTCTCTCACCCTTGTTTTCCTTTGATTGTGGCTTCTAAACCCAGATTTATGGGTTAGAGACATTCTGGTTCTCCCTGATGGAAAAAAGTGCTACAGATTCTGTTCAAAAGGCTCTGGTTTGAACAGAATCTGACATTTTCCCCCATAGGGAATAAAAACCACATGATGTTCACATAGAAGCTTGTAAGCCAGGTTTTGCTGCTAAGAGTTAGGATTTCAGAAGCTAGAATGTTCTACTTTTGTATGTGTTTGAAGTTTCCATATGGGGAAGTTCAGGCTATTAGTTTGACCCTGAGGTTAAGAAATCCTTCAACACTAAAGTCATGAGACAAGGGAATAAAAAGATAGAACAAGGGTTTAGGTCTGCTCCCTTCTGGTCATATCAGAATTTGATTGGAAGATAAGTCAGATAACACGGAAGGCAGGCAGTATCTAGAAGATGTAGGGAATACCTACAAAGTGAGATTAAAATGCCAGTAATATTAAGTATATTAACAGGTAGCTCAGAAAAGAGAGACAAGTGACTTACAAGTGAAATATGTTGTTCTACTAATCAGAACTACAGGTTTGTGGTCATGATTTAACCTATCAAGTTAGGAAGTCTAGGTTCTAGTGGAGTTGTGGAAGAAATACGAACACCTTCAGCTTGGAGTTGTGCTTAGTGACCTTGAGTATGCCTGTGCCCCAGTGATCCCATGGAGAGGTAGATACCTCTGCCTGATAAGTACATAAGAAACTTTGAGACAGGCTCTCTTGTCGCTCAAGCTGAAGTGCCATGGCACGAACATAGATCACTGCAGCCTCAACCTCCTTGGGCTCAGTTGATCCACCTCAGCCCTCCAAGTAGCTGGGACTACAGATGCATGCCACCACACCTGGCCAATTTTTGCATTTTTTGGTAGAGACAGGGTTTATCCTTTTGCCCAGGTCTTGAGCTCTTGGACTCAAGCTGTTCTCCCACCTCAGCCACCCAAAGTGCTGGGATTATAGGTGTGAGCACTATGCCTGGCCCATAGGAGACAGGATGTCAGCTCTTCACACTATAGCCAGACAAGCACATGTATCTGCACCAAATGGCACGCTGTGCCATAAGTGGTTGCCTAGACTTATATAGCAACAATGTGGCTAAGTCTCAGAAGCGCTTAACTAGAAGTGATAGGTATGTGCCATTTACAAAGATGAGCACACTAACAACCAACCACTCCCCAGTATAAGCATGGCAGAACACAATGCTCGAGGGAACAGGGTGAATGGGGATGGAAGATGTTGGGAAAAAGGAAAGGCAGTATCAGAAGGGCCCTGTTACAGTCAGTCATTTTGCTATGTCCTAGACAGATTCTTCGAGGTTTTCACATTCTACTACTGCAGGGTACAGGTCAGGAAGCATATTGAACACTGATAGGCTTCTAGATCCTTCCTCAGGAGTAGGGCTTACCCCAGCCACCAGTATAAAGTTCTAGTATCACCCTTGGGAATTGCCTTAGAGGAGAGCCACCATACCCATAATTATAGAAGGATCCACATGACATTAGAAAGGCCTAATCCTTTTGCCCCGAGTTGGAACAGCTCTGAAGATGGGTGCTGTACTTTCAGAGCACTCCAGTGAGGTGGCTGAGGCTTCAGTTGAGACCACATCCCAAGTCAGCTTCCCTGCCCAGTCCTGCATCACTTTTCTTCAATAGGCATTAGTCCCAAGAACATGTCCTAATAAATCTTCACGTTGATCTCCATCTGAGTCTGCTTGCTAGGGAACTCAACCCACAGCAGGTAGATTGGAACCCAGCCATGCCACCTCAGCCTTGTAAGAGCAGGGAAAGCTTCACCTTTAGTCCAGAGGACTCTTCCTAGCAGAGATTTTATCGCTCCCCACCACCCCACAACCCATGAGCTTCTAGTACCCCCTAGGAACAATCGAATGGGGCAGCAATCCCTGACTGCTCCAAGGTATTAGGGAGAGATCTCAGCAGTCCTGTTGCTAGGGTAGCCTGTGACCAAACCTGACCAGCCCTTTTCATTGAACCTGGAGGAAAACCCACTGAGGCTCAGATCCCAAGCTTTATAGACCCAGGCCCAGCTTTCTAGGACCACAGTCTCTAAAATTGGTTGTCTGGTATTTGAGGTTCTCATGATGGCCATACATTCCTGACATTCCTATAGGAGTCAAGAATAATTGAATAATATAATAAAAATAATAAAAGAATAAAACTAAATTTAAAAATTTACTTTTAATGAAATAGATTCATCTAGACCATACCAGTTGGACCCTAGAATCCAGAATCTCAAAGCGAATCCACGTATGGCATGAGCAAGAGATGGCCACATACCTATTTATAACTTCACCTGCTGTCAAACAAGTCACCAAGTACTTGAAGTTGGTTTGATGTCATGTTGCTTGGTGCCTCACCCAGAGCACAGGAAGAGGTGGGATCAGCAGGGAACACCAGATCCTCTGAAGACACTAAGCTGAGGAGGCCAACTCCATCCAATCTAGAAACCATTCTTCCCTTCACTGACCTGGGAGGTTCCGATCCCAGATTTAAAATCATAGGTAGAAGAACCCTATCCAAAGGGCTCGGGATGTTTGACACGGACAGCGACAGTATCTGATCATCTTAGCTTGGGTTTCCTGGCATGGAACCTCTACTTCATGAGTGAGCCAAGTGAGCACGATCATGGCCCCAGTATTGTCAGCATGCTACACCCAAGACTGGGCCTGTCTTACGCCACAGGTTAGGTGGGAGGCAAGAACACCTCTTGCTGCACTAGCTTCTGCAACAAGCCTACAGGTGACTAAGCTATGAGTTTGTCTCAGACTTCAAAGGAAGGCCCCCCCACCAACTCCCAAGAGGCCCAAAGTCACAGCCTAGACAGCTGACAGTCCTTCTGCTATATGAGGCCTAAGTAGTTCATGGTGGGAAACACTGCAGGCATGTTCTGTGACCAGCTGAACAGAGAAAGGCTTAGATGGAAACTAGCCCCAATGTGCTGAGAGCTTTGAGGTCACTCCTCTCCCAACAACACTGAACAAGCAATTTCTCTTAAGAGTGTGGTCATAGGACATACTGTCACCCAGAAATTGAGACAGGCAAATATGTGGACTTTCAACCAAGATTAACTTCTGCAGAAGCTGCTGAAGCCAGTAGCTTACAAAAGACACTTGAATGGTAACTGAGAGGTTGCTGGAGGTGGGGTTTCTGAACCAGCTTGAGTGAGGAACTCCAGGGACCATAATGGTAGAAGGCTTATAGATTTGTGGGTTCTACCTCCAGGAGCCCTATCAGGTTCTTATGGTGAGGGTTAGAGGAAAACCCTATTTCAGACCTTCAGGGTTGTAGGCCAGGATGGGTAGTAAACATTTTAAAGTGTGCTGAGACCATTCTCCATTATGAAGCCATTTTCTGAGGAAGCCGTATTACTGGAGCCTTCTGCCCTGGGAGAAGCATAGTTAGCTTCAACCCCCTCCAGCCTTCCTGTTTCACAAGGGAAAGAGGGGGTGGGCACAGGTTTAGAAAACTGTCTTTCCTCCCTTACACCCAACCATCTCAACAGGGCTGTAGTGTACCAGCGGATTACAAGTGAGCCCCAAGATACAGATCCTACTTAAGGGGTTCCTAGGAAGATTCAGACAGGACAGAGGAAGCTAGTCTCTTGCCCCTACAGCTAACATATTTAACCCAGCTCATTGAATGCTACAGCATATGCTAAGAGACATGAGAAAAGCATTATAAGACTCAGGACAGATCTTGAAATTATCAGATAAGGAATTTAAGACAGGCAACATACAAGGGCAGATGGACAATATAAACAGATGGAAGCTGTAAGAAAGGACTGAAGAAATGCTAGAAGTCAGATTCTTAGACTGAAAATGCTTTTGATGGGATCAGTAGACTGGACACCTCCAAGGGAAGAATTAGTGAGCTTGAAACTACTGCAGTAGAAGATTCCCAAAGTAAAGGGCACAGAGAAATTAATCTGACCAGGGTTTCTGACAGGCAGGGCTTAGCTTCCCAAATTCTAGCAGGTGTTCAGGGTTAGTCTTCCCCCCACTACGGACTTAGCATTCCTGGACCACCTGCATATTAGGTTCTTCATCCAAGGCATTGCCAAGTCCTGTCCACTGCCCAGAGGCAGAATTCTAGAGCCTTCTCATTTTCCACACATCACTGTCCCTCCTGCCATACCTGGCAGCCAGCTTGGTTTCCCTGCCAAGCCCTGGTCTCCCACTTTGGCCAGGGCTGGGCTATTTTCTGCCAGCCTTTTCTTCAGAAGAAAGAACAGAGGCCTTTGTGAGGCCTCCTACTTAGGCAAGTTCAGAACCGCCACCTAAGCCTTCTCAGCCCAGTGAGGCATCCTCCCCTGAGATGATATCAGGAAGGCTTAAGTGCCTTCCAAGGCCATTAAATTTACCCCTAAGTATACCTGTTACTCTACCAGGATGCCCTCAAGCCCTGCCCTGGTTCTTGCTGAGCCTGTCTCCTTGACAGGCTGAATGACGGGCAGCCTCTCTCTAAGCCATGCTCCGGCTGTGATACTAGGGCCAGCTTGGGGCCACTGTGAAGCTTGGGCTGAGACAGGCCCAGAGACACCTCACACTATTTTCCAGAGCCTCTCTCAAAGCAAGGGACGGCTAGATGGCCAGGAGTCACCAAGAATGGTGCCATAAGTCTTAGCTGAGAGACTTTAACCTGGTCCCCTTCCCTAGTAGACCCTTGTAGTTTGCAACAGGAATCTGCCCTTCTTGTCAGTAAGGCAGCATCTCAGATCACCTATGATCTGACTTTAAAAGCTAGGAATTCTTAAGCTGGAAGATTCAAGATAAACAAGGTAAGAATTAGGAAGTATCAGTGCCTTTGGAGATTAAAAAAGCCCAGTGTTTTTAGATAGGAAAGTCTTCCTCCAGGTATTAAAGAGCAAGAAACAGTATGTCAATGGTATGAGGAGGGCTAGTCCTTGACAAAACCTGAGCTAGGCGACCTTGGGGTAGAACCGTCTTCTATGCCTAGTATAGATACCCCTGGGTAGGGACCAGGGACATTCATGAGTAAAGATAGACCCTGAATTGATCCACAGACTTCTGATCTCAGTCACAGATGCCATAGTCTGACCCCTTCCCTAAAAATGCCCAGGAAGAAGCCCATGAGGTCTAGTTGAGCCCATGCTAACCTTTTTTCCCCTTCCTTGAAAGGCTGGGTCCCACCAGGCATACAGGACTTCTGTTCTACCCTACCCGTTCTCTAGAAAAACCAAGACAAGCAGATAAGTGAGCCATTTCCCATGGTCTCCAGAGGCACTGGACCCGGGCCTAGACCTTGTATTTCCCTCCATGCCTTCCCAGTGAGGGGGCACCTCCCGGGCCAACAGTCCCATCCTGGTGCCAGAGCAGCTCTGAGCACAAAGCTGAGCTTCGCAGCAGCCCCAAGCTCACCCTAGTATCACAGCCGAAGCATGGCTCAGGGAGAGGCTAGCCAACTTTCATCCTCAAGGAGACAGGCTCAGCAAGAACCAGGGTCAGAGGCTGCCTTCTTCATGCCTGCAGTAACTTCCCATAAGCTACTGCTCTACACCAGAAGGATCATAGCAGATAGCCTAATTAGTAAAGTCCGACTCAAAAGGAAGAAAGGGTGGGACAAGAGTTTGAAGGGAGTAACCAAGAGTTTTCCAACTAAGACACAAACCCAGAGACCCAAGAAGTTCAAACCTCAAACCAAGTAGGTTAATAAAAGATAGGCCATGTCAGCTTGGATAACCACCGAGATAAAAATCCCAGGAACAGCCAGGAAGACACACTATGGATCATGGCTCATCTCTCAAACCCACAAGAAGCCAGAAGACAGTAACCATCTAAACAGTGCCGAGGGAGAGAACCCAGAGCTCTATATCTGACCAATAAAAAAAAAAAAAATCCCCTTTAGAAGTTGATGTGAGACAGAGATACAGACAAAAGCTTAGGATGTTACCAGCAGAGTCATACTTAATACTGAGGGAAATTCTTTAGTGAGAAGGCAGGTCATTCCAGATAGAATTGCAGGTCAGCTGGCAGGAATCAAGTACACAGGAAAGGTGAAAGTCAGAAGAAATGAGTTGAGATTCAGAGGAAAGGTTTGTACACAAACAAGGCGGAAAGAAGCCTTGCTTGAGCACAGCAGTCCCTAGTTAAGGCTGACAAGCTGCATATTCAGTAGCTGGTTACTAGAATCACTTCCCATCCCAGGAATGCGAGCTGCTGTGACAGGTCAACAGGTCTGACAGGAGACCCCAGGAGGCTTGCAACAGGAAAGGCCACTTTTAAGTACTCTGGATCTTGCAGATGACTTGGCATCTTTCCTAAGAGAGCTGGGCCTGGTGGCACAGGTGAGTTTCTGCAGTATAGCCCTTTTTGGTCTGTACATTGGCCCAATACCTGTCAGTGAGTCTTTATATCTGACAGATGATCCCAGGAGTGGATCTGAATGAACTCACAGCTCTTCCAGAGAGGGTGACTTAGGAAGATATTAGAAGAGAAAGTAAACCAAGCAAGGAAAGACTGGAGGACAATCAAGATAGACGGCCTTGGCAATGAGGCAGGGAAGGCAAGGGCTTTGGGGAACACATAGCCTGAAAGAACAGTTTTGAGAGCAGCATGGACTCAGGAGTTTCATCATGGCCTTCCTGGGTCCATTTTGCATACTCAGTTTGTTTCTATTCACTATGACTACCAAAAAATGAAATCAGTCCAAAGTTGTAACCTATGAGTACCTTAAAGCTTTGGGAAACAAGGAGATCGGATCCATTCCTAGCTCTAAGGAGGTTGACCCCAGTTGCTAACTCCTTCCACCAGGATCAAGCTGAGAGAAAGAAGGACAATAAACCAGAGGAAAAAGACTAGAAGTCTCCAGCATAGGGGCAGCTTTGACCTGGCACTAGGGGACTGGCTCTCTCCTGGGGCAGAAAGCAGCCTGGCACAGCTGTGGAAGATTAATTAGGGGCCAAGGTATTTGAGTTCTGCTCTCACCTCTCCCATTACACTGGGACAGGGCCTGCCTGATGCCTGCAGGAACTCACCTCTGGGCCAGGTGTCTTCAGGACTAAAATCAGGACGAGGCAAAGAGTCCTGAGCTTCATTCTCTATGCAAGTTCACAAGAGGAAAAAAAAAAAAAACAAAAACCCTGAGCTAAGAAGTCACAGATGGGGAGTTGCTTTCCAGTCCCCAGGCAAGGAAACCTCCCACCTTTGCCACTCTCTCCCTGGGGCTGGAGAGTCACAGGCTGATGCTTCCTATCACTGTTTCTGCCCAGTAGGCAAAGCAGAGGCAGAGTCATTTTGTGGGGTGGAGAGCAGTATTAGCTAGCTTGCTGGCACTCCCAGGTGCTCTACACTATGGCTCATTTTTCCCCACCACACCCCCACCCCACTCATCCTCACTGTGGTCAGGAGTCCTTCAAGGAGTGAGGTCTGGCCCTCCCCCACAGACATCGCCAGACAGCGGCCAACACCCCCAGGAAGAGGGAGTACAAGCCAGACACCAGGAGTGTAACTAGTTCCCATTATTTACCTCATCAGATTTCAGAGTCACAAATATTAAAACAGGCCGAGAGTATTAAGGATATTGGCAACACTAGATTAGGCATGAGTAGCTAGGATCCAGCTGCTGTGAGAGCAGGACCGATCTAACCAAGGAACAGGGTAGCTCACCGAGGTCGGGATCAAGGAAATCTCCCAGGAGAGGGCAGAGATCATGCGAGAAGCACAGCTGAGGCACAGAGGATGGGCATCCAGAGGAGAGGGGTCTCAAAAGAGACATCTAAGGGGGACATCCCAAGGCTTAGGGAGACTGAAGGCGGAGTGGAAAGACCCACAGACGGGAGAGAAGGAAACCCCATTCCCTAGGTGATTTGGCTCCAACATTCTTACACTTTTTCTGTGAAGAGAAAGAAGTTGAAGAAAGGCAGACAACAGGCAAAGGAACAAAAAGACCATTGAGATCAGTGGCCCTGGGTAGAGGGCTGAGGCTTTTTGGAGAAAGCCTTTCAGAGGCCAGGGCCAGGAGGGGCTGCTCTCAGGGTACATAGAGGTGCCCCTGCCTGGGGACACTGCCTCCTGAGGGAGCAGCAGAGACAAGAACAGGATCCCAGGGCACAGTAGAGACATGACCCATCACGGGGACAGGATTCTCATGGAGGAGGTGTCCTGGGACAGGACAGGAGCACCCCAGCTCCCCCATAACAGCTACAGCAGTCGGGGGGACAGTAGTTTGGGCGGAGCTATCCGGCCCACAAAGCTCAGCTGTTGGATGTGGGTGGGGAGCCAGGGCAGCCCACGTAAAGGCTGCTCCACAGCCACTTAACCAGCTGCTACCACTTAATTGGTGCCAGCCCCACTCCAGCCCCTCATTCTCCATACCTGGCCCACCCCTCCTCCCTCCCTAGACAGCCACCAGCCTCCTCAGCCCTGGGTCCAGTCTTCATCACAGCCCAGCTTCTTTCCAATGCAAGCAAGACATTAATATCCTCATTGCTTCCCACCTGCAGCCCACGCCTCTTCTACTACACACCTCCCCATGGCTCAGTATGCCTTCTTTCCCCCTCAGCGCTGGGCCAGTGTCTGTTCTCTCCTCTTTCCCTCCACCCCTGCTAGACTAGAGGCCTTGAGCTGAGTAGGACTCCATCCTAGTCATCCTTGTCTTAGGAGGCCCTGCCCCAGGAAGTCACTGTATGGGGTGATAAAGGATGATTTACTTGTCCCCAGCACCTAGGTGTTCTCCCCGAGGGCTCATCCCCCTGTGACTTCCTGCATTCAGGGAGGCCTGAAGGACTGGGCTCTAGCCTCTCCCCATAGGCACCATGGGACAGTAGACAACATCCCCAAGTAGGACAAGTTCAAGCGAAAGTGAGAGGTTAGGAGCGCACCAAGCTCGTGTTGTCCACACAGGCACTTGGAGCTTTTGCCTGCTAGCTTCTTCCTGAGCCACCAGCCCAAGCCAGACTCTGATCCCAAGGGGTCAGGTGCTGCAGTGGCTGCCAAAGGATTTCACAGCACCTGGCCACTGGCTTCCCAGCCAGCCAAGCTGCTGCTTAAAGACTCTGGTCTCCTTTCCAGAACCCAGCCCTGCTGTGGGGGCAGCAGCCAGGTGCAGCCCTCCCAGGTGCTGGAGGCAGGGCATAGGGGCCTCATTGCTATGAGCAAGGCCAAGACCTTGCCTCTTTTCCTAGCCAACCTCCAAACCATCCAAAATCCACCCAGCTCAGGAACCCAGACAGGCCTAGGACCCAGAGCCCAGGATTGAACAAAGACAGCCGTGCTCGGCTCTGGAGTTCCCTTTTTGTCACATACTCCACAGCCAAACATCAGGTTTCTTTCTAGCCCAGACCAGAGGCTATCCAAGCACCAGCACCCCGTTTCCTCCCATTTCACCCTTCATCAAGTAATGGGGGTGCAAAGCTGCACTCTAGAAACGTCTCATCCCCAATCCTTTCTCCCCAGGGCCTACCTGGCTAAGCACGACACCCACCCCGTCTTCCCCAAGCAGGGGTGCTTCAATTTCCTCCTCTAGGGAAGGCTGCCAGGACCCACAAACCCTCAGGACCTGTGGGAGACCAGCAAGTAGCCACCTCCCCCAAGCCCTAGCCCCTAGATAACCCCACGCTGAGGGCAGGCTGGTCCTCAGAGCTTCCACGCAGTCCTTATCCCAGGCCCAAGTCAAGAGCATCGCAGTCACCAGGCCAGTGGACCTCACCCCATCCAGAGTGAGGGTGTCACCTGGAGAAGCAGCCCAAGGCCCAGCTCCTCCTGCCAGAGCACCAGGCCTGGTGGACAGAGCCTTCAGTCAGAACTTCATCCCCATTGGCCAGCAGTACGCGTGATGGTGGAACCTCACAGTTCTCCTGGAGACAGGGGTCACCTCCAGATGCAGCAGGTATGGCCATCCTCCCAAGTGAGTTCGTTCCTGCTAGTGGGCCTCAGCCTAAGAACCTAACTGGTTTCACCCAGACACAGACCACATCAGCCCTTCATCGGAGACCCGCTTTGGCCTAGAATTTAGACAGCTGAGGATGTATCTTGGGCAAGCAGCCCCTACATCCATCTGTCCAGCCAGGGTGCTTGCTGCATGAAGGTTTTTATAGGGCCCAGATCCTCCACCTCCTTCTAGATCAGGTGTTTCAAACCTTTGGCATGCATCAGAATACCCTGGAGGGCTTGTTAAACCAAGACTGCTGGGCCTCATCCCCAGAGTTTCTGAATCAGTAAGTATGGGCTAGACCTGGAGAATTTTCATTTCAAACATGCTCCCAGGTGGTTCCACTATTGCTAGTTTGCAGCCCACACATTGAGAACCACTGTTCTGGAGCCTCTGGAGGTGGAAAGGGCCAGTGCCGCCCCTTTAATGAAGGCATGGGCGGAGCTGGGCTCATGGGAATAGCTTTAGTACTTTAGGGTTGATTCCTTGGGATTGGCTAAGGAGAGTGGCCCGCATTGATTTTGAAGGGCTTTGGGGTCCCCTAGGACCTCAGCAAAACTCAGGGAGTCCTACTGTCTCTTGGGAATGGGAAGGCAGTGCTGGTTGTCTGATTCCTGGATTAGGGTCCAGGCAGGTGGGAGAAGGAAGGCAGAAGAGGTTGCGGGAGTGTGGAGCACATCCTGGAAATCCAGGAGCTGGGGTCTAGGCCCAGCTCTGCCACCAACACCTTTGGGGACACTGTCAGTTACTTGCCGTCCTTGAATCTTGTCTTGCCTCAGACAGAGTGCTGAGACTGGACCATATTTTTGATGAGTTCGGGCAACATTTATTATTGAGTGCTATTTGAGTGTCAAGCACTGTGCTTGGTGCTAAAAGGTAGAGGTAAAAGATGGAGCCCTTTGCTCTGGAAGAGTTTGCAGCCTGGTGGGGGCGTGACAGGGAAGCAGTGATCAGGATCCATGCAGGGTGGGGAGTGCACTGGTGAGAGCCCTGGGGAGGCTCTCCTGTGGTCCCCTGGGGTTCTTTCCAGCCCCAGACCTGGTGTGGGGCAAGGGGTCTCCCCAGCTCTGGAAAACACCCACACCAGCTTTCACAGGGACAGAGGGATATATATTTTTTTGACTTTTAAAAAACATGTTCATGGGTACATAGCAGGTATATATATGTATGTGGCCTATGAGATATTTCGATATGGGGTAATATTTAAATGAGATGCAAAATCAAGCTTTTAAAACTCTCTACTACCCCGGGGAGGCTCAATCTAAGGTAGACTGTGAGCCTGTGGGAGGTGGGTCTGTTTTCATCATTTATCTGTTTATCGGCTACCAAGTGTCACAGGTCAAGATGCTGATGCCCAGGCTCCAGCCCAAGGCAATAGAAGCAGAATCAAGGGGTTCTCTGTGCAGAACCCTTGGTTGGCTGGAGAACCATTGATCTAGATTGGGAGGAAAAAGTCTTCCAAAAGCCCGGAAGAGGCAGTGCAACTCCGGCAGGGGTCCAAGGAAGGTAAAGCACCCCACGCGACTGCTGGAGACGGGCGAGGAGTGAGAGGCAGGTGGGAAGGTGGCTTCAGCCAGTTTCCCCAAGGACCTTCCTTACAAAACTGAGGTGCTAGGCTGTTTTTCATGGTTAACAGGGAGCCATTGAAGGCCCCCAAGGAAGGATATGATATGTTCAAAGCTGAGTACCAGCCATGGCAGCCTCTGCTTCCTCCTGCCTCTTCCCTTACTCCTAGATTCTACTTCCACCATGTGACAAAAAGAAAAGCGCTTGGGCCTTGCAGCCCGTTCTGTTAGAAAATGCAGGTTTGGGGTGTATATTGGTGGACCAGCAAGAAAGGAAGGGGGCCCCAGAGTCCTGCCCCTTCAAAACCATTGACAATTTCTGTGTGGCCTTGGGCAAGTAGGTCAGCGTCTCTCAGCCCCGGCGGCCAAATTCCTGCCTGCCCAGGAATACACAATGTACAGAAGCACACTTTGAAAAGGTGAGAGCTGGACTCAGAAGCAAGGTCAACGTAAAAGGAAGAAGCTAAAGCACAAAATGTGATTTCAAAAAGTTTACTTGAGCCAAAGTGAGGACAGCTGCCTGGAAGACTCAGACCCAAGGAAGCTTGGTTATGAGCTCCAGTTCACCTTACAGGCAGGTTTTTAAAGGCAAAAAAATAAGAGAACAGGGAGCGGACTGATACAAAGTTATCAGGAATTCTCGTTAGTTTACAGAAATAACTTGATTAGCGACTGGCTATACATTAAGCTACAGAGTGTGGGACGTAGCGTCCAGTGAGGCATTTTTAGGTTAATTCATAGTTACCTGGGGCAACAGCAAGCAGTTTCAACAGATGAACAGGGGAAGTAGGGCATGGTTGCTGTCTCATTTTAGTGCCTCTCTGGGCCTAATAATTTGGTTTTTTTGAGACTGAGTCTCGCTCTGTGGCCCAGGCTGGAGTGCAGTGGCGCGATCTCAGCTCACTGCAACCTCTGCCTCCTGGGTTCAGGCAATTCTACTGTCTCAGCCTTCTGAGAAGCTGGGACTACAGGCGCACACCACCACGCCCAGCTAATTTTTGTATTTTTAGTAGAGACGGGGTTTCACCATATTGGTCAGGCTGGTCTCGAACACCTGACATCAAGTGATCCACCTGCTGCGTGAGCCGCTGCGCCCAGTGCTGTGCCTAATAATTTGAAAAGGCTCACATTCCTCAGGTAACTGTTGTTTTCTTTCCTTAGTATCCTTTGATAAGCCCAGCTGGACAGGCAGGGCTAAGGGACCAAGGAATCAAGTGACTGGAAGAACATTTGAAGAAGATCACTTCCTGTTAAGTCCCAAACCTGGGCAAAGCGTAAGGACAGGTAGGGTCAGCACATCTGTTTTTCATGATCCCAAGCTCAAATGTGAGAAGGAGGTAGCAGGGGTGATGTGAAATAGAAAACAGATGAAACATTGGAAAGAGCCAGATAATGATTTCAGGAGCGGCCCAGCCACAGGTGTGGAGAGGGGAGGCCAGACCCTCAGGGGCCCCTCCCAGATGAGGCCTATCTGGAAAGATGCAATTGCACACGTTTTAAGGGGAATCACCTGAGAACCGGAGTAGGGGGGTGTGGAGTAGAGGGTTATGAGGAGGAGTTTCTTCTTCTGAATTCAAGTCCCAATTTTGCTGTGTGACCTGGACACATACTGATACCTCTCTGGGCCTCATCAGTGCTAATTTACCAGTTCCCCCTAATTAGGTAAGAACTGGACCCTTGCTAGGGTCATGAAGACATTGCTCTGATCAAATTGGTGGTGCAAAGTGGTGAGATGAGCCTAAGATGGGTGATGAGAAATGAAGGAGTAATTTAAATAACAAGTGTCCTTCAAAGTGATTCCTGGCTCCCAGCCCCATCTCAGCCTCAGTCCCTGAGCCTCTGAACTGCCCCACTCCGCCCAGGTTCTCAGCCCAGGGCAGCCCATGCTGCTGGTCCCGTCCTACCCACCCACCTCTAGTTCCTGGCTTGGGACAAGTCCACCTTTTAAGCCCTAGCTTTAGGGACTGGCTTTACCTAGGTGAAATTATTGTCCCCAAGGATGGGCCCACTGGTAACTATGGAGCCAAGGAGTACAGGTAAGGCTGTCAGGCCCCAGACCCACACTCCAGCCTCCCATGCTCCACTTCCCTATGTCCACACCCTCAATTCTGCTGGGGGTCTAGAACCACAGCCTCAACTTGGCTGCTTTTCTTTTTTAAATTTAGTCACAACAACGATCTACAGTAGCATCAGATAGTGCAGGTCATGGTAATGTAGCAACTGCAATGCCCCTGTCCCCTAACCAAGATAGCAGGGAAACAGCGTGGTGATTAAGAAGTGTGTCTCCTATTTTCGTCACACACATGCTCAAGTGCTCAAGAGGAGCCAGGTGCTTCCACGATGGCCTCTGCCTGCACTCGCCCCATAGCCCAGCAAAAGAGGTGCACCTGAGGCTCTGGGCCACTGATCTGGAGTTGTAGAAGGGCAGAGCCAGGATCCCCATGCCGGGCTGTGCTTTTCCCCAGCAGTCCACAGCTTTGCCACCGGCAGGACTGAGCTCCTCTCTGGCCTCAAAGTCCCCCTAGATAATGCGTGTACTTTGTTCTGCTCAGCCTTCATCAGGGTGGTCAGGAGGAGCTCAGGAAGGGTGACCTGAGAACCTCACCAAGTTCCCTGTGGCTTATCCCAGCTCTGCAGACAGCAGCGGGAAAGTTTCACTCCACAGCTCCCTCTCCCCTGCAGCTATGGGAGCAAGTACCACTCCAGATTTGATGAAAGCCACATGCCAGGAAACCTTTAAAACCCACTTTGGTGCCAGGCACAGTGGCTCACACCTGCAGTCCGAGCACTTTGGGAGGCCAAGGACGATGGATCACCTGAGGTCAGGAGTTTGAGACCAGCCTGGCCAACATGGTGAAACCCCATCTCTACTAAAAATACAAAAATTAGCCGGGTGTGGCGGCACATGCCTGTAATCCCAGCTACTTGGGAAGCTGAGGCAGGAGAATCACTTGAACCCGGGAGGCTGAAATTGCAGTGAGCTGGGATTGTGCCACTGCATTCCAGCCTGGACGACAGAGCCAGACTCTGTCTCAAAATAATAATACCCCCTTTGGAGCAGGGGAGTGTAGTGTGGGATTGAGATGTGGAGTTTCATACACTTAAATTTGAGTTATGGCTTCCACATTCGTTGTCTATGTGACCTTGGGCAAGTTGCTTAACCTCTCTGAGCCTTAGTGAGCTGGTTTAGTTTAGTTTAGTTTTTTTTTTTTTTCACTTTTTTGTTTTCTCTCTTATGCAAGGATAATGCTACCTCACAGGGATGTTGTGAGGCTTCAACATGATAGTGAAATAACAAGCTCAACAGGTGGCAGTCCGACCACTGACATTAGTGTTGGCAGCATCAATTTGCCATAGACAAAGTCTAGCCATGGAAAGCTTGGCTTAGACCCTACCCAGATGGCCTCACTACCAAAGACCAAAGAGGCTCTGAACCCAGGTGGTCCACTGATGAGACGCTATTAAAGAGTGACCCCGTGGGCTGTGTCCTACAGACTCTAGTGAAGCCTGTGCTTGTGGCCCTGCCCTTTAGGGGCACCCCTAAGCCTTTCCTTCCACCATCCCAAACTGCCCAGCCTGTGACACCTGCTGAAAGCCAAGCCCCTAGACGTCAGCCTCTGTCTGGAACTAGGAATAATAACAATACATTCCCACACTAGCCCTAAAGCTGGGAAGAGCTCATGAGCCGTCTAGTCCAGCACTCCTATTTTACAGAGGAGGAAACAAGACACAGAAGGAAGCCACACAACTCCCACAGCTGAGGCTTCCTGACTCCCAGCCCAAAGCTCCTTCCATCACTCTCTGCTGCTAGGATTGTTCTTTTCCTGGAAAAGGAGAAAACAACCAGTTTGAAGGCTTAGCCTGGGGCCTGGGGCCTGGGGCCTGAATGGCCCACTGGTAGATTTGCTTTGCCAGTAAATCAATATTTTAAATTTTCAACCCATGTTTAAAAATCAAGAGAGTTTTTCATAAACATCCACACTCTCAGTTCTCCTTGACAGGTAAGTAAATGTGGCAACACTAGACCCATGAACCCACGTGGTATTGTTGTCTGCTGTTATCCAATAGTACCTATTTTATATAGGAGCTACATCTCCACTTCTCCACAGTCCCCACCGCTCCCTACAGCCTCACAGTTACCTGCCTGTCTCCTACAGCAAGTCCACTGAGAGCAGAGTCTGCGTTTCTGTGTCCCCACTCTGCTTCTATCCAGCCCCCAAAATGTCTGGCCCAGGTGCTGCCCAGATGGTGAAAATCACCATGCCTAGCCATCAGTCCTGACAGTGGGGGCTTGCAAAGTGCTGCCACAGCTTTCCAAGCCAGCATGAAGTCGGGGGAGGGAGGTTAGCTGTCCCGTTACAGATGAGGAAACTGTTAGCAAGTGAGGTGGTGGGATTAGAACTAAGTAAACTGGCAGCTACCCACTGGGTGGGCTTTGGGGCACCCCCTGCCTTCTAGTTTGACTATTAGAACAAAGAGGCAGGAAAAAAATGGGCCCTTCTTGGGGGACCATGCGACCTGGCCTCTCCCCACGGCTTGGAGGAGGCAGTTCTGTGAGATGGGACACAGCTGGCCACCCCACCTGACACTCTCCCCCTGGGCCAGCCTCGCTCTTCTCCTGAGCCACTGGGGGTCCTTCTGGGGAAGGAACGGTGAGCAGGCTTGGAGCCAGGACCCAGCCCTGCATACATTAGGAGTAACATGATTGTGCAGAGAGCTTGATTATTGTCTGTGCATTATTGATAGTGTACCCTGCAGGCAATAAATTATCGACAGGACAGAGAGAGTGGCAAGGCTCTGGCCTGGGCGGAGGTGGGCTGGGGCCAGATCCTGCACTGTGCCTGTGAGGGTAGCTATGGTGGGCTTGGGCAGGTGGGCCTGAGGTGCGGGGAGGAGTCTGCATGTGCTCACCCCTGGGAAGGAGGGTATATGAGAGTGTTTCTCTCTTGCTGCTCGCTCTTTCCTCGACTTGCCCTTTCCTGGGTGCCAACATCTCTTCCCCACTCTTCTCCTCTCCCTCTCTGGCTCATCTTCCTTCTTTCTCCTTCTCCGCTTCCTTCCTGACCTGGAAGACTTCTGGTGGGTGGGCTGACATCCAAAGAAGCCTCAAGGACAACCCCGAGTGCCCGGACATCCAGGCACTGGGGGTACCTTTCTCCAAGAGAGGAGAAAGCTCAAGGGCAAACATTTTGGGCGGATAATGGGTGGCGCCAAGAATCCTGTTATAGCTAGGCTGTTTGAGAACACTGGCCAGGTGCAGTGGCTCACGCCTGTAATCCCAACACTTAGGGAGGCCGAGGCGGACGGATCACTTGAGGTCAGGATTTTGAGACCAGCCTGGCTAACCTGGTGAAACCCCGTCTCTAGTAAAAATTAGCCGGGGATGGTGGCAGGTGTTTGTAATCTCAGCTACTCTGGAGGTTGAGGCAGTGAAATCCTTGAACCTGGGAGGTGGAGTTTGCAGTGAACCGAGATTGCACCACTGTACTCCAGCCTGGGTGACAGAGTGACTCTGTATCAAACAAAACAAAAAAAGTTTGAGAAAACTGCCAGCCATCAGGTGGAGGTAGAGAGGGAGTTCATTATCATAATCATGGCTAACACACTTGAGCCAAGAACTTCAGACATTTCACTTACAGCACAGCAATGCCAGGAGAGAGATGCTATTACTATTTTCAGAAGTACAGGAGGTTAAGGCACTCGTCCAAGGTCACACAGCTAGTTAGTGGCAAAACTGGGATTCGAGCCAGTATTCAGGCCCTGAGCCTGTGTTCTTAACCATCACATTGGATATATGAGTGGCTGGCCCTGAATGGGGAGATTACGAGGGGATTTTATTTGCTTTTTGTGCTTATCTCTATTTTCCAAATTTTCTGCAATGAATATGCATTGCTTTTGTAATCAGAAAAAACACACATAACAAATTATATTTTTAATAGCATTTCTCCTCCTCCCAAGTCCCTAGATGCTTCTAACCTATCCCCTCTCCAATTCCTTGGCAACCCCAGGGCCATCCTCCCAGCAGAGGGGAGGAGGAGAAAGAAGGCCGCTGACCCGATATTTACTCCCTTCCTATGGAGTGGGGGGAGTGGGAGGGATGTCATCATGGTGCGGTCTGCTCTCTTCACCTAGACCAAGTCCAGAGTGGTAGCTGTGGGCATTGACTGTGGGACTCCCCACTGGCCTCTCTGCCAGGCCTGGCAGCTTCTCCTTTGGTTCCTCAGGGACTGGGGGTCAGTCCAAGCCACCCCACAAGCTCAGCTCTATCTGCCTACAGCAGCTGGGCTGGTAGTTGGGCCAGGGCCAGGCTGGTACCACAGAAGGGACTGTCATAAGCCATTCCTAGCACTCCCTCTGCCTCCTGGAAGGCCTCCCTCTCTTGGTACCAGGTTTCCCTGGATTAGTTCATCTTCCCAGACTGGGACCACACAAGGATGCTGCTTTATTTCATCCTCATGCTCCAGGTAAGAGATTTCCTATGCCTGCCCACTCCTGGTTCTCTCCTGGAAAGATTAGGGTGAGGAGGGTAGGAGGGTGCCAGCACCGATGACAGGGGATAGAGTCTCAAGGGGAAAGCTGGGGTCTACCACCACTCTGCACACTGCCTGCCACCTCCCCAGCAGTGGGCAGAAGGCATTTCCTCCTCCACATTCTCATTATTCAGGCCTCCAGCCCCCGGGGATTTACAACAAAGCTGGTGGCAGGGGCACCAAGTGTGGCCAAGAGATGGCATTTCTCCTAAAGCCCCCTGGCCTAGATGGCCTTGAGGCATTGTTTATGTTCATACCCACACTCCACGCCTAAAAACAACTCAAACACCCATTGGTGGATGACTGGCTGAGCAAATTATGGTGCCTCCAATTCTATAAACTACCACGTAGGCATTGAAAAGAGGACGTAGATTTTTGCATATTGACTTAGAATAGCATCAATGTTATAGTAAGTAGAAAAGCAAGTTGTACACCAACATAAAGCAAATACTTCAACCTGAGAAAGCTGGTTGCAAAAAAAAAAAAATCTGTATACCTATTTATTTATTTATTGAAAAACAGTCTCGCTCTGTCACCCAGGCTCAAGTGCAATGGTGGGATCTTGGCTCACTGCAAACTCTGCCTCCCAGGTTCAACTGATTCTCCTGCCTCAGCCTCCCAAGTAGCTGGGACTACAAGTGCCTGCCACCAAACCTGGATAATTTTTGTATTTTTAGTAGAGACGTGGTTTCACCATGTTGGCCAGGCTGGTCTTGAACTCCTGACCTCAGGTGATCTGCCTGCCATGGTCTCCCAAAATATTGGGGTTACAGGCGTGAGCCACTGCGCCTGGCCCCATATACCTATTTTTATTTTTAAAAATAGATATTTTCATTATGTTGATAGAAATTGACCTGTCGCTATAATCTTAGGACATGATTGAGAAACCTTCCCCCGAACTGTTAACAGAGGCTAAGAATTTGGTTATCTGTGGTGACTGGGTAAGAGCTGGCCAGGAGGACATTAACTCATCTTGTTTTACATAATCCCAAAAGGAGGTGATGAGATTATGGGTTATTTATTTTCCTACCCATAATAAGTAAAACTTCAAAAAAAACTAAACATGAGACAGGCACAGTGACTCACCCCTGGAATGTTAGCACTCTGGGAGTCTGAGGAGGGCAGATCACTTGAGTCCAGGAGTTCGAGACCAGCCTGGGCAACATGGCAAAACCCTGTCTCTACCAAAAATACAAAAATTAGCTGGGTGTGGTGGCATACGTCTGTAGTACCAGCTACTCGGGATGACAAGGTGGGAGAATTGCTTGAGCCCGGGAGGCAGAGGTTGCAGTGAGCTAAGACTGCGCCACTGAACTCCAGAGCAAGACTCTGTCTCAAAAAAAAAAAGAAAAGAAAAGAAAAGAAAAGAAAAAGAAAAAAAAAAGAACTAAACATGGTGGGCACCTCCATGCTTCCAGACTTTCACAGCAGCTGCACATCAGATGTGGAACACTCCTGTGGCCCTTCCTGCCCTGGGATGGTGTCCTTCTCCAAGCAGTATCAGGCACACCCCTGGCAACCGCTGGCCGGTGGTCACCACGGACCAGTGCCCAGGGCTTCTTTGCAGAACCGTCCCTGTCTTTGGGAAGACTTGATCATTCATTCAACAATTATATCAGGGCCAGTTATGGTGGCTCATGCCTGTAATCCCAGCACTTTGGGAGGCCGAGGCAGGTGGATGACCTGAGGCCAAAAGTTCGAGACCAGCCTGGCCAACATGGCGAAACCCTATCCCTACTAAAATTACAAAAATTAGCAGGGTATGGTGGCGCATGCCTGTAATCCCAGCTACTCGGGAGGCTGCAGCACAAGAATCGCTTCAACCTGGGAGGCGGAGGTTGCAGCGAGCTCAGATAGTGCCACTGCACCCCAGCCTGGGCAACAGAGAGAGACTGTCCCAAAAACAACAACAGCAACAAACAATTATGTCAGATACCTTTAAATGCTCACCTCCCTTTCTGGATCCTTCTATCACATTTCCACTCTGTGCCCTAAAGGACCCACACTGAAGAGAGGGCCCTCTGACCTACTCTTCGTCCGTGCCTTCTTCGACAGCTCGAGCCCCTGGTGTGTGCCAGGCACTATGCTGGGTGTCTCCATTTCCTCATCTTGACACGGGTATGTACCTCTTTTCTGAGAGGAAGGAATGGGACAGACATAGGACTCTATCTGGGATGGGATAGGCCTGTCCAATTTGGAAATGCACATGTAACATATCTATTGTTTTTGCAATGCAAACTGCAGAAAGATATGTTTGAGGAGATATTGGCTGGCAGGAGCCACAGAAGATGGAGAGTGTGTTTTCTCAAAGGAGGTGGAAACATCATTCCATTCAATGATTGAGCTCATAGGACAGAATGGGGCAAAAAGTCTCCCAAGGGAAAGAAACCAAGGGACAGAGAGAACTGGCCCTTCTTTTGTGGGGAATTGGCAGGAGAGGAGCAGGTGGTGATATGGGGTCTTTATGAGGCTAGGGTGCCACACAGCCCTGCTGGATGGAACTCAGCATCTAGAACATGCCCCAGGGCATGGCTGAGCAAGTGCTCCAGGGGTTAACAGAGGCGGCCCAGGGGTGCGTTAAATTTGGCAAGCTCACCCTGCTGTCCTCTCAAAGGTCACCATCTTTAAAGAATTAGGAGATCTCTTTGGGCAGATGGGAAAACAGGCTCAGAGTGCTTGGGAGGCTCAGGGTTTGAGTCGAGGCAGGGTCTCTCCTGGAGCAGTTACCGTTCCTGCTCTGGACAAGCCCTGGTGCACTTGACCCATCCTCCTGTGACTCCCTGGCAGCTCCTTTTCTGCTCCTGAGTTCAGCTCTCTGAAGAGGGAGAACAAGGCTGTGGGCCTGCCCCCCTCCCATGGCAAAGCCTGAAAAGCCCCAGAGAAGGGGGTCAGGAAGGGCAATGGCATCAGTGCTCGGAGCGTCATGACCGTATCTGCCTCCCTGAATGCCTTGGCATAGCGCCAGGAGGGTGAGGGGCAGGGGGGCATGGGAAGAGATCTGGGAAAGGGAAGGGAGGGTCTTGCCCCTGCTCTGCTGCCAACTTCCCATGCGGCGACAGGCTGTCCTCACAGGCTGTAGGGTCAGGAAGTGACAGAGGCACAGTGAGAGGCAGGGACTGTCAGGGTGGGGATGCCCGGCTACTCCAATCCCCTCCTGTATGGATGAAAAGTCGGCTCAGAGATGGGAGTGGGGGTGGGAGCCCCTTCTGTGGTCATTTAACAGAAGGATTCCTGCAAGAGGTGGGGTCTGAGAAGGGGCGGAGCCTAGAGGTGCGGATGAGGACAAGGCATCCTGGGGAATGGTCTGTGAAGAGACAGGAAGGCGGTGACGAGGGAGCTCCAGAGAGGCAGGAGGAGAGGGGACCAGTGAGCATGCAGCTGGAGGCAAATTTAAGATCCCGGTGATATCTGCACTGTCCAATGCAGTAGCCGGGGCCACGGTGGCTGCTGAGCCCTTGCCGTGAGGCTAGTCACTGAGGGCCTGAAATTTTACTTTTATTTAATTTGAATTCATTTAAGTTTTAAAACCGGTACCTGAGTCAGTTACTAGAAAATTTTTTAATATGTTTGGAACGATGTGTGTACTATTTTTTGCTATAAGTTTTATGAAATCTAAACACTCATCAAGCATTTCTAATGAAAATTTAGCATCCAGCCAGATGGGGTGGCTCATGCCTGTGATTCTAGCACTTTGGGAGGCCAAGGCAGGAGGCTTGTTTGAGTCCAGGAGTTTGAGACCAGCCTGGGCAACATAGCGAGACCTGTCTCTACAAAAAAAATTTTTTTAATTAGCTGGGCTTGGTGGTGTGTGCCTGTGGTCCCAGCTACTCTAGGGGGCTGAGGTGGGAGGATCCCTTGAGCACAGGAGTTTGAGGCTGCAGTGAGCCAGGATCACACCACTGACCTCCAGCCTCGGCAACAGAGAGAGATCTTGTCTCAAAAAAAAAAAAAGTATTAAGAAAATTTAGCCTCCAAATTGAGATGTGCCCTAAGAGTGAAAATATACATGCAATTTCAAAGACTTAGTATAAAAAGAACGTTATAATGATGAATAATATTTATATCAATTACGTGTTGAAATATTAATATATGGACCATATTGAGTTAAATATACCAAAATTATTTCCACCTTAACTCTTTTTGCTTTTTTAATGTAGCAACTAGAAAATGTAATATTACATGTCTAATTCATTTTAATATCTGTGAAACCCACATTGATAATACCTCTTTAAATTCTAACTTTGGTGGTATGTGTTCTCTTTTTTGCTAATCAGTATAGTTACGTGTTTATTCAATTGATATTTTCCGTTTGACTTTGTGAATTTTCTGTTTTGTTTGTCTGGCTCTGATTTTGTTTGGTTCTACCCTTTATTATTTTACGCCTTCTTTTTAACTTAGGTTTACTTTGTTCATCTTTTCCTAAGGTTTCACATGTATGCTTATAATTAAGATTCATCCATGAATTTTGTTTCTCCTATTGTCCTTGACAGATTTTGTGGTCAATCTCCCGCTAGCCTGATAAAATGTGTGCAGCATGCTCGTGTCTTCTTTATGCTTTGGAAGATTTGTCACATATTGAAACTATTTCCTCACTAAAGTATGTATTAATACCTTCAGATTAAAAACATCACATATGTGACTTGCATTATGTTTCTACTGACAGTGTGGAAGGTCTTGAATGCTGGCCTGAATTTAGCATTAGAATCTGTACGAGCCCTTAAGTGACTCAGATGTAAGTGCCCTGGGAGGTCTTCCTGCTCCCCAAGAGTAAATAGGACTCCTTCTGTGTGCTCTCGGAGTACCCCAGGTTCACCTCAACATTAGAAAAAAAGGTGCTATGATTTTAAGTCTTTAAGTCTGTTTTATTCAAGATGCCTAGAGTCTGTGACTAAGATGTGTGAGTTGGAGTTCTGTTTCTAGGCAGCAGTGTCCCCCACCCCCGCCCTATGGTACCCAGAGAAGTCCTTGGTCCAGCCAGGCATGGAAAGCAGACATCGCCCACCCTTCCCACCTCCCTTCCCCTGGCCTAATCTCAGCTCAGGCAGGCCCAGGGCAGGCATCATGGGCCTAGGCCTCTACAAGCTTCCTGCAGCTGGTGCTGGCAGGGGGCGCCCAGGGGAGCACAAAGCTGGGGATAGCTCCTCAAAGGTGACACCCATCAGACCTGTTAGATCTGAAGCCACAGAAGGAAGACACAGGCCAGTAAAATATGACCCCAGTTCCTGTCTCAAAATGTCTGGACTTGGCCACCTGCATGTAGAGCCCACCTCAGGCTCCCAGCTCTGCTCAAAGCTCCCCAGCCCAACACAGATTTGCCCAAGGGAAGATGAAGCTAGGGCCACATCCCCCTTCCCCAGGTCTAGGGAGGAACCAGATCAGCTTCCCTGGCCTGTTACATTTCTCTCTGTCCCCAGTCTCTGTGGATCCTTTTCATGGCACAGGATTTTAATCAGTCCTTGAAATCATCTTTGACCTGGTCCTTGTCACAAGGAGAGAATCTAAAGGGGGAAATTCTAAACAAGGCAGTTTCTAGGGGCTGGAGAGCTGGACTGGAATTGCTGGGTGGCCTTGGGAGAGTCACTTGGCTTCTCTGTGCCTGCTTTACCAAGTAGGAACACTCTCCTGGAATCCCCTCTTATGTCCCACACCTTTACAGAGGGAAAGCAAGCTGGGGGAAAAAAAAAAAAAAAGTACTGTGTGTGTGCAAGCATGCAGAGATAGGAGCTCTCAGTACCTGGCAGCTGGATCCCAGACCCAGTAAGAAAATGGCTGTCCTGGCTGGGCGTGGTGGCTCATGCCCGTAATGCTAGCACTTTGGGAAGCCAAGGTGGGTAGATCACCTGAGGTCAGGAGTTTGAGACCAGTCTGGCCAACATGGCGAAACCCCGTCTCCACTAAAAATACAAAAGTTAGCCAGGCATGGTGGTGCACATCTGTAATCCCAGCTACTCAGGAGGCTGAGGCAGGAGAATTGCTTGAACCCGGGAGGCAGAGGTTGCAGTGAGCCAAGATCACGCCACTGTACTCCAGCCTGGGCAACAGAACAAGACTCTGTCTCAAAAAAAAAAAAAAAAGAAAAGAAAAGAAAAGAAGACAGCTGTCCTGTGGCAAGCTGGGTTTGCAAATCAAGATGGTAAGGGAACGTTGCTAACATTCTGCTTCCCGTTTCTCTTCAAAGACTCCTCTCTCTTTGAACACTTGGGGCACCTCATCTGTCTGTCTATAGGAATAGACCTATCTTGCTAATACATTCAGTCAAACACATCTGTGATGAAAAATGCAATTTTTCAAAGTTTTACAATTCCTAAAGCACGCTCTAATTTTTCCTCTACACCAGATTCTGAGCATATTCTTCCTCCATAGACCAAGGTCTTCCCTGAGATGTCACCCACTAAATATTCCCTCCCTGGTCCAAACCATCTCAGGGATGCTACAACCTCACAAAGAGACCAGCCTCCTGCCCCCTCCACCTTTCCAAAGTCCCCACCCACGCACTCCCCTTACCCAGGCTCACTGTGGTTTCCAAACATTTAGTAGTGGGACCCTTTCTTTAAACAGATCCCAATGTGTAAACCAGCTCCTCTGAAGGAGGGAGGTGGGGTGTCTAGAATCCTCCTACTCAACACCCCTCCCCGCAGCCCTCTCTGGGCAGCACAGATTGAAAAATAACTGAGGCGCAGAAATGACTGGGAGCCAGAAGGATTGGGCCAAATAGCACAGGCCATTGTCTTGCCATTGACTTCAGGCAAGTCACTCCCCTCTCTGGGCTTTAGGACCATTTTGGTCAAATGAGAAGGTCGAGATGGGTGGGTCTGAACGTCAGGTAGCTGTCCTCCTCTGGAGTGAGTCACTGCACACCTGGAGGGCTTTGTGCACCTGCTTACACACTAATCGCCCCAAAATATGTCTCCCGTAGTGTTTCACAATGTCTGAAATACCATTAGCACTTCCCTTTGGATCCTCAGTACTTTATATTCCCCTTGGATCTTGTTAAACTACAGGTGTGTATCTGTAAGAGGCAGAGACAGCTCATCAGATAAGACCTTAGTGAGCATGAGCTGCCATCTGGCAGATATGGGATTGGGATGCCAGTCTAGAGAGTCAACAGCCTAAGAATCAAAGACCAACTTTACCAACTTCATAACTTTCTGCAACTGACACAGGCAAGATTCACCCAGTGCAGCCAAGCTTCCCCTACAAACTCACCTCCCACCCCCACCCCATCCCTGACTCCTAACCCAGCCAGCATGCTGTTCCCATTCAACTCCAACAACAACAACTGACCAAGCACCTACTGTGTGCAGGTGCTATTCTCTGGGCTGGAGATTCAGCCATGAGAGGACAGACAAAGCCTCCAGCCCCAGACAAAGACACACGATCAACAAGGAGACAATTGGGGGAGACAATTCAACCCATTCCAGGGCTCTTCATCATGCTTTTATATAAGTTTCAGAAAAAAATACCAGTTGTCCATATCAAGCAGTATTATTTTGGGTGATGGCTTTGGCGAAGGGCAGGTAGAAATTATGGGGGGATTAAAGCCCCATACAGGGCCCCCTTTTGGTGTTGCCACTGGCAAAAGATGGGCCTGAGGCAGCCCCTCCATAAGAGAGGAGTACTCTGACCTCAGAGGACTGGATTACCCACCATTTAATGGGAGGCCACTGCGTGTCAGTGCTGTGGTGAAACCCTGTTAGCCTCAATAGGGAAGGTATAAGGTTTGAGAAGAAGAAGAAGGCCGAAGAAGAGACCTGGAGCCAGCAAAGGAGGCATGGGGTGTTATTAGGGGCCTACATACAGAGAGGCCAGAGGTGGTGGACTGGACAGGGGAACCGCCTTACATCTACAGTCCAGCGGCGGCAAGCTGGAAAAGAGATCCACCTTCCCACAGCCCAGTGGCAGCAGGCTGGACAGCATAGCTGCATAGCCCAGCAGCAGCTGGACAGGAAAACTACAACAGCTTGAAACAGCGTGCAGTTTACATCGCATTTTCACTTAACACCTTCCTCTTAACAGCCTCCACCTAGTAACCTTCATTTAACCCCAAACTCAGGGCCTCAATCTCCTGTATGGCCCGTGTTCCACAGGACAGGCCAGGGGCTCAAATGTTCCTCATAGACAAGGAACCAATCTCCTGGTTGGCCACGTTGGGATCCCCTAGTTCGGAACACACACTCAGGTGCATCTGCCATGCAGGGTCATTCTAAGGGTATGCTTGTTATTGCTGTCAGGGGCATTTACCCTACAGCCAGGCACTGCGCTAGTCACATCACAGTGCTTGGCTCATTTCCTCCTCACAGCAACCCCACCAGGCAGGCATCACCCTCATTTCCCACATGGGAAACTGAGGCTGGGACAGGCTGTGTCTTGTTGAAATTCACACAACTGTCAAAGAGAGGAGCTTGATCCCAGTCCAAGCAATCTGACTCCACAGCCTCTGAGTTTCACCACCTCACCTTTGAGAGAGAGAGACAGAATGAATGAATAAATCATACGGTGCTAGGCATTCCTCTAGGACTTGAATTCAAAGGGAAGCCAAAAGATCATCTAAGACTGCAGCCAAACCTTTCCCCAGTTCATATAACAAGATCAAAAAGCTGCTCATGGCCCTTGAGGTTGGTTAAGCATAGGTGAACTCAGTCTAATTACAACTGAAGCCCAGAACAAATCAACTCAACCCAAGAAGAATCTGGTTGATCTGCCCCTCACCCTAACCACCTAATATAGTTAGGCTCTTTGTCCCCAAATCTCATCTTGAATTGTAATCCCCATAAATCCTCACACGTCAAGGGAGAGACCAGGTGGAGGTAATTTAATCATGGGGGCGGTTCCCCCATGGTGCTCTCATGATAGTGAGTTTGCACAAGATCTGATGGTTTTATAAGGGGCTCTTCCCCCTTCACTTGGCATCTCTCCTTCCTGCCACCTTGTAAAGTAGGTGCCTGTCTTCCCCTTTGCCTTCTACCATGATTGTAAGTTTTCTGAATCCTCCCCAGCCATGCTGAACTGTGAGTCAGTTAAACCTCTTTCCTTTATAAATTACCCAGTCTCAGGCAGTTCTTTATAGCAGTATGAAAACAGACTAAAATACTACCCAACAGAGAAAAATGCTTATATGCTATGTGAGAGAAACAAGCAAATAAAGGAAAAATTATATTTCTTTTTTATAGACTATATTCAGATAAAGTTTTAAAAAATATTCTTATGTATGAGGAAGTAGGAAAATACGTAGTGGTGTACTGGAGCCAGTTCTGTTCACAAAAGCCAATTGTGCATATCTTTTCCTAATTGTCTGTTCTGTCATGTTAAATTGTGCTAGTAGCTTGAACTCAGCTATAGTGAGGGTATTTATACAATGATAATTGGCAAATGCTACAAATCAGGGCTGCTGCATTGTTGACTTGCTGCTGCTGCCTCTTCAGAGAGCTGATTGTTAAACATTTATACATACCAATGAAAATATGACCTATAATCAAGAGAAAAAACAGTCACTAGAAGCAGATCAATAGATGGCCTAGTTATTAAGCAGAAAGGGACTTTAAAGTAGCTATTATAAATATTTTAGGGAATATACAGAAAAATATGGGCACAAAGGGTGAAGAGATGGAGTTTTTCAGAAGAGAAATAGTAACTCTAAAGTGAACTAAGTGGATATAATAGAAATAAAAATTTTATTATCTGAAATAAAGGATTCATTTATGGTCTTAGACACTACAGAAGAAAGGATGAGTGAAACTTGAAGCTAGATCAATGCCAATTATGCAAACAAAAGCAGATAAAGAAAAATAATTGAAAAATAATGAATAGAGCATCAGTAACCTCTGGGTTAATACTAAACTATCCGATGTGTACACTATTTGGAGTCCCAGAAGGAAAGGATAGATAATGTGGCAGAAAAAAACATATTTGAAGAAATAATGTTGCACGAAGAGAAATATTAACTTGTAGATCTAAGATGTTCAGTGAACCCCAAGCAGGATAAGTCAAAAACAAAAACAGACAAAACATCCTAGGCATATCATAGTCAACTTGATTTAAAAAAATGTAGAGTATGGTGGTTTTATAAGATATCTACAAATTCTTTGATACCTATCCCTTCAAGAAGTGATGCCTAATTCTTCTCCCCGTAAGTGTAGGTCTAACTTAGTGACTTCCTTCTGGTAAAGCGGGTGGCAAAAGAGACAGTGTGTAAGTTAAGACAAGGTCATAAAAGGTGCTGTGGCTGCCTCTGTGCTCACCCTTAGATTACTCACCCTAGGAGAAGTCAGATGTCATATAGTGAGGAGACTCAAGCAGACCCATGGTGAGGTCCACATAGTAAAAGAAAACAATGAGGGTTCTTGCCAACAATTAGCAAAGAACTAATGCCTCCTGCCAATGGCCTTATGAGTGAGCCATCCAGAGGTGGATCCTCCAATCTCAATTCAACCTTTAGACGATGGTAGTTCCAGCCAACATCTTGATTACAGTCTCGTGAAAGATCCTAAGCAAGTGCCATGAAACTAAGCTGCTCCCACATTCCTGACCCACAGATACTATAAAATAGTTGTTTAATTTGTAAATCACTAAGTTTGGAGGATAATTTGTTACACAGCAATAGATACCTAATGCAAAGAGAAAACCTGAAAGCAAATAGGGGAAAATGACTCATTATATTCAGAGGAACAACAGTAAGAAATAACATTACTTCCAAAAAGAAACAATGCAAACTAGAATATAATAAGATTTTTACCATGGTTTAAAAAAGAAAACAAACAAACCTGTCAACTTACAATTCTATATGCTGCAAAAGTAGGCTTTAAAAATAACATCAAAATAAAGCATTTTTCAGATAAGTAGAATACGAAAGAATTTATTGCCATTATAGTCACATTAAAAGACATGATAGAGGATGCTCATCAGACTAATGGGAAATTATGGCTGAAGGAAACTCACATCTATAGAAAGGAATGAAAATAGCTAACTATAAAATACTCTTTTTCTTTTTAAATAAATCAAGAGAAATTTGTAAATTCTGTAAATTCGTAATTTTTTTTTTTTTTTTTTTTGAGACAGAGTCTTGCACTGTAGCCCAGGCTGGAGTGCAATGGCACGATCTCACTCACTGCTACCTCTGCCTCCTGGGTCCTGGTTCAAGCAATTCTCCTGCCTCAGCCTCCGGAGTAGCTGGGATTACAGGCACTGTAATGGGATTAGCCACCATGCCCAGCTAATTTTTGTATTTTTAGTAGAGATGGGGTTTCACCATGTTGGCCAGGCAGGTCTTGAACTCGACCTCGTGATCCACCTGCCTCAGCCTCCCAAAATGCTGGGATTACAGGCATGAGCCACTGTGCCTGGCCTTGTAAATTTGTAAATTTTCTAATAAGAGAAAATAAATTCTGCTTTTAGACAAGATGCAGTAACGGGGGCTGCATATACCCTGCCATGTGAAACAGTAACAAAAAATGACAAAATATATGAAATATGCTTTTCAAGACACTGGACATCAAAAAGTGAAGAACAGTGATTCCTGAGATATGGGAACAAATGAGGGAGACCTATGATTGCCCCAGCATACTGTTTTAGAGTTTCCAGGGTACTGGGGCAAGAGGGGGGTTTCAGGTAGAGCCTGGTAGACACCCTGAGTTGAGGAGATAGAGATGAGAGTCCAGGGAGACTGAGGCATCTAGAGTTTGCAAGACAGAGCACCAGAGAGGAGAAGATGGCACAGAGGAGGGACTCAAGAGATCTGCAGAGAGCACCCATAGACTAGCCAGCAGGGTACTGATCGGCAAGGAACCACTTGAGATGATTCAAGGGAACAGTGTCTAAAGCCCACACAGGGCTGGGAACAGTGCCTCCTTCCACCAGCCAGACTGGAAAACCTCACAGTTATGGACATTGGGTAGAGCACTGAGAAGGGTCTTACCCTAGTGACAGGACATAACTAGCTCTCAACTAAACACTGCTGGTCCTGTCTAAAAATATCTCAAAAACAAGACCTGAATAACTTTCCAAGTAACTTAATTGTGTCCCAAAACAAAGTTCAAGAATATTTATAGAAAAACAAAATTTTCAGCACCCTAAAAGGATAATTCATAATGTCTGCTAGACAATCAAAATTTACCATGCTGAAGAGAAGTGGAAAATACGATTCATGGAGTAATCAGTCAATAAAAAATTTACCAATTCTTATATTGTCAACTTAAACAGTTCTTATAAATGTATTCTGTTTGTTAAAAAGTCAGAGACATGAAAGACATTAAAAAGACCCAAATTGAACTTGGAAAGACGAAAATGAAAAGTACACAGTAGCCCCCTCTTATTCACAGTTTTAATGTCCACAGTTTCAGTTACCTGGGGTCCAAAAATATTAAATGAAAAATTCCAGGCCGGGCGTGGTGGCTCACGCCTGTAATCCCAAAGCTTTGGGAGGCCGAGATGGGCGGATCACCTGAGATCAGAAGAGAGACCAGCCTGGCCAACATGGCGAAACCTCATCTCTACTAAAAATACAAAAATTAGCTGGCTGTGGTGTCACACGCCTGTAATCCCAGCTACTCGGGAGGCTGAGGCAGGAGAATTGCTTGAACCCAGGAGGGAGAGGTTGCAGTGAGCTGATATCGCACCACCGCACTCCAGCCTGGGAGACAGAGCAAGAGACTCTGTCTCAAAAAAGAAAAAAGAAAAATTTCCAGAAATAAACAACAAGCAAGTTTTAAATTGCACACACACCTTTCTGAGTAGCGTAATGAAATCTCAGTCATCCATTTGTCCAGCATACCCATCCTATATATGTGACGAACCCATTACTAACTTCATAGCCATCTTGGTTATCAGATCCACTGTACTACATTGCAGTGCATGGGTTCAAGCAGCCCTTCTCTGACTTAATAATGGTCCCAAGACACAGGAGCAGTGATGCTGGCATGTTGTTATCATTGTTCCATCTTATTATTTGTTGTCTTACTGTAACTAATTTATAAATTAAACTTTTTCGTGGATATGTATCTATAGGAAAGTTGTCTCTTGGTATTCTCAGAGGATTGGTTCTAGGACAGCCCCCTCCCCAGCCCCCATGGATACCAAAATCTATGGTTGCTCAAGTCCCTTATATAAAATGGCATAGTATTTGCATATGTAAACTAAAAATAAAATCCTAAGTCCCCTACCAACTGAATGGACTGCCTCTTGCCCAAGGGGACCCTGGAAAAGCCTTAAAAACTGAGTTCCTGGAAATGACAGGACGGGAGGTCAGACACTCCTCATTATACCTCCTCCCTTTTAGAGTTTAGACACAACAACTGACCACCATTGATATTAAAATAGAGACTGTAAGACTGACAGAACAGACTCTTTGTGGCAATAAGATAACAAATTATAAACAGGACCTTAGGCCATGCCAGAAATATGTTAAGTTGCATACCCCCTACACTTAAAGGAGAAGCTGTGTTATAACTGCCACAGGCTTTTCTTTCTCTCTAGCAGCTAAACAAGCACTGGCCTGGAGATAAGCAAGATTAACACAATTTGTAGCTCCATCAGATGCTGAGTAAATGACCCCAGCCCCTGTTCCACCACAACTATAGCTTTGATTGGACTGCTGATTCCAGTAACCTTCTGATTAAGGAGACCACTGACCGTGGACTGGTTCTGGCCCAGTTACAGAGGCTGTGAGTTGAGTGCCTTTGTGTCTCTGCCTGCCTTTTGACTTATAGGGCCTTACTGTAATACATTTAAATATTAAGTCTCCACCCCAAGGTGAACATGGGTTGTATGTTACATGCATGTTCTATATACCTGCATTCAGGACTACCCTCATGAATATTCATAATTTCCCCTGTAACCTGTTGAATATGTATATTTAGCCAACCCTTTCTATACAAAGCTGCTACCCCAACCCCTCCTCCTTCAAAGTGCCAGACTCTGGTCTTTGCCTGAGGCTATGCGTTCCAGCCTGCAGGATGGCCACTTCACAGGCTGTAACCTTTTACAGGAAATAAAGTCACCTTTTCTATATTTACAGATCTCATGATTTTTAAAGTTAACACAAATAATCTATGCACATCCTCCCATATACTTTAAACATCTCTATATTATTTATAATACCTAATACAATGTATATGCTATATAAACCGTTGTTAGACTGTATTTTTAAAATTTGTAGTTTGTTATTGTTATTTTCTATTGCTTTTTTAAAAAAATACTTTTGATCTGCAGATGGTTGAACCCATGGATTAGGAACCCACAGATACAGGGGGCCAACTATATATAGAGGGCTTGATACTATCCAATTTCAGGTGTCCACTGGGGGTCATGGAATACATCTCCAGTAGATAAGGTAGGACTACTGTACATATTATCTGTTTCCATTTATGTGACGTTCTGGAATTAGCAAAACTCACCTATGATGTTAGAAATCAGAATAGTGGCTGCCTCTGCAGGATGACGATTACCTGGGAAGGAGCTCAAGGGAATTTTCTGAGATGATGGAAATGTTCCTATCTTGGTTAGGATTGTGGTTACTAGATGTCTTTACTTGTCAAATTTCATAGAATCTTACACTTTAGACCTGTGTATCTCATTGTATGTAAATCACACCTCATTCAACTTTCTAAAAAGAGAGAGAAGAGGAAACAGAGCAGGAACATGGGTATGCTAGCTCTTTAACTTTCCTGTCCTTGACCTTCTCCACCACTGGGTTCCCCTCATTCCAACAGTCAACACTCCCCAGCCAGCATCAGCCTAGGTCCTGTTTCCTACATGTCCTTGGGTGATAATGTTCTGGGCAACAATCACTGAATTTTTCACAGCTTTCTCAATTTGGAGCAGAAGTTGTCACTTGTTTAAAAATAACTCAACATACAACTTACAAAATTAATTTAAAGAAAACGTAGAATTCTTAAAAAGTTTCGCCATATTAAGAGAGAACTCTTATCTCTACAAACGCATATGGTAGTCCCCCCACTTAACCTGGAGTCTACATTCCTAGACCCTGGTGGATGCCTGAAAGCTTGGATAGTCCCAAACCCTATTATATACTGTTTTTTCCTATACATACACACCTATGAAAAAGTTTAATTTATAAATTAGGCACAGTAAGAGATGAATAATAATGAATAATAAAATACAGCAATTATACCAATTAGCCAGCATTGCTACTCTTGTGTTTTGGGGCCATTATTATGTCAAATAAGAATTACTTGAACACAAGCATTAAGATACCACCACAGTGGATCTGATAATAAAGATGACTACTGAGTTACTAACAGGCAGGTAAGGTAGACAGTGTCCATACACTAGGCAAATGGATGATTCATGTCCTAGGTGGGACAGAGTGGGATGGTGTGAAATTTCATCACTGTACTCAGAAAGTCGCAGTTTAAGACTTTTGAAAGCCAGGTACAGTGGCTCATGCCTGTAATCCCAGCACCGTGGGAGGCTGAGGCAGGAGCATTGCTCGAGTCTAGGAGCTCGAGACCGGTCTCAGGCCTTTGGCCACAGACTGACATGGTGTCACAGAGTGACATGGTGAAACCGTGTCACTACAAAAAAAAAATTAAAATCGCCAGGTGTGGTGGCATATGCCTGTGGTCTCAGCTGCTCAGGAGGCTTAGCTGAGATGGGAGGATCATTTGAGCCCAGAAGGTCGAAGCTGCAGTAAGCCTTGTTCACATAACTGCATTCCAGCCTGGGTGACAGAGACCCTATCTCAAAAACAAAAGACATGAATTGTTTCTGGAATTTTCTATTTAATATTTTTGGACTTCAGCTGACTGTGGGTACGTGAAACCTTGGATAAGGGGGGACTTCTGCACATAGTGACAGCTTTGAGTCCTGCTTACACGATGCCAGCAATGATGAAGAGTCATTAGGAACAGCAGATCTAGAAGCAATTAATAAAAAGCTAACCAGATCCAACTTTTAGTTCAGAAGAAATCGATTTGATAACAAAAGAGTTGAACAAAGAGAAATCTAAATATTCTAAACCAGAGGTTGGCTGCTGAAATTTCAAGAAGGATGGGATATTTGACAAGGGGCACTCCCCATACGGCCATTCATCAAGGAGTCAGAAGACAACAGAAAAGAGTTTTTCACCTACCTCTCCTCCCGCACACACGCATACTCCACTTTGCTATAGGGTTTCTTTCCTCTGCCTCTTCCTTCAGTAAAGATCTTTATAGCCAATGTATCCAGGAGGACAGTCCACAGCACGGGGACCTCCTCTTCCTCCTGGTCTTTCAGAAAGCATCTGTGAATCACCTTCAGCATACTTGCCACTGGAAGATATCTTTGGCATTTATCCTGAAAATAATAGTGAATTATCTTCAGTGCTGACTCAGCTTTCAAAAGAGCCTGCTACTGAAAATCCAGAACTACAACAAGAAACGTGGGAATTTTGTCTCTTCCAAATTTATTTTTAATTATCTCTCATTTTTAGTTTAAGGAAGTGCTATACCTTCAGTGATTACACTTCTGCCTAAATGAAAGCTTCACAGTATTATAATTCTTGAGCTAGTGTTTTGTAAATAAAGCTGATTTACATATTAATCCCATTGAGTGAATTATTTACTTTATCTTGTACTCTCTGGATAGTATAAATATTGTGTTTAATTTGATTAAGGGTCCATGACACATGAACAATACTGGAAGTATCACATGCACAATGCTGAAATTGAATATATTTGAAATGGCAAAAGACATTTTTATATGTCAAAAGGTGTTTCATTGTAGTTTTAGGACAAATGTGAAGTGGCCTGATGTTTTTATTAGACAAATTAACTTGATATTTACCTGAATACATTTAAATTGGAATGTTTAAAACAATTGAGAGTGAGAAAGTTTAATAGGACTATCTCATTATTTTAAGCCCTGTTAGACTATATGTAGCCTCTGCCCTTCCTCATCCCCCTACACAGATAACTCCCCATCCGTAAGTCCAGGCAGAACCTTGAAAAGGTTGGTAACGTGGACTAGTCATAAGAATGTGCGTCTAAAAGCTCAGGGTCAGTACTTACCAGCTGACCTTAGACAAGTCATTTTCCCTTTTGGAGCTGTGGTTTCCTTTGTCATAGGCCATGATTAACACCAGCCTCTAGGAACAATTGAGATGATCAGTGGGAAATCATGTCATTAAGATAAAAGAACTACACACAGGGGATTTAAAGAGGCAGCGTCTTGTGTTTGTTTAACATATAAGCTTAGAAGCCAACAGCCTAGGTTTGATTCTAGCCTCAGTTTCTAGCTAAGCAGGGAAACCAAGTCTGTTTTCCCATTTTTAAAAGGGATGGACAAAGGGATGATTTCATCACTCAGAAAGTCACAGAATTTAAGACTTATGAATTGTTTTGCTTTTGGAATTTTTCATTTAATATTTTTGGACTTCATTCGACTGTGGATAACTGAAACCATGGAAAGGAAAACCGCAGATAAGGGTGGGGAACTTCTGTACATACTAATGGCTTCTAGTCCTGCTTAAAAGATACCAGCAATGAGAACTACTTTTTAATGGGGAAAATCATAACATCTCCTCATGGGTAATCATGGAGAATGAAGGAGCTAACTCAGACGGAGCTCTTGGCAGGGTTTCTAGCTTGCTATAGTTGCCTGTGCGATGGTTAATATTAGGTGCCAACTTGATTGGATTGAGGGATGCCTAGAAGACTGATATAGCATTGTTTCTGGGGGTATCTGTGAGGGTGTTGCCAGAGGAGATTAACATCTGAGACAGTGGACTGGAAAAGAAAGACCCACTCTCGATGTGGGTGAGCACCATCCAATCAGCTGCCAGTGTGGCCAAAACAAAGCAGGAGGAAGGAGGTGGGATAACCTTACTTGCTGGGTCTTCTAGCTCCCTTCTTTTTCCCCTGTGCTGGATGCTTCCCTTGGCTCCTGCTGCCCTCGGACATCAGACTCCAGATTCTTCAACCTTTGGACTGTGGGACTTGCACCAGTGGCTTGCCGGGGGCTCTCACACCTTTGGCCACAGACTGAAGGCTGCATCATCTGCTTCCCTGGTTTTGAGGCTTTCGGACTCGGACTGAGCTGCTACCAGCTTCTCTCTTCCCCAGCTTGCAGACGGCCTATCATGGGACTTCGTCTTGTGAGCATGTGAGCCTATTCTCCCTATATACATACATATATCCTATGGGTTCCGTCCCTCTGGAGAACCCTGACTAATACACCCAGCATACACTAGCTAGCATGCTTATTTCTTAAGATATTGACCACTCCTGTAGCATCAGTCAGTCCTGTGCTCACTGCTATGTGCTGGGAAGTCCACAGGGACCTTTAACTCACCAAGTCCAAACCCAAATCCACCACCCTCTCCCCAGCCCAGCCATCCTCCTCCTTTCACCATGTCTCTCCTTGCAACCTCTGCCACTCGACCCAGCTCCCCTCCCTTCCTCCATCCCTAAGTACCCACCCTCCCTCAGGCACCAAATCTGGGGAACTCTTTCTCCCTCTGCAGAGTCCCTACTTTCTGCCACCTGAATCCCTGGGCCAAGGCCCCATTGTCCCAGGAGCATGCAGTGGCCACCTTGTTGGCTCCTGCTCAGTCTGCCCTGACATCCAGCTGCAAGGAAGCTCCCATGGCACAGCTCCAATGAGGCCTCTCTCCAGCTCAATCAGCACCCATGACTCCTGTTTCTTACAGAATCAAATCTCATCTCTAGCACTGCAGGCCTTGCCCTTGTGTAGAGATTTTTCCCTTCTTGGCCTTCTGGTGTGCTGTTTGAGGGGCAGTATGAGGATGTGGCCACCTCCTGACCATACCATCACATACATAACTCTAGGCCTTTGCTCACGTGGTTTGCTCTGCCTGGACTCCCTCCTGAGTTCTCCATGTTTAAGGTTTCCTTCTCACTCCTAGGTCTAGCTTCCAGCATCCCCCACTCAGATAAGCCCCCCAATCCCCACCCCCGGCAATGCCAGGGCATGCTAGCTACAGCCTGCTGCATGTGCCAGCTCTGGCTCAGCCTGCCTTTTCTCTGCCCCATAAAGCATAAGCAGGACTGGATACATAATCTCCAGGGCCCAGTATAAAGTGGAAATCAGAGCCCTTTTTTCCAAATTATTAAGAATTATGAAATGGATAAATCCTAGTTGAGGGACATTCTACAAAATACCCAATGAATAATTCTCAAAAGTGTCAAGGTCATCAAAAACAAGGAAAGACTGAGAAACTGTCACAGCCAAGGGGAGCCTGAGGAGTCACAATGACTGTATGCAATGTGGGATCCTGAATGGGATCCTGGAACAGAAAACAGAAGGACATTAGGTAAAAACTAAGGAGATCTGAATGAACTTTAGCACATAATAATGTATCAGTGGTTCATTAATTGTAGTAAAGGTACCATGCTAATGTAAGAGGTTAATAATTAAGGAGACTGGGTGAGGGGCATATGGGAACTTTCTGTACTATATTTGCAATTTTTCTGTAAAACTAAAACTCTTCTAAAATGAAAAGATGGCCTTTTAAACATTTACAACAATAAAAGAATTTTGAGAAGGTGACAGCAGAGGCGATAAATAAGTTATAATGTCCAAGACAGAATTGAGATTTGAACCCGGATCTGCCTGAGCCCAAGGCTTTTGTGACCAACGGCTTGCATTGCCTGAACAGCAGTGAGAAGACCCTGGAGGGGTTGGTGGAAAAGACTGGGTAAGAAGGATGGAAGGAAGAAGGTTGTCACAGTACTTAGTAGAGGTTAAGAGTCCAAGTTTAATGACCCAGGCCACATATAGTATGATTCCATTTATATGAAATGTCCAGAATAGGATAGAAAGTAGATTAGTGGGTGCCAGGGGCTGGGGGAGGGGAGAATGGGGTTAATGGTATGGGGTTTCTTTTGGAGGTGATAAAAATGTTCTCCAATTAGGTAGTGGTGATGGCTGCACAACATTGGGAATATACTAAAAACCACTGGATTGTGCACTTTAAAATGTTTAAAGCGGTACTTTTTTTTTTTTTTTTTTTTTTTTGAGACAGAGTATCACTCTGTCGCCCAGGCTGGAGTGCAGTGGCACGATCTCGGCTCACAGAAAACCTCTGCCTTCTGGGTTCAAGCGATTCTCGTGCCTCGGCCTCCCGAGTAGTTGGGATTAACAGAGCACGATACCATGTCTAGCTAATTTTTGTATTGCTAGTAGGGATGGGGTTTCGCCATGTTGGCCAGGCTGGTCTTGAACTCCTGACCTCAAGTGATCCGCCCGCCTCCGCCTCCCAAAGTGCTGGCATTACAGGCGGGAGCCACTGTGCCCGGCCGAAGAGATTTAGAATAGTACCTGGCATATAGTAAGCACTCAACCTTAGCTCTGATAATATTATTACAAAGAGATGGTAAAGCGTTAAGGACTTCAGCTTTAGGCGCTTCCCTTCTCCAGGGTCCAGGTTTTTGGGGTCCGTTCTGGACCGAACGACTCAGGGGAGGCACCGTGAACTCATTCCCAAGCCTTCCCACTCAAGATCCTGCAAACGGAGTCGTCTGAGTGCCACTTCCCCTGACAACCCGGGACAAGGACTCTGTCAGGGCGGCCCCAGGCGGGGTGGGGCCAGGACAATTCTCCCATCGCCGGAGGAGGGAGACTGGCGGCCACGGGGAGGCGTAAGCGGCAGCGCGCCGCCTGGTGGCACCTTCGCGCACACGGTCCCGACGGAGCGGGAGGCGTCAACCCCAAGCCGGCAGCCACTCCTGCCGGGAGCCCCTACAGCTGCTTTTAAATCGTAATTGTTATCAAATAGGCGGTTTTTATACAGCCAGATTATTGGCCTTATTATTCTTCTTAATACTGTGAAGTAATTATTATTCCTGTTTTACAGTTGAGGAAACTGACGCTGGGAAAGTTTCAGTAACTGGCTTAAGATCCGCCAGCAGGTAAGAGCAGCCCCCAGGTTTAGGGCCACAGCCCTCCAGATCCAGAACTCTTTCCTACACACTCCTGTGGTTTGAGACAAGTGATGGTAGCCGCTGGAAGCATCTGCAGTCCCCACCAAGGGTGAGAACTGGCTCTGGGACTGATTTCAAAGCAGATCTATGCCACAAAGCCTGCCCTACTTTCAGCCTCAGAACCCCCAGACCCCAGGAAATAGAGGGGAGGGGAGGGTGGGGCTCACATAGCAACTCTTAGGCCCTTTGACCATCAACCCCTTTCCCCCCAGCCTTATTGATGTACCCACTCAACCAAGGTTGATTGCATCCCTGCTATGCCAGAAACTGTCTTCAGTGCTAGATATATCATGGGGAACAGGGAACACAGGGCACCTGACTTCAAGCAACTCACTGCTTCGTCCTCATGCTTAACTCCCAGCAGGATGCCTTTGCTGTGAGGCCCATGGCACTCGGTTTGGGAACACCCTGGCAAATCTTAATCCTGCTATCCTAATGTGTCATCCCCCAGGCAGGGACCCTGCCCATTCTTCACCCATCCCGGGGAAAGGTATGGCTCAGGGGGAGTCTGACTCCCTCTGAAGCCCCTTGCCTGGCCTCAACTGACAGCCTGCACTCTTGAGATGCCAGGGCTGGAGAGGAACCACATCTGCAACTGCTCAGCTGCAGGTGGCTAGAGAAGGCTCAGAGACTTGGTACAGGAGCAGGGGCACAGAGCAGTTACAGAGAGATTCCCAACATGCAAAATCCCATGCCCTGATGCTGGAGTCCTGGAGGGAGAGCAGGGCCCGGGACCTCCCAAGAGTATATTTCAAGAGTTGAGAGAGTGGTTAGGCTGAGAAGGGAAGTGGGGCAGGGACTGGCAGGAGAGGGGGTAATGTCTTCCTTTTGCTTGCCCCCATCTCCAGTCCCCCTTCTCTCCACCCAGGAATTAAAGCCGTGAAACCTGATACTTGGACTAGAAGGGCCTGCTGGGTACACTTTACCACCTAAACAGCAAAGTTCCAAGGGGTGGAACTTTTTAGAAAAATCTCCAATACCCCACTGGCCTGAAGGAGAGAGAGAAAGAGGTTGGGGAGAGAGAGAGAACATGCTGTGGTCTCTGCATGCTGCCCGTCTCTGCTGAGGTCCCTGCTGAGCTCTCCAGCACAGGCACAACCTTGACCATGTGCCTGCATCCAGGGGATGACCGTCAGATGTGGGTCTTGGCACAGGCGTGCCTGTATGTGTTTCCTGGCAGTAGTTAAGTATCCAAATATCTATTTGTCTTGGGAGTCATCTGCCTATTTGTGTTTTTAGTTGTGTGCGCCTGTGTGTTTGCTTTTTTTAGGCATACATCTTTGGTATGTGGGTGTCTCTGGAGTCGGGTGCCTATTTGTAGGTGTGATGTTTATGGGAGGTGAAACATTGCACCTGTTGTCTTTGTTGTATGTTTTCGTGTGTGTACCTTTGCAGGTGTGTATGGGTGGGTAGTTGTGTGTGTGCATGTGTATTTGCAAGGTGGAGTTGGTTTGGGTGTGCTGAGCTGTTGACTGTCTCATCCACTGCCCTTGCTAGGGCTGTCAGAGGCCAAGCTAAGCAACCTACCTTTGCCCACAGCAGCCTTTCTCAATTGATGGAAGTTCTTCCCCCAGGGAGTCCCAGTCCACCTGTTGCCACCCTCCTGATGCTGGGTGCCCAGTCAGAGAGGGTTAGGGAGATGTGCTGATGGCATGCACGACCTCCCCTAGATACTCCAAGACCCCGGCTTGTGAGGGGAGTGTGTGTGGAGAGGGTACTAGTCCTGCCTTCACCTCACCTCTGGGGAAACAGCTAGGACAGTCCCCTTCGCACAGCCCAATCCAGCCCCAGGGAAGGTGTTCAAGTGAGGCTCCCCCGTTTAGAGGGTTTCTTTCCAATCCCATCTCCCCCATCCCCTTTGCTCAGTCACTCAGTCACTCCAAGCAGTGTGATCTCCGGCAGGTGGCTTTACACCTCTGTGCCTCAGGTCCTTCATCTGTAAAATGGGATGTAAATGGTGCTTACTTCAGAGGGTTGTGAGAATTAACTGACATGATGCATACAGAGTGCTTAGCCCTGTGCCTGGCACAGGGAAGGTCTTTGCCTATGTTAGCTGATCCGCTCGTTCTGATCTCTCTGGGTTTCAATCCCAAGACACTGCCCATCCTTCAAACCTCACCTGTCCCCACGTGCTCCTTGGACCACCTTTGGGTGGTCAGGACTTTCCCCCTGGAATCAGACTGGCTGGGAGGGGAGAATCTTGGAAAGAGATTATTGACACTTGCACTGCAATTTCCACACAAGTTTTAAAATTTAATTCTATACCCCCTTATGAAATAGTTATCCTTTTCCTCCATTTTACAGATGATGATGAAGGGAGCAATAGAATTGTTAAGTAACTTGTTCAAGGTCACACAGTAAATAAGGGGCAGAGTCCAAGTTTACACTGAGCCAAAAATGGCTGTCCCACTGTCAGGTAGGAGGCTAGTTTACAACAACGCAGGATCAGAGTGCTGGAGGGGTTTCCAGGGGTCTGGTTAACAGTTCTGCCGGAGATCATACAGACAAGCAGAGCCAGCCAGGATGATCCTAATCTATACCCAGCTTCATATCGCTGTAAGCCCCCGCGTAACCAGGACTTGGGTGTTCTCATTTTGGGAGCCTTTTTTTTGGAAAGACCCCCACATGTGGAAGGCAGAGCGCATACTACAGACAGGGGAGCCAAAAGTGAGAGTCCTATGTTTAATCAGAGGAGAAAGCTGACATGGCCAAGCCAAATGAAGGCGCAAAGCCAGATTTCCTTAATTTGGGGGAGCGAAAATTGGGCCGCCTCCACGTCCAGCCATTCTCCAGCGGCCGGGTTTTTCAAAACGCTGCGCCCAGCGTCTCGCGAGGACCCTCCCCCCGGGTCCCCCAGCTCTGCCGCGGCCGCGCCCAGATGGCCGTCGGATCCCCCCTCAAGGTCCCCCTGTCGGCTCCGCCCTCGGTCGCCCAGGCCCCGCCCCGGCCGCGCGCGGTCCCCTCGGTTGGCGAACTCACTCCGGCGAGCGAGCGGCGGCGCTCGGCATTGTGGCAGGCGGCTGGGGCCGGCTAGGGCGCCGGAGCCGCACGCAGCCGCGGGGCTCCGAGAGGCGCGCACTGGGGCTGGGACTGCGCGGCGCCGCCGCTGCGAGCGCCACTGAGCGGTCGCGCAACTTCGGAGGCACAGCGCCGGAGCCAGGCGAGCGCTCAGAGACCCGGAGCCAGAGGGGCGCGCCGGAGCCTCGTTCGAGAGCCGGCGCCAGGCACCCACCGCGCTCCGAGTGCCAGGCGGCCCTCCGCGCAGCGTGGCTTCCGCTGCCCCCACGGAAGGCACGGGCTGGCGCTGCCGGGCGCCGGGGAGGACGGCGAGGAGGAGGCGGCGGCGGCGGAGACGGCGGCGGCGAGACTGGGGCCAGGGAGACAGCCCTGGGGGAGAGGCGCCCGAACCAGGCCGCGGGAGCATGGGGGCCCGGAGCGGAGCTCGGGGCGCGCTGCTGCTGGCACTGCTGCTCTGCTGGGACCCGAGGCTGAGCCAAGCAGGTAGGAAGCGATCGGGTCTGGGGGCGCGGGGCTAGGGGACCCTTGCGCCTCACTCTGTCCTGAAGTTGAGGTGGTCTTTCGTCGCATCGATGCGCGCAGGAAAAGCGGCAAGGGCGCCCAAGTTAGAATGTAGATTTTACTGCCTCCCAAAGTGGGCAATGGCGCATCCACATCGCGGGAGCGGGGAGCAGGGAAGGGGCTTCACAGTAAGCTGAAAGGTCCCTGCTCGCTCCTGAAAGGGATCCCTTCTTCTCCCTGGAAGGGGTGTAGGAGTCAGGGTCTGAGTCTCCGGGAGGATCCGCCTCCTGGGGACGCCCGGCTCTCCGCGCGCCTGGCATCCGCCCCGAAAAAGAACATTGGCTACATAAGCAAGGTGTGCGCTCGCTGCCGTACGCCGGTAACTTACTAGTCTGGTCCCGGCTCGCCTAGGCTCTTACGCGCTATAGGGACAGCAATCTGCAGACTAGAGGGAGAGAGCGAAAAGACCTGCTGAACACAGGAAGCGCTTCGGTAGCCTCGGCAGGCCGGCTTGCAGGGCTCCTGAAGCGGGGAGGGCTAAGTCTTGCACACATAGCTTTCCCCGAGATCGCTGGGCCCGCAGGTCTGGAAGAATTATTATTATTATTATTATTATTATTATTATTAATTTTCTGAGTGTTGGAGAGTGTGTGTGTGTGTGTGTGTGTGTGTGTGTGTGTTGGATGCGGGTAGGGGTTCTTAGCGATCCTGCGGAGTTTCCTTTTAAATTGGTCACTGACATTCTCGCTGTCCGGGGAACAGACTAGGTGCGCTCTCCTTGGTACAGCGCCCGCTCTGGACCCACCAAGATGACTTCAGCGAACTGGTGGGCTCCGAAATAAAGTCCCTAACCCTCCTCTCTCGCCGTGGATGAATACGTTTCTCGCTCGTCCTGTAGCTGGACCCGGCGTCGCTGGCTGGGCTGCGTCTTCTCGGGGAGGCTGTGGACTGAATGGAGCCAGCCTCTCTCTGGTACCCGAACCCAAGCAAGTGGGCTGGCCACGGCTGCCGGGCGGCTCGGCTCCGGAGCCAGGTGGGGACGGGGCCTCCTGCACGGAGTCCTCTCTGAGTTGAGGCTGAGAATGGAGCAGGAAAACTGGAGCAGAAAGTGGACGAGATGACGCAGCCCTCCCCACCTCCTACCTCCTGCTGCGAAGTTGACATCCGCCCTTCCCCCCTCCATAGCCAAAGATTCCTCATTCTGGAATTAGTGATTCCCACGGCCAGGAGTGAGGGCTTGGCTTTAGCACATTCCCCACTTTTTTTTTTTTTTCTGGTGCAAGTCCTGTGCAGTAGAGTTACAACACTCAACCATTTGATCCAAGTTAATTATGATTTGGGCAGACTCTGGTATTTAAAGCAGTGTTTTGAAGTTGGAAGGTAATGATGGGGATGGGGAAGGCAGGCTGCTGAATGTCCAACCTTGTTTTAAAGGGTGCAGTTAGACGTGGGAGGTGCTTGGTTGGGGTGCTGGTTTCTGGTTGGAGGGGGTTTGAGGAGATGATTGAAGGGTAGGGTGAAGTCTCTGTAAATGGCACATGGGCAGGGTTGTGTCTTGGGAAGCTGCTTTTGTACCAGCAGGACAGTGGGATCAGGAATAAATACTTAGGTTACCAGGAATGAGGGGCTGCTGTAGGAGAAAGACAAGACTGGTTGGCCTATAGTTCTCTGGGTGGGTGGGCTTGGCCAAGAAGGCTGGGGGTGGCCTGCATTTCCTGCTTAACAAAGCATCCAGCCCCCACCTTCCCCAGAAGAAACCCCAGGCCCAGGGCTTTGATGGATTTGGGCACGAATGGTGCCCAGTCAGAAATGGCCTCTAATACCCGGCTTTGATTTCTCACCAGCGAGCAGAAGCGGTGTTGGAATTGTGCTCATTACTTAGTGCGGCAGTAGCTGCCTGCCCACCAGCCTGGAGAGGGGCCAACTGGTGGGGTCGGCCTGCAGCCTTCTCATTGCCCAGAATGTGTGGCCCTTAGAAACCTGCCTTCAGGAGGGAGAACATGTCCCTTCCTCCCACACAATCTTGTTTTTCTCTAATGCCACAGGCACAGAGCATCATTCTTTCAGAATGTTCTTTGGGTTTTTCCATTGGATCCTTCACAAGCTCCATTTCACTGATGGGGAAAATCAAGGCCAGAGTGTTGGCTTTCTCCAAATCTTGCCTTCACTTGGCCACAGATTGAAGACATGTGAAGGGCTCCTGTCCAATAGCCAGACTGATTCAAGCCCAGCAGACCCTCCCTCCTATTCTTATCCACCCACCCCTCTGCCATGAGACTCATAACAGACTGAGGCAGGCGAGGCTCTCTCTGCAAAGAGGGATCTTTACTGGGGGTGTCCAAGCTCCCCTCAAGTGGCAGGCACCTCTCTCTCCTTTTCCCCACCCCACCCCATCCCTGGTGAATATGGGAATGAGCTCCCTTTACAGCACTGAGAATATTTTTAAGCTGTAAAGTCTGATGCTGGAGAAATCAAAACTGGAACCATAAAACCCCAGACCCTTAGAAGGTAATGTCAGCAAGTGACTAGCCAGAAAAGGCCACTTCAAAAGCTCTGGTTGGCCCTGGAAATCTCCTCCCACCCCACCTTTCAGCCCTTCCTGGAGCTTTTAATGAGCCTTTCCATGGCCTCTGGCTGGGATGGTTGAGAAGGAGTCGAGGTGTCAAGATAATACTTCTTTTTAAGGTGCAATTAAAATCAGAGTTTTTGTAGTGTCTCTGCTTGGTGTGTGTGTGTGTGTGTGTGTGTGTGTGTGTGTGTGCTCGCGTGCATGCGCCTGTGCACACACAATGATAGCCTGTCCTTGTCTCCCTCTGCACTCACTGTAGCAAACACCCATCTCACTTAAACAAATGGAAAATCAAGTGTCTTAATGGGTTTTCTCATTAAAGTGAAAGTACCACTGCAGGGGAGGAATTTCTCCTGTAATCTCTCTCCTCCACCTCTCTCCCCTCCCCCACAAACAGGGAATTCTGTAGGATAAAACAGTTCCCCTCTTTTCCAATCCATTTATTTAACTGTTGACACTTTGGGACAGGCCAACTTGCCCAAGGTCACACTGGGACTCACCGGTAGCGCCAGGACTTGAACTGAGGCCTCACAACCTCAATCTAGTGCTTCTAGCTCCTTCATTCCATCTGGGCTGGAGACCCACCATCATGGGTGTGGGCTTGAGACTCTGAAATTGAGGCACCACTTAAGGCAGGCAGCTAAAGATAAGATCGCTTTGATGGCTGCTTTAGACTGGAACTCATGGCAGGATGGAGGAAAGAGGTTGAGAGTTGGAAGGGTGAAGAGGTGTTCCAGGAGAGGGGGAACAGGGCAGAGCCAAAGGTCAGGAGTGAAGCTCTGAGACCAGGCAAGTGCCCAAAGGTGGCTCCCCCAACCCCCAGCATTGGCCTCCTGAGCAACTGCCCTGACCTGGGGAAGGGAGACAGGTCACAAGCCAAGCTCCCTTGGGCTGCATGGCCAAATAAACATTAGCATTTTATAGCTCTGCACCCATTTGTAGAGTTGGGGACAGAATATGTTTTTACTTTTTACTTATATTCAAAGCTTTAGGAGCCAGTGCCCTCCCCCACCTTTGTTGTTGAGTTTCTCCTGGACCGCAGGTCTAGTGACCCTTTTCCTGGGTGTCAGGCTTAAGACGAGGTCTGCCTCCTACGCCCCATTCCCTGAGCCACAGAGGTTTTCTAAGGAGGTTTGTGGGCTGCCTAAGACTTTGGGGATGGGCTGGGGGGAGATGGATCATTTCCATTCCAAGTGCTCTCGGACCAGGTTAGTGATTCTGAATAGACAGTGCTGGTACCTCCCTCCCCCAGGGCCTGCAGGCAGCCCGTCTTTTGACCCTCAGAGTTGGGGTTGGGTGGAAAGGAGACAGTTTGGAGGCCACTGCCGCCTTCAGGAAAGGGCAGAGGGGGCTGGGTCATAGGCTGGGACTTGGGGGTGGGAGCCTGGGCCCAGGGAAACTGCTGCCTGGGCAGATGGCCCCCAGAGGGTAGGGAGGAGAAAGCCGGCGCTCAGGCCAGAGCTGGCGCTTCTCTTGGCGTCCTCCTCCTTCTCCTCCTCACCAGTTTCCTAAACAGCTTCCACAAATAGAGTCATTAAAGCTGTGAAGGCAAAATGAAACCAAACAAGTGCGTTCTGTGCTTTTCTGTTTCTTATTTTTTTAAGGAAATTAAAAATACCGTAATTAGAATAATACAAGGAGAGAACACTTTGCGGAAGGCCTAGGGTAAGGGCACTTCCCACCCACTGGGTTGGCTCAAGAGGTTGGGACTGGGGCGCCACCTCCCGCCCCCTTAGGGTCTGCGATCCGCCGGGGGCGCCGCGGGCTTTTCCGCCGGCTCCATGCATTTCCCTGAGGCAGGATCTTTTTGGGGGAAGCTGGCATCCCGGCGCTGGCCTCGGCCCCCGACTGGGAGTTGGGTGGCGCTTGATTGGAACTCCGGCCCGGAGCCGCCTCAGCCGCTGCGCCCCCGCGGGCAGACAAGCCCGGGCGGAGCGCGCTAAGCCACAGGTCCCCGCGGCGTTCCTCCCGGTCTTCGGGGATGCTAATGGCAGCGAAAATATTTGCTGAAGTGCAGGCATAAATCAGCCGCCTCCCCGCTCCCCCACCCCCACCCCTTTTGTTTCCTCTTCCTTCTCTCCAAAAGCGCTGGGCTGCTGGGCGCCAGAATTTACCTTTTCCATCTTAGCGGCCTGATTAGCATCGCCGCCGCTTGTGGGGCTGGATTCTACCCTCTCCTGCGTCCCCCACCCCCAGTCCCCATCTCCACCTCCCTCCCCAGCCGAGCTAAATCGGTCTGCGGAGCCCCGGGAGCTCTAACGCCACCGCCTAGCGAGTGAGTGCACGGAGCCGCCCTCCTTCTCACCTCCCAGAACAGGCTGCCCCCAGTGCTTGCAACTTACCCCTTCGCGGCGCTGCACGGCTCGGCTCACTTCTCCAAGAAGGCAGGCTTGTGGGTGTGAGAGTATGTATTAAGGAGTGTGTGGGGGGTGAGAATGTGTATTAAGCAGGTGGGCGGAGGTGGGAGTTTGCAGGGAGGGGAGGGTGGGTGTGGTGTTGCACTGGGGTGTCAGGTGTGTGTGGGGGCGAGGCATGGACTGGGTGTGTGCCGGAGGATGGATGTGTGTTTGAGGAGGGTTGTGCCTTTTGTAACTCAGGAGGTGTGATGTATAGGCTGTGTCTGTGTTTGGGTGTGTGTGGGGTGGGCAATGTCACATGGGCACACTTGTGGTGTGTTTGTGTATAAATAGGTATGTGTAATGTGGAGACAGTGAGTCACCACCAGGCATGGGAAGCTCCATCCATTGTATTCCGTTGGGGATTCCACTTCAGGATGGGACCCAGGCCATTTGCCCATCAGCACTTAAGAGACCTCATTTTGCCCCACACCTGCACTGTGAGCAGGGTTTGGCCTGAGTGCCAGGTTCTGCTGTTGGAAGGGCAGAGGACAGCTTCCCCTGCTGAGTGCAGATGGGATAGGCCTGCCTGCAGGTGGGTCCTGGTGCTCCAGGGGGAGGAAGGTTGGCAGAGATGGACCCTAAGCCAGCCCAGCAGCTTGGGCTACTGCCCCCAGGAAGATCAGAGTCCCAGACCTGGAGTCTTCTGCAGTCAACTCCCAGCTTCCCCAGAGCATGGGAGCGGCTGTGGTTTGGAGATCTGCTCTCTGACCTGGGTCAGCTTATGCTTCAGCCTGTCTCCCCCAAAGGGAGTGAGTTCTCCTCTAGAGTTTGCTGGAGAAGGGGCCAGCAGAGCTTGAGTGGGTGGGATCCCCAGTGGAGAACCCCATCTCAGGCTGACGTGGCTGGGGCCTGGGACTCTCAGCGGTAGCAATTTAAAGAGGACAGACACACCCACACACATGCTGGACTCCACTGTCGTTACAACTTTCTTGGTCACAGAAGCGCTTACCTGCTTTCCCAGGGCTGTCCACAGGAAGGACTTCCATCACTTCAACTCTAGGATAAGATGGACTGTTCTGGAGCAGGGAGGCCTATAGGAAAATCACAGTCCCTCGCCCCACCCTGGTGTGCATGTTGCTTTACAGTTTACAAAACCCTTTTATATGTGCAGTCTCACTTTGTCCTTGTAAGAACTCACCGAGAAGGTGGAAGCTCTCACTTAGAAGGCTGAAGAGACAGGACTGGGACCCAGGTTTGTATTAGTCAGGGTTCTCTAGAGGGAAAGAACTAATATATATATAAAGGAGAGTTTAGTAAGTATTAACTCACACGATCACAAGGTCCCACAATAGGCCTTCTGCTGGCTGAGGAGCAAGGAGAGCCAGTCCGAGTTCCAAAACCGAAGAACTTCTAGTCTGATGTTCGAGGGCAGAAAGCATCCAGCACGGGAGAAAGATGTAGGCTGGGAGGCTAGGCCAGTCTCTCTTTTCACGTTTTTCTGTCTGCTTATATTCTAGCCCTGCTGGCAGCTGATTAGATTGTGCCCACCCAGATTAAGGGTGGGCCTGCCTTTCCCAGCCCACTGACTCAAATGTTAATCTCCTTTGGCAACACCCTCACAGACACACCCAGGATCAATACTTTGCATCCTTCCATCCAATCAAGTTGACACTCAGTATTAACCATCACAAGGTCAGAACTCCTAAGCAGCCCTGGCCACAGCCCTCGAGGAGGTGCTGTCTGTAAGTGTTGCTGATGTCCACTCTAGAAATGTTAAGTGGCATTCAGAGCATTGCAGATGCCATGTGAGGGTGACAGATGATATGCAGGGAAGAGCATAGCAGAGCCAAGGTTTTAAGGCATGGGGCTTCCTGGGGCAGGTGATGAGTGCCAGACCTTGACTGTCCTTTTCCAGTTCTTCTGAGAGCATGTCCTGAAGAGAGGATGGGATGGGGGCTAGCTAGCTGGGTATGTGGGCAGGGGTGCCAGCCGACCTCTCCTTACTCTTGGGAAATTTGCCCCTGTTAGCATCTGCTGTGTTCACTATCTTGAGGTGGACACCAATCCTTGGAGAACAAACCCTCTGGCCCCATTCCACCTCCCAGCATCCCAGGTTCTACTGAATGTGTGCGCTTGGGTCACGAACCCTCTCAGCTGCTTCTGACTCTGTGGGCTAGGACCATGGCAGGCCCTGGAGGCAAAAGGCCTTCTTCTTGGATCTCTCTGTATGGCTCCCAAAGGTGGAACGAGCCCAGAAAATACTTTCTAAGCACTGGTAGGGATCATATTGGGGGTGGAGACATGGGGAGGTATCTCCCTACTTTCTGCCCTGCCCCCACCAGAGAACACAAAGTGGGTAAGAAGGGGAAGGATGGAATCTGCCTAGCACTTCTGTGAGCCATTTGGCAGGGGTAGGGGTGGGGAGATCCTTTGTCATCACCACCTCTGGGAACCCCCAGCTGCTCTCTTTCCACACACACCTCTCCCCGGGGCCTTAGCTGCGGGTGCAGAAGAGTGCATGGCATTGCCAATTGGAATTCTAAGGAGGTTAACACGGCCTCCCAGCATTGTCACTGACTAACTTGGTGACGTTGGGCAGCTCACCTAACTGGACTGTACCTCCATTTTCTCATCTGTAAAATGGGGGTAATAATAACATCATCCTCAGAATTGCCTTGAGAGTCTCATGAGCTGATGTATGGTAAAGCCCTTAGCACAGTGCCCGGCACACAGTGATCACTCAGGGCCTGTTGGCATGCAGCCTGCCCCGGAGAGAGCCTAGCAATGCATCATCATCTTCCTCCACGGGAGTGAAAGCTGGGAGGTCAGGACCAGGAGTCTCAGCTGCTCCTGGCTGAGGAGTTAGTAGACTCTGGCTCTTGATTTTCATTTGCTGTGAGACCCTAGGCAAGTGCCTTTCCCTCTCTGGGTTCTGATTGTTTGGTTTCCCTTCCCATCTGTAAGTCCGGAGTGGGGCAGAGGTGGAAGGATGATCCATACAGGATGTGGGGTTTTTGTCTGGTTCTATCTGAAGAGGCTCCAGCAGTCAGAAAGAAACAGAGGTAGCCGAGGTCCAGAACCACTTGTGTTTACAGAGGCCCCTCTGGAAAGTCAGTATATTGACTGGAATGCCCTTGCACGCATTATGCAGCCCTGGGTGTCTCTCTCACCGAAGCCATAAATCACCCTCTGGGAACTCGGTCCCTTTTTCCTGCTCCATAAGCATTTCCTGCTTCAGAAACTGAGAACCCCAGATGCCAAGCAGGGCCCAGGAGGTAGAGAAGGGCCCCACTGGCAGAGGCAGCCTGGGCATGTGCGAGAAGGGGCCTGTGGTCCCCCCCCTTGTCACCCACTCCGAAGCTCAAGTGCGCCCTGCTGAGGGTGTTAGAGACAGACTTTGCAGGCCTGGCCCCCGTGTCATGCATAGCTTCATTTCTCAGAGGCAGGGGGAGGCCAATCTTGGGGGTTGGGGAATGAGGACTCCTGTCTCCATGTAGGGTATCAGAACACCAGCCCACCCTAAAACCTGATGCACATGCCCATTCATTCAGCCTGAGCAAGTGCTGAGCTCCGCAGTCAGAAGCTTAAAAACCATGGGCCTGACTCTTGAAGAACTGATGGGCTTTGTGCTGCTTCTTGAAGCATGGGCCAAGTGCCTGGCCTGTGATGCTGGGGTGCAAGGGGGATTAGGATGATGCAACAGATATGAATCATTCAAGCATGAGCCAAGATGTGTGTGTCTTGGGAGGGGTCTTGCGCGATGTTTAGAGGGCAGGCTGTGCAGTCACATTACTTGGGTTCAAATCCTGGCAGTGCCACCATCTGGCTGTGTGTCTTAGAGCAAGTTGCTTACCCTCTCTGAGCTTAGTTCTGAGCTTAGTTCCTTCATTTGTAAAATGGGAGTAGTAACAGCACCAATCTCATTAGATTTGGGGATAAATGAGATCATGCTTAAAAGTGTGTTGCATATTCTGAAGTGCTCAGTGACATTCACTACTGTCATCATCATCATCATCATCATCATCATCATATGGGCACCATGTATTGCGTGGAACGAAGGGAAATGTCTGGATGTTGAGAGGAAGAAGCTCTTGTGGTCTGGGCAGTCAGAAAAGGCTTCCTGGAAGAGGGAAGGTTTGCACTTGACTGGCCCTTGAAAGATGAGAGACTTTGGGTAAATGGAGAGTGTGGCCCTGGTAGGGGATGTGTACGTGAAGGTATGGGTGTGAATGTCTGGCACATCTACCCAGGAGACAAATTCTACATTCAGCTTCTGACTCGTGTCTGATCATCTAGCAACTCAAGACTTCTAGGGCCAGAGGTCTCTTAGTGGAAAGAGCCCCAGCCTTTAGGATTTGAATCTTCCAGAGGTGGCTCACTCTCTGTGCCTCAGCTTCCCAATTCATGAGATAGGCATGATTCCACCACCTTCACCAGGTGCTGATGTGACGTGAACACACACATATACAGTCTTGGCAGAGTGGGTGCTCTGTGGATTTCCATTGCCTTCCCTTCTCTTCCTGCCCCTCCTCCACCCCCCGATTTGGCTGACCTCTGGATAGGGCTAGGGCTGGGCCTGGGCCCTGATTCTCTCCCTGTGCATCTCTGGGCAGAACAGTGGGACAGAGAGTCCCAAAGTGGCAGTTTCCAGGTTGGCCAGAGAGCCAAGGAGAGGGGCAGGAAGAGAGAGGCTGCTTTTTCTGGTCCCTGGTGTTCACCTGGGCCTGCCCTGACCCAGGAGGCATCCCCAGGGAGTCTTCTGCTGAGATCACCCAGGAGCCTGCAACCCCCAGAGGCCCCAAGCGGCATCTGGAGGCATTACTGCCTTCAGGAGACAAAGCCCAAAGGAAAGCAGCTCTGTAATGCGATCAGAGGCGTCCGCCTGCCTGGCTGGGGACCTGGACACCCATGCAGGATGCAGAGCTTACAAGAAATTGAGTCAGGAATTCCAGGAAAGTTGTCCCTGACCCCCTCCCCCATCCCTATCCCACCTTTGGTCATTCTGTGACACAGCAGAGCAGAGTGACATTCGGAGTGAGCAGTGACCTGTGGTGGGATGGGAGTCTGTCGGATGGGGCAGCCTGCGTTCTTTCCTTTTCCTTGTCACCAAGCCAGGGCTCCAGGGTTGGGGAGACAGGTTCAGCAGGGGCAGCCAGCATGGATTGAAACGACTAGGTGATGGCAGAGCAGCCATGGCACTAGGTGACTAGGGAGGCTGGGCCTGATTTGGCTCACTCGTGTGGATTCCTGGCACCCAGAAGGTACTGAATAAATCTCTGTAGAATGGATGAATGAGAACTCATGGTCAGGCCTTACTCACCCGAGAAGTAGCTGTGATTTTGTCCCAGCTGTGCGTGGACCTGCTGCTGTGGATGAGTAACCAAAGAATTAGAAGATTTTTTCATTCCTTTGCTTCCAGCCTTCCCCTCCTGCCTGCCTGCTTCCCTCCCTTCATTATCTGCTGCTTGCTTTCTTTGAGCACTTACTGTGTACCCAACATGGTGGAAGCCAGAGCCAAATCTTCAGTGATCAGAGCCCCTAGGTAGGAAGGAATTTATTCACTAAATCCAGCGGAGCCACAGAGAATTAACCAAGTTTTGCAGTCAAGTGCCCTGGGCCCCTTTACATAGAGAAAGTAGACTGGCAGACACTTGCTGGGCTGGTAAATTTTGTACTTATCTGCAAGGTGGCCCTTGTAAGGCACAGCTGGTCCAGGCGACTTTAAAATGTTTCTTTCCTACTTGTAGCCACAAGCCCATTATCACTTCTCCCCACCTTGCCTTCTTGTGGCTCAAGAGAATGCTTACCGCATGGACAACTGGCCGTGAGGCCTGAGAGCAAGTGTGGGCTGAGCAGGTGTATCTAAAGGCCATGGCCAGATCTGACTCCAGGCCTCAGCCCTCTATAGCAACTGCTACCAGCTTCTTAGCAGGAGCTGGGCTTGGTGCAGGAGAGCAGTTCTGGCCATGGGGTCTGGCTGATATAGACTCTGGGTGGCATCATGTCCAGTACTGACATCTTTGGGAGATTAAACATCCCCAGGCAGCAACAAGCCTGGCCCAGTGACCATCCTCAGCTGGTGGCTCACTGGTCCTTGTCAGGAGTCCCTGCCAGAGGCTGATCTGGAATTCCTCCCTGGCAGCCCAGGAAAGCCGGGGCTGCTGGGCACAGTGACCCCTGCTGCAAATTTGATCCAGCCCCACATTTTCCTCCTGGTCCATCCCACTTCTGTATGTAGACACAGACACAGACACACACACACAGACACACACACACACACCAGGAAAGCCGGGGCTGCTGGGCACAGTGACCCCTGCTGCAAATTTGATCCAGCCCCACATTTTCCTCCTGGTCCATCCCACTTCTGTATGTAGACACACACACACACACACACACACACACACACACACACACACACACACACACGAAATGACAGCAGAAAAAGCCCCAAGTTGAGGATTGGGAAAACTGGATTCTTTTTTTTCTTTTTTTGGAAATAAAAAACTGGATTCTAATCCTAGCCATGTAGCTAATCTGCTTTGTGACATTGGGCCAGTCCTTTTCCCTCTCTGAGCTTCCTCTGTCCAAATGAAGAGGTTCTGCCCTGGAATCAGAAAACCTGGATTCAAGTCCTGGCCCCATCACTAACTGCAATTTCATGAGCCTCCATCTCCTCACTATAAACTGGGCCCCCAATTGGTTGTGGGGACATTAAAGGAAATGGGCATGGTCAGTGAAGGTCGGTTTTCTTTCCTTTCCACCCAGAAGGAAATCCACAAATTGCTGGATCCTGCCTTCTAGTGGGATTTTGGATTGCTGGATCCCAAATCCACAGAGCCCGCCTTCTTTCTTTCTGATATTGCCTTCTTGACATGGGCATATTAGACATAAGGTACAGTAGGGTTATCCTACAGACTTCTGAGATACCTTCCAGCCTTCAAAGCCCATCGCTGTAAAGCACCGTGGATACAGTTCAGGAAGTCCTGTGGGGTGACTTGGTAATCGTCTGAGGGTTATCAGCGAGGGGAGAGCCTGCCTTGTTATACACATTTGGGAGAGCCTGCCTTGTTAGACACATTTGGAAAGAGCACTGGACTAGGAGTCTGGAATCTCCAGCTCTAAGGCCAAATCTGTCTCTGTGTGATACGCAAATCTCACCCACCTTCTTTGAGCCTCAGTTTACCCATCAGCAAAAGGAACAAAAGAAGTTGAATGCCAGGTAGGGCCAAGTGAGAAAACACCCAGAGAGGTGCTTCAGAAACTGTTCTCCAAACCCACGGGGGTCGCTGATCTGAGGCAGCAGGAGGCCTGCAGAACAGTCCCTGGACTATGCGGTGCATCCTGGGAACTGCTGCCTGTGTGGCAGGGATGAGAGGGCCCACGTGCCCATTTCCCTGGCACCTCCCATGCCTGGCTGGCCACAGCTGTTGAGCTAAGTGACAAGAGTTTTAGCCACTTCTCATCCATCTTTGTGCCCCCATACCCTGACCCCATTGCACACCCCACATCCCAGAGCGGAGGAGGCCCGGGTGCCACGTCAGAGAAGGTTAGTGTCAGTGCTGGGTTTGATACTGTCTGAGCCAGCACACCATCTGCCATGCCCACCAGAAGTTACATAATCCCTCGGCCGGCTGCCCATTCTTAGAAAACGGGGCAGGCAGGACCAGCAGGGAGTAGAGAGTTAGAGTTTTCTTCTCTGCATTTTGTTCCCTCCCAGCCCACCACATCCCTGGACCAGTCTTCACTCTCTGAGTTGCTCCCACACTGTTCAGAGCCTGAGACGTAAGTGCCAAGGCAGAGAGAAGCTCAAGTTGGAAGGGGACATGGGTCTTGAGGACTGCTTGCCACCGTGCCACACAGACTTGAGGACACCCTGCAGACACTACCTGCTGGCAGCACACCTGGCTGGCCACACCTTGCCAGCCCCTCACACGGCTCCTCTGCTGAGCCTGTGGTGGGTTGAGGAGGACCACTCAAGCTTCTAGGACAAATAGAGTCTCCTCCTCCCCACCCCCTAGTTCCTACAGAGATATTATCTTTCCAAAATCTTATCAGATCATAAGCGTTTTTATTTATTTTTATTTATTTTATTTTTTATTTTTGAGACTGAGTCTTGCTCTATCACCCAGGCTGGAGTGCAGTGGCACCATCTCGGCTCACTGCAATCTCTGCCTCCCAGGTTCAAGTGATTCTCATGCCTCAGCCTCTCAAGTAGCTGGGATTACAGGCGCCCGCCACCACACTCGGCTAATTTTTGTATTTTTAGTAGAGATGGGGTTTCACCAAGTTGGCCAGGCTGGTCTCAAACTCCTGACCTCAAGTGATCCGCTTGCCTCGGCCTCCCAAAGTGCTGGGATTACGGGCATGAGCCACCTCGCCCAGCCCATAAGCATTTTTAATAACTGAATAACAGCCAGATAACACCACCCATGTATCATTAGGGTCTTTGGAATCACTGAGACCCAAGATCCCATCCTGTCTCCTTCATTTGCTGGCTGCATGATGTTTGCCAGGCAACTTCACTCTTGTTAGTCCCGGTTTCCTCATCAGTGAAGTGGGAATCATGAAGCCTGCTTCCCAGAGCTGCCTTAAGGATGGAATCAGATAATACTTGGAGAGGATGGAGAAAGTATTTAGTGATGGTAGCTCTGATCAGCAGCATCCAATTCCATTCTCTCTTTTTAACATCATGACCAGATCTGATTTATTGCAGGAATGCAAGAGTGGTTCCAAATGAATTCGCTAATATTAATAACATGCCATATTAATATCATGTTCCATATTAATGAATCTGAGGAAACAAAATCATATTATTATCTTCATAGATGCTGAACAAAGCTTGGATAAAATACTACACTAAAAGAAATAGGAATTAAGGGATACTTTTCAGATGAGATAGATAGATATATATACCATGGAATACTACTCAGTCATAAAAAGGAATGAAATAATGGCATTCACAGCAACCTGGATGGAGTTGGAGACCATTCTTCTTTTTTTTTTTTTTTCCTTGAAACGGAGTCTTGCTCTGTTGCCCAGGCTGGAGTTCAATGGCACAAAATTGGCTCACTACAACCTCCGCCTCCTGGGTTCAAGCAATTCTCCTGCCTCAGCCTCCCGAGTAGCTGGAATTAGAGGTGTGTGCCACCATGCCCAGCTAATTTTTGTATTTTTAGTAGAGACGGGGTTTCACCATGTTGGCCAGGCTGGTCTCGAACTCCTGACCTCAGGTGATCTGCCCGCCTCAGCCTCTCAAAGTGCTGGGATTACAGGTGTGAGCCATCGCACCCAGCCAGAGACCATTATTCTAAGTGAAGTAACTCAGGAATGGAAAACTAAAAATCATATGTTCTCACTTGTAAGTGGGAGCTAAGCTATGAGGATGCAAAAGCATAAGAATGATATAATGGACTTTAGGGAGATGGGGGAAATGTGGGAGGGGGTGAGGGATAAAAGACTACACATTGGGTACAGTGTGCATTGCTTATGTGATGGGTTCATCAAAATCTCAGAAATCACCACTAAATAACTTATTATCCATGTAACCAAATACCACCTGTTCCCAAAAACTATTGAAACAAAATAAAAATAAAAATAAATTTTGTATACATACATATATACATATATATACATATATACATATATATACACATATACATATATATACATATATATACACATATATACATATATATACACATATATATACACACATATACACACACACACACACACACACACACACACACACACACATACATACCCTAGTCCTAAAGCTGGTATCTTATTTAATGGGGAAACACTAAAGGTACTTTCAGTAAGATCAGTAATAGATACCCTGCTGGTATTCACCTCTGCTAGTATTCACCGCTAGAGGTATTAGCAAATGTGATTAAATGAGAGAAGTCAATTAGAAGCATTAGAAAGGGGTAAAGAAGAAGTAAAACTATTCCTGCCAGATAGTAAAACATACTGGAAAGCCTCTGTAATTAAAACAGTGTGCTTACTGGTGTGTGAATTGGCAAATAGACCAAAGATAATAGTAAGTTCAGAATTAGACCCAAATGTCTACGGAAATACAGTACATAACAAAGGTGGTATCACAGGTCACTGGGGTTAAGACAGACTTTTTAATAAATGGTGCTCGGACTACTGGGTAGCTATGTGGGAAAAGGTGAAATTTGATTCAAGTCTCACACCATACAGAGAGATGAACTCCAAGTGGATTTGGGATCTAGATGTAAACAATGATACAACTACTAAATGAAAACATGGGTAAATTCCTTTTTAAACTTGTGGGTGGGAAAGGCTTTCTAACTATGACTTAAGATCTAGAGGCAATAAAATAAAAAAACTGATCAGTTTTATTACATGAACATTTTTAAATTTTCGACAAAAAAAAAAATCACAGAACACCTTAAACAAAGTCAGAAGACAAAGTACTTGACAAACTGAGAGAAATATTCCTAACATATGCCACAGACGAAGGGCTGATATTTATGGTATATAAAGTGCTTTTAAATATCAAGGAACAAAGGATCAAGCCCTCACAGAAAGGTGGAAGAAAAAGACACGGACAGACAATGCACAAAATAAAATAGAACAATGACCCTCGAACAGACTTACTCAGAATTAGATAAACACATATTGTAAAACAACTACAAGATACCATTTCTCATTTACCAGACGGGAAAACATGAAACACTGTGGCCTCACATTCAGTTGTGGAGGGGGCTTGAGCACCCGAGGGGCACCCACGGGGCCTCCTCTGTGCCCACCTTGGCCATTGTGTATGCATTGTCTCACTCAGTCCTTGCGATGGCTCTGGGAGGAAGGTCTTAGCAGAAGAGCAAACTGGGGCTCAGGAAAGTGAAGTGACCCACCCTAATCTAGCTTTTAGTGTCAGGGCCTCATCTGGGTTCAGCCCTAGCCTTTGGACTCCAGATTCGGTGCTCCTTCCATGAGCCCACCCTACACCCACTCCCCAAGGCAGGGACTGGGCCTTATCCCCTGCGCACCTCCCTCAATGCCCAGGGAGTGCTGGATGCTCTGGAGTTGCCTGTGGAGTGACTGGGCGGTGAGGGAATCGAACTTGGAGCTGCTTTATAAAATGCAGACTCCTCCACCAACGTGATTGTTGTCTCGCTAAAGAGCTGTTGATTGATGGACGGAACTGGCACTTTCCCACAGGCCAGTCAGCCAGCCTCAGTCAGCCCCTTTCCCATTTTAAGGATTGGTCAGAGAGAGTGGGTGTTTGTGGGTGCATGGGGAGCAACAAGCCCCAGGGGCAGATCAGCTGGTCTGCTGGAAAAGAGGCTGAGCCAGACCTCAGCTCCTATAGAGAGCAGAGGAGACCCTGGGAGGATGGTGGGGGCATGATTGCCGGAAGGTCCTGCTCCAAGCCTGAGAATTCTGCTTTCCAGTCAGTAAGTTGTTTATTACACCCTTGACAGTGTCCTCCTCCGCCCCTGCCCCTGGATCCTGAGGAGCCTGCAGAGGGCGGGGCAGGGCCTGCTGAGGGTCTGACCTCTCAAGGGAAAGGGGTCGCTGGAAGCGTGGATCAAGCCATCCACCCTCCTTCCCATCACGGCCCACTGGACCAGAGCGCTTGCCCGAGCTCCCGGAGGCCCTGATCTCTGCTGGAAGGGCAGGCTAAACAGAAATTCCCTGGGACCTTGGGGCATCTCCCTCTCACTTCCCTGGACTTCCTTTCCAAGGCTCCTTCTAGGGAGTTGTTGTGCTTCTGGGGCAGGGCGTGTAGTTCTCAGAGCTTCTTAGGAACCGCAGTCTTGCAGACCCTATAAAGGGGTGCATGAGGGCCCCGTGTCCCTTGGCTTGAGTAAGAGCTGGTGGTGAGAATCAGCCCCATGCCATCTCTGGCTGTCCCACCGTCGCTGGTCAGGGTGATGCCTGTTGCTCCCAGGCACAGAGCGCGGCATGCAGAAACACCCTCTTATTGACTCTGAGCTTCTCAAGAGCCCCACGAAGTCATCAGGGGGAGTGTTTTCACTGCCCTTTTATGGCTGGGCAAACTGAGACAGAGCTACCTCCTGACCTACACTGTTATCATCTGACTTTTCACCCCTACCTCCTCCTCTCTGCTCTTGCCTTGGTTTGGTAGCTGAGAAAGATTAAGAAAAGAAGCATTGTAGACCATTCTAGATAGTCCTTCAAGGACACCCTGTCTTACCTCCATGTTTTCCCTAGGGGAACTCAGCTGTGATTAGGAGGAACCTGAGGGCCCTCACTCTGATTGGTCAGAGTGAGGAGGGGTGCAGGCCTGTTTGGGAGCCAGGAACTTACCTCCACTCCATGGCTCAGCGAGGGAAGCTGCTGACCCCTGAACACACAGAGAAGCCAAGGCCAAGCAGGTTGAAGACAGGCAGTCCCTAGCCTCTAGCCCTCCTGGCTATACCACAAACGTGGACATCAGACTGAGCAGAGCAGGCCAGTGGCCAAGGTCAAAATTGCTTTCAATGTCCTGTCCACCAAGTGACCTGTGGACCTAGCCTGCCTCTCTGGGGAGGGACATTCCAAAGACAACCAGCCACCTTCTCTCTGCCCTCCCCACCTCATCAGGCCTCCGGCCCTGGGTATGTGGGCCTCCCCCCACATCCCTGGAGCCTGGCACAGCCTCCCTTTGGATACTCACCATGGGTGGACAGCTGGGACCAGCCTTCCCCATAAGGGAAATTCTAGATCCCACCAAATTCCAAATTCCATGGCCTTATCTGGCACCATTCTGTCTGGCCTTTCATGGGTTTCCTTGTGTGGGAGGAAGGACCTCCCGCCCACAGAAAGATTATGGGGCAGGGAAGCAGGGAAGTGGGGGTTCCCCACCTTCCCACCACTCAAGCTCCCTGGATGTGTCACAGACTTGTACCATGGCTGGAACACACAGGTTGTTTATATGGAGAGCAGCCAGGAACAGGGATTTGGGGTGTGGCTGGGGGTAAAGACAATGGGCTTGACAGCAGCAAGCCACCTCCATGGTGAAGTCATTGTCCCATTTAACCCTGTCAGAGCAGAGATGCTACAGCAAGGCAAATCACTTCCTCTCTCTGAGCCTCAGTTTCCCTGTCTGTTAAATGAGGGGGTTGGACTAGTGAACCATAGGATTCCTTATATGAAAGCTATATAAGCTGTGCATCGTAAAGTCCCCTTAGCCCAGCAGCCTATAGAATTTCCTGAGGGGCAGAAGGTGCCATTGTGACACCCACTGGCCTCTTCCAAGCATTTCCTGCTGGGCACCCTAAAAATACAGTAGGGGTGAGGTGGGGGTTGGCGAGAGTATGGGCTCGGCCATTGCTAGAGTCGTCATTTCACACATCAGCAAACGTGCCTCTGGAGGGAGTGCTCTCGCACTGAGCTTGGCGTGGCTGGCTCCTTGTCATCCAGGTCTCGGCTCCAATGGCCCCTCCCCAGAGAGTCCTTTCCTGGCCCCCTGCCTCTTTTACTCTTCTTCCAGCACTTCTTGCCATCTGGAATGGTTGTTTGAATACAGACTTATGTGTTGACTCCCCAGCCTGGGAGCGCAGGGCTGTGTACGCTCAGCAATGTACCCTAAATGCTCAGAACGGTGCCCAGCACACGGTGGGCCCTTGTGAACAGGTGCTTAGCAAACGAAAAACCACAATCGTACGTAAAAATCTTAAGAGTTTTTTTTTTTTAATGCACATGCCTGGCCTTTACCCTAAAGGTTCTGGTTTAGGGACTGTGGGCCAGGTTTGGGCATATGAATTTTGACAAAACACCCCAGGTGATTCTGTGGCACACTTATGTTAAAAAGAGACTAGCTTGGTCATTCTCAACCTTAGCTGGACAATGGGATCACCTGGCACCTAGGTCCCACCCAGAGATCCTGACTTAATTGGTCTTGGGTTCTGGCCTGGCCGTCAGGATCTTTAAAAGTCCCCCAGGTGGTCCTCTTGTGTAGCTGAGGTAGAGGACCCTGGAACCTGAGGATCTCCAAGGCCTCTCTGATCCAAAATTCTGCATTCTTGGAAAGCCCTGCAAGGTTAAGCCACTTGTTCCACACAGCAAACTGAATTCTCAAATGGGGAAACCTCCTTGTTGAACCCTCCTGCAAAGATGAAGAAAGGGATACCCTTTTTGACCCTCATAGATGAGTTGAAAGCATTGCCAGAAGCCTTGTGGCCCATCTCCGATGACTGCCCAGGAACTCCCAGGAATGGCCTGTGGCTCTGTGCACAGCCCCCCAGCACCTCCTTTTCCTGGCAAGCCAGCTGAGCTGTGTCAAAACCTATCTCATCTCCTCCTCTGATAGCACACAGTTTTAAATAAGATCTTCATTTACCAGAAGTTCACACCACCGCGTATGTGTTATATGAGAAGTAGCAATCTTGTGTTCATGAGGGAAATGCAGTCAGGGAGGGTGGAGGAGAGCCGATTGCAGAGGGAGTGCACAAGGAGGGAGGAACTCGTGGAACCTGAGCTGGTGGCCCAGCCCCGGCCCCAGCCCCAGCCCTGGCAGTGCCATGCTCCTCTTGGCTCAGCACGGGGCTGGAGGGGGAGGGGCTCCCACTTTGCAAGCTGACCTCAGCTGCTGGAAGGCTTGGAGCAAATGGGCATGTGATGTCACCGTGAGCTCCGCCAGTTGGCAGCCCTGGCCTTGCTTTGGGTCATTTACATGTCTTCAGTTGGTTAAGAAGGAGCTCTTACTGCCGATTTATTAGTTGCCGCCTGCCTAGCCTTGGTAGCTGTGATAAGGAAGGGGTTTAGGGGCCATGGATGGATGCCAGTCCCCCATGGCCATGCTGCCTCACTTCCCAGCACAGCCTGCCATGCAGCATGTCAGTGAATAAACCAATTCCAGTAGGATGGGGCTTGACAGTTTCCAGGGTGTTCTCATGCAGTCCTCCCAACCACTCTGTGAGATGGGCATGATTACCTTGCTCGTGGAGAGGAAGAAACCAAAGCTCAGGGAGCTTGAGTGCCTTGTACACAAAGCTGCGACCTTACTCCAGGATTTCTGCCAGCTGTGTCTGCACCTGATGGGGGACTTGTGGGCAGGTCGCTGTCCCTCTGAATGTGGTCTGCAGTATTTCTACTTCCACAGCACTTGTCCATTCTGATGGCCTAAATGCCAAGAGAACAGGGATCAAGGACCAGTGTGCCCTGTGACCTTGAGCAAGGTTGTTTCTGCCTCAGACCTCAATTTTCCCAAAGGTAAAGCAAGAGTTGGACTGGGTGGTCTTCCAGGAAGGTAGGACCCCTCGGCTTTTCGTTGCAGGTTTTCAAGTGTGTCCTAGCACCGAGGAGATGAGGATCCTGAGGTGGCCCCATCCCGGGGTCCTGAGGTGGCCCCATCACGGGGTCCACAGTACAAGGTCAATGCACTTGTAATAAATATTGAGCCAACCAATGCTGAGCCGCATCCCTAGCCTCTGAATAAATAAAATGTTGCCCAGAATAACAGCCCGGAAGATGCTGGCGGCTTCAGCCAGCTCTCACCTTTGCCTCTCCCACTGGCCAAGCCTGTCACCCGTCCCTATACTCCCTTGTCTCCCCCTTCCCTCTGCCTCCCCACTCCACGGTCCATCACTCTAGCTCCAGAGGTGGCCACCGTCCCAGCCTGGCTTTAGTTTCTAGCTCTGCAGCCTGCATCTCCCTCTCCCAGCCCCTCAGCTGCCACAGCAGTTAATGAGGACCAACCCCTACAGATGGCAGCTGGGAGACAGGCCAGCCAGGTTCTGGTGGGGCTGGGGTGGGGCACAGGGAACTGGAGGTGGGGCACAGGGGAGTGTGCCTTTAATCCCCAGCACCAGACAGAAGCCTTTCCTTCTTTGTCAGGACCCTTGCTGGCATTTCCTCCTGCAGCCCATCCCTGGGAGATGAACTGGTCCAACTCCTGCAGGAGGCCAGCCCACTCTAACTGCTCTTGGCTGAGGCCGCCAGGAGATTAGAAACAGGGTCCACAAAGGAACCTGGTCCCAGGGTGCTCCAGGCCACACAGGCACACTTGATTTGATGCTTCTCTGCCTGATGAGTGTGCAAGTACAGTTATATGTGTTATATGGCTCCCTTCTTTTTACGGTTCAAGTTTCTCAGGGGCAGAGCCGGTTAGGTCAAGTGTGAAGTTACAAAATGTTAGCACTGAAGAGATATCTTCCTCATTTTATAGATGAGGAAATTAACCTCGGGGGTGGGGGGCGGAGATAAGGACACTTGCCCAGGGTCACACAGCCAGGAAGCAGCAAAAGAGCCTGGATTTGGAGCCTGATTAGGGCCTGTGCCCTTGGCCCGCACTTGACACCGCCCCCTCCAGGGGCTTTTGCTGGGGCCCTCACGGAGATGAGGCTTCATTCTTGAGATTCAGGCCTGGCCCAGAGAAGTCCAAGCCAGGGAATCGAAGCTTCTTGGTCCCAAGGTTTATGGACTGCCCTGGGGAAACAGTACCCCATCGGAAAACCTGCTCTCTGCTCTATGAAAAGGACCTTCACCATGTTGTGGGGTTTCACTGAAAAGTATTCTGGGGACCAGCATAAGAAGCAAAGCCCCTTGTATGACCTTCCTTTGGTCTGTCAAGCTGTGTGAGAACCAGCAGGGAGCCCCTGGGGTGGGAAGCTCAAAGCCCCAGGCAGAACACACCTTCCCTTTGCAAGGCACTTTCTAGATGGAATCCCTGGGGAGAAGCCTAATAGCTCAGTGCAAGAGGCGTGTGGGGTTTCATCCCCATTCTACAGGTGAGAGCACCTAGATGCAGCTAGAATACTTGGCCAGAGTCTTGTGGCTAAGACAGTTCCCCAGCCAGTTCCAGGCTGCTGGGTCTGGGGGCCCTGCTGCCTTGTTAGGAACTTGGGAGACTTGGAAACCTGGGCCTCTCTTCCTCTGCTCTATTTGCAGAGGTCCCAGGGTCATTCTGAACACATCAGGGAGACTCATCCTAAAAGCTGGGTTGAGGGGACAGGATTTGGCATCCAGATCCCCTCCCCAGCAGGCCAGATAGATTCCCACTGGTCTCCTGGCCCAGAAGGAGAGGCCAGCCCTTCCCACCCCCAGCGCCCAGGGGGGCCCCTCCTCCCCCGGCCTGGCTGCAATGCCGGGCCCCTATTGCAGGACTCGCTGCCGCTGCCTCTGACTCTGCCTCTGCCTCTGCCTCTGCCTCTGACAGACATCCCGCCCCAGAAGATAAGGATCCTGTCTGGCGCCGGAGTGCTTTTTTTCCTCCTTCTTTCCAAATCTGTTCCCTGATTATCTGCAGACAGCCCCTCGCTAGGGGAGCCACCAGGGAAGGGGCCCAGACCACAGAGAAAGACAGGAGGGGTGGGACTAACAGGCCTGCAGCCACCAGCCCTTCTGAACCCCTCTGGGGGCTTGATGGTCATTTGCTGAGCCCCCACTGTAGCCAGAGCCCTGAACTCAGCAGAGAGCTGAGGACTGGTTTCCCTGGGTGGGACTGACCCACTTCAGCGGGAAGAAGAGGGTATGTGGACTGGAGGTTGTGCCAGCGTGGGCTGGGATGGGGACAGAGGGTGGGGTTCCTTCCGTGGTCAGCGTTCCTCAGCCTTGGGCCTGGAGAGCACCCAGAGGGGATGTGGTAGAGGCTTCAGCCAGCCAGACGGCCACATCCTGTGGGAGACATTGGCCCTTCCCAGGCCAGACGGTGGGAGGACACTTAGGGACTGGTAGGGGGGTCCTAGGGGGTTCCCGGAGCCCAGCCTCCAGCCCTGAGGACTGAGCTTAGAGAATGGCCAGGGCTGGTGTGGCCTCTTGGCCTCAACCTGAAAAGGAAGGGCAGCTCCCCACCAACTGGGCTTCAGACCAGGCACCATTGTGGAATTCCAGCCTTAGAGTGCCCAAGCCGCTGAGAGCCCTAGAGAGCACCTGGTCGCATCTGGGCCATCTATAGACAGAGGGACCCATGTGGAAGGCAAAGGGATCATCCCCACCTCGCCCACTGGCATGTCAGGAGCCTGCAGCATGGGTCCTACTGCCCTGGGAGCTGGGAGCCCTAGTTCAGGTCCACACTCTGCCACTAATACGCTGTGTGACGTTAGGCAAGTTCCTTTCCATCTCTGGGTCTCACTCGTCAACTGTAAACTGAAGGGGCCTTCTGGTCGGGGCAGGAGGGAACAGTGGAGATCTGAGTCCAAAGACCTTTCCAAACTTTGTCAAACTCCTCAGGGTTGTTGTAAGATTCAATGAGATATTGAAGGTGACACCTTGGCTTACAGTAGGTGCCCCATAAGTATGAGTATGTCCAGCCCTTGACAGCTCAGACTAGGGACCTCAGGACTGGGCAAAGCCTGGGCAGTTGAGTTCCCCTCTGTGAGAATGTGCTTGTGTAGCCTTAGAGAAAGACCCTACACCTTCCCTGCCCCCAGCATCCCTTGCCATGCCCGCCCTGCCTCACCTAAAACATGTGGGGGAAGGGAAGCAATGCAAGATCATTTTTTATGGCTTCCTGGCCCTGGAGCCAGAGGGCTGAGGATCGGGTGGTGTGGGCCGGATTCCTGAGCCCCCCTTCAGAGCCAGCTCGTAAATATGAAGCCGGGGCAGGGAGGAGCTGGCTGTTAAGCTGTCAGCAGAGGCCCATTTAGAAAGTCGTAAAGCGTTTCTCAGAGCTCCTCAGAGCTGGGACCCAGGGCCCTCCCGCCCCACACTGACCGGCAGTGGCCTCCTCATTCATGGGTGCTGGGCTTCCCTGCCCGAGCCCCCACTGGAGACTCCCTGGCTCTTGCCATTAGCTGTGCCTTGGTTTCCTCTCTGTGCAAAGGAAGTCTGCTCTGCTTCTCCTCTGGGAGAATGGATGGGGAGGTCCAGTGAAGCCCTCAAGAGGCCAGAGGGACCCTGGTCCTGAGAGCAGTGAACCCCCATATTTATCATTCCCTTCTCTGTGCCTCGCTCCAAGGGGACCCAGAACCTACCCCCAAGGAGCTCACAAAATTCCACTTAGGAATGAGAGAAGATGCATGCCCCTGAAGAGAACGCCCACATTTTCTCCAGCTCAGAGGAGTGAGCTCCACGGCTGGGATGTGGAAGGCTTCCTGGAGGAGGTGGAGGTGTAGATGGGGGCTCCAGGGTATTCAGAGGTTTGGAGAAGAGGCAGGAAGCACAGGTGGTGGGCAAACAGGCCTGCCTGGGCGGAGGGTAGCTAGGATCCCAGGCTGGGTGTGGAATAGCAAAGGCCACAGAGCCTGTGAGCAGAGGCCCACTCTGGGGACCAAGTGCACGTTCCCTAATGACCCCTGTTTGCCTGGTCACCAAGACTCGTGTTTATGTGGAAAAGCTCTGGCAACAGCATGGGTTCAAATACTACCCTCCCTGCTTCCAAACCACGTGTTCCTGGACAGTTTAGCCCATGTGAGCCTCGTCTTCAACCACAAAGTGGAATTAATAGCAATCTACCCCATAACGTCTCCATGAGGTTTAAATGAGATTTTAGAGAGAGAGCCGTCTCACTCAGTGCTTGGGCATTTTTGGAGTTGGTTAGCCTGGGTCTGAAACTCGGCTCTGCCTCTTACTGACCATGTGCCCTTGGGGTCACCTCTTAAGACCTCAGTTCTCTCATCTGTAAAGTGGGGGTAAGAGCAGTGAGACGTCAATAAGTAAATACACGGGAAGTCCTCAGCACAAAGCTGGCAATCCTGAGTGCATTAACTATTATTATGCAAGGTGTTCCTGCAGCACCTAGTGTGAAGGAGGTGCGGTGAAGTCCGTATTGGAAGCCTCCTGCCTCCATCTCCAGCCTGTGGCCTCTATAGGATCGGGAAGGAGGTAGTTTTACTGGGAGCAGAAGTGGTCTTTACTAGGACTTTGTAAGTCCTTTATTCTGTCTCAAGAAATATTTGATGCTCACCTTAAGGCAAGTGGAAATGGTAAAACCTCAGCCAGTCCATTTCCCTCATTGGTGATGAGCCAGGTGAGCCTGGGGGAAGAGGTGTGGTACCTGGAGCTGGGGAAGATGAGGAAGGTGGGGAGAGGCTCCTGTCAGGCAGGTAATTGGGGATCAAGGGGCTTCCTGTGTCTTCCCACAGAAGGGGACGGGAGACAAGGCAGCTTCCACTGAGTCGCCTCATTAACTTCGCCACAAATAGCCCAACAGCCTGTAACTCCCTCAGGCAGAAATCTGGAGCTGTTCAGAAGCTAAATAAATAGGAGTGTGATCATTAAAAACTAGAGGTGCTGGGAGCCCCCCTGCCCTGGGTGGAAAGCCCGTTTCCTGTTGGAAACACCAGTCTCCCTACCATTTGGAGCCACAGGAAGGGGTTGCTCGAAGACCTCAGGGGTAAACTGTTCTGGAGGGTGCAAAGGGTCCTGAAAGTCAGGCAAAATCCCCACAACGCCCACCCTGCCCAGGGCCCACTTCTCCAGAGTGGCTCTTTTCTTCCCAAAGTTTCCAGTGACCCCAAGTTTTGTTGCTCACACTCACTCCTGTTCTCAATCCTGTCACTCAGAATGTCTTGTGGTTTCTGATTAGCGATAGGCCCTGCTGGACGTCTGAGGCCTCGACTCCATGCTTACATTTGCATTTATTTTTTTTTAGTCTCACTCTGTCACCCAGGCTGGAGCTCAGAGTCGTGATCTCAGCTCATTGCCACCTCCACCTCCTGGGTTCAGCTTCCCAAGTAGTTGGGATTACAGGCATGAGCCACCAGGCCCGGCTACTTTTTGTATTTTTAGTAGAGATGGGGTTTCACCATCTTGGCCAGGCTGGTCTTGAACTCCTGACCTCAGGTGATCTGTCTGCCTCAGGCCTCCCAAAGTGCTGGGATTACACACCTGGGCAGCATTTTCACTCTCTTATACATATCCTCAGAAGCTTAATTATTATTACTATTTTAAAGACAGGGTCTTGTTCTGTTATCCAGGCTTGAGTGCAATGGCGCAATCATAGCTCACTGCAGCCTCGACCTCCTGGGCTCAAATGATCTCCCGCCCCAGCCTCCCTAGTAGCTAGGACTACAGGTGTGCACCATCATGCCTGGCTAATCCCTAGAGGCTTTAGACGAGGGAGTTAAGGCTTCTGCCTGCTCAGACTTAGAAATGGAGGCCTGGTAACACCCTGTTCATTTCCCTGCCCTTGAGCTGTCCTGGGATGGTGGAAGAGAGGGTGGGTTCAGATTTGAGTGGCGTGTCTCCCAGCCACCCTAAGCCAACCTCTGCCCCCACAGTGCCAGTGACCCAGGGAAGACTGACTTATCATCTCCCTCAATGTGCCAGAAAACCTCTCAGCTAGTAGATACCTTAGTGTCCAGGGCTTACTTGCGTTGGGATGGCATTGGGGGTAGTGGGGCAGGTTTTAGCAGCGGCCTTGGGAAGGGGAAACATTTTCTATAAAGGAACATTAACAGAGGTGACGCCCCACCCCCAGGAGAACCTCGTTATGAAGAGGGGGTGCCTGAGGTGGCAGGAGGCCCCAGGCACAGGGAGGGAATGGGCCTGAGGGTGGCCATCGAGTTCGGGTGGGTGGGATGAGGGTCGCCCGTCCTGACTGAGCAGTTAGGGGCTCCTCATGCATGTCACTGGCTGATCACTTAACCTCTTGGGCCCTGTTTCCCCATCACTAATAGTTCCAGCCTCATGGGAGGCTGTGCATGTTAGTCAAAAGGTCCATGCCAGGCCCTGCCCAGCGCTGAGGTTAGCTTCTGGTGCTTAGCTGCAGTGGCCCAGTCTGGAGAGCCCACTCCACCCCCAGTCCTCTGTTCAGCAGTGCAAGAGCAGGGCATCCACGGGGGCGGGCAGTGGGCACACACCCCTGCTGGATGGGTGGGAGCCCCAGAGATTATAAGCAGAGCATATGGTGGCTGGTGCCAGAGGGCCCCTGGGTGACCCTGAAGCCCAGATTCCTCCGGTCATCTTCACAGGGTTCCCTCCTGTGATCTGCATGTGAGCACACACACATCTGGATTTGGCAGACCCTGTATATATACTAAACCCCTGGGCCTGCCCTCGGGAGGCTGCCCATTCTGTGAGGGGACTGGCCTTGGGCTCATGGAGAAATAAACAGGTGCCCAGTGTGGGGTGCCTGGAGGCAGGAAAGGCTGGGCTGGGGCTCCAGGCGGGTGAGGGAAGGTGGCATGTTAGCTGCTGTTCCTGCTGAGCCTTCCTTCCCTCCCCACCTACCCCACCCACCCTCACGGTCTCTCCATTCTCCACCTCAGAAGCCCTGCTGCAGGAGGGAGTCCCGGAGATTATGAGCCGCGCTTCTCGTGTGCCAACCTGTGCCCCCTCCCCCCATGGGCATGCTCACTCTTCTGCCATGCGGCCTGCTGCATTTTTTTGGATGACTTGGGCAGCTGTTGGTGTCCGGCCCAAATCTGCATCCTCTGGCTTCTGCCCACTGGCCCAGGCCAGCCACTCACCACCAAGGATACTTCAATTCCTCTTCTCATGTAACCTCTTGAGCGTGATACCCCTTCTCCCAGTAGGGGGGACCCCAGTAACCCCAGGAAGGAAGGCAGGCTCTCAGGGTGGACTAGCCATAGTGGTGATGCCCGTGGCCTGCCTCTGATAGGCACAGGCCGTGGGCACAGGGCCAGCAGGGTGGACACGGGTGATGAGGCCTGGAAGGTCCAAACCCCATCCCTCGCCCTGTCTTCAGACTCCAGCCTCCCAAGGGGCCCTCACGATCGCTTCCTGTTAGGGTCACGGCTGAGCAGAGGCTACCAGCAATGATTTCCTCCCGGCCCAGCAGCTGCCCGCCGCCTGCTCCTCCTCCCCCACTGTCGCTCCACTACTCGGTCTCATTTCTAAAAGACCTGAGGGGAGGATGGGGGCAGGAACAGCAGAGGCGTAGCTGATATTTCTGGCTGTCCATCTGTCTAGCTTGAGAATGCCTGTGGCTGAGAAACCAAAAGGTTCCTTTGACGGCCCTTAGAAGAAGATGGGGCAGGCCCCTTGGTACCAGTCCCCAAGGGCCAAGAAGAAGACTTTAATAGGAATCCCTGCCTGAAGGGCAAGTTCAGGATGGCCTGCTGAGCTTCTTGTAATTAGCAGCCTGCGAATCCAAGATTCTATAATTTTGTTGTTGTTGTTGTTTTTGGACTTGATGTGTCTGAGAGTCCATCATCATGGTAGCCTACATGTATGCCAGGAACTGGTCAGATCACTCTACTTGTATTGACCCTATTCATCTTCAAAGCCTCCTTAGGCAAGAACTAGGCCCCCATTTTACAGAGGAGAAAACTGAGGCTTAGAGAAGTCAAGCAACCAGCTGGGTTTCATGTCCTAGCTCCAGACCTCCCAGGGCTCCTGTCTTGAGACTCAGTTAGCTGTGATTCACTTTAGCTAGAGGAGAGGTTGCCTAAGCAGGCCTGAGAAGCTTGGTGGGTTGCCAGTGCCGAAGGCCCCCCCAGAGAGTCTGTAACTGAGTAGCTTCAGCAAGAGCCCCGCAGAAACATCCTACAGGCACCTGGCTTGTAAAGACACATGAAGACCTCCTCAAATGCCCCATATCCCCACTGCCGCGTAGCCCTCTCCAGTCAGAGAACTAGCTCGTGTCCTGGGTTAGTGCTGTCTCCAGGGCTCTAGTCTGCTCCAGGAGTGAGCCAGAGGCCCTGGTGAACACATGTATTATCTGAGCAGGGGGAGGCTGCAGAGAGAGGGGAAATGTGCTTATCGGGCACATCTAGCTCTGTCCCTGGGAGGCTGAGCTGTACTTGAACAATAACAGTAGTAACTGGCACCACGACAGAAGGCCCGTCTTCTCCTTGGCCTGGCATCTCCCCAGGAGATCTCTATCTTTAAATCACAGGCTGTCGGAACTGGAAAGAGCCTCCCATTACCATTGCCCAAGTGGAGGCCCAGTGCTTCTAAGTGCCGCCCAAGGACGCAGGATCATCATGGTGCACCTGGGCCATTAGAGTGGGTGAAGGCCAGGCTAACAGTAATAATAAACTTCTAACAATAGAGATAATAGCAGCCTGTTAGTTATCTTGTGTATCACCTCCTATGTGATTACAGCCTGGAGGGAATGTGGGGCTGGCCTAGAGTCACCACAGAAGGAGGTGAGACTTGCCTAGCAGTCCCTGGCTGCCAGTGAGATGCCCACACACGACCTGGTGCTCAGAGAGGCTGCACAGAGGCCCAGCTTGCTGGTCGGCTTTGTGGAGGCCTGAGGCCCTTCTTCCTAGGCCAACCCCAGCCCCCTGGAGTGCAGTGGGGAGAGGACATGGGGGGGCGTGGCATTCCCTCACAGTCTGTCTCAGGCCCTCCCTGTGACTCCCTTCCTGCGTGGCGTCCGTCGGCCGTGGCCCAGACCCTGTGTCTGTTACTATGACATGTGACCTCGCCCCACCTCCCCCTGGGTGAGATGATCTCCTTTGTAGGGATGAGGAAGCTGAGGCCCACAGTGCCCAAAACGACATGGCCAGAAAGTGGTAGTGCTCATTGTGAGGTACTTTGAGGTCCCCCGAGCTAGTTCAGCAGAGAGGAAAGACTGCTGAGGGAGAGGAGAGCCTGGCGTGGGCTTCTTTCCAGCAGCTGAGTGGGCAGCTTCCTCTTCATCTGGGCCCTGCACCAATACAGTCAGGTCTGCCCCCCTCTCCCTGGGCAGGGCCTGTCCACCCTCTAGAGACATCAACACAGCCTGTGGTCACCAAGATTCCAGGGGGATCCACTTTGTAGCTGGAATGTGGTCACCCTGCAGTTCAGGCCCTTGTATAGCCATTGTCCGTGTGAGACCCTGGCTGTCCCTGCAGAGGGTTGGCGGTCTGCCATGGCAGGCCAGGAGTGCCCAGTGCCCTCTCCTGCCACATCCGTTCCTGTAGATGATTGGGTCTGGGCTCTTGGTCGGCGGCCCCCAGAATCTCACACACACGTGTTGGAGGTGTCTTTATGATGCCTGGGTGAGGGAGACGGGGCCACGGTGTCACTCTCTCTGTCCTGGGCTTGGCCCTGCCAGCAGCAGGGCACTGGGTGTGTCCCAGCCTTCCAGCAGGTGGGGCCATGGAACACCCAATGAGGACCTCAGCCCACCCATTCAAGAGTCTGGGGAGCCGGGCGCGGTGGCTCAGGCCTGTAATCCCAGCACTTTGGGAGGCTGAAGCGGGCGGATCACCTGAGGTCAGGAGTTCAAGGCCAGCCTGGCCAACAGGCTGTATTTTGTATTTTCTATTAAAAATACAAAAATTAGCCGGGCATGGTGGCACGCGCCTATAATCCCAGCTACTTGGGAGGCTGAGGCAGGAGAATTGCTTGAACCCAGGAGGCGGAGGTTGCAGTGAACTCAGATCTCATCACGGCACTCCAGCCTGGGCGACAGAGGGAGACTCAGTCTCAAAAGAAAAATAAAAGAAAAAGAGTCTGGGGGCTGCTTTAGGGCCAAGCAGAAAGAGCCTGGGCTTCAGATCAGTTTCCCCATCTGTGCAGTGGGGGCTGTCACACCTTCCCTGCAGCAGCACTGTGCAGTGAAACTTCTTGCAGGGATGGGGACGTCTTCTGCCTGCACTGCCCAGTCTGGTAGCCACTAGCCACACGTGGCTATTGAGCACTGGAAATATGGCCAGGGTGATGAAGGAACTGAACTTTTAATTTTAATTAAAGTTTAAACAGCCACATATGGCTAGTGGCCACTGTGTTGGATGGCACAGCTCTGAAGGCTTCTGGGAAGATGCCATCCATCAAGTGCCCAACACCAAGGTTCTCAGCCAGGGTTAGTTCCCTTCCCTGTTCCCCGGGGGGCTTGGGAAGCCTTCGCCACCCCCTCCTCAGAGGCCACCCCACCTGGATGGCCAAGGTTGGAGAGACTAGACAGTCCAGGGTGGGCTGGAAGGAACATGGAGGAAAATCAGAACCACAGCTACAGGGATCACCTAAGGTCACTGGGTGAATACTACTTTTAAAATCTCTTCTGTGCCTCGTGATAATAACATTGGTTGAGTTCTAACCAAATACCAGGCACTGCGTGAAGGACCTTATGTATCAGGCTGCTTAACCCTTGGAGCTAACCATTGTTCTCCATAGTTTATAATTGAGTACACCGAGGCCCAGAGAGATGAAGCAACTTGCCCGAGGTCACACAGCTGGTGTGTGGTAGTGCCAGGATCTGCACCTGGGTGTGTCTGTCTGCAGAGACTGTGCCCTTTGTACAAGCCCAGGTCTCTCCATTTATTTAGCCATCACCTATTCTGCTGTATCTAGTACTGGGCCAGGCATCTTTAGGGACAGAGAATTGTGCAACACAAGGTTCCTGCCCTCTTAGTCTCCTTGGAGGAACTCCCTGCACAACACGCCCACAACAGAAATGATGCAGGGTGCCCCCAGGCATAATCAGCATGAGACTCTGAGCCCTGGCCTTCACAGGGTGGTGGCAGGTTCATCCCTACAGCCTGGGCCAATGCCTGCTGGGTAAGGGTGGCCCCCCACCCCAGGGCCACTCAGGCATTATGACGACACCCTAAACTTGGGTGTTAAGGTTTGGTTATAATCTCCTAAGATGACACCTAGCCCCTGGGACGTTGCCTGGCACTGCAGAAGGTTTACAGTAAATATCAGTTGGGTGAATGGCCTCTAGTGTTCCAGTGAGCCAGGCAGAAGAGTCATATCCTTCTTACAGAGGGCACAGATCTGGAGGAACCTGGAGACTTGCCCTAAGTTTGCCCCTACTCAGGCCCCTGCTTCTTTCTGAGGCTAGCCGGGGAGCAGGTGGAAGGAAAACACTCAGCTTGCATACGTAGAGAGGCAAGTCATAAATATCACAACCTCCAAGAGGAGAGGAGGGAGGAGGGAAGGCGGATCCTGAGAGCTAGGATGTCCGCTTCCGAGAACCCGCGATCTGCAGCCGCTGCCAGCAAGGTCCTGCAGGTCCTAGGGACACCCTGTGTGCATGCATGCATGCCTGTGTGCGCCGAACTGGTTGGCGGCGGGGGCGTGCTGGCGTGCTTGTGTGACTGTGGGCGACCATGGCACGCAGACCGCCTCCAGCTCCCGCTGGCCCTCCCCAACCCACTTCTCAGTTCTCCAGCAGCCAGATGTCTCCCAGATGTTCCTCACTTCCTGCCTGGCTCCGTGCAGTGCATGTGTGTGTTTATTTTGGACAGGCCACTAAATAATAACCATTTTAAGAAAAGCTTTTCAAAACCTCGTTCCCACGAGGAATCAGAGTTCAGGAAATAATCCCAATTCTATTCACTATTGTCCCCGGGCTCCCTTCTCTGACCTCCTCTCCCCCAACCCTGGGGACCACTTTTGAAAAGATTTCTTTTTATCCTACATGACGTGTGCTCTCTCCATAACACCATCTCTCTGGGAGCTAGGGCTTAGAGCTGGGAGCCCCTTAGAGCTTTGCTACCAGCATCACCTGGAAGCTTGTTAGGAATTCGAGGCCTCAGCACTGTCCCAGACCACAATCAGTCTGCGTTTTGACAAGATCCCAAGGTATTCGCACCTACATTCGCGTTTACCGTGAGCCTAGCTCTGTCTTATTGATGGGGTAATGGAGGCTGAGTCTGGCAGGGGGGACCCTTCTATCAGGTCTTCTTTAGCAGAATCCCAGTAGGGCCTGGTGGTACAGACTGAGAGGCCCTGAGCCCTCAGAGCTTGGGGTCTGAACTGTCCTTCTGGGTGGGCTGGCGGGGAGAGGCAGCCCAGCTAGTCTCTGATGTGGGGAGGCAAAGGGGTGGATTCATCCAGAGAATATGCCACCTCATCCCTGGTAGCCAGCATGGCCACAGACTAGGTCCCATGCCAGCCTCGCCGTGCCACATGGCCACTAGGTTTGGGCCAGTCCTAGATCTGCTCTGTGGGCTCCTGTGAGTCCCTGCTCCACCCACAGCTGCCCTCTGGAGATGGGTCTGGCCCTCCCTGTCTATTCTGTAGGCACTCTGGGTGCTCAGGTGGGGTGCCACAAGCTGGTGTCCTCCCGTTCCATTGTGACCCGGCTTGTCATCCTGCCTCCTGTGAAAATAGAGCAAATCGTATCAGCTCTGTTGGTCTCAGGGCAGTCCCAAGGACACGGGGCTGTGACTTACTGGTGATACACCGCCAGCACCCTCCTCATTTCTGGGCGTCATGGCTCCCTCCTCTCTGTATCTGAGCGAGGGTGTGCGGAAGGCCTGGCACACCTGGCTGGAGGTGGAGGTGGGGGCGGCCCCGAGAGAACTGAAGCTCAGGCTGTCCTCAGGCAGCTGGTGGCTTAGCTGGGAAACAAGACTCCCGCCTGTGGAAGCCTAAGGAGAAACCAGCCCCCAGTTCAGAAGCCCAGCAGTTGGTGAAGGCTGCCCTCGGTAAGGGAGACCTGGTAGGAGTTCATTCGTCAACAAGACTGGCGTGGCTTGGGGGGCTGCATACTGTACGCTGGGAGAGGTATGACGCTGAGGAGGCATGGAGGTCCCAGAAAGGCGGAGGACCCCAAGGGGAGAGGATCCGAGAGGTTCCTTCCAGAAGGATGGCTTTGTGGCTCTCCACACCCAGGGGCAGGTGAGATCACAGTGGGGTGGGGGGCCAGGATGGTAGGGGAGCCCACCTGAGGGAGGTGGGGCTGAATCAGGGAAGCACCCTGTGGGCTCTCTGAGCTCCCTCTCTGCACAGGGACCAAGCTGTGGGTCAGAGTCCTACATATTCAATATCTATTCACCAACAATCAGTGGGTACAGGATTGGTGAGTGACTGGGTTGAGGGAAGGAAGAAGGGAGGGAAGTGAGGGAGGGAGGGACAAACTGACAGTTGGATGGGTGGCTGGATAAGTAGATGGAAGGAAAGGAGGAAGGATGAACAATGAATATAATCACCCCAGCGCTCCACATCTGTCAAAACCCTTTCAGAGCCAGCCACATTCTTTTGATCCCACACCCATCCTTTGAAGGAGATAAAGCTGAGACTATATTCGTAGTGTCAATAAGACTAAGACCCAGGCCAGAGAGGGGAGCAGAGGGCGGCTGACCAGCCGGCAGGCTCCCTCTGGGGCGACCACTTCTTTAAACACTCCGGGTTCACGGTGCTCCCTGAAGCAGGGAGGGCTTGGCACTGAGTCATTCACACTCCCTTGCCCACTCCCTGTGTGACCAGAGCCCCACCCTGAAGCCGTCCAGGACCTGTCTGATCACGCCCCTGCTACCTGGAGAATGTCAGCGCCAGGAGCTTTCAGCCTCCAGCCTTTGCCCAGATTCCAGTGCAAACCAAATGAGGAAGTGCATGACCCAGGTTGTTCACTGGGGCCGTGTGCAGGCCCAGCAGCATTGTCCAGGAAGCTCACTACTGAGCAATAATAGACCACCAGCTTATTCACAGAGGTTCCTTGAGACAATAGGATAGTAAAGGCCTATCCCTGCCCTGAAGGTGCCTATGGAGTCAGAACAGAGAGGTCACTCAGAGGTGACAGCATCTTGGGCTGCAGAGTGAACATCCAGAACATCAGGGAAGGCTCCCTGGAGCAGGTGCCATTGGCACTGGGTGTACAGAGAGGGCCATGGCTGTAGGGAAGGCACTGTTCCATCTACCCAGCCTTGCAGCAGTCCCCTCCACCCCTGCCCCTACCTGGCTAACATGCGGAGAGGAGAGGTGATTCAGCAGGCCTGGCTTGTTTCTTTCTTGCCCACTGAGGCCTCGCTGTTGGACAGGCTCCCAGACGTTGCAGTCAGCTGGAGGCCTCACCTTCTGAGCTCCCAGACCTGACCCTCTGCACTTTAACCTGGCACCCTGGCCCCAGCTGAGTTGGACTGTTTCAGGAGTCTGAGTCTGGGCCTTCCTCAGCTGTACACCCCCAGTCCCCAGGCCCCAGCATGGATGTGAGCGAGCCACAGCACCCACACTGGGACCTTTGCATGGTTGGGAGTTCTGTGCCATAGAACAAAGAGAAACCAGGCAGTGAGTTCTATAGAAATCAGACCGGGGGCTAAGGGAAGACATGCTTCCTTTTTTGCTTTGCCCTGGGATGTAGGACCCAAGTGAAGTAAGGCTCCCTAGTGATTTGGGGGTCTTACTTGTGTCCTTGAGACCTGGAAAACCCTCTCAAGGCCTCAGGGAAAAGGAGAAAGGATGGGAATGCCGCATCTGCCTTTGGCAAGCTGCTGATTCACCTCCTCCTATGTGGCCTTTACTTTCCTACTCTGTATAATGGGTAGGAGTGGACTCAATTGCCCCCTTCTCTCTCCCCTTTGCCAAAGCCTCTGACTTCTAGCACTGCCTTTCCAGGCTTGTGGTATCTCAGGGAAGGAGATACTGGTTTCACCCTGGGAACCATCCAAGCACCCAGGTCCCTGGTACCAGCTCTCAGCTCTTTGATAGCAGTCTTGGGGCCTCCCTGGGTCCTGTCTCTGAGGAGCAGAAGAGGAGTTGAGCTCCCCCCACTTGCTTCCACCTCTCAGGTAGGCAGCCTTGCCTCTGGCCTTGGCAGCACTTTCCCAAGCAGGGACGCCCTGGGAGCCTATACGGCCAGGAGGGAGGCAATACACACAGCGCCCTGGAGAAAAGCCCCCCGCACCTCCAGAGCAGAATGAGCTAGCGGGAGGCAGGGAGAAGGGGGGCCCACTTTCCCCTTCTTCCCCTGAGTTGGCACTTTTCTCTTTGAGTGTTAAACTCAGCTCTTCCTTTTTCTCCTATTCCTGACAGCCTGTTGAATAATTTAAATATTTGGGCCTAAAGGGCTTCAATTATCCTTTAATTTACATTAGTAATTTATGTATTAGGCAGAATGGACACACGGTTAGTGTAACAACCCCCAGTAGACCGGCTAATATCTGCTGCACTCACCGTTCTTAAGAATCTCATCATTTTTCTTTGCAGCCCAAGGTCTTTGTTTTCAAAGTGGCTCCTAGGCATGCACTTTTACACAGACCTGTGTACATGCTCAGGGGTACACAGCAGAGGATGCCTGAACTCATAGAGAACATTGACATGCACCCACTTACAGGCAGGCACACTGAAGCAGTGGGTACAGGCTCCTCCCTCTCTCTGTCTCTCTCTCTCTCTCTCTCACACACACACACACACACACACACACACACTCATAGATGTAAAACACACACCATGTCAGACCAGCCATCTCCACTCCCACCTGCACCCCACTCCTTCCTGTGGGCAGTATGTACACATATGCTTGTATTTGCATCTGTTGGCCAGGTGATCCCAAACATAGCTCCCTCTGGCAAAGAGGCTACTGGGCCCCAGCATGACATTCAGATGTCCCATTCTGTGTCCAAGCTTTCAGTCCCTTTTTGCACAGCCCTACACAGGCACCTCACCCCAGGGTTGAACGCACTCATGAGAACGTGACCACGGCCACAGCTCCAGTGTGCTCACATGCTGTGGGCTGGCACCAGCTACAAAGTCCTCCTGGGCTTCTCAGGCATGCTCCCCTCCAGAGCCTGCAGCCTGGGCACCAGTAACCTGGCATGGCCTAAGCTATTGCCCTGACATAGCTAGGCTGCCAAAGGGACCCCATTTGGGATTGCCAATTCCTGGCTGCCCCTCAAAACTTGGCCCAGCTGCCCCAGCACCAGCTTGCAAGGATTGAGGGCTCCCCAGGGGGTGGGGACAAAAGTGACAGAGAGTGATAACCCTATGTGTGAGTGTATATTCCAAGCTTGTTAAGCTGGGTTGGGCCCCTGGTTCTGTGGAACGCACCTTGCACCTCTGTGCCGAGACCATGCTATACAGGTGAGGCCCTTGGGATCCAGAGCCATCTCTGAGAATGTGGCTTTCCAGCTGTCATTTCTAACTCCAGGAGAGTCCCCTGGCATGGTCCCTGGCTCCTCCTACCACCCTCATCTCTCTCCCACAGCCACAAAGCACAGAGCAGGTAGAAGGCAGGTAATGCAGTGGGCAGTGCAGATATCTGATTGGTGGGGTAGTCCATTATACAGAAGGAAAAACCAAGGCTGCAGGAGGTTAGGGCATGGAACAGATAGGTTACTTAGAGAATCTTCTGGAAAGGTCCCTCTTAGGGGCACTGGCCACGTATCCCAGTGCCATGAGGGCTTTTGGAGCCCAGATTTCCCTCTTCCCACTCCAGTGCTCAGGCTGTGGTTCTGGTTGGGATGGGGTGGGGACGTGGTTCCTCTCCCCAAGCATATGTTTAGGCTCAGGAGAACAGCCCAGAGGAGCTAAGTGGAAAGTGTGTGGCCACAGGTGCCCATCTCTGTGCCTCTTCAGGAGACTGCCATGACACCAGGCATCTCACCACTCTTGAGCAGGGCAGAGGTGCTGGGAGCCCATGGCAAACCCCGCTGGGCCTGAGCCACCTGCCTGCTGAAGGCCTCTTACCAGGTGGTGCCCCAGGCCCTGCTCCCCAGGATGCCTTGAATGAAGGGGCAGTGCCGGTGGGGGAGACATCAGAACTCCTTTCCCCCCGGCCCTAGGGATGACCCCGAGCCTCCGGCCGTTCTGCTGGGTCCAAATGGGATACTTCCTACCGGGTTGCATGAGCTAGGCCCCTTCTGGAAGTCCCCATCATTGCCCCTCTCCCAGCCTTGGCCTCTCTTCTTCATCTGTCTGGCCTGGCTTGGGTGTGTGGATGCTTCCTCAAGTCCCAGCTTAATTCCTGACTTTCCGAGGAATCTTTTCCTGATAGCTCCAACCTCCCCAGACCTGTATAGCCTGTACCTCAAAATCTAGGGCAGCAGTGGCAAACGGTTTATCTCAGGTGGCTGTTTTGAAAGTTTGAGGGTGACTTCCCAGGGTGTAGTGTTGAGAAATCTAGGGCCACATCTGGACTCATTTACAGAAGTCAGCATTAATTAGTGATGTCTGCTGTGGTGTGGGATGGGGAGGTGGTGGCTCTCAGGCTGGGCACATGCCAAAACAGATCCAGGGCTAAATTCTAAAGTATTGTTGCTGCGCTGCAGTGGTTTCCTGAAGGGTTATCCCCCTCCTAGCTCCCAGCACTTTGGGGTAGAGATTATAACTTTTCTAATTTATAATCTATGGGAGTATACTTCTGTCTCCTACAGATTCTAATATAGATCTAGATACATAGTAGACACTGAAGAGGGGAATACTTACAGCATGCTAGAGGTGGAAGGAATTCTAGAGATCACTGAGTTCAGGGATGGCAAGTAGGTCTCCTCTTGCTACCAATCCTGAACAAACAGTGATGACTTTCAGGAGATGTGCTGATTCAGAGACTCAGATCTGGCTCAGTTGGGTCAATTAGTGATGTCTGTCATGGGCTCAGCCATGGTAGTAGTTGTACCAAGGTATTGCTATCCCTGTTTTATTTCAGTCTTCCAAATATATTGATATGGAAACTAGGACTCAGAGTGGGTAATCTGTCAGAGGTTACCCCGCTGCTTGCTTGGATGGTTAGAGAATCCTCACTCCTTCCAAAGGAGTTTCCCTGTCAGAGGTCAGGGTAAGGAAGGTAGAATCTTCAAAGCCTGGATAGACAAACTGATGATGTGTCTTTCTGAGACTGGTTCCTACAGCTGTAGTCTTTGTATGTCTTCATGCGGTTTTTAAACTTTTAAACTTTCACCTTTTGATATAGTAGGTGGTAGGTACAATAGAAACGCTGTACATGGCATTTAAAGGCAAATTGGATTTTCTTCTGGCAGCCACCCTGGACTTCAGACTTGCAGGCCCCAGAGCACAGTTTATCTCCCCATCTGCAAGAGCGATTTTCCATTTGCTCCACAATGGGAAATAAGAATCCATCATGTGCCATTGTGTCAGGAAGGTGGTGTCTACTTTAATAAATTTGCTTTTAAATGCTGGCTGTCTCTGGAGATCGTTTCGCTCATGCCTGCAGACAAAGTGATTAAAGTTGCAGAGTATACATGGTTCCTGCAAAGACCCAGAAGGGGTCTTCTCGGTCCATATCTGAAACCCTTGCCACATAGGGGAATGAATGAACCAAGATAATTCCTCTCCTGTGAGAGTCTCAGTGCCACAGGCTGAAGCACACACAGGGAAGAATTGAGGATATTTATTTTTCTTTAAGTTGTTTTCCCCCAGGAAAAAAACCCACAGGCTGGAGATGTATACCTCAAGTCATTGATTTTATTTCCTCTCAAATTGACCTTGCTTTTCTAGGACTTTGCCTCTTTAAGTGTACCAGGTGTGACATCTTTGTAAGTAAATGAAGTGCTGTGTAATGTTCCCCTTCACCTCCTCCAACAAAAAAGTGATTTGAAATCTGGGTTAAAAATAAGTGTCACATATATATATTACAATATTTTCCCAAATGCCTGTGCTTTAAAAATGGGTGAAGGGACAGTTAACATGCTCTTCAGTGGTATCTGAATCTTGAATTTTATTTTTCCAGGTCTAGTCCCTATATAGTTGATCATTCACAGTGACTCTAGGCTGATCTCTTGCCCTCTCTGGGCCTGTTTTGCCATCTATCAAATGGGCTAACTTTGGGCCTGAGCAGCAGGAAGCGTGATAGAGCACCAGGCTGTGAGGGTGGCTCCCTTTTGTGTCTCTGCATTGAGCAGGATAGAGTTTGACCTGCTGCCTACCAAGTGTCCTGCCATGAGTCCCAGAGCCCTGCAGTTAATAGCAGCCACGCCCTCCACCTCACTGCCTGCTTCTGTGAGAGCGCTTTCAAATCTCTCATTCCTCTCATCTCACAATTACCCTGTGAAGGCGGGACTGGTATTGCATTGTACAAAAGAGGAAAGAAACCTGGGCTTGGAGAGATTGCTAATAATGACAACCACTAGCAGTTTTTCAGCTTTTATTATGTGCCAGGCACTGCGCGAGCTTGTTGAATGCATTGCCTCATTTATTCTTCAGAGCAACCCTAACCCTATGAGGTAGGCATCATTTCTCCCATCTTATTGTGAAGGAAACAGACTCAGAGAGGTGAAGTGATTTGCCCAAGGCCAGACCCCTTCACAGAGACCTGCCTTGTGAGACGGCACCTGCAAGGAGAGGGAAGGCATTGGTAGCAGTGAAGTCCATTCCAGAGAGCGGGCAGGGAGTGACAGCAGGAGCCCCAGAGACCCCCAGGACCTGACTCAGCCTGGCAGTCTGTTCGGGTCTCCCCAGGAGAGTAGACGGTGGATGGGGAGGTGAGGCTTGAGGGTTAGGACAGAGAAGAGGGGGTTTTCTTAGAGAGCTCAAGGGACAGGAGGAGAGAAGAGAGACAGAGCACAAGCCCCAGGACCTGTGTCCAGGACATTGGTCATTTCTCAGGACCCCAGGCATTTCCCTCCATCCCTCTTAGCTCTTTGCTTCCTTGCAGCTCAGACCTCTAAAATCCTCCCCTCATTTCCACACTTCACCTCCTCACCTGTGGACTCTGGGTCTGCACCCTCTGCTTCTCACACTTCCTTGCTGCAGACTCCAACCTCGGGGGAACCCCAAAGGCCCAACCCTCCCCAGCACTGAGTATCAGAAGTGCCACAGCCCTGCCATTAAAGGGGGCCACCACCTCCTTTCCCCGTAGCTTGGTCTTAGTGATGCTGGCCACCCTACTGCAAGGCCCAGGCCCAGGAGTAGACAGTACCCGAGTTTGGGTGTCCTTCCCTTCCCCCGACACCATGCCCAAGGAGGAGCAGCAGCAGTGCAGCTTCCTGGGAATGAGGCTTTCTTTCCACCTTCTCCTCGTCCATTGCCCTGGAAATACCTGTAGCAGGTGGGCAGGCTGGCAGGGAAGGCCAGGCGCATCTGATGTCACTGCTCCCCAGCATTGTTTTGGTTCTGACCACAGTGGGGGTGGGGTGTATGTCTGTGTGCTAAGTCCACTCAGTCCCAGGGCAAGCTGGGGCTTTGTCTCCCTCTCCCCTGCCAAGCTCCCTGGTTCCTGGCTGAAAGCATTTCCAGGGTGTCAGAAGCTGTTGGCATCGCCAGGGCTGCCAAGGGGAGGAGGGGCAGGAGAGTTGGGTGGGGGTGTGAGGGTCCTCCTCCCCAGAGATCCCCATAGCCTGGGAGTGAGAGGTGGACACTGTACCCCTGGTCAGTAGGGGAGCAGGGGTCCGCAGGACACTAGGAAAGCTGGTTCACGCATGTCTCCCAGGAGGTGTTCAGGGAGCATTTGTTAAGATGGGGATCGCTGCAAGGTGGAGGGTCCCAGGGACCCCCTTCTGGTTCCAGGCGTGTCCTTCCTGCTCACTATATCATGTCAACTCCATCAACCTTTAGCCAGGTCCACGCTCGCCAACCAGCAGTCCAGTTTCCCAACTCAGCACAGGGGGAAACGGATGCCTAGTAGAGAGGACAAAAATGAGCTCAACGTCACATCAAGTCAGCAGTATTGTTGGGACTGGACTCCGAAGTCTGACTCTTGGTTCAATGCTCTTTCCCCTATAGCAGGTGGTTATGCAAAGTAATGTAAATTATATGCAAATGTCTGTGGCTTCCTACCTACGCCTAGCAGAGGGGGTTTTGTGCCCTACTGGGGCTGGCGGGAGTCTTCTCCCGTCACAAGACTATCAGTTCTGAAAGGGCTCGTGGTAATTGTTTTACCCACTATCTGACTCAGGGCCTGGGCCCCAACCTTCTGTGGTGATCAGGAGGAGCACAAATGGCTCTGGGACCATGGGTACCTGGCGTCCTGCTGTCGTGGGGGGCATAGGGCTGACAATGCCAGGAAATGGCCAGAGGAAGCCTCTGGATAGGCCCCTAGAGTCCACACGACAGTGTGGGCCTGGCTTGGGGAGGTTTTCTCACGAGTCCTGGGAAGTCGGCTTACTGTCTCCAGGCCCCCTGGGTCCCCATCAATAAGCTGGCCTGAATGGAGAGGCTGGGTTGGGGGGAGGGAGATTTATTTCCTGGCTTTAAAACCAGCCATTCTCCCGCCTCCCACCTTCCTCCTGGCTGGAGAACAATGGGACATCCCCAGAGAGGCCTTCCTGTGGCAACAGGTGCACTGAGCAGGGTGGATGACCACCACCCAGGCCCCCATAGGTTCCAGCTGTGCACGTGGTGAGCCTCCACCATTGGTCCTGCTTCCAGAACAGCAGCCTGGCGCCCTTAGAAACAACACCAGGCACTGACCCTTTCTCCACTATTTCTGGGTCCAGGAAGTGGCTTGTTTGTTTGTTTCTACAGTCCAGATAATGTTGCCATATTTCCCCAAATGGTGGGAACTAAGTTCTGAAAAATAATCACCCTTAATCCCACCCAGACACAACTACTACTTGCATATTCGTGTGTTTCCTTTCAGGCTCATGCCCAGGTTTGTTTTATGATGTCATCACATACTTACAGGTTTCATTTCATGCTCAGGCCTCTACACTTAACATTATTCCATGAATCTTTCTCGTATAATTACATAGACTTCATAATTAGCCATTAATACCCGAGAAGAACCCACAGTGGGGATATACTTTAATTTACTCAAGCAGTTCTCCCTTTGTTGGGTATCTTACTCTGGTAAATAACACTGCGTTGAACATCTCCATGCTCACAGCTTGGTTGGGTTCCTTGGGAGAGATTCCCAAAAGTAGAATTCTAGGTAAAAAGACACGCCCTCATTCATACACGCTGCTAGATTGCTTTGTGGATTTGATGCAAGTGTCGTCACCAAGTTGTCATTCTCCGAAGTCCCAGCAGTTGTTCATGGGCCCACAGGGTGGTAAGAAGTATTTCCTAGACAGCCCAGACTTCCAAATGTCACCGGCTGTCACTGATTATGGGGGGAGGGAATGTGAATTGACACAAAAGGAGCTTGGGGCTCTCACTTCCAGGGTCCCTAACTTAGAAACACCCCCGGGCTTTAGGGACAGGCTTTACTAAGAGGCCACTCCTTGTTCGTAATTAGCGCCATCCATCCCCAGTCAGATCTGGAATGAGCGGAAGCCCTTTAAAGTAATTTGCTCTTTTAATATCACCCCTGTGATCTCATTTAATTTTCTCAACCAAACTTCATTCACAGAGGAAGCCAAAAGCACTCCACCAGCCCGGACTGAATTCTCACCCTTTCCAAACAGTGGCTCTGGACTTCTGCAAGCTCTGCTGAGATTTGTCTGGCCTCCAGCAGCTTGCATCCGAAGCCAAAGGGCTGTCTCTGTCCAACAACAAAAGGCAAGAGCATAGTGTAAAAGCTGTGGCTTTAAACATAGGCAAGCAGCTGCCACTGCCTGCTCTGAGCCCCCACGGTGGGGAGGAAATCGACTATGTATTGAGTCATACGCCCTGGCAGGCTCCGTGCTGGACATTTGTTCGGTTGGGCGGGGGCATGTTCTCAGTGATCCTTCTGTGAACCCTGTGAGATTGGTATGAGCACCCATTTTACAGATAAGGAAACTTATCTGTAAGCTCTGAGTTGCAATGACTTGTCAAGGTCCCTACCATAGCCCCTTCTTTGGAAGATCTCCAGGTGACATTGCACATGGAGCTGTGGCACTGCTGTCACAATGTCATACCCCAGAGGTGAACAGGTGAGTGGACGAGTACCCGCCACACCCCTATGCTGCTGCCACTCACACAGCCACTCCCAGCCCTGGCCCCAGCTCCTCCAGGAAGGGAGCCTCCCTCCGCTGAGCCAGCAGAGCTCTCAGGCCATTGGCAGCTGGGCTCAGGAGAGCCATGGTGATTTATGGCTGCCGCGTCTCCCCAGTGCCCTGCCTGGGCCCAGTGTACTTATGGACTAATGGAAGCTCGAATGGAGGGAGATAATTCTGCCAGGAGCTGGCTCCAGTGACAGGGGCAACCACCATTGCCTCAGGGCAAGGATAGGTTCGGGAACAGAGGGGACTTGGGCAGAGGCCAGAGGCAGAGGCGCTGAAGGCTCTGAGAGCAGATGGAGCCCAGGTGGGGACTCGGGCGTGCAGAGGGTGGCACTTCCTGGCAGCCCAGTCCCCAGACTGGCTTCTCCAGGGCCCCCAGAAGGGAGCCAAGAGGTGGGCCAGGAGCCCAAGGCCCCAGAGGCCTAGCAGCACACCTGCCCGTGCATTTGGTGTGTGGGTTTTGATATTCTTAGAACATCCAAGCTTCTCACCTAACCCCCTCAATGATAGATGGGGAAGCAGGGGCCCAGAAAGGGTCAGGGACTTGTCCAGGGTCACACAGCATGTTAGTTACTGAGCTGAGACAAGAACCCTGGGATGTCACAAGAACACGGCAGCCGGTGTGGAGTGGAGAGGAAGACCTTGGGCAGGGTGGGCAGGAGGGTGAGCACAGAGCAGGGAAGGTGCAGGAAGACGACAGTCATGGTCAGGGATTAAAGAGGATGCTAAGGAGGAGGCTGGGACAGCCCCAACAGCGGGGCCCAGAGGAAGGGGTGCAGCAGCTGGCATCGACCCTCCTGGTAAGGGAGGGTTAAGGGGGACCTGGAAACCCACAGCCCCACTGGGTTCCCTCTGTGAGCCAGCAGGTGCTTCCTGGGGCTCTGCTGGGCCCTGAGGGGTGAGCACCCCCGGATCCCACCTAGCTCCTTTCCACTGATGTCCTCCAGCCAGCATGGCCCACCACTCAGCTCTCCTGAGCCTCTCTCTGTGTCTTCTTAAATGGGACCGTTATGCCTACCTCAAAGGGTAAGTGGGAGGTAAGTGAATAGGGAAGTTCAGGTTGAGAGAAAGCCGAAGGGAAGAAGAGACGCCCACCTCAGTTCAGATGTCTCAGGACCCCTGGCACCTCTCTTGCCCCCTTCCCCCTCCAGGCCCACCCAGGCGAGTCACATAGGTTGCTAGTGCCTCAGTGTATCCCATCTGTGAAATGGGCTCCCCTCCCAGCCCCTGGCAAGAAGGCATATCCCTGACTGGGTGGTGAGCTTCCTCCTGCATGCCAAGCCCACACAGCATCTTCGAGGAGCGCCTCGGTGGTGAGCTGCACCAGCCTGGACTGAATTCTCACCGTGGAGAGATGTACATGCCAGGTGCTCCTTGGAGGTGCTGTGTGGGTTTGGAAGATGTTTTCCATGGCTTGGGGCCCAGCAGCCCTCTGGGGCCTGACAAGGAGTGAGGAAACAACCGCGCCTGTTGTAGGGCAAAGAGGAACCTCTGTCCCCTCCCTGGAATCACTGCAGGCTGTGGCCAGGTGTGCAGGGAACTCTTTCAGGTCATCTGGCTCAGTGGCTTCCACAAACACCTAGAATCCGTGCTGTGCATAGGCACCTGCCTGTGCTAAAGCCGTTTGATATATGTGAGCTCCTGGAGGTAGGCAATGTTCTGATACCCTCTTTAGAGGTGGGGAAACAGAGGCCAGAGGCTTGAAGTGCCATGCCCAAGAAACACGTGCTTTCACTGGGAACTGTTTTTGAGAGTTCACCTGATGCCAGGTGCACAGGAGCTAAGGCATTACTTATCCTCTAGGCTAGGGACTGTTAGCCCATTTTACAGGCGGAGAAACCAAGGCCAGGGAGACAAAATCACCTGCCTGAAGGCCCCACAGCTATCGATGCCGAGACTCTATCCTGCGGATGTTGGGCTCTTTCCACTGAGTAAGGTTCCCTCACTCTCTAGTGCCACATGGGGTGCCCTCAGTCTGGGCCAGGGCAGGGCAGATGCAGGGCCCCCCACTCCCCTCCTAGGATACAGGAATCTGTATTGCCTCAGGCTTGTCTCTGCCCACCTGCTGGCCAAGTCCAGGACAGAAAGAGAGGGCTCACAAATTGGGAGACTCTGGGCTGAAGACCTGGTGGTCTCAGCCATTTTTGTTTCTTGAGGGTCCCAAGACCACCCATTCCTCCTCCAAGCCCAGCCCTGTAGCTCCTCCAGGAAGCCTGGCCCCTTCCTGAGCTGTGTGGCCAGCTCTCTATGCTTCTTCTGGAACCTCCACTCCAGAGCACCTGAGAGCAGCAGGACAAGCCGTGGTCTTGGGCAGCGTCCTTTCAGAGGAGGAAGGTCCAGAGAGGGGAAGGGACTTGTCCAAGGTCACACAGCTAGCGACATCCCAAGCAGCCCTGCTGGAGCTCTTCAGAGAAAGGACAGGAGGAGCCAAGGGTGAGCTTGGCCAAGCTGGCACCCACTTGCCTCCAGAGTCACCAAGGTCCCCACCCTGCCCCAACATTGCCTTTTCCCGAGGAGTTGATTCCCAACCCAGCAGAGGAGCTGCCAGATGGGTAAAGACCCTCCTGCTGAAGAACTGAGCATCCCAATCCCCTCTTGTCCTCCCCGCCCAGTGGCCAGCCAGGTACTGCCCTGTCCAGGAGGCAGCTGACAGGCAACAGGGAAGAGCTGAGCCTCAGGGCAGGCAGCCCGTGTGAGGCCACGTGAGCCCAATGTCACCAGGGTCCCATCGGGTGAACTGGGATAGAATGGCCCAGCCTTTCCTCATGGGCAGGGTGGAGGGAGGTGAAGTATGGCCATTCATTAGAAAAGTAATGACTGGGCCGGGTGCAGTGGCTCACACCTATAATCCCAGCACTTTGGGAGGCCAATGCAATAGGATTGCCTGAGGTCAGGAGTTCAAGACCAGCCTGGCCAACATGGCAAAACCCTTCTCTACTGAAAATACAAAAACTAGCCAGGTGTGGTGGTGTGTGCCTGTAATTCCAGCTACTCAGGAGGCTGAGGCAGGAGAATCATTTGAACCCGGGAGGCAGAGGTTGTAGTGAGCCGATATGCCACTGCCCTATAGCCTGGGTGATATAGCGAGACTCCATCTCAAAAAAAAAAAAAAAAGGAAAAGAGAAAAATAATAATGACTAATCTTGGACTTGGGCAGCCCTTCATAGTTTATGAAGCACTTCTGCATCTATAAGAGAATGTGTTCTGTTCACCCATTCAAAGACTAAGAAACCGAGGCTCAGAGAGGCAAAGTGGCTAGCCCAGTCACACAGCCAGTTAGACTGTGGGGAGGACTTCAGCCTACACAAGGTCAGCGTGAGTTTACTGAACGCTGCAGTCAGGCCCTGTGCTTGATACATTCACATACATGACTCTGTTTACCATAACGACAGCCCTGGGAGATTCCTGTGGATTGTCCCATTTTATAGAGGAGGAAATATAGACCCGTGACTTGCCCAGGCCCCACAGGGAGGGAGTGTGGAGTTCGGTAGCTCAGCCATAGCCAGGCTCAGCCAGGTCAGTGGGCGTGGGTCCCTGCCCAACTTGCTGAGGGTCTCAAGGGTGTATTCTGCCCACCTCCTGAGTTTGGGGTAGATAGCCCAGGGGACTGGATAGGGGCAGCTCGGAGTCTGCCCATCGTGGCTGTGGGAACACTGCCTGCTGGGGACAGTGCCTGGAACAGCACAGTTTGGGTTTAAGCTGGAGCCTCTAGGGGACAAACAAGCCAACTGCCAGGCAGGAGCTTCATCATGGTAGCTCCTGGTGGAGAGAGGTAGGGGGGGCATGAAGCATCAGGAGCAGAGGCACTGATGCCCTCTCCTTCCTGTGGCCCAGCATGGGGGTGGCCACCGCTCTGGCCACTGCCCAAGGGGGTGGCTTCTCTGCTTTTGCCAGCTGTCTCCAGCCTGAGATCCAAAACTCAGCTTGAGAAACCACACCTGAGAAATCCGGCATTCCATTCCTTGCCAGGGGCCTCAGGATAGGGGAGGCAAGCAGGGGTGCTCGGGGACCGCCTTTCCCCACAACCCTAGGGAGGAGGTGGAGTGGGTGGAGGCGAGAGAGGCGGGCTGGGCCCGGGAGCACGGAGGCCTCTAATGGCACCGGGTGTGGCCCATAGTCCCGCTGGCTAGCTGCCTTGTTTCCTAATTAAAGTGCCCTTATGAAAATGCCCTCCGGTCCAGGCCCAGTGCTGCTGGGTGAGGCAGGCACCTCCCAAAAAATCTCAGCAGCTTTCCTGTCTTCCCTGCAGGGCCTCTGGGCTCAGGGCCCTTGGTCATCTGGGGGAGGCTGGGGGGCATCAGGGCTATGTTCACCCTGTTATCGTCACTGTGCTCCCAGAAGCTGTTCTCTGCCATCCCATTGCTGAAGGCAGCAGGCCGTCCTCATTAAAGAGCCTCGGCAGCCAGGATCAAAGGCACTATTGAAGAGGCTCCTAAGAGCTGGGGGACGCCAGGGCCAGAAGACGGGAGGAGGAGGTAGCAAGGAGACTGAGTCACTGCAGGCCAATTGTGATGAGTGGGCAGTGGGTGGCTGGAGCCAGGTTTTCAGGCTGGGAGGAAAGCCCAGCCAAGAGGCCCAGGAAGGGGCGGGCAGGCAGCTGGGAGCCCTGCGGAGAGGTTGCTGCTGTTGCGCTGGGACACCTCCGCTGCTGAGCAAGACTGCTCCCCCGCAGCCCTTACGAAAGCCACCTTCTGGTGAGGGCAGCAGAGCAGCCGGCTGGTTCACTATTAGGGGCCAGCGTGGGAATGGGGAGAGGATGGGACCTTGAGTCCCAATCTTTCCATTTGGGAAGCCCATAATTGACAGGGCTGCACCGAGGGTGGCAAGCTGGCAGTACCTAGAGGCTGTCATTATGGAATAAGGGCCCCTCAGTTCTTTAGGCAAGTCACCCCAACTCTCTGGACCCTGTTTTTCCCTTGGGTTGAGTGAGGGTGAATAGGGATTAATGAGATGGGGAGGGGGTGGAATATCTTCATCACTTGATTGGTTGTGGCTGAGTATAGTCCTGTGCTGAGAAGGAGGCCTTGTCCAGATGTGCCACAATTTATTAGTGATGCTTGCCACAGCCTCAGGATTGGCCAGGTGGCCGTGCATTTGCCCCTAGACTAGATTGACTCTATAGCCCTTGCACACTCTAATATCCTGAGATTCTGAGGCTGACAAAGCCCAGGCTGGCATGCAAAAGACCTCCCAAATGCTGGCCCTGACTTCCCCAAAGGACATCCTTCCCTGAGACGTCAGTGGAAATCTGAGCCTCAATTTCTTCATCTTTCAAAGGGAGAGAAGGACTCAGCTGGACCTCTCACCTGCCTCAACCTGCAAAACACATCATTCTTAGTATTAACCGAGTCCTTCCTTGTGCCCCTCCTTGTGCCCAGTGCAGTGAGGAGTGCAAGATGGAGTGTACCTACACTCTAGAGTCTTGCCCTGTGCAGGCCTGGCTGGAGCCCTGCATCTGCCTCTTACTGGCTGTGTGACTGGGGGCAAGTTATTTTAAGCACTGAACCTTGGTTAGTAAAATAGGGGTAATGGTACCTGTCCACAGGGTTGCTGTGCCCATTGAATACAACTACATAAAGCCTGTGACCCCAGGCCTGGCACAGAACACCCAGCCCTTAGATGGGGGCTCTGACGGGAAGGGTTACAAGAGAGGCCTCAGTTGACTTCTTTGCCTATTCTGACCTTGGCTTTGGATGGGAATTTGGACGGGGGTGGGATGGGGTAGGGGGGAGGTGGGAAGATAGTTTCAAAGCAACACAGGCCCAGACTGTTCGCTCTCAACTCTCCCGAGACCGCAGCCCCAGCCTGAGCTGGCTTCTCCATAAACTCCTGGTCCCTTCCTTTAACCAGCCCCATAAAAAGGGAGTGGGGCAGGAGGGAGTCTGGCTGCAGACTTTGTAATTTGGCTTGGAGGTGGCTCCTGTTCGTTCTAACCAGGCTGTAATTACGGCTGGCACCCGACACCCCCTCATTACCGGAGCCTGGAAGGAGGACTCTAATTATAGCATACTGGGTCCGGGCTGGAGTGGGTTGGGGGAGGGAGACCACAGTGGAGGCCTGTGTAGGCAGAGAGAGACTCTGAGCTGGCTGGGGGGATGGGGCAGGGCCAGGATTGTGGGGGGGCTGTCCTGGGCTCCTCATTTGTCTTGCTTTCAGAGTCATCGTTGGGAGGGATGGGGCATAGATCGAATCCAGGCCACTTCCTTGGGGAGAACAGGACCCAGAGGAGCCCGCCCGGGAGACTCATTCATTCATGCACGAAGGATTTATTAAGCATCTACTGTGTGCCAGGCTGGCACTGGGTTACAGCAGTGGGTAAACAGGTGCCATCCAGCCAGAAATGATGTTCAAGGAGAAAGCACATTAAAGCCATCTTGCTGCTGGAAATATCTGAAGAAGTCCACATTGATGGCAAATGGCCACCATCATGAGCCTTGATTACCCTCTAGTCACCCCAGTCACTCCCCTGAACCCCCTGGGCCTCACTTGGCACAGCAGGGCCCCAGGACCCTCCCCCAGAACCCTGTCAGACTGTTGGCTGCCCACGCAGGTTAAATGTGTGGCTGTCACTGAGCCTCTGCCCTGGGACCACACAGTCGATGGGGGCACAGACATTAAAGGAAATACACAAATAAGTATATAACTTGAAAAGGTAATGAGGGTAATAAGGAAAAGAGATGCCAGACGAAGAGCCAGGGCCCTGGTTTAGGTGGGAGTGGTGCAGTCAGGGCTCTCTGGGGAAGTGAACTTTAAGGTGATACCTGGAGAAGGAACAGGGTTTAGCCAGGTAGGGGTGGGAAGGCAGCATTCCAGGTGTCTCCATGGAGGCTTGCAGCCTGGGCATCCTACGTTCTGAGGTGTCCCCACACCGGGGTGGAGGCAGTGGGGTTTCTCCTGCATGTCATACAAAGAGCACTGGACTAAGTCTGTAGACTTGGTGCTCAGGCCCAGCTCTGCCAGGAACTGTGTGGCCTCAGGCTAGTCACACCCTCTGTGGGCCTCAGTTTCCTCATCTGTCCAAAGGGAGGCCCCTTCAGGCCACAAGCCCTCCCTCCCCAAGCCTGAGGTTTTGAGGAGTCCAGCAAGTTCTGTTCAAATGCCACTTTTCGGGATGCCCCTGATGACTGAAAGGCAGCCAGGGCACGGGGGAGGGGGCCAGAGAGCTCGAGCTGAGAGCTCCAGACATCCCATCCCCTTCTCTGAGTTATTAAGAGCCACCCGGAAGCAGACACAAAGAGAATTGTCCTGAGCTAGATAGAGCCAGCCCCCAGCCCCCAGCCGAGAACAATCAGAGAGGAAAACCAAGGCCATTTGTCCAACACGGAGTGCGGCAGTGACAGCGGCTGGGAAAATGCCGAGTATTTCTCAGCTAAAATTAGCCACCTACTAAACCTTTACATCAAGGGCAACCTGAAGCCTCTATTGTTTTGAACTTGGAATCCCAGAGGACTTGGGGGCAGGGCTTCTCAGGAGAAGCAAATGACCATCCCCTCTCCCAGGGGCTGGGCTAGCCAACACCAAGCCAGTCCTTGAGCCACAGGGGTGCCCAGTAAGGTACCAGGGGACAAACAGACAGACAGGGAGGGAGTCTAGCTGCCCAAAGTCACCAAGCATTGGTGGCTGACACAGCTTCTGGTTGCCCCATTTGAGACATTCTTCCTTCACCAGTGATATTGATGTACTCTGAGCTAAATGGGTGGCAGGGAATGGGGAATGTTGAACTAGAAGAAATTGCTGGAAATATAAGAAAATAACTCTTTATCCTTTCCAGAGGAAGCAGTCAGAATGGGCATCCCTATTTGCTAATGGTGGATAGTTCCTGCCATTGGGGTGGCAAACCTGGCTTAGAATCTTTCCTCTGCCACTTAGTAACTGTCTGACTTTGTACAACTTTAGATAAACAATAGAGATGGCTATTGATACCAACCTCATAAGATTGCTGCAACAATTAAATGAAATAATGTAGAAGATATAGGTATTAGCAATGGTAATAATAAAAACAAGAATGCCGCTTTTGTTCATTAAGTCTTTTTAACATGCCCAGCACTCCTCTAAGCTCATTGCGTGTATTAACATGTCTAATCCATGCTAGAAATACTATTACCCCATTCTGCAGAGAAGGAAATGGAGGCCCAGAGAGGCGAATTTGCAGGAACACAGGTGATGGCCATCATTTATTGTTATTGCCACACAGCAGGTCCTGATTCCGGCTCAGATAGCGAAAGCCTGGCACCATGCTGCTGTGTAATTCCTTCAGCTCCTTTTGAAAAGTCTCCAGCTGAATCATAGAAGTGTTAAGGAAAAGGAAGCTGACATATGTTAAGCACCATTATGTGCACTAAGCGTTTGATATTTCTGTCGGGAGGCAAGAGAGCATAGAGCCGTGTGTGGACTGGCGGCAGCACCTAGACATTTCTTAGAAATGTACATTCTCAAGGCCCACCCCACACCGACTGAATCAGAACTTGGGGGCAGGAGCCTGGGTTTTAGCGAGCACTCCAGGTGGTCCTGGTGCAGGCCATGGTTTGAGTACCACTGGCACCAAGGTTAAAGAGGATGGACTTGGCCGGGCGCCATGGCTCGTACCTGTAATCCCAGCACTTTGGGAAGCCGAAATAGGAGGATTGCTGGAGCCCAGGAGTTTGGGACCAGCCTGGGCAACATAGTGAGACCCCTGTCTCTATAAAAAAAAAAAAAAAAAAAAGAGTATGGGCTTAAAGTCAAAGAGACCCAGATTCAAATGCTGACAACCCTGCTCTGTGACATTAGACAAGTAACTTAATCTCCCTGTGCCTGCAAACTGGGGCTAATGATAAGAATACCTACCAGAAAGAGTTGCGGGGAGGGTTCAGTTAGATAATTATTCCAAGTACTTGGCGCAGAACCTGAGAGCTAGTTAGCACTGTAAATGGTAGCTGTTAACTCATTACCTGAATTACCTGCTAGCACTGAAGAGGTACTAAAGGGAAAGGTGGTTCTTTGTGGCCAGGGAAGCCGTTTAATCCCAGCTGGGGTGAAGCTTCCCCTCTAGGGCAACCTGGCGGGACTGGGGGCCCGGGTAACAGAGGTAACCCTTGCAGGCTGAGGGCATCAGGGGTGTCTGGGATGGACATTTCCTCCCCACCTGGCCTGCCCTGTCTAGCAGGGGCTCCCTGTCTTCCCTGAGCTTATGATGCCAACCAAAGAGACGCGTGAACTAAGAACTTTTCTCCGCCGCTTTCTCAGGGAAACCAGCTCTGAGAATGACGGTCTGGTGATGTGGCGATCCCCAGACCCTGGGCTCATGGGGGCTTCAGCTGCATGCTGTGGCCTGGCAGCTTCCAGGAACATGTCTTTGCTCTCTTCCCCTCCACCCGTGTGTTTTCAATGGTGATTGGAGGCCTCAGGGGAGCCGTGCGCTCCTCTTCCTCCCTAAGGAGAGGCTCTGGGCCAGCCGGGCAGCGAGCACAGTGGACGGGCTCCACCTTCCCTGTGCTTCCACTGCTTGGTAAGGGCCTGCCCAGCCTCTGGGAACCCCAGGCTCTTGGTGAGGCACCACCCCACCCCCACTGCTGGCTGTCCCCAGGTCCCCCATGCTGGCCACATGCCTTAGTGTGATGCCACACTTTCTTTCACACCTCTGGCCTCTAGCTATCTCTGTGAGGTGGGAACGGTGAAGGTGCACCTATTCTACAGAGAAACAAACCGAGGTCCCAGGAGCTAAGACTAGGGCCCAGAGTCACCCACTGAACTGGTGGCCCAAAAGTGTTCTGGTATTTCCTGTCACTAGGCCGTGCTTCTATCCTTTCTTTTTTCACCCCTACCTCATACTTCCTTATCCCTCCTCAAGAAATCCCTAGAAGGGAACTGACAAACTTAGTGCCTGACATGTACCAGGCTCATTTCATGAGATCCTGCAGCTGTGAGGGGAACCAGGCTCAGAGGCAGGGGGTGGTTCCCCCAGCAAATGGGGGCAGGATGGGATTGAAGCAGGTCCCACGCACTCCAGAGCGCCTTCTCCTTGGCTAACCTCCTGCAGGTTTTGGGCTTTTTGCTCCCCTTCACCCTCCCCGCTTCCTGGTGCCCCTCCTGGAGGAGCCCTCTCACGGTGTCCTCAGCTGGATGCCTGCCCTCTGGCCCTTGCACCCTTCCTCTGCTGCTCACTCAGAGGACATGGGGAGCGGGCCGAGCCCTGAGCCAAGGCGGCCCAGCGATTACATCAGCAGGTGCAAACAAGCAGGCGGGAGCAGGGACGGGCGTCCCTCGGGGCTGGAGACGGCACTCCATCCGCCCCACACGAGTCTGTTTCATTCCCTCCTTCTAGCTTGCATCAGCCTTTTGCAGCTCTGTGTCATCACAGAGTGGGCCAAGGCAGCAGCTGGGAGGCTGGGGCAGGGGTGGAGGTGAGGTGTGGGGCTCGCCGGGACCCTGGCAGCCTGGAAGGTCCACTCACTGTTTTTTCCTGAGAATGGAGTACAATATTCCCCCCTTACTCGAGGTCTCCCTGTCCACAGTTTCAGTTACCCATGGCCAACTGTGACACCAAAATATTAAACAGAACATTCCAGAAATCAGCAGTTCACACATTTTAAATTGTGTGTGATTCTGAGTAGCATGATGGAATCTCCCACTGTCTCACTCCATCCTGCCCAGGATGTGAACCATCCCTTTGTCCAGGGTGTCCACACTGTATACACCATCCGTCACTTAGTCACTCAGTGGCTGTCTCCATTATCAGATCGAAAAAAAAATCATCTGTCTAGAGCTTGGTACTATTCAAGTTTTCAGGCATCCACGGGGGGTCTTGGAACGTATCCCCCACAGATACGGGGACTCCTGTAATAGAAATTAGCTAGTGCATAGGGCTGCCCAGCTGGCAAAATATTTTTGTACTTCTGACTTTGGTGTTTCCAACAGCCCTGTCAGTCAAAGCAAGTAAAAGTGGTCCCATTTCTCAGAAAGGAAAATTGAGGCCCAGAGGGAAGTGGCTGCCCAGGGGTTGTCTTGTGAGTCACTGACAGCACCAACGCATTTCACCTCAAGAAGCGCATGGGATTATAAGAGCCTGGAGATTGAAAAATCCCTATAGTCATCAAGTTGGAAGTAGTTAAAGCCTGCTTCCTAGAGAAAGTGAGCTGATTCCTTGGCCGAGGAGGAGACAGCTACTGAAAGAGCTATGGAGTGATTTCTGCACTGATGGTGGGTGGGCAGGCAAAGGGACCATTACATGGCTATGGGGGTAGGCTGGAGGCAGACTGGGCACTGGTCTAAGAAGTCTCGATGTCTGGATTCTTAACCTTGAAAATTTGCTGTGAGCTTCCCACTTGTGGAACTGAAGCTTGGTTATTGCTCTCTGAGCCTCACCACAGGCATGGTCAAGAGGAGGCCCCCAGGAAGTGTTTGATGAATGAGTGAATGAATGAATGAATGAATGGGAGTGAGTGCTTGCTCACCATCTGCCTCCCTTGAAGTGCATCTGTGCAGCCACACAGGCCTTCCCTTTGGCCAGTGCCACCTGTCTCCCCATATCTCACCAGCTGACAACTCAGCTGCTCACCCAAACCCAGGGCCGGGGTCTTTCCCAGCACTGGGACCAGAGAGGCAAACACAGGAACCATGGCCTGCATGCCAGGATGCCCACATTCCAGTCCTGGCTTGGCCTCCTAACTGCTGTGTGATCTGAGGCAAGTTACTACTCCTCTGAGGTCCCCAGGATGTTCCTGGGACTCTGAGTCTACAAGGCCTGGCCTCCCCGGGGCCCATGGAACCTGAGCCCCAGTCCTGCCTTGGGAATGGAGGCCAGAGATGGCTGCCTTCCTCCCTCACCCCTGGGGACTGAGCAGGAATCCAAGTGGCTTCCACATTCAGGAAAATCCAAGGGGAAACCCCTACCCAGTTCCAAGGACCCCTTCTATTCACCCCTTACTGCCAGGCGCTCTCAGGGGCTCTTTCTCCCTCTCCTCGTGGCACCATCTCTACCTCTGTTTATCTCGCCCATTTGCCCTCTCCTTCTCATGCCCATTTCACAGATTGGCAAAGGCCAGAGTCTGGCCACTCCTTTTTCTCTGTCCTTTCTGTGACTTCTTTTATGCCAGTGTGATGCCAAGATAGGAGTGACGCTGCAGCCACAGACTGTTTGTTTGCCCTTGCACAAGTCATTGCCCCTGTCTGGCCTCAGGGTCCCCAGCTGGAGATGAAGGGTCCCCAGCTGGAGGTGAAGGGTCCCCGACTGGAGGTGAAGGGCTTGGATGCAGTTTTGAAGGCCCCATAGCCCAGGATCTGAGCTGCCTCCTGGTGGTGGTGCTGACAGCAGGCAACAGGCAAGGACTGCAGCAGTTTTTCCACTTGGAAATGTGTTTGGCAGTTGCCTCCCCTTTGCGAGGAAGGGTTGTTCGGTTCTAGAGCGTGGCGCTGAGGGAGACGGGGGAAATTTGTGTGCCCTTGGTGCTCTAAGAACAGCCTTAACCCTGGGCTTTCAGGGCGGCATGGGGATGTAAGCACTGTCCTGTCTGGCCTCGTCCGGGCAGCCCCTAGACCCAAGACTGTACCAAGGCATTTTGGACTTTTCTGGGAGAAAGTGACAGGACACTGGGCATCTTCCTGCCCAGAACCCAAACACACAGCCAACTTGACAGCATTGCCAGCCTCACTCCCCGTGCCAGCTCTGCGTCCTTCAGCTCCTCCAGCAACCTGAAACGCGTGGCAGGAGCAGGCAGCCCAGCTGGCCCTCACCCGTCTGACACGTGTGACCGTGCGGGGGCTGGTGGGGGGAGACAGAGAGAGATGCCCAGCGTGTTCTGCTTATGATTCAAAAGTCCTCAGTCAATAGCCTTTAAGGGAAAGCATGGGATATGCAACTTACATGGTGAGACCAGATTTAGGTAACTAAATATTCATGCATCTAAAAAAGTCAGAGAGGATCAACATCCAGTGTAACTCAGCTGGGGTGGGAATGGGGCGGCTTTTATTTTCATCTTTTTTTTTTCTAGATTGTTTACAGTGAGGCTACTACCTTTGTAATCAGAATAAACCCAAACATCTGTTTTCAATTAAAAAAAAAGTTTAGAAAAATGAAGTCCCCCCCCCACAACTTCTCCTTTCCTGGGAGTCTGGTGCACAGTTTCTCTTTCTGGCTCTGCTGCTCAGGTGCTGTGTGATCTGGAGCCAGACCACACCCTCTCTGGTCTCCATCCTTGAGGGCAGTGATTAGATGGTCTGTGAAGTTCCATCAGTTAGTGGAGTCCTGCAGCATGGAATTTCCCAAGGGATGGGCTCCTGTAGCCCAGGTCAGCCCTCCTACCCGCTCCTGCTGCCCAAACCCCCTCTGACTGCTCCCTCCCCCTCCACCTGCCACCCCAGTGCTTGTCCTGTGTCCCCAGTGGGCCCATCTACACCGCAAACAAGATTCCCAGGCCCTCAAGGAACTTGCCTTCCAGAAAGGCAAGTTCCTTTCTGTCCAGAAACAGACAGCAAGCTTACAAACACATACACAAAGCAGGTCATTCCAGAGGGAGGTGAGCCTGCCAAGAGAAAAAAAAAGGCATTGGGGAGATAGCACAGGGAGGAAAGAGAATGGTGCATTTTCACTGGGTGGTCAGGGAAGGCCTCACTGGAGAGGTGGCATTTGAGTTGGGATCTCAATGACAAAGAGTCAGCCAAGAGAATATGTGTGTGTGGGAGGGGTTGGGGGAGGCGCTCCAAAACAAGAGACCAGCAGAGGCGCTGAGGCTAGAACAAGCAAGGCATGTCCCAGGAAAACACGCCTGGTGGGGCTTGGAGCACAGTGAAAGATAGGTGAGTTGGCCGGGTGCAGTGGCTCACGCCTGTAATCCCAGCACTTTGGGAAGCCAAGGCAGGTGGATCACCTGAGGTCAGGAGTTCGAGACCAGCCTGGGCAACATGGTGAAACCCCGTGTCTACTAAAGACACAAAAATTAGCTGGGCGTGGTGGTATGTGCCTGTAATCTCAGATACTTGGGAGGCTGATGCAGGAGAACCCAGGAGGCGGAGGTTGCAGTGAGCTGAGATCATGCCGCTGCACTCCAGCCTGGGTGACAGAATGAGACTCTGCGGAAGGGAGGGAGGGAGGGAGGGAGGGAGGGAGGGTGGGAGGCAGGGAGGGAGGGAGGGAAGACTGGTGAGTCCATGAAGTTAGAGGGTTCTGGGTAGCTTAGGACTTTCTCCAGGGTCACAGAGAAGCCGCAGGAGGCTGTACACCACTAGAGGGCAGGGTTTCTCTCTTATGAGATCACTCTGGTGTTAAGAGGAAAGTGGATTTTAGGGGCAAAAGGAAAGGTAGGGAGCCCAGAGAGAGGAAGGGTCCAGGCGGGAAGACCTGGGCTTGGAGACTGCAGCGGGTGGTGGGGGTGGTCGTGCAGTGTGAGGCACATCTTCCAGGTTCATCTAGCAGCACCAGGTCCCTCCAGCAGCACGGACTGGAAGTGGGGTGAAGGAAAGGGAGCCACCAGGCATCCTCCCAGATGGGACCTGAACAACTGGGTGCTTGGCGGAGTCTAAGATTGCAGCTCAAACTCACCCCATGCCAACCCTGGGTCAGGGAGAGGTGACCTATAAAATAGCAGGTCTGAGTCACAGGTGGGGAGCCTGCCATTGCCTTAGGGGGACAGCAGCATTAACAAAGGCCCACCCTGAGAAAGGCACTGTGGTCCCAGCCTGGGTGGGGCTCTCAGGGTGTCCCCAGAGATAGCTGTGGATGTAACCTGGCTGGGCATGTGTGTGTCTGAGGGGGCTTGCCACCTGTCACTGAGTGGGGGGCCAGGCTGGCCCCAGGCCTTACTCCTGGATCTCGGTTTGGGAGGGGCAGGTCCACAGAGCAAGGGAAGCCAAGTGCTGGAGTCAGGAAGCTGAGACCCCGTCCCCTCCAGCAAGCTAGGGAGCTCCTGAGAGGACAGAACAATAGCTGTCCCTGCTGGGTTTTGGTGGCTGTGACCTCGAACACGCCCTTTCACTCTTCTGCCTCGTTTTCGCATCTGTAAAATGGAACAGCTTCGCAGGGTCATTGTGTTGACAATAATGTGCGCTGTCTCGTTGGAACACACAGGATTTTCAGTGCCAGGTGGTGGGAATATGCTTATTATCTGCAGGAGCATGGATGAAAGGGCTTTGAGCTCCTTGTCTGGGAGAAGAAGGGGAAACAGAATATCCCCTCCTCAGGGCCCAGGCCTCCATCACAGTGACCCCATCGGACCTGAAACTTGGAAAAGGAACCAAAAATTAGCCCCAAGACTGAGCCAAAGGAACCCAAAGCCAGAGGAAGGGTCTGGAGGGAGGGCCTTGGGGGTGGAAGTCAGGGTGGCCAGTGACCCAGTGACTCTAGTGCCCTTTCCAGCTCTGTAAGCAGCGTGGCCCCCATAGCCAGGCCCGGGCTCATCCCAGCACTGCACCTGCCCTGGGGCCTCGACCCCAGCCTCCCATCCACTTCTTCACCTGCCTCACAGTCCTTCGAGGGAGACGTTTCACAGGAGCAGATGGACACCCCCTTCAGGATGCAGGCCCCTGCCCCAGCTGGCCACCTTGGCGAAGCCGCTTCCTGTGACAGCAGAGGAAGTGATGTCAGGGCACAGATGGGTGCAGAGGGTGTGGGAAGAGGGCTGCGTGAGGAGCCACCTTTGTTAGGAATGACTTGGCGTCCCCCGAGCCCGCCAGCCCCCATTTGTCATCGGTAACGGCCATTGTGACCGCCTCCGAGGGGGCCCCTGCCTGAACCCCACAGCCGCAAGGAGCCAGGGCCAGATGGAGGAAGAGCTTTGTGTCCAGGGAGGGGTCCTTCCATGTGAGGTTGTGTGTTTTTAAAACATAATAATAAATTGGCTCCTCTCCCCCAACTCTCCCCACTCCCCACTGAGCACATCAGCCACGCAGTGAATGGGAGAGATTTTCCATGCAGTGGGAGGTCAAGTCTGGGGAGAATTAGCCGGTGTCCAGGGGCTAGAGAAAGACTGTGATTGCTGATGATAAATGTGCCCAGCGTGGGGCGTTTCTCTGTCCTCACCTCCCGCCTGACTCCTCCCCTCCCTGTCCTGAGCCAGTCAGCCCTGGAGACACACAGCCCTGCATGGCTACAGATGCCCACCCCTGGTGGAAGCCTGGGGGTCCCAGGCCTGTGGACAAAAGCCAGCGGTGGGGGTTTCAAGGCCTTCCCTACCAGACCACAGCAGCCTCCCTCTGAGGTCTCCGCCCTGGGCAACAGGGCTGACCGGAAGTGGACCCGGCTGAGATGGATAGCAGGAATTTCCATCCCAGGCATGGGAATCACAGAGCCCAAGCCTTCACCCACAACCCTGCCGTGGCTGTGCTGTCTTTCTGGGCCCCCTGTCCCTCCTCAGTCCTGAATCAGCAACTGGGCTCTGGTCCAGCTTGGCTGTTAATTTGCTGTGTGGTGTTGCATTAGTCACTTCCCCTCTCTGATCCGGTAGAACGCGGGGCTCCAAGGGCTCCAGGCTCTCTGAACGTTGACTTTCTGTGTCTGGTCTACGTGGGCTCAGATGGTGCCAGGCCAAGGAAACAGTCTGTGGGGCTTCTGACCTCCCACACACAGTTCAGCTAGAGAACAGCTCCTGCCTGCTGCCACTCCCAGGCACATGCACTGCCTGTTTGTTTGTTTGTTTGTTTGTTTGTTTTGAGATGGAGTCTTGCTCCATTGCCCAGGCTGGAATGCAATAGTGAGATCTCACTCACTGCAACTTCCACCTCCCAGGTTTAAGCAATTCTTGTGCCTCAGCCCCCCGAGTAGCTGGGATTACAGGCATCCGCCACCACACCCAGCTAATTTTTGTATTTTTAGTAGAGACAGGCTTTCGCCATGTTATCCAGGCTTGTCTCGAACTCCTGACCTCAGGTGATCCGCCCGCCTTGGACTTCCAAAGTGCTGGGATTATAGGCGTGAGCCGCCGCGCCCGGCCCACAGTGCTTGTTAAGAAAGATATTTGCATCTGTTTTCTCAGTTGACCTTTCACAGCAATACCCCAAAGTTGACAGAGCAGGAACTGCTAGTCACTTCTTTATAGATGGGGAAACTGAGGCTCTGAGAGGTCAAACAACCTCCCAAGGTCTCACAGTGCTGGGTGAGGCTTGGAACCAGGACTGTTGGCTCTTGGGTCAGCCTGGGCCCAGGCTCAGAGTCATGGTAAGGGCCACAGCACTCCTCTGGCTTCCCCTAGGGATAGTGACAATCTCCCTCTCAGGAATGTTGGAGCCACCCCCTCCTCTGAGAAGACCCTCTGAGAGGTACAGTGTCTTTACATTTGTCCTGAAGTCATTCCTTCGCCTCCTGGGCCCTCACTCCTGCTCATCCAGGTGGGTCAGATTCTGACACCTCTTATACAAGCTTGTGTCTCCACAGCAGGCACTGCACAGGCCCAGCCCCTGGGAAGAAGCCTACAGACGGGCACAGGGCCTGCTGTCCGACAAGCTCCACTCCACTCCTAGACGGGCGCCCTGTTGCCCATGGGGGACACCAGGAAGAACATAGTGTGTTCCCTGCCCTCCAGGAGCAGCCACCAAAACTGCAAAGGAGGCTTTGAGCTGTCTGACTCAAAACAGACTTGCCAGAAGCAGGAAGGTGCCCTCTAGACCCTAGCCTGGTCACCTCACCCTCCTGCATTTTAAATGGGTGGGTGACATGAGGAACTTGTCCATAAGGAAGCCAGCATGGAGGTGAGAGGTGCAAAACTGTGTCTTCTAGAGAATATTTGGATAAGACAGACTGGGGGACCAGGCTGCAACCTCCAGACTGGGAAGTGCACTGTTTAGTTAGAAGTGTGCTGTTTAGTTAGTTTAGAAGTTAGAATTCTAGGCTGGGTGCGGTGGCTCATGCCTGTAATCCCAGCACTTTGGGAGGCCAAGGCAGTTGGATCATGAGATCAGGAGTTCAAGACCAGCCTGGCCAAGATAGTGAAACCCTGTCTCTACTAAAAATACAAAAATTAGCCAGTTGTGGTGGCGGGTGCCTGTAATCCCAGCTACTCAGGGGGCTGAGGCAGAGAGTTGCTTGAACCCGGGAGGCGGAGGTTGCAGTGAGCCGAGATTGCACCACTGCACTCCAGCTGGGCCACAGAGCGAGACTCTGTCTCAAAAAAAAAAAAAAATAAAATAAAATAGAAATTAGAAGTCTAGCAATGGCTGAATCTCAAATTGCAGCTGTGAGTAAGGAAGGCTTTTCTAACTATTAGGTCTGTCCGAAGAAGAACCTGGCTGAGAAAAGCAGTGATGAATTCCCCATCCCCACAGGTATGTGAGTCAAGGTTGGCTGAGGAGTTGATGGGAGACGTTGGATGAGATGGCCCTTTAAGTAACTTCTATAGAGACTTCATAAAGAGGTCTCATGTAGAGACCTCATAAAGAGACCTCATAAAGAGGCAGGTAAAGGCAAATTAGAGGTGAGAGTTTGGATGGCACCCCTCGGAGGTCCCATCCAGAGGTGCTGGTGGTCATTTTGATCTAAGGCCTGGGATGGGTGGGCTGGAGCATGGTTAGGCGAGCCCAACAGTGTTTCCTCCTCCTCCTTCCCTGGGTTCTACCTACGCTCTGCTTTAGGACCACCGTATAGCAATGGCAAGGAAAGTGACCCTAATTTAAGCAAATTTGCTTTCTGAAGAAAAAAATTTACTCAACAGGACATTTTCACACATGAACAGATTCCCCATAAGGGATCTTTAAACCTCAAAGTGTTAGAAGCAGAGGAGGGCTTGAGAGACTGACTTGGCCAACCTCCTCATTTTACAGACAGAAACTCCAGGGCCTGGGAGAGAATGGCCACACAGCAATGCCAGTCCCCAGCTGGGATGCAAACCCAGGGCCTCTGCCTCCAGCGATCTTTCGTGTCCTTCATTTGACTGTCTTGTCATTACATCTGTGCAGGGATGTGTCTTCTTTCATAGCTTCTTGGCGGGATATCTGGACCATTCTTGGATGCAGCTTTAAAGGCAGGCTGCACTTTTGCAATTTAGGCCCAAACGAGTTCTACTCTTGGGAAAAAACACTTCATGTGGGAATTTTCCTGCCAGCAGGAAACCCAGATCCGGCCTGGCTGAGGCAAGAACTTCTAGGGGAGCCTGTCTTAGATGTGGTTCCTCTGTAGAGACGGAGCAGCAGGAAGTCCTGCAGAGAGGCCAGGGAGGCAGGGCTGAGAGACATGGCTCAAGCCTTGCTTCCTGCCATCGACCAGGTGACCCTTCATGTCCCTTGTTGCCCCTCGTTTTCATTTGTAAAATGGGAAGAATTGCAAGGAGTAGCACATAGTAGACCTAAATGCCCATTTCCAGTTCAGCAGAGCTCGGAAGACAGATTCTAGTATCAGATCACCTGAATTTGCCCCCTAGCGGTGCCACTTACTAGCTTTATAGCTCTATGCCAGTCACTTAAACGCTTTTGGTCTCAGTTTCCTCATCTGCACTGTGGGGATAATAATCATATCCAACTCATAGGCTTGTGGTTCCCAAACTACCTGCCAAGTTATCCCAGGGTTCATCAGCACACTCACAGGGAAGCTGTGGGATATTTTTAATGTGGGAGACACGGTAATACTAGATAGCTGTCAGACACTGCACCAACAAGTAGCTCCAGGTAGCTCAGTTTCAGCATCATATCACTCTGTTTTCCTTTATTTGGCACCATATCTTTGCAAAGCTGGGATTGTGGCACTTGAGTAACCCATGACAAACAGTAAGAATAGTGGTGTCCGCTTGGATTCCAAAGTTTGAGAAGTTGTGCAGTGCCCGACAGGTGCACACATCCCTGTTCGTAAGTCTTTGTGGCTATTAGGAATGGGATAAAAATATATTTTTTCTTTCAATTTATCCTAAGATTTTAGGATATAAATATTTACAAAGCTGTTTGGATCTAATTACCTAATACATTCCTGTTAGGGACTTCTTTTTGGCCTTGGGATAGCTTAAAAAAAATTACTGAGGCACTAAAAATCAAAACGTTTGTGCATCTCTGTCTAGGGTTATTATGGAGCTCATTGAGTTCATATGAACCACTCTCTGAGCGGCGCCTGGCAGGGTAAGCATCCAGGAACCCCGAGACCCCATTATTCTCCCACCCAGCTGGTATCCGTGCAGCCTGGCCATAGGTCGCTCTCATCTAGCCCACCTTTCAAGCCTTCCTCAGTCACTGGGGCCCAAGCCAGGGCCAAGGAGAAGTGAGGGCTCTCGTTGTTTTGGAAACAGAGTCTCACTTTGTCGCCCAGGCTGGAGTGCAGTGGTGCGATCTCCACTCACTGCAACCTCCGCCTCTCGGGTTCAAGCAGTTCTCCCACCTCAGCCTCCCGAGTAGCTGGGATTAGAGGTGCACACCACCATGCCCGGCTAATTTTTGTATTTTTAGTAGAGATGGGGTTCCACCGCGATGGCCTGGCTGGTCTCGAGCTCCTGAGCTCAGGCAGTCCACCCACCTCGGCCTCCCAAAATGCTGGGATTACAGGCGTGAGCCACTGCGCCCGGCCTACTCCCTTACTGAAGTTGCATTCACTGTGCACCTGCTGTGTGCTGGCCAGCAGAGTCCACTCATGGTCCCTCCAGGCAGGAACCTCAGGTGGGCCTCTCATTCTTCCTTATGTCCTGGCAGTCTCTGCCTCCAGGACACCTAGGGTATAGGGACAGCAAGAGGGCAACAGCTACATCAAGAGCCATCCGGTACTGCTGCAACAGAGAGGCACAGAGGGGACACTTGGCCTGCGCCCCTGCCAAGGCCAGAGCTGAATCTTTGCACCAGGGCTGAGAGGAGGGGCGGGGTAGGAAGAGTAGGGCGGTGGGGCTGCCAGACGCAGGGCCTGCTGCACTAATGGATGTCTAATGTTTGCTTTCCTCAGTCATGTCTGCACCCACTTAATAAATGGTCTGCATTAGAGTTATAAAACAAAGTCATAATACAGCCTGCAGTGCTGCAGAGCACAGAGGCGGCTGTCACCCCGGGGCTGGGGGTGGTGCGGTTAGAAGATGGGGGCAGGCACGTGACATGCACCCATGGGCCCCCATGCCCCTTCTCCTGTGGCCATGACCTGCCCCCAGAGGGAGGCTCAATCCTGCCATTTCAAAGATGAGCTGCCTGAGGCCAGCAAGGGGCTGGTTCAGACCCAGGGGCCTCTTGAGTCTGAAGGCAGAGCTCTGTCCCACACCCCTCAGGGCTGAGACGGAGACAAGATGCTGGTGGTGGGTGGTGGGCATGGAGCCTGGCAGGTTCTCTGCTGCCCAGATGCCCTCCTGGCTCCATCCTGCTATCTCAGAGCTGTCTGGCCTGGCAGGGAGGCCTCAGTGGCCATCTCAGGGCATGCACAGCAACCAGCTCTCAGGCCACTGAAAGCCAATGTTCAGCTCCCTGGGTTGTGATCAAGTCACTGTGTCATCTCCTCATCAAATCCCCAAGCAGCCCTAGGGGGCTACCAGTTTGCCTATAGTGAATGTATCCCTGTACCTGGCAGTGGGAAGCAGGTGTCAGGGAGCCCTGGCCTGGCCTCAGGAATCTGCCTTGCTCTTCCCACATTAGCTACCCACTCACCGGGTGGCCTCGGGCAAGTCATGGGAACCATCTGAATGGTCTTCAGTTTCCTCTGCTTTGAAATGAGGACATTTCCAGCCTTGCAGGTCCCTTGATGAGAGAGCCCTGTGGACTGTGGAGTTCTGGCCCTGTCAGGGTGCTATTAGGATTCCTGGGTGTGGAGACACCTACACCATTACAGAGCTACGTAGATCAATGATAGGTGGTGTGGAGTCTGGGGCAACAGCCCAAACGCTGAAGTCTTTTCTCAGGTTCAAACTTTTGATCTGCCTCTTGTTAGCTGTATGACCTTGGACAAGTTGCTTAACCTCCCTGAGCCTCCCATTTACCCATCTCTAAAATGGGGTCTAATAGAACATACCTTACAGGGTTGGTGCCAGAATTCGATAAGTTAACAACTTAAATTCCTGCAAACATAGCACCTGATGCTGGGTGAGCCTTAGTTGTTCGTTCGATGCAGCAACATGTACGTACCTACTGTGTGCCAGGCACCGCCTAGGTGTTCATGCATGTTTGTCTCATCCTCAGAGCAGCCCAGAGACGGGGTAAGGTTGTCCACCTCTTGTGCTCATCAGACATAACGAGGTAGGTGTTAAGGTTCTCTCCCTGGGCCCTACAGAACATGCTGGATGGAGCTGGAGTCATGTGTCATCTTGTTAGCTACCCCACCCCCACCGCCCGTACACACACTGCCCAGGGCCTAGGCCCCAAGCCAGTGATAGTTCATGCATTTTCTCCTAAGCTCCCCAGTCTCAGCATGGTCTCCTGGTCCACAAAGAGAAAGCATAGTCAGACATTCTGTTCTTGGAAAACCAGGTGTCCCCTTGGCCCCTCTGACTGTAGGGGGGACTCCCTAGAGCCAGATGTGGCCTCCTAGACCAGAGAACAAGTGCACGATCCCAGTGGCCACACAGGCCTCCCGGGACACCACCCGCTCCCCTCCCTCCGCTGTAGGTGGGGCCTCTAGCTGGAGGGGCTGGGCGGCCATGCGCCACCCCACAGCTTCATTCACTGTGTCCTCTGGGCAGTTAGCAGAAGAGGACAAGCCCCCAACGGCTTGTGCCCAGCCACCTGATCATTTGGCATTTGGCACTGGAAAATTCATTTTTCTAGGTGGATTGTAAACCAGCAGGTCAATGGCCTGGTTTCCCCCGCTTCTGGGCACTGGCGGTGGCCACACCCCCCTTCCTGTTTGTCTCACCTCCTGAGGTGCAGTTCTTTCCAGGGAGACGGTGGGCCAGGATTTCCATCTGGCCCCCTTTGTGGGAGGAGACTGCCACAGGCACAGCCCCCATCTGCTCTGAAGTCTCCTCATCTGCTGTGCTGAGGGCTGGATCTGGCTGGGGTGGGGGTTGGGAAGAAGAGGCCAAGGGATGGGTGAGAGCCACAGACCATGGGAGGTGAGCTCTGTGAGGAAGCTTCTGGGAAGGAGGGCTTCCCCTGGGAGAGGAGACCTGCAGGGGGCTGAGCACCATGGAGTCCAGGCCTGCTTCAGCCGGCTCATCCCACCCCTGCCCCGCAGCCCTGGCTCCTGTCCCGCTTGCCAGCCTGGCAGGGGCTGCAAAGGGCAGCTGTGACTCCAGGGCAGAGCTGGCCTGGTTTGAGCTCCAGCCCCGTTTCCAGCCCATTGCATCTCGTGGCGTCACCATGAGGAACTGGATAGAAGCCGGGCAGGGACAGTGGAGCAGACGTTGTGGGGGGGCCCAAGGGGTGTCCTCACCCAGACAGATCGCCTCCCCTCCCGGGACCTCCTTGGCCTCTCTGTCTGTAATGAAGTACAGTCACACAGCATTGCAGAGTGGGAACTGGCTCTTTATAAAGCCCAGCCTCTTAAAAGCAGGGCAAGATGGGAAACTGAGGCCGCAGGAGTGCCAGACTTGACCCCGGTTGCAGATTACGTCCCCAGGAGGGCTCTGGCTGCCCCACCTCTGCCTCCCCTGTCCTCTTCGTCTGCGGTGGGCCCCCGGGGTGGGCGAGGGGTGCCACAGGGCCCTCCCAGCACACAGCCTCATGGAGGTCTCCACTCACTCTGCAGGCACTGATTCTGGCAGCGAGGTGCTCCCTGACTCCTTCCCGTCAGCGCCAGCAGAGCCGCTGCCCTACTTCCTGCAGGAGCCACAGGACGCCTACATTGTGAAGAACAAGCCTGTGGAGCTCCGCTGCCGCGCCTTCCCCGCCACACAGATCTACTTCAAGTGCAACGGCGAGTGGGTCAGCCAGAACGACCACGTCACACAGGAAGGCCTGGATGAGGCCACCGGTGAGCCCGCCCCACTTGCCTGGGCACCCCAGGACACCCCAGGCCCAGAGGCACAGGCCTAGCTCCATGTGAGACTTCACACAGCCATGGTGCCCCCTTGGATTAGCATTTCCCCAAGTGCTGGCCACATGTCCCAGCCTGACTTTGGGACCATCTCCACTGCATTGGACAGCACCGAGTGCCCTGTGAGCCCTCACTCCCTTTTCCACTTTCCATCTTTCTGCTTCTGTTAGGGAGCAAGTTCCCGTCAGGTGGGGGTTCTTGAGCCCTCCCAAACACCTGCTAATCTCCCTGTTTAACAAAGAGGGCAGGTCTCTGCCTCACAGCCCTGGCACCCCACGGCACCGACCCAGAATTCAATGCAATCGTTATTTTTACAGTTCCCTTCTGTTTGTGGAAAGTGATACTGGTTTCCATTCACAATAATGATATGGCATTTCCTGTGTTGAAATAAATTGTTTTAGGTTAAAAAGAAAAAGTTGATAGTATTAAGTAAATAACCATCCAAGTGGTGCTGGGATGTAGACCAAATCTGGAGGGAAAGAGGAGAGCAGCTGAAACTGGGAAACTCGAGGAAGCCTGGGGTCCCTTCCTTCTCGGATATGTGGGGAGCTCTCGGTACTCCCAGAGGAGGAGGCAGAGCCCTGGGGCTCCCCACATCTCCCAGAACTGGGCCTGCCCCCAGGGTGCCCTCGAGTCTAAGTGAGGGGCTCTTGCTCACTTGTCACCAGGTCCCTGTTGATAGTGCAGGAGCCCTCGGGGTGAAAAGCCCTTCCTGGGGCTTAAGACAGGCAGATGGGACCCCCCCTTCAGTCACCTGACAGAGCCAGCCTACCCCAGACTCAGGGGGCTCCCGAGTAGCCTTCCTGGGTTTTGTTTTGTTTTTCCCGTCTCTTTCTGGATCCTTTGCTTTCTCCTTCTTCAGCTCTGTTTATTTCCCTGCCTCTCCCTGCTCATTTCTCTCTCTCTCTTTTCCCTATGTGCCTGTTTTGCTTCTTTCTTTTTCTCTTCATCCCCCTCTCTCTGTCTCACTCTCTGTCTCCCTGACATGCTGTCTCACTGTCCTTCTTTCCCCCTTCTTTAGTTTCTGTTTTGTCATGTAAAGCTCACAGATTTCAGAAACAGTCAGGCTTAAAACCATACTCTAGAATGTACTCGAGGTCACTGAACCATATGCTTACAAATGGTTAAAATGCTAAGTTTTATAGAATGTGTATTTTACCACAATTTAAACATAATTTTAAACAATAGATTTGGAGTCCCATGCTCACCCAAAATATAAAAATGGAAAAAGGAATTTTTTTTTTTTTTTGGAGACAGAGTCTCGCTCTGTCACCCGGGCTAGAGTACAGTGGCGCAATCTCGGCTCACTGCAACCTCCGCCTCCCAGATTCAAGCAATTCTCCTACCTCAGCCTCCCAAGTAGCTGGGACTACAGGCGCGTGCCACCATGCCAGGCTAATTTTTTGTATTTTTAGTAAAGTTGGGATTTCACCGTGTTAGCCAGGATGGTCTCAATCTCCTGACCTCGTGATCCCCCGGCCTTGGCCTCCCAAAGTGCTGGGATTACAGGCGTGAGCCACCACACCCAGCTAGAAAAAGGAATTTTTAAGGGGAAACAAAACAACACATATTTTCCAGCTGCCCCCACTCTTTTTCTGAGTGACCCTGGGGAAGTCACTCAACCTCTCTGAGCCCCAGTTCTTCTCTTCGTAAACTGGGAAGTTGACTGAAGGTCCTGGTGAGGGTAGAGCCAGGTGGCGTACACATAGCACAGAACAGCATGCCAGGGCCCAGCAGGCAGTCGATAAACACCTGCTTCCTCTGTCCTCTTTCCGGGCTTTCCTTGGCCTCTTTCTCTCAAACGGTCCTTACCTCTCTGCCCACTGAGCCCCTCTGGCCTGTATCAGAGGTCAGCCATCGGGGTCCAGGCAAGGCGAGGGAACAGTGTGCCTGCTGGGGCCCCTCACAGGCCGTTAGCATAGTAATAATAACCCTGTGATTATTACTAATAGTAACAGCATGGCCCTTACCAAAACCCTGCCACCAGGCACACAGGCCCTGCCAGCCCTAGAAATTGGGGCACTGTTGTCCCCATTAGCTGCAAATAATGGGCAGAGCTTCCTTGGCAGTGGTGGGGCCTGATTCCACTTCAGCCTCCTACTCTCTAGCCTTGGTCTGAGGCCTGAAAACACAGAAGAGGACAGCTGGGGGCCAGGAGAGGCAGAACAGCCCCCCACCAGCTTATGCCAGATTGGGGCAGGCAGCCCAACCCTGGGTGTCCTGGGCCAGGCATTGCCATGCTTGGGAGGGCAGTCTGATGCTGGGCCTCAAGCCTGGGAGACCGAAGGTCCCTGTCCTATGCTCCCTGCATCTCTGCTTGCTGGTGATCATGGATGAGGTGTCACGCCTCCTCCCTGGTGGTTGTTTCCTTCTATCCAGCTATTGGTGCTGCTGAAACCTTCTTGCATGGATGACCCCCTTAAAAGGGCACACTCTTACAGGTTCACAGTCTGGTAAGCAAGGGGCAGGGGCTGTGCTCCCTGGGTCATGCATCATTGACTGTGGAGCCAGCCTGTGGGCAGCCATGGCAGGCAGGCACTGTCACCCACCCCTGAAGCAGCCTCTTCCCTGGATGGCATACCCCTAGCCACCTCCCATTTACATCCTTGGCCATCAGGACGGGGCTGTCCCCCATCTGGACTCCCTGCACAAGGACCCCACCCTCCTCAACAATAGGAGAGTTACAGCAATGACTTCATCAGGAGAGGTCCAGAGAGGAGTTGTGGGGCCGGGCGCAGTGGCTCATGCCTGTAATCCCAGCACTTTGGGAGGCCGAGGCGGGCAATTCACGAGGTCAGGAGATCGAGACCATCCTGGCTAACACAGTGAAACTGTGTCTCTACAAAAAAATACAAAAAAAAATTAGCCAGGCGTGGTGGCAGGCGCCTGTAGTCCCAGCTACTCGGGAGGCTGAAGCAGGAGAATTGTGTGAACCCAGGAGGCGGAGGTTGCAGTGAGCCGAGATTGCGCCGCTGCACTCCAGCCTGGGCAACAGAGCGAGACTCCGTCTCAAAAAAAAAAAGAGAGGAGTTGTGGGTGAGGGGACCAAGCTCTAACCTGGGAAAGACACCAGGGAGCTGACCTCTGCTCTGCAACAGCTTGCTAGGGGACTTGGTGCCTGCCACCTACCCTCTCTGAGCCTCAGTTTCTTCAAAGGTAACAGAAGAAGCTGGTTGAGATCCAGATGACCTGCCAGAGTATATTTGTGTCTGGCCCGGGCTGGGCGCTGTGGCGGAGTAGTCACCATAACTTGTCTAGAGTTTACCTTGAGAGTTTACTATGATGAGGGATCTGAGGCTCAGAGAGACTGAGTAACTTCACAAAGGTCACCCAGCTGGGGTTTGAGGGTGGGGCCAGGACACAAACCTGTCCAGCCATCCAACCCTGTCCTTACCCACCATGCCACCGGCTGTGCGTACCTTAACAATCCATGGTGCAATGAGAGGATGAGATAGGACACATCGTGGCAGGGAGGAGCAGCTTTAGAAATTCTGAGACACAAGGCAGTCAGGGAGGCTTCCTGGAGGAGGAAGAGGGCTCTGTAACCTTTGGGGAGGAACTTCAGATGAATGTCCCCTTTCCTGGCAGGTTCCCCCCTTTCCTGAGCATGGAGGGCTTCGTTGAGGGATGGTTAACAGAAAACCGAGTGACCCCCTTGTGTAGGCCGGTAGGTCCTGTTATGTAGGGAGTTTCCCAGGCCCTGACCGGGGAGCCATTGAGAGATCAGGGGCTCCCTGGGAGAGGGACTTCCTCAGCTCCAGGCCCACAGGGCCTGAGTAGTGACCAGGGAGAGCAGGCATCCCACCTCTGCACGTGCTGAGCCCCCTTTCTGTGCCAAGCCCTGGGCCACAGCAGCAAGCAGGACAAAGCCCCATCTTGTTCTCCTGCAGGAGACAGACATTTAACACATGAATGCGTCCATAAATAATCTGAGTCCAGCTAATGGTGGGTGCTGGGAGGAGACGAAGCTGGGTAGGGGAGTGACTGCTGCATAGACGAACTTCCGGGCACAGTGGTGGGAGTGCCGAGCAGTGCTGGGAGAGCTGTCGGGGAGGCGCAGGGTGGAGGGGGCTTTCCTCGGGAAGTGAGGCTGATCCGAAATCTGGCAGGGACTGGGAGGCCACCAGGCCCAGAGGAGACAGAAGATTCCAGGCAGGGGACTGATGTGCAAGGGCCCCGTGGCTGCAGAGCCAGGGAACATGAGGGCCTGGAAGACACCCGGTGAGGCTGCAGTGGGATGGGGATGGTGGATGCACAGTGCAGCTCAGAGCCACTCCTGGGGATGACCCTACCCGCCTGCAGGCCACTGAGACCCCGCATGAAGGGTCTCATAACGGGGGGAATGACACACCACTTGTGCATTTTGGAGATGACACTAGCTGCCAGGTAGAAGATGCATTGGTGGGGCAGAGGGCTTGTGTTAGCCACTGCAATGTGCAGGTGAGTGGCCATGAAGCTTGAGCCAGGGTGGAGACAGGAGACAAGAGGAATGGAGGGAAAGGCACTTGGGCAAGAGTGCCAGCAGGATCCGAGGTGGAAGGCCGGGGGTGTCCTGTGCCTCACATCCTTGCTTTGCCCCTGCCCCCTGACGGCTCTCTCTTCTCCTCCCAGGCCTGCGGGTGCGCGAGGTGCAGATCGAGGTGTCGCGGCAGCAGGTGGAGGAGCTCTTTGGGCTGGAGGATTACTGGTGCCAGTGCGTGGCCTGGAGCTCCGCGGGCACCACCAAGAGTCGCCGAGCCTACGTCCGCATCGCCTGTACGCCACCCTGACCCCCACCCTGTCCCTGCAGGAACCTTCCCCATCCCTGAGGATGCTGGAGAGGGAACTTCACATCTGTGGGGCCTCCTCCAGCATCCCTGGCTGAGGATGCCCACGGCAGAGACATCCCAGCACATGGATGCCAGCTCAGAGAGGGCTCCTAGACCCAGAACCTAGGCCTCTTTTCATCTACTTCTGTATAAAAGAAGCTGGCAGCTTCCTCCCCCATCCTGAGCCACTATATGCTTAGGATCCCAGAGTCAGGGAGGGAACCCTGTTCCCCCAAGTCTGCCTAGTGAGACCCCTCCTTTGGAGAAGAGGAAATTTCCCAGGCAAAGGCCAGGTGGGCCCATCAACAGTACCCTGGGTCTGCACTGCCACCCAGTGGCTACAGTGTAGCACATCAGGTTCTGATCCTGCCCGCACCTGACTGCCTTGGGACCCTCTCGCTTCTCCCAGACCTGCGCAAGAACTTCGATCAGGAGCCTCTGGGCAAGGAGGTGCCCCTGGACCATGAGGTTCTCCTGCAGTGCCGCCCGCCGGAGGGGGTGCCTGTGGCCGAGGTGAGCGGGGACGTAGGGACCACTGAGCACGGCCCTGTGGCCATGCCTGCAGAAGCCAGGCAGGCATGGTATTTACCACCAGCCATGGTGCTAGTCTCCCAGAGCCCTGCCCCTTTCGCAGATGAGATCGAGGCTTAGCACAGAGAAGAGAACTGTTACCTCTGTCGAACGCAGCAATGCCAGATCCCAGCTGGGTCTGCCACAGGCATAACCCCACGGGATGGGGTGGCTAAGGCAGAAATCCCCAGAACTCAGGGGCTCCTTAGGTAGACCTCCAGCTCAGTCTCTATCTCCTGCCCCACCCAGAACCCAAGGCCCCAGCTTTCTGGATGCGAAAGGATCCCATCATGCGTGTGTGTGAGTGTGTTCTCCCCCACGAGCTGATCACCCCTTCCTGAAACCACAGTCTTTGGATTGCTGTCCTCTCTCGCCATCCTTACCTATGTTCCAGACATACTCCCTGCACTGGTGGTCCAGGGATTAGAGCTGCATCTCAGCTTTGCCCAGCAGAGTGGACGGCTGGGGCAGTCAGGACCCTGACTTCCAGCCTGGGATCAGCCCTCTCTGATCCCAAAACCATGCACTCATCATTCAGCCTCTCCCAGCCCAAACCCTCCTCTGCGTAGTGGGCTCAGACAAATACCCCTGGCCCATATATGCTAGGCACTTAGCACGCTGGTCTCTGCAACAACCCTGCAAAGTGGATGTTACCATTCCATCCCACAGCAAGGAAGCAGGGCTGGGAGGGGCCCAGTGGCCACCTAGGGTGAGGCAGCTGGTGAGTGGCAGAGCTGGGGTTTGGACCCAGGTCTGCCAGACCCGGGGACCTTCTTCGTATCACCTCCCAGGCTTTTCTTCCTGGCTAGCAGAGCTGGGAGGAGTTAATGATGAAGACAGATACTCCTGGCTAGCACCTATTTAGTTAGTTTAACTCAACTTCCTCTGAGCATTGTTCTCGGCACCTTACACATGCTAACTCATGTAATCCTCGCGATGGATCCCTATGGGGTAGGTGCTATTCAATTCCATCTTGCAGTTGATGAAATTGAGTCCCTGAGTGGTAAGTCCCCTCCCAAGACCACCCAGCTGGCAAATGGTGCTCTTAACCCCAGAGCTGTACAGTGTCCAGTGCTATAGTCCCACCAAGGCCCTGCCTCACTGCCACGACTATGGCGTGGACCCAGGTAGAACTGCCCTTCTTCTGTTTATGATCAAACCTGTCCTGGGCCCTCACTGCCCCCTCACCCCCACTCTTGCAGGTGGAATGGCTCAAGAATGAGGATGTCATCGACCCCACCCAGGACACCAACTTCCTGCTCACCATCGACCACAACCTCATCATCCGCCAGGCCCGCCTGTCGGACACTGCCAACTATACCTGCGTGGCCAAGAACATCGTGGCCAAACGCCGGAGCACCACTGCCACCGTCATCGTCTACGGTGCGGGCCTTTCGGAGTGGGAGGGGCAGACACGGCCAAGGGAGGGAGGAGAGAGCCTGGGGGTAGGGGGGACCCCTGGATTGGTAGGGAGGATGCAGCCCAGAGAGGGGAAGTGAATTGACCAAGATCACAACACAGCAGAATTCATGGCCAAGTTGGGCATTCCTGGGTTCCCAGCCAGGAACACTCCCCAGTTCTCAAGATGCCTTGCCTAACTCTGAAGGAGTTCTCCAAGTCTGGGGGCTGAGGCAGGGCCCAGTCAGTATGTCCAGAAGGCTGTTGTCCTGGTAGAGTTAAGGACCATTGCCCAGGCTTGTGAGCTATTCTCTGCTGCCCCCTTGGGCCCTATGGGTGGGAGGAGTGGAGCCACAGCTGAGGTGACTTGACAGAGTTTTAGAAAGAACCTTGTGCTAGGTTCCAGCTGCAGGCAGTCCCAGGCCCCCATCACTCCCAGGGTGACCCTGGGGAAGTGGCAGCCCTTTCTGGACCTTCTTTGCCGTCTTACAATGAGGTGGGGCATAGACAGTGACTTCCCGGATCCCCTCTGGTGCTGACGGTTACAGCCCAGCTCTATCTGCCAGTTCTGAGTCCCTACACTGTAGGCAAAAGGGGTCTCACTAGGAAGGCCAGGCTTCAGCAGAGGGGCCTCGTCAGGGTGAGGGACGGGTTTGGGGGAGGGCAGAGGGTTCCAGAGCCAAGCCATCCAGTTGACAGCTGCCGCCTTGCAGTGAATGGCGGCTGGTCCAGCTGGGCAGAGTGGTCACCCTGCTCCAACCGCTGTGGCCGAGGCTGGCAGAAGCGCACCCGGACCTGCACCAACCCCGCTCCACTCAACGGAGGGGCCTTCTGCGAGGGCCAGGCATTCCAGAAGACCGCCTGCACCACCATCTGCCCAGGTAAGGAGCCTTGTCCATGTCCAGCCCCACCCCGAACCCTGTCCCACCTTCTGTTTTGTGTGCCAGAGCCGGGACAGCCATTCTCTCCCCAGCATGGGGAGCAGAAGGTGCTTGTCCCGAGCCCACAGCCGGCTGCCCAGGCTGACTAGATGCTCTGATCTCTGACCCCTTATTCTGCCCTGGGCTGCTGGTGAGATGGAGGCAGAGGCTTTGAGGGTTAGCCCCTTCTCCCTGACCCTCTAGCCTGGGCTCTTCTGCCCTCCAAGCTGAGGGTTCTCAGTGTCAGCATGTCAGCCCCAGGCCAAGGTTTCAGAGCTCCCCGGCCTCAGGGACAGCCTGTTGCTCCTGACTGTTAAGACACACCGTGGCCACAGACCCTATTCATACTGACAGTCCTCCTATTCCTCTCATCCTCTGTGCAGCCCCTCTGCTCCCCTACCCCCGCACATGTGCTGTGTTCTCTCCCTTGGGTTGTATGTTTGTGCCTACGCTGTTTTTCTTTACCCTGGGTTTGTGTCTGTGTGTGTAAATCGTGCACTGGGCTATATCGTGTTGATGACCTTATACATCTATCTGTACCCTCTTTGTCCACCTGCCAGGTGCATCTGGCTGTTCATTGGCATGGGGTTATGTGGATATCATGTGGATTTCTCTGTGTGGCACACATGTGTTCTGGGTTCCTCATTTCCTTCCATGGTGTGTATGCATGCATGTGTGTTGGCACATTGCTCTGTTCTGCACACATAACTATGTGTGCACATGTCTCTGCGTGCACATGCTCCTGTATGCCATGCTCTTACAGTCGATGGGGCGTGGACGGAGTGGAGCAAGTGGTCAGCCTGCAGCACTGAGTGTGCCCACTGGCGTAGCCGCGAGTGCATGGCGCCCCCACCCCAGAACGGAGGCCGTGACTGCAGCGGGACGCTGCTCGACTCTAAGAACTGCACAGATGGGCTGTGCATGCAAAGTGAGTCACAGGGAAGGTGGGGCCCTGGGGGTGGGGACTCTGGAGCCATGTAAGGGTCCCCCAAACCCGGCCCCATGCCTCAGTGCCCAGCCTGCAGCACGGCAGTCCTCAGGGCCTCTGTCCCCCCACCACATCCATCATCTCATCTCATCCTTCCCATTGCCTTCTCTGCCACCCTTTCCCTGTCACCTATGTCATTGTCTTTCCCTTTATTTCCCTTGACAGATAAGAAAACTCTAAGCGACCCCAACAGCCACCGTAAGTCCCATTTCATGGCTGTCCTCTTTCCTCTGGGGGATCCCTGGTTCTCTTTGGCTGGCTTTTCCCGGGATCAGGGTGCAGGGCAGGGAGAGCTGAAGGTGCCTACCCACCCCCCACGGGATCATCTACACCTGACACTGCATGTGTCTGCATCTCCATCACCGGCAGACAGGCAAACCCTTGGCTGACAGAAAAGAAAGGCCTTAGGGCACCCTACTGAGCCTCCTCTCATAAGAGGGGAAACTGAGTCACAGAGAGAGGAAGGGACTTGGCCAGAGACACAGGCAAGAAATAGTAGAGCCAAGATTTGAACCCAAATATTTTTATAGCCAAAGCTGTTGTTCTTAACCATATGCCCTTGGCCCTCCTCTCTGGGCCAAGGCCGGGACATCACCACTCCAGTCCCCCCTCATGCCCCTTGCTGTACCTCTCTGCCCCAGCAGCTGGGCCAAGCCTCCCAAATTGTCTCTGTTGCCCGCTGCCCTGCGTCAGCTCTGGAGGGCTCACCCTCCAGCCCCAGAGGCTGCGCCACCACTGCAATCATATCAGAGCAGCAAAGCCACTTGAGCAGGTTGGCCCATGGTAATTAAACCACAATTTCCAGTTAGTTCTGGAATCATAAAATCAGTGAGGCCCTCGGCCGAGCTCACTGGGGGTCGGGCTGGGGATGATTCAAGTGTAAGTCACCAGGCAAGTGGCCCCAGTGTCAGTGAAGGCATTAGGAGGCAGAGCCAAGCTGGGGGAACCATTTCTCTGCTGAACCAGGAGCCCAGCCCTGAGGGGTCCTCTGGGGAGCCCAAGAGTGAGGGCTGCTGAGGAGAGATACAGGGGGACAGAAGTCGGAAGTGGGCAGACATCCGGGGCTGGGAGCCATGCCCTGCCTTGCTGAAAGCCTTAGGCTGACGCCAAGTGCAGGGTGTGGAGGACTCCAGGCAGAGGAAGCAGGGCTACTTCTCTGAGGGCCCCCCAGGGAGGAAGTGCGTGGACAGGTGCTTCCTGGAGCTCCCAAAGGAAGCAAGGGGAAGAGCAGCCATCTTGGCCGCCATTTTTGCTCTCCCTGAACTGCCCAGTGTGAAAGCCGTTCAAACTTATACTTAGCTTAATTAAAATTAAATAAATTTTTAAATTCAGTTCCTCAGCGGTACTGGCTACATTTGAGTTGTTCAGGAGCCATATGTGACTAGTGGCTGCATACGGGACAGTGCAGCCATAGGATTTTCTACCACTGTAGAAAGCTCCACCAGACAACCCTACTTCAGACCCTGCCACTTTGACCTTGAGGCTTCCCGCCTGGCCATGTTTGCCTGGGGGAGGAAAGTGTAGCCGTGGGTTGCCTCCCTGGGCCCATCCTTCTTCCCACATGCTCACCTCTTCTCCACCGCATTGTTGTGCATCTCATTCCACTTCTTCAGCTCCCCGTCCCTCCACTTCCCACCCTCAGAGCATGGAATGGAAGAAGAGTTCAGAACAGCTACTTACAAAGATAACAGAGCCAGAAGACCTTATCTACATACAAAGATAACAGAGCCAGGACCTTTGGTCCTCTGGAAATTGCTACAGACTCAGAGGTTTCAGCCCCAGCACTCACAGGGCAAATTATGTAGCCCCAGTGACTCTGAGCCACAGACCCTGTCTCATCAGCAGCAAGCAATGAATTAACACATGGCATGAACATGTTTGTTCTTTTGTTTCTCATGCCACAACTAGGAGGGCAGTAAGGCAGGGACTTCGAGCCCATTTTACCGATAGAGAGGTTCAAGGCTAGCCCGAGGTTGCCAGCCTGTGTAGGCAGGGCTCAGACTGGAACTCAGCACCGGGCCGGTTGGCCCTGGGCCCTGCCCTTTCCAGGGACCCAGGGCCTCCCTGATTGCCCCAGGGCCTGGTCTCTGCTGCCCCTTATGTGGTCCTCCTGTCCCCGCAGTGCTGGAGGCCTCAGGGGATGCGGCGCTGTATGCGGGGCTCGTGGTGGCCATCTTCGTGGTCGTGGCAATCCTCATGGCGGTGGGGGTGGTGGTGTACCGCCGCAACTGCCGTGACTTCGACACAGACATCACTGACTCATCTGCTGCCCTGACTGGTGGTTTCCACCCCGTCAACTTTAAGACGGCAAGGCCCAGTAAGAACCCGAGGATGTCTGGGGTGGTTGGCAGAGGCAGGATACCCAGAGGGCTCTGGTGGTACCCAGACCAGAGCCAGGCTCCTGACTCCCTCCCAGGGTTTTTCCAGAGTTTGCTCTAGAGATAACTATGTGGATGGGTATGGATTAGAGAACTACCGAGAAGGAAGGGAGTGACCCAGGCTGCGGGATTCCCAAAGCTTCCTGCAGCTGGCAGCAATTGGGCCTTTCACAGCTGGACATTTGGGTGGGATTTTGCAGTGGGAGCTGGGCCAGTGAGCTGAGGCACAGCTGGGTCTGACTATAGCCCCTACTCCTGCAGGCAACCCGCAGCTCCTACACCCCTCTGTGCCTCCTGACCTGACAGCCAGCGCCGGCATCTACCGCGGACCCGTGTATGCCCTGCAGGACTCCACCGACAAAATCCCCATGACCAACTCTCCTCTGCTGGACCCCTTACCCAGCCTTAAGGTCAAGGTCTACAGCTCCAGCACCACGGGCTCTGGGCCAGGCCTGGCAGATGGGGCTGACCTGCTGGGGGTCTTGCCGCCTGGCACATACCCTAGCGATTTCGCCCGGGACACCCACTTCCTGCACCTGCGCAGCGCCAGCCTCGGTTCCCAGCAGCTCTTGGGCCTGCCCCGAGACCCAGGGAGCAGCGTCAGCGGCACCTTTGGCTGCCTGGGTGGGAGGCTCAGCATCCCCGGCACAGGTGAGCCCCTGCCCTGCTTGTGCGTCAGCCTGGCCTTAGCACCTCCTCTGTGGACTGCCCCAACACCCATCCAGCAGAAGATAGGGCTGCCCTAATCCCATCTCACAGATGGGGAAAGGGAGGCCTGAAGGCAGGAAGTGAGTATAAAATAGAGAGGTCTGACTAGAAAAGCTAGGCTTCAAGCCTGCCTATGCCCTCACTAGGGCAGAGGAACCTTGGGCCAGCCATCTTCTAAGCTTCAGTGTCTCTGTTGTGTGAGAGAGAATATTCCAACGTAGTTCAGCAGACCTACAAAGCACTGTCCTGGAACTAGCAGCAGAGGGACAGGGGCGCCTGTTTTAGTTTGCAAAGCCAGCAATTAACAGCTTCCCAGCATCATATACTAAGCTAGGAGTAGAGCTGGCACTTGGACCTCCAGACACCATAGCAATGTCAGAGACCCCTGTCTTCCTAGACAAGCCAGCACTGGTCAGTGGCCTGGCCTCTGCTTGCATCCAGTCCCCAGACCCTGTCTCCCACCCCTGGCTGGGGACTACCTGGAGCTCAGGAGATATCTTTCTCTCCCAGCCCCAAGCTGGGGCCAACTTCCCAAACACTTGTTCTCCTAAGCTCCTGGACTCCCTGCTGACTTCCCTCTCCCCCTAGGGGTCAGCTTGCTGGTGCCCAATGGAGCCATTCCCCAGGGCAAGTTCTACGAGATGTATCTACTCATCAACAAGGCAGAAAGTACCCTGTGAGTAGAGCCCCAGCCGCTGCTCCTTTTTCTTCCTCCCATCCCTTGCTGCCTGCCCACACGTGGCTCCCCTTCTAAGCCTGATGCCAAGACCAAACAGTCCTCCAAGGAAAGTATTAATCTTACTGTGTCCATATTGAAAACTTGCAGAACCAACACCGTAAATTGTAAAACTCAAAGGCGGTTGACAAGCTGGCTACAAGTGTGACAAAGGGCTGAATATCCTTACTATGTAAAGAGATTTTGTAGATCAATAAGAAAAAGTAAACATCTCACTGTGAAAATGGGCAAAGGATATGAACACGTGATTCACACACACTGTCTCACACAAACACACTGGCCAGTAGGTTATGAGAAAATGTTTAGTCTAATTTGCAGAGAAAACTAATGAAAACCACCACAAGGTATACTGGGATTTTTAAATTATTATTATTAAGGAATTTGCAAGGACCTTTTCCCAAATGATAATACCCTCTTGCTGGCAAGGGGGTGGGAACATGGCCTTCTGTGGCACGTGGCCGGGAGTATAGATTGGAACCAGCTCCCTGGAGGGCACTTTAGCGTGACCTATTGAAAACCTTCCAAGATTACACAACCTTGGAAAATATAAGCCAGGAATTTTGAGCTATGATAATGTTGCAGTGGAATAGCAAAAATCTGGAAACAACCTCAAGGTTCATGCCATTTTCTTTGCCTCCTTTGCCCCCATGACCTCTGGGAATGCAGAGCCCTGAGTGGCAAAGAGCTGCCCTCCACCTCCCGGGCCCTGGGCAGACTTGGGAGCCCAGCAGGAGCCTGCACCTTTGCCGAGCTCTTCACTGCCTCTCTCCTACCCTGTGTCCTCCTCCAGCCCGCTTTCAGAAGGGACCCAGACAGTATTGAGCCCCTCGGTGACCTGTGGACCCACAGGCCTCCTGCTGTGCCGCCCCGTCATCCTCACCATGCCCCACTGTGCCGAAGTCAGTGCCCGTGACTGGATCTTTCAGCTCAAGACCCAGGCCCACCAGGGCCACTGGGAGGTGAGGAGCCACGGTGAAGGCTGGCCCAGCTCTCCCAACCTGCCCAGGGAGGCAAAAGAAAGCCCTTTTCCTCTGGCCCAGCCTGAATAACTGTGACCACTACCCCACCCTTGCTGTCCCCTACAGGAGGTGGTGACCCTGGATGAGGAGACCCTGAACACACCCTGCTACTGCCAGCTGGAGCCCAGGGCCTGTCACATCCTGCTGGACCAGCTGGGCACCTACGTGTTCACGGGCGAGTCCTATTCCCGCTCAGCAGTCAAGCGGCTCCAGCTGGCCGTCTTCGCCCCCGCCCTCTGCACCTCCCTGGAGTACAGCCTCCGGGTCTACTGCCTGGAGGACACGCCTGTAGCACTGAAGGTAGGGCCAGCTGCAGGTGCCCACACAGCCCTGGCCGGCCAGCTGCATGATCCCTGCCAGAATCCCCCACCCCAGGCTCATGGGTCCTCCCAGGAACCCCTCCCCGCCACCAGCATTATTAGGTCCCGCTTGCGACCCTCACACACTGAAACAGCCTTGGGCACAGGGCCTGCCTCACCAAGATCCAGGTTAGAGGTGGGAGGCAGACCAGGGATCCCTGAAGGCTCTGATGGGGTCTGCCCCAGGACTGAGGGAGCATCAGACTGGGAGGGGCTTGGGCTGGTAGGGAGGGACTCTGAGAAGGCTGACATGTAGGAGTTTCAGCAGAAAGGAGTGAAGGGCATTCCAGACCGACAGAAATGACTGCGTTTCATAAGCGTTTCAGCATGACCAACTAAAAGGCATAGGGAATGTGTGAATGTGAGGGCGGGCGAGATGGGCAGGGCTCAGCTTCCCAGAAGCCTCAGGGCCCCTTGCCAAGGAATTTGGAATCCATCCGGCAGGAAGGGGAATGGACCTGGTAGACACCTGTTCACAGGTGCTCTTTAGAAAGCCCCTGTGGCTATACTTGGGTGGGTAGATGAGAGGTGGAGAGGCCTGTTGGGAAGCTGGGGTTGGACCCTGGGCCACAGGGAGTGACAGCAGCCAGGAGAGGCGGGGCTGGATGCTGCGTGTGCTCAGTCAAATGGACAGAACCGGTGACTGATGGGATGGGCAGTGGGAGAGGGAAGTTAAGGCTGACAGCCAGGCTCCTAGCATATGCAGAAGGATGGAGAGCGGTGCCCCAAGTGAAGGAAGGGTCATGCAGATGAGGGGTGGTTGGGACAGGAGGGAGGGAAGGGGAGGGAAGGGTCTTTTAGTACCTAGAGCCTGATGATGGCAGGTATGGAGCCCCGTGTTAGCACCACTGTCCCCTGCCAGCCTCAGAGCCCTTGTGCATTCCCCCAAGTTCTCCTCCCATTCTCAGGAGCTCAGGCTCATCCTGATGTAACCCTGGAAGCATACAGACACTTGGCCGTGTGTGAGCCCCTTCCCCTCCCTCCTCCCATCTGCCCTCCTCAGCGCCTCATGGTCCTTTCCCATGGCTCCATGCACTTTCTGTTCCTGCTCCCTGGCCCCGTCCAGCTCCTTCATCTCCCAGGCTCATGGGACTTGTCCCAAAGCCCACACTGCAGACAACATAGGTGAAAGGCCCATGGGAGAAGGAGTGTCCCCTGCTGGGAGGACCCTGGCTTGAGATGCCAGTGGCCCTGTGATGGGTGCAAGGTGCCTGGGAAGTGCTCCTGCAGCTGGATCTCTTGGTCCTGGGGCGTTGGCTAATGGCCAGCTTTGGCCAGAGAGTGGTATAGAAATCAAGAGAGAAGTTACCAGGTTTGGGCCTGATGGCATTCTTTGTTTATTCAACCCTCCATCCATCCATCTGTCCATCTGTTCATCCATCCATCTGTCTTTCTGTTCATCTGACCATATACCCATTCAGTCAGCAGCCCATCTGTTTACCCAGTCATTGCTCGTCTATCCATTCATTTATCTTTTCTTCCATCTTTCTATTCATATACCCATCCTTGTATATCCATCTGTATATTCATCTGTCTGTCTTTCTAGCCATCAATCCGTTTATCCATCCATCTGTCCATTTATTAGTCCCTCTAGCCATACGGTCATCTATAGATTCATTCATCTAGTCATCTTTCCCACTGTCTGTCTATCCATCCGTCATCTATTCATCTTCTCACACCATAAGCCCTCTGTGAGCTCTTGCAAATGCCCAGCCATGCACTCAGATGGGCCCCTGCCCCCTGCCCCGCACAGTGCCACAGAAGAGGCCCATTGGCCAGGTGTGATGGGTTCCCCTTCCCCATGCCCCTGGCCCACAGGAGGTGCTGGAGCTGGAGCGGACTCTGGGCGGATACTTGGTGGAGGAGCCGAAACCGCTAATGTTCAAGGACAGTTACCACAACCTGCGCCTCTCCCTCCATGACCTCCCCCATGCCCATTGGAGGAGCAAGCTGCTGGCCAAATACCAGGTGAGGGCTGGGCTGATGGATGGGGAGGGGCACCACTTAAGGGCTGCCCGGGAAGCCCAGCTCCCTCCCGGGCCCTGCCTCCTAGCTCTGTCCTGTGGCCTTACCCCTCCCTGGATCTCTCACTGTCTCTGTCTCCTCCCACCCCAGTCTCTAGGCTTTCAGCCATCCCCAGGCACGTCCCCAAATTCAGGGCAATGGGCAGCCACATGCACACTTCTGCCCTGTCACACCCTCACACGCACAGACGACTATGCCCTTCATCCTCACAGAGGCTCCTCACCCTTCAGGGCATGCCCTCCTGGCAGACTGCCCATCTCATCTCTGACAGCCACAGCCCGCTGCCCACCCAGCAGCGCCTGAGACCACAAGGCCCCCTAGCCCCTGACACACACACACCTGTGCCTTTCCCTCCCCCACCTACCCACCCTCAGCTCCCTTCTGGAACTGAGGGCCTGACACCAACTCAGCTGGCTAGCTTAGGGCACTTGACCCCTCCCTATCTGGGTGGAGAGGCCTGAACTGCCCCCCAAAGCTCCCAACCCTCCCTGAGCCTCCATTTCTATGAGGACAGGGCAGGCTGGCCTTGCCTGCCTGGTCCTGACCCCCTCCTCCTGCAGGAGATCCCCTTCTATCACATTTGGAGTGGCAGCCAGAAGGCCCTCCACTGCACTTTCACCCTGGAGAGGCACAGCTTGGCCTCCACAGAGCTCACCTGCAAGATCTGCGTGCGGCAAGTGGAAGGGGAGGGCCAGATATTCCAGCTGCATACCACTCTGGCAGAGGTGAGGGAAGTCGGGGCCACATATTCCAGCTGCACACCACACTGGCGGAGGTGAGGGAAGGGTGGGGCAGATATTCCAGCTGCACACCACGCTGGCGGAGGTGAGGGAAGGGTGGGGCAGATATTCCAGCTGCACACCACGCTGGCGGAGGTGAGGGAAGGGTGGGGCAGATATTCCAGCTGCACACCACGCTGGCGGAGGTGAGGGAAGGGCGGCCAGATATTCCGGCTGCACACCACTCTGGTGGAGGTGAGGGAAGGGCGGCCAGATATTCCGGCTGCACAGCACTGTGGCATAGGTGAGGGAAGGGCCGCCAGATATTCCAGCTGCACACCACGCTGGTGGAGGTGAGGGCCAGAGGATACCTCTAGGGTTTGGGGCTGGGCTGCAGCACACAGAACCCTGTAGTTCCCTCTCACCTCCCAAGTCTGAGCGGGTATCTGGTCATGTTTTTCTAACAAGTGTCATTTATTGATTGAGTGCCATTCACATGCTTGGCATATACCAAAAAACTTACATGATCTCACAAGCACCGGGAGATGCATGACAGATATCATCCCCACCTGGGAGGTGAGAAAGTAGGTTTTAGGAAGGGCAAGGATTTGCACACAGTACACCAGTGGCAAGACTGGATTCGAACCCAGGTTGATGCAAGGACCAGGCCTGTGGTTCTCAACCGTTAAAAATCCGGATTGAGATTTAAAAACCCAGGCCACCCAGGGTGACAACACTAGATCCTCCTCTTGGGGCATTGTAAAGAGCACTGGATACAGGTCTGGACCCAGGTCTGCCACTAACTTGGCATGTGGCCATGAGCAAGCCACTCCCCTTTTCTAGACTTCACTTTCCACCTGTACAAGAGGGTGCATGTGGATTAGACTGTGGCTGGGCCTCCTTGGGGCTTCCTAACCATGAGGCTGCATCTGCATTTGCCTGGGGCCTTAGGTAAGCATGGTGCACCCCCTGAGGCCTGAAGGGTGGCCATGCAGGCCTTGCCCTTGGGAACCGACCCTTCAAGGGAGAAGCCCCTGCCTGAACAGTGGGAGTCTGTCCAGAGGAGGTGGGAGTGACTCAAGGCTCAATGAGCTCACAGTCCAAGGGGAGGGAGGCTGGAGGGCAGATGCCCAGCACTGTGCCCCTCTCACTCTTGGCCCCCACCCTTGCAGACACCTGCTGGCTCCCTGGACACTCTCTGCTCTGCCCCTGGCAGCACTGTCACCACCCAGCTGGGACCTTATGCCTTCAAGATCCCACTGTCCATCCGCCAGAAGATATGCAACAGCCTAGATGCCCCCAACTCACGGGGCAATGACTGGCGGATGTTAGCACAGAAGCTCTCTATGGACCGGTGAGTATCCCAAACCACAGCCCATCCCCATCTGCCTTCGTCCTCAAGGTCTCACAGGGGCAGGCAGGGCAGGCAGCCTGACAGCCACGACCATCTCCCAGACCAGCTGCCCTTTTGCCACCATTTGTGGCAAATCAGCAACTCAGGATTGGATATGCAAAGTTCAAGAATACTGCTCCCTTGAGGAGCATCATGCTCAGAGCACTGGTCCTTGAGCCAGGCAGACTCTCAGACCCTGCTCTTTTCCCATTGTGTGGGGATAATGCTCCACCTGCCCATCTCACCGAACAGCAGGAGACTCAAAGCCAGGGCATCAGCTTGGTGCCATCATTGTCAGCACCTGGTATCTAGGACAGAGAATGTGCTGCGAGATGCTTGCTGACTGACCAAGATACACTTTGGTGTCAAAACTCCTTTGGAGAACCTCAAATGCTGGATAAGTGCTGGATAAATATAAGGCCAATGATAATAAATATTATACTTATTGAAAGATGTGTAATAAACCTGCATTGAGTCTCAAAAAATAAATAAATAAAATATGCTTTAGATAAGACATTTTACTAGAAATGAATAGGACTTACAAAGATGGCTAAGGCTTTATTCCTCCTATCAGGGGAGTTCATGGGAGCAGGAGGGAACACGGGTGGGAGGAATGACCACATGCTAGACGTGGTCATTCTCTCTTGGGGCCAGTGTCTTTCAATGATAATAATGATGATGATGAACAAGATGGTTACATGCTAGAGACAACGCTAGACCCTTACTTTATATGATCTTGGATCTTGCTGAGCGGTAACTGGCATTGTTCCCATTTTAGAGACAAGGAGACTGAGATTCTGAGCCATAGGTTCTGAATTGCCGAGAGCCACACAGACTGCAGCACAGTAGCTGCAATTCAGACCCAGGACAGTGGGACACCAAAGCTCACAGCCTTCCCACTTCCCCTTGTGCCCCTTCACCTCCAGGCTCCGGGGAGGGGCTAAGTGCTTGGGAACCTCAGTGCCCTCCTTCCCTCTGCCAGGTACCTGAATTACTTTGCCACCAAAGCGAGCCCCACGGGTGTGATCCTGGACCTCTGGGAAGCTCTGCAGCAGGACGATGGGGACCTCAACAGCCTGGCGAGTGCCTTGGAGGAGATGGGCAAGAGTGAGATGCTGGTGGCTGTGGCCACCGACGGGGACTGCTGAGCCTCCTGGGACAGCGGGCTGGCAGGGACTGGCAGGAGGCAGGTGCAGGGAGGCCTGGGGCAGCCTCCTGATGGGGATGTTTGGCCTCTGCTTCCTCCCAGTTCACAGCCAGAGTTGCCTCTCCTCCTCCTCTTCCCCAACCCCCAGACCATGACCAGCCTTAGAAAATCCATGTACTCTGTTGTTAGAGGGCCCAGAGTTCCTTCTCCACCCCCGCTCTCTCTCTCTTGGCCTGAGATCTCTGTGCAGGAACCAAGATGGGGCTGAAGCCTCTGGAGGCAGTTGGTTGGGGGCGGGCAGGCAGGAGGCCCTCCCTCCACCCCCCCACCCTCAGCCCGGCAACTTCTGGGTTCCATGGGTTTTAGTTCCGTTCTCGTTTTCTTCCTCCGTTATTGATTTCTCCTTTCTCCCTAAGCCCCCTTCTGCTTCCACGCCCTTTTCCTCTTTGAAGAGTCAAGTACAATTCAGACAAACTGCTTTCTCCTGTCCAAAAGCAAAAAGGCAAAGGAAAGAAAGAAAGCTTCAGACCGCTAGTAAGGCTCAAAGAAGAAGAAAAACACCAAAACCACAAGGGAAAAGAAAAACCCAGTTTCTTAGGAAACGCAAACGATTTATTATCCAGATTATTTGGATAAGTCCTTTTTAAGAAAAAAAAAGAAAATGAAAAACAACACAAAAAAAATAGAAAACTCTTTTCTTGAGTGTGGATGAGAATGGGCACGCTCACACTTCTGGCCAGGAGTGAATGTGCCTGTGTGTGTGTGTGTGTGTGTGTGTGTGTGTGTACATGTACGCGTGTGCATTGAGGAGAGAGAGACTGAACAGAGAGTACTTTGCTGCTAACGAATCCATCTTGGACTAAATTCTGACAAGGCCTCAGTTTCCCCAGTTGTGCAGGGAGTAGGTCAGACAGGGTTTTCACTGTCTAGATTTAGCTGGTTAGATTTTCCTCTAAAATCTTAAGCAGATGCTGAATCCATAAAGCCAAGGAGTGCTGAGGGCTGGAGTGGGTGGGCCCTCCCTCCCACAGCCCCAGGGAGATACATCTGGACTCCTGGGAATCTGGATTAAGAAAGTTGGGATGAAAGAGGAGGACTGCTCAGGCCAGTTGTGAGCCAGGGAGAATGTTCCAGTCTGGTTTTGGTCTGGTGGCTCCTAGAAAGGGATGTGGCCCAGAAGTGGGACTCAAACAGAGAGATGAAGTAGGGGAGGGGAGTCCTCCACGGGCATCTCTCTCCTGGCGGCTGGATAGCTTTACCCTAGGGTGGGGCCAGCCCTGACACCCTCATCCCCTCCTCAGCCCAGCAGCCTCTAGAGCAGCGTGGTGCTCTCTTGATGGCCAGGAATCCAGAATCTGCCCTTCCCCAACCTTGGTTTCTCCTTCTGTAAAGCAGAGTGATGGCTGAGAAGTCCTCTCTAGCTGCAGAAGCCTGAGCTTCCCGGTGTCAGTCAGCTCTGCAACGTGGGAGCCTTGGAGGCGGGTGGCCTGGCTGTGCTTCATATGCCCAGGAGTGGAGAAGGAGGCTGAGAAGCTGGTTTCCCAGCTCTGATCTCCACAGGCACCTCCTATAACCCTCCTCTCACCCACCCCGCTACGGTCTGAGAGATCTGAAATAACCTTTCCCAGTGGGCAGGGTTGCCAGGGTTGAGGGGACAGCACATACCACCCCCACCCAACCTGTTCGAGGGGCCCTGCATGGCACGGGATGAGTCCCTGCCCTGTGCAGCTGCCTGGCAGTGGCTGGGACAAGGATCTTGCAGCCAGCACAGAGGCCTCTTCAAAGGCCTCTCCCTCTTGGCACTCCAGGCAAGGCAGGTGCCCGCTTCCCCAACACCTCCAGGCAGTGACCCTAGGGCATGCCCCAGCAGGTCTCCGAGCAGCCACTGGGACCCGTCTCAGCACATCCTGGCCTTTGAAAGTCTGATATCCTGAGAGGAGGGCAGGTTTTAGGGCCGCAGTTCCAGCCAGCGTCCCCAGCCTGGCTTCCCTGCCATGGACTCAGTAGCTCGTGGGGCTTCTTACCACCCACCAGCCCCGCTGGGGTGCGGCCTGGCTGTGGGCAAAGGAGGACTTGCCTGGAGATTTGAGAGAAGATTCCTTCTACCAGGGCTGCTGAGGGGCCAGGCCTGCATCAGGGGCTAGGCTCTGGCTGGGCCCGGAGGCTGAGACTAAGGCTTTCGACCCTGGTGCCTCCATGTGGATGCTGCCTCAGACAAAGGCAGTGAGCCTTCCCTGCCAAAGTGCCCATCCCATGGGCTCGGCCTCACTGGTCACTGTTAGCCCATGAACACGTGTGGGCCTCGGTCACGTGGCTTTGAGGGCAGTCTGACCAGGCTAGACCACACGTGCCGTGACAGGGGGTGCCATTCCCCTCGCAGGCTCTAATGTGCCCACATGTAGCCTGGCAGTCCAAAGACCAAGAATCAACTTGCAAATCTGCCATTAAACTGCTGTGCGACTTCAGGCATATCACTGCCTTCTCTGGGCTTCAGTGTCCTTTTCATACCTAGAAGTCTGCGGTCTGAGGCTCTTTGGGTTCAGACACACTGTTCTAGGCTTCTGTAGGGGACCTTGTGATCTGCCGTGCCCCTCCTCCCTGTTCTTTTCTGTCCTCCCCACCCCACCCTCAGAAGCTGCTTGCTCTGCCCCCAGGACAGGAGCTTGACGGATGAAGTGCAGCCAGCCACCCAGGTGCCATTTCCAGTCTGACTTCCAGAAATGTGCACCATGTCCTAGAGCACAGACCCATTGGCTGGAGCCTCCTGGGAGGGTTCAAACCATCAGCTCTATGAGAAATGCCCAGAAAGGCTTTGCCGACTCCATCCGTCTGTGGAGGCTGCCTGCCTCCGGGGTGGGATGGGTGGTTTCTCCTCCAATTCAGACCCAAGAGGTAGCCCCCGAGGGCATGTACCTGGTGGGAAGCAGCTCAGGTACCCTTGGGGGTTGCAGGGCCCTTACGCAGGTATTTCTCTCTCTCTCCTCTCTGGGGTGCGTGTGTGCGTGCGCGTGTGCGTGCCTATGCTTTTCTCTGTGGGCACATCAGGATGCCCCTCGGAGAGCATGTGCACGTGTCCCCACCTGAGCGAGCGTGTGTGTGTGCTCCTCTGCGTCCCAGGTTTGGACGTCTAGGGTTTGGTGTGCCTGTCTTCTGCCCTCCCTGAGCCCACAGGGTCAGTCAATGTATCTTCTACGTGCCTCTCCCTCTGCCTTCTCTCACAGTGCCCCCGGCTCCAGAGCTCAGGGGTAGGGGTTCTCCTGAGGGTGCAGGGGATCCTTCTCATCTCCTGGACCCTCCAGGGCACTCTGGTCCCTATTCCCCAGCTCCTAGGCAGCTGAGCCGGGTCCCTTAGGGGAGGTGACCAGGAGCTTTGGTGCAGGGAGCTCTTGGTGGGGCAAAGGGCTGGACCCCTGCCAGGTCTGTGGACATGGTTATATGCCCGGGAGAGGGGGGTGCAGGGCCCCAGGGATGGCCCCCAATCCCACCTCTGTTTATTCTGTAAACTGCAACCTATAAATAACCTTTAGCATTCCTATTGTAACAAAATTAATTTTTATGAAATAAATTATATTTCCTAGTCTAATAAAATCCGGGTTGCATTTGGCTGTCTTCCTGTTGGTAATTGGGAATGACTCCGTTGCTCTTCTCAAAATTCCATGGAAGGTGGAGGTGTCACTGTCAGTTCAGAGCTATCTGACCCCCAGGAGATGAGCAAGCCCAACTGCCTCATTTTATAGAAGGGAAAACTGGTTCAGAGAGGGGTAAGGACTTCCCTAGAGTCACACAGCAAGGAGGAGCCTGTGGTCCATCTGGATCCCGGTCCTTGTGCATCCGGATCTGTTCAGGAGTTTGTCATGTGAGTCTGCCAGGGGCTAGGTAATGGTTGAGAGGGATGACACAGAGATGAAGCCCCAGCATCCCTGTCCGTCTCTGAGGAGTTCAGAAGGGGGTATCCCCAAGGGTGCTGAGGCTGTGAGGTCAGTTCAGAAACCTCACCTAGGATATATGACTATTGTGCAGGCTGAAAGGGAGTGATGGGCAGGTTGGGATCATATGACTCCGCCCCAGGCTGCCAGGCATGGTTGGGCAGGTAACGCACTGGGCAAGAGTACCATATCTAAAGGGGAGGGTGGCTCCATTCCCATGTATGTTGTAGATTTGTGTATTTGCTGAGATATTTCCAGCAGATGGCAGTAAAGGGTCTTGTGCTAATAAAAGCAGTACCTTGCTATTGAGGAGAGGGTGCCTTGTTCTCACGTGCACAGACGTGCTGTAAGAAGACTGGCAAGGGTCCCATTTCAGCTGGTCCCCTCCACCCTGTGGACCTCAAGTCTTTCCCTTTATGAGTTGAGTCTGGCCTGAGAATTTCCCAGCATGGATTGCCTGCTCCATGAGTAGATTCTGCGGTGTCTTAAGTTTGGGGTGAGAGCACCCTCTGGCCCCATCTTGGACAGTCATGTTGCCCAATCAGCATGTTAAAGGCTCTGAAAAGCCCTGCAGGAAGCAGCTGGTCTCATATTAACACAGACATCCCAGATAGATTTGGCCTTGGAACTTGTTTTCACAGCCTGACTATGTGGTGCCTATAGGCCCTGCCAGCCCTGACTTTCTGGGACCTGTGGCTCTGGGTTCTATGTGGCTGTATCACCTAGCTGTCCTCCTGGGAATGGGGAGCACCTGTGGGCTGGGTCTGAGACTGAAAGTTACCGAGACAAGAGAAAACCCATGTCTGTCCTCTGGCGGAGGAGGTGGGGCAGGCAGGGCACAATGGCACCCACCTGCATGCAGACCCCCAGGCTCAGATCATCATCTTTCCCTGGGGACCCAGAAGACCTGGAGCGGTCACATTCAGCATGACCTTCCTAGCAGAGATGATTTGGGGGTAAGGATTTATAAGGGAGAAGAAGAGGAAAGGGACAGCTTCATGAGGATGGGGGGTGAAGGGAGGGATACAGGAGGCGGGCAGCAGCCCAGCTAAGGGGTGGGCAGAGCCAGGTGTGGGGCAGCTATTTCATGCAAGTAGCCCCTACAAGCAGGCAGACAGTCTGGGGTCCCCCAGGAGTCAAGGCGACCCATTTAAACTTCATTCTCTACCTGCCACTGTCCCTTGGAATCTCAACTAAAACCAGGTTGGGCAGCAGGTGGGGTGCAAAGAGCTCTGGTGCTGAAGGTAGGGGTCCTGGGTCCCAGCCCTGATGCTGTGGAGTCACTATCCTTCCCTGAGCCTCAGTTTCTCCATCTGTGAAATGTGGGGCATAGATCTGCTACCCTGTGAGAGCCCTCTGGCTGGTGTAATTCTGTAATTGGCAGGGTGTGGGGTGGGGGGTCCTGGCTCTAGGCAGGAGTGTGACAGCTGCACCCCTTGAACCCTACTTTCTGTGCCAAGCCCAGGGGATGGTTGAGGGACAACCAGGAGAAGGCAGCAAAGGGGCTGGTTGCAGCCTGGGGCTGTGCGGGTGCCCAGTGAGGGGTCAGAGCCAGTGGCACAAGACCCTCCCAACTGGCCAGCCTGGCACAGCCAGCACACTGCAGGCCTGTCACTCATAAAAGTGTACCCCCTTCTCCACTAGGGACCCTAAGAAGAGGAAATCCACTCCAACTGCAGCTGACAGCTTGAGGTCAGACACAGTACTGCCCAGCAAATTTTCAAAACCTTTGTCCATTTTAATTGAAAATGACACATGCCTACCGTTTAAAAAAAAAAAATCAAGAGGTACAACAGAATCGGTGAAAAGTAGATTTCCCTCCTTCCTCTGTCTCTACTTCATTTTCCTCTCCACCCCTGTCCCTAGTCCCCACCCCACTCCCATAGAGGCAATTGCTACATTTCTTCTGTAGCCTCCTAGGAAGATCTGTGCATATACATACACGTATTTGTACATGTAAATATTTAAATATAATGGATTTGATCCAGGAGCCTCAAACCCTCGAGGTATAAACATGAAACAGTTTTATTTTTCCAATAACTGCTCGGAAATTCATTTTGTCAACGCCATCCCTCCCACTGGCTAGCAGGCTCCCTAAGGACATGTGGAGGTCCCTGGCTTTTCCCTTGCTTGCTATTACTAAGACGGTCTCATTTTGTTGCTAAGGCTCAACCAGGCCATCCTGGAACTCCATCGTCACCTTTAACTAAAGCTCTCTGAGAGCCCCAGTGCAGGCCACTGAAGGCTGGGGCTGCCTGCCTCCCCTCCCTCAACAGCGATGTCTCCCTCCTTCATCATTTGATAGGAAAAGCTGCCATCAAAACGCTTCTGTCTCCTGCACCAGCACAGGCATCTCACACCAAGACCCCAGCCTCCTTAGAACTGGGCCCTGGAGAATCCAGTGACTGTTTGTTATCAACAAGACACTGTTTCTTTTCTTCTTTTAATTTCTTTCTTTCTTTTTTTTTTTTTTTTTTTTTTGAGACGGAGTCTTGCTCTGTCACCCGGGCTGGAGTGCAGTGCCACGATCTCGGCTCACTGCAACCTCCACCTCCTGGGTTCAAGTGATTCTCCTGCCTCCGCCTCCTGAGTAGCTGGGATTACAAGTGCCCACCACCACGCCCAGTTAATTTTTGTATTTTTAGTAGATACTGGGTTTCACCATGTTGGTCAGGCTGGTCTTGAACTCCTGACCTCAGGTGATCCACTAGCCTCGGCTTCCCAAAGTGCTGGGATTACAGGTGTGAGCCACCACGCCCGGCCAACAAGACGCTATTTCTACCATAACCCCTGGCCTGCATAGAACATTCCAGGGACAGGCGGACCTGGAGATGAGGACTTCCCAAGTCCTGATTTTTCTTTTCTTTTTTTTTCCTTTTTTTTTTTTTTTGAGATGGATTCTCGCCCTGTCCTCCAGGCTGGAGTGCAATGGCACGATCTGGGTTCACTGCAACCTCCGCCTCCCAGGTTCAAACAATTTTCCTGCCTCAGCCTCCCGAGTAACTGGGATTGCAGGTGCCCGCCACCATGCCCAGCTAATTTTTGTATTTAAATGAGACAGGGTTTCACCATGTTGGTGAGGCTGGTCTCGAACTCCTGACCTCATGATCCGCCCGTCTCAGCCTCTCAAAGTGCTGGGATTACAGGCGTGAGCCACCGCGCCTGGCCCAAGTCCTGATTTTTCAAAACACAAATAGTGTTGGGGACAACCGTGCTCCAGTTCAACAACCCATTCAGCCAATTGCATTGGTCACCTCCGGGGTAAAGGACAAAAGTCGCACACAATGCCCTTGGGAGCCTACAGTCAAAAGAGGAGACACATCAACAGGGTGAGGGGCTTTGGAAACTCGGAGCGGCTCCTGACCAAGCCTGGGGGTCCAGAAAGCCTTTCTGGAAGAGACGGTATTTTCCAACACTGGGGTTGGTTTCCCTGAGTCATAGCTTCTCAGGTATGCATTTTGTGGGAGACACTTGTAGGCAAAAGTTTACAATAGCTTTCTTTCATGAAACTTCTTGGCTGGGTATGGTGGCTTACACCTGTAATCCCAGCACTTTGAGAAGCCAAGGCAGGAGGATTGCTTGAGGCCAGTAGTTGGAGACCAGCCTGGACAACACAGTGAGACTCCATCTCTACAAAAAAAAGTTTTAAAAAATTGCCAGGTGTCACACACCTGTAATCCCAGCTATTTGGGAAGCTGAGGCAAGAAGATCCCTTGAGTCCAGGAGTTGAAGGCTACAGTGAGCTATAAGGGGGTCACTGCACTCCAGCCTGGGTAACAGACTGAGACCCTCTCTCTAAAAAAAATAACAAAAACCCCTTCTTACTAAGAAAAGATGCTGATGTCCCTTTAGCAGGCTAGACATGAAGGCTGCTGTCTGCCAGAGGTGCTCAGATGGTCACAGGCCCTACTCGCGCCTGTTTATATGAATGTAAGTTGATGTCCTCTCAGTGACCCCAACCCAGGAGCTGGGGAATGTGGGGAGGGGCACAAGTGAGTTCCTGCTTTCCTGCAATCAGGAGGGGCTGGGCATCCAGGCCCACTGGGGGTGGCTCGAATCTGCACAGCCTAGTTTCTCAACCTAAAAGGCTTCCTCAACATGAGGGTCCTCAATACCTAGAAATTCAATCAATACAGCCCTAATCCCCTGATGGGCCTAGCACTGGGGGAAGGGGATACATCAGGCCTGGACTCAGCCCCCAAGCAGCTCACAGTAGAATACAAACTGAATTCACATAGCTGGTACCACACACCCTGAGACGGTACCAGCAGAGTGTGTGGGAGCAGGAAGATGGGAAGGGGTCCCTCTAGCTGCCCCACCTCGAGAGATGGTGATGTGCATGCAGGTGGAGATTGGGGCAGGGATGCAGGCAACAGCATTATCCTGGGTGCAGTGTGGAGAAGCCCAGCATGGGGAGAGAGGACAGGAGCAGCCTGGGGTCTGGGAAGGACAGAGGGGTGTGGCTCCCTATTGGTCACCTGCTCTAGGTTCACATAGATGTGCTTCTGGGCATTGGGGTCCGCTCACAGAAGCTTGTCCTCAGGAGTTTGTCCACAGACCAAGGGTCAAAAACACGAATGTGTCCAGGCCGCTCAGTCACGTGAATGAGAGAAGCCGCCAAACCAGCAATTCACTTCACAGAGAAATGTGCCTGCTCAGCTGTTTCTTGAAACATCAGGCTGTCTCAGCATATCATTCATTCCTCACTTCTCTTAGCAGCACGGGTCTCTACTTGAGTGAAATAGAGGATAGATGTCCTGTTCAGTGGCCTCTCACATTTGGCTGCAGTGCTATAGGGAAGCGATAGGGAGAAGTGGGGACTACAGCCAAATGGTGACCACAGAGTGCACTGGAAGGGGTAGGCCCTCACTACTCAAATCTGTGAGTGCCCAGGACTGCTCCAACCTCCTGCTTTTAGAAACCAGAAACCAGGATTCAGAAACGTATGTGAAATCATTCTATTTGTAACTGTTAGCTCAAATTGTTTGTAAACTGCAGGCCAAACAAGATCCATCCAGTTTGTGATCTGCTGGGCAATGGGAAGCTATGGGAAGGTTTTGAAGCAGCGGAGGGTCAGGCTTAGGTTCAGGGGTTTGCTAGCTGGGACACAGTCCTGAGCCCCTGGCCCTCTCTAGAGATCACCAGGTGCCCCTGCCCAGGTGTTGCTTTCCCTGGGTTGCATCAGGGGACCATGATGCCCACACCAGCTACCTCCCTCCTGCATTCCTCTGTGGGATGGTGGGTGAGGCTGGTCCTCTCCCCACGAGCCTCTTCTATGCCTGATGAAATTCAGGGCAGGGCTTGGCTACCAGGCCCTCAGGTTGCAGCAATTCTCCTGCTACCAGGTACCTAGGGACAGAGGCCCAGCACCCACCTCAGTAAATACTGCAATTACCCAAAGGGGGTACACCAGGCAGAGGCTATGGCCAAGGACTGCAGGGGTTCATTGGGGTCTCTTTCATAGGCTTCTAGGATGGCAGAGGTGGGGGTCCTTGGCTGCTATCTAATCCATCCTCATCTGATTCCAGAAGTCCCTCCACAGTGACTCAGACAAGGGCTTCCCCAGTTTCTCCTTGAATACTTCCAGAGATGAGGAACTCTCTACTTCTTAATTGTAATAATAGCTGGCATTTTAATAAATGACTACTTATTTTCACTGTAGGGGCTGATTTTACCCACAGGAATCAATGGGAGTTAAGCCTAAGCCTTCCACTCCATGCCACCTTTTCAAATATTTGAAAACAGCTTTCTTGGCCCACACTGCCTCTTCTCCTCCTCCTAAGTGCTCCCAGTCTCTCGCGTGGCTGGGCTCAGCATCCATGTGCCCATTGGTGCTCCCTCTGGGTTCTGGTGGCTTGCCTCCCTTTCCTCAATTCCCACAGGGTAGTTATGAAGCTAACATTATCCATAGTTCCAGCTCAGCTGCAGGTTTAAGGGAACAAGCTTTGGGGTCAGCCTGACCTTGGTTTATGGCCAGACTCTACCATCTGCTCTCCATGTGACCTTGAGCCAATTGCCTAAACTCCTGGAACCTCAGATTTTCCAGCAATGAGGATGACAAGCCCTTCCTTATAGACTTCCTGTAAGGACTAAATGAGGTAATATGTGTAAATATTAAGAGAGTAATCAGTATGAATCTCTTTCCATTTTGTCATCATCGGGATCAATAGCAGTTGCAGGTGTGTCACTGGATGATCACTATCACCTCTCTCCCATTAGATGAAGATAAGAGGGAGGAATATGCTCCTTGCATTTGCAGACACCTGAGATTACAAAGCACCATGTGCCCCACATTTTCTCTTTTTATGTAGCTAGGAGAAGGCCAGTGAGCCACGTGGCTAGAGCACTGACTCCCAGTCCAGTGCTCCCACTACAGCCCCACACAGTGGGAAACACAAGCCAGCTGCAGCCCTTCCTCCACAATCTGTACTGCTCCTGACATTGACGTACCTTTGTGGCATTCCCCAAGCACCTTCATACCAATGCTCTCCTTGATTACCAGAATTAATCCCACTGCCACACCACTGGAGATAGTCAGGACAGGGACCCTCCTCTTGGCCTCACAGATGGAAAAGCACAGGACAATTAGTACCTGGCCCACCTGGGTCAGAACCAGAACTCCAGAGCATCTGGGCTAGCGTAGATGATTAGCCAGGTTCAATCTCAGCTCAATACAATCCTGCTTCCACTAAACAAACGTTTACAGTTCTCATGTTGGTGGAAGGAAGACAGACAATTTAAAAACGTGATATGTAAAGATACACAAAAAATAAAGCCAGGTTATGAGTGAGGATAGCTGGGGAAGTCAGGGGAAGATCACTTCAGCACTACCAAAACAGATAGGGGAACTGAGAAACCAGTATCTTAGAGAGAAGGGAAGCTCAGAGAAATTTGATATTCTGTCCTTCTTCCCCCACCCCAGCCCCTCTGCCCAAGCCACTTGTTGATTTCTAACCAGTGAGTGCCAAACTGAAAGCAGCAGCTAAGGGGCTGAGAAGCCAGGCAGAGCTTTTGACAGACCCACCGCTACAGGGGGCAACACTGGGAGTGAAGGGGGAGCCCTGGCCAACAACCCAGCCCTTGGCCTGGGGTCTCGGAATGGCCACAGCCTAGGATAAGAGCAAACAGGAAGCAGATCAGGCCTTAAAAAGACCGAAATCCAGCCGTTCTTAATCCCCACTCCAATCCCTACCAGAAGCTAAAGGTAATTCTCCTTGTGGGAAGATCAGCACGCCTCTAAGTTTTCATTTACAATGTCTAACATTCAGTAAAAAATTACTGGACATCCCAATAGACAGGACCAAGAAAAATAACAGATAATAGAAACTACACATACATACATCTGAGTGAGCCCTGATTCTGGTCATCTTTTTATTCCCTGAGTCCAGACACCTAGTGTACTCAGGACCCAGTTCTCCCCACCTGACCAGAGAAAGAGAGAGAGAGATTCCAGATCTTTGACAACAGGGACTATATCCCAAGCCTGACACTGGACAGAAGATCCTTGTTCTCACAGACGCTAAGTCCACTTTCACATGAAGAATAAATCCTTACCACACAGAGACTAGAGCCCTAGACTTGAATCTCACCCCCACCGGATATCTGGTTGACCCTGGAAGTCTAGACCCCTGATTGACTCTAAAGTCTAAGAACTGGCAGGTTCAGACTCCCATGAGGACAGAGAATGAGTCCTCCTACCCACCTCACTTGAGACATGAAATCCTCACACATACCTGAACCAAGTCCTAGACATACAGAGTCCAGAGCCCCAGACAAGAGCATTACTTCCACCCAAAATCTGGCTGATCTGAGACCATATGTATATGGGGCTGGGGACAAGGTGGAGAAAGAGTCTAGGGTCCAGACAGCTGGTCAACCTTTGGGTGAAAGAGAGGTCACCCACCAGCCTCCTGGAACTCTTGCCCTTTGGGCACTGCAGCAGGATCGGATCCCATGCTGTGTGGCCACAGGTCCAGTGGGACAATATGAAAGCAGCCACCACGTGGCATCTGAAAATTGATGTGACTGGGACCAGGAAGGATCTGAATTCCCCAGGCTGGTTAGAGTCCCGGATGCCGACCTCCTTCCCAGTGCCCCTCAAACTGTGTTTCTCTCTCCAGGGAAGTGGGAGGGCGGCAGGGCCAGCACCAGAGCATCCTCTCCTGGCCTGACTTTACCTTCAAAGGAACAGTAAGACTCATAGCTAGCTTCTTAATGGAAGCCATGGAATGCAAAAGGCAGTGAAATGATCTTTAAAGTGCCAAAAGAAAATAAGCATCAATCTAGAATTCCAGACCTGGTGAAAATAGGGCAAAGGGCATTTCCAGGCCAACAAAAATTGAGAAACTTCATTGCTAAAAGACTGACATTAGAAAGAAATACTAATGGGAGCCTTTTGCGCTTACAGAAATGACTCCAGGAAGAAGCAAATGCAGGAAGGAATGAGAAACAATGAGAATGGGTAAATATGTGAGTAAATAGAAATTAATATGAACTGTAAAAAAGAAAAAAAGTAATATCTTATGAGTTTTAAAATAATGTAAATTAAATTATGTTAAAATGGTAACACAAAAGTTGGGTCAGGGTAAGTGTAATTAAGGTATTCTAAGGTACCTGCAACACCTGGGAAAGTGGGAAATGTACTAATTGATATTAGAGTCTAGTAAATCATGTATGGATAAATATAAGCTCTAGAGAATATTTAACTTATAGAAGTGAGAAAGAAATAGTTTTTTAAATTGATCAATCCAAAAAGAGACAAGAAAGGAGGGGAAAAAAGGAACATAGACAAGGTGTGCTGTTGGGAAAAAAGTAGTAGCATTAAACTCAAATATATCTGTCTACCAGTAATTATATTAAATATAAATGGACAAAAGACTTCAAGTTAAAGGTAAAGATAGTTAGAGTGGATTTTTTCTTAAGTATATGCCCCATTTACCGTAAACATGCCCTACATATAAGGATATCTGATAAAATTATAAGAATGAAGAAAGATATATCATAGAAACACTATTCAAAATGAAGCTAGTGTAATTCCACTAAAATTAGGAAAATACACATTAAGGCAAAAACCAAAAACAAAACACACATTACAAGAAAAGAAAGCCATGGACCAAACTATCTCATGAACAAAGATACAAAAATCCCAAGCAAAATACTAACAGGTAGAATTAAGCAACACATTGTTTAAATTATTTATTTGTTTGTTTATTTATTTATTTATTTATTTATTTATTTTGTAGAAACAAAATCTTACCATGCTGCCAGGGTAGTCTTAAACTCCTGGCCTCAAGCAATCCTCTTTTTCCAGTCTCCCAAAGCACTGGGATTACAGGCATGAGTCACTGCACCTGGCCAGAGTAATATTTTTAAAAAGCGATACATCATAATCAAGCTGGGTTTATTCCAGAAATGCAAGGCTGATTTAACATTTGAAAATCAATTAATGTAAATTTACCACATTAATAGAATAAAGACAAAGATCATATGACCATCATAGCAGATTATATTTTCCAACTATCACTGCAATAATATGTACCACTTGACATGCTTTTCTTCCAACTTGACCTTGGCACTCTTCCATCAAGAGTTGAAGTCTATGTCCCCTCCCCCTGGATCCTGGGTGGACCTCAGTGACTCCTTGACCAACAGAGTACAGCAGAAGTGGCCATGCATAACTCCCAAGGCTGGATCCTAAAAACACCCTGTATTTCCTTAAGCCTAAGAAGGCACAGAAAGAGGCCACTTGAAGGAGCTGTGGACAGTAATCCCAGTGGAAGCCCAGCCAACAACCAGCATCAACTGCCAGACACAAGAAAGGGAGGACACTTTCAGATGATTCCAACTCCCAACCTTTGGGTCTTCCAGCCGAGGCCACAGCCATGGGGGGCGAGTGGGGGCGCAGCACAGAGACAAGGCATGCTCATCCTGCCCTGTCCATTTCCCAACCCACAGAATCTGTGCCATAACAAATTTTTTTTGGCACCACTACATTTGGGGGTCGTTTGTTTTGTACACATAGTAATCAGAGGAGAGCAGCTTCTGGGGCTTTAAGAGCGTTCACTTTCTTGTTCCGGGTGCTGGTGGAACAGACGTCACCATTCTGTGATCATTCATGAACTCTACACTTACGATCTGCACACTAGTCTCTATGTAGGTGGTACTTCCATAAAAAGAACCCAAACAAGGATACCAAAGAAAAACGGGGAGGGGACGTGGAGCAATTTCCCTGTTGTAACTGTGGAGCAAGAGATAGATTGGCGCTGACAAATGGGAACATCCCTAACTGGTGGACTCTGTTTTCTCCGTAAAGACCATCTCCGGGAGGGATGTGTTCAGGGCCCTGGGCCAAGTGGAGGAGGAAGATGGCAACAGTTCTTACAGCAAGCAGGAGCCAAGACACGTGGTAGAACTGCAGGGAATCCTCAGGCCCATCTGGCGTTGATAACTGTGAGTTCCAAGCAGACTCGCTGGTCTGCTGGGGACTCTCCAGTGAGGATCATTTGTCAGCTGTAGCTGGGCTCCCCCAGGGTGGGCCCACGCTGCCACGGGGAGATGAGGGACATGGGAGTTCAGGGTACTGCGAAGATGTTACTGACATGGTGAACCTTGGGATCTAAGCTGCCTGAAGATAGAAGGAAGGACATGCTTGATGGATGAAGGGAAGACAGAGGAGTCAGTGCTGGCATCTCCCGGAAGTCCAGAACGTTCCTGGAGGGAGCCACTGACCAGCACACAGCAAGGAGAGGTGGCTAGAATCAGAAAGGGGACTGGAATTCGAATCAGTGATGTGGGCCATCCGTGGTGGCTCACGCCTGTAATCCCAGCATCTTGGGGGGCTAAGGTGGGAGGATCACTTGAAGCCAAGAGTTTGAGACCAGCCTGGGCAACATAGTGAGACCCCCATTTCTGAATAAAATTTTTTTTAATTAGCCGGGAGTGGTGGCCTGCACCTGTAGTTCCAGCTACTCGGGGAGGCTGAGACGGGAGGATTACTTGAGCTCAGGAGCTGGACGCTGCTGTGAGCTACAATCATGCCACTGCACTCCAGCCTGGGTGACAGAGCAATACCCTGGCTCTTAAAAAATAAATTAGTGATGTGGAAGCAGAGAAGTTATGAGTCCGTAGTTATGGCTTTATCACCATAACTACTAACCCTATCTCTCAGAATCCTCGTGCCTCGCACGGGTATCCAGTAACCCTGGAAAGAAAGACCGTAGTGAGTGAGTGACCCCAATCTGTGAGCATTGCACTGATAGAGAAGTTCCACGAGATGGCAGCATCGGCCCATGAGCCTTATGCCTGGCGCTCTCCGCTCCGCCCGTCGCACCGCCCCCCCGCCCCAACGCCCCGCACCCTCCCCCAAAAGGAGCCTGTGAAAAATATTCTGACTCTTCCTGATTGTTATGTCGCCTGCAGGTCAACAGACCCTGGGGAAGAGAAGAAGAGGAGAGCCTGTAGGGCTCCAGTCTTAAAGATGAGGGCTTGTGTGACCCCCACTCCCAACCACTTTTCATGGAGTCTCCTGGGTGGGTTCTGGAGGCAGAAAGGCAACCATGTGAATTTTGGCTCTGCCGCTGACTAGCTGTGTGACTCTGAATGAGGTACTAACCTCTTTGTGCCCCAGTTTCCGCATAAGCTAAACGGGGCTGACAATTGCACCGACCTCATGGTGTGTGGTGGATTCTACGGGATGGGGGCGGCCGTCAGGGGGCTGGAGGCAGAGCGGGAGCTGTGTCCTCTGGCTCACCGTCTTTAACAGCAATCCATACACCTACTCTGTGCCTCCTAGAAGGCTGTTAGGTTGTTATTCTCACCCCCTTTACAGATGAGAAAACTGAGGCTTGACTTCGTAGGGCCACATAAAAAGCATCCTAGCCCAGGTCTGTCTGGCTCCAGGGCCCAGTTCTGACCACCAAGCCAAGAGGCTTCCCTATCGGCCACCCTGGCCAGCCTTGGCATCTCATCCTCCAGTTCCCTGGGCCTGGAGCTGGTCCTCTTGTGATACTGGGATGGCTTCTGCCAGCACTCAGAACCTTTCAGGGCATTTCCAAACCAAGGAGAAACAAGGTGCTTTTTCTTTTCTTTTTCTTTTTCTTTCTATCTTTTTTTTTTTTTTTTTTGAGACAGAGTCTCGCTCTTGTTGCCCAGGCTGGAGTGCAGTAGCGCAATCTCGGCTCACTGCACCCTCCGCCTTCCTGGGTTCAAGCAATTCTCCTGCATCAGCACCCCGAGTAGCTGGGATTACAGGTGCCCACCACCATGCTCAGCTATTTTTTTTTTTTTTGTAGTTTTAGTAGAGATGGGGTTTCACCATGTTGGCCATACTGATCTCAAACTCCTGACCTCGTGATCTGCCCGCCTTGGCCTCCCAAAATAATCGCGCTTGGGATTACAGGCGCAAGCCACTGCGCCCGGCCAGGGTGCTTTTTCAAAGGATTAAGGATTGTAAAATGTCGATCCAGTGGAAAGTGCTTTGGCCATTTGGAGTTTTCCTTCCTTCTCTTCTCCTTCTTATCCTCCTCCTCTTTTTCTCCTCATGTATAAGAATAAAGATGCCTAATGGATGTAGTACTTTACCATTTACAAATATTTTCCCTGACCTTCTCCAACAATACTTGAGCACAGATGGTTGTTGTCATTGAATCCACTCGGTTGCAATGCCTCATATGCCCCAGCCAGATACAGAGTTGGGAGCTATCAAGGCAGAAAAGCATGGCCACTGCATTCCTAGACACAGATGGGGTTCAGGACACACTACCGCAAACTTATGACTGTAGGAGACCAGACCAGAATAGGCCACCCAAAATATGGCTCCTTGGCATAAGAATAATTCTGAGCTGGTTATTTTGAGAAACTGCAGACACAGGAGAAGCTCTAAGAACAAAAGGAAAACTTACCCTTTGAAAGAGAAACTTACATCTTTAAAAGAAATCATACATCAGGGTGTCTCCCTGTCTGCACCAGGAAGAGAAAGATGTCTCTAATCACTAGAAACACCAATGGAGAAGGCATGGACTTCAGTCTGCAAGACCAACCTTCCCCTTGTTGACTAAGCTTTTCCTGCCCACATCCCCACAGCTGGGCCTTCTTTCTTTGTTTCAGTTGAAGATGGCATTTAAGCCTGAACTCAAAGCCGTGGTTTTTGGAGATTTACTTATTTCTCTGAGTATTTCCCAAGTGCACATGACATATACACATTACTAAACTTCTGTTTGTTTTTCTCTTCTCAATCTCAAGATTGTTTCAGGTGTCTACCCTACCTCATGAAGGCTAGAAAAAATTACCTTTCCGCTCCTATAGCACTTATCAAAAGCAATGTTCAGGATAACTTCAGGCAAGGGACAGGAACCCAGCCAATTTCTGAGGCCTGCCCACCCCAGCCTCCCCATCCCTCCCCTCCCTGGAGTCCGCTGCTATGAAGTAGGTATTGTGAAAACACTTTTATTCTGTTTCCTCTCTACTTCCCTTTCTTGACCCAATCTCCCTCTTTTCTGATCATCTGTCAGGGTAAATGTTTTTATTACCTGGTCACTGAAGGGCCTGCTGGTCAGGGGCCAGGGCAGACTCAGAGCTCAGGGCTCTGGACCCCCATTCTCCTGTTCCTTCCCTGATCCCCCAAAGCCTCAAACATTCCCTGGGAAGCTGTGTGCCCAACAGTACCTGACTCATCTTGTCCCCAAGCTAGACATTACCACCGCCATCCGCCTAGATCCTGGAGGAGAAGACAAGCCCACATTGTCCGGGAAGCAGCCCCACGGATGCATTAGCAACCTGTTTCCTCCCACGGCTTTCTGCTTTCATGATGGAGGCCATCCCCAGAGCCCCTTCCTGAACTCAGCCCTAGCAACCAGCAAATCCCCAAGTGGCTGGCGCCTCCTCCATTTGGAGAAAGACCTCAGCCTCAGAGCTCTGGAAGAGGGCTCCTGGCACCTCTGATTCTCTAAGCAGGTGTCCTGAAACTGTCTCACTCACTCACATACATGCACATTCTCCAAAGATAAAGATAACAATGACTACAAACAACTCAGGACTCTGCATGAAGTAAAAGCAATCAAGTGACAAAGCACCGGAGCTTCACAGACATGGGTCATGGTCTTGGGGCTGGACCAGAAATAGCCCTGATCTGCTGCCCTCACTGAATCCTACGGCTTTGTCCCTCGTGCTGTCCCAGCTCCCCTCAGCCTCACCTGCCTGCCTGTAACCGGGCATGACAAAAAGAGCCTTGGCTCTGGGTTCTGCCACTCCATCACTGCCAGCTGTGTGCCCTGGGAAGCCACTTGACCTCTTTGAGCCTGGCTTTCCTCATCTGTAAAATGGGGACAACAGTCCCATTTCACTGGGTACTGGGGTGGGGGGGTGGAATCAAATGGGAGACTGTTCATGAAAATGCTCTGTATATTAGAGGATTTTTTTCCAACGTAAAGAGGCTAAAAATAAGGCCTGATGACTAAACTAACATATACACTATCACATTTTGGGGGTGGGGAGTGTCTTCCTTGGAAGTGATGGAAATTTGCATTGAGTGCCTGGCATGGATCACCTGACTTAATTCTCCCGACAGTCCTAAGCCGACCCTGGGTTTCAGAGAGGTTTAGTAATTTTACCATTATCCCTCAGCTTGTAAGCCTGGAGCTAAGCCCCTTCCTCTCCTGGGCCGGGGGGCTTTCTGACAATTTAGGGTGCTAGTCTCCAAACTCGCCTGCTGGTGGAGCTTGTTAAATAGATCCATTCTGGATCCCCATTCTGCACCCCCTGAGTGATGGGTTGTATTAATCCAGGTATTTATTGAACACAAATTATGTGCCCACGATGAGGGAAGAGCAAACAAAGCAGATACAGCACCACCCTCAGGGATTGGGGAGTGGCAGCAACCCTCCTGGGGAGAGGTCCCCAGAATCTGGATGTGTACTCGAGACTTTTATGATCAGGCCAGTGTTTGGGGAATGGTGGTTATAAAATGAGAGGCTGGGGCAGGGAGTGGGGATGTTCTGAGAACCTGTCCACACACTGACAGCCTCAATGGGTTCTGTGGCACCCCTGAGCCCTGGGATGGCAACTGCAAGAATTTACTATCCATGGTCACAGATCTTCAGGCCCTGTGAAGCATCCAGATCCCCGCTCTGAATAGGCCAACTGGGCCAGGACCGGGAGTCAGGAAGGTTTCCGCCTTTTTTTTTTTTTTTTTTTTTTTGAGATGGAGTCTTGCTCTGTCGCCCAGGCTCCAGGCTGGAGTGCAGTGGCACCATCTCGGTTCACTGAAATCTCCGCCTCCCGGGTTCAAGCGATTCTCCTGCCTCAGCCTCCCACATAGCTGGGATCACTGGCACGCACCACCATGCCCGGCTACTTTTGTATTTTCAGTAGAGACGAGGTTTCGCCATGTTGGCCAGGCTGGTCTCAAACTCCCGACCTCAGGTGATCCGCCTGCTTCGGCCTCCCAAAGTGCTGGGATTACAGGCGTGAGCCACCGCGCCCGGCCCCTGCTTTCTTAAAGAACACGCGGCAGCTGTGTGTTACACGCTATGGCTGAGGTCAAGTGTGAGGGCTGGAATTGCTGACTGCCATGTTCTGGGTCTACTGAAAATAGCTGCCTGGCCTGGGAGGCCCAGTTCAGTCCGGGTGTGGGTCCCGCTTCACCTCCAGAGCAGCGGCAGCCGGTAAGGGTAGAAGCGGCCTTTGGAGAGGGGTCTCTGCAGCGGCCTGGGGACAAGATGAGGGCTCCTTTGAGTCCTGGGGTGCAGGTTATAGTAGCTAAAGGGGAGGTCTGAGACAGTGGGGTCTGGCTCCAAGGTAAAGAAGGAGCAGCAACCAAAAGGCCTGATGCGCAGCGCACCCATCGCAAGCATGGGCAGTGCGTTTAAGACTGGGTGACTCACTTTTTCTCCTATAAAATGGGCGCACGCAGGCCCCAGCTCAGCGCCAGAAGGGGGAGCCCCGGCGCGCCGGCAGAAGACAAAGGAAAAAAGCGTGTTTGCAAACGGGGAAGCGGCGGCGTGCTGCCGCGAGGGGCGGGGCGGGGCCGGGGGAGGAGCCCGCCTGCCGCCTGCCAAGCCCAGTGGTCCTGGCCGTGCGCCGGAGGCAGCGGCGGCGTGGCGCAGCGGCGACAGTAAGTGCGGGCCGGCTCGGGCTCTTCCGGCTACGGTCCCGGCCGCCCCCAGACTCGCGCTCAGCGACCTCCCTCCCGGGCCCTGGGGGCGGCTGCGGGCTGCCAGGGGAGCCGCAGGACCCTACCCCATCCGTGGTCCCTTCCCCACCGTCCCTCCTCTCTCTCCTTGCTCTCTGCCACCCCTCTTTCTGGGTCTCTATCTTCTCTTCCCCAAATCCTCTCCCCTCCTCCTCCCTGAGACTGGACCTCACCGCCTGTATGGTGGGGGCCTGGTATGGACCCGTCGGCCCGAAGTATCCAGACGGTGGCTGATTCTCTCGGTCCCAGCTGCGGGGCCTGAGGCTGGGGCTGTTTACACCGCAAAGCCGGTTCTGCCGCGGCCAGTAGGCGGTGCCCTGCGCTTCCCAGTGCCTTCCCACAGGTTAGCCCTACCAGCTCCCCACCCCGGTTCACAGCCCAGGAGATCGAGGCACAGAGGGGCGAGCCACCTAGCCAGAGTCAGGAACCTCCTTGGAACCAGCACCCAGGCTTCCCAGCCCAGATGAGGTTTTGCCGCGGCCCCAGCAGTGCCTGCCTCCTTGTGTGGGGCTGTCTGTCTGTGCATGGCCGGGCTCCCGCAGGTGACCCAGGAGCACGTTCCAGGCCACAGCCAGCTTGTTTTGGGGAAGGTTGGGCACTTCCTTGCCTGCCTTTCTCTTTATTTTTTAATCCAGAAGCCAGCAGCTAGCTTTTATAAAGACTAATAAGACTTTGCTCACTCCAGTGCCCTGGCCTGTGACCCTGGTTAGAGAAAATTCCTGGCTCCTTCTTCAGAAGCTCAGTCAAGCCTTGACAAATAGACGCTAGGAACTGAGAAGGGGGCCCTAGCCAGGTGTGGTCCTGAGTGACAGGGCTGGTGGACCTTCTAGCCGCCCCCACAGGTAGCTGGAGCCTCTGGAAAGAACCACTTGCCGGTTCTCTCTTGTTCTATGTGGGTGGGTCATGATTATTTTTTACATTTTAAACACTAATTTTTAAAATGTAACAAGTGAGCTTGTTACATTTGTACCATTTTGTGCCAGACAAAATAGCATAGACTGGGTGGCTTAAACAAAATTTGTTTCTCATGGATCTGGAGGCTGGGAAGGGCAAGATCAAGGTGCTGGTTGATTTGGTTTCTGATGAGGGCTCTCTTCCTGGCTTGCAGACAGCCTCCTTCTTGCTGTGCCTTCACATGGCTTTTCCTCTATGAGTGGGTGCATGTGGAAAAAGCGATTTTCCACACAGTGAGCTTCCAGACAGTGAGCTTGTTAATGCTGGCCTCCATGCGAATCCAGGCTGGGGAGGGGCTCTGCTAACCAGGGGAGTTTAAAATAGACTTGCTGGCTGGATGCATTGCACTTGGGCATCCAGTGGCCCCCCACCTGCTGGCTCCAGGGTACATGCTACCCCAGCAGGGGAGAATGTCCTGGTCGTGCAGAGTCCGTTCATTCAGCAAACATTGACAAGGGTGCCTGCAGTGTGCCTGGGCCCCTCCCGACTCACTGGCTTCAAGGCTTGCAGGAAGGATGCCTGTACTTGGAACCAGCAGACACAGATTCCCATTCCCAGCCAGTCCTCCCCGGTGTGCTGAGGAGTCCAGCATGGGCCCCAGTCTGCTTGGCTGTGTAACTTCACTCTTGTCATCTACTAGTTATGTGACCCTGGGCAAGTTACTCAACCTTTCTGAGCCTCAGACCCCTCTGTGAAATGGGTCTTAGAGTAGTACCTAATATATTAGGCTGTTGTCAGCCTCAAGTGTGACCTCTGTTAGGCACAGACCTTGGCATTTGTGATCACTGGACTTAAGTTTAGCTATTGGGAGTTCTTTCTATTTGTGGGACATAGCAAGTGCCTTCCAGACCTCAGTTTTTCCATCTGAAAAAAGGGGGCAATGTTTTCTGCCCTGCCTAATTCCAAGGGATGCTCTGAGGTTCTCCTGAAATAGTGGATAAGGTTCTGCACCCATGTGAGGAGGTGTTCCCATCCCACCAGGGAATAAAGGCCCCAGTCTTCTTGGTACGATGCTTTGAGTTAGGCTTAGCCTCCTATAGAAACCAAGATGCATTTATTTATTAGTTTATTGGGTGGGGAAGAGGCTACTGCAGAAGGGACTCTGAAGTGTCCCATCCTCAGCATTTTGGAGACATTTCTCATTTATCAAGCTGCTGCCACATCCTAGGTGCTATGTAGAGCAAAGAAGCAGGCATGCTACCTTACAGCCAAATTCAGCAGCCAGCCAGCCAGCCATGCGACAGGCCCAGGATGCCAGGGAGATGCTGACATTTGTTCAACAGCTGCTTATAGGCCAGGCATTGCCAGCCAGTTGCAGTTGCATAACTATCATAAAAACAGCTTCTCTGGGTTTACATTTGGGGAAATTGAGGCACAGAAATGTGGTAACTTGCCCAAGGCCATGTAGGCAATAGTTGCTGGCAGCCTAGGCTCTTCCATTTATCTTAGGCGCTACCATAGATTGAAAGTGGCTGGCTCCTTGTAGGGTGTGATGAGCAGAGGTGGGACCCAGGCAGGAGCTGCAAACCCAGGCTTGGCCATTTACGTGGCCTATGGCCTTCAGTTCTTTGGACCTCTCTTTCCTCACAAATGAAATGGGAATGGACTGTCAGAGGCTACACACCAGCTTCTGGAGGCAGCCCTGGACACTACCAGTTTTTTAAACAATTATTACTTAATTTGAATTTTTTTAAATTTACACTTTTAATTTTGTTTTTGAACCGGTAATAAACTAGTCACATAGTTCAAAATTCAAGAGACACAAATAAGAATGCAGGGAAGTCCCCCTCCCCGCCCCCCACCATCCCAGTTTCCCTCCTTAGAGACAGCCACTGTTAGAAACTTCTTATGTAGCCTTCCAGAGATATTCTGTGCATATACAAATACATATGTGTATGTATATTTTCTCTCCCCACTTTTTTTACACACATAGTAGCATATTCTACACACCATCCTGCTCCTTATTTCTTTCACCTGAAATCGAAAAGGGTTTAGAGATCATTCTTTGCCCATTAAGGGTCCTAATTCTTTTTTATGGCTGCACAGAACTGTGAATGCCCTTAGACCAGGTTTGCCTTTCTGGGTACATTGCCACAGTCCCCACTATCATGCAGTGTTTTACAAAACCCAGCCTGTTCCACAGTTATGTGCTACTGCTACCTCTGTTGCCCTTGCATGGTTGGGGTGACCTCTGAGGACACTTACAGTTCTGACATCCTGCCCTTCTCCAGGTCTGATTTTTGTCTTTCTCCCTGATCCTTAAAATGAAGCTCTCCAACCAGGCTTTGGTGACTTTACAGAGCCCAGGGTGAGGGGGCATGGTCATTTTGTAGGCTGGGTGGGTCCCCAGCTGTCCCCCAGCCTTGGTTTCTACTCACCTACCCTGTCTCTGTTGCCCTCCTTGCTCCAATAGTGGCCGTTGTCTCAGAGGACGACTTTCAGCACAGTTCAAACTCCACCTACAGAACCACAAGCAGCAGTCTCCGAGCTGACCAGGAGGCACTGCTTGAGAAGCTGCTGGACCGCCCGCCCCCTGGCCTGCAGAGGCCCGAGGACCGCTTCTGTGGCACATACATCATCTTCTTCAGCCTGGGCATTGGCAGTCTACTGCCATGGAACTTCTTTATCACTGCCAAGGAGTACTGGATGTTCAAACTCCGCAACTCCTCCAGCCCAGCCACCGGGGAGGACCCTGAGGGCTCAGACATCCTGGTAAGGGCATGTTTCTCCTGCAAGGCTGGTGGGAGCATACAGAGGCCTCATGCCTCACATGCAGGGGAAGATGGAGATTTCAGACACATTTCCAGCCTTTAGATCACTTACTGTTTAGCTTGGGAAGAAGATGCAAATTATGGTTCCATGTGGTGTGTATGGTAAACCCATAAATCCAGAGTCCATGCCTCCAGGGATGTGAAGGTATGGACTGAATAGTGTTATGTTCAGCTATGAGTTACAGAAAATTCCAAAAGACTAGTAACTAAAATGAGATGGAAGGTCATTTTTCTCCCATGTTCAATTCTGGTCGGGACAGCCCAAGGCTGGTATGATGTTCTATGGCATTAGGAACCCAGTTGCTTCACTTCTGTGCAGCTTTCATGGCCAAGGCCACCTCATAGTGCAAGACGGCTGTTGTAAGTCCAGCCATTACATCAGTAGGAAAAAGCAAGAGGAGAAGGAGGAAATGCCTGTTGCCTGTACGAACACTTCCTGGAAGTAACATACATTGCTCTTCTTACATTGCATTGGTCAAAACTTAGGCATGTGACCACATCAGCTTGCAGAGCAGGCTGGGAAATGTAGTCTTTCAATGTAGCTTTATCTCAGAACCATGTGCCTGCTAAAATGGGAGGTTCTGTTATGGAAGACAAGGAAAATGAATCCGAAGGGATAATTAGTCTGATCACCATGGGAGAGATTGCTGTGACTTGGGAGTTGGTGGGTTTCAAGAAAGGGGAGGAAACGATCCAGGTAGAAGAAAAAGGCTGGGCAACGGCAGAATGGGAGGAAAGTTCAGGTGTGTATGACAAACTGTGAAGCTGTGTTTGGGGCACAAGTAAGAGCAAGAGGTCTTGAGATCATTGCCTGGGGCCTTGAATGTCCAGGTGAGGAGTCAATTTTGTTTAGTTGACAGGGCTGCTCACTTTGCTGGGTGGCTTTTCCAGAGAGGTGGGGGCAGTAGGGGAAGAGGATTAAGGAAAAAAATTATACTGACACTCGTTAAAACAGTAAGGAAAGCTTTATTTAAGACTATTGTAGTAGGGGAGATAAATGGAGCTCAACTCTGAAGAGGAGATGGGGATTTATAGCCAAGGAGCAGCATGAGGGCTGGAGGATGGAACATTTCTAAGAGGAGACGTCAAGGCGAGGCCTCTGCTTGCTGAAAGCAGGCCCAGGACTTACACAGTCAACCCTTGAACAACAAGGGTTCACTTTAGATGCAGATTTTTGTTTCAGCCAAACATGGAAAATACAGTATTTGTGAGTTGTGAAACCTGCATATACAGAGGGCCGACATTTCCTATTCCTGGTTCTGTAAGACCGACTGAGTATGCTTGGGTTTTGGTATATGGGGGGATCCTGGAACCAATCCCTTGGGTATACTGAGTGGGGTGAGGCGCTTGATCAGATGTGAGATAAGGGAATATTCTGGCTCAACTGGCCCAACAGAATTCTTGTTGAAAGCAGGTCTAGGACTTACACAGTCTACTGTTAAACAATATGGGTTTGAATTGCAGGGGTTCATTTATATGTGAAGTTTTTCAAACAAATGCTGATGGAAAATGTACTATTAGTGGAGTTCAAAACCTGATTACAGGGAGAGCTGGGTTCCACAAGGCTGGCTAGGGACCTGAGTATGTGTGGATTTGGGTATAGGTGGGAGTCCTGGACCAATGCCCTGAGTATATGGAGGGACAGCTATACATCAGAGGTGGGGAATGAGGAACTTGATCAGATCTCAAAGGTGGGGGGATGCTGGCTAATCTGACTTTGAAGGATTCTTGGCTAAGACTGAGTTGGGCAGGCAGAAGTCAGGACTGGGGGGTCGGGCCAAGGTCGAGGATGGGGCTCAGAGGAGCCTGACGAAAGTTAGGTCAATGAGAGTCTTGGTCAGGAGCCTCCGTTTCCACGGCTGCCCCAGGCTGGTGTCTGATCTCACTTGAGAGCACGGGGAGGCAAGGGCTTCTCCGACAAATGCCGAGATGAGATGTTGCCAGCTGCCCAGCTGTGCCCTTCTTCTCCAGGGGAGCATCAGAAACAAGAAGGGGGTATGCTAGCACCCCAGCCGCACCTTCCAGTGGCCCAGGAGGTGGCTCATCACTGCTTCCCAGAAGGAAATCCTTGGCCTCGCCCTGAGGAGCTGTCCTCAGTTTTATAGGCATGAATCTGCCATAGTGAGGGAGGCATCCCTGTTGTCCATCTCAAGGACTCACTGCAGCTACACATGTGGGTCACCCAGGCAGCTTCTTAAAAAATACCAGTCCAGAGTCCTTTTGTAGTTCATGAGTGTGATGACTGGGTTTCCACGCACATGTGTGAGATGGGCCTCCCTCAAACCTTGTTATGTCATCGGCACATTACCCGTCCGATGAAAAGGAATAAAAATACCAATGCGGGCCACGCCCCAGGGATTCTGACTGGATTAGCCTGAGCTGGGGTGTGAACATTGATATGTTTACAACTTCACACTTCCACACTCCTGTACTCCACCCCTCAACTCCCCCCATGATCTGACACCTGTGAGGGCCTTTTCTGTTAACTGAGGAATTCACAGATGCCTCCCAGGGCCAGAGCAATGGGATATAAACCATTTCTACAGCTGAGGAAGTGCCACAGGAACGCCGCAGAGTAGTTTACAGCCCCTCAACTCAAGGTGTGTCCTTGGACCAGCAGCCTCACCTGGGAGCTTGTTAGTGATGCAGTCTCCCACCCACTCGAGGCCAATTGAGACAGGGCCTTCGAGCTACCAAGCCCCTCGGGTGACTGAAGGGCACAGTAGAGTTTGTGGTGCACTGGACAGGGCTTGGCTGTGTGAACTCTCCATGCTGCCTCATATTTCTGGACTATATTAGTACTTTTTTTTTTTTTTTTTTTGAGACAGGGTCTTGCACTGTCACCCAGGCTGGAGTGCAGTGGTGCAGTCAAGGCTCACTGCAGCCTCAACCTCCCTGGGCTCAAGTGATGCTCTTGCCTCAGCCTCCTGAGTAGCTGAGACTACAGGCACACACCACCATGCCTGACCAGTTTTTTTGTATTTTTGGTAGAGACAGGGTCTCACTATGTTGCCCAGGCTGGTCTCAAACTCCTGGGCTCAAGAGATCCGCCCGCCTCAGCCTCCCAAAGTGCTGGGGTTACAGGCATGAGCCACCACACCCGGCCATCTTTCTGGTATGTTAAAGGAAGATATTATAATACCACCACCAACTTCTTAGGGCTGTTGTGAGGATTAAGTAAATTAATATGTATTAAAAAGCACTTAGGACAGGGCCTGGCACCCCTATCTGAAGTGCTTTATAAACACTATTATTGTGATGATCATTTGAGGGATGGGCCCATACTTCTAAGCTGCCTGCAGCCCTGGTGCATTTCCACAGGCGCAGGCTTAGCCGGGGTGCTTTACAATCCGCTTTTATTTACCAGTGACTCCAACGTCCCAGCTTTCTGCCAGCCGTGGTAAATCACCTGGCCTACTGGGCTTCCTCCAGAAGGTCCCTGCCTGTCTCGGCCGGCACAGAGCTAGATTGCGTGTGCACCTGCCCTGCCCCTCCTCTGTCCACTGCCAGGTCCCCGGGATCAAGCAGCCTCTGGAGGGAGGGGTGTCCAGGCCTGGCTCTGGGAGCAGCCCTCGCCTCGTGTACTGCTTTCACCGCAAGGCGATCCCTTCCCAGCTGCAGGCACTTGGCATTCTGAGCCCTGCTACGATGCTTTATGGCCTCTCTCCAACTGCTGGCAGGTGCAGATGTAGTACCTTCAGCTGCCCGGAGCTCCTGGCTCTTGGCATCGGAGATGAGAGACCTGTCACCCCTCGATTCATGGGCCGGGATTGGGAAGCGAGCATGCTGAGGCATTTCTGCATTTTGCGGGCCATTTCTCTTTGCCTCATTCCTCATCCCAGCCACCCACCTCCCCAGCTCTTTCCTCCTCTCTTCCTGATTTCCCTGTGAGAGGCTGCCCGTCTGCCCTGTCACCTGAGGGCCACTTTAGGGGAAGGAGGGGGAGAGTCAAATTGGCCTGTCTCTAGCCACCACCTGCAACTCAATTAGCTGTGGGTCTAGATGTTTATTCTTTCCTGTACTTTCCTTTGAACATTTTCTGGGGATGGATGCCATTTGATGGGGAGCTTGACCCAGGAGGAAGGTTTACCCAGACACCCTCTCCCCCAAATTATGTCACTTTCAAGGTCAGCGGGCTCATTTCCTTCTGCCTGGACAAATGTGGGGATGGCTTAGAAAGTATCCTGCTCACTCTGCCCTCCTGTCTCTATTCTCTGGAATAAGAACCTCCAATAAATATATCACAGGTGTATTGGCCCAGGGCAAAACAAAATTTAGAGCATAAATGAGGAAGAATTGATAAGAGAAGATGGCACAGGGGCCTGCAACAGCCGCCATTGCCTGAGCCCGACTCTGGGCCCACCATCCTGGCAGGGGTATTGCATGTGTTGTTTCTCAGCCCTGCAATGCAGATCTTAGTAACCATTTTCTTAAGACAAAAAGCCAGAGGCTCAGAGAGGCTAGGTAACCTGCCTGAGATTACACAGCTAGGAAGGGCTATAGGGAATTTCACGGGGCATTGAGGTGGACAGATGATTACAGACTCATTCATACTCAGAGAGTGGTATGTAGGGTACTATCCTGGAGATTCCCCACCCCCCACCCCCACACTTTGACTCCACCAAACACCATCTTCCTTCCTTTGGAGAGCCTGCCCCTGGTCTGGCCTCCTTTTCCAGCCTGAAACCCCAGGTGCCTGGGTTCTACACCTGGGTCCTGGACCCAGCGTCCCTTGTCCCTTCCCTACCTGACCTGTTTAGCTGGAGGTCCTCCCCGGCTCTGGGGTTGTAAGCCATCCCCTGCCCTGTGGGGCCTCCTTGCCCTCCCCCAGGCTCTCCTGCAGGCCTGTATTGGCTGCCCTTGGCCAAGAACAAAACAGTGAGCTGGACAAGCCCTACTTCCTACCCCGGAGAGAAGAGTGTCTGCACCTTCTCCTGGCCATTCCTTGCTGCAAGGCCCCCACAGCCGCTCTCTACACCTTCCTTCCTGTGTACCTCGGTCTGCCCAGGGACTCCTCTCTGAGGGACTGCAGGATGCGGCCAGGTCATGAGTGGGACCTACAGCCCGACTTAGTGTCAGCAGGGCTGGGACCCGGGCTAGGCACTCTACTGATGCCCCTGTCCATCCCCCCATCTGACCAGGAGGTACCCCAACACTCAGTCCCAGGGGTGAGGCAGGAGACAGAAGCAGCTCATCCCTGGGCACGTCCCCTGAAGCCACCTCTCTGAGTTAGGGGCTCCATGCCTGGGTCTTCAGAGCTGCATCATACTTCCCCATCACGTTCCTGCCCTACAGCTCATGGAGACCGAGCGCTGGCTGGGTGGGAGCTCCTGCTCTCAGCACTTTGCCTGCATTATCTCATGCAGCGCTGCAGCACCCGTAGGTCAGGAACTGTTATCATCCACCATGACAGATGAGGAGGCCTCCCCCGCTGGTGAATAAAACTCTCTTACTCTACATCCTATGCCCCTGGTACACCTGGCATGACACCCAACACATAATAGCACATAAATATTTGTCACATTAGTTATTGTAAGTCTGAGAAGGAAAGCTCCACAACCCAATCCATGATAGTGATGCCATGGCTCTGCAAGGGAGCAGAAGAAGATCTGGGAGTCACAGTGGCTACCAGTAAAGGAGTTTTGATCTTTCAGGTGTGTTGGCATAGACATGAAGTGGGGTTCCTGCCATAGGGAAGGTAGCCAGGTTGTCCTGGTTCAGCAAGTGGGGGACCTAGGGCATCCCCTCCCCTTATTTCCAGTTCCTTAGTTCTGGTCCAGTCTCTCAGCCCTGCAAAGAAGCAAGATAGCATACTTGGGATCTGCCCTTGAAGGGCTGACCTCCCAATCCAAGGAGGAAGTGTTCAAAGGAAGCAGGATGAGCTTGTGTGGAGAAGAGGATACTGGAGGACAGGTTATCAGAGGTTACCAAGTCCCTGCCATGCAGCCTGTACCCACCTCCCGCTTGACCTGCCATCTTCTTTTTCCACATGACATCCTGGTGAGCTAGGTGCTGCCATTCCAGTTGCCAAATGAAACCAAGGCTCACAGATTTTAGGCCACTGACCCAAGGTTATTTGCTAGCAAGTGATAGAACTGCAGAGCCCATGCTTATAACCAGCGTGTTCTCCAAGCTATCTGTCTACCTTGGCACGCTCAGCCCTGGCTGCACATCGGGATCACCTGGGAAGCTTTTAGAAAATACCCCACCTGCGTGTGCCTGTAATCCCAGCTACCCAGGAGGCTGAGGCAGGAGATTCGTTGGAACCTGGGAGGCAGAGGCTGCAGTGAGCCATGATCGTGGCACTGCACTCCAGCCTGGGCAACAGAGCAAGACTCTGTCTCAAAAAAAAAAAAAAAAGAAAAGAAAATACCCCACATCCCACGTGTTCCACTCACCCAATTCTAATTCATTCTGAGGGGCCTGGGCACAAGCATTTTAAGTTCTCTAGATAAGGCTAATGTGTAGCCAGATAAGAACCGTGATCCAAGCCAGGTGTGGTCGCGTGTGCCTGTAGTTCCAGCTACTCAGGAGGCTGAGGTGGGAGAACAGAACAGTGAGCTTGAGCCCAGGAGTTCGAGTTCAGACTTGGCAACATAGTGAAACACCAGTCTCAAAACAAAAAGGACTATGATTCAAGTAAAATGTTACCACATAGGGAGAAAAAGCAGCTGTCCTCTGCCTCCACTAGAGTACCCATTAACCCATTAAACAGGCAAAGGCTACATCATGAGAGACTTAGGTGAGCCTTCTGGGAGAACTTCCTGCCATGCAAGTCGAGTTGTCAAACCTGGCAGTGAAGGGGACAGTTTCCCCCTTGGAGAATTAGGGCCACATCCTGTGGGAAGTCTAAGGAGTTGGCCTAGTCTACCTCGAGTGTGGGGTTCCTCATGGGACTCCCTACAAATGTAGGTGGTTGGAGGGTTCGGTGCTTGTCTAACGGAAATGCTCTGGGCTTGAGCTCCACCCGCAAGCCCACAGTTCCACGCCAGCCAGTGGTGGCCCCTGGAAGAGCCTTTGCCCTTTCTCTTGGTAATGCTCCCCTTTGCTGGGCCAGGGGGCCAAGGGATATAGTTAGGAGATGGGGGCTCCACAGCCACCCTCCTCTTCCTTCCAATTTCCCAGGCTCCTGGAAAAGGAGTGATAGGGCCAACTGGGCTCAACATGGGCATCCTACACCTGGGGTGGCACAAAGCAAGAGCAAGTGAAACTGGGAGAGCAGAAGAGAGGCAGTCCTGAGGCCCTGACCCAGCTGGGTAACCTCTCTGTGCTGTGTCAGGGAGTGGAGGCTCCCTGTTCCCAGAGGTTTAAAAGTCACAGGATATCTATTTGGTAAAGGCTCCACAGCTAGGTGAAAGGTGGATTGGTCCTGTCTCATAGGACCACAAGGTAGCTGGGAGGAACCCAGATTTGGCAACAGAGGGACTCTAGTCTAGCAGTGCCCTTACCCACTGTGTGGGTTGGAGGCATGCTCTGTCGCCCTTGGGCCTTTTGCCCACAGACCCACCTGGCAGCATTTACATAACGCTGCAGACACAGGTAGGGTGGAAAGTCCTGACAGTTATGGTGTGCCTTATAGATGGTGGCTCCTGCATGAGGACTTCACTAAATCCCAACATTCGCTGCCTTTACTAAGCTCTTACCATGTGCCAGGCACTGCTAAGGGCACAGATTCATTCATTAACTCAGCAATATTTATTAAGCAATCTACTGTGTACTAGAAGCTTTTTTTTTCATGATCTTTTGTTTGTTTTTTTTTTACAGCCCAAAGACATAGGTTTATTATACCCATTATACAGAGAAGGAAACCAAGGTTGAAAAGTTTAAGTCATTTGCTCCCAGGTACAAAGTAAGTGATGACTGGGACTCAGACCTGGGCCCTGTCAACCCAGGTATCCGTGATCTTAACCCCAGTGCTTTATATCAGCATTTTCGAAATTTTTTGGAGCATGATGGCTGTCTCACCTGGCAAGATATTTGTGTCTATAATGCAAACAACAGTTTCATGAAGCTGCGTCTGTACTTAAAAAAAGAAAACTCCACTCTGACTGCAGTTTCAAGGAGGAGCAAGTGATGCAACAGTGGCAGTGCTGGTTGTAAGCCATGCAGGATGAGGATGGAAAGTTTGTCCTTGAGTTTGACCTTGTGCAGGTTCATGGTGACCTTGGGGAGCAGCATCGTGGAGGATGGGGGGAGAGACAGAGGAGACAGCAAACTCAAGGAATTTTGCTTTAAATGGGAGCAGGACAATGAGGCACAAGCTGCAGGGAACTGTGATTCAGAAGGGGGAGAATTTTCTGTTCTTTTATTTTTAATACGAGAGACATAGCAGGCAGTTTGTGTGTGGAAGCAAATGATCCAGCAGAGAAGGAAAAACGCATGATGAAGAAGAGGGAGCATAGCTCAGCGAGGTCCATGAGCAGGCCAGAGGGCTCAGGTGCACAGAGAAGGGTTCCAGAAAAAGATGCAGACAGCTCACTCACCTTTAGTAAGAAAGAAGGCAACAAAGGATTAAATAGAATAAAATAAAATTCTGGTCGTGACCCATCAAATGAATTTCATATTCTTTAATGAGCTGTGCAACCTGTAGTTTGAAAAACCCTGCTCTGCCTGTTTCCCCTAACTTTGTAGCCATCTATGAGGATGCGTCATGTCCTCATTCCACAGAGGAGGAAAGTAGAGACAGTAAGTAACTCGTTGGTGCCACATAGCTAATAAGAAGGGGGGTGGCAGCCCAGGGTACCTGAATCAGTATCAGATTTCCTGGGACACTTGCCAAATACCCGGATTCCTAGACCCTTCCCTGATGGCTTTATCTCCCTGGGTGAGGCCTGGGCACTGTTGCCAGGTGGTCCTGTTGCCAGCTGGCCAGGGGAGCAGGTATCTAGGAGTCTCTCCTTTGTGCCAGGTGGTGTTCCTGCAGAACCGTTTTAGTGCTACTCAGATCTCTCTCCAAATGGAAACAATGTTTAGACTCCCTTTGCAATCCTCTTTTATTCTTTTTTTCTTTTTTCTTCTCTTTTCTTTTTCTTTTTTTTCTTTTTTTTTTTTTTGAGACACATTCTTATTGTATCGCCGAGGTTGGAGTGCAGTAGTGCGATCTTGGCTCCTGGGTTCACTCTGCCTCCCGGGTTCAAGTGATTCTGCTGCCTCAGCCTCCTGAGTAGCTGGGATTACAGGCGCCCGCCACCACACCTGGCTAATTTTTGTATTTTTGGTAGAGATGGGGTTTCACCATGTTGGCCAGGTTGGTCTTGAACTCCTGACCTCAAGTGATCCGCCCACCTTGGCCTCTCAAAGTGCTGGGATTACAGGCGTGAACCACTGCACCCTACCAGCAATCCAATGTTTAAGAGCAGAATTCCCAAGAGTGGAGAAGGGCACAACACCCCTCCTCCCCGCATAGAAAGAAGTGTATTAAAGTGGGATTTTGCCTGAGCTTTGTCATCCTAGGAAAAGAGATGGGGAGTCTGAGGTCAGGCAGCATGGGCTTCAGGCTTTCTGCCACTGGGTGTGCATGAGTGGCTGCCAGTTGCTTTGGCTGGCGTGGATGACTGCTCTACACCATTTTTAAAAATTAGAACCAAAAGTGAGTCATTTTTTAAAATCCCCTTGTCCACCCTCTGATTCTAACTGCGGGCCCAGCCAGCGTGCCATTCCCAATAAATAATACACCTGTGATGGCTTTTTCTTCTGTTTTTAGCTCTTGCTGCATCCTGCAGAGGGGAAAAAAGCCTAGTTTGAAACGCTGTCAGTCATGCCTTTGGTGGCCTCAGCTTCTCTAGTTCTCTTCTTATTTTCTCCCTAAGTGCTCACGACCCTTCTTCCCCACCCGCGCTGCGCTCCCTTGCCCTCCAGGCTATTGACTGCTCCCTCTCTGCCTTCGATTTTATTTCTTCCTGCATATATCCTTAAAATCCAGAGGCGATTTCCTGGACAAATTAGAAGATGGCCTGGACCTTAAGTGCTCCAGTGTCTCTTTAACATGATTGATATCACAAGTGTCCAGAGAGCGGAACCTAAATTAGAGTCTCCACCAAGGAGCCCAGCGCTTTTGACACAGGCAGGCAGCCTGGGAAGGGTCTGCAGCACTGGGTGCCTGGGACCTCCTTGCTGGCCTCTTGCCGGTCCTCACTGCCTGGGAGGACTGTGTAACAGCCTTTGCCTGTTTAATGGGTTAATGAGTACTCTAGTGGAGGCAGAGGACAGCTGCTGTTTCTCCCTATGTGCCTGTGTTTCTGTGCACGTCTGTGCCTGTCTGCATGCAGGCACCTGAGGCCTAGAGCAGCCTGTGGTTTCTGCCCACATGCACCTCCAAAGAGAAACAGCCTTCCCAAGGCGGGAGCAGTCTGTTGTTGAGGAAGTGCCTGCCAGGGGTTGGCTAAGGACTCCCTCTTCCTGATGGTCCCTAAGGTTTTCTACTACAGAGAGAGGCTGGAGCACCCCCAGACCACCTCCTCATTACCACCAGGCCACAGGGCATGGCCCTTGTCCCTGGTCATCAGCCTTGTGACACTGATGCACGGGACCCTCTGGGGGATGCAGAAGCCTGCCCGGTCAGGCAAGAGTAGGTGGGGTGTTTTCTTGAAAGGCCTTCTTCCTCTTTTCCCTATCACATGGCAGAAGTCAGGCTGCAGAAGAGGAAAGACTGGCTGGCCCGAGCATCAGCAGTGGCTGAGCCTCTGATCAGCTCATCCTCAGGGAGCTTGGGGTCACTCGTGCATGGATCCGTGAGGTTCCCTGTTTCTCTGACCCCTTGGTTTCTGAGCCCTTACTCTGCCTATTCTGGTTACAGCCTGAGAGTACATGAGGGGAATAAAGGGGATAAGAATCAGAGCAGTCAGCTTGCCCCTTGCTAGGGGACCTTGCGAAGGCTTGGCCGAGGCAGGGTATAAAGGTAGGTAGAAATGAGGTTTCCATCTTCCTTGCTCACCCTGCCTGGCAGAAAGACTCTGGATTCAGGAGAGCTGGCTTCTGTTTCTGACTGTGTTTCAAACTTGCTGGGTGACTTGAGACCATGTCCTCCTTTGAGGAATGAAGATATGAGACCGTAGATTGGGACCCAGAAACTTTTCCCGCAAAGGGCCAGATGGTTCGTATTTTAGGCTTTGTGGGCCCCACAGTCTCTGTTTGCTACTCAGCCCTGCCCTTGCAGAGTGAAAGCTGCCCTTGACAACATGTAAACAAATGGGCTGACCGAAGGCCGACCGCGTTCCAGTGTTCACACAAAGGAAGAGGGCAGATTTGGCCCGGGGGTAACCCGCTGCTAACCTCTGGACTGGGAACACTCACTTACAGCTCTTTCCCAGTTCTGTGATCTATTATAGTGGTACCTACCCTGCTGAATTTGTCTTCATATCACTGACCACTGCCTGGCCTATTATCTATTTGTTTATGCATTTGCTAGCCATCTCTTTGACTAGATGGGCAGTTCCATAAAGGCAGGAACTTGAGCTGAATCTCCCATGTCTACAACATCTAGCGAGCTCAGTAAATATTTGCAGAAGGATGAATCCATCTCTGAGTATTTGTGGAGAGGAGACAGGGACAGGAGGAAGAACCGCCATCGCTGGATTGTGCACCGTGATCCCGCAGTGCACCTCCACCACAGCCTGCACACCCGGACCTGCCTGGGCCCCAGCCTCCCCCCATCCCCATTCATACTCCAGCTCACCCCTGTGGAGGCTTGAGCACATCAAGCTCATTCCCGACTCAGGGCCAACCGTACGCTGTTCCCTCTGTCCAGGCTCTAGGTTAGCCAATTATTTGTATTTTAGTTTTATTGCATTTATCCTAATTTGCAGTCTTTTTTCCCCCCACTTGCTGTTGACTCTTTTTTTTTCTTTTTTTTTTTTTTTGTGCCTCCCTCCCTAGAACACTGGCATTCCCAGCCCCTAGAACACATTGAGCACATACAAGCTGCTTGGCCATCATTTGTTGAATGAGTGAATGAGCTCTAGAAGGTCAACTGCCTTTCACCTTTAGTGAGTGAATAGATGAATGAATAAATTAACCACTGCTACCTGCTTCTTCCCATCTGCTCCCTCCACCCATTTCTGCCAGGTGATTCCTTCTACACCCAGCACTGCCCCCCATACTGTTTGGCGTTGAGAAGCCCCCAGAGCTCCCCAGTACCTTCCAAAACAAAACCCCTCTTTAGGCAGCTGCCTGAGACCACCCGCGAATCGGCCCTCAGCCACCCTTGCCTCCACGCGCCCCATCATTTCTCCAAGTGGAGCCCCCAAGGTTTCCGGCAAAGGAGCCAAGCGAGGGGACAATGCAGCAAGGTGCAGGAGGGGCCTGGAAGCGAGGCTGCAAGGAGGAGGGGCGTGGCAGTCACAGGGAGGCTGATTTATAAGGCGCAGAGGCTGAGGGTGGCCAGGCCCAGGGAGGAACTTGAGCAAAGGCGTGGAGGGGATGCCTGGGGGAGAGGCTAGAACCCGAGGGGAGACTGGGTGGACACGTGAGCCATAGTCAGGTGATGTGGAGACGGGGCCAGTAGATGTGATTGACTGGGGTGAGGGTGAAGGAGAAACCAAGGAAGCTTTGAAGAGGGGCTGAGAAAAGGAGGATGACCATGGGGCCTTCAGAGGGGCTGCTTGGGAGTCTTCTCTTGAAGGCCTTTGATTTGAGGAGCTTGGGGTTTGGGCTCAGCAGGACCCCCAAGCGGTTGTTCTGGATGAAGAGACGGATGTATGGGTAGAGGTCATGAAGCCAGGGGAGGTGAGCTTCTCCTACCACCACCCCCACCCTTACAAAAGGAGGGCAGGAAACGAAGGATGGAGCTCAGGGGGCACCTTGGGATGGTGGAGGGAGCCAGAGGTGGACAGAGATGATGAGGAAGTGTGGAGGTGGGGGCGGGTGTGTCCTTGTGAATCTGGAGGAGAGGAGTGCTGGAAGGACATTGCATTAGTTTCTTGTGGCTGCCTTCACCAAGTACCACAAACTGGGTAGCTGAAAAGCAAGGCTCTAGGGAATAACATTTCCTTGCTGCTGCTTTGGCATTTTTTGGCTCATGGCAGCATCACTGCAGTCTGTGGCTCTGTCTTCACGCAGCCTCTGCCTGTGTGTCTGTGTGTCCTTCCCTCTTTTCCCGTATACTGTGGATTGAGGGGTCATTCCTCCTCCAGTAGGATCTCCTCTTAACTAAGCATGTCTGCAAAGACCCTATGTCCAGATAAGTCACATCCTGAGGTTCTGGGTAGACATGAATTTTGGGGGCATGAATTCAGCCCCCTCTAGACGGGGTAGCATGCAGTGTCTGGATTGTGAGGAACAAGACCAGGCCTTGGTTACAGGTGGGCTGCGAGGAGGACGCTGAGGACCCTTAGAGGAAATGTTTCCCCAGGGCAGCCGGGAGGGACACGGCTTTGGCAGTGGCAACATGGACTACATTTTCAAGGAGTGTGGAGTGAAGGGGAGGAGGGGCCTGGTTCCTGGAGGCAGCAAAGTTAAAGTAGTTTTTTTTTCTTTACCCAAAGGGAGACCTAAGAGAGTCTCTTGGCCAGCAGAGAAAGGAACAAGCAGCAGTGAGGGAAAGAGAAAATGCAGGCAAGAAAGGTGGGATTCATGGTGTGAGTCTCCAGGAAGTCAGCTTAGGCTGGAGGAAGAGCCCTTTTTGCGGAGTGGAAAGGAGGTGTGCTCCAGAAAGCCTTGCACACACTGCAAGGAGGAAGGCGGGGAAGCTCATTCCAGAAGACAGGAACTTTGCTCATCGTCCAGCAGGGATTCCTGAGGAGGTGTGAGAAAGGATTGAAGGCTGGGGAGAGCCCCGGGGTGCTCAGAGAGCAAGATTTACAGTGAGCCCAGGCCTGGAGCTGTCATGAGAGGCCAAAGGAGGGACGGTTGCATGCAAGGGTCAGATGGGGACCCTCTTCCTTAGGGTGGCCACAGTGGCTTCGTCTGTCTGGCCAGCATTTTCCAGAGCTTACCTGTCTGATTCTGACCCCAGATTTGTCCTTCCCTTGGGCCTCTGGCCTCCCCTTCAGCCTGGCTGCATCTAGCCTCCTGCCTGGCCCCTGGAACAGGCATTGCCCCCCTTCCCTGCCCAGCCAGCCCTCCCAGCTGGTCCCTGCCCTTGGCCACACACCCATTATCTTTCCTGAGCCAGTGCTCCAAACACAGGGCCTTGGAACTTGCAGAAAGGTTACCAGCCCCACCCCTTATGGGGACATCTGCCCTCTGCTCACCTCATTTTGCTCAGGAATGATCTGGGCTGATGCCCAGGGCAAGGGCACCTCCCCTGCAATATCCCAGGCCGCAGAACTCAGCTATCCGAAAGCGGCAAGTTTGCAATGGCAAACTATTCTTGGCTCCAACCTGCTCGCTGCTGCTAATTTCATGCCCCTGTGATCCAGGTAACGCTCTGCTGCCTTGAGCTGCCACCCCCAGGCTTGAATCGCTTTTCCTCGCCCGCCCGGTAGGAGCCCAGCTGCCTCTGCTGCTGCTTCCTGGAGGTGGGGGCTGCACAAAGCTGCCTCGCAGAAGCCACTCAGCAGCACGGACACTGAGTCTGCCGCAGCTCGTGACTAATTTGCTGCACTTATTTCAAAGTGCCCAAATGGCATTCAGGGAAGAGAAAGCTTAACCAGGGTCTGCCAGAGATAAACGGGCTCATTTCGGGGCCTCCCTGCCCGAAGAAACCTCTTTACCTGGACTCTGAGCCTGGAATTGAATTCTTCCAGAAGAGACCCTTAGCACGGAGCCTCTCAGTGTGGCGGAGGAGAGGAAATGTGGCCCGTCATAAAATGGGCCTCACATCTGGCCAGCTGGCTCTGGTGGGCTTTTAAATTGTGTTTGAAGAGCATCTCTCCCCTTTCCTGGTGTTCGCAAACTGGGTCAGTGTAGCAAATGGAAATGAGTTTCCTTCTCACCATAGCGAGCAACTCAAGTGCCCCCCTGCCCAGGCCAGCAGTGGCTCATCCACATTCACCCACCATATGGGGGTACCCTGGCGCCTGGCACCCCTGGGCCAGGGCCTGTCCACAGTCTGGGTGAGGAACCCCCATGCCCACCCTGGGCCAGTCTGGGTGAGGCCCCCATGCCCACTCTGGGGCTCTTTGCAGGGGTTGCAGAGTAAGGCGAGAGCTTGGAAGCCTGCCCCATGCTGCCCACCCACAGACACTCTTTAACATGGTCTTTGCTTAGCTGCCAACCATGTCCGTCAATTTTGGGTAACTGACAGAGGTGGGGGCTTTTCTCTTAATCTTTTTCTTTTCTTTTCTTTTTAAAACTACGAAGACCCATAGGCCTCTGGAAATGCTGAGGGGAATGGGCGGTGGGATTTGAGAGAAAAGATTAGCTAATGTATTCCTTTACTCTTGTCTACCACTGCAGAAAGAGGAGAAAGAAATCAAACCCTGGCCGGGCACCATGGCTCAGCACCTGTAATCCCAACACTTTGGGAGGTCAAAGCAGGTGGATCACCTGAGGTCGGGAGCTCAAGACCATCCTGGCTAACATGGTGAAACACTGTCTCTACTAAAAATACAAAATTAGCTGCGTGTGGTATTGTACGCCTGTAATCCCAGCTACTCGGGAGGCTGAGGTGGGAGAATTGCTTGAACCCAGGAGGCGGAGGTTGCAGTCAGCCAGGATCATGCCACTGCACTCCAGCCTGAGCGACAGAGCGAGACTCTGTCTCGAAAAAAAAGAAAAAAAAATCAAACTCTGTCATTTGCTGGCTTGGGCAGGTCACCTGCACCTTAGGGCCAGGTAGAAGAAAGACACTGCCCTCCCTGAGAGGAACGTGTCTCACATTCCTGCTTGCTGCTGGAAGGCATGTGGCTGCCAGGCCCAGCATCTGAGGCTTCCTGGTGATGCACCGCGACCCCAGTGATAGTGTTTGGGCTTGTGCCTCCAGGAGACAGACAACCTCAGCTAGAGCAGCTTATACATTTGTAGGGGGATGATAAATATGTCTCCACCCGGTCTCTGCCCTGCTCTGCAGCAAAAGATGCTGCCACCAGCACTCCCAATGTGGACCTCTGTGTACCTCTGGGAAATTCCTCTACCTCTGTGAGCCTCAGGCTGCTTATCTGTAAAATGAGAGCGATTCCAGCCCTGCCTCGCCCTCACTGGCTGTGGTAAGAGCACATGGGCTGGGGTGTGTGCAGGCCCTCTGGAAGCTGTGCTGCTTGCATGTCAGAGTTCCCTGGCATTCTGCAGAGCTCCCACTTCCCCACCTGGGTTAACTGACTTTGATGCGATTACTTAGAGACTGGATGTTGAGTCCCACACCCTGCCTGAGCTCCAGGTCATTGCAGGGTGCAGATAACGCTAGGGAGATAGTGGTGCGCAGGGAGATCAGATCTCACATTCAGGGAGCACAGCTATCCCTCTGTTCCTCAGAGCTGGGCCTCTCCCACGTGGGTTTGAGAATTCAGAGGTGACTGATGGGCCTCTCTGCCATTAGCGCTCTGGGGGTTGAGTGCCTTGGCTGCTTGAGGTTCTGCCAGCCCTCCTGTGGATGGGATGGACAACACAGTGTGGTTTGCTTCAGCTCAGGAGGGGCTGTTGGTGCTAAGGAAGCCTCAGGTTGCTTTCAACAGATGAGCTGCGCTGGCATCCTCACTGGTGGGGAAGCATCCCTTCATGCTTTTGTGCCAGCCGTTCTGTCCTGTTGGGAATGTTTCTCTCCCCACTGGCACCCATACCTGCCATATCTGTCTGACATGCTTCCCCCAATCTTTCCAGCTGCCGTCCAAGATGGCCCTGGTGGAAACCCCCCAGAGCCCCTCCTTCCATGCCCCCCAACACTTTGTATCTGTTGTACTCCAGCTCCAGGCTTGCGTCCACCTCCCCGAGGGCACGCAGGTGCCACAGCTCCTCCGTTGTATCCACCCAGCCACCAGCACAGCACTGGCACACGGGCTTGACACCTCTTCAGCAAACAAAGGGACAGGTCAAAACAGGAAGAGGTGCTGACCTGCACAGAAGTGGCTGCCCAGCCAGGGCTGAGCACCATGAGATTACTAACCAGCCTAAGGGTCTCCTGCCCAGGGCCCTCCTGCTGGGGCAGAGAAACTTGCTTGGGAGGCCTGTCACCTCCTAATGTCTTTGCCCTGCATCCACCTGCGTTCCAGCCCTGCCTTCTTGCTGAGTCATACCCAGCCTTTCACCTCTGGTTCTATAAGGCCCACATTGACCCCCAGGCCTCCAGGCTTTTAGTCAGCTATGTAAACAGAGCTGCTGTGGCATAATTCTGAGTGGCGCCATTCCTATCACAAGCCTACAGGTCTGGTGCCCCTGGAGTTGTGCAAAGTTCAACCTCCACCATCATACACAGTGGCCCCACTGCCAGCTCCCTGACGATCTTCTCATCCCCCAACTCCTCTATGGCTGGAGCTGGCCTTTGGGTCCATGTGCTCATCTCTAGAAGTGGAGTTGGTTGTAGGGGTAGAACAAATCAAAACAGACTTTTGAGGGAGCTCTCAGGAATCAGGCCCCAGTGGAGGTGAACTCTGTGAACGATCCCCAAACACTGCTGTACATAAAATCCCCCATTCATTAGATGGATGGATTGCTTTGGGGGCAGTCTTGTTACCATCCTAGTCACAGTGAGTTTGGAGCTGTATTCAAATGTTTTCACATTTCCGTAAGTAAAATGGGAGAAGATAGCCCCAACACCTCTTGGAAGCAAATGAGATGAACCCAGGAGGGACATGCCAGCTGCCTGGCTACAAAGTAAATAATCAAGAGTGGAACGTAGACCTTCGCCGCTGGTTTCTTAGGAAGGCAGTGCTGGTGGGAATACTCCATCAGGGAGTGCGGTCCAGGGAAGTAAGAGGGAGGGAAAGGGAAGTAGGGCTGGGACACAGAGAGCAAACACAATGGGCGATGGTATTTTGGAGCGGCCACAGCTTTGCAGCAGCACACACGGAACACCTTGGAAAAGTCTTGTGGAGCCACCACGTTCAGAGCAGCCAGTCTGGGGAGAGGAGAGGCGGGCGAACGATCTGTGGGCTCCTTCCAGCTCCTGCCTCTCATTGGTTAAAGTGGGTCTCACGGGGCTTGACTCCCCCATCCTCAGGGGAGCGTCCCCCACCCCTCTCACAGCCACTGGTGCAGCCTAGCAGGGCGTGGGGTCTCTCTGTGGGGGTCAGCTCCTCCTTTGGTGGCAGTGGTGGCAGCAGTGGCAGTGATTTTATGACCATGGGACCAATGGCTGTGGACAGGGGACCAAGGTGAGTTACCTGAGGGGCAGGCAGGGTAAGTCCGTCTGGAGCAACATCCACTAAGTCCGTTTCTTGAAATCAGCACATGCCACCTGCAAAAACCCTAATTTCAGCAGAGGGTTTGGTGGGGAAGGGCTGCAGGGACTGGTGTGCTAACCCTCTGTGCCCCTCATGGGTGAGCACACTGCTCCTCCTGTCTCTTGGGGGGTCAAAGAAAGGAACATGATCAACTGTCCTGGTTTTCTTCAAGGAACTGAATTTAAATTGAAACAGGAAGGCTGAAATATTCAGGAAAACCCTGATTAGTAGGAACCCAGCTATCGGAAACCCTCATGAATTAGGAATCTATCTCTGCCTAGCAAAATACTACAAATGAGTGGCTTAAAACAACCTGGATTTATAATTACAGGGTTTCTGTGGGCCAGAAGTCCAGGCACAGCTTAGCTGGGTCTCCTGCCTGAATTTGCACAAGGCTGCAATCAGTCAGCCAGAGCTACAGTCTCCTCTGAGGCTTAGCTGGAGAAAGGTCACTTCCAAGCCCACTCCAGTTGTTGGCAGAATTCAGTTCCTAGTGGTTGTAGGCCTGAGAGCTTCAGTTTCTTGTGGGGAGAGGGCTGGAGACCGCCCTCAGCAACTTGGGGTTCCATGCCAGGTAGGGTTCCCCAACATGGCCACTTGCCTCCCCAAATCTGGCAAGGGAGGAAAAGAGTCCAGCAATGTGGGTGCTACAGTCCTATGTAACACCTCATGTTTGCTCTACTCTCTCGGTTGGAAGCAGCCACAGGTCTCATCCACACTCAGGGGAGGGCATCGCACAGGTGTGAGCATCAGGAGGCACGGATCACGGGCCACCTTAGAGTCTGCCACCACACCTCATTTTAGAACTTTTCCTATAGGCAAAAGCAGCAAATAATTGAATACAACCCACCATGTGTTTCTATCAGGAATTAAGTGGTTTGTTTTTATAAATTCTGTGGGATGTGCTGAGTCAACTCCTGTCACCATGTGCATCTCCATCTCCTGATCTGTGCTCATGGAATGATGGCCTGGCCTCAAGTCTGTTCTCTGAGTTCTTTGTAAGGCAGAGAAATGGGCCCAGACAACAGAAAGAGACTCAGAGTCTTATCCAGTGGTCAATATCCAAAAAGCTTTTCAACATTAAATGATACCTTTTACTGCTTCAATATCAACAAACAGGCACATTCAGTTACCTGAAAAATTCTCATTCAGGGAACCTGAGCCTGCTCGAAGAAACAAAATCATCAGAGATTCTGCATTACACAGATCGAGCAGCCACTGGATGAAGGGGCCTCACCGGGGCTTGGGCTGGGGGCAGACGCAGCCCCATCTGCAGCCCTCTCCTCCTAAGGGCCTCTCTCCTTCATTCTACTCAGTGTCCTCCCAGCCTCAGAGGCCCAGCCACTGTGTCAAGATGTAATTGACTGAGTGCCCCCGACCAGTCCAGGCTCTACTGAGCCCATCAGGGCAGGAACAATGAGGTGCAGCTCAAAGGCTATTTCTCAGGCTCATGGTTGACGGACCTCACTAGCTGCGATTATCATTTTAATTGCAAGGCCACCACAGCCTTATATTCAGGGTACAGATTTCAAAGACCACAAAGCACTCTGCAGGCTTCAAAGGGAACTATGGAAGGCTTGTGCTTCAGACTCAAAGGGGCCCATGACATCTTTCTTTCTGTTATTTTTTAGAGATGGGGTCTCACTCTGTTGCCCAGGCTAAAGTGCAGTGGTTTACTCACTGCAGCCTCGAACTCCTTGCTCCAGCAATCCCCCTGCCTCAGCCTTCTGAGTAGCTGGGACTTACAGGTGCATACCACCATGCCCGACTAATTTTTTTATTTTTTGTAGAGACAGAGTCTCACTATTTGCCCAGGGTGGTCTCCTGGGTTCAAGCCATCCTCCCACCTTGGCCTCCCAAAATGCTGGGATTACAAGTATGAGTCACCATGCCCAGCCTTGTTTTGTTTTTAAAGATAGGTATATTAAGAGATAATGCACACATAGTACAGTCCATCCTAATGACTGGACATTCTTTGAGTTTTCACAGACACATACAGCTGCCACACAGCTGCTTTAGCTGTGAGTTCCAGCACATCATAATCAGGCAATTCATCTGTCTGTGTTTGCACAGTTCTTTGTCACACCCCTGAGCTGCTGCCAGAAAATGCCCTTTTTCCTCATTCTGTGCAATCTAGGAGCTACTTCCCCAAATGGCTTTGACCTTCTGTAGCTGCTCTATCAAGAGAGAAAATCCAGAGTGAGAACAGAGTTTCCCTGTAGGGAGCAGGGCCTCTTGTATATCTAAGAGGTCACTTTGTGGCAAGAAAGCGAGAATGTGGTTGGGTCACAAGAAAACCCAAGCGAGCGGTGCCTCATGCCTGTAATACCAGCACTTTGCGGGGCCAAGGCGAGAGGATCACTTGAGCTCAGGAGTTTGAGACCAGCCTGGGCAACATAGCAAGACCTCGTCTCTACTAAAAACTTAAAAACAAAAACGTGGATAGTCTTGCATTTTGGTGATAGGCCAAGAAGGCTGATAGGTCAAACTTTTCTTTTCAGACATAACACTGAGTTCTGTCCCCATGGCCTCAGTCCATGGGCAGAAGTGTGGGCTGCACAGCACCAAGGGCCTCACTGGGGACAGGAACGACTTATCCTTCCTATGCCTCTAGCACTTAGTACAGCTGACATTGGCAGCTATTTGTTGAGTGGCTGAGTGAGCGGTCTTAGGCTGGAGATGGGGTGGGGCCTTGTTTGGAGGTGGGCTCACCCACGGCTCCTGGGTGTCTGAAGACAGTGGGGAGAAGCCCCACAGAGAGGGGCCCTGTCTCTGCTCGCGTGGAACTGCTCACCTCCATCCCTGAGTGACCGCAGCACCTCCTCACTTGTGTGCTTGCAGAACTACTTTGAGAGCTACCTTGCCGTTGCCTCCACCGTGCCCTCCATGCTGTGCCTGGTGGCCAACTTCCTGCTTGTCAACAGGTAGGCGACTCTCTTCCCTCTCTCAGGCCTCTGCCTTGGTCTCCTGCCTCCTCTACTCCCCTCTTGCCTGCAGCTGCTTTTTTTCTGCCTACTTAAGTGGTGGTCACCAAAGTAGGATGCAGCAGCTCAGATTTATGCATGAAGAGTGAGAAGTCAGATCAGATCCCTGGTGATGCCCCCAGGGAGCTGGGCTGTCACTCTCCAGCCACATACTGTGACATCGCTGTGACATTGTGGCAGCAGCCAGTGGGAAGTGTGTGGGGATGCAGGGGTCTTCCTCCCTTCTCTTCTCAGGGATCCTGTCAGTCTGCAAGTCTGTGGCCCAGAATGGGTCACCTGACTGTTCAGTGCTAAGCTGGTAACACCAGCTCCTGTGTCAACCACTCCCAAGAGGGCTCACGGGGGAAGTTCCAACATTGTAATGGTAAGGGCCACGAGAGGCTCCATCTGGATATGCCTGGGAAGGAGTTATTCAGGAGCTAGCTGGGCAAATTAGCATGTCCATAGACCCCCGTGGGTGACTTGCTGGCTCAAATTCTCAATTTGAGTTTACAAAGACAATAGCCCTAGCTACTTTGCCTGCATTTCTCCTAAGCTGCCACTAAATGATATCAATGGCTATGTTATGGTCGGTCCAGAAACCTGGGCTGCTGTTCGCCATGGCCTACTAAAACCTGAGGTCACTGATAGCAAATCTGTTTTGCCCAGTTCTAATCAATTTGTAGTGACTGCCAGATCTCTAGCTGGACAAGATTCTAAGGCAGGTCTGGCTTCAGGGAGGGTGCTGGGATTGATTAGTGATGTCTGCTCTGGGTGCAAGAGGAGAGAGGGCACCACGAGTGTCTTTTACATGCTGAGCCTGAATAGATCAGTCTTTCCAAACATATTATGTCATGGGGATATTGCAGTTATCTGTTACATAATATGATCCCAAAGCATAGTGGCTTAAAACAATACAAGTCATGAGTACTTCTCATGTTCTGGGGGTTATCGAGGTTCAGCTGTCATACTCTCTCCTGCAGTTGCAGTCAGATGGCAGCTGGAGCTGCAGCCATTCATATCCCCTCTCTCTCTCTCTTCTCTCTTTGTAGTGTCACATGTCAGCCTCAGGGTAATAGGATGGCTTACCCAGTGGCTGAGAACAAGGGAGAGGCTGCGTGGTTTTTACAACCTGGTCTTGGAAGTCATGTGCTGTCACTTTTGCCACACTTGACTGGTTTGGGCAGTCACAAAGCCCCCTTCATTTCAAGGGGACATAGATCCCACCTCCCAATGGAATTTGCACCCTTCTCCAAACCAAAGTGCAGTCTGGAAGAATGAGAAGGAGAGGGGCGTTGCAGCCCCTCTCACCAGCCAACTGGCCTTCACAGGCCTCACTCCTGCCTTCGAAGCTAGGGCCATAGTCAGTGTCCTAGCAGAGGGGGCACAGCCTGCGGAGACCGCCACCCCAGGAGGAGAGTAGAGGAGGGCAGAGCAGGGGTCCCGGCTGCGCCTCGCAGGAGAGAGGGTGTGTTGAGAGCCAGTGCAGGCAGGAGCAGGAGGCGAGGAAGAGGGGAGACAGCCGTGGTGGGGGGAGCCCTTGGCTCACTTATGGTTTTATCTGTCTACTCGCTCAGCCCGCCCAGAGGATGTGGGGCTGTTTGTCCAGCCCAGATAGCCTAGAGAGAGCTCCCAGCCCCTTCCAGTTCCAGAATCACCATCTGAACTATAGCAAGAGTGTAATGCCTCGATCACCCCTTGTCATGTCCCTTAGGCTGCACTGCAACCCAGGAGGGAGGCTGTGACATTGCCTCATTTTCCAGGTGGAAATCAGGAGACCACAGGGGCACCATGGGACAGCTGAGTCTGCCTGTTGCCTCTTCAGTGGTCTGGAGGTCCCACAGGCTGAAAGTACTCCTGGGCCATGGGTCAGGAGTGGCAGGGAACGTCCAGCCTCTGGGCTGTGAGAGAATGCTAGCCAATTAACAGTAGCACTTCTGAGCATTATATCCTGCAGATGCATTATCTCTTTTAACCCTCACGGCAGCCTAAGAGCTGGAAACTGCTGTGACCCTGGTTTGAGATGGGAAAACAGGCTCATGGAGGTGACTGGCCCAAGGGAAGGTGGCCATTAAGGATGGAGCCAGGCGGAGTGCAGTGGCTCAAACCTGTAATCTCAGCACTTTGGGAGGCCAAGTCAGGAGGATTGCTTGAGCCCAGGAGTTTGAGAGAACGCTGGGCACTATAGCAAGATACTGTTTCTACAAAAATAAATTTTTAAAAAATTAGCCTGGCACGGTGACACATGCATGTAGTCCCAGCTACTCAGTAGGCTGAGGCAGGAGGATCGCTTGAGCCGAGGAGTTCAAGTCTGCAGTGAGCTATGGTCACGTCACTGCACTCCAGCCTTGGCTAGAATGAAAGGGAGGAGTCAGGATTTGAACTGGGACCTTCTCACCCTACATCTGTGCTTGGAACCCCTGAGCCACCTACATCCTAGTTCCCCAGCTTTGCACCCACCCCTGCCCCTGCAGGCAGAACCACTCCCAAGATCCTTCTAGTGAGAGCCCTGTCTCTCCGGGATTCAGGCTGCTGCGATGGAAGGGGGTGGTTAAGAAGGGCTGGGTCTGTCTCCAGTGAGATGTGGGCCCCCAGGCCAGCTACCCTCTGAGATTGGGTCCCGGCAGATGGCTCAGCAGTTACAGGACATTCTCAGAGGGAATTAGCCCACCCCTGGCCTGCCCCTGCTCCTCCTAGGCTCTAGGAGAGGGGGCAAGGGCAATGCAGGAACATCCTCTGAGGCCTCCATCTGTTTCCAGGCTGTGGGAAGATGGTCTGGGGCTAAGCTGTTTTTTATTTAATGTGCGAGATTGAAAAGTCTCCTTTTCTCCCCTCCTGGAGAACCGTGGCTTTCCCGACTGGCTTATCCATAATCGCCAAGTGTTTTATTATGTTAAATCTGCAGCATCATAAATACTTATGAGGAGGATTTACATCTTGGAGACTTATGAAGAAATCATAAGTGGGGTCCTGAGCCCTCACGAGTCAGGGAGTCGGGGGACCGGCAACCTGGGTACTGGAGGCAGCCTCTCCAAGAGTCTTCACAGGACTGAGACCTGCCCCAGGGTCTTGGTCTTGAAGCTGTCCTCTTGGCCATGCCCTGTCTCCAAGTAGAACCCCAGACATTACAGCAGCTGAAAGTCTAGACTTTCCTAAGACCCTAAGAGCACGACTGTCCCCTGGGCCACTCTCCCTTCCTGGGTGGAAGCAGCAGAGAGGGAAGCCAGTGTCCTCTGTTCATGCCTGTGGACCAGGCTTGCAGCTGGCACATTTCATGAAGCTTGATGAATGTTGAAAATAGCCCTAGAGCCCACGGATGGAGGCTCTGGGCAAGAGTGGTTTATGCAGCAGATAATTAGCAGGCGGGAAGGAGACCTGTGCGGGTGAAGGGCCATGTAGGGGGACAGAGGAGGGGACAGAGCAGCGTTCCACACTGCATCGTTTCTGGAATGCATTTGGTATTGACCTCCTCCTCTCTGATTCCTCCCCAACTTTCCTGCCCTGGGGGTACCTGAGTAAGCAGTCCCCCAGCTCTCTGCAAAACAACCTTCCTGTTCAAGGAACTTATTACCTTGTAGCGACAGGCACACAGGAGGGCTCCCATGATGCTGCACCATTCCTGCTGGACTTTTTCCTGGCCGTGTCTGTGAGGAGGCAGTTAGAGGCAGAGGCCATTCCCGAGGCTGGCGGATGCTTCCAGCTGGACTTCCTGCCATGCTGAGGCAGCAGGGATCAAGAAGCAGACAGCCGCTGGGAGGTTCAGACCAGCATGAAACCTCCCCACCCCCGGGTGCTACTGATCTCCCTTGCTTGTCAATTTGTACATCCAGCAAATATTTACCCAGTGCCTGCCAGGCCCTGTGCCTGTGCTGGGGGAGAACAAGGCAGGGCTCTGCCTTTGCAGCGCGCCTCATCTTTCCAGCCTGGCCTTTGCCTCCTTCTTGCCCCAAGGAACTGGTTCAAACTTCTTGGCATTTGTTCCCAACCTCTCTCTCCACTTGAATTTTTTCAGATTTAGAATCATTAGCTGTTAGGGACCTTAATATTATCGGGTCTAGCTGCTTCTTTTTAGAGATGAAGGGACTGAGGCCCAGAGAGGTTGAATATTTGTCAGGGGTTACACGGAGAGCCGATGACAGAGCTGGGCAGGGCTCCGGTCTCCTGACTCAGGCTCCATGCCCTGCTGGCCCTTATCTTGGGAGTGGGTGGGACAGCTCCAGCTGCTAGGAGAGGGTGGGGACACTGTGTGACAGAGCTGAGTGTGTAGGACCACCTCGAGCATCAGGGGTAAGTCTTGACTGCTGGCCTCCAGGGCCCCTGCTGTACTCTTACGATAGATGCTCCGGGCCGCCAAGGGTCCAGGTGTCTACCTGGCTGCCCAACAGCTCCTGTCCAGGCCAAAGCCCCTGCAGACCTTGAGAAGATGTGTGTCAGTGTGAGGTCTTCATGGGCATCTTAATGCAAGGTTCCCCACAAGCAGGCCCTGAAACAAGGATTCAAATGCGAGTAGTTTATCTGGGAGGTGAAGGTGGGAGAGTATGGAATGGGGACAGGAAAGGGAAGGCAGTCAGCAGAGGATGCCTTATCAAGTCAGCTCCTTCAGGAGGGACAAGAACACAGTCCTGCTGGGGATCTTGGAGAGCCAGTGTGGAGCATGGCTGAGCAGGAGGGAGCTGGGGTATTTATGTACCAACTTCCCTAGTCATTGGTTGAAGGCTGCTCTTAGGAGGTGTTCCTTACCTGTCACTCCCAGGTAAGTAACACCACTCCTGGAGTTGTAAAAGGGAGGGCACATGGGCAGGACACCAGCAGCATTGCTGTAGCTTCTGACCATATCATTCCCAGCTTGAAACCCTGATGTACCTCTTTGCGTTAGTGGGTACTTTGAGTACCCACAATAAAAGGATGTCCTCTTTAAGTGAAAATTAAAGGCAGGTCCACCTTTAGGCATCTTTGGATCTAGGGGATCTCCTCTGCACCACCCCTGGGCTCCGTGTGTCTCTGCATGGCTTTTCCTCCATGTCTAGCCTCGCCCTACGCAACTGGCTAGATGGCAGCCAGCAGCCCCAGACACAGTCTCGGCAGTGAGCTTCTCTCCACGGCTCCCATGTAGCAGTCCCAGGGAAGACTTAAAGATCCTATGTGGGTCACATGCTAATTCCTAACTCAACCCCAGGGTCTAGGAGCAGGCAACACTGACTGCCCCAGGCTGCGTCACATGCCTGTTGTTTGTGGCTGTGTGGGTGTGGGTGTGGGCAACCTGGCTGACCACCTCCCCAGGATGACTAGGCGAAGGAATGTTCTCCCAGGGAACATTGTGCTGGCAGACAAAGGCCCCACACCCCGCCCTCCTCCAGGACATGAGTCCACGCCTCTCCCCAGCATCACCTCTGTGCTCCTCTGCTCGCATCTTGACTACAGCCAGAGTCCATTTGCAGCTCCCTGAACATGCCTCACTCTCTCTCCCAAGACACATGCACTTATATCCTCCCATTCGTCGTTACCATCCAGCATAGACATTGCCTCCAAATGGCCTTCCACGATGCCCAGGGTGGGTTTTGTGCCCCTCAGATGTGCTGTGTGATGCCCTGGGGCCTCCTGATGGAGCACCTACCACAGTGAGATGACATATCTGTTGCTGGTCTGTCCCGTGTCCTGGGCATCCAGCATAGTACTGGACACACAGTAGTTGCTCAATGCACATTTGCGGAATGACCACACCATTGAGTACACATGTTAACAGACTGAGTGATGGGCTGGGGCTCAGCACACCTGGGTTCTCATCCCAGCTCCCTACAGACTCACTCCACAACCTTGAACTGTCCCTTCATTTCTTGGGCTTCCTCATACCCCTTAGAAAGCAGTGACAGCACCTGCTCTCCCTTTAGCTGAGGACCAGAGGGAAACTCAAATTAGCCTGGGGCCACAAAAGCACTTTGAAAAAATTCCTTTCTTGCTTTTCTTGCTCATCATTTCACACCTACGTGTGTGTGTGTGTGTGTGTGTGTGTGTGTGTGTGTATTTTTCCTACCTTTCAAGTTTTTCTTTTTTTAATTAAAAAAAAGTATGTAATCTGGCTTTTCTCCCAGCCCCCTCCCACTGGTTAGCAGGAAAATTAACTACACATCCAATCCGGTTTAAAGCTTAGTCTAATCTGATGATTTAAGCAGCCCCTTGAGATGATGTTCTTGCTTCCTAGAATAAAAATGTGCAGCTTCTCAGATAGAATCCTTCCCTGCTTTTCTCCCCAGGCCAGTATGGGGGCTGGGAAGAGTACATGGCTCATATGCAGGCATGGTGCTGGGGAGTGTGGGGGTTCCCTTGGCCCCAGGCAGCACTAACTTGGCATCACCTGCTCCCCATGATGACTGAGGCCATCACAGGAGGATGCCCCTGCCCTGGCCACCACTTCTGTGCCATCCATATTTCCTCACTCCAGGGGAGGCAGTAGAGCATCATTCTGAGAACTGACCAGAGCCAGGCCTCCTGGGTTCATTGCTGAGTGACTTTGAGCTAGTTCCTCAGCCTCTCTGATGTCAGCTTCCTTATCTGTATACATGGGATAGGTACGAATACCTGTCTTACAGAACCGGTGTAACAATCAAACACACTGGCATACAGAAAATGCCTAGAAGAGTGCTAGAAAAGTATGCATTAAACACTGTTTGAGTGTTTGCTATGGCGACGATGATGATGAAGATGACGACGATGATTTTCTTTCCTTCTTCCCTTTGCCCCCAAACCTCCTGCTAAGTTTTGGGGAAAGGAAGCTCAGTGGGTGGCTGCTCTGTTTAAACACTAGACAAAGCCAGCAGGAGCTCAGCCCTGTGGCAGGAAGAGCAGGGGTTTGCCTTGAACATCCTGGTGTCCTCGTGTCCTTGAACCTCACAGCAAGGTGAAAAGCAGCAGAACCCACTGAGCGCTGGCCCTGAGCCAGGCACTGCCGCTTGCACCCCACACTGCTCACCTCTTCAGCCTCACCCCCCTGTGAGTTGAATCAACTCTCCCCATTGTACAAGTTCAAAAGCTGAAACCAGAGCAACTGAGTCCCTTACCCAAGGCCACACAGCTAGGGAGCCGGGAAGGCAGGATTCGAGTGCAGGCCTCTTGACTGCAGAGTGAACAGTCCTAACTGCTAAGCTCGCCTGCTTCCCTTAAGGTGGCTCACCAGCCCCAGCCCACACAGGAGCCCCGAAGGGGTGTCTAACTGCTTCTGGCATCCTCGCCCCAGGGTTGCAGTCCACATCCGTGTCCTGGCCTCACTGACGGTCATCCTGGCCATCTTCATGGTGATAACTGCACTGGTGAAGGTGGACACTTCCTCCTGGACCCGTGGCTTTTTTGCGGTCACCATTGTCTGCATGGTGATCCTCAGCGGTGCCTCCACTGTCTTCAGCAGCAGCATCTACGGCATGACCGGCTCCTTTCCTATGAGGAACTCCCAGGCACTGATATCAGGTGAGAGCCAGGGTCCGGGCAGCTGACCAGGTTCATCCACCCAGGAGTCATGGGAGGGAGCCAGAGATGAGCATGTGGTGGCCTTTTCTGAAAAGGAAATGGCATGGGTGCTGATTGTGTTTCAGTCATCTAGTGTTGTAGAACAACAACGGTCATTTCTACTACTCACAAATTTGCAGCTTGGACAGGAGTTTGCAGGTGTAGCTCTTCTCTTCTCCCCATGGCATCAGCCAGCATAGCTCGACGGGGAGCGGAGGATCCAGTTCCAGGTGGCACGCCCTCCTGGCTGGCGTGTTGATAGTGGCTGCTGGCTGGAAGCTTAGCCAGGGCTGGGCTGGGGCCAGGGACTTCCGTTCCTCTCTATGTGGACCTCAAATGGCAACTTTGACTTCCTCATGGCATGGTGTCTGGGTTGCAAAAGCCGGCATTTCAGGAGATCCAGGCAGAAGCTTTATTTCTGATTTAGCAAAAGAAGCCACATAGGGTCAGTTCTGCCATAGCCATAAGCTCACCCAGACTCAAGACAGATGGACCCACCTCTGGGAGAGTATGAAAGTCTCCCACCGTGACTGTGAGAAGGTAGGCAGGAGGGGAGACAGAGTCGCAGCTATTTTTGGATAACATGGTCTGCCTACAAAAGGCAATTCCTGAAACCAGCCTTCCTCCCTTTCCTTCCCTCCTTCTCCTATTCCTCTCCTATTTTTCCTTTTCCTTATCTTTCTTCCCCTTCTTGTCTCCTTTCCTTCCTTCTGTCTTTTCTTCCTTTCTGATTTTATAGAGGACCTGCTATGTCCTGGGGATGCAAAGATGAACAAGCACCAGTCCCCTCGGAGCTGATGGCTCAGTGAATAAACTCTCACCCCCAGCACCCCCAAGCTTTGGTATCCCGTGGGTATGCCTGTGCACGACGTGGGCCGACCCCTCTAGCTGATGTTTGATGCTGATGTTGATGAGCCTGTTCCGGAGGCCTTGGCACTTTTGTTCTCTAAGCTGGAGACACACACATCTCTCACCCAGATGACCCAGCCAGGTAAAAAGGAGCGGGTCAGGAACCATTGGTGCTTTGCCAGGAGGCCACAGTCCCTGGGAGCAAGACTGGAGGTTCTGCTGCTGTGTCTGCCCTTCCACATGCCCCTGTTATGCAGAGGAGAGCTCTAAACATTTGCCCACTGACAGCAATTTCACAAGGAACCTGTGCTGTGCCCCTTAGTTAATAATGCCAGGAAGCATGTGGCCAGGATGACAATACTTTGACAAGGGTATGTCCCTTCCCCACTCGAGCCAGTGCCAGACATCACTGGTGGATCTCTATCTTTCATCCTGAGCTTCTAAATCCTTCTCAGCGCAGCACTTGAGGCAGTTACTCTCAGCAGATCAGAGTCTAGATGTGAGCTTCAATCTGTTTGCCATTTCTGAGATCAGATTAGGCTTCTGGCTGTATCCTGGGAAACACTTGGGCCTAAGATAAAATAAAAATGGACTTGTTGCTAAGTTTCCTGGGTGCAGGCAACATGCATCAGCGATGCTTTCAAACGGGCATTTCTGGACTGAAGGCAGTGGCCACTGGACATGGGATTTAATTCCTTCTGTCACCGCCATCTCAGAAGGAGGCTCTTATCCCCTTAGTTCCTTCCATCCTTGCTGGCAGGCTCTCCAGGAGCCAGTGACCAAACTCACCATTTACATTGGCAAGCGGTCCTCGGGTTAATCTGTCCACCTGTGATCTTCTAGGGATGGGGAGTCTCCTATGGATTTTTCAGAAAGTCCGTTCAGAAAAGTGGGGAAGTTTAGTACTTCTACGCCAGTATTAATGACCCTGAGTCTAAACCGTGGTCACCACTGTATTGGGCCCTCGTGGGTGCCCAACACCCTGGAAAATCAAGGTGTCCCAGTCTTCCAGAGGCCACAAGACCACCTCGCCAGCCCCACTTGCTTTTTTCCAGCACAGCCCGTCTGTGAATTCCGCACGCGTTGGCATCTGAGGAACAATTCATTTGTTTTGCGCTGGTGTTTTTTTAAACCCCTCATTTGCATGTATTTCCATAACTGATGAGATAAAAGTGGAGAGTCATGAAGGATGAGCTCCCGGAGGCCTGGTTTGTTGTTGATGATAATATTGTAAATTCTCTACAAGTTGGAAAGAGAGAGAGGAAAATCAGTAGGCAGTGATGTTAAGATCTCCTCCTTGGGGCAGCTGGGGAGTGTCTTACTGAGTTTAACCCCAGTTCTTGCAAAATGTCTAGGCGGGGATTACAGCTTCTCAGAAGTGGGCATCCTCTTGGCAAAGGGTTTACCCGTTGTTGCTGCTTTGATGTGGGAAGCACAGAAATAGCCAAGCACCTAACTGGGAATCAGAAAGGATTTGTTTGGTATTTGGCACTTCTCCGCACCAGGCAGGCTTCTGAGTGCTTCACGTGTAATAATCCTTTTAATCTTCATCACAGCCCTACGAGGTGGGTATTATTAACACCCCCATTGTATAGATGAGGATACAGAGGCACAGTGAGGTTAAGGGACTTGCTGAAGGTCACACAACTAGAAGAAGTAGAGCCAGGTTTGGACTCGGATGTTTTGATTCTGGAGTCTGAGTTCCTAATTACAGTGCTAATTTTTATACCTTTGCCCTCCCTCAAGTACTACCCAGGCTAATAGAACTTATGGTGGAGAGGCTGGGGAAAGGATCCTCCGTCAGACCAAGGGCTATTCTCTGTAGAGCCATAGAGGCCACAGGCAGAGCATGGGGAGCCGTGATGGTGCGCACGGTGGACGGGGCCTGACTGTCCCCCTTCCCCTCTGCTTCGTGCAATAGTGGGCAGGAAAGTGGTGCTGTGTAAGAGCTGCCTGATGGAGACAGAGCAGGCCATGCCCACACGGACCCAGCCTTCTTCCCACCTCTTCAGGAATGGACATTCTGATCCTCTGAAGTGGGCAGGTTCATCCCGCCAGTCAACCCAGCTCATCCATCAGGCCCTTCCCGCATTGATGGTGATGGTGTTGGCCTTGTTGTCAGTGCTTTTCCACTCATCGTCCTGTTTCCACCTCACTACGGTCACCTGTGATGAACAGGACAAGTGTTAGCCCCACTTTCCAGGCAAATAAACACAGGCAGGGAAGAAAGTAAGTGATCAGCCCACGCTGGTGCCAGTGTTCCCAAGCAATGCTGCACACAGACCTTCTGACTCATGGCCAGCACAGGAAGATGACCCATGGCTGTGAGGGTTCGAAGGAACAGAAAGACATGTCTGCTGCCTCCCAGAAGCAACAATGCAGTCGTGGCGAGGCAGGGCATAGCGTTTGTTGAAGTCTACTGTGTGCCAGGCCCTTTGTGAACATCTCAGTCAGTCCTCAAAGCAACACACAGGGCAGGGGTTGTTATTCCCATTCTATAAGCGAGCAAACTGTAAAGTCAGAGAAGCCACGTTACCCCTAGGGTCCCAGCTAGCAAGTAGCAGAGTCCAGGGTGACACGTCCATCCGCCTGACTCCTAGCCCCGTTGGCACCCGAGTAGGTCGTGTGGCCTCCTCTGTTAGGTAGCAGTGAAAGGTGTGGCAGCCACACGGTCTCACAGGTAATGTGTGTCAAAGCCATTGGCAAGGAGAACATTCCATGTGGTGGGGTGGTTGCGTGCTTGTGTGTGCATGTAGGTGTATGACTGTGTGTGTGAGTGTTGTATGTGTTACACATGCATTCACATGTGCATGGTGCCACAGCCGCCTTGGGGTACACAGTAGGTTCTGTGAGCTCATGGGTGGGCAATGGTGGGGGTTTATAGCCAGTGAGGACACCCCCAGAAAGGGTGGCCTCTGGGCAGCAGGGGACCCTATGTGAGGACAGTCCCTGAGCCTCCTTCCCAGTTTGGTTGGTGGGTACTTTGGGCCGGGGGCAGAGAAGAGGAAATCCAGAGGTCTCTGGCACTTCCTGCCCCTAAATCTAAAATTTCAGCCCCCACTAGAAGGGCAATAAAGAGAGATGGAGGTTGAGGGTCAGAGGTGAAACAGGAAAGGCAGAGGACTGGTGGTCCCCTGAAGGCCATGTGCCACCTCAGGCAGCAGCCTCTTACAAGTCCAGCAGAGGGAGGGGAAAATGACCCCCTTGGAAACTCAGGAAATGCTGGAAATGCTTGGCTGCTGGGCCCTCCCTGTCTCTGAGGCTTCAGGACACTGAGAGAGCTTTGGCATTTTTCGCACGGAGGAATTTTTATTTTGGTTTGTGAAACCCAAGCAGGGAGGGGCCCGCAGCCACTCCTCCTCGCCCACCCCTCACCATCTCTGCGTGTCCTCTGTTCTCTGCAGGAGGAGCCATGGGCGGGACGGTCAGCGCCGTGGCCTCATTGGTGGACTTGGCTGCATCCAGTGATGTGAGGAACAGCGCCCTGGCCTTCTTCCTGACGGCCACTGTCTTCCTCGTGCTCTGCATGGGACTCTACCTGCTGCTGTCCAGGCTGGAGTATGCCAGGTGAAGGTGCCACTCACTGTCCATGCCTCCTTCCTGTGTATCCAGTTATAGCCATGCTTCTTTTTCTCAGCAGCTTCTATGCTGGCTTCTTTGTCTAGGTGCTATGGCTCAAAGCAGTTGTTCAACAAATAGGCTTGGCTGGTGGACGTGAGAGGCTGGCTCTGTGCCACAGTCAAGCAGTTGGAGCCTCAAGTTTAATCATGGTGAATAATAGTTCACACTGGTGAAACACAACCCCTTATTCCAGCGCTGTGTTCCTGCGAGCTTGATGTGTCCTACCTCATACAATGCTCACACCTCTATCCAGGCACCGTGGAGCACACCTGTAATCCCAGCACTTTGGGAGGCCAAGGCAGTGGATCGCTTGAGCCCAGGAGTTCAAGACCCATTCTGGGCAACACAGTGAGACCCTGTCTCTACAAAAAATAAAAAATTAGCTGGGCATGGCCGCATGTGCCTCTAGTCCCAGCTACTCAGGAGGCTGAAGTGGGAGGATCACTTGAGCCCAGGAGTTGGAGGCTGCAGTGAGCTGACTGCACTACTGCAATTCCAGCCTGGGTGACGGCAAGACCCTGTCTCTCTGAAAATGAACAAACAAACAAAAGACAAACTCACACTCCCCTGTTCCTCTTAGAGTACAGTACTATTATTATTTTTTATTATTCCCATGCACAGATTAGAAAACCAGGGTTCAGAGAGATTAAATTGCTGTTGTTTTAGTAGAGACAGGGTTTCACTCTGCAGGCCAGGCTGGAGTGCAGGGATGCAATCGTGGCCTGCTGCAGCCTTGACCTCCTGGGCTCAAGCTGTCCTTCCACCTCAGCCTCCCAAATAGCTGGGACTCCAGGTGTGCCACCACACCCAGCTATTTTTTAAAAAAGTTTTTGTAGGCCAGGCACGGTGGCTCACGCCTGTAATCCCAGCACTTTGGGAGGCCAAGGCAGGCCGGATCATCAGGTCAGGAGATCGAGACCATCCTGGCTAACACAGTGAAACCCCATCTCTACTAAAAATACAAAAAATTAGCCGGGCATGGTGGCGGGTGCCTGTAGTCCCAGCTACTCGGGCGGCTGAGGCAAGAGAATGGTGTGAACCTGGGAGACGGAGCTTGCAGTGAGCTGAGATCGCACCCCTGCACTCCAGCCTGGGCGACAGAGCAAGCCTCCATCTCAAAAAAAAAAAGCTTGTATAGAGACAGAGTCTCACTATGTTGCCCAGGGTGGTCTTGAACTCCTGTGCTCAAGTGATCCTCCTGCCTCAGCCTCCCAAAGTGCTAGGATTACAGGCATGAGCCACCATGCCCAGCACAAAGAGGTTAAATTATTACTTGCCTGAATCTCAGAGCCAGTAGGCAGTAGAGCCAGGCAGGATTTTAAGATGACTCCAAACCTGTGCTTGGACAACTTGCTGCCTTATGGGGCTCCTTTCCACCTCTAGGACCTGTTTTCTTGTCTCGAGTCTTACTCTTGCTTTCTGTCTCCAGTTCCTCCTTTTGCTTTCTTGCTGCCTGCTGCTTTTTATAAAAACAACGCTTGTCTTTCTCTCGTGTTTTATTCTTTTCAAAGCATTTTCCTATCCACTATCTTATTTGATGTAGGAAAGGCAGGAGTTATCCCCATTTAACAGGTGAGGAAACTGAGACCAAGAGAAGGCTAAGTGAAGTGCCAGGTGCGTTAGCCAGCAGAGCTGGGGAGAGATCTGCCCCTGATGCGGCCCTGTTCCACAGGAAGCTATTTTTTGCAGTGGCACAAAGCTAAGCAGTTTATGTGTATATTTTTGTTTATGATTTATGACAATCTGTGCAGCTGTGATCGTATTTTCTCACTTGAGAGCTGGGGAAACTGAAGCTTTGGAGAGTTCACAAGCATGCCCCAGGTCACTCATCTGGTGAGTCACGGCAGGACTGGAGCTGTTTCTGGAGTAGCCTCTCCCCACCGGATCATGCTGCATCCCTGGCTCGCAACTGCAAGGGCCTTATCTCATCATTCATTCTCCCTGTCCTCATGAGGAGAGTCACTTCGTTAACCCCTAGAACCCCCAGCCTTTCAGCAGAACAGCGATTCCCCCTGGGCTGGTAGTGAGCCACTTTCCCCAGCTAAAGGATTCTTCACCGCTTCAGCAGTCCTCAGGGTTCTGAGGATAGGAGGGGGCTGATCTGCTTGAGCTATGCAGTATCCCAGGCACCTACAGACCCCTGGGCTGCCCAGTCCTCCCCGCCCCTTCAGGGCTGTCATCAGAAATTGCCTAGCTGTGGCTCCAGGCTGACGTCCCCGTGCTTCCTGTGCCCTGGCTGGCTCTCCATCCCCCAGCATCCTGTACACTGCCTGGCACCTCAGCGTTGTGCCTTAAATGATTCTCCAGCCACTGAATGAACAGAGGAACAGGAGGGTCGCCCCACTCCTTGTGTTGTTTGCTCGTGTCCTGTTTCTGGTGCTTTGGGTGGGTCTGTTTCCAGCAGGGTAGCCAACCTTCCTTGCTTGCCTAGAGCCAAAGGAGCTCCCAGGACAAGGGACTGTAAGTATTAAAACCAGGACAATTTCAGGCAAACCAGGATGGTTGGTCAGCCTAGCTCCTAGTCTCATTTGGGCAGGCCAGAGTCCCTTCCAGCTGAGCATGTGAGACAGAGAACACCCAGGACCATGCTATCCTGTAGACGCTTCTATTTCTTTTTCTTTTTCTTTTTTTGTGATGGAGTCTCACTCTGTCGCCCAGGTTGGAGTGCAGTGGCACAATCACGGCTCACGGCAGCCTTTATCTCCAGGGCTCAAGCGATCCTCAAGTTAGCCTCCCGAGTAGCTGGGACAACAGGCATGGGCTGCCACGCCCAGCTAATTTTTGTATTTTTTGTAGAGACAGAGTTTCACCGTGTTGGCCAGGCTGGTCTCAAACTCCTGACCTCAAGTGATCCACCCGCCTCAGCCTCCCAAAGTGCTGGGATTGATTACAGGCACGAGCCACTGTGCCTGGACCGAAGCTTCTGTTTCTTTGCTGATTAAAACTAGGGTCTGGATCTGTGGGCTCACAGACACTTCTCTAAGGATGGGGCTCATGGAGAGAGCTGTGCTCCCAGGTCTGCTTGGACTAAATCTTCCTGAAAAGGCAAGCTCGCCCGTCCTACATTTGGGAGAGTGAGGCGATGCAGGAAAATTTGGAAGAACTTAGGAGGAAGAGCTGCGACCAGAGGAACTTGGTGGGGAATTTCCTGAGAGCAGACTTAAGGCAAGGACCTGACGACGCTGAATAGAGGGGAAGTAAGAATATTCCTTTCCGTAGATAGCGATTGTGAAACCAGACAGGGCTTTTGGCTGAAGCACCCCGTTCACCGTCACTGAAGAGTGATTCTGGATTCTGGGGACGGGCCCTCCCACACACCCACTCACCCACATGGGTGTTATCTGCAGGTCCTCAGGGTGGGAGGACTGACTGGGGCTTCAAAACTTCTTGGCTGTTTGAAACCTCCATTTTACAGAGGAGGAAGCAGGCCCAGAGAGGGGTGTGCCTGGCCCAAGATCACACAGGGAGGCAGAGACAAGGCTGAAACCAGAACCAAGTTACTGCTTACACACACACCCCTACACCAACTCCCTCTGTTTGAGCTGCATTAATACAGTCAGCCTGTGTCTCCTGGTTTTCAGATACCTGGGACCCAGAGAGGTTGAGTGGCTCAGGCAAGGTCACACAGTAAGGGAAAGTGATCTAAGCTTTCTTATTGGTCAGAGTGCAGAAGTTGGAAAGATTAATGATATTCAGTGTTGAGGATAAGGAAGACACTTCTATAGGCTGCTTCTCAGTTCTTTCAACAGTTATGTGTTGAAGGGCTACTCCGTGCCTGAAGATTTAGCTGGAAACAGTCAAATGTGGTCCTTGCTCCAGGAACCTGTCTTCTTCTTCTTTTTTTTTTTTTTTTTTTTTTTTTTTGAGACGGAATCTTACTCTGTCACCTAGGCTGGAGTGCAGTGATGCGGTCTTGGCTCACTGCAATGTCCATCTCCCGAGTTTAGGTGATTCTCCTGCCTCAGCCTCCTGAGTAGCTGGGACTACAGTTGCACACCACCATGCCTGGCTAATTTTTGTATTTTTAGTAGAGGTGGGGTTTCACCATTGGGTCAGGCTGGTCTTGAACTCCTAACCTCAAGTGACCCGCCCGCCTTGGCCTCCCAAAGTGCTGGGATTACAAGGATGACAAGAACCTGTCTTCTACCGAAGGAGACACATGATAAACAAGTAAACCAATGCAATTACTGTAGATTGTGGTTAGTTCTTTTGAAGGAACTAAACAGGTGCCTCTGGTAGAGATGAACAGGGCAAGTTACTTCAGTTAGGGTGGGTAAATGGTGCTGGGCAGAGTTAAACTGGTAGTACCTATTAGGAGAGCAGTTTATCAGTAGCTATCAAAATGTTAAAGGTATAAACCTTTTAATCCAGTAATTTCCTCTTCTAGAAATCTGCCCTACCAAAATACTAGTATACATGTGCAAGGATTTATGTGTAGGGATATTCATTGCAACATTGTCTGTAGTAATGAAAAGTCGAGGCAACCTAAGTGTCCATCAGTAGAGGAGCAGTTAAATTGTACATCCATCCGGTGAACCATCATAGAGTAACATAAGGGAGACATAGGCCACATGTTCCTGTGTAGAAGGATGGCCACAAGATACTGTTCTTTATGCAATTTTATGTATTCATTTATGTTTCACAGTTATGCATGATTTAGGCAGTTAGTATAAGGCATTTATATATATTATTTACAGATATTGTATTTAGGCATTACACTGTTGCAGAAAGTTTTACAATATGTATGGCTTGACCCCACTCTTGCTTAAGAAATGTAACTGTGTGAGTGTTGTTTGTGTGTGCATGGAACAGTATGTACCAGATTGGTTTTTCTGTTTTGTTTTGTTTTGTTTTGTTTTGTTGAGACAGGGTCTCGCTCTGTTATCCAGGCTGGAGTGTGGTAGTGTGATCATAGCTCACTATATTGAACAACTGGGCTCAAGCAATCCTCCTGCCTCAGCCTCCCCAGTAGCTGGGACTATGGGCATATACCACCACACCTGGCTAATTTCTTTTATTTTACAATTATTATTATCGTCATTTTTGTAGAGACAGAGTTTCACTTGGTTGTGCAGGCTGATGTTGAACTCTGGGGCTCAAGCAATCCTTCTGCCTCTATCTCCCAAAGTATTGGGATTATAGGCGTGAGCCATCATGCCCGGCCTAGAATGTTAACAGCCAGTACCACTAAGGAGTGAAATCAGAAGTGGGAAGAGGTCAGAGTCCCCTTTCTATTAATACTATATCATTTATTTTCTGTATTATTTGGGTTTGTTGTATCAAGCTTGCATTCCTTTTATCATTTTAGAAATCTGCATTTTTAATACTATTTTACCTCTACTCTCCTAAAATATAACAAAAACAGGTGAGCCAGGACAGGGGCCCAGACTCACCATGCAGTGGTCAGTCCTGGTTTCCTCTGTCCCTGCTCATGGCATGGCCACCGCGCTGGCAGGCAGGCCAGGGACAACGCAGGCCTTCCCCTGGCCACCCCGTGACAGCATCTGTCATCTCAGGGAACGCTGGAGCTGTGGGCATACGGGGCTTGGGCTCTCCATGCTGGGCTGGAAGGTTCTGTTCTGAGTGCCCACCCCTGGCTGTGCTGACTCAGATCCCAAGCAACCTGCTTGATGGTGGCCCTGTCTCCTCCCTGCAGGTACTACATGAGGCCTGTTCTTGCGGCCCATGTGTTTTCTGGTGAAGAGGAGCTTCCCCAGGACTCCCTCAGTGCCCCTTCGGTGGCCTCCAGATTCATTGATTCCCACACACCCCCTCTCCGCCCCATCCTGAAGAAGACGGCCAGCCTGGGCTTCTGTGTCACCTACGTCTTCTTCATCACCAGCCTCATCTACCCCGCCATCTGCACCAACATCGAGTCCCTCAACAAGGGTTCGGGCTCACTGTGGACCACCAAGTTTTTCATCCCCCTCACTACCTTCCTCCTGTACAACTTTGCTGACCTATGTGGCCGGCAGCTCACCGCCTGGATCCAGGTGCCAGGGCCCAATAGCAAGGCGCTCCCAGGGTTCGTGCTCCTCCGGACCTGCCTCATCCCCCTCTTCGTGCTCTGTAACTACCAGCCCCGCGTCCACCTGAAGACTGTGGTCTTCCAGTCCGATGTGTACCCCGCACTCCTCAGCTCCCTGCTGGGGCTCAGCAACGGCTACCTCAGCACCCTGGCCCTCCTCTACGGGCCTAAGATTGTGCCCAGGGAGCTGGCTGAGGCCACGGGAGTGGTGATGTCCTTTTATGTGTGCTTGGGCTTAACACTGGGCTCAGCCTGCTCTACCCTCCTGGTGCACCTCATCTAGAAGGGAGGACACAAGGACATTGGTGCTTCAGAGCCTTTGAAGATGAGAAGAGAGTGCAGGAGGGCTGGGGGCCATGGAGGAAAGGCCTAAAGTTTCACTTGGGGACAGAGAGCAGAGCACACTCGGGCCTCATCCCTCCCAAGATGCCAGTGAGCCACGTCCATGCCCATTCCGTGCAAGGCAGATATTCCAGTCATATTAACAGAACACTCCTGAGACAGTTGAAGAAGAAATAGCACAAATCAGGGGTACTCCCTTCACAGCTGATGGTTAACATTCCACCTTCTTTCTAGCCCTTCAAAGATGCTGCCAGTGTTCGCCCTAGAGTTATTACAAAGCCAGTGCCAAAACCCAGCCATGGGCTCTTTGCAACCTCCCAGCTGCGCTCATTCCAGCTGACAGCGAGATGCAAGCAAATGCTCAGCTCTCCTTACCCTGAAGGGGTCTCCCTGGAATGGAAGTCCCCTGGCATGGTCAGTCCTCAGGCCCAAGACTCAAGTGTGCACAGACCCCTGTGTTCTGTGGGTGAACAACTGCCCACTAACCAGACTGGAAAACCCAGAAAGATGGGCCTTCCATGAATGCTTCATTCCAGAGGGACCAGAGGGCCTCCCTGTGCAAGGGATCAAGCATGTCTGGCCTGGGTTTTCAAAAAAAGAGGGATCCTCATGACCTGGTGGTCTATGGCCTGGGTCAAGATGAGGGTCTTTCAGTGTTCCTGTTTACAACATGTCAAAGCCATTGGTTCAAGGGCGTAATAAATACTTGCGTATTCAATGTAAGCCTCATTGATGTCTCTGTTAGAGTCTTAACAAGCAATGGCACACTCAGATTAGGCAATTTGAGGATTTTTTAAAATTTATTATTATTATTGAGACAAGATATTGCTCTGTCACCCAGGCTGGAGTGCAGTGGCTCGATCATAGCTCACTGCAGCCTTGAACTCCTGGGCTCCAGTGATCTTCCAGCCTCAGCCTCCTGAGTAGCTGGGACTACAGGTGCACACCACCATGCCTCGCTAATTTCTGTATTTTTAAAATTTTTCATAGAGATGGGGTATTACTATGTTGCTCAGCCTGGTCTCAAATTCCTGAGCTCAAGCGATCCTCCCACCTCAGCTTCCCAAAGTGCTGGGATTATAGGTGTGAGCCACTGTGCCCAGCCTAATTTGAGGATTTTTTTTTCTTTTTTTCCTTTTTCTTTTCTTTTTTTTTTTTTTGAGATGAAGTCTTGCTCTGTCACCCAGGCTGGAGTGCAGTGGCTCAATCTCGGCTCACTGCAACCTTGAGGATGTTTTAAGAGCAGGTGTAGGAACCCCAGGGGGTTGTGCATTCTATCTAAAAACTAGTAATAGGCCATTCCAGCTCAGGCCTGATGTGGGGAGGGGAGGGAGTCCTAGAACCTAGGGAGTGACTTTGTCTGGGGATGGGATGGCCAGCCTGCTGTAACCCTGCAGGAGGAAGCTGAAGGAATAAATTCCCTCCATTCATCCTCTGATTTCCATGCCCCTTGGACTAAAGCCCAGCCAGCAGCAGGTGGAGAGGGTAGAGAGTGGCCTGGAGAAGCAGGAAGGTGTCTGGCCCAGAGTCTCATGCATTGCAGGACCAGCTAGCACCTTGGCTTTCACAGGTTTCTTTTTTGTGAACATCACTGAAGCTCTGAAGCTTTGAGCAGCAGGATTAGGTGTTGCTTTGTTCTGGTTTGTTGCTAATAGTTGTGTATGTTGAAGCTGTTGTTTCAAAAGACGACGCCCAGGTTCCATTGCTCTATCTGGGGGGGCTGTGGCCCCTCACATTGGCGATCTCCTGACATGAAGAGTAATTTATATTTTTTTCAGGTGTCTAGAAGGCTCCCAAAAGCCTATTCCTTGGAAAACAGCATGGCACGGGAATCAGAGAGAGAAAGGAACCAGATCAGACGAGGAGCTCTCTCTCAAGAGTCCTGCAGAAAGAACAGAACTTACCCCCAAGATGTGGCAACCCTTGGAGCCGTGAATCAGCCCTTTGCTTCTCTGCAGAAGCGCACTGGCTCATTGGTGCCCTGCAGAGGCTGATGAAACAGAAGCAGTCAGTAATCCAGCCGGTGGCAGCAGTTCATGCTCCCCACCGTCTCAGCCTAGTACACATTCCCTCTCCTTGGCCGAAGAATTAAAGAGGACACCTTGAAAGGGTTTCTGAACTCGATACCTACCAAAAAGAAAAAGTTCTCCCTTCCCTTTGCAGGAGCCTGAAGTCTCCCCCTTGGTTTTTTCATTGACTTTAGTGCTGCGGATGATTTGGGATGTTGGTCTAGCTGGTGACTCATCTCAACCACAAGTGTTTTAGAAATGAGCAGCATGGGCCGGGCATGGTGGTTCATGCCTGTAATCCCAGCACTTTGGGAGGCCGAGGCAGGCGGGCCACCTGAGGTCAGGAGTTCGAGACCAGCCTGACCAACATGTCGAAATCCCGTCTCTACTGAAAATACAAAAATTAGCCGGGCATGGTGGTGGGCACGCCTGTAATCCCAGCTACTCGGGAGGCTGAGTCAGGAGAATCACTTGAACCTGGGAGGTGGATGTTGCAGTGAGCTGAGACCATGCCATTGGACTCCAGCCTGGGCAAAAAGGGCAAAACTCCGTCTCAAAAAGAAAAAAAGAAAGAAAAAGAAAAAGAAATGGGCACCATGCCTGCCTTAAAGTAAACCAGCAGTCTCTGAGCTCAGAGATGGGGACCATCTTGGAGCGATCACCTTGCAGCTATTGGGGAAGGAGTAGTGGGGGTCTCTCATGCTCTGTTGTAGGGGAATGGGCTTTCAAAGAAGTGGAGGTGGCATCTCCATTAGAGAGATGATTTGCAGTTAGTGTGGAGCACAGGGGGAGTTGGGGGGCCAGCCATGGTGATGGCAGGGCATAGAGATGATAGACTAAGTTGCATCCACTTTGCCAGGGGAGGAGAGGCCGCTCTGTTGGGAGGGGCTGGCGGCTTGGCTGTTGGGGATCATCCAGGCTTTTGCTCACTCTGCTTGGTTACTCACCTTAGTGGGCACTTCACAGAGGGTCATTCCCTCCCAGGGAGGGAGGAAGGAAAATAAAAATCCATCTCCAGGCAGAAGGGTGGATGGGGGAGTTCAGACGTGCTTGTTCCCCCTCCGCCGTGAGAAGCAGTTCGTGGGCTTTGGCTGCTCTGGATCTCAAGTCTCATGTGAACCCAGCAGGCTTGGAACCAGCTCATATGTTTGGAGGGGTGAACAAAACTCACCAAAAAGGAGGGGAGTTTTCAATGAGGGAGGTAGAGGGGGTGCCTTGAGAGGTTGTCTTTATCTAAGAGTTCTCTGATTTAATTCCAAATGGCAGTTTTTAGGGCACCATACACATGTTCATTTTCCTTCTTTTTAATTTTTAATGTTTTGGTTTCTTTGAGACAAGGTCTCAGTTTGTCACCCAGGCTGGAGTGCAGTGGCATGATCACAGCTCACTGCAGCCTCGACCTCCTGGGCTCAAGCAATCCTCACACCTCAGCCTCCCTAGGAGCTAGGACCATGGGTGCCTGCCACCACACGTAGCTAATTTTTAAAAAATTTTTTATAGAGGCAGAGTCTCACCATGTTGCCTAGGCTGGTCTCTAACCACTCAAGCAAACACCGTGTTTGTGTTCTAGTGTTTTGTGAAAGGTAGAACTTGAGAGTGATGAAATCAGATGTTTGGCTGAGGACATTTCTATGCAATGTATTGAAAGTGTGGCTTGGCTCCTCCTGACTGCTTATAATAAAATGTGAGAGAGAAATGACTTAAATATGGAATGGTGAAGTGAAAAGGTGGGAGGACTCAAGCAATTCTCCCACCTCGGCCTCCCAAAGTGCTGGGATTACAGGCATGAGCCACCATGCCCAACCATTTTTCTCCTTTATTCAGTTAACAAAGCTACATGAGGGGACTCTTCAACCAGTGGGTGACAGGGATTTCTGAGAACATGCTTATTCCTACATGCATAGGAGCTGGGGGAAACTTCAACCAGGGGTGGTATTATGAGCAAAGACCCCTCATTCAGCTGCCTTCCACTCAGTGCTCCAGGGAGAAGACTTCGGCCTCTTCATCAGCTCGGAGGTGATGTGGGCGCTTAACTTCTGAGCCAGTGTCACGCTTTTATAGAGAACTCCACGTAGAAGAGGAGGCAAAGCCTGTTGACATATTTATAGTACATTCCAGTCGAATGTGAACTGAGAGCCCATGCATGTCTCCACTTGGTGGGCTTTCTGAGTGGGAGTACCTCGTGCCTATTCTACCATCGTCACTTCCTTGGTGGCAGCATTGTCAGTGCCAGTATGCCTCTGGGCCTGAGTCACTGTTGCTCTTCACCCACTCGCTGAGGCTGCCTGGTTCCCGGTCTAGCTTTGACTCCAGCAGGATCCTAGAAAGAATTTCTGCCCCACCATCAGGTAGAAGCTAGGACTAGTCAGGTAGCCATAGAGCTGGCTATTGGGAAAGGAGTAGTGGGGGTCTCTCATGCTGTGTTGTAGGGGAATGGCTTTCAAAGAAGTGGAGGAGGCATCTCTGTTAGAGAGATGATTTGCAGTTAGTGTGGAGCACAAGGGGAGGCGGGGGGCCAGCCGTGGTGATGGTAGAGCCTGGAGATGATAGACTAAGTTGCACCCAGTTCACCAGCCCCTGCTGCTGAGGTGACCCCTGCATGGCTCGCTGCTGACAAACCTGTCTTGGAACAGCAGGGTTGTGGGACATGAGACAGAGCTTTAGAGGTCAGGAAGTCTTGCTCCCAGCCCCACAAGGCACCATCTGTGTGAGTCAACCTTCCTGAGTCTCATTTCCTCATCTGTAAAATAGGGATAATAGTAAGTCCCAGAGCTGTGACCATCTGCTGTGCCACTAAGCCAGCCTTTCACCCCAGTCACACCCACTCCCCAGCCCACATAGGCAAGAGATGCACCAGGGGTCACAGCCTTTGCAGCAGGCAACTCAGGGCACAGTGCACACCCCCTACTGCCACCAGGTTTCTGCCACTCAGGAAGTCCAGGGCAGCCTCAGCCTGAGATGGCGAACTCAACTTCAGGCTTCCCTGGGCTTGACCCTGAAGGAGAGTGACAAAGGTAGCCATACTCTCTGCCCCTACAAGGTTCCAGCCAGCTGACCCATTGGCCCTGTGCTCTCTGCTAAGAACAGTTCCGGTGCTTGACTGGAAGTTAGAGGAGCTCCAGGGCCACAGCATAGGGCCAAGGAATTAACAGTCACAGGATTCAGACACTCAGACCGAGGTTGGAATGCTGTTTCTGCCACCTCCTAGCTGGGTCACTTTAGCCACGTCCTGCTGGTGCCCTTTTCTGATGTCTAAAATAAGCCGGCCAGGCATGGTGGCTCACACCTATAATCCCAGCACTTTGGGAGGCTAAGGCGGGAGAATCACTTGAGGCCAGGAGTTCAAGACCAGCCTGGACAACATAGTAAGACCCTGTCGCTACAAAAATATATATATACAAAAATTAGCCAGGCCTAGTGGTACATGCCTATAGTCCCAGCTACTCAAGAGGCTGAGGCAGGAGGATTGTTTGAGCCCAGGAGGTGGAGGTTACAGTGAGCTAGAATTGCACCACTGCACCCCAGCCTGGGCAACAGAGTATCTAGAGACTATGTCTCTAAAAAAAATAAAAAATAAAATGAGAAGCCTCTCAGGGCTGTAGAAAGGATTAAATAAGCCCTAATGTTGTATGCAAAGTATCTGGCATATGATAGATCCTCAACAAACTTGGTTTTCTTCCACTTTTTGCTGCTGCCTGGACAACTTGTTGCAATGCCAGCTGCTTCCCTATGGCAGGCTGTACCCTGTACCCAGTGCTCAATGGACTTGCCAGGCCCCTCGCCTGGCCCCCAGGCCTAGAACCTGACACTTGTTTGATGCTCAGGCCCCCTGTCTGGATCTCCCTGCCCAGGCATGCCTGACCTGGGGGCAGGACACACTGGGCACAAAGCTGGAAATCCAAGACCCCAGACCACTCACTTTGTCCTTTGGACAGGCTGTTTCATTTTTTTTTCTATGCCTCAGCTGGAAAATTGGGCACCCCACTACCCATTCTATCACTATCATGAATGCACAGCCATGAACAAAGATGCCCTTTAGAAACCAGTGTAGTTCCAACGGGGTTCCAAGAGCCTGGGCTCTGGAGCCATTCTGCCTAGGTTTGAGTCCTTACTACTTCCTGGCTGTGTGACTGAAGGTAAGTCCAATCCCCTCCTCCATTTTCTCATCTGAACACTAGGGGCGATTGTAGTACTGCTCTCATCTCTGGTTATGATGATATACTGGCAATGCACATAAAACATTTGGAATGGAGCCTAGTGCTACAGATGAATGTTTGTGTCCTCCCCAAATTCACATGTTCCAATCCTAACCCCCAACTTGATGGTATTAGGAGGTTGGATGTTTGGGAGGTGATTAGATCATGAGAGTAGAACCCTCATGAATGTGATTAGTAACCTTATAAAAGAGTCAACAGAGCTCCCTCACCCCTGTGCCGTGTGAGAACACAGTGAGAAGATGGCCCTCTGTCAACCAGGAAGCAGACCCTCAGCACACACCAAATCTGCTGCAACCTTGATCTTGGATCTTCCAGCCTCTAGAACTGTGAGGAATAAATTTCTATTGTATAGAAGCCACCCAGGCTATGATATTTTTGTTATAGTAGTGTGAACAGACTAAGACAAATGTCAAGGAGCTTGGCTGAACTGTGTTTGTGTTCTAGTGTTTTGTGGCAGGTAGAACTTGAGAGTGATGAAACAAGATGTTTAGCTGAGGACATTTCTATGCAATATATTGAAAGTGTGGCTTGGCTTCTCCTAATAACATGTGAGAAAAGAGAAATGACTTAAATATGGAATGGTGAAGTAAAAAGGAAGCAGAACTTAAAGATTTGGAAAATCCTCAGCCTATTCATATTGCAAAAAATGAGAACACTACAGGTGTAGCGTAAACAAATGACTGTTTGCTAAGGAGATCAGAGTAGAGCAACAATCCAACCTGGGCTCTGCAATCCACTGCTGGCCATGAGCTTGGGAGCAGGCCCTGCTTCTGCAGCAGGATGAGTGTGGTCTACATCAAAGTAAAGGGAGGCACTGACCATTGAGCAGCTACTATGGTCAGGCTCTGCCTATGTACAGTATCCCTGCCAGGTGGGGTGGGTCATCCCCATTTTACAGATGAGGAAACTGAGACTCAGAAAGATTAAGTCAGTAAGAGACCATGTTAGAATTCAGACCAGAGCTAGGAGGCTCCAAAGCCTGTCTTTCCTCTTCACCCTGCTGCCTTAAAAGATTGAGAAGGGCACTTCCAGTTTACATGGTTTGTGGATCTGAGGACGCCCAGAGCACATGCTGGGTAGACAGGGTAAGGAGGGGGAGAAGCAGAGTCAGGATGAACTTGTCCGGTGTGAGGGACAGGGGCCACCCAGCCTGCCCTCAGTGCTTCTATGGTGGCACTGATGGGTCACTGGTCATCAATACCCAAGGCTGCAGATGTTATAGGCACTTGAAACATAAGGTTCATGAAGGCAAGAGCAAGATTTACAGAGCATGTGATACAGGCAGAGAGCTTCACCATCTGGATCTCAGGTGCCACATGCCTCAAGCCTGTCCTCTCCAACGTGCCAAGGAACCGTGGGTGGGTCCACCTTCGCAGACACAGAGAAGAGTAAAGTATGAAGTTCTAGGATAACCATGCCTTCTGTTCCCAACTTAAAACATATGCCTAGAGCTGGTGGGGCCCTGAGGCCACCAAGTCCAACCTCTGCCCCTCAGCAAGACCATACTTGGGCTACTGTAAACCAGCTGGCACCAGGCCTGTGCTGACCAGCAGTTTCTAACAGATTTAAGTTCCGGAGGCCCAAGGAGATTGAACGTCCTCAGTGCTGTCCTTCTTATTTGTTTATTTATTTATTATATATATTTTAAGAGATGGAGTCTTGCTATGTTGCTGAGGTTGGAGTGCAGTGGCTGTTCGGAAGTGCAATCATAGCTCACTGCAACCTCCAACTCCTAGGCTCAAGTGATCCTCCCACCTCAGCCTCCCAAGTAGCTGGGACTACAGGCATGTGACACTGTGCCCAGCTTTTTAAAAAAATGAAATATAACTATATTTTCCAAAACAAAATATTGGTGAGAAAAGTGCCATTGTTTTGCAGTTTTTAATGTAATTTTTTATTGATACATAATAGAGGTATATATTTTCAGGGTACATATGATAATTTAATACACTGATATCATTTGTAAAGATCAAATCAGGGCAATTGGGATAGCCATCACCTTAAATATTTGTCTTTTCTTTATACTAGAAACATCTAAATTATTTTATTATTTATTTTTTAATTTTTAATAGAGACAGGGTCTCTTTATGTTGCCCAGGCTGGTCTCGAACTCCTGAGCTCAAACGATCTACTCACCTCAGCCTCCCAAAGTGCTGGGATTACAGGTGTGAGTCATCGCGCTTGGCCCGAATGATTCTCTTCTAGCTATTTTGAAATGTATGATAGATTATTGTAAAGTGTAGTGAATACTGATCCATCAAGCACTAGGTCTTACTGATTGCTGTTCCGATTCTGGAAAAAGCCCCCACGTTCCTAGCCCACTTCCTATGCACTCACTCCAGGGTGAAGGATGTGAGGTCCTCTTCCCAGCACTTTCACCCAACGGCCTCCATCACTACTGCACTAGCCCGCCCCACTCCTTGGAGTTTAACCAGGGCAGAATGTTCTCATGGCTCTAGACTTCTGATGTCCTTGCTACTTCCTTCTAAGAGTCTTATGTGGGTCTTAATCTGGGGCCTCTGGGTGGAAAGAGGGATTCATGGAACCCCTGAGATCATATGCAGAAGTTTCTGTGCTTTGGGAGAGGGGCTATAGCTTACATCAGATAGTCAAAGAGGTCTGCATTCCAAGGTTTCCGAGCCCCTGGGTGCCAAGCTACAGTGACCCGTCCTGTTTAATGGTGTTCCTGGACAGAGCAATGGACAGAGCACAGTGCTTAAGAGCAGGGACTTAGAAGCCAGACTGCCTGATTTTGAACCCCGACTCTATGTCTTATTAGTCAGTGATCTTGGACAGGTTTCTTAACCTCTCTGTGTCTCTGTTTCCTTATCTGTAAAAGGGATTGACAGTGTGTCTATCCTCATGGGATTGTTGTGAAGATTAAATGATTTAATCCATATAAAGCTCTCCATCCAGGCTAAATGATTACTTCTCCTCCCATCGCCCTTGGAGGTTGGCAGGGCAGAGGTTATCCTGACCACTTTTTCAATGAGGAAGAACGACAGAAATAATAGCCCAGTTCCAGAGCTCTGCCTGCAAGTGCAGCAGGTCCTGCTGTTTCATGAAATCATTGCAAAGAGGAAGTCTGCACACTGCTCTCAGAGGCAGGAGGATTCCTTTTAGAGAGCTGGGGAATAAACCAGATCTATCGACAGTTTCAGTCCTGGTTAAGTAGTGAGAACCAGTCATCGGTCACAGGATGCAAGAGGTGGCTTTAGGCGTGAGTCAGGAGCCACACACCTGAACTGGCCTGTTAGCATCTTCACGGTGAACTTCTTGAAGTCCCTCTGTCTAATCAGATTTCCAGAGAAATAGAGGAACTACTGCTTATTGAGCACTATGAACCGGGCAAGTGAATGCATAATCTTACTTAATCCATTCAGTCACTAGGTGGAAGGATTATTATCCCCATTTTATATGTGCCAAAACTAAGACTCACATAGCTGCTAAGTGGCAGAACTGAGATTCAAACCCAGGTCTGCCTGACTCCAAGACTCAAGTGCCTGATGGTCACAATAGCAGCAGTCCTCATTAGAATCACCTGGAGCACTTGGTAAATGCAGATTGCTGTATCCACTCCCAGAGTCCCTGATTCCATAGGTCTGGTGTGGGACCTGAGAATTTGTAGTTCCAACAAGTTCCCAGGTGGTGCTGATGCTGCTGGTCTGAGAACCCCACGAGGAGAACCACTGTGCTAAACCAAAGAGTGATGAGGGGTTGTCATCAGCTCACACCTGGCCCGGGGAGAGAAAGTGAGGGCTTCATCTGCTGCTGTTCCAGTTGAGGCCTCAGGAACCGGAAAGTCTTTAATGAAGCTAATGCATTGTGGACACTCACTCAACCTTCCTTGAAAATGATCACAGATTCAGGGCAGGGCCTTTGCATTTTAAGTGCCAAGCTCATCTTCTTCACCACGCCCCAAGGTTGGCGCCTGGTGGCTTTACTCCTCACTTGTGTCTTTCCCACCTGCTCCCTTCAGCTGAGGCCCAACACCATCAATATTGAGGAGGGAGGAGGGACAGGGGCGGGGGCGAGACAGTGAGGCTGAGGGGCAAGTCTCAAGGCATGCGTGCGATGACAGGCTGGAAGGCGCTGTGATCTCACCCCCTCGCAGGCATTCCTGTAACTGGGGAGCAGTGGGTGAGGGGTGCGGGGCTGCCTCCTACCAGGGTGTAGTCACACCTCCTATCTGTCCTCTGGAATTCATTAGCTGCTGAGGTGATGTTAACTGTTTTTCATTTTCTGAGTCTTTGCTGAGACTCAAAAAGGGGAAATGAGCCATTACCAACCAGCAACACTTTTTCAAACAGAAACTGAATTGACTGCATTTTCTAATAATGTTGTGTGAATTACGAATGCAGAACTCTGGCCTTGTCTTTCAGAAGACAGATGTCTGTGGCTTGCTTTCTGCTTATAAAGCTCTGGGAGAAAGGAATAGGACAGGTCAAATGTCAAAGTGTGCTGGCCCTGGCCTGTTGTGAGGATGTCGGGAAATTTCCCTTTCCTTGCTTTCTGCTGCTCAAGAACCTCAGGCTCTGCCCTGTTGGGTAAGGAACAGCCACCTCGATTCTTGAAATAGGGGAGTCAGGACACAGGGCTTGGAATCAGAGAACTCTGAACCTCAGTATCCTCATCCGTAAAATGGAGATATTAATCCTGCATGCCTCGACATTCTGATCCTGTCAGAGTGCCTTGTGAACTGCAAAAAGCGTATCAGATATTAGCTCTTATTATTATCCTGCCCTTAGATCCATTTGCACCCCATCCTATGGGACAAGGAGTCTGTAGGACCAAAGGGACATGATAACCAGGAGCTCACAGCCCTCTTCCCTTCTGCCATGCTCTGGGTACGTGGGACACTTGAATCCCTTGCCTAAATGGGCTTGAACCTATAAGGAAGGGCTGGGAAGGCCTTTTCCCAGACCCATGGCCCCAAGGGCAGACTGCTAAGGGCACACCTGGGTGCAAGGAATGGCTGTTTGCAAGGGGTGCAGAGTTGGGACTTATAGGTTGGGATATCTACATTCGTTCACAGGAGACCCTTCTAGATGTGGGACTGAGCAGAATTCTGAGAAGTCAGAGAATTCTAGATTCCAACCTGACCTTCCAGGTTGTTATAAAGGTATATATGTGTCAAGGTAGAAGGGAGAAGATATTTTAAGTTTAGTCATTGATGTGTAACTTACATATGAAAACACCTGGTATAGGGCCTCCATTTGTATTATTGTCCTGGGCCCATTTTCATTACTAGAAGTTTGAATTCACTTCCTTTGAGCCAGGCAGACCTCTTGCTTTCCTCATTATTTGTACCTCTCTTCCTATTTCCCTCTCCTCTGTCTTCCTAAATATGCATAGCTGAGCCTTATTAGGATATATAGCCAGGATTGGTAGAGATTTAGGGGGCTCCCTTTCCTCTCTCCCTTTAACCATTTCCCACCCCCTCAGGACATGCGTGACAGATGATAGGCAGGGGCCAAGGGTCCTCTCTGGTCAATGGCTGGCCACCTTTTTACCTCTTAAGAGGTTTCAAGATAATGATATCTGTGTAACTTCATGGTAAGAAGATAGAGCTCCATTCTGCTCCCGCCATGGTAACCCGAAGGTAAGCCAAGAGGCTCCATGTTGGGGTGTGTGTGTGTGTGTTGTGGGAAGCAGGCCTGAGAAGCCTAGATTTTTGGGCAGAGAACTACAAGAAGAGTAATGTTGCCTGCCCCTGTCCCCATCTCCATCCTGGAAGGGTGCAGGTCCTCAGCTGGCAGCGGGAGAAAGGCAGCTGGTGAAAGGCAGCAGCCAGCGACTTCACCACTTTGAGTTGGGCCCCTTCTGGTGTAGAACCTGGATCCCCTAACCTCCTTGGCTTGCCGCTAGCGTGTCATTATCCACGTTTTGCTCCATGTAAAACCCTCTTCCAACATCCCCTTCCTATTCAGACACTGTTTGACAGTGCAGAGACTGGTCCAGAAATGGGGTCGCTTGCCTCTGTGAGTCAAGCCTCTCCTGCTCCAGAAAGTAAGATGAGAATAGCTGCTCCCCGCTTGCTTCTTGGGGTCCTGGGAGGATGCAGCAGTAGTAGAACAGCTTTTGGTACATATCAAATCCTGCTGAACAGCTCATCTCACCTATGCCTGAGATGGCGATAATGCAGAGGAGGAATAGCGCAGGTGGGAGTACAGAAGTAGCAGGCTTGTGAGAGAGCTTTGTGAACTGCAAAAACCCTATCAGATATTAGCTCTTGTTATTATCCTGCTCTTAGATCCATTTGCACCCCATCCCACCTGCCCCACCGACCCTAAGAGAATCAGAGCAAATGCTTGTTATTAGACATGAGCACTGAAGGCTCCAAGGACTACTGCGGCCACCGTTTCTCCACATGTGGAAAGAGTGAAGTGCTGGTACTGTGCTGTGTGACTTTAGGTGCTACCAAGCAGAGTATTAAACACAGAACTGCAGCACGTCCAAGTTCTCCCCTTTTCAGTACGTTCAATCCTGATTACCCACAGGAGAAACTTGCAGTTTAGTGCTTGCATTCTTCAACACCTCACTAAAACTCAACAGTTTCCCTTTTTAACAAAGAGATCAAGGTTTTGCCCACTAGAATTGAAAACAATATTTTAATTTTCATCTCTTTATGTGGTTTCTTACTTTCTATTTACGCCAGGTGATAGTGGTTTTCCATTAAAGTAATGACATACAGATTTTAAAAGTAAATATAAGTAAATCAACTAAAAAAATCAATTTAAGAAGCACTTTAAAAAAAATGCAGGTGGTACTCGGACGTGACTAATATTATTCATTTCATAGGCAAGGAAATGGAGAATCAGGCAGGAATCCCCAAACCCCAGAGTGGTATAAGCTGACATTTAGGAAGAACACAGACGGCTGTCTCCCCTGAAAGCCAAACAGATACTCATGGGCCAGGTAAGTTCTCCCTTTCACATTTAGGACCCCCATTAACAAGAGTCTGCCTTTTGTGGTTGGTGTTTTCACCATTTTCATTTTAGCCAAGAAAAATAAGAACTTCTGGGGCCACTGATTGATCCCTTTAAATTGAGGGCAGAAAGCTGGCCATTTTTCAGAAGCGAAGAGCGTCAGCAGTGGTGTTAGGTATAACTAGAAGAGGGGGAAGAAGGGGCAAAAATAGAGGTGGGGCAAAGTGTAAACAGGAAATAGAAGACACAAAGCCAAACCAGCTTGAACATTTTTAAGGACTTGAAACTCCAGGGAGTGGTGGAAACAAACTCCAGATTGTTCCTGTCCTAAGTAAACACGGCAATGTGTCTCTTACAAAGCTCTGACCACAGCCACTCTTTGATACTGATAGAACTATTGCTTATTGAAACTACTATGATGATTTGCCCACTAACCTCCACTGGGCCCTCAGTAGCTGCCAGGCACCTGGCTAAGACTGAACATCCTCTTGTCAATCCTCACAGGAAGACTTGAAGTGAAAATTGCAGGCTCTGGACTTGACTAGCCTGGGTTGGAAATCTGGCCCTGTAGAGCTGTGTCAGAGCAAATCAAATTCTTCCCTGAGCCTATTTCCTCATTCATTATACCCATTCTACTAAATGCATGTAATAACTATTATACCTCTTAGATTTCAACATTAGACCATTTATCAGGGGTAGGAAGTAAGCAACCAATAACAATGTCACTTATTATTCACTGTTGGTATTATCAGTACCAGAAGGGCAAAGAAGCTTCTGAAGTTTGTCAACCTTAAATAATAAGATATAGAAAATATGACTAGCTATAGAGTTTATTCAAGCCCAAAGCTTGAGGATGGCCACCCAGGAGCATAGATTCAAGTTTCCCTGAATGTATATGCTGAGTAGCAGCAATTAGAAGTGGGTTTTTGTTTCTGTGTTTTTTTGTTTTGTTTTGTTTTGAGATGGAGTCTCCCTTCGTTGCCCAGACTGGAATGCAGTGGTGTGATCTCAGCTTATTGCAAACTCCACCTCCTGGATTCAGGAGATTCTCCTGCCTCTGCCTCTGCCTCAGCCTCCCGAGTAGCTGGGATTACAGGCACCTGCCACCACGCCCGGCTAATTTTTATATTTTTAGTAGAGGCGAGGTTTCACCATGTTGCCCAGGCTGGTCTCGAACTCCTGACCTCAAGACCTCACCCTCCCAAAGTGCTGGGATTACAGGCGTGAGCCACCGCGCCCGGCCCTGTCTTTTCTCAAGGTCACTTGGCCCAGTGTCACAGAGCTGAACCAAGATGGTTAGGCTGAGGGATAGGTCCCGAAGTGCTCAGATCTCCGGGCCTCAAGGCCCAGGCTGGGGTGGCACGGCAGGGGCTGATGGGGAGGTGCCCAGGCCGCCGGCGGATGCTCCCGGAAGATGCTCTAAGCTGCCGCTCCAGGTATCCCCTGGGCTGAGGCTACCTGGAGACGCCCACGGCAGTGACACACCAAGCGGGGTATGGCGAATCGTCAGGTCCGCAAAACCACCCAGTTCAGCAACTCATGGCTATGCCGAGCCCGCCGCGCTCAGCTCGGCCAGAAACAGCTCCTAGAGCCAGGGACTGGACCGCCCCCGCTGGCCTCTGGCAGGCAAACAGCCACCGGCCACGAAATAGATGGCCGCGAGGGCTTCCGGGAGCCGCGGGGCAGGCCGGGAGCCGGGCCGCACAGCCAATGCCCGCGCGGGGGCCGTCGGTAGTTACCCGGCAACGAGGTGGACGCCCAGTAGAGGGAGCGGAGCCAGTAGGGCTGGAAGAACTGGCAAGAAAGCCCTAGAGAGAGGCGACCTGCCAATTTTGGAAGCGGCTTTTTGTTTTGTCCCCAGATCACTCATTCCTACCTGGTCTTGGAGGAAGATCGTCAAGGCAAATGATAAGAAACAGAAATAAACCAGGGGAACAAATAATGATAAAAAAGATACTCATATTTGTTGAGCACTTACTGTCGGCCTGGCTCTTTGCAAGGATTACTTAATTTGATCATCTGATTTTGCTGTCCCAAGTTGTAAATGAGAAAATAGGAGTTTAGACAGATTAAGCATCTTGGCCAAACTACCTCAAACTAGGGAGTGTCAGAGCTGGAATTTGAACTTGGGTGGGCATGAACTCAGGTGGCTTGAGTTCTTAATGAGTCAAACCGTGGACACTCATTTCAGTTCAGCAAACCTAAATCTGTGTTCCTACTAGGCCATGCAGGGCCAATCCAGGTTTTATGGGGTCTGAAGCTTAGACAATGTTGGGGGGGGGGGTCCTCTTTTGGAAAAAAGAATAAAAAATTACAAATATAAAGTTAGGTACAAAAATGAACTTAGAATGTAAAAAGAAATCATAACAAAATATTTTTGCTAATTTTACAAAAATATACGACCATATGAATGCATAGCTAGGGACTCAACGAAGCCGTCTTTGACCCTTAGCTTCCCTTGAAATCCTTCAGTCAGATGTCAAACTACCTTGCAAGCTTCTCTGCGGTTCTCCTCCCACCCTGTCTCCCAGCCAAAGGACCTGAGACCCTAGCAACAGGCTTAATAGGGCTTTTCTGGCCATAGGAGCGATTTTAGCCTGAGTCAACTTGAGTGCCAGAGGGTGAATGCCCTCAGAAGCAGCTCCCAAATACTGATGAACAGGGAGTTGGTGGATAAATTCCCTAGCTTCCTCATCCCTCAAGTGAGATCATGCTGAGACACTTTGTGGTTCTTAGGGTGTAGTCCCAAACCAGCAGCAAACTGTACCACTTGAGAACTAGTTAGAAATGCAAATTCTTAGCCTACTACTACCCTGTACCTACTGAATCTAAAATTGTAGGGGCTGGGGCCCAGTCATTGGTGTTTTAACAAGCCCTCCTAGTGAGTCTGTGCTGAAGTTTGAGAACGACTGTTCTGCTAGGCTGTTCCCCAGAGCTCCCTTATGGGCTTGAGCTCCCGTTGTCTACAATGGTAACCTGCTTGATAACACATCTTTTTTTGGTCTCCTTCCCTTTCTTGTCTCACTTCCTCATTCTTCAGCTGGAGCTTCCTGAATTCACTTCTAATAAACGACTTGCACTTTAATCCTTGTCTGGGATCAGCTTCTAGAGAAACACCACCTTAGATGAGAACAACTAGGGGAGGTGTCATTGCCCAGTGAGGAGGAGGACGATGGCTGGCTTCAGGGAGGACCAAATGCTCTGCCAAATGCTTTGCTCTCATTGTCTGCTTCACCCTCACAATGCCTCAGTTGAGAGGGAGATGTTGCCCCCCAACGGGGAAACTAGGGTTTGGAGGATTTAAGTGGCTTGCCCAAGAATTTGAATCCAGGTCTGAGTCCAAAAGGTGAGCTCCTTACCAGTGAGGGCAGAGGGCCAGCCCATGTTTTGCTCTCTTGTCATTCCTCCTCTTCTCAGAGCAGGCAAGCGTTAAATGAAAATTGTAGGAGGCCATTGTTTTGGACTAAGTTTCTGAATTAGGCCCCAGCAGACCAGGCTAAAAATCCAAAGGGAGTCACCCATGCTAAAGTTCCATGGCACTAAACCCAAACTAAGTAGTTACCTGAAAAGAGGTAACAGCCAATGTCCCAAACAGGCCAGTTCAAATCTCAATGGTCACAAGAGTGAATCCCCTCTGCTTTATTCCTTATATGAAAGAAGTAGCGTTGAGTAACCTGATGCTAATGAATCAGTTGTTTTTCTATCATTCTGTCTCCCTGTCCCCACCTCGTGAGGGAAGTGGCTCTGAAGCAACTAATAGGCTCTTTGTTCTTCTCTTCTGTTTCCTTCAGCCCTCTCTGTCTATAAAACCAACTCCCTCTGCTCAGCTTATCAGAACACTTATTCTATTTTATGGAATGAAGTGTTGCCAGATTCTATAATTGCAATAAAGCCATTTGAGATCTTTAAGCTAAATTTCTTATCATTTTGTCTTTTGATACAGGGATCCAGTTTTGTTGTGAGGAGTGCTATAGGCTGGACACTTTGGAAAAATCCCGAGTGCACTTTGTGGACACTGCTGGCCTGAAATAGTGGGGCACACTGGCCTGAGAGCTCCCTGGCTCCCAGTGCCTAAGGTCCTTTACCCCATACTCCCTCAAGGTCCATCCCTATACCCTCCAGCCCACAGCATGTGACCAAGCATGTGCCCCTTAACCTGGAGCTGGAACCCTTCCTTTCACAGATACCTGGAAATTGAGCCAGATCTGCATCCGAGGGACACTAGAAGGGATGGGGAGGAGCGCTTACCCCTGAACTCTGTTTTGTCTCATGTTTGGAGGCCCAAGGTCATTTGGTTCTTCAGATTTCCAGCAAACTATAGCTCTCACTCCCTTCCCGCATGCCCTCACCCCACGGCTTTTACACTTAAGAGGAATGGCCCTGCCTTCTCTGGGCCCACAGCTCCTGTGGCTTGAGGTTCCAGCCGTCTTGTTAACAATTTTTCTCCCTGCGATGTAGGAATGATGGCTGTGTTAACAGGTCGGGGGGCGGTTGGGGAGACACTAACAAGATGATAAACCTTGGTATTTGGCTCTGCTGCTGACTTTGAGCGAGTCCTTTTTTACCTCTCAGAGCCTTATTTTTCTCATCTGTAAAGTGGGGAGTCCTGCTCCCCTCCCCTGAGGTTGTTCTAATGAGGCCGTGCTCATAGTAGGTAAATAATGTACACACACAACATGGGCATGCACAGCGATGGGTGCAGGTTGCAATTGGGACTTCCCTCTGTTCCCTCCATCACAATTGATGAGGGACTTTGGGGCTGATCTTGACTTCTCCAGGATCCTGGTCTCCCAGTAGGTTGCTAGTGATGCTCAAAAGGTAGGGGTCTCTCCCCAGGACACTGCCAGCCTGCCCTTCTGGGAGGAAGGAGACAGAAAGGGTTACTTTGGCAATCACGAGGCTTAAGGATGCCCCAATGCTTCACCCTGTCCCAAACCGACCCCCTACTCCCACCCCCAAGTCTAAAGTGGGTCCCTCTACAATAATCTCTCATCACGCCATTCATTCTTCCTTTGTGGCACTTATTATAAGTGCTAATTATTTATCAATATTTGTTTTTTTAAACAAAACTTTATTATGAAAAGTTTCCAACATTTACCAGAAAAACCCAAAACAGAACAGTATCACAGACTCCATATACCTATCACCCAGCTTCAACAATGATCAACTCGAGGTCAATCTTGTTTTATCTCTACCCCTACTCACTCCTGCCTCCTAGTATTAATTTGAGGCAACACATTTGTAAATGTTTTGGTAGGTATTGCTAAAAATAAGGGCTCTTGTATAAAACATAACCACAAATACATGTCATTATACATTTATCCAAACCCACAGAATGTACAACACCAAGAGTGAACCCTAATGTGAGCTATGGACTTGGGGTGATGATGGTGTGTCAGTGCAGGCTCACTACTGTATCAAATGCTCTGCTCTGCTGGGGGATGTTGATACTGTGGCAGGCTGTGCACAACGTGGGGGCAGTCTCTGTACCATCTTCTCAATTTTCCTGTGAACTTAAAACTACTCTAAAAAAGTTAAGTCTTAAAAAATAAAATCAAAAGAGCAAAGCTCCTGTTATTAAATCTAAAAAATGAACAATAATTCTTTGGTATGTGATTATTGTTAAATGTGTATCTCCCTCCACTGGGTTGGGAGCCTCATGAGAGCTTGCGTGAGGCCTACTAGGTCCTTGGTGAGTAATTGTTGGATGGATGGATGGATGGGTGGATGAATGGATGGAAGGATGGATGGATGGAGAAAAGGCAAAGGGAGCTGGGAGCCCACTTTGCTTTCCATGGATGCTGTCTGATCCCTTCAACACTGGGGTGTGATCACTGCCTTGCAGGTCCACAGACTGTCTCATCCTCTTGGATGTGAGCACCACCATGGAGCTGAAAACCTTTCTCAGTTTTTTTCGCTCCTAACCTGCCTTCCACAGAATCAGGCAAGTAGTCGCTAATCCTCTCCTGTTGGCTGCAGCCTGCTCCCACTGTGCAGCTAATTCCACCTTCCAACTTAATCATCATGCTTAGCACTTTCAATAAGGGCTTTTCATCTTCAGAGCACTGCTCAGCCATTAGCTGATTACTGTAATCTGTCCAACTCCCAAGACGTCAACCAGCATGGCAATGAGAGGCTTCCCTTATTCTCTTGGAGACTCAGTTTCCTCATCTGTAAAACTGGGTTAATATACCTAACTGGCATGGTCGGTGTAGGGTTTCAGTAAAATAAAGTCCAGAAAGTGTCTGGCACTGTCCTTTGACACCTAACAAGCCCTCAGTAATTGTTTATTATCTGTTTCCTGTATGGTGCAGAGGTTAACTCTCATTGGAGAGCCCAGAAAAATCTGGATTTGAATCCAGCTTCCTCCGCTTAAAGTTACATTTCCTGAGCCTCAGTTTTCTGATCTCTAAAATGGGGGTGATGGCACTGCCTCAGTTGGCTGAAAGATCAAATGATGTGACATATGTGTGTGATGTGCTGGGCACAATGTGAGTCACCTAGGAAGTCCTTCCTGGAAGGAAATGGAGGCAGGGAAGGAGAAGGAGGCTGTAGTGCTCCTTGGGAAGGTGCTAGATAATTCTTTTCTCCTTTGTCCCTCAAGATGTTTGAGGGGAAGAAAGATGCCTATTGTACTCACCATTACAACCCCAGCCAACTACCCCCTTGCCCAGCTGTGTGCTCAAAAAAATAAGTAAAGGAATTCAGTGTGCTATGGGTGGAACTACATCTCAACAGGACTGGAGAGTTTATAGAAGACTTTCAGATTTTTCTTTATCTCACAACCAGAGAAAGTAAACAGGCCAGGGATTATCCCCACATATTACAGACGAGGAAACTGAGGCTCAGAGAGAATAAACACAAGGCCTGCAAACGTTAAGAGCTAGAGCCACCCCATCCCAATTTGGATGCATCAGGAGACGTGTCTAAGCTTTGCCCTCCAGAGGAGCTAGGCCTCTGTCTCAGCTGGAGTTACAGGTCTTCTTGAGACCTTCTAAAGCTACAAGGATTCTGCCTGCTAGCCCTTCCTCTCACCCTACCTGGTATGGGGCTGTATCCCAGTGCGCCTGTTTTTAGTTACTGAGAATTTCAACATCAGGGCAGCCATGAACAGCTGCTGTGGTTGTAACTGTGCAACTCTAGCAGAGGGATCTCATTCATCATAACAGCAATGAATCAGCAAAGAAGTTAAGTCCTCACCATAAAGTTGGGGGTGACTCTAGGAGGTGATAGAGGGCCCTCTCTATACACTGACTGGGCCTGGGTTAGGAGTCCTGTTCCAGGAACCAGGGCTCCTGGCATTCCCTGAATAGGCAGGGTCTGGCATCAGAGTGGCAGCATCAGGAGGCTGATCTCCGCCCTTCCTAGGGAGAAGCGTAGGAAGGACTTGGGAAGTGAACCGTAAGTTTCAAAATGTGAGGGAGTTAAGGAAAGGGAGCAAGACTCTGAGCTGGGTACTTCACGTGCGTTATTACCTATACTGTATCATATGTAAGCAATAATTTAATCTGATAATAAGACTCTTTGGGGCCGGGTGCAGTGGCTCACACCTGTAATCCCAACATTTTGGGAGGCTGAGGTGAGTGAATCATTTGAGGTCAGGAGTTCAAGAGCAGCCTGGCCAAAGTGGTGAAACCCTGTCTCTACTAAAAATACAAAAATTAGCCAGGCAGTAGTGGCGCACGCCTGTAATCCCAGGTACTGGGGAGGCTGAGGCAAGAGAATCATTTGAGCCTGTGAGGCAGAGGTTGCAGTGAGCTGAGATCATGCCACTGGACTCCAGTCTAGGCGACAGAGTGAGATGCTGTCTCAAAAAAAAAAAAAAAAAAAAGACTCTTTGGATAGGCACCATCAACCCATTTTACAGATGAATTAAATGGGGCACACAAAAGTTAATTAAGTTGCCCAAAGGGTGACACAGCAAGGAAGTGGCACAGGTGGGATTCAAATTCAAGCCTACCTGACTCCAGGCCCCACAATGTTGCCTCTAGTTGTTACCTGCATTTTATAATAAGGAAGGCAGCCAAGGCCCAGAAATGGGCAGTGATTTTCCCAGAGTCACACAGCCAGCTAGTGGCTGGGCAGAGACTGAAACCAACAGTCCAGACTTCCAGTTCCAAAATGAGCCCATAAAAGTACCTGGCCCGTAGGAAATCTTCAAGTCGTATTTGTTTTTTCATTTGTTTTTCATTTTTGTTTTAGAGACAGGATCTCACTCTGTTGCCCAGACTGAAGTGCAGCGACACAAACATGGCTTACTACAGCCTTGACCTCCTGGGTCAGGTGATCCTCCTGCCTCGGCCTCCCAAAGTGCTGGAACTACAGGCATGAGCCACTGCACCCAGCCATCCATTAATATTTGTGATAGAAACAAGGCTAGGGAGAATCCCTGGATGGCTGAGGATAGGGGAGCAGCGGGGAGGAGCAGATGGTAAAGAACAGGCCTTGCTGGAGACCACCAACCTGCTGCTTTTTTCTAGGAGTTGCCCTTTAGCCTTCCCTTCAAAGTAGGGCTTGGGGAGGTGACCCAGAGCTGGGAGGGGTGAGAGGTGTCGTGCAGCACTCGGCCTGCAGGTGGCGCCCCACACTGCAGTTCTGTACTCCCCCAGGGAATGGGAGCCTGCAGGGGATTTTCCTGTGGCTGGGCGGGGTGGGACCAGGGCAGTGGGTCTCTCACCAGCGTTTTCAGGATGCCCCTAGACAACAGCTCCCCTCTCACCCTGGCCGCCTATGCCTGGCTGTGGCTGTGGCAGCAGATGGCTGACAGGGCCCAGATGGGAACTCACACCTCAACTCCTTCCTCCCTGGTCATGCCCTCTGCAGGGCCCTGGGTGAGAAACCTCAGAAGGACTTGAGGTCATCCAGCTGCTTGACCTTGGCCAGTTTACTGAGCCTCTTGGATGCCTACTTTCTTCATCTGTAGAGCAGAAGTGGGTTTTATTTCCAGGGTACTGGGAGGATCAGATGGAACATTTATAAAATGCCTGGCCCAGGCTGGGCATGGTGGCTCACACCTGTAATCCCAGCACTTTGGGAGGCTGAGGTGGGCGGATCACGAGGTCAGGAGTTCGAGACCAGCCTGGCCAACACGGTGAAACTCTGTCTCTACTAAAAATACAAAAATTAGGGCCGGGTGCGGTGGCTTACGCCTGTAATCCCAGCACTTTGGGAGGCCGAGGTGGGTGGATCACCTGAGGTCGGGAGTTCGAGATCAGCCTGGCCAACATGGAGAAACCCGTCTCCACTAAAAATACAAAAATTAGCTAGGTGTAGTGGCACATGCTTGTAATCCCAGCTACTCGGGAGGCTGAGGCAGGAGAATCGCTTGAACCTGAGAGGTGGAGGTTGCAGTGAGCCAAGATCGCACCATTGCACTCCAGCCTGGGCAATAAGAGTGAAACTCCATCTCAAAAAGAAAAAAAAAAAATGCCTGGCCCATTGCAGGCACTCAGCAGACGGGAACTGTCAGGATTATTCCCATGGACAGTGGCTGCCTGTCCTGATGTCACATCTGCCTGGCAGCTATCTCTTCTTAGTCTTTCCCACCTCACAATGGCAATCCATCACACCATGCCTTACCAGTCACCGCCAAGCTCTGTTATCCATGCCCTACAGACCTGGTACTGCCTGGAAGACAATATAGAAGAGCAGTTAAGTGGAAGGCCCCAGTTCTCACCGTCTGTGTGCAAAACCTTGCCTCTGCGCCTTCCTGTGTGGCCTCGGTCGAGCGGCTCCCGTGTTGCAGATTCTTAGTGCTCAACACTACATAGCACAGGCTCCTGGAAGCTAGGTTAGAGCCATGTGACTCACTAGCTCTGGCCAGGGAAATGGGGGAACAGGAGTGACGTGGGCATGTGTCACTCTAGGCCAAGGCAGGTAAGAGACTGTGGATTCCTCTACCCTTTCTTGCCCTGCCACAGTGACCTGTGTGTGGCCAAAGGGCCTTGTGTTTCCATGGTAAAGCACTAAGATAGAAGCACCCTAGATCCCCCAAGCCACTCTCAGAGGAAAGCCACCCCACCAGCATCGTGTTATATATGAGCAAGAAGTAAACTTTTATTGCCACTGAGGCTTCAGGGTTTGTTTATACCACAGTGTAACCTAGGTTAATTTTACGGATGCAGCCTCCCTGTGCCTCAATTTTCTCATCAGTGAAAATGGGGATAACAATAGCACTACTGTCATAGAGTTGTTGTGAGGGTTAAATGAGATCGTGGATGCAACCCTCTTAAGATGTAAAAATCTTAGTTTTTATCATTCTATGGGAAGATACAGAACAGTATGAAATGATCCTACATGCTCAGAGCAAGCGGGGCCCTGGGAACTTGAACTCACATTTCATGTTTAGATGAGGACACCAAGGCTTGGGGCAGAGGAGGGGATGCCTTGTTCAAGGTCATGCAGGCAAATGGTGGGAGAGTCAGGGCTGAATCCTGACTTTCTGAGCCCTGTCCAATGTATTTTCAGACACATTTTGGTCCCTGCCTTCTGGGAGCTCATGATCTAATTGGAAACAAGACAGACATACTGTGGAAAGATCATTCAAGATTCCATGCTATACCCAGATGCGAGAGTCATCCAGACAGTGAGGGTTCTGAGGGCCAGAGGAAGACAAGGACCTGGGGGGTCTGGGAAGTGGGCAGAAAAGGCTTCTGGGAGCTGATGGGATTTGAAGAACGGATTTCAGCAGAGAGGAGGAGTGGGCAGAGGGCAATGGTGGGGGAGACAACAGTATAATCCCAGGCCAGGAGAAAGGGAGGTCAAGGAGCAGAATGGTCCATAGAACAGATAGATCAAAGCATGGTATGTTTAACCAGTTTGAGGGACAAGTAGATTTCTTCCCCTTTTTGACCCCTATTATAAAGAGCACTGCACTAAACACCCCTCTATGTATCTGTGTATTTTGTCAGCTGAGATAGAGGTTTTCTAGAGAAGAGAGGTTGGGTTGTACCTGGAAAGGTATGGTGGTCTGATTTGCAGGAATGGTGTTGTAGGGTTTGGAAGGCTTTTGAATGTGAGTAATACAGAGATGGTTTGACTTAATTTTTCAGGCCAAGACCTCCCAGTTTCAATCATTTGCTTACCATATTTACCAATTTTGGCCTATTCATGTGACAACTATACTGTTAGTGACCCAATTTAAATTTTAATCCCTCACTTTTAAACTCATACATTTATTTTAAAAGACTTTTTATCACCATCATATAATTTAGTTTGTTTGTTTTTTAGACAAAGTCTCGCTCTGTCGCCCAGGCTGGAGTGCATTGGTGAGATCTTGGCTCACTGCAAGCTCTGCCTCCTGGGTTCACACCATTCTCCCACCTCTGCCTCCTGAGTAGCTGGGACTACAGGCGCCTGCCACCACACCTGGCTAATTTTTTTTTTTGTATTTTTAGTAGAGATGGGGTTTCACCGTGTTAGCCAGGATGGTCTCGATCTCCTGACCTCGTGATCAGCCCGTCTCGGCCTCCCAGATTTTTTTAAAAAATAAAAACAATGCTACTTGCAATAAATACAAGATAACTATTGAAATAAATACAATGATAGCAAAACAGTATTATTAAATACAGCCATAATTGCCTGCCAGAGGCAGAGCGGAAGGCCTGATTCCTTCTGGTTCAAGGAAGAGGGATTATCAAGTGTTAAAAGACATAATAGCACAAATTGAGACTTTCTCCTTTGCTTGTTTGTATACGCTAGGACAGAACTGACAGGGGAATAACTTTCTCACCATGCGATTCAAAGAGGTCACCTGAAGAAAGCTTGCATCTGGCAGAAAGTGACTTGTAGACCACACCGAATGGGCATCCTGTCCTCTGAAGACTGTCACCAGAATGACAGCAAGTTCTTTTGTGGGGTAGTTTGACAGCAGTAGGGCCCAGGGATGGAGGACTGGGCCAGATGATCAAAATCTGCCCCTCTTTTTGGTGGACATTAGGTTTTCTTGTGTGGGACTGATGGGTCGGGGTGGGGTGTGGGGGTTCAGAACAAAAGAGAACAGATTTTGCTTACTGTCCCTGACTATAGGTTGTGGAGACTCTAACTCTGGGTCTGCTTCCCAATAAAAGAAGAAAGTGATCTCTGGACATAAAAAAAAAAAAGACACTTTTCTGGGGGCATTACAAGGAGAATGGGAATTGCCTTCTCCCTGCACCATCATCTACAGTCAGGGCGGGCTCCGTGGATGTGTGACCTGCGCTGTCACATAGAGCCCTGTGTTTGGAAGAGCTCAACACTCGGTTTAATGCTCGATTGTTGCCATCATTCCATGGGATACACACTGGCAGACAAAAAGGAGGCAGACCCTCTGGGGACCATTGTGGAAAGAGCTACAGGACATATCTTAAGAGAAAAAAAAAAGTTATAGACAGTATGTGCAGTATGGCTGTATTTGTCAAAACAAAAAATTCTTAAAATTTTAAAAACAAACACACACACACTTCATTATTCCATTTTCCCTCAACTGGCTGGTTAGTGATACGTCCAATTACCACTCTTCTAGGGTTAGCCTGGAGATGGAGCAGACATCCTTGATTTATTCATGTTTACCAGACACTCCCATTTCTACTCGCTTATTGGACAAGGCGAGGACCTCAGAGCATTCTAACTCCATTTACCCCCTTCCTGCTTATGTGCCATTGGATTGCGTATTTTAATTCTCCCTATATATTTTACACATTAGTTTTATTGTTTTATACAGCCAAGATTCATTTGTATTTACCCGTATTTCCCTTTCTATTGCTCTTGTTTCCTTTCTGAATATCCAAGCTTCCATCTGGGACCACTTTCCTTCTGCCTAAAGCATACCCTTTTGTATTTATTTTTATATTTGAGCCATTCATATGGTTCAAAATTCAAAAGTACAGAAGTGTGTCATGATAGATATCTTTCTCTCCTACCCCTGCCCCTAGCCAAAAACTATACATTTCCATATGCACATAGAACATTCCTTGGAAGGAAATACACCAAATTGAGAACAGTGGTTTGTCTACGTGGTCTGTAATGTTCATGGTGATAATGTGTTCATGTCTCCCATATGCAAAGAAAGAGAAAGTCAGAGACAGGCAGCCAGGAGACCCAGTCTCTTCTGATTGACAGCCTCTCACTGTGTCCTGCTGTGCACGCAGTCATTCTGTTATACGTGGCCTCGTTTGATCTTGGCCACAGCCCTGTGGGACATGAGAGGCAGGGTTCCTCAATCCCAAGTCTCCCATTTTCATGAGCACCTACTATGCCGGGTGCCACTTCATAGTTGCCACGTCACTCAGTCCTCACGACAGCTCTGCTAGTATTGTCGCCATTTTACAGATGAGCAAACTGAGGGAAACAAAAGTTAGGTAATCTGCCCAGGAGGCAGAGCCAGGGTTCAAAGCAAATCCCAACAGTCCAACTCCAGAGCCATGTTATCACAAACCCCATTATACAGCTGAGGAAACTGAGACCCACAGAGGTTGAGCCCTAGGCTCAAAGTCACTAAGTCAGTAGTGGCAGAGCAAGAACTCACATCCATAACTTTTGGGGTTAAAATCCACAACCCTCCCCCTACCAATGTTTTTTTTTTTTCTGCACATTAGAATCATCTGAGGAGCTTTCAGAATGCCATGTTCAGATGTTAAGACCAAAAAAATTGGAATCACTGATTCTATTTTTGTGCCCCCCTCATCTTCCAGGAGTTTCTGAAGTGTAGCCAGGGTGAGAACCACTGTCCTTGCCCACAGGAGAAAGGGCTCAGAGTCAGGCTCTTTGGATTTCATTGGATCCGGACTTTGCCTCTCATTAGCTCTGTGACTTTGGGCACACTGCTTTAACAGTTCTGTGCTGCCTCAGTTTTCTCACCTGTCAGTTTGGATAACTGTAGTGTCTTCCTCACGTGAGGATTGAATGAGACCAGCCGTACAAAGACTTGGAACAGCAGCTAGCACAAGATGAGCTTTAAATAAATCTTACCCTTATTATAGTTGTTATAGTTATTATTATTTTTGCTGTGTGCCTTTGCATAGAACCTGTCCCCCTCTGGGCCTCACTCAGGTCCTCTATGTGTGAGCACACTGTGGGGTTTGGACTGCAGGGTCTTGAACAGTGTCTTCCAGCTCTAATGCGCCTTTGTCGCGATCGGCTGGCTGGGTCTCGGGCCTTCTCCACTTGCCCTCATATTTGTGGAAGCTTGCCCTTTCTCGTGAATGCAGAGGCGGCAACAGGCATGTGCTTGGAGAACCAGAGACCACTTCTGTGGGACGAGTCCAGCCTGTGGTTATGGTATTGATCTTCTCACAGCCAGGATGTGCTGGGCTGTGCAGAGTGGAATTGCCCACTGAGGGGTGGTGGCTGACAAGGTGCCAGCTGCCCCAGAGAGAGGCAGAGGGCCCTGGACGGAGAGTGCCTTGGAGAGGCAGGGCGGGGGCCGAGGCAGAGCTGGGGCTCATGCCCACTTCCTACCAGTGCCCAGGGCACTTGGTGCCAGTCCTTGCCACCAAGTGCCATTCTGCACCAATGCATAATTCATGCCCCCATGTGCCAATCTGTGCCAGCTTTAATTAGCTTCTAACTTTTTGTCATTCATTTTGCTCTGAACACCTTATAAATAAATGATGGGCGAGGGGAGTGGCGAGCAGGGCAGGAATGTGAGGGAAGGACCGTCTTTTCTTCAGCCACAAAAGGGAGGGGTAAGCTTCCAAGGCTGGGCCCAGGGAACCTCATGCCCCTGGGGCTTTCCTGGGGGCCTCCACGCTGCAGAGGGGTGGCCTCAGCCCACATTGTCAGCCTTCCAGCCTGCTCCTCCACAAGCCAAGCTGGGCCGCCACAGCTGTGCCAGGCTCCAAGGGCTCACAAACTAAACTCGGGAGCACACGTCTGGTTTATGGTGGCAGGCGCTGCCCCGGGAGAGGGCGCATAGGCTGGGGACGATGACGGCAGGAAGCAACAAACAGCTCTTTATCAGCTGTGGGGTGGGGGCATGAAAGGGGGAGCAGGAAGGGATGGGGAAGCTGCTATGGAGGAGCCCACAGGAGAGGCGTTTGTGTGCTTTAAAAATAATCATCGACCCTCATGGGGAGGAAAGACTCGTCTGTGAGGGCTGCTCTGTTTTTACAGTTTGTAAAGCACTTTAATGTGTGTTTTTCTCTTTTGATCTGAATGGCAGCCTTGAGAGGTGTTTCAGCACCTGGGAGTTATCATGCCCATTTATAGTTGAGGAACCTGATGCTTGGACCAGTAGGCTAAGACCCATGTGAACCGCAACCTGGTGGAGCGAGCTTTGTGTTGCACCACCCTGCCTCTCTTGCATTCCCCAGGGGCAAGGCAGCAGGGGCAGAAAGCACCCCTGTGGAGGCTGGAAAGCCAAGGTGGAATGGAGTCCAATTCCAGGTGGTTCCAGGGTTTGGCATGTTAAAACAACAGATTTGGATTCCCTCTCTTCTTTGCATCCTCATTCTCTGAGAGTGCCAGTAAGCCAGCTGGTTATTTGGTGTGTGGGGATGCAAAGACATTGAAGGGGAGGTGCCCCTTCCTCCAAGATGTCAGCCCAGGTCACCCTGGGACAATGCACTGTCCCCTCTTCCTCCTGCAGCTGGTCATGCTTTCTACTGTGTATCTGCACCTCCAAGCCTAGCTCCTCCACCTCCAGCATTGCTTGCTGAAAAAAACCTGGGCTCCTCGTGGGGCCCCCACCCCTTCATGGTCTAGCCCTTGCTGCCTCTGCACAGCACACTCCTTGCTTGGTCCAGCCCTATTGCCACACTACTTGAAGTCTGTAAACTGTGTGCTGCCCCTGTGACCTTGCACACACAGTCCCTGCTTCCTCAGATGTCCTTGCTGGTCTTACCTTGCCATGTACCCTTGTCTTTCAAGGCTCTATTTAAGTGGTCTCTCCAGTTTGGGGTCTTCCCTAATCTCCTTGGTTAGAGTGGATTGCACCCTGCTCGGGGTCCCCTCTGTCAATGCTGAATCTAGTCCCAGCCTGAAGGATGGCATCATCCTACTGCTTCCCAACTGTTTCTGTCTCTATCTCTCCAACTGGACTGTAGCTTCTCTGAGGACCAAAATGATGTCATTTGCTCTTTGTGTCCTCGGCACCCAGCCCACAGGCTGGCACACTGTGGGCCCTTCAGGAACATGTGTTAGGTAAATGAACAAACACACAGTCCCTGCCTTCGAGAATCTTAAAATCAAGTGTGCTGTGGACTAAACATGATCTTGAAGCCGCTGTACAGATGTGGCCGCTTCTGGAGATCCCTGGGCAAGATGCCCTGGATATGGAAGGAACTGTATATCACTTTTTTTCTTTCTTTCTCTTTTCTTTTTAATTTTGGGAAAGGGGAGGTAGCATTTCTCTAACAATGCTGACTCTACGCTGCTCTACACTCCCTACTACAATCACCAGAGGAATCATCAGATGGTCTGTACCAGGCAGGGTTCTCATGGTCGCTAGCAACAGAAATGAACTCTGGCTACCTGATGCAAAAATTGAACTCACTAGTTAGTTAACAGGGGCAGATTCAACCAGAAGACTGGAGGACAGGCCCAGACAACAAATAGGAACAAAAGGAGGCTGGTGGCTAAGGATGCAGCTGAAAATACAACCCAGGTCAGGCTTCAGAAGTCCTGGAGTCAGGGCTAGGTGCTTTGCATAGCTTCAAAATGATTCTTGACTGTTTACAAACGTTATGGTCCTTCTCAAGGTTCAAAGTTGAGAGTGGAGCTTCTGACTGGCTTGCCTAGTCATGCACTGTGCCCTGCAGGCAGAAGGCAGGACAAATGAGGACCTCCCTTTTTAGCTTTTGCAATTAAAGCAGGGCCTGGTCTTACCCCTTACTTCATACAGTGGGGGTCCCCCAGTAGGAGTGGGGTTTGGATGATGCTGGGTCCTGGGAAGTTGGCATCTCTGTGGCTCTTCGTGGCTGTCCAAGCGCTTTCATATCCACCCCAGGAGGGAGGCTGGGCAGGCACCATTCTCTCATTTTCAGAAATGGAAACAAGGCACAGAGTGGTTCAGCGACTTGTCCAGGACCACATAAGGTGGCAAGGGGTGCTTCTTTATCACACTGGTGTACTTTCCTTGATGCCCCAGGGGCTTGGAGAGGAGGCAAATGTTTCCTGAGGGAAGGGCTCTAGGGAGAACTTCGAGAGCTGTTGTTGAAACAGCCCTGATACGGTTTCAGGAATGGAAATCCCAGAAAGACAGAAAGGTGAAAACTTAGGTGATTCATCTCCTGGAATGAAGAGATTAGAATTTCTGAGATGCTGGTTCAGAGAATAGAGGCTGGGTTCTTCCCCCCAGCTCTGAGCCTCCTGCAAACGCCATCTCCTGCCTTTGGCTGGTTCATGTGCAGAAGAGCAAGACTGCTGTTCACCTCCGGGATCCAGTAGCTCCCATGGCTGCCTGGGGAGAGTCCCTGTGCATGCCTCCAGGCTTCCGCACATGCTGCTCCTCCACCTGGAGCGCCCTTCTGCTTCTGCTGCCTGTGACCTCCTGGTCAATCTCGGCTCACTGCAGCCAGCTCTGATGTCCCCTTGTCCAGGCAGCCTTTCTGGACTCAAGATTTCATGACAATGAATCACCCCACTCTCCTTTGGGCCATTTGTCCACTTTGCCACACTTACCTTTCTAGGTTGTAACTGATTCATCTGCCCCTCTCTCCCACTGGGAGTGCCTTGAAGACAGGATGGATGTCACTCACATCTGTGTCCCCGGTGTGCGGTGCTGGCCTGTTCCCCTCAGGGCCATTCTCTCCTCCCCTCTGTGGTGCTGCTCTGCATCACAGCAGGCTGACCCCGCAAACTCCCAGGTCCACTGTCTTCAGGTGGGAGACGAGAGGGCTGGGGAAAGAAGCCGGGATGTGTCTTCACACTCCACCGTCTCTGGCAGTAGCTGTGTTTCTGTGACTCGAGCCCACACCACACAGGCCCACTGTGGTCTCACCTTCCACCGTGTGCCCTGATCCTGGTCACTCTGCTTCCTCCCTTATCCCTCCAGTCTAGGGGTGGCACACTTTCTGCTGTTGCTGCACTCTGGGTCGCCTCGCCATCCAGTTAGAATTCTCAGCCCTTCCATTCCCTGTCTGTTACACACTCACGGTGGTTCTGTGGGCTGGCTGCATCCCAACTGACACCCCAGTTCCCAGCACGGTGCTTGGCACAGTGTGTAACAGAAGGTTTGAGGGGTGGAGAACCTTGAAGAACACCTCTTCTCATGCTTTCATTTTACGAATGGGGAACACAAGGCCAAGAGAGGTCCAGTGTCCAGCCCGCTACCATCCAGCTAGAGGGTGACCTAGAACTCAGATCCCGCTCTCCGGACTCCTGGCTCCATCACACTGTGTAAAAGCATGACCACCTAAGACATGTAGGACCACGACTCCAGTTCATTTGTCCAAGAGCCTACTTGGCATCTCTGTTCTGTGACTGCACAGGCCTCTCACACAACATGTCCCAAGGGAGCTCTTGCTCAGGTCTCCATAGTGGCCTCCTCAGAGGGCCCCATCACAGGAAACAGCACACTGTCCATCTACCACCACAAGCCAGAAACCCAGAAGTCTCCTTGACCCTTTGCTCTATCTCACGTATAACCACTCCCTGTCCTCCTGGCCCTGTAGATTTTTACCTCCTGAAAGTCACTTCTCTCCACTTCTACCCACCCCCTCATTCCAGGCCTCTGTCACCAATCACCTAGACACTGCAGCAGCCTGAGGACATGTAAGCTTCACCAGGGCAAGGATTTGTTTGGCGCAAGCATGCGTGTCTGTGTGCATGTGTGTGTGCCTGTGTGTGTGTGCTTGTGTGTGTTGTTCATTGACATATCCAAAGTGTCTAAATTCACAGGGGTTAACTAACGTTTTCTGTAAAGGGCCAGGCTGTAAATATTTCTTGTTTTTGCAGGCCATGCGGTCCCTCTTGAAATTCCTTATGTCTGTAGTTGTAGTGTGAAAGGAGACACAACCAAACAGGCCATGTCTGTGTGCCACTAAAACTTTCTTTACAAAAACATGTGATGAGGCAGATTTGACCTCTGGGTAGCGGTGTGCTCACCCCTGGTCTAGAAAATTTCTTGGCACATAGTATTTGACAAATAAATACTTTTAATTGAAGCAGTCTCTTCTCATCAACTGTTGCCTCCCAATCAATTCTCTCTCTCTCTTATTTTTTTTTAGATAGAGTCTTAGTGATCCTACTGCCTCAGCCTCCCAAAATGCTGCCATTATAGGTGTCAGCCACCAAGCCCGGCCTCTGAAGCTTTCAGTCTTAGGATAAAGATCAACTCCTGATTAAGGCCAACACACCTGCACAGTCTGGCCCCCACTCCATTGTGGCTTTACAGTCACTGCCAAGGACTAGAGGGACCACTCAGTGACTCGGATCAGAGAGGGGGTGCTTAAAGCCAACAGATGGTGCAGGCTCACTCACCCTCCCAAGCTTCCCAGGAGCGTTTCCTCGTACGCTGGAGGCACGGAGCTCTCCCCACCCTTTCTGGACTTCCTGACATATGCCAGCTCCTTCCCACCTTTGCACAAGTTGATTGCGACTGCGGTCACCAAACCATTGTTCCTGGCCCAGCCGTTGCCTGCAGTGGGCACCTGGGGCCTTTGCACATGCTGTTTCTCCTGCCTAAAACTCCACTCTCTCTCCCTTGCTCATCCTTCAGCTCAGTCACCTCCTCTAGGAGGTCTTCCCTGATCCCCTCGGCCAGGCGCCATTAAAGCACTCTTCTTCCTAGCACTGATTCTGGCTGTAATTTTACCTGCTTATGTGTTTCATTGATGAATGTCTGGTTCCCCTACTAGAGAAGCTTCATGGGGCACAAAGACCAAGCCTGTTTTGTTCTCCATCCTATTCCTAGAAACTATTTCAGTTAGCTAGCACATAGCAGTGACTGTGAATGAATGAATGAATAATGAATGAGCGAATGGTAAGGAACTGGAGCTTTGGAACCAGATAGATTCTGGGTTCAATACCCGACTCCACCACAGGGGCAAGTCCCCAACCTCCTAAAGCCTGTTTCTCACTGTAAAACTGGGATAATGGCAGGGCCCACCAGAAAGACTTTATTGAAGATAGAATGAGTTGAGGCCCAGAAAGTCTCAGCCCAGAGCCTGGCTCCAGGCAGGTACTGTCAATGTACTGACTGGAACAGTGACAGCTCGGAAATCCTGTCATGTGAGAAATAGTTTTAAAAAATCAGAATGCTTAGCCCCGGGGAAGTAAAGATCAAAGGTAGGGGATAAACCTCTTCCATTACCTGCATATGGACCCTTTCTTGATCCAGCTGTCTCAGAAAGCCATAAAGTCTCTGTCCCTATAGGTGTGCAAAAAGGAGCCGGGAGACCATGACTCGGGCACTGCAGACGGAGCTCCCGCAGGGGTGAGGGCGCCTAAGTGACCTCACGGGTCTCCTCCAACCCGGGGTCCTCCATTTCTAAGCACTTGGAGGCCTCTTGAGCTCTAGTGAGGGAGGAGGCGCAGATGGGAGCGCACGAGTCGGGTGGGCAAAGGCAGCTGGTTGGAGAGAAGCGTAGGCCAAGAGGCCCCAAGGACTAGAGGGACTGCTCAGCGACTCTGGGAGCAGAGAGGGGGCGCTTAAAGCCAACAGATGGCGCGGGCTCACCTAGGCCGAGCGCCCGCTCGCCCGCCCGGGCTTCCCGGGAGCGTTACCTCGCTCTGCCTGAGGCGCGGGGCGGACGAGACGCTGGGGGCCCCATCCCCCTGCGCGCCCCTCTGCGGGACGGCTGGCGGCCTGGCGGGGCACTGCTCTGTCTCGCACCTGGGGCCTCTTCCGCGGGCTTCCTCCCTGCCCCTTTGGGGGATTCGTAGAGTTGCCACAGCAGCCGGTGCCATGACATCGGCAGAGGGCAGCTTCGCCAGCACTGAAATATTCATGCCCTGAGCGCCCGGCGGGGCTCGGCGCCGCTCCCGGGGGTCCGGGCGGGGCCGGGCGGGAGCTCGGGGGTCCTGGCGGCCTGAGGGGTGGGGGAGCGCCGAGCGCGGGCGGGCGGGCGGGGGCCGGGCGAGGCGGGAGGTGAGGGAGGGAGCTGCGGGAGGCGGGGTCTGGACGGCGGGGGCCGAGCGGGGCGGGGGCCGAGCGGGGCGGGGGAAGCAAGGGAAAGTTGATCGCGGACTTGAGCGGCGGCGGCGGCTCGGGAGAGAGGGACGCGGGCTGCAGGCGCGATGCTTGGCTAGAGGACGCGTCCGACGGCGGCCGGACGCTGAGGTGGTCGGGGCTAGTCAGCCCGGCCTGGGCATGGAGCGCGGGGTGGCAGAGCCTCTGGACGTTTGGGGCGCGCCCAGTCCGAGCCCCCGGCGCGCCTGAAGTTGCGAGCGGCGAGCGGCGAGCGGCGAGCGGCCCGCGGAGACCCAGGAGCTGCCGGCACGCCGCGGATGAGCCTTCGCGCCGGCGGGAAGACGCGGCGGTGGCCAGGGCCAGAGCAGGCGGCCCGCGGGGGCCGATCCGGCGGAGAGCAGAGCCCGAGGCGAGGCGAGGCGCGGCGCCGCTGCACACACGCACACGGTACCCGGAGCCACGCACCGCCTCTTCCCTCCTCGCTTCCCTCTCCTTCCCCTCGCCGTTCGCCCGCCGCGCGGCGGGGAAGTTGGTGGTGACCGCGGCTGCCGAACCACTTGTTCCCAGCGCGGCCATCGCCCGTGGCGGGCGCTCGCGGCATCCTTCGGTCCCAGGCCCCTGGCCCTAGCCTCGCGCCCCGCTCCGAGCTCCCCGACGCGCGGCAACTTTGATTCCTGGGAACTCGAATTCCATTCGCGTTGGCCTTGGGAGGACAGGCATCCCATCCCCCATCCCCGGTCCTGGGACCGCGAACATTTGGGGGCTTTGCTCTCGGCGCTACGGAGAGGGTCCAGGTCTGGGGTGGAGAGATTTTCGAGAGTGGAGCGCGTTGGGATCCAATCCCCTCCCCTTCTGAGCCCTGGGTCCCCATTTGGACAGTGGGGATGGGGTGGGGCGCACCCCTACTGCGGGCTGGGCAGAGGCGCTGAGGGGAACTAAAGGCACGTAGTTCTCCCCTCCCCTCATCAAGTCCCTGTGCCCGCGGGAGACCCCAGGGGACTTACACATCCTCCCAAATTCGGTCCAGCTATGGGAAGACGCGCCCCTCGAGGAGCCGGGAGCCTTTTGCGGCTCTCGCTTCGCCTTCCTGGCCCTGGAACTGGTCCGCTACGAGCGGTGCTGGCTGCCCCCAGGAGCTGGCACCCGGGAGCACTGCCCCTCATCTCCACCGTAGGTCAGCCCAGGACTCGAGCAGAGCCCGCGTGTTCCAAGGCAGTGACGGCGCCAGCCGGCGGGGACTCTGCCTGGCTTTCTCGGAGCGGGCACCTAGAGAGGCTGCCTCCGTGCTGTGAGCGGAGATCCGATGCCAGCCGCCGCCCCACTGCGACCCCAGCCCCAGCCCTAGTGCTGTCAGCGGTCCACTGGGAGGAAATTAGCCTTTCCTCGGTAGTAATACTCCCCCATCCTCCCTAGTAATTCAGAAAGCAGAGCCTTCTTTTTCTACGTCCTTTGCCCTCTCAGACCAGAGCTGGCATTGACATTGACCTCGCCTTCCAGCCCCTTGGGAAGTGCCCCAACCCTAATTTGGATTTTGAAATAAGCTAGAGAGACACAGGAGTGTGTGTGTGTGTGTGTGTGTGTGTGTGTGTGTGTGTGTGTGTGTGTTGGGTGGAGTCAGACCCTCACACAGGGAAGAATTAGGTTGTGGGGTGTGGGGTGGGGCGGGCTTTAAGAACCTAGTTGGGGCCAGTTGCATGGTGATGATGAGTCAGCCCACGATGGGGAGAGCTGGCTTGGAGTTAGTGCTTGGTTCGTGGTGCAGGGGTAGGCGCACTGCGGTCAGCACCTACAGGGGTGGGGGCACTAGATGTTACTCTGCCAAGGAGGAGCTGGGAAGGGGCCCCTTGCCTGGGGGAATAGCAAGGCTTGGTTCTGGCTGCCAGGGCTGGGGAGGGCAGGAAGGCAGAGTGTCTCGTGGTAGAGGGTGGGTGTCCCCCGTGAGTTGGGAAGGTGGCACACAGAAGCCACTGGTGTGAACCAGGAAGCTCTGCCTCGAGTGCTGGAGGACAGCAGTGAGGGGTGGGAGGCCCAGAGCTAGCATCCTGGCCCCGTCTGTGCTGGGTCCGCATATACTTCTCAGACTTGGCCTTCCTCACCTCTAAACAGCTGGGCTCCTCACGTCTGCTTACCAAAGGGCTTGATTTGAGGGTTGTGATAGCAGATGGTCCTGGTTGCCTCTGGAATAGCTCCCCCACTCAACAAGCTACCTTACCTGCAGTTTCACCATTTGAGGTTCATTTATTTGAGCCAAGTATTTTAAAGGGCACCTTCCTGAAGTGCTCATTTAAAATGCACATTCTTCTGGGAGGTGAAGGTGTAGCGGAACCTTGCTCCTCAGAGTGTGGCCTGTGGACATGCAGCGTCGGCATCACCTGGGGACTTGTTAGAAATGCAGACTCTTGGGCCCCACCCCAGACCTTCTGAATCAGAATCTGCATTTGGTAAGATCCTTGGGTGACTCATGTGCTCAGTAAAGTTTGAGCTGTGGTCCACAGTGCCTTCTCTAAGAGGCATTGCATAGTTCCTTGGTGCAGAGTGTTGTATAGGGCAGTGGATAAGAACACAGAGATGAGAATGAGATTGGAGCTTCTCTCTTTGGCCAGTTTTGCTAGGCTCGGATTAATAGTCCACCACTGGCCCCTTCGGGTTGTACCATGCTAATGCCACAAGAGTGTTTGTGTTTTAGGGTTTTTTAAATAGATTAGAATAACATCTCAGCTTTGTGTGCAGTCAAAACTGTACATGGAACTGGGTGCAGTGGTGAACTCCTATAGTCCCAGCTAATGGGGAGGCTGAGGCAACAGGATTGCTAGAGCCCAGGAGTTCAAGGCTGTAGTGTGCTAGGACCGTGCTTGTGAATAGCCACTGTACTCCAGGCTGGGCAATATAATGAGACCCTGTCTCTAAAGAAAACCAACAAAAACCCCTGCACATGGGCCAGAAAGAGGTGAGTGGAGGGGGCAGGGTTTCCGGAAGCTGGGTGTACACACTCTGCCTCTAGGACGCCTGAGACGGAGACTAGATGCTGTCCCTCAAGCAGAAGGAATTGAGCAACTACTCTCCACCTCATCTGCCCCTCCCAGATGGGTGGATCAGCCAATTAATAACACCTCTCAGCGGCCTTAGGACTTATGCAGAGGGGAGGAGCATGAGAGCCAATTTGGAACAGCCTCCAGAGGGGAAGATACTGACCAAGCTCTCCCCTGACCCCAGCCTGGACTGGACATCCCACTTCTACTGCCCTAAGGTGGTTCGAGGCCTCTAGCTTCAAGATACAGGGATGATGCCGAGGCATGGTGGCAAGTTATACCCCTGGTCCTCTGGATGATGACCCTGAAGGCATCAAGGCTGGCCTGAGAGTAGGAGATTTGAAACACTGCTGGAGAGATTTGGATCAGAGGCCTGGTGTAGCCGATGGTGTCACAGGTGAAAGGTCATCGCATGGCTCAGGCATCCCACCCTGCCCAAAGAGGCAGTCCTTCCCCTAAGCTAGCCTCTTTCCCAGAGAGAGGGCAGCTCTGCCAGGGGACAAGGTGATGAGGAGGAACTATGGGAGACACAGTCATGGGCCTTACAAAGAGCGAGCTAATGTGAAGACATTCAGACATCGATTTGAAAATCAGTGAGTTCAAAAATAGTTAGGTTAGGCTGGGTGCAGTGGCTCACACCTATAATCCTAGCACTTTCGGAGGCCAAGGCAGGTGGATCACTTGAGGCCAGGAGTTTGAGACCAGCTTGGCCAGCATGGTGAAACCTGGCTCTACTAAAAATACAAAAATTACCCAGACGTGGTGGTGGGCACCTGTAATCCCAGCTACGTGAGAGGCTGAGGAAGGAGAATCGCTTGAACCTGGACCATGGAGGTTGCAGTGAGCCGAGATCATGCCACTGCATTCCAGCCTGGGCGACAGAGTGAGACTCCATCTCAAAATCAATCAATCAATAAAAATAATAGAAATTTAAAAATAACTAGGTTAATAAGTCTCACTGTTTTCTTGAACCCCCAGGTCTTAATGTGTAAAGATGATTGTAAAAATTGACCTAATTTCCCATTGAACTCATTGTTTTCAAATTCAGTTTTAGTTGTTTTTTAAACATTGTATTTTATTTTATTTTGAGCCTTGCTTTGGGTTCCTCTTGGCGCTGGGGCAATCCTGTTTGTCCATGAATAGATGAGCAAGGTCATTTACAAGTCGAACCCTACTGGATAGGTTATTTCAGGGTGGGAGTACTTTTGCCCTCAGTAGAGAAGTGCAGATCAGATTGGGTTCTTCTGTATTCCAGCCTCCTGTGCATAATGTGGGTGACACTGACGCTGCTCAGGAGTCGTCAACTCCAGGAAGCCCTCCTGAGTCCTCGGGTGGGGTGGCTGGTGCGGGTGGGCTGCCCCTCCAGCCTGTGCCTCCCTCGCTCACGGTCCTTCCTTGGTGCTTCTTACCATTCTGCATGGCTCTGGCCTCTCAGTAGCCACTGAGCTCCTCCAGGGCACAGGCTGCATCTTTTTCCTCCACACTAGTGGAGTAGTTGGTGCTCAGTAACTGTTCATTGACCCAATGGCTTATCCCTGGGTGATGGTTCTCTTACCTTCTCCAGCCCTATTCTTAAGTGATCATTAACACACCAACCGTTTGCTGTGCCTATATCCAGTTTTAACTCTTCATGGTGGTACTTTCCAGATGGGTGGTGAATGTCCACCTTGCTGTACTCTGGACTCTAGGCATCTGCTCTCGGACATTTGCATGCCTAGAGAGGTGAGGATGCAGACAAAAGAGTAAAGCATGTAACACAATAGGGAGTGGTGGGGACTGGGGAGAACTGAAAAGCATAGGCCCCATAGAGAAGGGGCAAAACCCATCTACGTGATGGAAGTCAGAATAATGGTTATTCCCGGGGGCATAATGACTGGGGCACAGGGGTGCTGCTGGCGTGCTGCACATTTCTAATGCTTGATCTGAATGTCTGCAACAGTGGTGAATGATCATTTTTGCAAAAGAGCCAATTCGGAAAACATTAGAACATTTATAGGCCATGTTTATTTGGATTCAACATGAAAATGGCTTTATTGAATCCCATAGGGCAGAAAATGCATATTCTTACCAACCTCATTGACGAGAAAGGTGTCAGCCAGAAAACTGGCATATTTAAAACGTAGCCACATGGAGACAGTTTTCTAGTCTTTCAGTGTGAAAGTTGATCAGGATCTGTCAATGGTGAGTGGGGTGGGCCGCTGCTGCCGCCCACAGCTCCATATATTTGGGGCCTCAGGGTTTGCGGTCTTGGGGCCCTGTGTCACCTCGATAATAAATGTTGGCATAGCTCAATGTATTGGTGAGGGGAATGGGAATATCAGACAGCCCTTCTCAGCCTCAGGGGCTGCAGGCTGTGTTGCTGAGAGTGACACAGCAGGTTCAGTTTTAGCATTCATATTTTTTACATATTCTAAAACCCCAGGCAAGTGTTGGTTATTATTATGATCATAATGCATTCACTTCGTGATTTTCATAAGGCAGTTTGCAGGCCGACAGACTTGATATTGAGCACCAGTTCTTCCACTAGAGCTCTGAAGCCTTGGGTCTGGCTTAGTTTTCTCATCTGTAAAATGGGAATAATTTTTCAATTGCCCTATAGGCTTGCTATGAGCATTAATGAGAGGACAACTTTACAAGGCATTGTGTAGTACCTGGCGCACAGTATACATGCAAAATGTAGTAGCTTTTATTGTATCCCTTTGACTTACTTATATGTTAGGCACATTGTATTCTAGTAAAGAGGTGAAAACTCTTCTTATTTTCAGAGCTTGACAATCTATACATTCATAAATTGAATTCTTCCTGAGTGTGTGTGTGTGTGTGTGTGTGTGTGTGTGTGTGTGTGCACGCGCGCGCGCGCACATGCGCGTTGGATGGGGGTTGTTGTGGTTTTTCTTTTGTAATTACTTACTGATAACATTTAAAAATCCAGCTGGCCAGGCGTGGTGGCTCACGCCTGTAATCCCAGCACTTTGGGAGACTGAGGTGGGTGGATCACGAGGTCAGCAGATCGAGACCATCCTGGCTAACACGGTGAAACCACGTCTCTACTAAAAATACAGAAAAAAAAAATTAGCCGAGCGTGGTGGCGGGTGCCTGTAGTCCCAGCTACTCGGGAGGCTGAGGCAGGAGAATGGGGTGAACCCAGGAGGCGGAGCTTGCAGTGAGCCGAGATCGCGCCACTGCACTCCAGCCTGGGCGACAGAGCCAGACTCCATCTCAAAAGAACCAAAAAACAAAAAACAACAACCAAAAAAAAACAAATCCAGCAGTCTGTATAAACATCTAGACTTCTGGCATTGCTGATTAGAACTGGCAACATTGTGTCCATGTTCCCAATCAACAGTTGAACAGTTGTTGGTTGGAGCTGAGTTGCCGGTACCCCTTTCATTTGCTTGCTTTCTCTTTCTCTTTCTTCCTTCCTTCCTTTCTTTCTTTCTTTCTTTCTTTCTTTCTTTCTTTCTTTCTTTCTTTCTTTCTTTCTTTCTTTCTTTCTTTCTTTCTTTCTCTTCCTTCCTTCCTTCCTTCCTTCCTTCCTTCCTTCCTTCCTTCCTTTCCTTCCTTCCTTCCTTCCTTCCTTCCTTCCTTCCTTCCTTCCTTCCTTCCTTTCTTTCCTTCTTTCTTTCTTTTTTTTTTTGATGGAGTCTCTCTCTTTCGCCAACCTGGAGTGCAGTGGCGCAATCTCAGCTTACTGCAACCTCCGCCTCCCGGATTCAAGTGATTCTCCTGCCTCAGCCTCCCAAGTAGCTGGGACTACAGGTGCACACCACCACGCCCAGCTAATTTTTGTATTTTTAGTAGAAACGGGGTTTCACCATGTTTACCGGGATGGTCTCAACCTCTTGACCTCGTAATCTGCCCACCTCGGCCTCCCAAAGTGCTGTTTTCTTTTAAAAATTATTTAATGGGCCAGGCACAGTGGCTCATGCCTGTAATCCCAGTACTTTGGGAGGCCGAGGTGGGTGGATCATTTGAGGTCAGGAGCTAGAGACCAGCCTGACCAACATGGTGAAACCCCGTCTCTACTAAAAACGTAAAACATTTAGCTGGGCATGGTGGCACATGCCTGCAGTCCCAGTTTTTCGGAAAACTGAGGCAGGAGAATCTCTTCAACCCGGGAGGCAGAGGTTGCCATGAGCCGAGATCGTGCCACTGCACTCCAGCCTGGGCGGCAGAGCAAGACCCTGTCTCAAAAAAATAAATAAATAAATAAATTCACGGAAGAATACATACATAAAATAATGTCAACAGATCTTAAGTGGAAGTGGTGAATTTTCGCATATATATACACCTGTGTAACCGCCTCACTGCCATGGAGATACAGAACATCTCCAGTGCCTTGGCAGGCTCTCTTATGCCCCCTCCCACCCCATGTTATCCCACTCCAGAAGTAACTACTCTTCTGACTTCACTCTGATTTATGTCGCCCCTGTGAGTTTTGCCTGCAGCTGCCTTTTAAATTTACGTGAGCCTGCAGCTTGCAGTTCTCCACAGTCCCGACCATTCCCTATTGCCTCACTTTGGACCCCACTTTATTCATTTCCGATACCCCCTTGCTCCTTTAGCCATTTGAGTTTGTGACCTGTACTCAAGGTCTGGAAGTGTTCTCAGAGACCAGCTAGTCTTACCATTTTACAAGTGGTGAAACTGAGACTTGGAGTCAGAGAGTAAGCTTGTTCAAGGAACCCAGATGAAGCTGAGCCTGAATGCTGGCCAGTCAAGGGCAGAGCCCTGCTCTTCCCGCTCCAGCACAAGGAGTGTTGAGGAGGGCGGGCATGCCTTGTCTTTCAGACCCCAGCAGCCCCGGGCCTGGCCCTGCAATCAGCCACCCAGAGCCTGCCACAGGCCAATCAGCCGAAGAGGGTGGGAGTTTTTTTCTAGCCTGTGTCTTCCTGGAGATGCATCTTCCTTGAGGCAGGCGGTTAGCGATATCACCTTCCTCTTTAAAGGCCATGCTCCATTTGGAGAGGACCTGAGATGCCATTTGTGACAAGGGCCATGCACACCACCTTGATTGTGTCTGTTTCTGAAAGAAGGCTGTAATTTGGGAGCCAGCGAAAGCAAGGGAGGGAGGGAAGTAGAGGAGAGAGCAAGAGAGAGTGGGAGGGCAGAAAGGGAAAACAAAAAGGGCAGCCGCGACTCTGTCTGGGTTTCCATTTGTATCACTAATTCTGTCCCCGAGGAATGCTGGCTTTCCCTGGCTTCGGGTTAGTGTGGGCTGAGTCCCTCTGAGGGATGCCCTTTAGCTCTGCCCACTTTTCTTCTGTTCTTTGCCTACACAGACAGGAGATTAGCCATCCTGCCCTGGCTTATAAGGGACTTTATTCTCCTCCAGCACCCCATGTTCCTTCTCCTGCTCCGAACTGCCCCTGGCCCGGGAGGAGGCTGATCTTGCCCTTCTTTCCTGGAGCCAGGATCACTGATGTCATCTCCAGGGAACCAGTGGCAATGGAACTCTGGGCTAGACCTTTCTCAGACACTCTATGGGGGCCTAAGGCTTTGTCTTAGAGGGTGAGGCATGGGTAGACTATCTTTTTTTTTTTTTTTTTTTGAGACAGTGTCTCTCCCTGTCGCCCGGACTGGAATGAGTACAGTGGTGCAATCTCGGCTCACTGCAACCGCCACCTCCCAGATTCAAACAATTCTCCTGCTTCAGCCTCCCAAGTAGCTGGGACTACAGGTGCATGCCATCACGCCAGGCTAATTTTTGTATTTTTAGTAGAGATGGGATTTCACCATGTTGGCCAGGCTGGTCTTGAACTCCTGACCTCAGGTGATCCACCTGCCTTGGCCTCCCAAAGTGCTGGGATTATAGGCATGAGCCATCGTGCCCAGCCACGGATGGACTTTCACTAGAAAACCAGAACATAACTGGGTGGTGGGGTGGGGGATCCTTCCAAACCCATCCTGTCTGTGCTTTAAGATCTCACATCTACTGTTGGGGAGGCCATTCCTCAGCCAATACTGAGCATCACCTGTGTCCCAACCTCCGTCTAGTTGGTGGGACTTCAAGCTGAGAGTCCACAGCTGCACTGCCCAGTAGAAAAATAATGCAAGCCACATGTGCAGTTTTAAATTTTCTAGTGTCCACTTGGAAAAAGTTAAAAAAAGCAGGTAATTTTTTTTTTTTTTTGAGGCAAGGTCTTTCTCTGTCGCCCAGGCTAGAGTGCAGTGGTGAGATCACAGTTCATTGCAGCCTTGACCTCCTGGGCTCAAGTGATCTTCCCACCTGAGCCTCCCAAGATGTGTCTCCCTATCTCTGTGCTCTTTCTGTGAGAAGGATAAGTATTAAATTCATCTTTCTGTTGCTTTTTGCTTTTGGGAGTTTTCCAAGCAGGGAGTGACACAGCCTAGAAAGCTAAGGAAGTTGCAGCAACGTGGAGTGTTTGAGGCTTTCCTCTGGGGAAGAGGGTCTGGCCTGTCCACAGCAGAGGGGGCTTGGATGCCAGAGTATCATGGGCACTTAGCAGACCTGGGGCAATCTCTGGGGGCAGAAGCCCTGGGGCCAGGTAAATGCAAACTTTCCATGCTGTCTGCACTTCTCCTGTGATATACCCTGGGCCAAGGGTGTCAGGGTTCCCCCAGGAGGCATTCAGGTGGCTCCAGGGTCCAGACAACTGGGAAGACACTGTGGCAAACTGCACATACTTACCTCGGCTAATGGGGGCCCCTGCTACTGTTTGGTCTATGTTGCTAAGCAGCAGTACAGAACAGCTTTTAGGCTTGCCGGACACTTTGATTTTTCAAAAGAATCTAAACATCGAGATTAAAAAAAAATCTTTCTATTTGAGATGTTAGCAACGAATTTAATATTTGAAAACACAGCGAGGCCATTCATTCATTTAGGAAATAGTCATTGAACCCTTACTGTGTGTCAGGTGCTGTTCTAGGCCCTTGGGGCCCATCAGTGGCCCCTACCCTTGTGAAGTGTCTATGGTAGGGAAAACCCTTTGGCAAGCTGCATGTGGCCCATAGATGGCCAGTTTATGACCATAGACTTAGTGTCAGAGCTGACAGTAGTAATGAGAAACATTTATTAAGTACTGTGTGCCAGGCCCTGAGCTTAGCACTTCATCTAAAATACCTCACTTAGTCCTTACAACAACCCTACGAATTAGGGTCAGCTGTTACTCTTATGTTACAGGTGAGAAATATGAGGCACAGAGAGGTTACGCAATTTGCCCAAAGTCACATAGCTTGCAGGCGGTGAGGCAGATTTTTGCATGAAGGCAGTCTGATTCCTTGATCATTACTTTGTACTGCACTTACAGAAGGCCAGAGCCAAACCTTTCACTATACAGATGGAAACTGAACTCAAGAAAGGACAAAAGTCCCACCTGGGATCCACAGAGAGGCAATGACAGAGCTGGGGCTGGGTTCTGGGACACCCCCTTTCTATCCAGCCCTGCCAGGTGTGTTTATTACAGTCCTGACTTCCCCTATAATTGATCCTGGGCTGAGGTTGAATGTTCAGGCGCCTCCAGCATTTGGGCAGGGGATGTGAGAGAGTGAGGCTGGCTGGGATTTAAACATCCATGGGAGTGAATGAGGTGGATGGTTTTCTACCCTGAGCAGGTTACCCCCATCTGGGAAGGCCATGTATGTCAGGGTCTCTGCACTTGCCTGGACCCCAGCCCTTCCCATCTGTAAAGCTAGGGGTTTGCATGCAGTGGTGTCTATAATTTAACCCCAACCCCACACCTTTCCCCGCCATTGGCCAGGCTGGCTCAGGAGCTCTTGGGTATTTCTGGCCGTGCATCTTAGTCCTAAGCTGACCTTAGCCTGGGCTTTCCGGGTCTCGACCCAAGTAACCTTATCAGAGCTTGTAGTTTTATCATGTTGCTGTATGGGTGGTAATCATGAGGCAGTGAAATAGGTGTGAATAATGAAGAAAAATGCCCCTGGCAAGTGTGTGAAGACTTTAGTGATAGTCCTTTCATTGACCCAAGTGCTTTAATTCTCTGAGCCACAGTTTTCTCATCTGTAAAATAGGGGAAAAATCCCCTTCTGACCAATCACTTGATTCAGTGAGTAGGGGTCTCTCATGAGAGACATAAAAGTGCTCAGCAAAATGAGTTGCGATAACCTAAAAATCGTGCTATGCAAATAGTATGTGTCATTGTAATTAATTTTTACTAAGTATTAATGACTTGAATTATGTGGGATTTACGAGATATATACAGTTGGACATTTAAATAACATGACGATCTCGAAACCCCAGGAGCAATGTCTTTGCAATGGCTTGATGTAACTCTTTATGCTCACTCTTAACAATTTGACATCCATCTTTTTTGGATTTGTACAAGTCAATTGATATTTATTAAGCACCTACTGTTTGCAGGATACTATGCAGGGCACACTGAGATACAGAAGTAGACAAAGCATGGCCCTTGTCCCCCATGAGCTCTCACACTTATTCAGAGTGCTGTATTCAGGGCAATCAATTCAGGATGTGTGTGTGTTAGAAGAAGAGAGAGAGAGAGAGAGAAAGAGAGAGAATTGCATCTCCTTAGGAAATATCAGCATCTCGTGCCTGACCAAGGCCAAGGTTTTCCTTCTCTGATCTTCCTCACTGCCCCCAAATTCTCCCCCTCACCTGAAGTGCTGGTGACCGCTGGGTCTGAGTTACCATGGGATGGCTACATCCTAGGAGGGGCTGGGACAGGCATGGGGTGTAGAGAGTGGGGGTGGCCATGGGCTAGGACCTGCCAGGCAGCTGATCTGCCAAGCTGTGTCTGCTGCCTGCCTGAGGGCTGTTGGAAACTGGAGCTCAGGCCGGAAGAAGGGAGCCCATGAATAATACAGCGGGAGAGAGGCTGTTAACTAGGTGACCTCGTTGCACCTGTGTGTTTCACAGCTTCCTTGGGAGCCGCTGTGGAGGGCCTGGGTGTCAGGGGCAAGGGCAGAGGGGAATGGGAAAGGCCAGGTGTAGACATAGTTTATCTGTTTTTCCTTCCTACTTTCCTTTCAACTGCCTGGCTCAGAAGTCCGTGGTACTAACTTGCTGCCTCTCCTTTCTAGTGTTGATGCAGACGGCCTTGGCCATGTGTGCACGTGTGTGTGTGTGCATGTGCATGCATTGGCTGATGTAAGGGTGGGCTTTCTCTTGCACCCTGCCCCTTGGCCTGATCACAAGGTTTGTTTGCTGAACTGGATATCAGGCCTGCCCCTAGTCTCTGGAACAGACGTGTGATGTCACTTTTAAGTATCTGGCTGCTGTAGACTAAGAAGGCTCCTGGGCAGGACTTTTTGTCTCCTGAGGCTTTGGCCTCTGACCAAGGGGCCCTGTTTGATGTAAGGGGCAGGGGATTCCCTGGTGTTCCCTTCTAATGTGTGGGGTCCGTCATGAAGCTCTGGCTAAACTCATCCAGACCTGACACAAAGGGGCTGGTGAACCCCAGTACCTCTCAGGTAGACAAAGAAAGTCTCTGAGCATAGGTGAGGGCCTCTTCCAAGGGCAATGAGCTTAAACTCATTGTTTAAGAGCAAAGGGAACTGAGAGGAAACTGTACCGGGAGGGGTTAAAGGCAAACCCAAGGAAAAACTTGTTATGTGGTATGTTGGGTAAGGGACGGAGGATGGGGAGGCGCTAGAATTCATTCCCAGAGTAGACTGGCTTTACCTTCCACGTGGCTGTTTCCTGACTGCTGGCCTGGGGGTGGGATGGATGAAATGATTTGGGAGTGGAAAGCAGAGGGCACCCGGGCAGTGCTTGGGACAGGAAAAGGTGCCCTTGGTGTCTACTTCCTCCTTTGTTCTGAGTGCTGTCAGCAGGGGCCTGACCCCTGAGGAGCTCCAAGACCCTCTTCCCTAGGACTAGAAAGGGACTTCTCTCCCCAGACCCATGCTGCAGCCTCAACCTGCTTCCCCAGGCTTAAGAGCCCAGTCCCATGGGCTGGGGCCTGCCTGCTGCCCTGAAGTCTTAGAACCAGGCTTTCAGGAGGGTACACACCTCATCGCTGTCCACAGACACACTGGCCTGCCTGTAAGAAATGGGAAGCATCTCTCCCTTTGTGCCTGGTCTGGGTGGGTGTGGCCAGGGCTCTGAGCAGCAGGCCTTACCTCTGGGCCCAAACCCTAAATGAGAGGAAGTGTTTCTGGCTCTGGAGCCAGACCACCCAGGTTCAAATCCTAGCTCTTTCACTTATGAACTGTGTGGGCTTCTGGCAATTTAATTAATCATTACTCATCTGTGTCTTGTTTTCTCTTCCGCAAAATGAGAATAATAGTACCCAATTCAAAGGGTTATTGGGAGGATTAAATGAGTTATTGCACATAAAATGCTTAGAAAAAGTGCTTGGCACATAGTAAATGTTCAACAAATGTTGCTATTGTTTATTATTATGCTACTGTTATTCTCAGCTTCTGCATTCTGGGAGCTCACAGTCTTGCAGGCTGCCTGGGGGTGCCAAGAGTAACTATCATACCTATGAGAAAGGCTGTAGGTTGAGGGGGTGCAGTCCTGGAAGATTTCCAGGACTGGGAGGTCCCTTGCCCTGAGGCTGCAGCTTTGCTCTATGCCCACCAGCACTGTGCTTCCCATGGCAGGAGGGCAGGAAGAGAGGCAAAGCAGGACAGCTGTTAGTAGCACTGATGTTGGTGCTAAGAGACTTCTTAAGGCAACTTTTTAAATGAAGTATAATACATGCAGAAAAGTGTGCAAATGTGTTTATCCTGAGTTGTTGCAAAAGGGCCATGCTCATGTAACTGCCACCCAGACTAAGAAAAAAGTGATTACCAGAGCCATTACCCGTCATCCTCTGAAGTTAACTCCTATCCTGACTTCTAATACAGTAGATTCATTTTGCCTATTTTGAACTTTATATAAGTTGAATAATGCAGTGGGTTCTCTTTGTGATGTTTCCTTCTGCTTAACTTGTTTGTGGGAGTCATCCTGTTGCGTATAGTTAATGTGTTTCTCTTCATTGCTGTGTAGTATTCCATGTTGTGAATATACCACAATTCATCCATTCTACTGTTGTTGGACTGGCGGGTTGCTTTTATTCTTGGCTATTACAAAAGAGGCTGTTAAGAACATTTGTATGTGTGTCCTTTGGTGTACATATAGGTATATGCAATTCTATAAGTATTTGACTATCCTTTTACCAACACAAGCTTTAGAGCTTAATTACTATAGCTTTACAGATGTAGTCTTGATATTGCCAGTGTAAATTCTTCAGTTTTGTTCTTCTTCAAGACTCTTGTTTAATTTTGGCTTTCTGCATTTACATATACATTTTAGAATTGGCTTCTGAAATTCCATAAAAGCCCTGCTGAGATTTTGATTGAGACTGCATCAAAAATATGTAAGTCAATTTGAGGAAAATTGACATCTTTACAATATTGAGTTTTTCAATCCATGAACAAGATATACTCCTCTATTTTTCTAAGTTTTAATACATTATATTCAATAATGCTTTTTAGTGTAGCATTCTTATATTTTTAAAACTGGATTTCCTTCTATGTGTTTTATGTTTTTCGATACTATTGTAAGTAATTCGAAATTTTTTCATTTTGTATTATTAACTTGTCATATAGAAGTATAACTGATTTTTTCATTGATTACACAACCATTGTTAAATTTACTTATTTATTCTTATAGGTTATTGCATTTTTTGATTTTTAAAAACATATATGATTATGTTTTCTATAAATAATAACAGTTTTATATCTTCTTTTACAATACTTATATCATTTTTCTTGCTTTATTGCAATGGCAAGGAGTTCTAGCATAATATTGAATGGAAGTGGTAATAATAAGCATACTTACTTCAATTCTGGTATCAAGGAGAAAGCTTTCAATATTTTATCATTAAGTGTGATGTTTGCTGTAGGTTTCTTTTAATAGCTGTCATTTTTCAAATTAGGAAAGTTTTCTTCTAATTTTTTCAAAATTATAGTAAAATGTACATAACATAAAATTTACCTTTTAAACCCTTTTTCAGTGTGCAGTTCAGTGGCATTAGTATATTCACAGTGTTGTGCAACTATCACCACTATGCATTTCTAAAACTTCTGCATCATCTGAAATGGAAATACTGTACCCATTAAACAGTAACTCCCCATTCCTTCTCCCATCTGCCCATGTAACCTTGATCCTAATTTATTTCTCTATGAATTTGCCTATTCTGGGTATCTGGTATGAGTGGAATCATACAATATTCATCCTTTTATGTCTGGCTTATTTCACTTAGCATAATGTTTTCAAGATTCATCCATGTTCTAGTAGGTGTATGAATTTAAGGCCTTTTAAAAGCTGAATAATATTCCATGTATGAATATACCATATTTTATATCCATTCATCTGTTAATGGACATTTGGATTGTTGCCACCTTCTGGTTCTTATCAATAATGATGCTATGAATGTTGGTCTATAAATACCTGTTTGAGTCTCTGCTATCAATTCTTTTGAGTGTATACCTAGGTGTGGAGTTCCTGGATAATATGGTAATTTTATGTTTAATTTTTTGAGGAACTGCCGTACTGTTTTCCATTGTAGCTGCACCATTTTATATTCCCACTAGCAATGTACAAGGCTGACAATTTCTCCATTTCCTTACCAACACTTATTATTTTATTTTATTTTTCAGAGATGGTTGTCTTGCTGTGTTGACCAGGCTGGAGTGCAGTGGCTACACTAAACTGTAGTGCACAGTTCTAAACTACACTACACAGTTGTGCACTACAGTTTAGAACTCCTGAGCTCAAGTGATCTTCACGCCTCAGCTTCCCAAGTAGCTGGGCCTACAGGAGTGTACCACTGCACCCAGCTAATTTTTTGTTTTTTGATAATAGTCATCCTAATGGGTGTGAAGTGGTATCTCACTGTGGTTTTGATTTGCATTTCCCTAATGGCTAGTGATGTTGAGCATCTTTTCATGGGCTTATTTGTATATCTTTTATGGCAAAATATTTTTGAATTGGGTTGTTTGTCTTGTTGCTGTTGACTTGTAGGTGATCTTTATATATTTTGGATATTAATCCTTTATCAGATGTGTGATTTACAGATATGTTCACCGTCCTCTGGGTGGCTTTTTTGCTCCATAGATAGTGTGCTTTGATGCAGAAAAAATTTTAATTTTGATGAAGTACAAATACCTTTTTGCTGTTGTTGTTGCCTGTGCTTTTGGTGTCATATCCAATAAATCATTGCTAAATCCAATATCGTGGTTTCCCCTGTGTTTTCATCTAAGAAGTTTATAGTTGTGGTTCTTATGTTTAGGTCTTTTATCTGTTTTGAGTTAATTTTTGTATATGGTATAAGATTAGAGTCCAACTTGATTATTTTGCATGTGGATAGACAGTTTTCTCAGCATCATTTGTTGAAAAAACTGTCCTTTCCCCATTGAATGATCTTAGCACCCTTGTTAAAAATCAATTGTTTGTTTATGTGACAGTTTATTTCTAGGCTCTCGGTTCTGTTCCATTTGTCTGTAAGTCTGTCTTTATGTAAGTTCCACCTTTTTGATCACTGTAGCTGTGTAGTAAGTTTTGAAATAGAAAGTGTGAGTACTCCAACTTTGTTCTTTTGTTTTTTCAAGATCGTTTTGACTATTTGGGGGTACTTTGAGATTCCACATAAAATCTTAGAATGGGTTTTTCTATTTCTGTGAAAAACACCATTGAGCTTTTGATAAGAATTACATTAAGTCTGTAGATTGCTTTGGGCAGTAGTGTATCTGAACAATAGTACTATCTTAACAATATTAAATATGGTATCTTAACAATACTAAGTTTTCCAGTTTATGAACATGGGATGTCTTTTCATTTATTTATGTCTTCTTTACTTTCTTTTCCTTAAAATTGTTTTTTTTAGAGATGAGGTCTCACTATGTTGCTCAAGCTAGAGGCAAACTCCTGGGCTCAAGTTGATCCTCTTGCTTCAGCTTCCCAAGCAGCTGAGACTACAGGCATGTGACACCATGCCTAGCTTAGCAATATTTGTTAGTTTTCAATGTACAAGTTGTTTGCTTCCTGGGTTAAATTTATTTCTAAATATTGTCTTCTTTTTGATGCTATTGTAAATGGAACTGTTTTCCTTATTTCCTTTTCTGATTGTTCATTATTGGTATTTAGAAATACAACTGATTTTTGTGTGTTGATTTTTTGTACTGCAATTTTGCTGAATTTATTAGCTCCTGGGTTTTGTGTGTGTGTGTGTGTGTGTGTGTGTGTGTGTGTGTAATTGTTAGAGTTTTTTGCATGTATGATCATGTCTTCTGCAAAGAGAAATAATTTTACTTCTTCCTTTCCAATTTGCACACCTTTTCTTTCTCTTTCTTGTCTAATTGCTCTGGCTACAACGTCCAATACTATGTTAAATGGAAATGGCAATAGAAGGCATCCTTGTTTTGTTCCTGATCTTAGGAGAAAAGCATTCAGTCTTTTGCCATTGTGTATGATACTAGCTGTGGGCTTTTCCATTTATGGCCACTTTTGTTCCTTTTTGTTAAGAGTTTTTTCATAAATGTGCATAGAATTTTATCAAATGTATGTTTGTGTCTATTGAAATGATCATATAATTTTCCTTCTTTCTTCTGCTAATGTGGTAAATTACACTGGTTGATTTTCAAAAGTTAACCAACCTTGCATTCTTGGAATAAATCCAACTTTGTCATGATGTGTTATTCTTCTCATAACCCCTTATCTGTTATTGCAATAGCTACAACAGCTTTTGTTTGACTGTATTTTGGCATAAATGAATTGCTAATGTTCTGCTTAAGATTTTTTTCATCTGTGTTCATGTGATTTTTTTCTTTCTTGTAAAATCATTGTCAGATTATAGTATCGAGTTCTGCTGACCTCATAATACAAATTGGGAACTGTTCCTTCTTTTTCTGTTTGTTTTCTGGAGGAGTGTGGATAAGATTTGTGTTATTTTTATCCTTAAAAGTTTAGAACAATTCGATGGAGAAGCCATGTGAGGTTAGATTTCTTAGTAGGAAAGTTATAAAGTACAGTTTCAATTTCTGTAATAAATATAGGACCATTTATATTCTTATGTTTTTGTGTGTCAGTGTTAGTACATTGCATTTTTTAGAATTTTATCCATTTTATGCGTAATTCCAAAAGAATTGACATAAAGTTATTTGTAAAATCTCCTTAATTGTCCTCATGCATTTTTATACTCTCTATAGAATCTACAGTGATATCTTTTCATGGATGAAATTGGTAACTTGTATCTTCTCTTTCATTTTTATTTCTTTATTATTATTGTTATTATTTTTTAGATAGGGTCTCACTCTAGTGCCCAGGCTGGAGTGCAGTGGCATAATCACAGCTCACTACAACCTCTACCTCCTGGGCTCAAGCAATCCTCCTGTCTTAGCCTTCTCAGGAATGCACTATCACACCTGGCTAATTTTTAAATTACTTGTAGAGATGAGGTCTCGCTGTGTTGCTTAGGCTATTCTTCAAATCCTGGGCTCAAATGATCCTCCTTCCTCTACCTCCTAAACTGCTATTACAGGCGTGAGCCACTGTGCCCAGCCATCCGTCTCATTTTCTTTGTCATCTTATTGATCACTGGATTAATCAATTGTATTGATCTTTTCAAAAAAACAATTTTTCAGTTTTACTGATTTTTGTGTATTAAATTTTGTGTTCTATGTCATTAATTTTTCATCAGAATTTGTATTTCTTTTCTTCAGTTTTAATTTACTTCTTAAAATACTTTTTGAGATACATACATAGCTCATTGTTTTATAGATTTTCTTCTTTTCTAAAATCTGAACTTAAGGCTGTAAATTTTCTTTTAAGCACAGCTATTAGTATGTCACAAATTTTGATGTCATATTTTTATTGTTGTGAGGTTCAAAGTGTTTTCTAATTTCTGTTATAGTTTCCTCTTTGATTTATGGGTTTTTAAACCTCATTGCTTTATTTCCAAGCATTTGGGGATTTCATACTTTTTACAGTTGTTTTTAAGCTTAATTCTGTTATGATCAAAGAATATACTTTTACTGATTCCAGTTCTTTGACATGTTTTGAGAGTTACTTTATGGCCCAGCATGGGGAATTTTTATAAATATTTTTCATTGTCCCACAAGAATAGTGTTTATTCTGTTATTGTATACTGTGTTCAATTTTATCAATGAGGTTAAATATGTACATCTTATCATTCAGATATTGGTGTCCTTACTGATTTGTTTTTCACCTTTTCTATGGTTATTGAGTGCAGTGGCATGATCTTGGCTCACTGCAACCTCCACCTCCCAGGTTCAAGCAATTCTCCTGCCTCAGCCTCCCAATTAGCTGGGATTACAGGTGCGCACCACCATGCCCGGCTAATTTTTGTATTTTTAGTAGAGAAGTGGTTTTACCATGTTGGCCAGGTTGCTCTAGAACTCCTGACCTCAAGTGATCCGCCCGCCTTGGCCTCCTGAAGTGCTGGGATTACAGGCATAAGCCACTGTGCCCAGCTATAGCCTGTATTCTTAACTTATTAGAGTAATTTTTTTCTACTATCTCTTGGACAAAGCTAGGACTTTGGAACACTTTAACTCCACTTACTCCATTTCTACCTTTAGTGTTAGTGGTTGTTATAAATTTTAATTGTATATATATTTTACATCCATAAGACATTATTTTCTTTCAGCCAGCATTCGTTTGCTTACATATTTACCCTGATATTCTTTATTCTTCATTGTATTTTACATTTTCCTTTGGAGTAATTTTCTCATTGTCTGAAGATGTCTCCTTTTGGTGTGGATCTGCTATTGAATTTTTGCAGTTTTTGCTCATCTTTGAATGTATTTATTATACCTTTGCTTTTTATTTTTAGAGACAGGGTCTCACTCTGTCACCCAGGCTAGAGTGTGCAGTGGTGTGATCATAGGTCACTGCAACCTTGAACTCCTGGGCTCAAGCGATCCTCCCACCCCAGTCTCCCAAATAGGTAGGACTACAAGCATGTGCCACCATGCCAGGCAATTTTGAAGGATATTTTTACTGAGTATAAAATTTTCTTGTCACACTAAAGAGGTCATTCATTTCATTGCCTTCTGGCTCCCATTGTTTGTTTCAAAAAGTCACCTATAAGTTTTATTAGCACTTTTGAATTAATGTGTCTTTTCTCTCTGGCTCCTTTAAATTTTTTTTCTTTTTTTGTTTTGCCTTTGGTTTTCTTTTTTTTTCTTTCTTTCTTTTTTGTCTTTTCCTTTCTTCTTTTCTTTTCTTTTTTTTTTTAAATTGAGACGGAGTCTGGCTCTGTCACCCAGGCTGGAGTGCAGTGGCACGATCTCGGCTCACTGCCAACCTCTGCTGCTCGGGTTCAAGTGATTCTCCTGCCTCAGCCTCCCAAGTACCTGGGACTACAGGCGCACACCACCACACCCAGCTAATTTTTGTATTTTTAGTAGAGACAGGGTTTCACCATGTTGGCCAGGCTGTTCTCAAACTACTGACCTCAGGTGATCCGCCTGCCTCGGCCTCCCAAAGTGCTGGGATTACAGATCTGAGCCACCGTGCCCGACCTTGCCTTTGGTTTTCTACAGTTATACTTTTATTTATCCTACTTTGTATCCTTAGGATTTATCCAATCTTTGGCTTGATATTTCAATCAGTTTCAAAAGATTTTCGGTCATTTTATTTTCAACTATTGCTTCTGACTTAATCTCTCTCTTTCTTCAGGACTTAAATTATACACATGTACTAGATATTTTCACCATGTCCCATATATCTCTTAAGCTATTTTATCACTTTCTCATCTGTCCTTCTTTTTCTTTGAGACAAGTTCTGTCTCTATCACCCAGGTTAGAGTGCAGTGGCACAATCTCAGCTCACTGCTATTTCCACCTCCAGGGCTCAAGCCATCCTCCCAGTGCAGCCTCTCAAGTAGCTGGGACTACAGGTGCTCACCATGATGCCTGGCTAATTTTTGTATGTTTTGTAGAGATGGGGTTTTGTCATGTTGCCCAGGATGGTCTCTAACTCATGAGCTCAAATGATCAGCCTGCCTTGGCCTTAAAAATGCTGGAATTACAGGCATGAGCCACTGCACCCAGCTCATTCCAGTTATTTTCTGCGGGTCTATTTTCAGTTCACTCATCTTCTCTTCAACTGTATCTAATTCACTGTTAAACCCATCTATTAAGATCCTGATTCTAATTATTATATTATTCCTTTTGGGAATTTATTTTTATTTGTTTTGAAGTTTCTAGTTCCTTGGTGACATCATTCATCTTTTTTCAACTATTGTCTTGAACATATTAATCACTATAATTTTTAAGCCCATATTTGATAATCTAGTAACTGAGTCACCTATGGGCTTGTTTTTATTGACTGTTTTTTTCTTTCTCCTGTTTATGATATAGCTAGTAATGTTTTAATGAATGTCAGTCATTTCGTATGAAAAATTGTAGAGGATCTGAATGATGCTGTTTCTTTTCAGGGAAGATTCATTGTATCATCCAGCAGGCAGCAGAGCAGCTGATCATCTTAATCCAGTCAGGGCCTGAGCTGACTCCAGATTCGGTTAGTCATTGTAATGCTTCATTTTCATCTAGTTCATCCACAGTCCATCAGCAACTCTCCAGGGGTCTGAGTTCATGTCTCTGTGCCTCCCTCCTCTCTGGGATCTGGGATCCTCAAGTCCTTGCTGCCTTGTTAGCCCCAACTCAATCTTGATCTCCCCAGGCTCACAGGAAGGCCAACATTCTGCCCGCTCTTCCATTCTCATTCTGTGCCAAAGCTCTGAGTGCAAAAGAGGCTCTCAGAAGTCTGGGCTTACTTCTGGGAGATTCCGTTCTCTGGATCGTCATACCGTAGCTTCTGTCTAACCTGACGGTTCTCTGGTACCTTCAAGTGGATTTTTATTTTTTGGACCCAATTTTCTAGTCTCATGGAGATTGTTGACCTGCCATGGTTATTAAATCATAATTGCAAGTGGTACCCAATTGGGATTTAAATCCTGGTTCACTGTTTACTAGCTGAGTAACCTTGGGTTAATGACCTCTTCTCTCTTAGTCTCAATCTCTTTATCTGTGAAATGGGTATAGTAATAATTGCATCCTCCTCATCAGATGGCTGTGGGAACTAACTAATAAACACAATGTTTGCATGTAGTATGCACTCAACAAAGGATAGCTACTATAATAATACATTTTTAGCTTTGTTTTTGTTATTGTACTATCAAGTAAGAAAAAACTGTGGGAAGGTGTTAGGGGTTTCATAGCATGACTTTGAGGGGACTGAGGGTTAGTGTTCCTCTGTGGCCTCAGCATGGATTCAGCCACCCACTTCCTCTCCCTGCCCTCTAAGACATATGCATACTCTCCCCTCCCTCTATGGCTCCCTTCCCTTCTCCTTGCAATACCTTTCTTCTCCTTAGGTGGGCCTGTCCCAGAGCTGCTTGTGCTACAGGAATGGACTCTCTGAAGAATGAAGTGACCTTGAGGGGGAATGGAGCAACATCCCTTAGCCTCTGCTCTCCCCCTGCTCCCTGTCCACCCCAGTACATCACTGTGCCCTTTCCAGTGGGGGCTGGTATGAGAAAGGCCCTGGAGGCAACACCCAGGCCCTTTAACATGGACATGCAGGGACATTACCCCATGGAAAGTCTCTAGCCCATAGGAAAAGGGCACTGGAGGGACACTCAGATGTGAAAAACCACCTGGAGGTTTGGTGGTTTTGAATTCTCCTAATTTCCCCCTAACATTTTAATTAATTTTTGAGCATGCAGAAAGGTCAAAAGACTTGTCCAGTGAACCCCTAGGTACTCACCACTGGAATTCTATAGAGTACATTTTGTTACATTTCCTTTACTTTTTCTATCTATTCACTTCCCATCCTTCCATCAGACCATTGTTTTGGATGCATTTCAGAGTTACTGGTGAACAGCAGCTCACTTTACCTGTAAACACCTCAGCATGTGTATCAGTAAGTGGTGAACTCATCTAATTTAACAATCAAAAGTGGGGACCTGAAACTTTATTCAGGCAGGAGAACAGCTGTTTAGGGGAGAGTGGGCCAAGAAGGGGAGCAGGTGATGTCACCAGGGGTTTCACTTGGGGCACCTGGGACCCAGATGGTGAGGCTGAGCATGTCTCTCACCTGCCAGGCTGTAGGGATGGAGTCTGTCCCGGCTACTGCTGGATGCCTTGCACTCAGCAGCTATAGCTGGTGCTCAGGAAGGGTTTATTGAGCCAATGAATTACTTCCTTTAAAAGGCGGGGGTTGACTGTGTGACTCCAGAGTCCAGAAATCCAAATAGGGAGGGAAAGTTACTGGAAGGCAGATTGGGGTACATTAGAAGAGCAATTTGTCTTTCTTCCTTTCTCTTTTCTAAAATACCAAATTATCTTTTTTTTTCACTTTTATTTTTGGGCAGGCAATAATAACATATGTAGAAAATTCAAAAGGCCCAAAGTGGAATCCAGTGAAACTCTTCTCTCCCACCTCTCTCCTCCAGACACCTAGGCTTCGCTCCCAGAAGTTGTCCTTTTCTGCTTTCTCAGTGTCCTCTCCAGTAGTCTATGCACACACATGATGATGATGGTGATGGTGATGATGATGGTGATGGTGATGATGATGATGATGGTCATTATGATGGTGATGATAATGATGATGGTGATGATGATGGTGATGGTGATGATGGTAATGGTGATGGTGATGATGGTGAAGGTGATGATGATGATGATGATGGTGATATGATGATGGTGATGATGATGATGATGATGATGGTGATGATGGTGATGGTGATGCTGCTGCTACTAATAATAGCACTTATTGGGAACTTAATATAGGTGAGTTTGTATTCCAGAGATTTCACAAGTATTATGTTATTTGATACTTATAACAACCCTATGAAGTAGGTATGACTATTATCTCCATTTAAGAGATTAGGGAAACTGAGGCACAGAGCAGCTAAGCAGCTCATGCAAGCTCACATAGCAAGTTTGGCAGTCAGCCTGGCTGCTCTCTTGGCCTCTGCTTTACTCACTTCAGCATTTCTCGGCACCACCCCCATCCGGAAGGTACCCCCCGTCGCCTGGCTATAGTAACCTCACAGAGCAGCAGGCTGGCTGAGGAGGTGCTGAGCTCCCTGTCCCTGGAGAGCATTCAACCATAGGACCCCCAGAGGCTCTCTGCAAATAGCTTTGTTCCTTTCCCCCCAACCCTTGGTTTCTGCTGCTCCCCTGCCTGTGGGGTCTGTCATTCTCTCCAGACTTCAGAGGTCTCCAGGTTCTTATACTGCTCTCTTTAACCCCCAGATAGGAGCCCTTTCAGCTCCTCATAGGAAAGATGAAGCCTGTGATCCCCTCTTTGTTTGCAGGAGGCAGTGTTAGGCCCAGAGTGGGCCTTGGGTAATGCCCGGTCAGACAGCAAGGCTGTGTCCAGCCAGGAGCGGTTCCACTCCTGCTCCCTGCCCAGCCCTCTGCCTTCTGCCACCATGTTTATTTAACCTGGCCTGTTGGCCCCCTGCCCTTGCGCCCCACCACCTGCCCCACCTGAGGAGAACCTGTGTGCCTGGGGAGTGGGTGGGGGCATATGAGAAAGAGCCGAGTAAAATTCTTCACTGGGAACAAATCTCATTTTCAAGAAAGTCTTGACAAAATGAGGCATTAAATTACAATATTTCGGAGAGCGTCGTAATTCTATTGCAGACAGCCCTTCATCATGGAATCTGAAAGCTGGGAAAATACAAAACTCATTAGATTAAAATAAACCACCTACTGCTCTGGAGAAAAGCTTATTTATCAATATCAATTTACTTATGATTACTCTGGCCTGCAATTTGTTATTTTTAAAAATTATGATTTGTGTATTGCTCATGCAGATGTGAAATATTTTTTCTTAAATTGAGTATTTTAAAAAAGATATACTTGTCCTTAGTAAAGGTTAGAAAGTAGTTACTGGGGAAGGGCAGGAGGGAGAAGGCTAGAAAATAAATTAAAAGAGGCTGGTGTGGTGGATTGTGAGGAAGCGTGTGTGTGTGTGTGTGTGTGTGTCTGAATGGGGGCAAATGTGGACACAGTGAACTAGGAGTCGTGTGAAGCTTTTGGGTCATTAAAAGAGGAAGGGTGTTAAGAGGAAAGGCATCCTTATTAACCAAGTTGTCCAAAAGATGGAATGTGTCCTGAGTAGGTAGTGAGCTTCCCACCCCTGGATGTATACAAGTTTGGGTTGAAGGTCTATGAGGGAGGATGCTATAAAGCACAACAGTTAGATGAGGAGCCAACTATAGTAATCTCCAATCATGGTGTTTAATGATTTTCTGAATCAGACACATGGCAGACACATGGGTCTAGAAGGTGGGACATTGTGGGGCAGCCCTACAGTGTGTACAGAAGTGAGCACTGGATTGGGTGTCAAGGAACCATCATCTTGAAATCACTGGTTCTGGTGGTCCTGGCTCCAGGGAGCCTTTGCCCTGTGGTGCCATGCAAAGAGCTTGGTCTTTGGAGCCAGAGCTACCTGGGTTCGAATTCTGCCATTGTCACTTACTTCTGTGAGACCTCAGTCAACTAGACTCTTCCTGAGTCCCCATTTCTTCATCTGCAAAGTGGGTCAGCAAGACCCCCTCACAGGGAGTGGTGATATTTATGAAGTTCTATAGAAAGTTTAGCACACAGTAGGCTCACTCAGCACATGCCAATATCCTTCCCTTCTGCCTTTCTGGGCCTCAGTTTCCCCATCTGTGAAATGAGCAGCATGCTGAGGATCTCCAAGCTTCTTCTGGCTCTAGATTTCTGTCACTGGTTTTTAGCGTTCCTTGTATAAGGAAGAAAAATTGTTGAGGTGAGGAGCTAGGCCCCCTGGGATCTCAAGGCCTCCACAGGCCTGCCCAACTGCTTGGACCTCCTTCCTCACCACCTGCATCAATGTGGGTGGCTTTCCTAGCTGAAGGACCCACTGTAAGCTCTCCATGTGCTTGATCTGCCATCAGGAAACTGGATCTCCATTTCATGGGTGGGAAAGTTGAGGCCCAGAGAGGGGAAGAACAGTATGCTTACCTGCTGCTACCACAGCCCCATGACTCCATTTCCTGGGCAACTTCACTGGGGGAGGGCAGAGCAGAGGGGCAAAGCCTTTGGAATTCTTGAGAGTTTGGTTTTGGGAGGAGGGGTTGTGCTTGGCCTCCCTCTTTCCCTCTCTCTCCCCTTCCATTTATGTTTTTATATTTATATTATGTTTTATATTTCAGCCACTACTATTGAACACCTCCTATGTTATGACGGCCCTTGTGTTAGGCTCTGGAGCAATCAGGGTGAAATAGGCATGCCCTGATCCTAGGGTCCTCCAGGAGTTTAAGGTCCAGTGAAAGAGACAGGCGTGTGCACACACACAGTGCATGGAGGGTTCGAACGGGGACATCTGTTTGTCAGAAACACAGTGGGGTGGAGGAAGGCCTGATGCAGCCTAGCTGGTAAAATCAGAGGAGACTCCAAAGGAGGTGATGGCCAAGCCCTGTTGAAGGAGGAGAAGGAACTTGCTGTGGATTTGGTGCCTCTACAGGGCTGTGGCTTGGCAACAATCAAATGTCCAGCTGTGCATTTCACCTGAGGCTGGATTTGAAACCACTCCCTGCTGCAGGCTCTGGGCAAGTCCATTGCCTCTGGAGTAGGAAGGTGCTCCTTGGCTGGGCTCCTGTGAGGAGCACAGTTTAGGGGGAGGTTAGCAATAGACAGGCAGGAGATAGAGCCAACCAGCAGCTCCAGGGGGGTGATGCATTTGCTGGAGAATGGGATGAGGGGAGGGAGGCAGAGAAGCTGGTGGCAGGAGGTGACAGCTTTAGGGGAGACTCAGCCTAAGCCCCAAATTTCTAGTTCTGTCAGTCATACTGGGGCCTCAGCACTGCAGGGTTTTAGGGTCATGCCTCTATCCTCTCTGAGGTTCATTTTCACCATTTGGAAAATGAGGTGGTGTTCCTGCCTCCAAGGCCAGTGAAGGCCAAGTGACCTGAGAGGCTGGTGGTGCTCGCTGGGCAGGGCAGGACGGGTGGTGCTCTCTGCTCTGTTCTAAGATCGCCTGGTCTGGGTCTGCCCTGCCTGCTCTCACAGAACCTGCAGTCCAGGTGTCGGGTGCTTGTGATGAGTGCAACAAGGGTGACATGCTCTACATACAACGGAGCATGGTTGTCACTATGACTGTTGGCTTGAGAATTGGGCAGAAGAGGTGGGGACTGGGAAGAGGCAAGGCAAGAGGACGCTTGGGTGGACTGGACACGCATCGCGTGCCAGGTGCACCTGTGGGTGTTCTCAAGTGTGCCGCCTTTGAGTCCTCACTATATCCCGCCACGTAGGTGCTGCCTCCGTCAGCATAGAGAGGAAACTGAGGCTAAGCAGGGATTTGAAACTGGATCTCGCTCCCCGCCTGATGGTTCCCAGGTAGACTTGTCCCTTTCTCTCCACCTGCAGTAAGGTAACCTGGTGGGACCTGGGTTTCCCACTGAGCTCTCAGGAGCCCAAAGCTCCTTCTGGTCAAGCCCCCACTGCATGCCCCTTGCTCCTTTTAGAAGCTGTGATATTAACACGCGTAAAAACAATCCAAACAGCATCTCACACAATTATGTGGGGAGGAAGTGGCTGTCACAGGCAATCTGGAAAAGATGTATCACTTAACTCAAAGGGAAAATGATCAACTTGCTGTTAGAGAGCGTGTGCCTTGCCCTGTCTCCTCGATACCCCCACTCATCCCCACAGGGATCCCCTTCCCCCAGCTGAGGGTGTGCCTGGCAGCTGGCTGGTGGGGCTGTGCCCAGGCCTTCCCTGCAACATAGTGTCAGGCTGTTCACACTTGAAGGGACCTCGTTCCTTTATTTTGTTCAGTCATTGATTCATGATTCATCCAGTGCTCACTGTGCACCTACTGTCCGCCAGGCTCTGGGCAGGCTGGGGGGAAGCCTGCAGCATAGACAGTGACACTGTCACACACAGCAGAGCTCCAGCTGCACCACACTAGGCTCAAAAGCAGCATGAGTCACATCTCAGAGACCCCAGACACAGAGTAAAGGGACTGCTTCTGCCTGGGGGGCTGAGAGGAGCTCAGGGAAGGCTCCTCAGTCCCCGCATGCCCAGTGGGAGGAAGGGCATCTGGTCACAGGGCCCTGTCTAAGCGAAGGCGGAAGCTGTGTCCCAAGTGGCATTTTGCAGACAAGGACGCTGAGGCCTGGAGAGATCTGCCACCTTGCCCAGGGTCACACGGCTGACCCATGGCTCTGCTTGGGGTGAGAACTCCTATTTGTACCTAATGTCAGTGAAGAGGGACTGAGTGCAGAAGGGGTGTCTGTGAAGACTGGAGAATGTTGTGGAAGGTGCCCTGGAGTGGGTGAGGGTGGAAGGGGAGGAAACCGGCTTGGCTAAAATCACAGTGGGGCAGAGAGAGAGAGGGAGAGAGAGAGAGAGAGAGAGAGAGAGAGAGAGAGAGGAAGGAAGGAAGAAAGGAAGGAACGAAGGAGGAGAAGGAAGGGAAGGAAAGGAAAGAAAGAACAAAGAATAGTCACAGTGGGGCAGAGAGAAAGAGAGAGGAGAAGGAAGGAAGGAAGGAAGGAAGGAAGGAAGGAAGGAAGGAGGGAAGGAAGGGAAGGAAAGAAAGAAAGAAAAAAGAATAGGCTCCCAGGTTATTAGATCACATGGGAGGGAGGAGCCTGAGAGAGGCCTTCACTTTTGAGTGTGACTGGTCTAGAGCCAGCCCCGCCCATCTGCAGGACAGTGCTACCCCAGCTGGGGGTTTGGAGCTCCTGTGTGGGTAGGAGCACAGCTGGGAGTGGGCAGTTGCATGCTGTTTGCCTCACTTTCACTCCTTGCAGCCTGCATGGGGTTCTGTGCCAGGAGGAAGCTCTCTCTTCAGATGAGAGGCCCAGACTCTGTTGCTGACTCCCTGGCTGATCCTCAGGGTCAAGTTGATCCTCTGAGAGCTCAGTGCCCCTATCTGTGAAATGGGCATAACATCACCCTGTCTAGATTTGCAGTCACATGTACAGAAAGATTTTGCAGAGTTAAAGTCATCACGGAGGTGTTCTGGCAGCTGTGTGGAGTTGGAGGACACAGGATGGAAGCTGCTGGGTTCTCAGCATTGAGATTCCTTTTGGGAAGGTTTTGGGGTGCAAGGGATGAGAGCAGAGAAAGCAAAGGAGAGAAGAAGGTGGAGACTTGGGATACTTGTGAACCTTTCTATTGACTGGGGAGAAGGGGAAATAAGAAAGGATGTCCTGGCTCCCCTCCCACCCCTCTGTCTTGGGGAGGGCAGGAGGGCTTGGCAGTGAATTAGCCGGTGGAAGTTGAACAGGCGGACACTAGGAGTGGCCTTGGCCTCACCCATAGTTCTATCGACCACCTGCATGGCCCCTGAGCAAATGGTTTTGACTTGGGAGCAGTGATGGGGTCAGCATCCGAGAGGCTGAGAAGAGCAGAGTTGAAAATGCCTGAGGGTACCAAGTCTGCTCTGCACTTTCAGAGGGGGGCCAGGACTTTCTAAGGGCCATCCTGTGAGAGAATGGGGGACAGGCCCAGGACCTGGGGTCTTCCTTTCCATCCTTGGCTCTTGGACTGATGGTCTGAAGACAGGGAAGGCAGCCTCTGTGAGCCTTGTTTCCCTTGTCTGTCAAATGAGCTGGCTGGCACAGGTTGGCTCACCACGGGAGATGGACTTCAGGTGAGGCAGGAGGGGGCTAGGTGAGGCCAAGCTGACTTTCTGGCTGGGAGTGAGAGGTGGGGCCCAGGGAGGCAAGTGGGGGCTGCGAGGAAGTAAGGGGACTGGAAGGGGGTCTGCACCAAGGGTGAACTTGGCAGTTTACCTCACTTAGTTTTGATAAGCTTTGGTTTCTACACTAGCTTTATTTATTTGTTATTGAATTCATTTTTTAATTTTTTAAAACTGTTCTATTGATATGTTATTCACATATGATCCAATAAGCCCATTTAAAGTGTACAATTCAATGGTTATTAGGGCATGCACAGATATGTGCAACCATAGTCACAGCCTATTTTGGAACATTTTATCATCTCACAAAGATACCTTTAGCTGGGCGCAGTGGCTCACACCTGTAATCCTAGCACTTTGGGAGGCAGAGATGGAAGAATTGCTTGAGTCCAGGAGTTTGAGACCAGCCTCAGCAACACAGTGAGACCTTGTTTCTACAAAAATAAAAATTAAAAAATTAGCTAGGCATAGTGGCACGCTCCTGTAGTCCCAGCTACTCGGAAGGCTGAGGTGGGAGGATTGCTTGAGCCCAGGAGGTTGAGGCTGCAGTGAGCTGTGACTGCACCACTGCACTCCATCCAGCCTGGGCAACAGAGTGAGACCCTGTCTCAAAAAAAAAAAAAAAAGAAAGAAGGAAGGAAGGAAGGAAAGAGAAAGAAAGAAAGAAAGAAAGAAAGAAAGAAAGAAAGAAAGAAAGAAAGGGAAAGAAAGAAAGAGAAAGAGAGAAAGAAGAAAGCAAGCAAGCCCATACTTTTTAGCTACCCTCCCTCCCCGTTACCCCCAGCCCCTGGCAACCACAGATCTACTTTCTGCCTCTAAGATTTACCTCTTCTGGACATTTCACATAAACAAACTCATAATATGTGGTCCTTGGTGACTGGCTGGTGGCGTCAGGTTCTCAGGGTTCATCCTTGTTGAGGCAGGCGTCAGTCTCCATTCCTTTTCATGGCTGGATAACATTTCGTTGTGATATACCAACGGATATACCACATTTTGTTTATTCATTTGCCTGCTGAAGGACATTTGGTTTGTTTTCATGTTTTGGCTATTATGAATAATGATGCCATAAACATTGGTGTACAAATACAGGTTCCAGTTTTTGCTTTCAGTTCTTTTGTGTATATTCTCAGAAGTGGAATTCCTGGAGCATAGGGTAATTCTATGCTTACTTTTTTTTTTTTTTTTTTAGATGGAGTCTCACTCTGTTGCCCAGGCTGGAGTGCGGTGGTGCAATCCTGGCTCACTGCAACCTCCACCTCCTGGGTTAAAGCGATTCTCCTGCCTCAGCCTCCTGAGTAGCTGGGACTGCAGGCGCATGCTGCTATGCCTGGCTAATTTTTGTATTTTTAGTAGAGACGGGGTTTCACCATGTTGGCCAGGCTGGTCTCAAACTCCTGACCTCAAGTGATCCTCCTGCCTTGGCCTCCCAAAGTGCTGGAATTACAGGCGTGACCCACTGTGCCCGGCCCTATTGTACTTTTATAAAGAACTGTCATGCTACTTTCTCCAGTAGCTGTGTCATATTATAGTCCCACCAGAAATGCACAGGAATTCCAACTTTTGCACATGCTCACCAACACTTGTTTCTTTCTTTCTTTTTTTTTTTTTTTTTTGAAACAGAGTCTCATTGTCGCCCAGGCTGGAGTGCAGTGGCACGATCTCGGCTTACTGCAACCTCCGCCTCCTGGGTTCAAGCAATTCTCATGCCTCAGCCTCCTGAGTAGCTGGAATTACAGGGATGCATCACCAGGCCCAGCTAATTTTTGTATTTTTAGTAGAGATGGGGTTTCACCATGTTGGTCAGGCTGGTCTTGAACTCCTGACCTCAAGTGATCCGCCCACCTCAGCCTCCCAAAGTGTTGGGATTACAGATGCGAGCCACCACGCCTGGCCTCCAACACTTGTTTTATGTGTGTGTGTGTGTGTTATAATAGCCATTTTAGTGAGTATGAACTGGTATCTCATTGCGGTTTTGATTTATAGCTCCCTAATGGTAGTGATGGTGAGCATTGTTTCATGGGCTTATTGGCCATTTGTATATCTTCTTCTTTTTTTTTTAATCGAGATGGAGTCTCACTCCATTGCCCAGGCTGGAGTGCAGTGGCGCGATCTCAGCTCACTGCAACCTCCACCTCCCTGGTTCAAGCAATTCCCCTGCCTCAGCCTCCTGAGTAGCTGGGATTACAGGTGCACGCCACCAAGTTGGGCTAATTTTTTGTATTTTTAGTAGAGACGGGTTTTTACCATGTTGGCCAGACTGGTCTCAAACTCCTGACCTTGGGCAATCTGCCTGCCTTGGCCTCCCAAAGTGCTGGGATTACAGGCCTGAGCCACCACGCCTGGCTGGCCATTTGTATATCTTCTATGGAGAAATTTGCCTCCTTTCGAATTGGGTTGTTTGTTTTGAGTTTTAGGGTCTTTTCTATATTTTAGACATTAATCCCTTATCTGGCATGTGATTTGTAGATATTTTCTGTAGGTTGCGTTTTTACTCTGTTGATAGTGTCCTCTGATGCATAAAAGTTTTTCATTTTGATGAAGTCCAATTTATCGATTTTTTCCATTTCTTGCCTGTGTTTTTGGTGTCATATCCATAGTGTTATCAGTCATTGTTATCTCGATAAAGCTGCACAGCAAAACACCACAGCAGTCATTTATTCTTTCTTATGTGTCAGGGGTCAGCTGGAGGGAAGGTCAGCAAATCTAGGCTGGACGTGACTGAGCTTGACTCTAGGCTGTGCATGGGTTCTGTCTGCTCATTCTTCTGGGGCCAGGGGTCTGCATGGGGTGTGTTCTTCTCAAATTGAATGGCAGGAGCTCAATAGACAAGTCCCTCTGCACAAGGTACATGCTCATGCTACTGTGGAGCTTGGGCAAAGTGAGTCTCACAGCCAAGCTCAGCATAAGAGGTGGGAGACCCCGCATGGGTGTGGACACATCATTCTTCTGAAGAGGAGTGAAGGGCTGGGATCGAGAATCTGATCAAGCCCAGTGATGGCCAAGAGGTGGGAATGAGCTGGCAGGTTTGAGGCTGAGAGGGGCTAGTGTGGCTGAAATACAGTGATCGGGGACAGGGGGGAAAGTCGTATTTAGCGGGTGCGTGGAAGATGTTCGTTAACTGAATTAATCAAAAGAAGGTATCGTGACTGACTGGCTGGATAGAGATGAATGTGCTGAGATGGGAAAGGCAAGGACTGGAAACTATTTAGGGAAGAAATCAGCTCACTGCCAGACCTGTTAAATTTTAGAGACACATGCTGGTGGGCAAATGGCTGTATGAGATGAAGTAGACTCTGCTTGCAAGGATCTGTGGGTCTTCTGGCAGCAGGAGGACAAGGGCATGGCCAGCTGTCCCACGCAGCTGAGATAGGTGCCTCCAACAATGTAGTAAGGATGAGGACAACTCAGCTTCCTGTTCCAGCAGCGTTCCAAGGTGGCTTCGTAGATGAAGGGCATTTGAGCTGTAAGGTGGGATGTGAAAGGTGGAGCTAGGGATGCTCCAGGTGGAGGGAGCCACAGGGTCAGGGCACAGGGAGAACACAGGGTGGGTGACTGGCAGTGACCCCAGTGAGGGGGTGGGTGCAGGTTTCAGCAACATGCCAGGCCTGAGCTGGGGTCTGTGGGCTGTTCCCCTGCTGGTGAGCCAGGGGATAGGAGGAAGCTGACTTTGATCACTCCATTCTTGTCCATGTGCCCAGCAGGGGCTGGGGATATGAGGATCAGGAGCCTCTGCTGTCTTTTTGGAACTCAAAAAAAAAAAAGTGAGAGCCCAGTGATGGCAAAGATGTGGGGAAACCGCTTTTTCCTCATTGTTGGTGGTGGAGGGGGTATAACTTGGTGCACCCTCTTTGGAGGGCAGTTTGCCAACAGCTATGAAAATATGAAAATTTCCTGCTTCTAAATGCACCACTACGCACAGACAGAGGAACAAAGATATTTGTCGTGGCTTTCTTCATCAAAGCAAAAGATTAAGAACAGCCTAGGCCGGGCACAGTGGCTCACGCCTGTAATCCCAGCACTTTGGGAGGCCGAGGTGGGCGGATCATTTGAGGTTAGGAGTTCGAGACAACCTGACCAACATGATGAAATCCCGTCTCTACTAAAAATACAAAAATGTTAGCCTGGCCTGGTGGTGGGAGCCTGTACTCCCATGTACTCCCAGCTACTCAGGAGGCTGAGGCAGGAGAATCACTTGAACCTGGGAGGCGGAGGTTGCAGTGAGCCGAGATCGCGCCACTGCACTCCAGCCTGGGTGACAGAAAAAAAACAAAAAAGAACAGCCTAAATGTCCACTGGCAGAGGACTGGTTAAAGGATGGTCCCCCATATAGAAGGACACCCTGCAGCTGCTAAAAAGAACAAGCAACTCCGTATGTACTGAAATGGAACAGTCCTCAGGATACATGGTCATGTAAAAAGCTAGGAGTCGGATAGCATGAGTACCACTCACATTTTCTTTAAAGAGAGGGAGGGGCCCATGTGCTAATATGAACATACAGAACTTCTGGAATGAGACCTTGAGCGTTGCCTCTGGGAAGGAGTTGTGGGATGGGGAGACAGGAGATTCGCTTCCTGCTGTACACCCTTTCTTTTTAGTTATTTACTACGTCCGTACACTGCTCCCCAAAAGAATAAAGTAAAATAAATCTTTTGCTGTATGATATTTTTAAGAGTCGGTGAGGGGAACTCAGAGACACCAGGCTTCATATGGGGGAGGCTGATGTCTGTGGCTCCCCACCCTGGGGGTCTCAGGTCGTGCCCTGCCTTCCTGCCCCAGGCACCACTTCATGGAAGCTTCTGGGAGGGATCCAGGGGAGGGTGCAAGAACAGAATAGCCATGAGGTGGTCTTGTCTACTCTTTCCATCACAGCAGCCTCCCCGGCAGTGGCCTGGATAGTGTGGGCTTTGAAGCGTGGTCATCGGTGACCTACAAGGGCTTGGCCATTAGCAGCCCTAATGGTGTCATCTGCAGGCGCCTTCTTGCACGCACGAACCTCTCTGTGTGTAGCAGTGGTGAATAATCACCAAATTGTATTTGATTTCTGCAGCGCATTTCTGTATTTCTATTCAAAGTTGAGTGCATCTGATTTTATGGGAATTCATAACAGTTCAAACTAAATCGTGGCACCATGCTGTGAAAATCTCTCACTCCCGAGAAACTGAAACGCTGCCCAGATGTCCCCTCCTGCCCTTTTCCTTCCCCCTGCTCTATTCTCTCATGTCCCCCCCTGCCTGCTAGGCCAGGAGGCGTTGCCTGTTGGCAGGCAGCAGTGTGCCCTCTGCCCTTGTACCTCCTGACCGGGCTGCAGGGAGAGATGGGAGATGGTCACGGTGGGGGCCCTGCCCCGGGAGTTAGGCCCAGAACTGCCTATTTCCCAAAAGAGGGGAGTGTGCCTTGCTCCAGCAGAGACATGGAATGTGCCTTTCCAGTCTAGGACACCAGGCTTCAACGGGCTTCCTCTTAGGTTTTTTTCTGGGATTCAGAGGTGTTTGGTGAAACCCCTACAGGTCATGGGGAGCTTTGCAAGGAACCTGGCTTCCTCCAACCTGGGCAAAGGAGTGGGAACAGGAAGGAGGGGCCCTCCAGGGTTGTGCAGTGGGGTGGGGGCATTTTGTGGATGCATCTCCTGGAGGGGGTGGCAGAACGCAATTGTGTGTGTGTGAGTGTGTGCACATGAGTGTGTTTGAGAATGTGTGTGTGTGCATGTGTTTGAGAGTGTGTGTGTGCATGAGTGTGTTTGAGAGTGTGTGTGTGAGTGTGTGAATGTGTGGGTGTGTGTTTGAAAAAGTGTGTGTGCGGTGTGTGAGTGTGAGAGTCTGGGTGTGTGTTTGAGAGTGTGTGAGTTGTGTGGTGTGTGTTTGTGTGTGTGTGAGTGTGTGGGTGAGTGTGTGTTTGAGAGCGTGTGTGTGAGAGCATGTGAGTGTGTAGGTGTGTGTTTGAGAGTGTGTGTGTGCAGTGTGTGGGTGAGTGTGAGTGTGTGGGTGAGTGTGTGAGAGAGTGTGTGTGTGTGCTTTCAGGCACAAGTTTTCTTTCACACTGTTGGTCCTCACCTGGGGAAAGGAGAACCCTCAGTATGGGGCCAAGTGCCAGCCTTGGGCCTTGTCTCCGAGCCTGGGTTTTAGCCCATTCTGCTGCTCGTGGCTGCCTGCAGGCAGAGCATGAGGGAGCCCTCCTGGTGATGGGAGCAATCCGACCTCCTCGCCTAGCGAGGAAAGACCCAGTGGGGCTGGACTCGGGATGGAGAGGCAGCGCCTCCCGAGCTGGGACCCACGGCCCAGGATAAAAGGAGCTCCATGTCCCTAGAAACGTCTGGTAGCAGCCCAGGGAGGGGTGTCAGCCAGAGGACCGCCGAGGACCCTCCCAGCTCCCAGAGTCTCCCCTGGTGTTTGCACCTGGGACTCTGGCCTTCAGGGAGGCTCAGGACAGTGCGGGAGAGAACGTCTAATCAGGGTTGTCCATGTGTTCATAGGCTGTGGCAAGATTTTGGTAGGGTGGCCATAAATGAGGCCACTGATGTCAACACGTTGAATGCTTATTGCAGAAGATAGGCGGAATGCAGAAACTAGCTAGAAGACAATAAAACTTCCCATAACCTCACCACTCACACAACACCCTGGCTTCACTCCACAGTGCTGTATGCGCACACTCCCCTGCATACATTCACACACTAGGAATCCAAACACCATCCCCTGTTGCTTCCTAGGGACATCCCACAGTTGAGCCAGTCCCCTTTTGGGTATCTATCATAAGTTACGCAGCAGTGGGCATCCCTGTGGCTTGGTGTCCACGTACAGCTATGGCAATTTCCTCAGCTGAGGTTCAGGAGGTGGAATTGCTGGGCCACAGGGTATATGCATTTTCAGGCTCTTTGGACAATTTTCAAAGACGGACTGATTCTCTGTCCAGTTGCCTCAGCTCAGGGGTTTGGGAGCCCTGCTGATCTTGCCCCTCTGGTGGCGGTAAGCACCACCTCCCTGCTGGTGGCTCCCACACTTCTGCTTCCAGCCCATCCTGGACCTTGGCTGAGCATGTCCAGCTGCTGACCCACTGTTGCTACTTGGTTGTCAACAGCCATGCCAGACTCGCCATGTCTCAAATGAACTTCCGATCTTGTCCCTCAGCCAGCTCCACCTGCAGCCTCTCCTGTCCTAGCTAATGGCAATGCCATCCTCCCAGGTGCTTGGGCTCAATTCATTCTTGCACAGCCAGATCCCCACCAGCAGGAAACCCTCTCAGCTCTACTTTGAAACATGCCCAGAATCTGCCAGATCCCACACCGCTCCCCTGCCTGGAGCTCATCATCCCTGCCTGCATCCCTGCAGGAGCCTGGACACCAGTCTAGCCACTCCCACCCATGCCCCCTACAGTGTGTCCTCATCACAGCAGCCAGGGTGCTTCTTGAAAACTGGTTATTCATATCACGTGTTTCCTCACAATCAGTGGCCTACAAAGTGTCCATGATGGACCCTGAGATCTCTCTGCCCTCATCTCCTGCAACTCTTCCCGCTGTGCACCCCTTCCAGCCACGCTGGCCTCCTCATGCTCCTCAAGCGCACTAGGCATGCTCTTGCCTCAGGGCCTTTGCACAGGCCGCTCCCTCTGCCTGGAAGGCATTCCTCCCAGATATCCACATGGCCCACTCTCCTGCGAGTGCATGCTCATATGTCACCTCCCCAGTGACCCTCAGCTGGTTCCTGCACTGCTCCTTCTTTCCCAGGGCACCTCACTCCCAACACTGGATGACTCACTCACCTGCTCTGTTGGGGTTGGTCTCTCCCAGGCAGTCTCAGCTCCCCCAGGGTGCGGGCTTTACCTTGTTCCTTTCTGTGTCCTTAAGCTCTAGCACAGTGCCTAGCACACAGTAGGGCATGTCAGGGCAGATGTGCGCAGTGTGGCCAGACCCAGCTGGATCCCCCACTGCCTGAAGCCTCACCTTGCAGCTCACTGGCTCTCTGTGGTATAAGACTTTGATTTGACTTGGTGGGGGGCAGGGGTGATTCCTATGTGGGTGACTCCATGGATGCTGTCACTGAACCACCTCTCAGAGCCTCCCCAGCCAGCCCTCAGCCCAGAGCTGGTCTGAGCAGCAGGTCTTCCTGGGTGATGACAGGAGAAGGTGGTTAATGTGGGCGGGGCTGCTGCTCTAAATCTGAGAAATTTGCAGTCAGCTTCTGCCAGGGACAAAGGTGTCAACCTTGAGGGGAAGGTGGTGGAGGGAAGCAGTAGCGGGTGAGGAGGGGGGAGACTTGCTCACCCCTGATGGAGCATGCATTCTCCTATTGCTACTGGTTCTAGGAGCAATGCGTGTGAGATGCCAACAGCCTGGGAGGGCAGATGAAACAAAAGCCCACCCACCACCCCAGCCATCTGCCTTCTTCTTGGCATGTGCAGCTTACCTCCTGCTGGCCCAGCATACCTTGGCTGTGAGCATGTTGGAATTCTCACTGGGCTCGCTGAGTAGATGCCACAGGGTCTTGCCCAGAGACTTCCTATCAGGCGCCTCTGCAGGACCCTCCCCTGGGTCACATGTCTGAGCTCAGCAAGGGTTGGGGCTGAGGCTGGGAGCCTGGCCATGATGGCCATCAGAATGGAGTTCAAATCCAGACTTGACACTTATTAGCTGTGTGACCTTGAGCAAGTTGTTTAGCCTCTCTGAGCCCCAGCATGTAGAATGCATTGTGTATCACAATGACTGGCATAGAACATAGACTCAGTAAATGTTAGAATTATGAATCTGATGTGTGGGTAGCTTGAACCCTGAAAACTGGGAGCCCTGGGATTTTCTCTCTCCTGATGGCCCTGGGCAGTGACAGTCTGTTTCACTTATTTGACACCTAGCACATGTTTCCAGTCACAGCCGTATGTTCTCATGGCCCTATGTCCTCCCACTGTGCCTGGCACAAAGTTTGGCATGAAGGAGAATGTTGGAAATTGGAGTCTGAGGGCTTTGGGGACTGGCTATGTGTCTTCTTAGGAGGAGGGCTCTAAGCCAGCACTTGAGAGATTTGGGGGCAGCTGGCTGTGGCCCTGCCCTTACCTCTGGAGCAGGTCTCTGGCACCTATCCCAGGTCCAAGCAGGAAGCCCAGCACAGAAGGGTGTGTCTGTGTTTCCTGATCCAGTGGGGAGACAGGATTGGTGGGAGCTCAGGCCGCATCCTGAAGGTGGGCCTGAGGATGGTGGAGGAAGCCACTTGGCTGTGCTGAATGGGAAGTGAGGAGGCCAGGAGGCTGGGGGAACAGCTATTGCACAGAGCAGAGTGAGGTCAGGCTCTCCCTGGGGACCCATGCTGCTCACCATGGCCTGGGTACTGAGGAATGCCAGCAGGCAAAGCAGCATCCCTCACCACACTGAGGCTGGAGGTCAGGGCTTAGGAGTCTGTCTCTTCCCTCTGGCATCAGCCTCTGCTCTCTCTGGGCCTTGCTTTCCTCCCGTAGACAGAGGAGCCAGAGGAAGATCTGGGACCTCAGGGAAAACCCAGCAGCAGGGTGGAGCCCTTCAGGCCCAGCTGCTTTGCTTTACCCTTTGGAGCCTGTGCCACCTTGACCTAGTGTCGGTGCCACCTCACCCTGTGGGGAGGATGGAGGCAGAGTCAGGTTGGAGCTGAGATGGTCCCTGCTTCCGAATGCTTTGGAGGCAGTCCCTGCCAATCCTGCAGAATTAGGGTTGTGTGCATCTACCCCTGACTGATGGATCTGGGCACTGAGGCAGTCTGATCGCCTCCGATGGGGAAAGGAGAACAGGCACTTGAGAGGTTGGGGGCCCAGTGTGCCTGGCAGTGTTGGAGCCTGAGCCTGCACTGTGGAAAGCGAAAGGCATTATGCATGCATGTGTATGCAGGCGCTCACTTTTTGGCAGACATTCACCCTGTGTTTTTTGTGTGATGCATATTGTGCTCCGTGAGGGAGGGGCCATGTCTTCCCCTCTTACAAAGTCAGGAAACGGGAACAGCAGCATGGTGTGATGGAAACATCAGGAGACTCTGACTCAGGCAGACCTGGTCAATCCTAGAGTGACCTCTCTGAGCCTCAATGTCCTCGTCTGTAAAATGGGGACAAGAAGACCTACTTCACAGAAGTGTTTTGGAAGATTGAATAAAAATAATACCCGTGAAAATCCTTGGCCTGTGGGATTGCCTAACAATTGTTCATTTCCTTCCCTCCTTCCTTCCTTCCACCGCAAACTTCCTGCAGCACCCAGCAGAATGGTGTGCTCTCCCCAGCTATTTGTGGATGATGTTCTTAGCAGATGTTGTTTAATTCTCATAACATCTGGTTTGGAATGGCAGAGGGCTGGAGTTTTTTCTGTAGAAGATACTCACTCACTGTGAGATGTCAGATTGTCACTTAATTGCCCAATGCCTCGGTTTCTCCACTTGTAAATCAGGGATAACGCTAGTGCTGCTGGCTAGCTTCTTTGCAGGATATGATAGGGTAATGCAAGATAACAGATGGAAAGTGGTTTGAACATTTAGAGAAAGGCATCTTGCTCAACCCCGCTAGTAGTTAGGGAAATGCAAATTAAAGCTGCAATGCTATACCATTTTTCATGTGTTCGATTGGCAGCCATTTAAAAGAGAGATCACTTCCAGGTGGGCACATAGGCCCTCTCATATACTGCTGGTGGGACTGAGAATTGCCACAGCCTTTTCCAGAAGATAATATGGCAGCGTCTAGTAAAAGTTCACATACACACTCTGGGTTGTATTTAATTGACCCAGCACTCCCACTGTTGGAGAACCACACTGAAGAGCCAAATCCCAACACAATTATGTACAGAGAGATGTTCGCGGTGGCATTGCTTTTGGGGGCAGGAACCTGGAAACATCCAAATGCCCATCAGTAAGGGATGAAATCTCCATTAGGAAACATCCATACCATGAGCTATTATTATCTCCTAAAAAGAAAGAGGTAATTCTAAGCAATGTTGGCCTGGAGTGCTGTCTGTGGGATTTCTTGATGTGCGAAAAGCAAGTTTCTTGTATGTAGAGGGTAACTCCATTATTCTCAAAGTAAACAGTAGCCTCACGGCTCTGTACATGTGTGTAATGGGAACATATTTCTTGGGTGCAGAGAAAGGCCTGGTAGGATGCATGCCAGCCCTTGCCTGCCCACTCTGGCCATGGTCATGTTTGACTCACAAAGTATTCCTTACAAATTGAGTTATTTGCCAACATTTAAAAATTGAATTCATGTGAAAAGCCTGATTTCTAGTTTTTCATTGAGAAAAATCAGAAGCTCCGCCACACTGGGCCCACATTCCCTCTTGGCTGAAACACATCAGCAGCTGCCACTTTTCAACAGAGAGCATGTGGACTCCAACTGGCCATCATCCCCACCCACCCAGCAACACCCTCATCTAAATTCCCTGCTGGCCTTGTAAGCATTTCAGTTTGCAACCCCTGTGATAGGCTGTTAATATTCAGAAACTCAAGGCAGTGGAAACACAGGGATAGGATGTGTAGGGGGAAGAGTTGCCTCTTATTATTCAAATACATCTTAGAATCTTTTGTGTTTCGTCATGCATGGTGGCTCACGCCTGTAATCCCAGCACTTTGGGAGGCTGAGCCGGGTGGATCACTTGAGTTCAGGAGTTTGAGACCAGCCTGACCAACATGGTGAAACCCCATCTCTACTCAAAATACAAAAAAATGAGCCAAGCGTGGTGGCACGCACCTGTAATCCCAGCTACTCGGGGGGGCTGAGGCAGGAGAATCACTGGAATCCAGGAGGTGGAGGTTGCAGTGAGCCGAGATCACCCCACTGCACTCCAGCCTGGGTGACAGAGTGAGATTCTGTCTCAAACAAAAAAAAAAAAAAAAAAGAAAGAAAGAAAGAAAAAAAAGAAAAAGGAAAAGAATCTTTTATTCTTCAAATGACTGTCTCATACTTTGTAATTAGGATGTTTTAAGTATAATATCAGAAGGAAAGCAAAAGGGGACTGTTGTATGTCGTGTTGGTCAGGAACATCTGGTAGGGTCACCTCATTGTTCACTGAGGACATGGGCTGAGAGGGATTGAGGCCTCTCCAAGTCCAGAATTAAGGGGTCCACGCTCTCAGCTCTTTCTTAATCCCTCACCCCTATATCTTGGCAGAGATGTGGAAGTCTCTCCAAAAATCCTTTCCTCCAGCTCTATTCACTGCCCTGTGTCTTTCCTGGTCACTTATTGACAAGAGAGATAGGACACCAGCTTGGGTCTTGATGCTGGCTCTGCTCTCTAGTTGGAGGTCTCTGAACAAATTGTCTGATGGCTCTAAGCCTACTTTGTGAGCCAGGGAGATGAACACGCCCCAGGCCAGATGCACAGTAGGTATGCACTGAAGGGTAATGTGTGTGAGTCTGGCCCTGCACTACCAGGGCAGACAGTTCTGTAGGAGGTTAGGATTCCTGGTTGGTGAGTGTGGTCCCCCTGGTGTCACTGCTGGGCTCTAGGGAGGCCTGCTCCTGAGCCGCTGGAGGACCAGGGCCCTGATGGAATGGGACCAGAGTGGGGACTGTTGCCATATGGGAGAGAGCTGTCTACCCTCCCAGCCACCCTTAGAAATAGGATCTGGTCTTTCAGAACCTCTGTCAACTGAGCCCCCGATCTCACTAGAGCTTAGCTCTGAGCCCTTCAAAATTCAGCTTTAGCCTCCACAGACTTGCTGTGAGGTCCTGGGCAGGTTGCCTCCCCTCTCTGTGCCTCTTTGGACACCATGACCTGCTGCATCCCTTCATATACAAGGTTATGGGATAATGTGGTGAATATAAAAAATAAAAAAAAACAGGAAGAGATATGCTCATTGGGCACTGGTGGTGGGATTGGGCTTGTTGGACTTGCCAAGCCCCCTGTTAGACCGCTGTCTTCCCGGTCAGTGCCCATCTCCTCAATGCTGTCCTCAGGATAACCAGGCTCTGTCACTCTTGGGGGATGTGGTCCTGGAGGCTGAAGGCAGCAGCCCCTGCCTCCATCTACTGGGCCTAGAATATGTCACTCTTTGCCCAGAGTCCCCTCGCAGGACAGCCAGTCCCCCAGGAGGGCAAAGAGGACCCAATAGGCCCCAGCCTCACCCAGTGACTCACAGGCCACTGTGCTATACCCAGGATAGGACAATGTTAAAACCAAATGATACAGACCCTCTCCTTTCTCCCATGTGCTCCTAAACCCTCCATCTGGGTTGATTCCTTCTCCTCCCTTCCCAGCCCCAGTTCTCTCTGGAGCTGCAGAGGTGGGAGGGGCTGAGGAGCAGACCCTCTGCCACCCAGGAAGCTTCTCACCCTCTTCTCTTTCTTTGTGTCCCCAGGAGCCATGGGGCGCCATGTTGCCACCAGCTGCCACGTGGCCTGGCTTTTGGTGCTGATCTCTGGATGCTGGGGTAAGTCCAGTCCTCCCCGTGTCTATCCCATGGGCAGCCTCTGCACGGGAGGCCAGGCTGGAGGGTGTTGGGGCTGGTGGTTCATCTTTGTGCTCTGGGACTCTGGAGACACTGTCTTACTGTGTGACTGAGGCACATACTTCCCTCTCTGGGCCTCAGTTGCCTTCTGCAGCTCTCACAGGGCTGAAAATACCAGCTGTCCCCAAAGCCTGGGACACAAGAGGGAATGGGAGGAGCCTTGAGAAATACTTGAGCTCTAAGGGAAGGAGGCACCTGTGACCGTGAACCGTCCTCCTCCTGGGGTGCAGGGACTGGCCACAGCTCTATTCAGTTCCACGGCTGTGTTCTGAGCACCTACTGTTTGCACTGTGTGTGACCTACTGCACCCAGCTCTGAGGGAATGGAGGAAATAACTCATTCTCAAGAAGCTCAGAGCCTGGCAGGGGAGAAAGACACATGCAGGATTTCCTATACTGCAGGGTGAATAGAGTGGTAATGAAAGATGGGCGCGGCTCCAGGGATGTCCATCGGAAGAAAAGATGAATTGGGCCTGAGGGGACAGGAGAAACCCAGCCAGAAGGGTCAGCATTTGATCTGGGCTGTGAAGACCAAGAAGTAGTTTTAAACTAGGTGAGCAGGAAGAAAGGCGTCCTGCTGGAGGGCATAGTCTGAGCAAAGCTATGGCAGCCAGGAGCCTTCCCCTCTGCCCTCCTTTCCTGGCCTTCCAGCAGCCAGCTCAGAGTGCCAGCTCCAGAGCCCACGGAGGAGGGTAGGAGAGGCCTGGGCATTTGCTTCTCGCTTGGCCCCTGGACAGCAGGTGGTGGGGAGCAAAGCAGCCCTGGGCTGCACTGAAGGCAGGCCAGGAGAGCAGGCATGCCTGATGTGGCATCCCCCAGGGCCATAGCATCCCCAGAGAAGAGCCGTGGGCATGGTGTACCTGGTGACACACGCAAACACATTCCTGTGGGGGGCCAGCTCCTTCTCCCCTCCAGGGAGCCAGGCGGAGTCTCTGGAGGCTGCTGCAGCCTCGTGCTTGTTGGAGTGTTGCTAGCGTCCTGCAGCCTGAGTATCCCTCGAGGATTCCCTCTCCTTGCCTCCATGTTTGAAGGGATCCCTACTGGAATCCCCCCTGTGATGGGAAGCTCACTCCCATCCAGGCAGCCCAGGAGTACAGCACAGTCTCAAAGACTCTCAGAGTGCAAGGGAGCCTCAGGCGCTTTTTTAACTCCCAGCTCATTTTACAGAGGAGACACCGAACCCTGGAGAAGCTACTGGCCCAAGGCTGTACAAAGCAGGGGTCTGTTATCCTCCATGGGGGCTTCTGTCAGGATATCACCCCCCTCACCCCGCTCCCCCCCTGCCTCATGTGGGAGGCTTCAATCGGGGCTCCTGAGAGCAGCCGTGGCCTCCATGTTCGCTGCACGGTGGGAGTCAGGACACTTTCTTCAGCCTCCCCGGGGACTCTGCCACCTGGGATCCACCCTCCTCCCCCATTCTGTTCCACTCACTTTCTTCATCCGTTAAAAAGAAATACATTTGGCCCGGCATGGTGGCTCTTGCTTATAATCCCAGCACTTTGGGAAGCAGAGGTGGGAGGATCACTTGTGGTCAGGAGTTCAAGACCAGCCTGGCAAACATGGCACAACCCCAACTCTAATAAAAATACAAAAATTAGCTGGACATGGTGGTGGCGCACACTTGTAGTCGCAGCTACTTGGGAGGCTGAGGCACAAGAATCGCTGGAACCCAGGAGGCGGAGGTTGCAGTGAGCCGAGATTGTGCCATTGAATTCCAGCCTGGGTGAAAGAGTGAGACTCTGTCTCAAAAAAAGAAAAAAGAAAAAAAAAAATACATCAGTAGAAATAAAGGAGGTGCTAAGCCCTTGGCTGCTTTCCTCTGTGAGACACGGCAGTCTCCCCTTGAGCTCTCCAGATGAAAGATGCTTCGTGCATTCAGGGTGAGGACAAGAACAGAGTGTATAGCCAGAGCTGACCTCCTGTCTTCCACTCCCGCTCCAGCTAAGGGGTCCCTTGGGCGAGTGTCTTAACCTTGCTGTGCTTTAATTTCCTTGTCTTTAAAATGGGAACAATAATAGGACTTTCCTTCTCAGGTTGTCAAAGTGATCAAATGGATTAATCTGTACATCAAGCACTTAGAATAGTGCCTGGCACAGATGAAGTGCTTATTAAGTGTTGGCTCCTTTATTATCAGAAGTTATCTTTCTCTAAGGGGAGCAAAATGGGGCATAGAAAACAGAGAAGCTAAGCAAATTGCCCAAGGTCACCCAGCAATTCTATGCCAAAGCGTGTATGGTCGGCCTGCATGTGGACTAGCCTGCTTTGCCATACGCACAAGGGTCCCTCACTCTCTCATTGCTTGGCACAGTCACCTCTTTCTGGTCCCTGTCTGAAGCAGCCAGTGCTGTTCCTTTGGCCTAGTGGGGCAGTGGCTGACTTTAGAGACTAGGGGAGAGTGGGTGACTGAACCACCTTCCCAGGCCCTCTAGACACCCCTGACCTAGCCCTTCACTTGTGCCCCAGATCAGACCACACTGCCCTCGCCACTTTGTTTCCACCTGACCCCGTCACCCCAGCCGATCTCTACCCCCCTACCTGGTAGTCAGGGATGGGTAGGGCTCAGGGATTTCAAAACCCCTTGCCAGCCTGCCTTCTCTCTTTGAAGCCTCCTGCCCTTCTCCCCTCTGGCCTCAATGTACTCTAGCAATTCTCCTTCTTCATCCGTGGGCTTGTTGGGGAGGCAGGAAGCGAAGGCCTGGGCAGGCCTGCCCCACCCCATCCTAGACTGACTAGCCAGCAAGCATTCTGCTGGGTCACTCCTTCTGTCCCCAGTTGCTGGGTGGGAGAGGCCTCTGACCATGCGGCCACCTGGCTTCCCCACCCGACAACATGTCAGGCTTCTGTCCCCTGGGGCTCATGTGGGCCACGCTGCAGTCACCTCAATGGTGACCAGGGTGCATGGGACACCTGTGGCCGGGAGGCAGGACTGGAGGGCAGGGCAGGGCTTTTTGTCCCCATCCTGAGGCTGGAAAATGGGGCGGAGGGCGAGGCAGAGGGAGAGGGATCTGCCTAAGCTCCCCAGCAGCAGTGGCAGAGCATGCAAAGTCCCTGACTCCTTGAATTTATCCCTGCACTCCCTGTCCAGTGCGCCTTCCTTGTCAAGGGGCGACTGGCGGGGGCACTCTGAGGATCTCTCCAGCAGGGATCTCAGCAGAGCCACTGCACCTTCAGCCCCCACCACCGCCCTGAGGCCTGGGGAGGCGACCGGGGCTTGGACTCAGACTGGCCTGGCTGGAATCTGGACCCTCCACTTGCCTGGGTTCTTCATGCCCTCAGAGGAACCCCCACCCCGCAATTCAGGGTGAAGTTTATGCTTCCTGGCTTGGCCCACCCTGATCCGGTGGGGACCTTCCCCATACAAGCACACCGACGTCCCTTCAGTCCCAGATCAGGTCCCCTGGATGCCACCTCCATGCCGCCACCCAGCCTCTGTTTACCCCTGTGTGTGGGAAATGCTTGTCATTCAGCAGGCAGCTGGAATGCTGTGCCCTCTCTGTGCCCTTCTCTCCCCTCTCTCCTCAGGCCCCTTAGGGTGCTAGAACTAAGTAAAGCAGGCACATGCCCTCCCGGTCTGCCTTTGCAGGCTCTAGTTGGGGAATGGCCATGGGGGTGGCAGAGAGGGCGGGAGAGGGCTCAGGGCAGTGCTCACAAGCCACAGACCCACAATGGGGTGGGCCACGTGGGGCTTGGGACAGAGAGAGGGGTCCTGCACTTGGGAAGCTGGGATTCTCCTTCCCCCGAAGAAATCACCCCCTGCCCCTCCCCTTCTACATCCACTTACATTCCCGCTTCGCTGGAGGCCCCAAAGCTGCTGAGCACACAGCTGCTGCGCTTTAACAGCGGCTTTGAGAATAAGTCACCTGTCTGCCCCGCCTGTGGTGGGCCTGCTCTGGGAACACAGGTCCTGTTTGGTATGTGGCAGGCGACCCACGTCCCGGAGTCTGCCTAGCTGTCTGTGCAGAGCTCCCAGTGACTGATTAGTGGCAGGCCCTGTAAAGTAAAATTTAGAAATGAACGATGCCACTGCAGGTGATTTTTTTTCCTCACTGGTTTCCTGGCCTCAACAGCCCAAAGCAGCTATTGAATTCTCTGGGCACTCATTTGCCTCGGCTGGGCTGCGTCCTGCTCTCCTGTATCCTGAGCCCAAGGCCCCCAGCAGGGATCAAAAGCCTTCCCGTCGGCTGCAAAGGCAGCGTATTTATTAATACCACTGTTAATACTGGCTACCATTTATGGAGTGCTTGCTGTGTGCCAGTGGCACAGCGCTAAGCGCTTTATGTATGTAATCTCATTTAATCCTCAGGTTAGCCATGAAGTCCTATTATTATGGCTATTTTACACATGGGTAAACTGAGACATGGGATGATCATGTGGCTAGAAAGAGGCACAGGGAGGTTTCAAAAAAGGTGAGGCCCTTGACCACCACCTCTGTCTGAGGCTGTTGTGCTCCTGACAGGAGACTGGGGAGGTGTGTACGTGGGTGCATGTGAGTATTTGGGGTGGTCAGGGAGGGCTTCCTGGAAGAAGGGCCAATGGAAATGAGATTTGGAGGATGAATAGGAATTTGGCAAATGAAGGCAGAAGGGCCATCGGTCCTGGCCAGTAAGTGAGAGAGGGCAGAATAAGGGACTAGAAATGGCATCAGCTTGGCTGCCTGAGCACATCGAGGTGGGGAGGAGGAAAAGAGGCCAGTCTCCCAGCTCTGCCTGGTCCCAACTAGGAGGCATCTTGGGTTGGAGGAGGAAGTGCCATACCCAGATGCCAACCTTCTCACCCTCTGGGAGCCTGGCACATGCTCTGAGGGAGCCCCGGGTCAGCAGAAAGGAAGGGAGAGAGAGCTGCCCCATACACCCACACTCAGGGCCCCTGGAGGGCTGAGCAGGTGCCCCTGATGGCAGGTGCTGCACAATGACAGTCCCACTTCCAGCTAGACCAGCTGCCTCCTGGTTGGGAGGGACTGAGGGGAAGTGCCCTCACTTGCCTACTGAAGGCCCCTAAGAGAAGCTGGGGGACAGGTGGGGTCAGCTCAGGGAAACTTCATGTGGGGGCTCCTCATAGGTGCCAAGCTCCCCAGCCCATGTAGGTATCACCCTGACCCCCTCCAGACCCAGCCCGCTCTGAAGCCATCACAGAGCAGCACGTGGTTAACAGCACGAGCTTTGGGGTCTGGCTTCCTGGATGGCCACCGCCACTTGCCAGCTGTGAAAGCAAGGCATGTTACTTATGCCCTGGAGTTCTCATTTTCCCCAGTAAAATAGGGATGTGATAGCACCTGCCTTGCCATCAGGATTGAGTGAGGTGGTTTAAATAGCTGGTATGGAGAAGGGGTTCCTGAGATGGCAGCTATTATCATCATCGTTATTATTCTGTGGGATCAGCTGGCCATCCCTTCACACACCAAATCGTCTTGTGGGTTGTCTAAGTGTCAGGCCCTGTTCTGGGCACCAGGGTTCCACCCGTCAACCAAGCCCTGTCCTTGCAGAGCTCATATTCTGCTAGAGCCACACTGCCCAATAGAAAGACAATGCAAGCCACATGTGATTTTAAATGTTCTAGGAGCCGCACTAGAAAAGTAAAAAGAGACAACGTGCGATGGCTCACGCCTGTAATCTCAGCACTTTAGGAGGCCAAGGCAGGAGGATTGCTTGAGCCCAGGAGTTGGAGACCAGCCTGGGCAACATAGTAAGACCCTCCCCACTGCATCTATACAAAAAAAATAAAGTAAAATAGCCTGGCATGGGGCATGCCTGTGGTCCCAGCTAATTGGGAGGCTGAGGCAGGAAAATCGCTTTAGCTTGGGTGGTCCGGCCTGCCGTGAGCCATGATCACACTGCTACTCTTCAGCCTGGGTGACAGAGTGAGACTCTGTCTCAAAAAAAAAAAAAAAAAAAAAATCGGCAAATTAAAAAGAAACAGGTGACATTCATTTTAATCATATATTTTACTTGATCCAATATATCCAAAATAGAATCATTTCAATATATAATCAATGTAAAAGATCAGTGAGCTATTTTACACTAATTTTTTTCATACAGAGGCTTCTAAATCCTGTCTTTTGCCTGAGGAGCCCCTGTCATGTGCTTGCTCCATGTGGGCCATGCTCAGCAGGCACGTGTGGCCGGTGGCCTCACTTGCCACACACCAGACAGCTGCCTGCCGACCTACTGGCATTGTCCCCCACTTGCCTTGAGGCAGGATAGTGACTTCCAGGGTCCTGGGAAGTTGACCATGGCCATGGACACAGGCTCAGTGCCCACTGCAGCCCTCACCCTGTGTCACCTTATAGAGTGTGTAAAGCTGATGGGGGGTACTTGGCTGACGCTCTTGTCCTCTGACTTCCAGGCCAGGTGAACCGGCTGCCCTTCTTCACCAACCACTTCTTTGATACATACCTGCTGATCAGCGAGGACACGCCTGTGGGTGAGTGGGGGCATGGGCTGGTGGGCGTGCAGATGGCCTGGGGTGCAATCCCTTCCCACAAGTGAAGGGGATCTTACAGGTTGAGGTCATCTTCCACCTGATTTTGGAATCTTTTCCATTGTGTAGAAAGGCCCCTGCTAGGATGCCTCCAGGGACAGGGCACTCAGTCCCACAGAGGGGAGCTCTGAACGTCAAAGGGTTTATCACATTGAGCCTCAGATGCTCCACTCCCACTTCTGGCACTAGTTTGGATTCCTCTTGCACTTGAAGGCCTTGTGAATATTTGAAGATGGCAGCTGTTGTAGACTTTGTTTTGTGGCCTTTTGTAATTTTCTGTGATTACTAAGTTTTCTGCATTGAGTTTGCCTGGCTTTGGCATTAGAAAAAACATGAACTATTTAGGGGGTGATTATAAACATCTTGGTGCTCAGCCCGTCGCCCCATCACTCAGGTCTGTCCCAGTGTCTGGCCCCCTACTGAGGGCCTGCCTCCTACATCTGTGGCCCCATTGTCCTAGCTCAGCTCTTAGGACCCAGAAGCTTCTCAGGAAACTGAGGCTGAATTGCAGGAGCTGTCTTATAGCTGTGCTGATGGGGAGGCACCTGTGCCCGTGTGCAGGCAGCCAAACAGCAGCACCTGAAAAGGGCCTGCCCACCTCCACCGACAGCCCTCCTGTGTCATGTCATTCTCGCTGGTGTCACTTTAGGGAAAGTGCCTGTCATCCGGGGCTTCTTACTCTCGGGTCTGCCATCTCTACATGTGCAAAGGCAGGCCTGTGTGCCAGAGGCCAAGTGCATCAGGGGTCAGCATGGTGCATCTTTAGGGAGCATCACTTGAACTTGGAAATGAGGCAGGATGGCTCGGAGTGGGGCGGGGTATCAAGATGCTTACCTAATAGGTCATGTACACACTCTTTCATATGAAACCCAGTGTAGGTGTGCAGTAGAGTGGATGCATAATTCTTCAACGATCTCTGCTCCAGTGGGGTGCCTTACGCGGGCCCAGACTCTCCCCTGCTGTCAGTGGGGGCCTGTGAGCAGCGCCTTTCACTCTTCCTGGTGGAGGTTTTTTTTCAGGGGGTGCTGGGCCCAGCAGGTGTGTGTCTGGCTGTTTGTTGTGGGGATTGTCCCCACGGCCCAGTAGCACTTTGTTCCTGGGGGCTGTGGGGGGCCCTCTGTGGAAAACGGCTACTCCTTTGGTGATAGATCAGTGTTGTAAGGCTAGATTTGGGGGTAGGGTTTGGGGATCTGGGTGTTTGAGGGCTCCCCAGGAAGAAGGTTCCTGCCTTTTTGGAATGCCCTCTCATAGGCAGAGCCCCTTTCTGGGGGTAGAGAGCATACCCACGTCCCTTGGGGACCCTGCTAAGCTGTTTGCTCCCCTTTGGATTGGGTTGAGGGATATTTGTGGACGACTGGACTTGTAACACACCTGTATTCTTTGGGTGGAATTCACCTGTGACTCCTCTCTCCACCCAGACCTGGGGTGGGGCTGGCATGGAGCCAACATAGCAGCACACAGTGCATGTGTCTAGGCAGATGGATGTGCTGTTAGCAGCATTTATCATTATTCATGTCCATTTAAATCTCATCCTCTGGGAGATCCCTTTGTGGTGGAGGGATATATTTGGAGCAGGTGGGCCACTGAGGCAGTGGTGTGGCCAGTCACTAACTGACCCTGCTGCCGGCTGGGGAAAGTGAAGGCCCCTCTCAAGTGAGTGGTCCCTGCTCTGTCCCCACATCTGTGACCTGCATGCCAGGTTCTGAGCGTGGGGTCCTCAGAGGCCTATGTATTGGGATGGGTTGGGGAGGGATGGGCATTGCATGGCCTGTGCTGATGGTGACAAGCCCGGGCTGGAAGCCCATGTGGCCAGCCCTTCAGCAGGTCCTTCTCCTGCTGCCTTCAGCTCTGGCTCTTGATTGTCTTTTGCAAACGCCAGCATCGATCGGCCTCCGGAAGCAGCTCCCAGGCCTCGAGCCCTGTTAAGGCTGCACTTGGCAGTCACAGCAGGGTGGCTGTCTAGTGCCATGGGGATTGATCCCTGACTCCAGGGTGCCATAGGATTGAGAGGGGGCTCAGTGAGCTGGAAGATAGCTATGCTCTTCTCTCTAGGCAGGGGGTGGGTGCGGAGCTGCCTCAGCGCCCTCCCAGCCTCTTCTCTTCTTTTTGCATCAGTATGGGAACAGCACAGCTTTCACCTGAAAGTCAGGAGCCCAACATCTGTTTCTCGCTGTGTAACCTTGGGCACAGCACTGCACCTCTCTGGGCCTCTATCTCCTCATTTCAACAATGAGTGGGCATTGGAAAGATGAGCCCAGTGGACTTTGGCTGGGGCAGCCTGGCTGGCCCCAGTTGTTTCTAGGTTCTCAGAGGAGACCAGCCTGGAGCCCTCTGCTGGGTGCTGGCACCCACTTGTCCCTGGGCCAAGCAGATGGTGGGTATGGACTCACATGGACGTGTGGGCTCCATGGGTGCAGGCCTCCCACCAGCAGGCCAGGGAGAGGGGGAGGTTGAAATGGCTTGTCCAGGGGACTGGCCTTTTTCCTGCCATGGGGAGTGGGGTGGTCTAGAGACTTGACTTTGAGACTTGGCTCTCATGAACTGTTCACTCTTTGACTCAGGGTTCCAGTCACCAAAATGGGTGACTGGATCCCTCACTGGATTGTTGGGAAGTTTACATACAATACCACCACCTCTAAAGCTTCCAACCCAGGAATGTTTTGTTTTTACTAAAGGGAGAGCCCATGTGTGGCCCAGGGATGGCAGATTGGGCTGTCCTACAAGCCATGGGCTTTCAGGGTGGACAAACACACAGATAAGCTGGGTCCAGGGTGGTGCTCAGTGCCAGTGGCAAGAGGCAGAGCCCAAGCCAGGCTGACCGTGTCGGCTCACCAGAGGTTGGAGTTGTAAGCAGATCAAACTTCCAGCTCGAGGCCTCATTACCTGGCTTCTCCTTAGACACCCAGTGATGGTCAGCTCGTGGGCCTACAAGGCAGCTCACTCTGTGCTGTGGGACGGTTCCAGGAAGAAAAAATTCTTCCTAAGATTAACAGGAAACCTGCCTCCCTGGAACTACCCATTGGGTCTAATTCTGATTGCTGGAGCCTCATAGATTAAAAATGATAATATAACACATATGACATACTATATATATAGATATATAGATATATCATAAATTATTATAACAACAGCATTTATTGACTGTTCAAGGCAGTGTCCTAAGTGTTTTTATGCATTAATTCATTTTAAAAATTCCTTTTAAGAATCAGAGGTAGAGTTGGGCTACAGGGTCTATCTATATGTAGCTTCTGTGAATGTGCTTTCCTGGGTTAGAGACTGAGACTTTTATCCACCCCCAACCTTCTGAGCCTTCTCGTTTTGTATGCTCTTGCCTGCGTTCCAACAGGGGGCCAGTGGCCTGGGAGCAGAATGGGAGGGCACAGCATGGCCATCTGAAATCCCTCACAGAGCCTACGTGTTCATTACTATCTCCTCACCTATCTCAGGCTCCAGTTCCCTCTGTGTAATGTTCTTTTTGAAGACCGTCTACCAGCCGGAGAAGACAGAAGCCAAATGAAGTCATTAACTAGTGCTGCCTTCTCCTGGTCTGTTCACATCGCCCTGCTTCCCCAGACAGGGCCCTGAATCCCTGCATGTCTTGCTCCAGACGTTAATATCAGTTGTTGGCAGCAGAGCCTGGAATGCGTGGAGTGGCGTGAGGGCAGATCAGCAGCTCAGTCCCTGGTCAGGCTGGTTGGCCTCACCCACACCTTGGCCCTGCCTATCAGCCCTGAATGGTCACATGATGCCTTTAGCATGAGGGACAGGTGCTGCAGGGGTGCTGTCTCCCACTTAACCTCCTGAATCTACTTTTTTTTTTTTTTTTTTTTTGAGACGGAGTCTCACTCTGTCACCCAGGCTGGAGTGCAGTGGCACAATCTTGGCTCACTGCAGCCTCCACCTCCCGGGTTCCAGTGATTCTCCTGCCTCAGCCTCCTGGGTAGCTGGGATTACAGGCACACGCCACCACTCCCAGCTAATTTTTTTATGTTTTTAGTAGAGACGGGGTTTCACCACGTTGTCCAGGCTGGTCTCAAACTCCCGACCTCAGGTGATCCACCCACCTCAGCCTCCCAAAGTGCTAGGATTACAGGCGTGAGCCACCGCGTCTTGCCCTGAATCTACTTGAAATGCCCCACCAGCCTTGCTGATGTCGAGATCACCAACCACCTCTGTGTTGCTAAATCCCATCATTTCTTCCCAGACCTTGTGGCCTTCAATTGGTTGATCTTTTTCTCCTCCAGGACACCACCCGCCCCTTCCCAGCCTCTCTGCTGGTTCCTCCCGCACCTCTTAGCATCAGAGGGCCCCAGGGCTCAGCTCTTGTCTCTCCTCTCCTCATTCTCATTCCCGTGGTGGTCCCATCTAGCCTCCTGGCTTGGACACTACCTATATGCTGACAACTCCTAGCTTTATATTTTCTGTCTGGGCTGCTCTCAGGGAAGACTCCAGACTCCTATAGCCACCTCTCTACTCAACATTTCTGCCTGATGTCTAAAGGGACATTTTCATCCTCAGTTTGTCCAAAGCTGGAATCCTGACCTCCCCCAGATTCCTGCCTCACCGGCAGCCTTCCCCATCTCAGCTGTGGCTCCATCCTGCCAGTTGCCCAGGCCAAAAGCTGGGACTCATTCCTGTGCCTCTTTTTCTCCCTCCCCTCCCCTCCCATCCCTTAGGGCATCCTGTTGGCTCAGTCTCCAAAATCATCCCAGAATCTTCTCACCTCTCGGCCCTTCCACTCCCATCACCAAGGTCCAAGCCCAGTTACCCCAGCAGCTTCCTCAGGTCTCAGTGTTCTCCCTGACTCGGCCCTCACCCACGCTGCGGCCTTTTTTATCCCAGCCATGGATGGCCCTGCCCAGCCTGAGGCAGAGCCTGCTCCAAGGCCTGCTCAAGTCTCTCCCTCCCACACGGAGTAAAAGCCCGTGTTCCTCAATGGCAACCAGGCTGTTTGCAGCCCAGCACCTGCCACCTGTCAGACCTCGCCCCCACCCCGCTATCCCCCTCGCTAGCTCTACTTCATCTGTGCTGGTCTCCCTCTAGTTCCCTAAGTGTGAAAGGCAAGCTCCCACTTCACGGTCTTTGCAGCTGTTGTTCCTGCTACCTGGAACATTATGAACCTGCGCTTACCAGGCTCTTTCAGATGCCACCGCCTCTGGGTGGCCTTCCTGGGTCTCCTTGTTGGGGGTTAAGTGCTGCTCCCTTTGCTTTTTCCGGGGCCTGGCCATCCTCTCTGTTAGCCCCATGGAGATGCTGCTGTTACTCAGTTGCTCTTCTGGCTCCCTTCTTGGCCTGTGAATGCCTCCAGGTGGCCTGGCCATCACTGTGTCCCCAGGGCCTAGCCCTGCGCCTGGTGTGCGCCTGGAACTTAGGGAAGGAGTGCATGTCTGGACTTGGTGAGCATGTAGGGGAATCTTCCAAGGCAGGACCCGGGGGCTGGCTCCATGCCCTGTTCAACATCCCTCCTGGAGCCTCAGGCCAGGCGCTCCCCTCCCCAGGGCATGTCGGGAGCGAGGTGTTGGTGGCGATGGGGATGGCTGCCCAGGGAGTGGGCCCAGGAGAGCACTTTCCCGCAGATGGCACAGATGCTGTACGTGCCTATGCTTGTGAACGGCAAGGCCCGCGCTGTGCCAGAGGTCCTGTTTTTATCATCCCAGCTGCCCGCCTGAGCTGTATGTAGAATATTTGCCGGGGACCTTGGGGCCCTGAGCCATGGCTGGCCCTGGGGGAAGAACGCAGAGGTAGCAGCATGAAGCCTGGCTTGGAGACACCAAGTTGACCAAGGGGGTCTAGAAGGGATCCTGGAGGGCATTGAGGCCCTGCACCTTGGCCACCACCTTCATACCCCATGCCCTGGAGGGGGGCAGGGTTCCTGCCACAGTGGTAACCGCCCGCAGCCAGAAGCCTCCCGAGTGCCTGCAGGAAGAAGTAGAGCTCTGTATCTCAGCGAGTCGCCCCCACTCTCCACAGACACCTTGCCCCCCAGCACTGACACCTCGCACACTGTTGCACTGCCGTGCCCTCAACCATGCTGTTTCCTTGGCCAGGGGTGCCCTTTCCCTTCCCTGCCTGGCAAAGTCCTGCTCCTCTTTCAAGCTGCAGCTCAGATGTCCCTTGTGCTTAGAGGCTTCTGAAGCCTCCCCAGCCTGCCCTTCTGCTGGCTTTGTCTGCATCTGTGAAAGCCCTCAGCACACTCTAGCGTGGCTATTTGTGTGGAACTCCCCATTGGTCTATTAATTTTTACTTATTAATCTTATTAATATTGACATTATAATTAACAGCGATTTTAGTGTCTCTATTATACAAGACTGAGGAGTGCTAATGTGAGCTATGGTTTGTTGACAGCCAGCCTCTTGCCCGAGCCTCTATTAGGCACTTCAAGTGCATGGCCTCCTGTGAGACCTTGCAGTGATTGTCCTGGAGAGATGGCATGATCTGCATTTGACAGAGGAACAAGCTGGGCCTCCATCTCTGTACCAAGCATGGTGCCTGGCACAAAGGCGGCCTCAGCAAGTGCTTGGTGGGTGAGTGGGTAGATGAGTGGATGGGTGAGTGGATGTCAGATGTCCTGCTGGGTCCCCTCCCCTTGGCTCCCTGTCCTTCCTTTTGTCACTGAGGTTGGTACACATGGAGCTGACTTCCCCAGCCAGAACCACCAGCACCCCAAAAGCATCTTAAGCCACAATTAAGGTGATCATGCCATGCTAATCACCTACACGAGTAAATTAGTCTTGTCAAGAGCCATTAAGGTGGGAACCCGGGATTCATTAGGATGGATTGGTCCCAGGCAGCGCCTGGCACTGCTGCCAGTCGGTGCTGATTAATTTCTCTCCAAACTCCATCAATGCCCAGCTGTTTCTTCTGGACCCAGGGAGAGCAGTTTTCAGGTGGGCTGACCCCGCATCGGCAGTCTCTGCAGACGGAGGAGCGGTGCGCCTGCAAGCAGGCCGGCAACTCCCCGCAGGAGCAGCCCCTGTAGAGCTGAATGGGAGGCCAGGGAGGGCAGATGGTGGGCTTTGTGGGCAGCCAAGGCTCAGGAGTGACGAGCATAGATGCTGGCAGGCACGGAGGCATAGGTGAAAGAGGAGTCTGGGAGGCATTGGGGACTTTTCTGGGACTAGTTTCAGCCCTGGTGCTCCAGAAGGAACTGTCCCTCCTCCCTGAAACCTCCTCCCAATGTCCCTTTAAAGAGGAGAAGCATCTCTTGGGAGAGGGTGGAGAACCACAGTGGGAGAATTATTTTTCTCTTAACCAGAAGGTTGCTTAAGATTGACACAGGTGAGAGGGGTCATGGTACCCCAGAGCTGTCCCACAGCGAGGGCTGGTGGCAAAGCCACAGGAATTGTGGGGCTAAAGGGACGGGGATGGGAGGAGTCCAGTGGCTCCCGGACATCAGCTGGGTGTGTGCTGTCTGCATAGTTAGGGCTTTTCTGCCCACCGTGTTCACAGAGGTGGTATAGCCTGATAGATATCAGCTCTACGAAAAAAAATATAGGGGGTGTTAGACAATAATAAGTGCCCAGGAGAAATAATCAACTTTGGTTGGAGTTAAGATGGGAGGTAGACAGTGGGGGTGTAACAGTCTGTATTGTCCACCTTTGCCTTCACCCTCCCCTGAAGTGTTCTCAGAGGGCCCAGGATGGACTTGTAGTTTGAGAGCCACTGTTTTTATCAAACATTCCCACTTTGAAGATGGAGAAAGTGAGGCCCAGACTGCCTGGATGTGAATCCCAGCTCTGCCTCTTACTAGCAGTGTACCTCACTTTCCTCTTCTGCAAAATGGGAATAACGTTCAGTTTACCTCTTTGGGTTTATGTGAATATTAAACGAGCAAATTGTAAAACCCTTAGAACTGTGTCTGGCCCATAGAAATCCAAGCTGTAATTTAAACTCGCTCGCTTGCTTTTAAGCTCCTATAAACATATTTTCGAAAGGAAACTTTAATGTGTCAGACAAGCTTCCTGGTTGCCCGCTGAAGAAACTGCCTCTGGCTGTCCTTTCTATTGGAAGGCTGCTGGAGGCTCTTGGAATTGACCACAACAAAAGAACCTAGACTGGAAATTGGCCAATCTGTCCAGCCGGTCACTGCTGTCACTCTGAATGAATTCTACCACTCATGGCACGGGCAGCAGTGTCCAGGTGGCCAAGCCAACTTGGGTATGTGTCTGTGCTCAGGCTGCAAAGGGGCAGGGGATAGTGACTGTCTGCCCCTCCCAGCTACACCCAATGGGACAGTCTCCAAAAAGAGGAGGGGTGGAACTGGACACAGCACCTCCATAGAAAGACAGATGTCCATTTTCTACCATCAGAGTGAAATCCCAGGGCTGAGATGCTGACTGGCTTTTCCTAACACATATTAAAATAAATACATACTATATTTTTTTTACATTTTATTTTTTTTTTTTTTTAGAAACAGGATCCCTATTGCCCAGGCTGGAGTGCAGTGGCGCAATCATGGCTCACTGCAGCCTCAAACTTCTGGACTCAAGTGATCCTCCCACCTCAGCCTCTCAAGTAGCTGATTACAGGCTAATGAAGCAACACCTGGCTAATTTTTAATTTTTGTGTGTGTGAGATAGGAGTCTTGCTATGTTGCCCAGCCTAGTCTCGAACTCCTGGCTTTAAGCAATCCTCCTGCCTTGGCCTCCCAAAGCACTGAGATTACAGGCATGAGCCACTGCACCTGGCCCCTTATTTTATTTTTAAACTTTTTACTTTGAAATAATTTTAGACTTACGGAAAAGTTGAAAATTGTACAGAGTTCCCATATACCCTTCACCCAGCTCCCCATAATGTTCACATCTTGCATAACCATGATACAATTATGGAAACCAGAAAAATGACTTTGATGTAATACTATTAATGAGAGTTTATGCAAATTTTATCAACTTTCCCACTAATGTTTTTTTTTTCTGCAATTAAGATGATTTTTAAACTTCTTTTTAAGCTGTGGAACTGTTTGGGCAAATGTAATCTTGCCCAGAAGTCTAGGATAGATAGATTAGATAGATAGATAGGTAGACGGACAGATGCACATATATACTTATATTCATTCGTTCAACAAATGTTTCCTTGAGTGTCTTCTATGCATCAGACACTGTTCCAGGTATTGTGCATGCGAACAGAAGAGACAAAAATCCCTGTCCTCATGGAACTGACATTCTAGAGCGGGGAGCAGGCAGAAAGCAGCATAGAAAAAAATATATACAGTATGTTCAATTGTAACAGGTGCTAAGGAAGAAGAACCATCTTTGGTAGAAATTAAAGTCACGGGTAGCAGTGAGGGGTGAAAGAGCCTGTATTTTCCACCTGTGCATTCACTCCTATATTAAATCAGAGGACCCATGAAAAACCCCTGGGGCCTCCTGTCGGACAGTTTGTGACCACTTTGTTAGACAAACAGTTGCACAGATGGAGAAACTGAGGTGGAGAATGGGGCGATTGCCCAGGGTCCCTAGTGAGTTACTGCTGGGGTCCGGATTGCAGCTGCCCTGACTTCGCACACCAGCTGCAGAGGGAATTCCAGGGTTTCTGTCCAGGCAGTCACTGGTGCCTCCAGGCCTGGGCAAGAAGGGGCGTCCTCCTGGGTTGGTGGGCTGTGAGCTCGGGAATTGAAGTTTGGAGAAGAGTCTCCAGGTGCCTCGCAGCTGCTGGGATCTGGAGCTAGAGCGCTTAAGGAGGGGAAGGGAGGGTAGCCTGGAGGCTTCCTGGGGCTGTTGGCAAGTGGGCTGTGGTTTTGGAGGAAGGAGGTGATCTAGTATCCATCCAGGTGATCGGTGCTGGAACCAAGGGACCCAGGGCTTTGGGCTCTTGGTGCCCTCACAGAAGGGAGGACTTTTCTCTCCCTTCTAGGAGTTGGGGGATGACTGACAGAACCCCCAGGAGGGCTTGGGTGCTTCTGCGTCCTTGCTTCCTCTCTGCCATTATCCAGGGCAGCATAGGCCCTCTAAGGTGATAGAACAGACTGTGTCTTCTTGGGGGTCCTTTGGGCTGTAGCCACTCCCAAGCGGTCCCTGTCTGGGCACATCTGGAGCCTGTGGCAGCCCCGGCTATGGACTGCCCCTCAACACACAGGTGTGGGTATGGGGCGGGGCTGGTGTTTTGGATGCGGCCATAATAACACTAATGATAATGATGATGTGCCACCTGTCGTGTGAGCATGCCATTAATGCCAGGCACTGAACACCTGTGCCAGCCTGTGCTGGGGGGTGGGGTAGGGACATGCACATTAGAGATAACTGGGGAAATAGTGACTAGCTTTTATTACATACTTAATCTCTCTAGATCAGCCGTTCATACACATTGCTTCGTTGAATTCTAACAGCAAAAAAGTGAGTCTTATAACCCTCATTTTGCAGTTGAGGAGCAGAGGCTCAGAGAGGTTAAGTAACTCACACAGGCTCACACAGCTTGTGTAGAGTCAAAATTGAACCTGAACCTATCGCCCTCTGGCCCCAAAGCCTGTGCACTTAACCACAAGTCTGGGATTCTGTATGTAGGTCTTTGCTTTTAAGGAGCTCCAGTCTGGAGTGGAGAAGAGAACCAATGGTAAATGACCACCTCACACCAGGCAAGTGGGAGGCATGAACTACAGAGCCTTGCTAATGCCCCGAGGAGGAAGAAACTCATCCTGGGCACAGGGACAGAGAAATCTTCATAGTAGAGGTGGCCTTGATTGGTTGGGTTTTGATAGGCTGAAGCTGGAGGGGAGGCATTTCACAAGAAGGCAATGGAACAGGCTGACCAGCTGTGAGGCAAGCAATTTGTGTTGTGTCTTGAAGTTGTTGTGGTTAAAAATGAAAATAACAATAGTAATTATTTAGCCCCTGTGTTTTACTAGTTAGGTTACCTGCACAATCTTGTTTAACCCTTACAGTGATGACAGGAAATCTGTTCTAGTACGATCACCTTGTTCCAGGCTCAGAGAGAGATCCAGCAAGCTGCCCAAGGTCCCATAGCCAGTAAGCAGTAGAGTCAGGATTTGAATTCCACGTATTCAATCTCCAATGACCACACTCTTACCGCCCTGCAATGCTGCCTCCCAGGATTGTGTAGGGTCTTTCCTCAGTCTGTTACCTAGGAAAGAGCCTCAGTGGCCAAGGGTCCACATGGGGCAGGTGCTGGGTGAAGGAGCAGCTGCTCCTAAGGAGGGGAGGTTGGCCAGCCCAGCTCAATCTGGGAGACCAGGCCCCGGACTGGGGCCGGTGCCTGAGTCCCAGGCCTGGCATTGCCCCTATGCAACCGTGTGAGCCTGGGCAAGTCAATTTCCCTGTTCAGCCCTTGCTTCCCTGTTTCTCAGAAGATGCATTCCTTGCTGGATATACTATGCAGAGTTAGCAAGAGTGCTGAAAATGACTTTGGGGAAAATAGATGAAAGTATGAGATTAGTCAGCTTGCTTGCTCCTGGGTCCACAGCCTTTTCCAGTGACCAGTGGTGATGGCGGTGGGGGTCTCGTCCAGCTGTGCAGTGGCCAGGAAGCAGGCACCCCCTTTGCAGGGGTGGGGGGCTGACACATGAGCCTGGCACAGGTGTGCCATTGGGACGAGGATGTGCTGAGCTTGCAGCCAACCGAGAACACTTGGACTCCCTAGTAACTGGCAAAGGTGTAATTTACAAGAGCTGAATACCCTCCAGCTGGCTGAGGAGACGGGCAGGCAGAGCCGACTTTGAACTTGTCATCACTCCCCTCATCAGGACTGTTCTTTACACCCCTCAGGGGACCTGTGAGCCTGACTGTCCAACAACAGCTTTGTCTGGAATAGGAGATCAAGTTGTTCTGTCAGCCCTTGACCAAGAAAGGGCTTGGATGGCCAGGAAAGTTGTTCTTTGGTGCAAGGATTTCCTTGAAGGTCCCCTCACCCATGTGCCTTCCCTTCCTCCTTTCCACATCTGAGCACAGTGCATGGAGTGGGAGGCACAAGGCCTGGGTTTCAATGCCAGCTCTGCCACTTATTAGCGTGTGACCACAGGCAAGTCCCTTAACCTCTCTGAACCTCGTTTCCCTCTTCTGGAAATTGAGATGATCATACTTGCCTGGACAACCTCATAGGGAGCTAATGAAAGAGCTTTAGAAGTGAAATAGCTGTACAAATGGTGGACATTGTTTTTATTGAGCAATTCATCTTTAAATGCTTCCTCTTCCAAGAAGCCCTCCTTTGCATCTTTAGCAAGTGTGGACTGTATCACCAGCTACTTCACCTCTCTCTGTCCCAGTTTACTCAGTTCAAAATTGTGGATAATGATCACACTGTATTTACTAATAGAGCTGCAGTGAGAATTAAGTAAGTTAATTAAAGTAAAATTAAAGTAAGATTAAAGTAAGGGTTTTTTGTTTTGTTTTGTTTTTGTTTTTGAGATGGAGTCTCGCTCTGTTTCCTGGGCTGGAGTGCAGTGGCGCGATCTCGGCTCACTGCAAGCTCCACCTCCCGGGTTCACGCGATTCTTCTGCCTCAGCCTCCCAAGTAGCTGGGACTACAGGCACCTGCCACCATGCCCAGCTAATTTTTTGTATTTTTAGTAGAGGCGGGGTTTCACCGTGTTAGCCAGGATGGTCTCGATCTCGACCTTGTGATCCAGCCCGCCCTGGCCTCCCAAAGTGCTGGGATTACAGGTGTGAGCCACCACACCTGGCCTTTTTTTTTTTTTTTTTTGTGAGATAGGGTCTTGCTCTGTCACCGAGGCTGGCACGCAGTGGCAAGATCACAGCTCACTGCAACCTCGACCTCCTGGGCTCAAGTGATCCTCCCATCTCAGCCTCCCAAGTAGCTGGGACCACAGGTGTGTGCCACCACACCTGGCTAATTGTTTTTTAAATTTTTTTTGTAGAGATGGGGGTCTCCCTGTGTTGCTGAGGCTGGTCTTGAATCCTGAGCGCAAGCAGTCCTCCCACTTTGGCCTCCCAAAGTGGGGGCATGAGCCACTGTGCCTGGTTAAGTCAGGTATTTTAAACCGTGCTTGGCAAATAGTAAGCACTAGGAGAAGTTAACTATTATTATTTGCGGTGGTGCTGTTGTCGGCCAGTGCTTTTCCCAACTAGGTGAGAAGCAGCTCGGGGACAGGAATGATATTCTATGTGGCCAAAGCCCACTGTGCTGCCACGTAAATATGTGATGTGGTTTGATGCGTTACTCTTCCAAGGGACATTTTCACTCTCCAGGAGGAAGAGGCCTAGAGGCTCCTGGGCCCACCTCCTAGCCTAACCAGGAATCCCCTTAATGCAGCTGCCTACCAACAGGTGGTGCAAGCGCTGGTGGGCCCTGGCAGCGGGCAACTCTACCTCTCAGCAGGCAGTGAGCACCACCTGCTACTAGCAGGCTGACTGCCTCCTGCTGTTACTACCCCTGGCCAGCCCCAGAGCTCCCTGGAGGCAGCCTGTTCTTCTTCATACGGTGGCTCTCCAGGGTCTGCAGGGCTTTCCTAAGTCTGCTGTTCTTTATTCTAGAGGTGGCCAGCTCTTGTAGCTGGTCCTTATCCACAGACTTGGCCCAACTTCTCCCTCCTGGTCACCTTCCTGTGTTCCAGAAATTGTGCTAGGGATGTTTTGTGTGCCTCACTCATTTAATCCTCACAACGCCCCATGAAGGAGGTAGTTATGGAGCCCATTTTACAGACAAGGAAACTGAGGCTTAGAGAGGTTGCTGCCCACCCAAGGGCTCATAGGCATTAAGCTGCTGAGCTGAATTCAAGCCCACATGTCTCTCTCTCTCTCCATAACCAATGCTTTACTCTTCTTGGCACAGAACAGAGTGGATGAAGAGGAGAAACTTCCAGCCCAGGGGCTGGTACAGGGTCCCCACCTACCATCTTCCTTACTTGCCTTCATAACACGGTGGACAGGGCACAAGATCCTCCAACCTTGGTCCCCTCTGGCCGTGTGCCCTTGGGCAAGGGAGAGGATGTGCCCTGGTGTCACAGCACCGCCTGTGGGCCCTCCTTTCCTGGGCTCTCTTGGCAGCAGGACTGTGTGCGGCGGGAACCCGCACACTTGCTAGGATTGATTTGGCCTTTGAAAGGATAATTCAAGATGAATATGCTGGCGTCCGACTGGAGTGAGATGGAGAGATTATTGAGTGTTGAACCTGCTTTGCCGCATCGGCTGCTTTATGAGCTCTCTGGAGAAACCCTATGTTGTAGATAACTCAGGCCTGACGGGCCAGGAGCGGCGTTTGTCTCCCACACTCTGGAGTGAGCAGTCCGACAGGGCCCAGACACCCTGCTCGCCCCATCCATGAGCCAAGAATCAGCTTCCAGCCTCATCGCGGTGCCAACCATTGTCCCTCCCATCCTGCTCATCCCAGCCCCGTCTCTTGCCCTGTCCTGCTCCTGAATGTGGAGTTGGGGCGGTAGTGGCCAGCTGGTTGGTTCCTGCTGTGGTCCCTTGCTCCAGGCTGCCTTGGACAGTCCAGGAAGAGCAGAAGTGAGTGGGCAGAGCCTGTGGACACATCTCTTTGGTTTCTTACACCTGTCTCCCCGACGAGTAGCCCAGCCTGGTCACTAGGGACACCACCTCTGCATATTCCTTGGGATATCAGAAAGGATCTGTAGTGCAGGGACTTAGTGCACTATTGGGAAACAGTACACACAGAGGCATGAGGCCAGGGAAGCAAAGCCCCTCGTGGGGACCTGGAAGTTCAGTTCAGCTCAACTCTGTCCACCCTGGGTGTTTGTCCTAATCAGCCACTGCTCCCTCCACCCCTGCAGCCACACAGTATTCTAGGGGACCATCAGGAGACAGGGAAGAGTCCAAACCACAAACTCTTTGGAGGCCGAGCCCATGTCTTTGAGCCTTGTTAGGTGGGATGGCCTGTAGTGTGCACCACACTGACAGTGGGCATGATGGCCTTTCTCCCTCGGAGTCCCCTGGGGACTTGGCATGGGGTGTGGCACACAGAAAGGGCCAGTTCTATGGGTGATGCCTTAAGTACCTGTCAGCCCACAAGACATCCATCCTGGGCTGTGACAGCCTTAGGCTGGGGAAGCCTTTTCTCCGGAAGAGGTGTCTGGAGAGGGAATGACGGGAGACACACAGGGACAGCAGGGGCCTCCCCACAGCGGGAGTCTGGAGAACAGCGCCAGGGTGATCCTGAACAGACATTGCCCTGGGAGTGGTGCACCAGCCTTCTGTCATCTTTTGCACGATCCATGTCTCCTCCATGCTTGTACATCTCCATGCACGGTCCATCACCTCACAGGACAGCGCGGCCACCGCGACTTGGGCTGAGAGTGGCTTGCAAGCCCTGTGCCGTGTTCCCACACATTAGGTCCTCATCGCAACCCCGAAGGCCACCCTCACCCCCACTTTATAATGAGGAAAAGCTAGTGACTTGTGCAAAGTCAGAGCGTTCATTACACATCAGCACCAAGGTTATAGTCCAACCCCTGGGGTGTGGGCTCATGTTGGCAGTGCCCGGCTTCTTGGAATCTGCATTTCCAAGAAATTCTTCAGTAATGTTGCTGTGGCTGGGCCACTTAGGACCGCTGCCCTGGCCATGCAGCTTCCTAGCCTCCTGAATTGGCTCCATGAGTCTGGGGTGAGTCCTCCATCACCCGCCTGGTCAGCTCCTGGCAGCGCCTGCCCTTTGGGCAGCATGCTGGGCTTGGGGACCCACCTGGTCGTTTCGAGAGTCCCCTGCCTGAGACATCGCCTGTGTCTCTGAAGCTCAGCTGGGGCTTATCATCGGATAGCAGATGTGTGAATTAAGAGGGGGCCCATGGGGGAAGGCAGGCCCGGGAGGCGAGGTGCTGAGATGCCCAGTGCAGTTCGCCCCTGCCCGGCCCCGCCTTGTGTGTTTACACAGAGTGGTGGTGCAGCAGTGGACATAATTACTCCTGACGGCCTTCATTAAAGACTCTGGAACAATTTACAGTCAATTAAGGAGAAAGGAACTGTCTCCCTCTTCAGGCGCCCCACCGCCATCTGCTTTAGAGGGAGCCCTGCTGGAGCTGTGGGTCAGTGGAAGTGGGGCTTCAGGGAGGAGGAGAAGGAGGAAGAGTGGGGCTTCTGAAGCCAGTGAACCCGCTGTCCTCAAGAGTGAATGGTCAAGCCACCGGTCACCACACTCACAGTGTGACGTGAGAGGCCATGTGCCAAGGAGCAAAGTGCTCTGCACCCTGGCTCTGCCCTAACGCATGCAGAGACCTGGGGTGGTTCTGTCACCTCTCAGAGCCTCAGCTCTCTTATCTGTCAGATGGAGCTGGTCAAGCATTCTCTGCAGATCTGTTTTGATTGTTTAGTGAAATAATAAATGTGGCCAGCACAGGGCCTGGCCCCCACCAGGTGCTCAGTGATCAGGATGGCAACTCCTGTTGTACCTGGGAAGCCGCACCTGCCCCTGCCTGCACAGGTGCTTTTCAGAAGCAAAGGCTCTTCATATGTCAACAGTCCTAGGTCGGCCTCAGTCCCCACTCAATCTTCAGACACAGGCAACCAGAAGATACACGTGGGAGTGCTTCTTTGGGCCAGGCCTCCACCCTCAGAGAGCCTGGGTCCAAGAGTGAACAACCTCTTCATTGGCCTAAAGGCCAACTCAGGAAAATTTAAATGCTTACCGGCTGCATTTCCCCCGTCTAAAATGAAAATCGCTTCATTGAATGCCATGGGGAGGGGGGCGTATATTTTCACAACCTAGATTACCTACTTGATTGACTAGAAATGTGTCAATGAGAAAACTGGTACTGCTTCTTAGCTCCCAAAATATAAATATCTGAGTCTATTTGAGAAATGGCAGTAAAGAGGCCGCGTTCTGAAATTAGATCGGGACCATATTGAGAAAGAAGGCAGGCTGCCCGGGAGCCCAAGGGTGCCTGTCCCTGCTCCAGCCTGGTACCCTCATTTGGTGAGATGGCACATGACATGTGACATATGCCCAACACAGAGTCTGGCACACCATCAAGGCCAGTAAATCCCAGCCTGTCCGCACCCGGCTGCCAAGAAGTGTTTTCCTTTCCTGAAATCCAATTATTTTCTGCCCAGTCCTCTGCCCATTAAAAGAGTAATGAACAATGGGTTGAGGGCCACCCCGCATCCCCTGCCATTCTTCCTGCTCCAGAAGGCACCTTTCTCAGGAGCCCCTCTCTGGGTCCCCACAGCGCTGGGAGAGGGAGTGCTCAGCAGGGATCGCTGAAGGGAGGGTGGGGGAAGTTAGTATTCCCTTACCTGCCATCTCTCCTGCCAGGGTGTTCTTGTCTGTAAATTAGGACAGTGACTCTCTTGTTACCAAGCATCAGTGGGTGTGAAGTTCCCTGGGTGTCTGAGAGCCAGGACCCAGAGATCAAAGACATCTTCATGGTAGAACTTCACCTGTTTTGCCTGAAATTTGTCGGCTGAGTTTCTCATTCTGTGTCTCTCCATCTGGGCAGTGTCCTGCCATCAACAGATCAAAACCTAGGCCTGCTGGGGTTCCCTACACTGGCCACTTCTTTGTAAGGAAGGTGTAGATGTTTTCTACCCAATACCCAATCCCTGGAGTCCCCATTAGAATATTTTCACTAAATCAACACCTATAGGACTTGCTCTCCATCCATAACTACTATAAGCCCTTTTAATCCTTATGACAACCTGTGAGGAAAGTACAATTATCATTCCCATTTTATAGATAGGAAAATGGAGGCAAACAGAGTTGAAGTGACTTACCCAAGATCATGCAGCTAGTGAATGGGAGTGGGACTGGGATTTGAACTTAGGCTGTCTGGCACCAGCACCCATCCTCCTAACCAAGGTGTTCTGCTACCTGCTAATAATAATAATGACAGAGTAATAGCAGCACCTGGTTATTGAGCACCTATAAGGTGCCAGGTGCTTTATATACATTATTGCATCAGATCTTTATGATAACCCATCATGTAGATATTTATGTCCGCCTCTGTGTGGCAGATGAGGAAACTGAGGCTCAGAAAGAACAATGAATTTGCCCATGATCATAGAACTAGTTAACAGTGGAGCCAAGACTGAAATCCAAGGCAGCCTGTCTGTGTCTCCCTACCTGCAGGGATGGAGAAGATGGTCCAGCAGTCATTCCCCCACTGGTCCTGCTGCACTTCCTGGATGCTCTGGCTCCAAGGAAGAGGGGTCTTCTGAGGCCCACCAGGTATCAGTGATGAGGACTTGTCTCATCTGGAAGCAATTCTGCTCAGCCCCACTATGCTGGAGCCTGGGTGGATGACTTGCTGTCAGTTCCCAATGATGCCAATGTCAGGGTGGTGGGGAGGGGGCTGGTGGGAGTGGGAGTGAGTGGGTAGAGCAGGACAGCAGGCCTCCTGTGGATGACTGATTGTTGGCCCAGCTCATGTGTTCCCATGTGCCTCTTACTGGTGGAAGCTAGATCTCTTTATCAGTTAAATCAAATACTAATGACAGGAAAGTAAGTTCTGTGAAGTCTCCTTATACTCTGACACTCCTAAGTTCAAATCCAGTCCCCCTTTCTCCTGTCCTTCTGACTGTGTCCCATAGAGCTCATGAGAGCTGTCACTTATGGAGGGCCAATTAGGTGCCAGGACTATGTATGCATGATCTCATTCAGTCCTCACAACAACCTAGGATGAAGACACAGTGATTCTATCTCCACTTATTTCAGTGTGAGATACTTCAGGCATGCAGAAAAGTCTAGAGCTAATACAGTAGTCATTAGCCACGTGTAGCTCTTTACATGCAAATTAATTACAATTAAATAACGTAGAGTTAACTTTCTTACTCACACTGGCCACACTGCAGGTGTTGGGCAGCCACATGTGTTGAGTGGTTACTGTATTAGGCATTGTGATAGAAAGTGTTTCCATAATGGCAGTGAAGTCTGTTGCACAGCGCTGGTATAGAGTTGTATTTTATAAAAGAGAAACAGACTCAGCTACCTGCCCAGAGTGACTCAGCTGGGGGCAGGCAGCCCCTGAAGGAGCTCCTGTGGTCTTGACCAGTGTTCTCAATGCCTAGCTATCATCCCCTATCCCTAAGACAAAGGACATTCTCTAGCCACGAGGCATTTGAGGTACAAAGAGGCAGTGTGACCTCCCCAGGGTCGAGAGACTCCTCGAGTGGCCTGGGTAATAGAAACGGAGGGCCCTGAGCCATCGAGTGCCACCGAGTGGTCTGGATCTCTGGCTAGGCCAGCTCAGGGCAGGGGGGTGCCCCCGTGGCTGATAGGCCCACCCCTCAACCAGAGCAGCCCTGCTGGCCGTGAATTTTTACCGCTGTTTACCTGACGCTGTTCAGTCCAGGAATGAAATAACTCTCCCCACAGCTACTATGAATTCTTTGCTTCCCTGGGAAAAAAACAACCCTGTGATTGGAACATTGTCTGCAGTCCTGTCAGGTAGCCGCGCTGAGTGACAGGTGAGAGAAAGCAAACGGCCGAAAGCCATTACCCTCTTACTTCAGTGGAGTTGGAAAAATAGTCATAAATTAGTGCCGGGTACTGAACAAGGGGAGAGGAAGAAAACACCAGAGAGGAAAAATATCCTCCCTAGAAAGTCATAATTTTTCTCCGGAGGGTGGGAGGAATAGGGTGTTTGGAAGGTGATGTCTCAAAAGAGCCTGTGCGTCACCCCGGCCTGTGCTGGGCGGCTCTTGCTGCTGCTCCCCAGGGACGGCTTCAACGCAGGCAGGACATTCCGGAAAAGCAAGAGAGACTTTGCTTCCTCTCACCCACTCCAGGGCCACCCCTTGCAGGGGTGTGCCCTGTGTGTGTATAGGTGTGTGTCTGAGAAAGGGAGAGACTGTGGGTGTATGTGCCCGTCTGTGTGTGTGCATGTGCACACGTGTGTATGAGCATGTGAAGTGTGTCCCTGTTTGCATGTGTATACACACATGTTAGTGTGCCTCTGCCCACATATGTGAACGTGTATACCTGCCCATGTGTGTGAGTCCCTTCCCATGTATATGAGCATGCATGTGTGTATGTACCAGCTCATGTGTGTGTGCTCATGTGTGTCCCTGCCCGTGTGTGATAGTAAGAATGTGTACCTGCCTGTGTGTGTGAGCCCCTGCCCATGTGTGAGTGTACATGCATGTGCATGTGAGAGTGTGTGAGTGTGCCCCACCTCACGGATATGCGTGTGTCCCTGCTGATGTGTGAGTGAAAGTGTGTGTGCCTACCCACGTGTGTTTGTCCCTGCACATGTGTGCATGTGTGAGTGTGTCCATGCTCATGTGTATATGAGAGTGTGTGTCCCTTCTCACAGTGTATGTGCGAGTGTATCTTTGCTTGTGTGTATGTGCATATGTGAGTGCGTCCTTGTCCACATTTGTGTGTGTGTGTAGGTACTGATGTGTTTGTGGGGTGGTGTCCCGCTTACAAACACACCTCTGCCTTCTTGCGTGGTATGTGTTTAAGAGTGTGTGACTTCACCTTTATTTCATACTTTGCTTCTTCTATATATTTGTAGCAACCCACATGGAAAATCTCCGCCCATTGACAAGACAGCATGAGGGGTGTGTGTGTGTGTGTGTGCACGTGCATATATCTGTGGGGTTGCAGACTGCCTTGGAGACTGCTGTTCATTATAAGGCTGGAATCTAGGGAGAGCAAAAGACAGCTTGTGAGCCCCACAGGGATGGGTGTGCTCTACTCAGGGTTGTCATTACTTAAAGGACATTGCCTCTATTTTCTTTGTGGAGCCAAAGGTGTTTCTCCGCAGAGGATGCTAGCAAGAGCTGCAAGGAGGGGCTGGGCACAAGGCAGAATGGCTCCGCGAGCCCCTTCAGAGACCCCAGAGGGAAGAGGGAAGGACCACCCAGGACCTGGGCTGCTGGGTCCTAAGACCTGAACCTCAGTTCAGTGTATTAACTGTACAGACATAAACGTGTGAACTTGAACAAGAACATTTTGTAGGTGATAATGTATGCCAGTGGTTCTCAGGCTTCCGTGTGCATGAGAATCCTCTGGAAGGCTTGCTGAAACAGATGGCTGGGCCCGATCCTCAGAGTTTCTGGTTGAGCAGGTCTGAGGCGAGGCCTGAGAACTGGTATTTCTAAGAAGCTTCCAGGCGATGGTGATGCTGCTGGTCTGGGGAACCCACTTTGAGAACTACTGATGCACACCTCTGACAAATCCTTTAACGCACCCCCAGCACCACCAGCCTGTGAGGTTGGGTGGGAGGCAGTGCGCCATAGTGGTTAGGAGCAGAGATGAAGAGCACAGGAGCTGACTGGGGGGTTCAAATCTGACTCTGCCGCCACCACCTGTGTGCCTTTAGACAAGGTTCTGAACCTCTCTGTGCCAAGGCTTCCTTGTCCATGAAGTGTGGAGGATGATCATATCTACTATACAGGGCTGATGTGCAGAAACTTAGTGCGTGTAAAAAGCTTAGACTAGTGCCTGGCACCTAAACAGCATTATGTGTATCGGCTCATGTTATTATCCCCACTGCGCAGAGGAGCAAACTGAGGTCACACTTCAAGTTAAGGCAAAGCTAGAATGAGAACCCAGGTCCCATGACTCCCGGCCAGTGCCTCTGCTCCCCACTTCTCCCACCCTGGCCTCCTCAATTTTGCTTTATGGGAGCTCTGGCCTACCCTAGCAGATGCTTCCTGAGCCTTCCTTCATGGGGAAAAGTGGGCAGACACTTAATTTCTTCCCTCTTAGAGAGGAATTGCGGGCGAAACAAACCCTGATGGAAGCTCTGAGCTCTGCCCCAGCCCACACGCTCCTTGCTGTCCACCTGTGACCTGGCCCCCTGTCCTCCTCTGTCCCCAGTTCCTCTAGCTCTGCCAGTAAAGCTCCTGGCTCTGCCAAGCCCTGGAGCTGCCAAACTTGAGACTTGATGGCAGGAAAGAGTATGAAAAGACAGGGTCCCGCTGTGGGGCCCTTAAGCCAAATCCTTAACACTTGGACTTGAGCCTGGGTAATGGTGAGCCATGGCAGGTGCTTGGACATGATAAATGCAGGGTCTTTGAAGCATTGCTCTCTTGGTGTCACTCCTCAGCTCAGAAACCTTCAGTAGCTCCTACTGCCCACACATCAATCCCAGGCTCCTTGGCTTACCAGGCCAGGCCATCTGTACTAGCATCCATGATGCATGATCCTTCCAGCCTGTGTGGATGCTTGGTCCCCTAAAAAGATTGCTATCATCTCCCACACTTTCTAAGGGCCATCCTGTTGTACAGCTCCAGACAGCATGGCCAGGCTGCACTTGCCCTGCCCTGTTCAGCTCTGGCTTCTGCCACCTTTTCCCTCCTAGGTGCCCTTCCACAAAGTCCTCCCTGATCTGTCACTGGAAATGGTGTCTGGCACCTCAGCTTTTGGGAACTCACGATTCCTATACCCTCCCTTTGTTTATGGTGATTTGTGGCCCTCTTAACTCGAACACTTGTTCCTAGTAAACACGCTCCCCTGCATAGTCCCTGTACCCCTCTGCCGGGGCCCGGCAGGAGACAGGGCAGGGGTGAGGCAGGTGCCTTACTCCACGCACGCCTCTGTTCCTCACCTGCTCCAGGACACCCTCCTCCTCCCTCCCAGCCTTCAGCATGTGACTGCCCTCAGGCTGGCTCTCAGGAGCTGTCTTTCTGCCAGGCTCCTTCTCTGTGGGCCTGAGGGAGGCTCAGTAGCTCCCTTTCCCTCCAAGAGCCCCAAAGCAGGCTCATGCCTCTTGCGTCCTAACACACAACCCTCCTGGACCCTGTATCTCCCTCTACCACTTTCGTTCCTTTTTCAGCCAAGCTCCTTTAAAGAAAAGCAATCTTTATTCTATAGTGTTATTGAAGTGTAATTGACATATGATAGACTGCACCACTTAAAGTGTATAATGGATAAGTTTCAACATAGGCACACGCCCTTGAAACCATCACCACCATTAAGATAGCGAACATATCCATCACCCCCAGGTTTCCTCATGCCCCTTCATGCCCTTCCTTTCCACTCCTCCTCCTTCCCCAGGCAACCTTGGAGCTGCTCCCTGTCACTATATGTTAGTTTGCATTCTCCAGAACTTTACGTACATGGAATAATACTGTATGTACTCTTTTTGTCTGTCTTCTTCCACTTAGCGTAATTATTTTGGAGTCCTTTTATATTGTGTATAACCACAGTTTATTCCTTTTTATCGTTGAGTTATATTCCATTGTAAAAGCTATATCACAATTTCTCTTTTCACTCATTGATAGACATTTGGGTTATTTCCAGTTTTTGGCTATTCCAAATAAAGCTTTCGTGAACATTTGTGTCCCCCCCTTGTTTTTTTTGAGACAGGGTCTTGCTGTGTTGCCCAGGCTGGAGTGCAGTGGCACAATCTCAGCTCGCTGCAACCTGTACCTCCTGGGTTCAAGAGATTCTCCTACCTCAGCCTCCCAAGTAACTTGGAGTACAGGCGTGTGCTGCATGCCCAGCTAATTTTTGTATTTTTAGTAGAGATGGGGTTTCCACATGTTGGCGAGGCTGGTCTCAAACTCTTGACCTCAGGTGGTCTGCCCGCCTTGGCCTCACAAAGTGCAGGGATTACAGGTGTGAGCCACCATGCCTGGCCCATTTGTGTACTTTGTGTGGACACATGTTTTTATTTCTCTTGGGAAAATTTTTAGGAATGAGATTGCTGAATCATATGTATAGGTTTAATGTTTTCATTTCCTTTTTAAAAATAAAAAAAAATTTGTGCTATGTTGCCCAGGCTGGTCTCCAATTCCTGGGCTCATGTGATCCTCCCACCTCAGCCTCCTGAGTAGCAGGAATTACAGGCTGACACAGCTGCACCCAGCATAAGTTTAACTTTTTAAGGAACTGACACGCTGGTTTTCAAAGTGGTTGTACCCTTTCACCTTCCCACTGGCAGTGGGCGGGGGTCCCAGCTGCTCCTCTTGCCAGCATGTGGCATGAGAGGCTTTTCTTTTTATTGTGGTAAAATATACATAATGTAAAATTTACCATTTTAACCATTTCTATGTGTACAGTTCAGTGGCATTAATTACATTCACAGTGTTGTGCAACCATCACCACTGCCTGTTTCCAGAACCAACTTACTTGTTCCAAACAGAAATTCTGTACCCATTAGATAATAACTTCTCATTCTCCCTTCCTCCTACCCCCTAGCAATGTCCACTATGGGACGTATTTGATTTTTAATTTTACTTTTTTTTTTTTGTCTTGCTCTATCACCCAGGCTGGAGTGCAGTAGCACCATCACGGCCCACTTCAGCCTCAGCATCCTAGGCTCTAGCAGTCCTTCCATATCAGCCTCCTGAGTAGCTGGGACTACAGGCATGTGCCACTACACCCAGCTAATTTTTTATGTTTTGTAGAGATGGGTGGGGTCTTGCTGTGTTGTCTGGGCTGGTCTAACTCCTGGGCTGAAGTGATCCTCCCGCCTTGGCCTCTCAAAGTGCTGGGATTACAGGCATGAGCCACTGTGCCTGGCCCTTATTTTTTATTTTAGCCATTCTAATACTTATGTGATAGTATCTCATTGTCATTTTATTTGCATTTTCCTAATGATTAATGATGTTGAGCATCTTTTCATGTACAAATTTATTTGCCATCCATATATCTACTTTGGTGAAGTGGCTATTCAAATCTTTGACCATGTTTAGAAAATGAGTTATTCATGTTCTGATAATTGAGTTTTGAGGGTTCCTTATATACAGATAAAGGACTCATATATCTGAGTCCTTTAGCAGATATATGATTTGCAAATATTTTCTCCCAGTCTGTGGCTTGTCTTTTCATTCTCTTGGCAGTGTCTTTTGAAGAGCAGAAGTTTAATTTTGCGGGTCTTTCAGCCAAGCTCATGCACTCGCCCACTCTTGACCGCAGTCCCTGGCTTACTGCACTGCCATCTGCGCGCAGCCCGGCTCTTGCTCCCACCACAACACTGACGTGGTACCCACTAAGGCCAGCCAGTGGCTCTCACTCTGCCGAGTTCAGCAAATGTGTTGCAGATGGTATATGCCTGGGACCTTTCCCTGGATTTGACCCTGCAGGTCACTCACGACCTGGAACTGTGTTCCTCAGGGACCCCTGCTTCTCTCCCACCACTGTGATTGTGCCTTCTCTGTCTCCGTCTCCCACTCAGCAGTGATGCTTCCCAGGCACGCACCCTCTGCCCCCTTTATGTGCTCTCTGTGGTGCGATTTCCCTCATATTTGCTTTATGACCACCCCCAAGCCAGTGATACCCAGTCTCCAGCCCAGCCACCTTCCTGGACTCCAGTTGCGTGGACCCAGCTGAGCCCTGGAAGCTGCACCAGGAGGGCCAGCGCCACCCCCATTGACGTGTCCCCGTGAGAACTTTTCCCCAAACCCTCCCTCTCTAACCATCCCACGCCGTGTTGTTTCTGACCCCAGGGCCTTGTTCCTGCCATTCCTGCGGCCTGGTACACCTGCCCTAGGTTTCCTTTCCTTTTTCTTTTCCTTCATGCATCTCAAGCCGTCTCTCTTCCCGGAAGCTTTGCTGGGATTCCATCCTTGGGATCTTTCCTCTGTACTCATGGCCTGTAATACAGCTTAGCATGTACACACATCCTACGTGGAAACCATCTGTTTATATGCTTATTTCCCCCAATAGGTGGTAATTGCTTTGAGAGTCAATGTGACTTCTAATTTGTATTTTTGTCCCCCACATCTACAGGTGTGCCTGGAATGGATCTGGTGCTCGACAGATGATAGGTGATTCAGTTTCAGGGCTGGACCTGGGCCAGTCCCGAGCTTGTTTGTCCTCAGCTCCATTCTTGGCCACCTCCAGCCCTGCTCCGAGTGGCGGGGAGCTGACCCCATGGGCTGCCTTCCTCAGGCTCCCAGATCAGCTGGCTTCTGCCTGGGTTTAGCCAACAGGAGGCCCTGGCAGGAGACTGGATGGTGGGAGGAAGGGAGGAGCCAGGGTGTTTCTTTCCTTCTCTCCTCGGGTGGTAGCTCCAAAGTTTGTGTCTCTTGGCTCCTGTTAACACCACCTCCTCCCTTGTCCCTCCCGCAAAGGGCTGGCAGTGTGGCTTTCTGCTGGGCCTCTGTCTGGGTCACCACACCGCCCTGTTTGGCCTCTTGGCTCCTCTATCACCCGTGTGACCGATTCCCCACGTTAAATCCCCTCTCTTCGCAGCTCTAACAGTGTCTCCTTCTTTCTGGTTGGACCCTCACTCAGCCCAGCTGCCAGGGACTGTCCCCTCTGCTTGTACAGTGCTGGCCCAGCATTCACTTGTCCAGGAAATGCCTGGGTGAATGGCAGGCACATGGGCCAGGCTTCAACTTGCTCTGCCCTCGCCCTTTGGCCTTGAAGGTCCTGCCAGATACTCCACAGCGAAGCGAGGCCTGAGCCCTTGTGCTGGGGTTGCCAAGGGAGGGGTCTGGAGGTGGCAGCAAGTGGTGGGAGGGCAGGTTGGCAGTGCCAAGGACTCCTGTGCTCTGTGCATGGCCCTTTATCTATTAAGCCTGCTGAGTGGTAGACTCCAGTGTGGTCCCAGGTGGTGGGAAAATAGCATCTTTAATTGTGCTCGGAATGAGATTAACTTCTTATCTGACAGTTTGACATCTTTATTGTTATTAATACCCGAATAATGCATTGTTATTTTTATAAACTCCATGGTGGCAAACATTTTTCCTTTATTTGGATTAAAAGTAGGTGTATCTGTTACTTCCCCTCATTACCCTGGGCTGGAACTCAGGGTCTCTGGCTGGGGAGCAGGGACTGGGGTGAAGGGAAGCCCATCTGCCGAGTCCTCTCCCAAGTGGCAGAGGAGCCAGGCCCCAGAGCTGGTCACTTGGCAATAGCACAGTCAAGGTCTGGGCAAAGCCTCCTGGCCTCCATTCCCGCCTGGGAAGGCAGGATGCTCCCGGAGTCTTCCCTACTGGAGAGGCGGTGTTCTGGAATACAGAGCCTGGAGACTTTGTCCTGGACTTACTCAGGGGCTGTAAATGGAAGTACAGGTTCTCCACAGCATCAAGTGGATGGAGAAGGAAGACATAAAAAGTCAATATAAATGCCATGGAGGAATACCAAGGGCCCTCTGTGCACCTGTGTGTTCATTCATAAGTATTTGCTGATCACCTACTGTGTGCCGGATATGATGTTACGTGCTGGTATACGATGGGGCTGGCATCCAGAGTGCCCCTTTTGGGGGTGAGGTTGAAGGGAAGGGCAGGATAATACCAAAGTCAGGATCATGGCTCTTGAGTCAGGCTGCCTGGGCCCAAATCCTGGTATCCAGAGGTCCCAGGGCAAGTTCCTCAACCTCTCTGAGCCTCAATTTTTCTCGTCTGTAAAATGGAGATAAAAAAGTACTTACTTCCAACATTCTTGGGATCATCAAATACATGTGAAAACATTTGCTACACTGCCTGGGGCACAGAAGAACCCAACAATATTATGGATGATGATTGTAGCTGCAGCTCTAGACGTGGGGCCAGGCCCTTGCAGTATGGCTACTAGAGGGTCAGGTGAGCAGTGGGCAGGGGTGCCCACAGCTGGCCCCTGTGAGCATCAAGCTCCCTCCCCAGGGACCTGTTGCCCACTCCCAGGCCCCCTGGCTCCTCCACTTACCCAGTCGTTAGCCCAGCTGACAAGGATGATAATGCCTCTGCCTTGGAGAGCTGGCGCCGACGTCTTTATCAAAGCCAATATTAATTTTCACTAATTAGGAGCTGCCGCTAATGAGCGTCACAGCTAATTTAGCTCATCTATAACCTAGGAATGGCACTGCTCTCATGCCAGGCTCCAGAGTCCAGGATGTTGGTGCCCGCTCCCTCCCCCACCTCCTCTCCACAATGCCAGAGGCACCAGCTGCCAGTACAGCCTGTTCCCACATGCCACCAGGGCCAGCTTGTTCTGCAGAGGGTCCAGTGGCCTTCACCTCCAGGGAGCCCTCAGGGTGGGGCCAAAGGGAAAATCCCTAAGGAAGGGGTCAGAGTATGTGCCAATCAGCTCCAGGAGTAAGTTTGAAACAGGAGGTTCAGTCTGGGAGGCTTCCTTTTTATTAGGGTACCATCCCTGCTGAGGCTTTGGCTCTGTCAGTTCTAATGCCTCTGTCGCCTCCTTCAGGAAGCCTTCAGAGACCACCTTAGCCCACAGAGACCTTTCCCCACTTAGTAGAGCTCTCACTGGTCAAACATTTGGCAGCAAACAGCGTTTGCCATGTTGCCTTCTCCTGGGAGACAGTGGAATACGGTGCTCAGAAGGTGGGCCTTGCATTCTGGCAACTAGCAGCTGTTAGACCTGTGCCTCAGTTTCCTCTCTGGTAAAATGGAGAAAATAACATATTGCTCATTAGGGGCACGGGGTGGGTGAGATGAGCCAGTGCATTGCCACGATCGTTGCTTTTAACTTTCCCATTGTGTTTCACAGGTCCACATGCATCTTCTGGTAGTCTTTCCTTCTTAAGAGAACTTACTTGTCCTTGCGCTCCTCTGTGTGCTCAGCACAGACAGGGGTTGTGCTCAGAGCAGACAGCAGGTCAAGAGCCCCGGCTAGCAGGCCGAGCCCCCAGCGCATGCCAAGTAACTGTTGAATGAATGAATAAACCTGGATTCTTACTTCTTTCTGAGCCTTAGTTTCCCCATCTGTAAAATGGGGCCATTGGCTTGGTCAATGTCTAAGACTGCTCTCATCTCTTTCATTCAAGACCCTTGATGACTTCAAGTAAGAATTTGGTGAGTGGATGGATGCTGGCTTCTGCCTCTCACTAGGAAGACGGGAATGGTGACTATTTGCCCCTCCAGGCCCTGCAGGGTGCCTTCCAGTTCTCAGATGGGGACTGAGAGTAGCTGCTGGTCAGAGCTGTGTAACCTTAGTGCAGGGCTGCTTTTCTGGGCCAGTGTGGCTCTCTTCTCACCACCAGCACAGGGAGGCATTCACCTGGCTTAGCCCTCAGACACACGACATCCGCAGGAGCTGCCCAGGAGCGTCCCTGACCTCTCCAGCCTGCTGGGACCTCCCAAGTGTGAGCATCACAGTGGGGAGGGCGGGGTAGGAAGAGAGAAAGCACTTGGGGGATGGTCTTAGACTCTCTGGTTTGGAGTTCCTGTTCCTGCTTCCCTTTCTGTTTCCTGTGTGCAGCCTGAGCTCTTGGCTCCCGAGAGGGGAGGGTCTAGGAGGGCGGTTGAGGACAGCTTTTTTGCACTTATCACCTCTGAAAAGCGACCTTCAGGCTGAGCCAACTTTGGGGGAAGAGCCTTCAGGCGTGACAGATTTGACTATAAATCTTCGGTATTAATGCCCGGTTCCCAAGGTCTGTCATCCTGTATGCCCGCGTGACAATTGAAAACAGTGTGAGGCCCATCTGTCACCCGAGGGGTCCCCGTCCCCTGCTGGCTTTGCCTGAGCAGGGATGGCAGGCTGGGAGGCAGGGGTATGAAGGAAAAGGTAGGGAGGATCTGGCCAGTGACAGGGTTGGGGATTGCAGCCAATAGCTGGAATGCAGGCCCTGAGGGGCGGAGGCTGGAAGGCAGGGAGCAGGCCCCAGTTCCATGCCTGGGGTCAGAAGCCTGCAGGCAGGTGGGAAGAATGTCACCCTGCAGGAGCCGGGGCCTGGGGTTATCTCTGGCTCCATTTCCCATCTGCCATGTGGCCTAGGCAGGTTGGCTGCCCTCCCTGGGCCTCAGTTTCCACTCTTCAAAGCAAGGGGGTGGCTGAGATGGTTTCTGAGGTCCTTTGTCCTCTGGTCGTTCATGTGGAGCCCCCACCTCCCTGGCAGCTCCCAGACATTTGGTGATTGGTTTGATGGGAGCTGAGGATAACTGTACAGAGACACAGAGCACGCAGGTGGGGAGGGACTATTTAAATAGGGCATCAACAATGCAAGGGGAGTTTTCCTTCCCCCTCCCAGGAAAAGTACAGGATGCTGCAGTTCATGGCTGCATCTTTCATGCACATGCCCCCGTCCCCACCCCTTCATGCAGAGGAGGACTGTGTCTTTGTTATCTCCTCATCTTGAACCTGGTAATAGCAAGTCGGCGATTTGGGAGAATCTGAGACTTGTGTCTGAAAGGATCTTCCAGTATCTCTAGCCCAGGCTTCTCACTGTATTGAGAAGGAACCCAGGGCCCGGAGAAGGGAAGTGACATGCTCAAGGTCACATGGCAGATGGCTGGGTAGGAAGCCAAGAAAGGGGCAAGATGTGTCCCCAGCTCCAATTTGCTCCTGAGGATTCTCTGGAAAGATTTGGGGCTGGAACAGACACTTCAAGTACAAATGGAAAACCACTGACTTGGCCAAGAGGACAGAGGATGGGAGCACCAGCAGCTTAAGAGAGGGTTTGTCTGCCCCTACTTTCAACTTCCTATTTGTACTTTTGATTTCAAGTGTGCAATATATCACATAGACAGAAGGGTGTATCGTAGAACCTGGATATACGAGTTAAAGAAAACACATGTATGATAAACCAAACACATGTATGATCTCACCCTGGACATTGCCAGGAACTTCAAAGCACCCCCTTTGGCGTGCTGGCTTGACCTGCTCCCTCCTGCTCCCAGCCGGACACGCCTCCTCTCATGGCTCTTCCAGAGTGAGAACATTCCTGAGAGAATCTGGGAACAGTGCCTTGGCTGAGAGGAGCACTGGAAATGTTAGGGCTGTTCTACCCTTGACCTTGAATGAGATCCCAGAGGGAGCCACTCCTCAATCTTTGCTTCTTGAGATCTGTGCAGCATCCCACATGACCGACCCCTAACTCTTCTCCATCTTCCTCCTTGGCCTTCATCCAAGGCTCACTTGGGAGGTCCCAGCAGGGTAGAGAAACCAGGGACGCTCCTGGGCAGTTCCTGCAGATGTTGTGTGTCTGAGGGCTAAGCCAGGTGAATGCCTCCCTTTGTTTTTGTTTTTGTTTTTTTGAAATGGAGTCTTGCTCTATCACCCAGGCTGGAGTGCATTGGCGCGATCTCTGCTTACTGCAACCTCCGCCTCCCAGGTTCAAGCGATTCTCCTGCCTCAGCTTCCCGAGCAGATGGGATTACAGGCACCTGCCACCATGCCCGGCTAATTTTTGTATTTTTGGTAGAGATGGGATTTCACCATGTTGGCCAGGCTGGTCTCAAACTCCTGACCTCAGGTGATCCACCTGCCTCGGCCTCCCAAAGTGTTAGGATTATAGGCGTGAGCCACCGCGCCCAGCCCCAGGCTCCTCTTTGAATCTTCCTCAGGCCTCTGTCTTCAGCCCCTTCCCTGCTCCCTCTACAATCCTTTCTTCTGGACCTCACCACTCTCATGGCTTCGGCTGCCATGTGCAGGGTCCAGCTCCAAAAACCTCCTCCAGCCCATCCTGTATCCTGAGAGCACTGAACGAGCATGCCCTGCATCTTACTCGAGACATCTGCAAGCACCTCAGACACCAAGTCTTTCTTCTCCCTCTCATCCAACATTCAGTTCGTTGCCTAAGCCAGAGCTTTGTATGCCAACTTTCTTGTTCTTAAACCAATTCACTAAGTCACTAGATCTTGCTGTTTCTACTTGTGAAATGTCGCTCACACTGCCTGTCCCTTTCTCTCTCTGCTGGGCTCTTATTATCCCGGCTTAGGCAGGACTGGTAAATCCCCAGCACTGATGCCACATTTCTCCTATCACGTGCCCGGGCCAGACATCACTACTCTATCATGGTACTTTTTCTCTTCTCCACACAGTACCCCAGGCAGCCCCTACCAATCTATGAGAATTGGCACATAAGATAAAAGTGATTTGCTATTTATGGCCTAGGTTTCATAATAACCTTCCAACTAGTCTCCTTGCTTTCAGTGTCTGTCCACACAAATCTGTCTTCTACATGTCTGCCAAAAGAATCTTCTAAAAGTACAAAAGAAGCCAGGTTATCCTTCTATTTTAAAGTCCTTTCATAGCTCTCTTTTGCCAACAGGATAGAATAAAAGCTTCTTAGCCTGGCATACATACTCTGCCGAGTGCTCTCAGCTTCTCACCGTCATCTCTTACCACTGTATGGTTGACCCCCTCCCTCCTGCTGTGCCTGGAGATTCACAGTTCTATTGATGCATCATGCAACCTTACACCTCAGGGCCTTTGCACCTGCAGTTCCCTCTGCCTAGTGCCCTCCCCTTCCTCAGCCTCCTGATGATGCCTTCTCATCCTTCAAGGTCCTATCTTCCTGCACTGCCATGGCCCCTTCCCCTGTCACAGGGAGTTGTCCCCCTCGGTTCTCCTGGAGCATCCTGAGCAGCCCTGCATGATAGAGCTTGTCACTGAGGTTCATTTGCAATTTCTGCTGCATCTGGTTCATTTTACATCTCCAGGATCTGGTGCTGGTCCAGGCAAACATGGCCCCAGGTAGTTCATTAGATGCTGTTGGGGCAGGGGTCTGGATCCCATGCCTCCCCTGCCCCCTCCCATCTATCTCTGGTCTCTGGTGCTGCTCTCCTTGGCTAAGGGTCACCCCAAATTCAATGGTACATTAGTAACTCCAGTGGCTGTGGAGGAATCTAAGAGCCCGTCTCCAAAGCCTGAAATATATAAATGAAAACATTTTCATATTTTCTTAGAGCCCCTCCTTAACAAATGACTTGGCCAAAAACAAGGTCTTTTCTTCTTCTTTTTTATAAGAATGGAAAGCCTGAGCAGGCATGGTTTATTTGTCCTGTTATTTTTTATGTCTGTTCATGGGTCACATGGAGACTTTATGCATTTGGGTTGAGAGAGGAAGGGAGTGGCCATTTACCGAGTGTCCACTTCAAGGAGGGGACTTCCACGTATGGTTCTTCACTGAGTCCTCAGAACAGCCTTGAGAAACTAAATAATTGTCCCCATTATGTAAGATGAGGCTCAGAGAGGTTAAGTGCCCTGACCGGGCTCACACAGCAGGTAATTAAAGGAGGCAGGATTCAAACCCAGGTTTGGCTGTCTCCCAAACTCATATCCAGACTGATTTCTTCCAGACTGATCTCTAGGCTGCTCATGTGAAGGGGGAGCGAAGGCAGAGCTAACATTTTGGGGTTTCCTCATGCTCATTTCTTACCTCTTCTCTCTTGTCTCAGGGTTCCTCAGGGAACCCGCAGTGTGGACACCTTCAGGAGGTTTTTGTCTAAGGATTTGGGGGCGGGTGAACTGAATCCCGCAGGAAAGCAGGAGTGAGAGGGGAAGGGACTGCGGCCAAGGTGAGCCTGTCCATCTGCAGGAGCCTTGCAAGGGGCAGAGTGGATTTGGAGAGACACAACAGGCTCTCTTGAGCCAGGAAGGCTTCCTGCTCCTGCTAATGCCATAAAGCCCACCATTAGGGAGCCATTCCTTTGGGTTTTTATACTTTTGATTCTTCAAAAGGTAACGTGCTCCTGGGAAGCCTCACATCTTACCCAGGTTATTGGGTCATGACTTGGGTGAGGGTCTGCCCCTGCCAGGAAGTTAGAGAGCAGGGGCCCGGTGAGGATCAGGGGCAGGGAAACCAAGCTGGGGTGATGCTGGGGTGGGGAAGGGAAGGGGAGGATGCCAGCAGCATACACTCCTGTGGGAGCAGCGGAGAGGCTGGGATGTGTGTGTGCATCCATAAGGGGACTGGATTTAGGGGCTCGGGGAGCCATAGGTCAGAGACATGGCTGAGATGATGTTCCTGTTAGTATCATCACAGGGGCTTCACACAGTCAAGGCTCACACAAAATGCAAATTGGGTGACTCTCTGGATACCTGCCTGCCACGTGGTAATCCAGCGATCCACCTGCTTCAGTCCCATGACTCTGCTGCTGTCTCAACATGTTGCCTCTAGAATCCACCGTGGCACAGGGAGGAGGGGTGGAGAGAAGCACCTCTGCTCCCCCACACCTTAGCTGGGAGGTGACACAGGTCATTTCCTCCTGTGGCCCATTGGCCAGACCTAGTGCATGGCCCCCCTGAAGTGCCAGGGGACTGGAAAATGAGGGGTTGCTCGAGATTCTCAGGGAGTGGGTGGCCGGGCAGGACCTGTGGTGTTCAGTCTGCAGCGCGTCTGCCCACATTCCCGTTCTGTCCTTACCCCAGTCTGGCCCTATCGTTTCTGCAGCAGTTTATTCAACAAGCACTTAAGCCAGGCTGTACTCTGGGAGGACAGTGGTGAGCAGGATGCAGACACTGCTGTCCGGGTCGGACGGGGGCTAGACTAACATCAGCCAACCCATCTCGAAAGTGAGGCCCAGCACAGGCTGCTCTGAAGGCCTGCTGGAGCCTGGGCTGTTGGAGAGGCATTGAGGTGGCTGCTGCATTGGAGCTGAGACTTGAGGGACAACTTGGATGTGAGGATGGAGGAGTGTTTCCAGTGAGGAGGGCAGAGGAACAAAGGTATGAAGGCAAGATGGAGCAGGACCTGCTGCACACATCAGGGATGGCGTCCACGACCTGTGAGCCAGGAGCCACTGCTGGGGCTGGTGAGGAAACAGATGGGGTCAGGATACTGAGTGCAGAGAAGGCTGGAGGAGCCAGGATGAGTGTAGGGAGACTGGATGGGGGCGGCTGTGTGGTCTCGGCTCACACAAGAAGAAGGACATGATGGAGATGGGTTATATTTGGGGGTGGACTCGATAGCACTTGCCAAAGGAATGATATGAGGGAGATGGAAGAATCTAGGATGGCTCCCAGTGTCTGGTTTTTGGAGCTGGACAGGTAGTGATGTCTTCCACGGACCCCTTCGGAGGAAAATGGAAGTTCCATTTTAGACTTGCTGGCTTTGGGTATCCAAGTGGATGTGTTGAGATGGCTTTGTGAAAATCTGCAGCCTGACAGCCTGGGAAACTTGGGGTGGGGTTGAGGTTGGGAAAGGGGACTTTGAGATCCCTGGGGAGCCCCATTTCCCGTTGCCCAGCTGTGGCCTGGGTGGCAGCCCCATTTTCATGGCTGGAGGGCTGGAACTTTGCTCTGCTCATGGGTGCACTGGCTTATCCTGGGTGTCTGCAGGGCCCCAGCACAGTCACCGGCACCCTGCTAAACAGATTCATTAAAAGGGAGGGAGTTCCCTGCCTCCAGAGGGTGCAGAGCAGCCAGGATGAGCGAAGGGGTGAAGGCATTAACTGGGCCTTCCCTGGAACAGGCAGTCTGCTGCCAGCTCACAGCCACCCTTGGGAGTCAGGAAATGGGGAAAGGAGAGGTGTGTGATGGTGGGGGGAAAGGCAGGAGACCCCACATGGCCCCACCAAAGAGAACAGGGTTTGAGGCAGTGTCTAAATGGCGCCTCTTCTCAGGGTGCACGTGAGATAAGAGTGGCTGGGGCCCTGGGTGCCTTAGGCTAGGCTCACCTTCCACATCCCTCCCCTTTTGGGTGTCATTCAGCAGATAGTGTGGTCAGTACCAGCCTCTGTCTAAATGGTGGACAAATAGGTCCAGGTAGGAAAGCTTTTAAGTGCTGGAAGCTGGGAAATTACTGGACGTGGCAAATGGGAGCAAAGGACTTCTTGGATCAGTTTCTCCTCCACAATTCCATCCTGAGCCAAGCTCCCAACATCTGGGGGCTTCCTCTCCTTCAGCTCGCAGAGCTAACCCTTGAGACGTGGCTGCGTGTGGGGTCCTGTGGGGCAGCCCTGAGTCTCGCACTGTGTGGGGTCCTCTTGCCTACATGGGTGACTGAGCCCCTGCCAGCCCACAGCAGCGGGCTTGTGTGGCATCTGCTTTAGGTCAGCTTCCTGCTGAGTGGCCAGGAGAGCCTGGGCTGCAAAGGGTGGGGGGAGTCGGGGCTGGCGTGAGTGTGAGTCCTCTTCCCACCCTCCCCGTCCAGAGCATCAGGAGCCTGACTGAGGCCCTTCGCAATGAGGGCCTGGCCAAGTCCCTGGTGGCGGTCCCCATTCTGTGATTCGCCATCCCCATGACCATAGCGGGCTTCCAGGTATGAGGCCCACTGCCAAAGCCTTCCCCCACCTTCCTTCCTCCTTTCTGCCTTCCCTCTCTTTCTTCCTTGCTCCCTTCGTCACTTTCTTCCTCCCTCCTTTTCTCCCTCTGTCTCTTTCCCTCCCCTTCTCTCCTTTCTCCCTTTGCATTTCTTTATTCCCTCTAGTATTGAACTTCCAAAGTAGAGTTCCCTGTCATAAAGGACCTCAGGTCCCAGAATCCCTTGCAGGTCTACCCCTCCCCACCTACCTGGACCCCTGCCCCAACAAAGATACCTCTCTATCTTCTTCTTCTTAGCATAGGACTGCTTTAAAGTTGATGCCAGAAGTTTCTTGACCCTTGGGAAGCCTCCTGTTCTCTAGGCCATAGTGGACACCTGAGGTTGGGGGGACAGGCCCCATAGGAATGGGAGAGGCTGCCTCCTCCACCCCATTGGTGGGGGTGTGCCAGTGCTCAGGACCACCTGTGGGGGCACTGGACTGCTGGGCAGGTGGAGGGGTTAGGGGTATCATCAATGCTGCTGGGCTGGTTTGTTTCAGATCTCTTGCCTCCAAAAAGACCTGGGGGCACTTAGCAGGAAAAGCCGAGTGCGAATGGAGACACAGGAGGATAAAATATTGTGGCTCATCCGGAGGAAGCAGAGGGATTAGGTGGTGTCAGGTGCCCGAGTTGAGCGGATTACAACATTTGGGGCATTGCATTTGGCCCTAAGTTTTCTGACAGTTAAATCCAAGAGGGAGCCATCCTGAAGTGTTTCCAGGCAACAGAAAGCGTGCCCATTAATCTGTAGAGCAGTTTTTCTCTGTGGAAGTAAATCTCCAGCAGGAATTGATCATGTGGGTCTTGGTACAAAGGACATTGAGAGGTGCAGTCAACAGCATCTTCAGCTGCAGTTTTGCAGAAGATACAAAAATGCTGTTCAGTGGCCCGTCCTGGCGGATGGAGGCAGGGGTCTAACATTAAATCACAACTCAGCTGGGGCCTGGGTGCCAGTAAGGCTGGGGCTGGGGGCTTTGCCTTCTGGGAAGCTCCCTGGATGCCAGGCTGTCCTTAGGACTTGGTGACCCACCCCAGCATAACTGTGCATTCACTCTCACCCTTCCAGGGGTGACGTTCAACATGCTCACTTACCTATCCAGCATGGGACACCCAAGCCCACAAGAGGCTGGTGGGGAGGGTTGAACTTTTTGGGGAGCAGGCCCAGGCAGCGGGGTGGGAGTGCCTAGGACAGCAGCTCTTTATCAATCTGCAGATGGTGTTGGACATTTTAACAACCAGTGTGGCTATTCTGGTGATTCCCAGCTGGGTCTCAACCCCGCCCCTCATCTTGCTCCTCACTTTGCCAGTCTCTCTGCCCTGTTCCCAGCCTCCCTCAAGAACCCAGGCGAGCACCATCTCTCTTCTTCCACTCTGGCACTTTCCCCCACTAGCTCCCACGTGCAAGTGCGTCTTAATCACTGCAGTCATGGGATGAGGGAGAAGCTCCTCACCCTTTCCTGGGCCTTCGCCGTCCTAAGGGCTGGTCCCTGGGCTCAGCCTTTTAGGTGCATCAGCTGATTTAATCCTCCTAGTGGCCTGTGTGGTGGATGCAATCCTACACCCATTTTTCAGGTGGGGAACTGAGGCATAGAGAGTTTAAGTGCCAGTCCTGGGACTAGGTAATGCAAAAATCACTGTTTTGGTGTACATGCTCACACACATTTCCTGTGTTTCTGTGTTCACTCTCCCCCCACACACATGTTCACTCTCCCCCCACACACATGTGCCTGTGCACACACACATGCCCCCTCACATGCACATTTTTACATCCTTGCTGCGGAGCCTTCAAAGGAGGTGCTGGGTCTTGTCCTCCAGCCCGAGCGCACCTGTGGAAATCATGGTTCTGGGATCCTCCCACCATTCCACACCTCCCACGGCCACAGCGTGCAGCTGTGGTCCCAGGGCCTGTATCTGGATGTGGGGGGTGAGGGCTTGAGGCATGGTGGCCCCATTACTCACAGGTGGGAGGACGCGAGAACAGTCGAGCCGCTCTTAAATATCTCTCCACGTCGTCCTCATTAATAACTGTAATGCCAGCATCATTTGCTCTTAAATAGCTTCATTTATCAACAAGCAATTTGCCGTGGCGAGGTGGTAGGGACGCAGATAAGCAGACAGGGCCAAAGTGCTTGCAAGACACCTGCCAAGTACCGTCCTCTCTCTTCCTCCATCTCCCAGGGGAGCAGGAGAAAGAGGAGGCAGCGGCAGGAAACTTAACAGGAGGTGTTCCTCCAACCCAGAGAGGGGCCGCAGGATCACCTTTTTCCAGACTCAGAGGAGCTGGGCAGCACAGGACAGGCTGGCTGCTGGGGAGGCTGGCACTCCCTGGGCCCCGGCGTTTGTGTGGCACTCAGGGAATGCTCTGACAGCTCTTTCAGCCGCGTGCAGGACTGAGAGTCAGGAGGTCAGAGCCCGGCCCTGCTCTGCCATCTCCTGGTGGTGACCTTGGGGGTGCCTTTGGACCACCCACTGTGTCATTTGTAAACATTATCAGCAATGCTGGGCATCCTCTATCTTGTTTCTGATCTCAAAAGGACTGTGTCTAAAGTTTTTTTCATTAAGTGCAATGCCTGCTGTAGGTTTTTGGTATATACATTCTGTTGAGTTAAGGATGTTCCCTTCTATTCCTAGTTTGCTGGGGTTTTATTACAAATAGGTGTTGACTTTCTCCTATGCATTGATGTCTGTAAAATGGGGACTTGAATGAGCAACTTACATACAAGTTCATGTACACACTAAAGGGCTGTGTCATTTAGGAGTGTATTGGCTGCAAGTTACAGAAAATTGGCTGGCAGTGGTGTCCACAAATAGGGGTGTGTGTTTTTCTTTCTTTTCGTTTCTTTTTTCTTTTTTTTTTTTTTTTTTTGTGGGACGGAGTCTTGCTCTGTCACCCAGGCTGGAGGGCAGTGGTGCGATCTCGGCTTACGGCAACCTCCGCCTCCCAGGTTCAAGTGATTCTCCTGCCTCAGCCTCCTGAGTAGCTGGGACTACAGGTATGTGCCACCATGCCCGGCTAATTTTTGTATTTTTAGTAGAGACGGGGTTTCACCGTGTTAGCCAGCATGGTCTCAATCTCCTGACCTCGTGATCCACCTGCCTCGGCTTCCCAAAGTGCTGGGATCACAGGAGTGAGCCACTGCGCCTGGCTGGGTGTGTGTTTTTCTTATAAAAAGTGGTCTGAAAGTTGGTGGTTGCAGAGTTGGTTGGCTCAGGGAATGAATGACACCATTAGAGACCTCAGCTTTTTCTGTCTTTGGCCATCCGTCCTGCATTGACCTTTTGTGCTCAGGCTGCCATGTCTGCGACATTCCAGGCAGGTGCAAGGGAGGAGGAGCTGAAAGCTCTTTGTTTGAGAGGATATTCCCACCTGCTCCCAAGCCAACTTCCCCTTCCATCTCATTGGCCAGAGTCAGCCAGGGCAGGTGAGGCTGTTTGACTGCCCCAGCCCAGCAATGATTCATGCCCCGAGGCAGGAGATGGTCCTACCTCCACTGGCTGTCTGAACAGATTGGGGCTGTGTGGGCAGAGAAGCAGTGTGGGGTGGGATGGGCGTGGTTGCCAGGTAGGCACATCTGCCATTGTGGGTGGTCATGCTGGAGTCCCTTACTCCAGATGGGTGTCATCCTGCCCTCAGGGTGCTCCAATTCTATGACAAAGCCACATTTGAACAGGAGGTTGTCCAGGCGTCTCAGTCTGAGATGCTCATGCCCAGCTGGCACTTGAGAAGCCACAGAGAAGTCTGACTTATCTTCCTGGGGGACTAATTTTATTTGCAAATGGATGGAGAAAGAAAAATTTTATATTAAAAGAAGCATCAATATATTTGGAGTAGAAGACAGAGTTTATGTAGATTTTCAGGTCAGACCCACTTGACCCTAAGCTCCTGGAGCCACGCCTGTCCTGTCATTATGTAGATGTCAGTGACAACTTATTGAATGGATAAATGGGAGAATTAAGCTGCGAAGACATTATTAAACACAAGACTCTGAATCAATTTCATCTTTGGGGTCTGCCTCTTTGGGGTCCTTATTTCCAGAGGTACTAGTCCCTGTCTCCTCTGCATCTAGGGATGTTTTGATGTGAATTACTGAATGAACAGGTTATTTGGTGGAGACTCTAGGCACTCTGGGATTACAGAGGAAAGGGAGGCAGAAGAATGAATGTGTGACCATCAGGGAAGGCTTCCTGGAGGGGGTGGGCCTTGAACTGGGAAAGATGGGATGAGAGGAGGGGAGCAGCCTGGTGCTTTTGTAGCACAGGCCAGCCTAGAGTGGGGGCAGGAGGCGGGGATTATGAGGGGACACATGACAGGGGCTCGAGGGGACACATGACAGGGGCTCAGCTGCAAGTAATGTGGCATAAGGTGACATCACTGTCTACCAGGGTTTCCCCAAATATCATCTTACACCAGACCTCCAGCAGAGTAGGACAGGTATCATAGTCCTCATTTTCTAGATGGGAAACGGAGGCTCAGGCCATAGCCACAGTTGCATGGTCAGTAGGGGGCGCAGCTGGACCTGACCTGGTGTGTCAAACTCCAGCGCTGTACTCTTGGGCTACTCTTCATTGTCCTAGGCCAGGGTCTCTAGAGACAGACTGAGCTGGAAATTGCTGTGCAGGAGGCTTACGGGGGTGTGCAGGAGTGAGGGAGCAGGACTGGGCAGAGGGAGAAGTGGAGCTGCAATGCAGCTGCTGGAAAGGCCTCAGCCGACCCTCTGGGGAGCCCTGGGGAGGGGCTGATCCCTGCTGAGCAAGAGAGCCAGGCCTTGGTACCTTCCCACCAATCACTCATTGGGCACAGACTGCCCACTGGGAGGGACACAACCCTGGGCCAGGCATATGCTCTGTACCCCTTCCCCTGTTGGCCTCCCCCACCTCCCCAAGGTGCATCTAGAACCAGCTGTTTCCCCTGCCTGGAATGGCCTTCTCTGCTCTCTCACCTCTCACCTCCAACTCATCCTCCAGGTCCAAGTTCACACGTCATTTCCTTTATCTCTAAAATCTACTGTCAGAGATATAGCAAAGTGCAAGACAGTAGACTACTACGTGTGTAAAAAAGAGAAATAAAGTGTATATAAATATATATGAGTGTGTATATGTGTATACAGATGACCCTTGAGCAATGTGGGGGTTAGGGGTGCTGACCACCACACAGTCAGAAATCCTCATATAACTTTTGACTCCCTGAGAACTTAGCCCAAGCCGTTCAGACCCGTGTTGTTCAAGGGTCAGCTGTACATGCACATACATACTTGCTTACATGGACGTGACATAAGCGTGTCTCTAGAAAGAGACATAAGAAACTGCAAACAGCGGTTCTTGCAAAGGGCTGGATGGGTAGGAGGCTCTGTGTTCCTTTTGAATTTTGAATTATGTAAATTAATGGCATAATAAAATTTAAATGAATCAAATAATTATTAAAAACACAAGTTTAAAAAGAATCGTTAAATCATTTGGTGGGGTGGGGCCTAACTGCTCACTTTTCTCCGTATGGCCCTTATCACCATGGTAATGAAATAATTCATGGTGTGGTTATTTATTTAGAGTTTGTTTCCACCCCCTGGTTGTAAGTGGTCTTGCCCACCATGGGAACCCCATGCCTAGACACCCTGGTGAGCCTTGGAGGATAACCAGTCATCATCCTCAGGCCAGCTACTATTCTCACCTCTCTCCTTCTCCCACCCCATGCATAAAAACAGCCTACTTCCTTCTCATTTTTTGCTTATTAATGCTCTTTATGACCACTTATGCATCCAGCCTAGAGGCCCTTGCATAATATATCCACCCTGTGCGTACACCATCATTGCATACATAATATGGCAACATCTGCACTCCTCAGGCCTTGGCCCCTGCCCCTCTCTGTACCTTTCTGGGAACCTCAGCTATTGTCCACTAGGTACCAACTCTGTGCCCTTCAAGGGGCCAGGCCCTGGGTCATAGTCAGGCCTGCAGGAGAGTGGGAGATGGACCATCAACAGTTGTTTTGTGTGGCTGAATCTGCCAGTGAGCACAGGCAGCATGGAGGGAAAGTCAGGAGGTGCCTGGGTGGAAGTGTGGAGGAAAGGCATTTACTAAGAGAAAGGAGGTAAAAGGTTTTCCAGACAGAGGAACTTTGGCCTGGCACCTTCTCCTGAGTACAAGATGCCGTAAATTTGGGTACAGCTCCTAGAGAAAAAGATGGGAATCTTTCTGCGCAGGAGTGAGGGCTACCTGCCAATCTTGGACCTGAGTCACTGAGATTGGCAGCAGAACCTTTTCTAGTGCTGCCCTGGCCACTTTAACACCCCTTTTCCTGGTCCATCTGACTTGTCAATCATTTCATCCCTCCAAACCGATAGTATACCCATGATCCATCTGCTGCATTCTGTTCCCAGCCTTGATTTGTTTGACCCACTCAGAGTTTCTTTAAACATCTGATTGTTAAGACTTAAACATTGAAATGTTTCTTGCAAACATGAATTTCCAGTTTTTGTTGATTGCACCTGGCAACAATCAGTGGGAACTGAGAAAGCTCCCTGCCTTAAACGGGACATATGTGCCCTGCAACTCACTACATTGTTCACCTGAACTTCTTTCTTCATCTTTTTTTCCTACTTATCCCTAGTGGCATTGACTAATTAAATAGCCTGAACATGTCTGTATCATTCTTGTTCTTAAAAGATATTTTTGCTTAATATGGAATTCTAGGTTGCCATTTACTTTCAGTACTTTGAAGTACCTTTCAGTACTTTCAGTCTATTGACTTTGGGATCCACTGTGATCATTGAGAAATCACCTGTAAGTTTAAATGTTGGTACCTTGAAGGTAGTCTGTTTTTCTTCTTTGGTTGCCTTTAAAATACTCTGTTTTTCTTTGGTATTCTGAAGTTTTACTATGACCTATCTGGGTTTGAATTTCTATTTATTTATCCTGCTGGATTTCATTTGTCTTCTTTAATCTATGGAGTTTTTGATTAATTCTGGAACGTTCTCAGCCATTATCTCTTCAAATATTGCATCTGCTCCATTCTTTGCTTCTGGAATCTCAGTTAAATGTAAGTTAGATCATTTATTGTATCCTCCATTCTTCTTAGCCTTTCTGTTGTATTTTCCATCTCTAACCCCTCTGTGTGGCGTTCTGGGTAATTTCTTCAATTTTACCTTTCAATTCACTAATTCTCTTTCCAGCTATGTCTAATCCTCTACAAAGCTAATGTGTTTGAAATTCAAATGATCATATTTTGATTCCTAAGGGCTCTATTTGACCCTTTAAAAATTTTCCTTGGTCTTTACTGGTATTTGCAAGCCTCTCTTTCCATTATTGAAACACAGTAAACATGTTTTACATTCTATGCCTGATAATTGTAATATCTGAACTATTTGAGGGCCTGATTATGCCATCTATTTTTTTCTTTAGGTTTTCATTCACAGTGCCTCGGGGTGTGTGTGTGTGTGTGTGTGTGTGTGTGTGTGTGTGTGTGAATTTTGACTGTGAGCTACTCATTTGGTTGGTTGAGAGAGTGATTCTTTGAGACCTGAGATAAAGGTCAGAGTTCCTCCAGAGGGAATTTGTATTTGTTTTTCTTAAGCACTTAAGCTCACTACTTGTCTGGGACTACTTTAAATTAAATTCTTCACTTAAGGATTTTAGATACCCAGGCCGTGTGAATTTGGGCTGCAAATGCAGATGTGGGCCATTAGGGTTACAAATCCTTAAGAGTCACGTTCCCCTCTCTATTCAGCACCACGATTTCAGAGAGTTCATTTTCTTTTCTTTCTTTTTTTTAAAGACTGGCTTGTGTGGGGGTATGAATTTATTTCTAGTCACTCTGACAATAAGGGGGAGGTTCTTTGGGGTGCCTGCTTGAGGGGGGTGTTTCCTATTAGACCCCTATGCTGGGTGGGGCAAGATTCTGCCTTAGGCCTTTTCTCCTCTTTTCTGGGCCCCGGGGACTGTAATAATGAAAACTTGGGTTTACCTGGTTCTGTAAATGACCCAGCCTCTCTGAGTTTCTTCCTTCATTTAGTATTTGACCTGAGTATTCTTGATTTTTTTATCAGCTCATTTATTCATTTAATACGTTTAAACACATTTTATCTGCTATTTTCAGTTGTTTGCAAATTTCAAGTTGATCCAGGTACCTACTGCATGTTATTAGAATCAGAAATCATGACCACTTAAACTATGGCCTATTTGAGAGCAGGATTTTTTTCTATTTATCTTATGACTTTTGTTGATTCTCATTGTCCAGGGTTGTGTCTGGCACACATACTGAAGCCACATGGTAGGTCCTCCGTAAACGTTAATTGAGTAACAAGTGCCTGAGTAGGTGAGTGAATAATGAGTAGATTAGTTGATAAAATGGGAGATCGTCATATTACATAGGAGGAAATTGAGGCCCAAAGAGGCCAAGTAACTTTCCAAAGCTGAACAGTAGTTGATAGCTGAGCCAGGGCTACACGAATGAGGGTCATTAGGGACAGCCAGGGCCTGGCTCAGAACAGGCCACCCTGATATCTTATGAATGACTTGGGAAATAATAGTAACGACTGACACTTATTGAACATGGACTTATGTGTTTGTTAGACACTTTTTAAAGCTTTACATGTATTAATTCTCACAACAAGCTTGTGTAGTAGATACTGTTATTATTCCCATTTTACAGATGAGGAAACTGAGGCACAGGGAGGCAAAGTAACTTGTCCAAGGTCACTCAGCTTGTAAAAGTGGCAGATCCAGGATTGAAACACAAGCAAATCTAGCTGCAGAGCCCACCCTCCCAACTGCTGTATTAAGAGGGGCTGAGATCACACCTCTGCACTCCAGCCTGGACAACAGAGCGAGACTCCATCGCAAAAAAAATAAAATAAAATAAAAAGAGGGGCTGTAACCAGTCTTGGCTCCCCCACCAACCTGGGTGCCATTCCAGGTAGCCGTGCACCAAATGCATCGATTGGGTGCTTTAAAGTCAGGCTGGGAGCTCCTCGCGTCATGTGATCACAGATTGAGATTGATTGGTGGAGGTCTGCCCTGAGACCCTCCTTCCACACACTGGCTGGTGGCATGATGGGGTTGGGGTACTTTGATTACTTTGCAGTGTGGCTGCATCTTGCTTGAACCCCCTTAGACTTCTCCCCCAGTGCTGCTGTCAGTCCAGTGTGGCTAACTCATCAGCTCCCTCCTCCTGCACACCCCAGGAAACATCAGTCACCTTGAGAGACCCTGAGACATGCAGGCAAGCAAACAGACTTGCACAGCCTTGGGCACACTGTCGAAATCCAACAAAATGCCCACAGTGACCTTAGCCCCAGACCTGTTTACGAGGTAAGAGCTTCTGTTGAACCAAGGTAGTGGGTGTTGGTTTGGCCAAGGTGTTTTTGGAGGAGTGAGCTATTTCTTCTCTTTTTGACCTCAGCAGAGGCCATACTCTACGCCCTTCATTTGTAACACAACTAGGAGTATCACACTTTAATCCTCTGAGGTTGTTGAGATATTCAGTACAGTTTGTCAGAGGATGAGGGTTTCAGCAAAGTTGGCAGATGGGGGAGACACACATTGGAAAAGATGAGGTAAAGAGGTCTTCATAGCAACAAAGGAGAGCAGGAGTTTAGCCCCAAATCTGCTCCTGTTTGTGGGGTGTCCAGCAGCCCTCGCCTGCCTCTTTGAGCAATTGGAGGGCACTTGGTGGGTCTAAGGCCCTGTTCAGCTCTGACGTTCTGCGATTCCCACTGGAACCAGAGGCGAGCCTTCCCCACTCGAGCACACGCAGGTCCTGGTGCCAGCAACCCAGGGAGGTCACGTCCAGGGCTTATTGCCCTACTGCGCTGCCCAGCACAGCTTCACAGTGGTGCCGCACCCTGGAGAGAGGCAGTTTAAGAGGGAGGCCCCAGCTAGAGAGAGCACAGAGCCCAGAGTCCTGCCACAGTCTCCAGGAGTGAAATTACTCGATGTTCAGGAACAGAGGGCATTGAAAGCCATGGGTGACAGGTGTCACAGGTGGCACAGAGGTGTGTAGGGGCCAATCTCTGGGCAGCCCCTTGGCTAAATGGCAAAGGGAGCTCTCTGCAGCCTACCCTCAACTTACCCATTCCTGCCTCCTGCCCACCCACATTTACCAGTTCCATGATGTGGGGCCTGAGAGCTTCTAGCTCTGTCTATACTAGACTGGAAGGGTAGATACTAATTCCAATGGAAAGAGGACATCTGAGGACTCTAGGAGTTTTCCCTCTGCCTAGTTAAAAACCAAACACACCCAACTAAAGAACATCCATCCCAATTAGGCAGACCCCAGACAGGTCAGGCATTGGGAAAACTGACCCTTACTCTCTTCTCTCTGCCCCTCAAACAAAGACAGCAGGACGCTCCTTGGGATGTGCTTTGCAGAGATGGAATGGAGTCCTTGGTGTGGCTTTTGACATTACAAGAACCACACTCCTGCAAACACTAGAACCAGGTCACTCTCATTTTTTCATTCATCCATTCATCCATCATTTGTTTAGTAGACATTGACCACAGGCCTGTCTGTGCCAGGCACTCCTCAAGGCTCTGGGTATACAGCAGAGAACACAGGTCAGAGTTCCTGCCTTCAGGGCGCTCACAGTCACGTGAGAGATGTTGTCCAGAGGATCGAAGGCCAGTAAGGACACAGGGCGGGGTGTGCTGCGCTTGGAGTCTGCCGTGGGGGGCTCGTGGCCTCTTCCAGATTGTGGGATTGATTCAGCGCTCCTCTTGTGTTTCCCGGCTTGCCCCTGCCACAGCTTCTTAGGCAGCAACAAGGCCAAAGAAGTGGGGCAACTTGCCTAGGCTACACAGAAGGGCCGAGAGTGGAACCTCAGCGCCTGACTCCATGTCCAGAAGCCCATGCTGTACAGCTGTGGGCACACTACTCAGCAGTGCTGAGCCATAGTTTCCTCATCTGTTAAGAGAGTGTGTAGCCCCCAGACAGCTCATTGCGTGGGGGAGTGGTGGGGTTGTTGGCAGGGGAATCCCAGAATCGGTGGCCAGGAAAGTATGTGCATTGTGTACATATTTCAAGTTATTATGATTATGATCCCAGGTGCTCAGGATTTGGCCTGAGTGAAAGCAGCTCAAACTGCCCCTGACCTGCCACCCTTAGAAGCAGAGAGGCCCAGGTTCCCCACCCATGAGGTGGTGACTTGCAAGCTGGCAGGGATCCGGGCAGAAATCATCTAGGCAGTGTTCTCAGACTCCACACTCATGCATCCCCCTCCACAACAGAGATTCTGTTGAGAACAGCTTGTTTTTCCTTAACTCATTTGCTCATCTGTCCGTCTGTCCATCCATCCATCCATCTACTCACCCCAAGAAGAGACATGCCTGAGGTAAGAACAGCCAGAAAAGCCCCTGGCCCAGCATTTCCCCAGTTATTATTTCCCATTCCACTGGCATCCTTTGAGAGGCTCTCGGAATAAAGGGCTTCCTGAACAAATAGATGTGGGGAAGGCTGTATTTTCTTTACCACCTTGTGGAGCTTCACAGCACACGTTACTGTAATAAAGGCTCTGAGAGATCCTGCAGGAAAGAAACCTGTTCAGATTTTTTTTCTAATGCAATGTTCCCTAGATCTTTTGGACCAAGGAACGTTTTTTCACAGAGCACCCGTTAGCCTGCCAGGGAATTAATGATTCGCGAAATACACTTTGGGAAGCATTCCTTTACACACAAAATCCTTTTTTTTAATTATAATAGCGTGCATAGAATATTCATAAGATCTCTTATATACCTACCTGCCTTCTTATATAGGGATGACTCATCATTCAGCACTTCCTTGGCCTGTGGTTGAACATATCACCATGAATAGCAATCTATGATGATGCTTTGTCATTTACAAGAGCTAGTGAAGGGACTCAAATTATTTTAGTTTTCATTTTTCGGAGAATTTTTTGCCTTTCCCTTTTGTGAGCAGCAGAAGCTGTTGTTCATTTGCTTCCTATTATTGTCCATGCACCTGCTTGGGATTACCATAAATCGCAAGCAGCAAAGTGCCAAGCTCATCATAACTGTGTGTAAAGTACAAGTCAACAGGCTCTGAGTGAGGACTTGGCCCTATCTCTCATTTCTGTAATGAGCTTGAAATTTAGTGCATGTATTTTGTGCCATGGCTTTTACCTGCTCAAAGGCCTTTGGGGCTAATTTCCTGCTTTTTGTCTATGTCTTGGATAACTGGGTGTGTAGGATGTGACTCCAGCAGAGGGAAGGCCTTCTGTGAATCATCTGGGGCTGGTACTGGATAAGAACATTGTATATGGGGTCAGGCAGTCCTGAATCTTAAATCCTGGCTCTACCTCTTCCTAGCTGTGTGATCTTCGGCAAGTTGCTAAACCTCTCTGTGACTCAGTCTCCTCATTGGAGTGCGGGAATACCTTCCTCACGTGTTTGTGGTAAATATTGAATGAGGTTGTGTGTGCAAAGTGCTTAACAGAGTGTCTCCCATACGGTAGATGCTCAATAAATAGTGGCAAGGCCGGGACTGCGGTGAAGCAAGCTGGCCCCCAGGGCACAGAAATTCAGGAGACATTCTCAGACTTGTGCAAGTACAGGGGCAGGACCTAAGCGTGAGTGCCTCCTGGGTGCCTGACTTGCCTCATGCTAGTTTCCACCCTGTCTAGCTGGGTCCTGCTACCCCGGCACCCATAACCCCCAGTTGATCTCAGAGACTGAGTACCTGGAAGGCCTCTGGTAGGATGAGAGAGACCCAGCCCTGCCCCTGTAACTGCCTGCCCACCTGAAAGCAGGTGAGCCCCATGAGATGAATAAAGGGTGTGTACCCAGGGGGAGAGGAATGGAGAATGAGCCCAGTGAAAAGCCTGAAGGCGCTTGCTCACCTGGGGCCTTCGGAGGGTGGGAACCACCACGGAGCCCCAGCCCTGCCCCTGAGTGGGGGCAGGGCCTCTGCCAACTGGGCTGGACCCCCACTTCCCTGTCAAAACTTTTAAAAACACAAACAGAGGCAAGAACGGCATTTGCATAAATCTCATTAGAAAAAGTGCAAGTTTCATAAATCTTGTGATAAATTAGTGCGATATCATTCTCAACGTGATGTATTAATTTTAGGGCAAAATGAATGGTGCTGTGATCATTGTGGGTAATTACGAGTCTCCTCAAAGAGGAAGTGATTTCTGGAGGGACTTTTCTGACCTCCTTCGCGGCAGGAGGGTGGGAGGAGGGCAGGGCAGAAGGGAGGTTGTCTTGCTCACCTGCTTTTATGATTGCGCCTTTCTTCATTTCTTTTCCTGCTATTGAAAGGTGAAGACAAGCTGGGTTGGGTCTCTGGCTAAGGGGTGGACAGCAGGGGTACAGGAGGTGATGGAATTTTGAAATCAGGCCTTGAGTCCCAAATTCCCCAGAGCCAAATTATTTTAGAAAAGAATCTTAAGCCGGGCACGGTGGCTCACGCCTGTAATCCCAGCACTTTGGGAGGCTGGGGTGGGAGGATTGCTTGAGCCCAGGAGTTTGAACCCAGCCTGGGCAACACAACAAGACCTCATCTCTATTAAAAAAAAAAATTGTAAAATTAGCCAGGTGCAGTGGCGCACTTGTAGTCCTAGCTACTTGGGAGGCTGAGACAGGAGGATCACTTGAGCCCAGGAGTTATGATTGTGCCACTGCACCAGCCCAGGTGACAGAGGTTTTGGAAAAAAAAAAAAAGAAAGAAAGAAAGAAAGAAGGAAAGAAAGAAAAGAAAAATCTTAAATTTCTAGGACCTGGACTCATGGAAACTCTAACTTAGGGGTTCTCAAAAATGTGGTCTCAGACAGGCAGCATTAGTGGCAATTGGGAGCTTGTTAGAAATGCATATTCAGAACCTGAAAGTCTGGGAGGGGCCCATAAATCTGTTTTTAATAGCTCTCTTGGTAGTTCTGATGCACACTCAAGTTTGAGAATCACTGCTCTAACCGGGTGGTTCTTAACTTGGCTGTACGTGGGAATCATTTGAGGATTTATATCAGAATACTGCTGTCTGGGTCCTGCACTAGACCAATTAATTAAGACAGAATCCTTAGTGGTTGGGGCCTGGGCATCCTTATTTTTAGAAGCTCTCCAGGTGATGCTAATATGAAATCAGGTTGAGATGCATGGCCTCAAAGCCATTAATTAACATCTTTTTAATATTGGGATTGGAAAATTTTGAACATGGGAAGTGGCAACAAAGCAAAACATTTTTTTTTTTTTTGCTCCACCTGTGGATTGGCCTAAGCTGAATGTGCCTGGGGTGCCCCCATTGTAGCTGGGTTCCACATGGGTAAGCACATGGAGAACTGGAAGAGGCTCAGGGAAGCTGGCCTCCCTGGAGGAGTGATTCCCATTCTTGCCTGCCCAGTACATCACCTGGCGATTTAGAACTTTCCAAAGCCCAAGCTGGCCCCTAGGCCAGCTAGTCACAACGTTGGGAGTGTGGGATGCAGACACCAGTATTGCTCGAAAGCTCCAGCTGATTCCAGTGTGCTGACAAGTGTGGGAACTGCTGACCTCTAGGTTTTCCTCCATCACAGTTTCTCAGATATGTCCTGAAGATTGAAGGAACCTCAGAAATCATCAAGACCCTGGATATCAACTCCACAGCCCATTGGAATCACTCGAGTGGTTCAGCTTGTTCTTAAATCCCGATGCTTGAGTCCCTCCCTGGAGATCCTGATGTATGTGGTCTGGTGTACAGATGGACAGTTGGGATGTCAAAAGGGCTACAGGTGATTCTAAGCTGCAGCCAGGGCTGAAATGACCCTTTGTTGCACTGGGACAGAGGCCCAAGACGGAAGGGATGCCCCGGAGATGGCAGCCTCGTAGTGGAGAGTCATCCTCCAGCCAGGCCACTGCTGTTCCCCCACGGTCACATTCAGGGGACTGTGAGGATGGGTTCACGAGTGCAGCCTCATTCTTGAGCTATGGGGAGGGTGACTGGTGACTTCTCCCTGTAGCTTAGGGCAGAAGGGGACATCAGGATCACTTCTGAGAAGGAAGGAACCAGCATGTGCCTGCAAGTGTTTGGATAATCTCTTTGTGAGCCTTTAATGGCCTGCAGTGCTCTGTTTATTTTAATGATAATGTCAAGTTCAATTTGCCGTCATTTTTCAACATTTCCTTTTGTAAAGTTAATTGAACAATTCAATGAATTGAAAAGTTTCAGGAGAGGGGAAAAAAAACACACCCACCCCACTGTTATCACTGTTATTAAATCTGGTAACTACCTCTTGGCTCTCCAAGCCCTGAGACAAGACTTCAACCCTCATGGGCCTGGGAGCTGCCGCAAGGATTCAGGAAGGTCAAACAGAACATTCCAGGGCCCCTTTATTCATGGCTGTTTCATGCTCAGGCTGCTATTTCAGGGCAGAAAAAAAAAATATCCAGTCTGCCATGGACCCTGGCTGCTGGCTCTGCGGTAGCTCATTCCCCAAGTGTCCAAACCAGATTGTAAACCCTTGGGAGCCGGGTTGGGTCTTCTCTGCCTGTCTATCCTCCGCTGCGGAGCGCCTTCCTTGTACACAGTATGTGGAAAACAGAGCCTTAATATCGTAGATATCTAAACTGGAAGGGACCTTAATGTGGTGTGGTGGAAAGAACAGCGTATGGGGAGTCCAGGGACCAATTTGAGAGGCAGCTCCTCCACCTGCTAGCTGTTGAGCTGGTTGACTGTGGACTTGTCACCGGGCCACCCAGCCCTGTTTTCTCCTTTGTAAAATGAGCTTGTTGGCCATATCAAGAATGCAAATATTCGGCCAAGTAGAGCTACTCCCTCCCCTGTGTGCATCGTGTGTCACTGGCAGATCACACACTTCTTCCTACTGACCTCAGATGCAACCTCACACTCCCCAGCACGACACCCACAAAACCATGACCCGGAGGTTGGAGTGGGCACATGAAACTTGACCCATTTGCCAAGATTGTTTTCAGTTCTCCTCGTGGACCTCTGCACTTTGGCCATTGATGCCAGCCCCTTCGTAGTGTCAGTGGGGAAGGAGAAGCTCAGAGACAGCAGCGATTTGCCCATGGTCACACAGCTAGTCCTGGCTGAGTGTGAACCAGGGCCAGCCACATCAGTTCTAGGCCCGGCTGATTCTCTCAGCCTTAAAGGCAGGGACTTCTCTAAGGCTGCCTTGCTCCCAAAGCTTCTCCTGTGCCCTTTGAGCCTGTGTTCCAAGTCCTCAACCTCCTGTCCTTGGACTCCCTGGAATGCTCGTCCTGAGGGTCACATTCGGGCCAGGTGAAGGGCAGGGATGCAGTTCTTCATGCCTACAGTTTGCAAACAGCTGCCAGTCCATCCTGAACTTCCCCAGGGTCCCGGGGAAAGGCCAGGAGAAGTGTGCAGTGTGATAGATATGTAGGTCTGCCCGCTGGACTGTCAGCTGCAGGAGGGCAGGTTCTTCTGGCTGCAGTGTTTGTTTTATCATCAGTGCCTACAGCAGTACCAGGGACAGCAGGTGCCCAGGCAGTGTTTGCTGAGGGAATCAGTGGAGGATGTCAACAGGAGGGTCACTGAGCAATCCCAGCTCTGCCTTGTGCTAGCTGTGTGACTTTAGGCAAGTAACTTGACCTCTCTGTGATGCATTGGGTTGTAGGGGAATAGAGCACATAGGTGCCTATGACTGGTCCTCGCAGCCCTCAGCAAATGATGGTCCTTATTTGCTATGTCAGAGGCAGAGGAGCTCCGGGTTTCTAAGAGTCAGGGCCAGGTCCCTGAAGTATTGGTATTCAATGTCTGATCTTTCCTCTGGGGCATATTAATTTTTAAAAAATGTGTGTGTGAAGGGAAGGAAATCAGGATATCAAAGGGATAGCTGCCTCCCATGCTTATTGCGGCACTATTTGCAATAGCCAAGATATGGAATCAACCTAAGTGTCCGTCAATGATAAATGGATAAAGAAATGTGGTATATATACACAATGGAATACTATTCAGCTATAAAAAGGAAATCCTATCATTTGCAGCCACATAGATGGAATTGAAGATCATCATGTTAAGTGAAATAAGCCAGGCACAGAAAGACAAATGTCGCATGTTCTCAGTCACGTGTGGGAGCTTAAAAAGTGGATCTCATGGAAGTAGAGTGTGGAATGATGGTTACCAGTGGCTGGGGAGAGAGTGAAAGAGGGGATGGTTGATGAGTAAAAAAATATAGTTAGCTCACACCTATAATCCCAGCACTTTGGGAGGCTGAGGCAGGCAGATCACCTGAGGTCAGGAGTTCAAGATCAACCTGACCAACATGGCAAAACCCTATCTCTACTAAAAATACAAAAATTAGCCACGCATAGTGGCACATGCTTGTAATCCGAGCTACTTGGGAGGCTGAGGCAAGAGAACTGCTTGAACCCATGAGGTGGAGGTTGCAGTGAGCTGATATCATGCCATTGCACTCCAGCCTAGGCAACAAGAGTGAAATTCCAGCCAGGTGCCGTGGCTCACGCCTGTAATCCCAGCACTTTGGGAGGCGGAGGCAGGTGGATCACTTGAGGTAGGGAGTTTGAGATCAGCCTGACCAACATGGAGAAACCTCGTCTCTACTAAAAATACAAAATCAGCTGAGCATGGTGGTGCATGCCTGTAATCCCAGCTACTTGGGAGGCTGAGGCAGGAGAATCGCTTGACCCCACGACGCAGAGGTTGCAGTGAGCTGAGATCATGCCATTGCACTCCAGCCTGAGCAACAAGAGTGAAATTCTGTCTCAAAAACAAACAAAACAAATAAACAAAAACTAGCCAGGTGTGGTGGCACCCGCTTGTAATCCCAGCTACTCGGGAGGCTGAGGCAGGAGAATCGCTTGAGCCTGGGAGGTAGAGGTTGCAGTGAGCTGAAAGAGAGCACCACTGCCCTTCAGCCTGGGTGACAGAGCGAGACTCCATCTCAAAAAAAAAAAAAAAAAAAAGGATAGTGCTGTGTAGCACAATAGGGTGGCTATAGTTAGCAATAATTTATTGTATATTTTAAAAGAGCTAGAAGAGAAGATCTGAAGTGTTCTCAACACAAAGAAATGATAAGTGTTTGAGGTGATGGATATCCTAAATACTGTGATCCGATCATTACACATTGTGTATGTATCAAAATATCACAGGTACCCCGTAAATATGTACAATTATTATGTATCAATAAAATAAATACATTTTAAAAAATATATGTGCCTGTGTGTACTTCACTTATTCCTCCTCTTCCCTGCCCCCAGAGCCTCTGGGTTTGTGTCGTCCGGCTCTGTTTAGTGCCTCCTTCTTCCCTGGATTAGCCTGTCCCCATCAGTGCAGACACCTGTGTGGCCAGGTGAGCCCGCAGCCCCTTCTCTGACTCTCAGGAGGGAATGGCCGTCTTGCTGGTAGCAATAAGTAGACTGAGGAAAGCCAGGGTGCTAGAGGGGAGCCCATCCCCACCAAGTCTCTGCCTCAGGGCTGCTCACCTTCAGACCAGGGTCCACCTGGAGGCCGCCCCCATGGGGTTAGTTGCTTTGGGGTGAGAAGAAGGCTGTATTCAGGAGCTGAGTTTTGGATTTGGATAAAAGGCTTTGTGATAAAAACCATGAGGGTTGTGGAATGAGAAAGACTTGGGTTGGACTCCTGGCTTGCTGACCTTGGGTAGGTCACTTTACCCCTCTGAGCCTGTTTTCTTTTCTTTTCTTTTCTTTTCTTTTCTTTTCTTTTCTTTTCTTTTCTTTTCTTTTCTCTTTCCTTTCCTTTCTTTTCTTTTCTTCCTTTCTTTCTTTCTTTTTTTGTTTTGTTTGTTTTGTTTTGAGACAGAGTCTCGCTCTGTCCTCCAGGCTGGAGTGCAGTGGCATGATCTTGGCTCACTGTGACCTCTGCCTCCTGGGCTCTAGCAATTCTCCTGCCTCAGCCTCGAGTAGCTGGGATTACAGGCCTGTGACACCACCCCCAGCTAACTTTTGTATTTTTAGTAGAGACGGGGTTTAACCATGTTGGCCAGGCTGGTCTTGAACTCCTGACCTGAAGTGATCCACCCACCTTGGCCTCCCAAAGTGCTGGGATTACAAGGCGTGAGGCACTGCACCTGGCCTGAGCCTCAGTTTTCCTACCTGTATAACAGGGATGCTAACCCCTCTGTGTAAGGCCATTAGGAGAAATAAGTGACAGAGTAAATGAATGAAAACCATTGAGTGTGGTACCTGGCAAAGAGTCATGCCCAGGAAACAGAATGCTGGTTTCCTTTCCCCCTGACAGTTCATGCCGTCCCCTCCAAGTGGACGGAGTTGCAGGAGAGCACAGGAGTGAAGCTGGCCTGTGGGCTTTGAAGGTAGAGATGGTTCCTTTGACCCAGGTCAAGGGTTTTCTGATGACAGTGAGGGCGTCGATCAGTGAAGGGTGAGCCTAGAGGCCGCCTGCCTCTCAGGAGAGAACCGGCCAGTGTCAGAGCTCACTCTACTCCCTCTGACTTCCCCCAGGTGGAGATATTGGTGAAGCCTAAGATGAAGAAAAGAGCTCCCCTGAGGTCAAACCAAGTTCAGGACCCAGGGCATTTGAGAGACTGAAGGCAGAAGGGTGGGAGGTGGGACCTAAGACAAATGAGATTATCCCCAGGAATCAAGGCACTTAACTGGCCTGTCTGATCCCAGAGGAGAGACAAATGAGATGGCAGGCTCCAAGGCCAGCTCAGGCTCTGGGGAGCCCATCCCAGGGAGAGTGGGAGGGCAGGAGCCCCTGGCCCTGGCAGGGACCCGGCCAGCCAGGAGGAGGAGGGTGGGTTTCCCTTCTTGCAGGTGGGGGTGTGCAGCAGGCTTGATGGCCATGGTGGGACAGTTGGAGTGAGGAGTAGTTATTCTCAGAAAACCCTGGCCATACCCGTGGCCTTGGAATTTGAGGCTGGGGCCCTGCTGTTTGCAACTCCTTGGCTCAGCTACTCACACATGCATAGCTCTATCCCAGGCGGCCCTCTCCCGGCCAGGACCCTTGCTTCCCTCTCTGCAAAATGAGAAGGGGGCTTTGTCTGTTTGGTTCTCACTTCAGCGATAACTAGTCCCTGCTTCTGAGCTAGCCTGCAGACACCAAGGCTGGTTCTGTCTCTCTAACAGCCCTGAGCCTGGCAGAGGCAGACCACTAGGTTCTTGGCCCCTAGATGGGGAAGGACAGTAGATCACAGCTGGTGTGAAGTCCTTTTAGGTCACAGGTTGCAAAAGCCTTGCTTTCTTGTGCCTTTTAGGATTGATTATGGTGGCTGCATGGAACCCTGTATTGTGAAGGATTCTGAAGTTGAATGCAGATTCACTGGGAAAAGGTGCTGTGATTGATTAATAAGGTCTGTGTGGGCAAGAGCTGGGACTGGCTAGCTCCCTGGCCCTAGAAAAGCAGTAGTTAATCATGAGGGATGGGGAAGAGGAGAAGGAAGATTTGCCAAGCGTGTCCCAGAATATCAACTTCTACCTTCAAGGGGTGATGGCCTCTTGCCTGCTGTGCAGAGGTGCAAACAATGAATCCATGCAGGGGCCTGGTATGCTTTCGGGTGACAGCAGTCTGGCAGGCCGGGCCCAGGGGTGCAGAGGGAAATGTGCATGGCCAGGGAGGTTGAGGATGCATTGGGAAGCACTAGACATCATGGTAAGGAATTCGTTTTCATTCTCTGGGAACTAAGCAGGCGTTTGAGCAGAGTGTGGCACAATGGAAGGTGTGCTTTAAGGAGATGCTGCTGCAAGGAGGGAGCAGGGTATGTTCTCACACCGCTTATTCACCCCTCCGTGTTTTGGTAACAAATATTGCTTTCATCCTTCTCTCATCTAGAGAAAATAAAAAGCCCTGCAGCCTGTGCTGCCCTGCCAGAGTTTCTGGCCCGCCCCTCATCTAGCAGGTACTGCTCTCCAGGAGCCGCATGACCACAATCCCCAATCCCAGCCCTTGCCCCTCAGTGCAAATAACAACAATAAGAGTAATAACAGTCATCTCAGCGATCAGCATGGGCCCAGTGGGGCCTCAGGGGAAGCTGTGATTGTCCACCCCTTGCCTGGAAGGCAGATGTGGACTGCTGCTGAGGGCCGAGGCCACGGTGGAGGATGTGCCACCAGCTTTGCAACTCCCAAGGGGCCTTAGCAGTCTGGTGGGCAGATTCCTACCTCCTACCTCCAAGATGGGGTACACAGCCCCCAGGATGGGGTACAGGGCCGGTTCCTCAGAGACTGGACCCCCAGTCATTGCACAGCTGTGATTCCTGCCTGGGCCCAAAGACAAGTGCTACTGATTTGGGTGTTATTAGGTTTTGATCAGCTATCCTTTCCCCTGTCCATTTGTGCACACAGTTAAGAATTAACTTGCTATACTCTCTCTTCCCGTTGTGGCTCAGAGACCTTCATGACTTTGGGGGGCTGTCTTTTCCTAACACCTCTGGGCAGTTGTTAGCAGGATTCATTTATTTACCCAATGACTATTTATTGAGTGCCTCCAGGATGTCAATCCCTGTGTTAGGCTTAGGGATATGACAAGGAATAGGCAGGTCAGGCTGAATGTGCTGCGTGATGGGCAGGGGGTTGGGGTAGGTGGTCAGCAAGTCAAGTGAATAAGCAGATCCTTTCAGAGAGAGAGGACTGTGAAGACAATAACGTGGAGTCTTAGGACACTGAGTAACCAGGCGTCTCTTTAGCTAGACTCTGCTGATTGAGAATTTGAGGAAGGCCTCCCCAACGTGCTAACTCGCCACCCGAGAGGTGAATAATGAGGAAGCTGCCGTAGAGGTGGAGTGACCTAGGGTAGGAACCTTCCCAGCCAAAGGCACAATCAGGGCGAGGGTCCCGAGGCAGCCACAAACTTGTCCTGTTCGGGAACAGAAAGAAGGCATGTGGGGCCAGATGGGGCTCAGCCCAGTGAGCCTGTGAGATTCAGTGATGGATGTCATCTTGGACCAGATCACTAGGGCCTTAGAAATGGTCAATTTAAGGTTTTTTTTTTTTAATTTAATTATGGTAAAATATACATAACATGAAATTTGCCATCTTAGCCATTTTTAAGTGTATAGTTTAGTAGTGTTAAGCACATTGACACTGTTGCCTAACCGACCTCCAGAACTCTTTTTCTGTTGAAAACTGAAACTGTAGCCATTGAATAATAGTTCTCCATTCTGCCCTTCCCGACCCCTGGCACTCACCATTCTACTTTCTGTCTCTATGAATTGGATTACTCTAGGTACCTTATATCAGGGAGATCACATTGTACTGTATTTGTCTTTCTGGGACTGGCTTATTTCACTGAGCATAATGTCCTCAGGGTTTATCCATATTGTAGCATGTGTCAGAATTTCCTTTCTTTTTAAGGCTGAATAATATTCCATTGGCTGTATCTACCACATTTTGATTATCCATTCATCTGTGGACAGATACTTGGATCGCTTCCCCCTTCTTGGCTATTGCAAAGAATGCTGGCATGAACACAGATGCACAGTGATTAAGTTCTTGAATGTTCTGCTTTCCACCCATGAGGTTAGACTGGGCATGGTTTGGGTGGCACAGAGTGGAGGGGCTGGCCTAGCTGGATGCCCCTTCCCCATGAGGGTAGGAGAGGCCAAGTGCACAGAATCCTCTGCCGCACTGATTGAGCCAGGAGTCCTAAGACTGGGCCTTTCAGTCATCCTGGGACGGGTGGAGCTTTTCTCTGCATCTAAAATGGGAGCCATAAACCAGGCTGACTTACAGGCAGTACTTACTGGTCTGGTTGTTTACGGCCAGCGTTTTTTCTGATTGGTTGATGCCTGTACTGTGCCTGTTGTTAAATATTTGAATATCATCCTGCTATAAACCAGCTACAGGACTTCTAACCTGGCTGTGTGTGAGCGTCTCCTGCAGGGAGAGTGGGGGCTGCTGTTTAAAAGTTTATACTCTGGGCTTCCCAGTAGCCAACCCAGTCAAGAGGGCCTGGGAATTTGCATTGTAAAGCTCTACAGTAGTTCCAATGTACCGTCTTAAACATGCATTGGAAATTTGGGCTCCCCCAGAAATAGATCTTGTGATGAAGATTTAAGTGCAAGAAGCTTACTGGGGAGGAGGTTCCAGGAAACACAAGTAGGGAGTGAGGAAGTGAGACAGGAAGGGAGGGAAGCCATAAAGATGCGTTATTGTCAACCAAGTTGCCAGTGTAGAACACGGACCTCTGAGTTATGCTCTTGAGAGGTGCCAAAGCTGGGCTGTTTACCTACCTTATCCACAGAGCTCTGAAAGTCAAGCCAGAAAGGAAGGATTCCAAATTCTTGGAATTTTATCTAGAAAAGAAGACTAAGCAGCTTTTGTAAGTGAACTTTTAGGAGGGTTCTAACATGATGATGATAGCTAACATTTTTTAGCTCTAACCATGGTAGACAAGGTCATCCTTATCTATCATCTTCCACAGTAACTCGGCGAGCTCCGCTTACTGGGGCATTGGTTCCCGGCACTTCCCGGCTGTGCTGTGTTTAGGAGGAGCAGTCTCTGATGGCCGGAACCCCTCGGGAGAACACTCACAGGCGCTGGCAGTTAGAAGTCAGGCTGGTGTGTGTGGAAATGTGTGTGCTGAGGGACAGAGGGCAGGGTACCAATAGCGTCTGCTGCGGAGACCCAGCCAGCTCCCATCTCTCTATCATAAGAGGGCATTCCAGCCCCTGTGAATAGCAGGGTATCCTCCTTACCGCTGAAAAAACACCAGGCCTCATCCATTGCTGGTGAGAATGTAAAATAATACAGCCACCATGGAGAACACTTTGGCAGTTCCTCAATAATTTAAACATAGAATTACTGTATGTTCCAGCAATTGTGCTCCTAAGTATACATCCAAAATAATTAAAAACAGATGTTCAAACAAAAACTTGTACATAAATGTTCATAGCGGCATTATTTCCAATAGTCAACAGATGGGAACAACATAAATAGCTGTCAACTGATCAATGAATGAACAAAATGTGTTACATTCACACAAGGGAATATTATTCAGCTGTTAAAAAGGAGTGAAGTACTGATACATGCTACAACATGAATGAACCATGAAAACATTTGGCTAAGTGAAAGAGGTCAGGCACAAAAGGCCACATACTGTATTATTTCATTCATATAAAATATCTAGGATAGGCGAATCCATAGAAACAGAAAATGGATTCGTGGTTGCCAGGGCTGGGGAAGGGATTCATGGGGAGTGACTGGTTCATGGGCATGGAGTTTCCTTTGGAAAGGATGAAAATCGTGTGGAATTAGTGGTGATGGTTGCACAGCATCGTGAATGTACTAAATGCCACTGAATTGTGTACTTTAAATGGTTGAAGAGGTAAATTGCATGTGATGTGTATTTTACCACAAATTTTTACAAAAGGAACTCCAGATATCCTTCAGCCCTGAGATGCAAGGTATATTGTTTCTCAGGTGGGAAGCAAACCTGTGTGGCATGTGTACCCCAGGGTCCCCCAGCCAGAGATGGTTCTCCTGCATGGCTGTAACTAAGAACACTGGGCTGGAGCTGAACCCCAGAGACTGGCCTCACTCCTGTAGGAATAGCACAACCATAGGTTGCTGGAAACCTCCCCTGGTGGAGAAACAAGCCTTGCTTCCCGGAGAAGCCAGGGCTGGGCCCAGCTTCTGTAGAGAGGCAGAGCAGCGCTGGGCGGAGGAGTATGTGCCCAGCTGGAAAATTGCAGGGCGTCTTGTCTTAAATATAATATTAAATCGGCACCTTTAATTAGTACACTTAGAAAAGGTCACTAGCAATTACCTGGGACACAAAGAAGGCATGAGCAGGCAAGAGCCCATGAAGAAGCTGAAAAGGACCATTTTGAGCAGCACATAATTGAGGGGAAAATGGATAAAAGTCCGGGAAATTACAGGGTGGGTGACAGCAGCTGATGGCCCCATCCCTGTCCTGCCCAGCGCCCCCCTTCTTGGGAGGACCTGAGCGTCAAGCCTGAGAGAGCCATTTGGGATATTGGGCCCAGTTGTGCAACCTTGGCTGGAAGGCCAGGGTGGTCTTCCCAGAATCCTCTTGGCCAGCTGGGAGCTTGGCCCCAGATCCTCCACCTGGGCTGGGCCCTGAGGTACAGCAGGTGAGGATTGCGGTCCAGGGGGCTGCAGGCTGCCATGGACTCATTGTTGCACCTGGACAAGCAAGGCGCTTATGGGCCTCAGTTTCCCCATCTGGAATCTGCCCAAGGCTTTGGGAGGTAACTCAGTGTTTCCCAAACTTTGCCACTAGAGATTACCTGAGAGCAATGGAAAAGAAATGTATACTCCTAGAAGTCAGGGGAGGCTAGAAATTCATTTATGGCTTTAGATTATATCTTTACAAATAAATTAAACATAAATAAATTAGGCCGGACATGGTGGCTCGCACCTGTAATCCCAGCACTTTGGTAGGCCGAGGTGGGCAGATCACTTGGGGTCAGGAGTTCAATATCAGGCTGGCCAACATGATGAAACCCCATCTCTACTAAAACTACGAAAAATTAGCTGGGCATGGTGGCTGATGCCTGTAATCCCAGCTACTGGGGAGGCTGAGGCAGGAGAAGCACTTGAACCTGCGAGGTGGAGGTTGCAGTGAGCTGAGATCATGCCACTTGCACTCCAGCCTGGGTGACAGAGCGAGACCCTGCCACCCAAAAAATAATTAATTAATCAATCAAATGCTGCTCCCAATGTCTTCCTGTTCGTTTTAGTATAAAACATTTATTTGTCACCGGGCAATGCAAACGCTTTGGAAAGATGTGCTTGGTTTATCTGTGACTTTCACATACTTCCTCTTACACCGTCTAGAAAGAGCAATGAACTGGGAATCTGGGAGTCTGGAAACTTGGGTTTGAACCCTGCCTTTGTGGCTCACCATTGTGCTTTGGGCAACTTGCCAAATGCCTTCAGCTTTTCCAACTCCGAAATGGGAGGGTTGGGCTCTGAAGATGTCCCAGGATTTTACTCCTCCTTCTCACCTTCTCCCATCACCTTGGATGCTGCCATTTCCTGCTCTGCTGTTCTGCTGTTTGACCTTGGAGAAGCTGCTTCACCTCTCTGAGACTCAGCTTCCTAATCTGCAAAATGGATAGAATAACAACTACCAAACAGACTTGCTGGGAGGATTTAATGAGAGAATCCACATGAATGGACCTTGTGTCTGGCATATCATAAGAGCCCAGTGAATGTCCAATGTCTTCCTTTTCCAGATCTTGGGCTTCTTGTTAGGATCTGATAGGTCATGTCCATGAAGTCCTGAATCTTGAGTTTACATATTGAGTGTTGAGATATCTGTGCTGTGGAAAGAAATGTAGGCTCTGAGCCCCAAATGCCTGGGATGTGGATTCCAGCTCTGCCATTTGCTGACCATGAGGACATGGTAATCACCTCATCACTCTTTGTTGCCTTATCCGTTAAATGGGGGGAATTGCATTATGGACTGAATTAGTGCATGGAAATAGCTCAGCTTATGCCTGGCTTATGATTAGGGCTCAGAAATGTTTGCTAGCATCATCATGTTAGAACTGTCCTAAAAGTTCTTTTCTAGATAAAATTCCAAGAATTTGGAATCCTTTCTTTCTATCTAGCTTGATTTTCAGAGCTATTTGGTAAATGTGAGAGTCAGTATTTGGGGCAGGTAGTGTCTGTCTCATTTTATAGGGGAAACTGAAACCTGGAAATAAGTGATTTGCCTTAGGCCATGGCTCCGATCTCCTCACCCCTTTGAGAATCAGAGGAAGACTATAGACATTGTCTTCGGAAAATGACGCGCTGTACACTTATCACATTTTGTATACAGTTCTAGTGAGTTTAAGGACCTCCTGAAGCTAAGGAGACCAACCATCCCAGTTTGCCTGGGGCTTCCTGGTTTTAGCACATGTGCTGGGAAATGCTTCAGTCCTGGGCAAAGCAGGGCAGTTAGTGACCCTACCTGAAAGCTACACAGGGGAGCTGTGAGCCCCAGGAGATGATGCCCTGCACTTCTTAGGGAGGGTATAGACCAGGCATCCTGAAGCCTAGGTGCCCTCAGGCCAGGGCTTTGCTTCCTGGTAAGGGATGACACCTGCCTCTCAATCCCCTTCTTGAGGATGGGAACTAGACCTTGTCACCCAGTTCTAGACTGGAGTTCCTTGAGGCTCAGCTACATCTTCTTAACCTCTGTGTACTCCAGTGCTCATCATAAGGGCAGCACCTGGTCACTCTTGAATGAATGCCAAAAGATTTTGCAAAGTATTCTGAATTAGAGAAGGTGCTTCCATTTGCAAAAGACAGAAGTCCAACTAAACTGACTTAGGCCAAAGAAAAGGTTGCAAGGGGAATTATTAGCTCATATAGCTGAGAAGTCCAGAGGATGGAGCTAATGTCAGCAGAGCTGGTGACAGACCCTCAGAAAGCCATCAGGAATCTGTCTCTCCATACATCATTTGCCTCTGTTTTCCTTTGTGTGCTTCATTCTCAGACAGGCTCTTCTTGTGTGGTGCCAAAGATGGCTGCCCGCAGTGCCAATGAGCAACTCCCATGAAAGAGAGCTCCTCTTTCCCAGTAGTTCCAGCAAAAGTCCCAGGGCTGGCTTTGATTGGCTAGTTTGGGTCACATGCTCATCCCTGAACCAGTCATCATGACCAGGGAAATGGCACACTCTGATTGGCTAGCGCTGACTTATATGCTCATCTTGGAACATAAGACTTGAAATATTGGGGGCCTGTCCTCATCTGAGCCACTTGGAGAAGGAGGTCTTCAAATTAAAATCAGAGAAAGGGGGGCAGGCAGAAGTCATAAGTGTCTTTTACACACTCAGAACATGGTGAGTGGTGGTTCCCTGATACCATCATGACACACTGTGACAAGTGGACCAGGGTGGAGGTGGGGTACCTGGATCAGAGCTCCCAGATGCGCCAGGGCCTTGTGATGATCTGTGGCCTGCTGGAGGATTGCTGAATGGCCACTCCCTGCTGAGAGTTCAGCCACCTGGGCAAGGTAGGAAGGCATAAACGTGACCTCTCTTATTTTCCCTCTGCTCTCTCCCTTGGCTACTCCAGGTTCTTCTGTGACCCAGTTGCTGGCCCAAGACATGGACAATGACCCCCTGGTGTTTGGCGTGTCTGGGGAGGAGGCCTCTCGCTTCTTTGCAGTGGAGCCTGACACTGGCGTGGTGTGGCTCCGGCAGCCACTGGACAGAGAGGTATGACTTGCCCATACCCCTGCCCCAATTCTCTCCTGGGGACAGGAGGAGACACTGGGGGAAGGACGGCCCGCCATCTTTTGGCGTCTTCCTCTAAGACCCCATTCTGACTCCACAGTGGCATCTTCCTGCCTGAATGGTATTCCTCTTCAAGGGCCAATGCTGGTGTCTGGACTTAGGGTTGGAATGGGTGGCTAGAGGTGTCTCCAAGCAAGCAGCTACATTGGAGAGGCAAGAGGGACAGTGACCCTGTGTTCATCCCTTGTAGAATGGCCCTCCATGGAGGGTACAAGTCTACCCCTACCCCCAGTAAACATTCCCCCAATATCCAGAGAAGCAGGAATTGACGGCATGGTAGCCCTTAGCAAGTTAAGGTAAAGACGTGAACACATCCCCAACCCTTACCCTCTCCTTGAGTTTGAGGAAGGAACCATAGAGGTGTGTAGTGACTTGCTCAGTGTCACACAGCATCTTAGAGGCAGAGCCAAGACTAGCACCCAAGATGCTCGGCTTCTGTCTTTTATTGCTCTCTTAAAGCAAGGATCCATATTCCACACCTGCTTCCCCAACCCAAAGGGCAATGCTGGTATTTTAGGGAAGCCTTTGGGTGCCTGGTTCCAGGCAAGCTCCTAGGGCAATCCTGGAGCCCCTCCCGCCCCATTTAGGGCCCAGGACCCAGGACCTCAGCACCGCCTAACTGCCCCCCTCCCTCTCTCACTTTTCTTTCAGACCAAGTCAGAGTTCACCGTGGAGTTCTCTGTCAGCGACCACCAGGGGGTGAGTGTTCCCTGGGGCCCTGGAGGCATGTTCCTGGGGTCACAGGATTTCTGGACCCCTAGGGTGGAAGAGGCCAGAGTCAGGTGGCGGCGCTAATTGCCCGCCTTTCTCTTGCCAGGTGATCACACGGAAGGTGAACATCCAGGTTGGGGATGTGAATGACAACGCGCCCACATTTCACAATCAGCCCTACAGCGTCCGCATCCCTGAGGTAGGAGCCACTGGGGTTACCCTTGAGGGTATCAGAGACCTGCTGCTCCCCAGACCACCATGGTGTAGGTGAAGAGTCAGGTGGGGAGAGCAGCTGTGGCTCTTCTGCCCAGACCTCAGCCCAGGTGCCAACTCTGAGCAGGTTGGCGAACATGCTGGTACCCTGGGAATCGGGGCCCAGCCTGGGGTTGGGAAGAGCAGTTGGGCCGGTAGGTTGGGAGCCTTGTGCTGGAGGCTGAGCCCCACACCTCCAGCTGGAGTCAATGGTGGGACAAGAGTTGGGAGAAGCAGGTGTTGCACCCTCTTTCCTTCCACTCGTATCCAAATGTGGGCCTGGGCAGGGTGGGTGGGCAGGCCTAACCCCAGATCTTCCTGCTTTGGCCAGAATCAGGTCCCTCCAGGACTCAGGGAGCATGCAGTTCTAGGAAGGGGCTTTCCCTAGCCCCGCGCTCTCCACCATGGTCTCCCAGGCCCCTGTACTGTGTACTCTGAGTATGTTTGCATGAGTGCATGCGTGTAAAATCAAGCCATTGCTGGTAATTGAGAAGTACAAATTATTGCATTACAAACGGTTCGTTAATAAGCTGGCTGCCAGCTCCCGATGGCACCAGGGTTCCCACTGCTTGCGGCCCCTCTCCTGGGTGGCTGATGGCAGTCTTATGGTCTGGCAGTTAGTGATTCAAAGACTCTGAAGTGGGAGGGTAAAGGGCTTCTCACTGGGTGTCCCTCGGGCCTGCCCTCGGGGTTTTGGGCTGGGCGGTGGCAGTGAAGGGTTGGGATGGGAACAGTGGAAGGTAGAACCCTCTGGAAAGGCAGGTTGGCACCATGTCATTTGAGTTCTAACTCCTTGATCCAATGACTGATCAGGGAGTAAAAAGCCCTGAGAGAATATCGCAGTCAGTTCATGGATGAGGCTGGGCATGGGAGAGTGACTTGCCCGAGGTCGCACAGCTTTAACTTCGAGCCACCTGGCTTCTAGGGCAGGCTCAGCCTCCCTCGAGGGTGACGAGATCTTGCTCATACACCCCACTCCCTGGCCTCTGTTACTGAGCTGCGAGCCAACGGTCCTATGCTGGCACCAGATGGAAGAGAGGACAGATGTGCAGGTGGGGATGCAGCGGAGGCACCATGCACTTCGCCTGCCTGGGGCGGGAGAGAACTGGGGAGCCCGCAGTCCTAAACATGGGGGCATGGTGCTCTGAGCTGTGGCCGGTGTGCCCAGGGACTGCAGCTTGGCTCCTGCTCTCTCTCATTTGGAAGTCTCCCTAATTTAATTAAGGGTCTCTACGTGCCAGCCTGCACTCCGGGCCTGGGCTCAGAAACCAAGGGCACGGCTCAGAGTTAATGAGCCTTGGACCCATTGCTCAGCTGCCATCCTGGCAGGCATGGCTGCCCTCTCTTCCCTCTCATGGGGCAGCAGGGAGCCGCACTGGCAAGGAGACGAGGGGTCATGTCCCTCCTCTCCTGCCCTTGGGCTGGGGGCCAGCCTTTTCCTCTCTCCTGCTTCAGGAGATGTGACTTCCAACACTCGGCCCTGTTGGAATCCCCTGGGATTCTCCAAAGGCCTGTGCCTCCAAGGAGAGAGTCTCTTCAAGTCATTCATTCATTTATTTAACAAATATTTATTGAATGTCTGCTGTGGGCTTGGCTCTGAGCCAGGCTGTCATTGTGCAGAGACCTGGGAGGCCACAGGAATGTGGAATGACAGGAGTTAGAACTAGAGGCAAGAGACCCTGGGTCCAGCCCCTGCTCTGTTCCCAGCTTGCTGAATGTGTTTGGGCATGTCACTTCACCTCTCTGTGCCATGGCCCTCCTTATCTAATAAAAACAAAGGGCAGGTGGATAAAGTGGCCTGCATGATACCCATCTGACAAGGAGAGGGTAGGCTGAGAGGAGCCAGCTGCAAAGGACACACCGTCCTTGGAGGAAGGCCCACATGGTTTAATTGCTCGTGTGTAAACATCCCTGGTTGCTTTAGTGGCCTGATACTCGATGCCCTGCTTGGGGCTGCTCAGTGTGGCCAGTGGGGATGTGGTATCAGCTGGACGGAGGCCTGGCTACTCCTGATCTGAGGTACCTTGACATTGACCAGCCCTTGCCTGGTGTGGTCACCTGAGCTGGAAACTAGCTGCCTGGCTCTGACCACAGCTGGGGTACTAGCCCAGAGTCTACTGGCCCCTGCCCCGGAAATGAGCCCAAGCTTTCCTGCTTGCATTGAGGTCACCCTGGAAACCCCAGGCCCCTGCCCTTTAGAGTGTGATTCAGCAGCAAAGGGCCCTGCAAATGTGAACAGGGTGAGGATGCAAGCCAGAGAAATGGGGTGAGGGAGCACTGCAGACCCTGTTAGGTGTGAATGCCAGGGTCTGCCAGGGTGATCAGAGAAATCTCAGCAGGCTTCCTGGAGGAGGTGGGTTTCCAGCAGAGTCTGGCTGAGGTAAGCAGTGGTTGCTCTTGTGCTGTTTCGTGGGAAGAGAGAAACTGGAGTCAGGACACCTGGGTTCTAGTCTGCTGGCTTCAGGCCCTACAGCTTTCAAACTAGGGAGTTGAACCCAGCCCCTTCCAGGGCTGACATCCCATGATCAGAGGATGAAACCCAGCAGGAGAAGGTCCTTCCCATCCTTCAGCACCTTATCGTTCTTTGCAGGATGGCGGAGAAGCTCTGGTGGCTGCTTCCATCCATTCAATTCCTCTCTTGGCCATCTCAGCCATCTAGGGCCCTAATAATGATGGAGTCTGTTGTGTGCAGAACCCAAGGATTGGCACAGGGAGTAAGTTACAGGGTGGCAAATCCAGGTCTATCTAAGGAAGAGCTTCCTAATAATAAGACTGCCCACACACACCCATGCACACACAGTCTATGCCCCTGCCTTGCTGAGAATGTGCTGAGCTCCCCATCCCTGGAGTTATGCAAGCAGAAGTAGGAGGACCACTTCTCTCCAGCCATCTAGCACTGCGTGTTGGGGAAGTGATGAATCAGAGGGTCCCAAACATGCCCCAGCAGAATTTCCCAGGGGACTGGTTAGAAAGCATATTCCCAACCTCTGCAATTGTGAATCAGTAGGCTGGGGAGAGCCAGCCCAGGAAGCTGCATTTTTTACAAACTCCTCTGGTAATGGTGAGAACAGCCAGGTCTGGGGAGCCTTGGAGGATCCCACTAGAGGTTTTCTGAGAGGTGCTGAGGGGTAGCCAATCTTGGATGTGAACTTTCAGCCCCTCCATGGCTGCCTGGAGACATGACCCACCTGGACCCAAGTCCTCAGGCCAGGAACAGCAGGGAGTGGGAGGCGGTTCAAGGCTAGGCATTGCCCCGCTGCCTGCCTCTCCTTGGCCCCCACTCCCTCTGAAAGCCTCTGCCGGGTCCAGCCCCCAGCTCAGGAGAAGCTGGGCAGGTGTGTGTTTGAGTTTGTTTGTTCTCGTTCCCCTCCTGCCCACCCCACTCCCCTCACTAAGCTGTTCTCCATGTAATTATCCATTTTATCAGGGTGAAAGGCCCTGCAATTCACTTGTCGAAGTCCTAACGAGGCAGTGTAGATGCTTTCAAGTCCATAAAGAAAAGGGAAATCCTGCTAGAATTGGCAACTTAATTCACCAAGCCAGCCTCGACAGACCTCATTAAGTCCCCGTGTATTCATTTCAGGCTAATGGCTGTCATGCTGACTGCTGTTTGATTTGCTGTAATAGACTTTTATGGCGTTCCAATTTGCTCAAACGTGTTTGCCTGTGTCTGTGCCCAGAGGTGCTGCTCCAGTACCTCCGTTAGGGGCGCGTGCCCGCCTCGCTGACCTTCAGCACTGCCCCCTCCCTGCTCCTCCCAGGGCCACCCCCTCAGCCCTCCAGTGTGCCCCAGGGAGGTGACCCTGGTGCTGGGGTGTTTAGGCAGGAGGATGGGTGTGAGGTTAGAAGTCTGGTGGTGCCAGATGGCTCACTGGGTCAGGGAATCTGGAGGACCTGCTGGAGTCTCAGAGGTGGCTGTCCTTGAAGTTCTGACAAGTTCAGCCTCCTTAGCTGGGCAGTCTAGGCCTTTATCCATCTAGCATCAACCTACCTTTCCCAACTTATTTTTCGGTATTCTCTTCTGCTATTCCTTCATATGAACTCTCCTATCAGCCATAGAGCCAATTCAATGGCAATGGATACCTGTCTGTTTCTCTCTCTCTCTCTCTCTCTCTCTCTCTCTCTCTCTCACACACACACACACACACACACACGCACACATACACATTGTACTTTTCTAACTAGTACTGGAGTTCAGCCTAACTCAACTCTGCCTGTCGTTCAAAGCCCACATCTCACCTACCATGTTCGGATCTGCCCAATTTTTTTTTTTAATGAACACAGCAAACATTTGTTGAACAGCTACTGAGCAGGGTCCAGGGATTCTGAGCTGACTTGGGCATGCAGGATAGGAAAAAATGCTACCATTTCCCAACTGTGTGACTTTAGACAAGTGACTTAACCTCTCTGGATTTCAGCTTTCTTATCTGTAAGATGAGCAACAATATCTGTCTTGCAGGATTGCTGTAGAGAATGTAGCTAGGAAAAGTCCTTAGCACAGCCTGTGGCTTGTAGTGTATTCAGTAAAATGCTGGTGATTAAGACCAAGGTCTTTGTCCTTGGTGAAGGCAATTTTACTAAGAGAAAGTCAAATAAGTGAATGTCTAACTACATCTAAATGTATTAAATGCCATGGTAGCTTTGTATGTGCACAGTGTATTGGAAACAGTGTGGTCTGTACATGGGGGCTATTTGTTTGGGGCCTTAGAGGCTGAGTAGGAGTTTGTTAGAGAAAGAGACTATGGTGTCTATGAATATCACTCACTTTCAGGGATCCTATAGCTTATTTTCATATATTGGAATTTCCCAGAGGAAAGTCAACTCTGATTTATGATTAGAGACACTGCTGAGGAGGGACAGTGGCTAAGTGGGTGTGTGTCCTTTGCAGGTCCCCACTGTTACCTCACAGAAACAAAGCCAGGCTGGAAGTGAGCCTCTGTGTCCCTGCCCAGGTCTCTGTGACAGGTCCTGTACAGATCCTTGTCCCATGGCCTCAGGTGACCAGCTTGAGGTGGGGATGAGGCTACTATGGGGAAGGGCTGGAGCTGGGGTGAGATCCTGGGAGCCTGAGAGGTGGAGGGTCCTTGCCTGAGCCTCAGTGCTGGCTGCGATCAGGGTCAGAGCCGAAGCCACGCCTCCTGGCCCTGGGCCCCACTAACCTGAACCACCTCTCCATGTCCCTTAACAAGGATGAAAGCTGCTCATTCCCTGTACCTCCTTACTAGAGATGGGAAAGCAGAGAGAAGGGTATCCCTGGATGCCATTTGTCAATGAAATCAAATACATAATTTATTTCTATGGTGACAGTAATAATAAATCGATTGTTGTTGTTGGTTTCCTGTGTGCCCAACACTGTTTTCTGCATGGGATCTCAGGGAGCCCTCACCACCACCTCCTGGGGTAGCCACTCTTGTCATTCCCATCCTACAGAGACAGACACTGAAGTAGGACAGTTACATGGCATGCCCAAAGCTAGTCAAAGGGATGGAGCCAGGATTAGGAGGCAGGCCTGGGGTGGCACGACTTTTTGACATGTAGCTTCACTTCTACCTGCAAAGTAGAAATAATTATACCTGCCTTGCAAACATCGTAGTGAGGATTAAAGTAAATGAGATCACTCACGTAGAGTGCTCAGCCCGGGTCCCAGGATAAGTGCTTGCTCAGGAGATGGCTGTGGCTGTTGTTTGTGTGTTCATCCCTCCCGCCAGACTAAGCAAGGACTGAGCTTGGTCATCTGTGCATCCTCAGCACCCTGCCCCAGGCCTGGCGTATGGACTGTGCTCAGTGTCTTTTGAGTGAATTGGGTGAATGGAATTCACAAATGCAGACAGCCATGCGGCTCCCTCTGCCTCTTGGGCGGTGTGAGGACAAAAGGAACATTTACACAAAGTACTTTGCTCGGCCAGCTGGTCTACCGAGGTGAGGGCTTCCTTACTGTGCATGGTCCAGGGCTGGGTGAGGAGCGGTGAGGCCTAGCACTGAGCTGGCAAGGGCACTTTCACATGTGCCTTGCACTCCACTTTCCTCCCAGACACTGAAAGCACCTTGCCCTCTGCTGGTGCCCACTAGTTCCTGGATCTCAGCCCTGTCATCCTGTGTGCTTTGGCATGTGAGGAGCCCTGGAGTGGTGGCCAGACAGGGTCCAGAGCGTGCAGAGGTGGATTTGGTCCAAGAGGCCAACTTATTAGCACCCACCGCAGCCAGCAGCAGTGCCCCAGCTACCTTCCCACATGGCGTGCCTGTCAGATGCTGAATGATTTATAAACTGCATCCTCAGGTTGCAGCGAGAAGCTGGGGGGGAGATGCGAGGGGGCTCCCACTGGCTTGTGCCTGCCATGGCCCCTGAGTTGACAGCTCCACTCATGAGCGTGTCATCTCCCACGCCAGGAGAGGCAGCCCCTTGACAGGCCATATTAATTTATACCTTGGGGCCACGGGCCTTGGCGGCCCCTCTGCATCTATAACCATGCACCTATTGATCTGGGAGAGGGAGACCAATAAATCATCGCAGGGGCTCTGGACTCCTGCAGGCCACAGCCAGAGTGGGTTTTTCTGGCTGAGCGGCAGCCCCAGACGATGTCTCTATGGCCCTCGGCGACCACCCTGAGGTGCCTGCCCTTTCCCTGGTCTGTCCCCTCTGTCAGCACAGTGACACATGCCTGGAGCCCTGCTCTCTTGCGGCAGGCAGATGCCATCGCCTGCGGCAGCCAGGACAGCAAGCTCTGGGCTGGTAGTGGTGAAGCGACATATGCTTGTGGGCAGAGCAGCAGGGCTTTCTACACAGTCCTGAGGGTTGTGTGTGTGTATGTGTGTGTGTGTGTGTGTTCTTATTTAAATAATATCTTCTGTATCTCCTAGTGTTTTCACTGTCTTTCATTTGTCCTCATGACAACTCTGTAAGTTAGGGGGGAATTATTCTTTTCATTTTATATATAAGAAACTGAGGCCAAGACAAATTCACTGACTTCTCCAAGTTCCCCAGAGTCAGATAGACCTGCAGCATGTTCCATCCTGTGTCCTGCCTCCCAGAGGGCCCTATGAACTCGTTCTCACCTGCCAGCATCTTTGCATGTATTGTTTTGCAATTTGCCATGGCCTGCTTTTGATTTGCAATAAGTTGCAGGGCTGAGGCCCTGATCCATCCCTGGCTGGGGTAAGCGACAGGGAACTCTGGGCCTCATGCACAGGCTTAGGAGGTCCAGTGGAGAAACTGTACTCAGAGCTCACTGCTGGCTGTCTGCAGTGAGGACCACCCCTGCTGGGCATCACCTTGTAGCTCAGGACCCAGCCACGGTCATAGTGACACCCCTTCCTTGTGGCCTGCAGTGTTAGTGTGCTGCAGAGGCACCTCCGTGATTTCGGTCATCAGCTGTGCACACAGCATTGTTTGTGAGAAGCAGGTGATGACCCCCTTCCCCTGCCCACACACACACAGGCTAAATGCCAGCCTGCTCCCCTTGCCTGCAGGGAAGATTCAACATTTTCTGCCACCTCTTTCTGGTTCTTAGGTGCCAAGGAGGGAGTCAACAGGGTCCCACAAAACCAGGGCCCTGAGCTCAGCCCAGCCACACACTCAGAAGCTGCTTGCTTCCTCCTCCACCCAGTGGGGTGAAGCCAAGGACCCCTGGTCCCTCATGTCCCCTGTAACACCACCTCTTCCATGCCCATTGGGGGCGTGGCCAAGGCTGTGGGCGTCCTCCACCACCCACAGCACCACGAAAGAGGACAGCGTGGGAGCAGGAGATGGAGGGAGCCCCCCTGTAATTATTATTTTGTTTTAATGGTAATAATGTTCTTAATTACATCAGTTTCCTCGCCGATTCTAGCTGGGAGTCTTTGGGGGCCCATATAATTCTATTGCAATGATTGCGGGACCCTCTGCCATGAATACGAAGCAGGGGGACTGTGCAGAGCCCAGCTCTCAAGCATTAGGGATTCTACGGCACTCACCGGAACACCTTTTATTGTGCCCCCTGCCCTTTAAATAAAGAACCTCTAAATGGAAGGAGATGATAGCTGCCTGCTAGTTCTGCTGCAGTGTTGGGCTGTCAGCCTCGCACGCTGAGTCCATCTGCCATTTTTCAGCTCCTTTCTTTTAAATGGTTTCCTTGCCCCCATGGTGGGGCCTGATGGAGGGAGGGTACAGGGTCTTCTGCCTGTATGCCTTTTCCTCCAGGCAGTGGGGCACCCCAAGTGGGGGCAGACTTAGGAAACCAAGGGTCTAGAAAGGCCCCACCTACAGCCAAGGGCAGCTTTGTATCGTGAGAACCTGTGTCCATCTGTGACATGGGGACCAGACTTCAACTGCATTGTGATGGGGCTGTGCACATGTGGGCTCTAACTGCACACTGGGAGGCCATAAACAAGGTGTTAGCCTCTCTGAGCCTCAGTTTTTTCATCTGTAAAATAGGGATACACTGAGTTGTGAAAGTTTAATGAGAGCACGTGTATGAAGCACCACATACATAGGTTGTACTTGGTAACTGATGGGTATTACCTTTTTTCTTTTCTTTTTCTTTTTTCTTTTTTTTTTTTTGAGACAGGGTCTCACTCTGTCACCCAGGCTGGAGTGCAGTGGCATGGTGTGATCACAGCTCACTGCAGCCTTAACCTCCTGGGTTCAAGTGATCCTCCTACATCAGCCTCCCAAGTAGCTGGGACTACAGGCACATACCAACATGCCTAGCTAATTTTTGTATTTTTTGTAGGGCCACCAGCATTTTGTAGAGACAGGGTCTCACCACGCTGCCCAGGCTGGCCTCAAACTTCTGGGTCCAGGCAGCCTGCCTGCTGCGGCTTCCTAAAGTGCTGGGATCACAGGCATGAGCCCTCTCGCCTGACCTGAAGAGTATTACCACTGTTATGAAAAGCTTTGAGAACTTCAGGAAAGTTGCCTGGAAGTCCGAGGAGCTCGACAGATGGACTCATCCCCGTGGACTGATTGGCTGAAGTCAGGGCATTGGTGGTCAGGAAACTGACATTCCAGTGGCAGTCAGGAAATGTGTGGGAAACATAAAACAAAGACATGGCAAGGGAAAAAAATGAAAGAGTCATCAAGAAACAGCTGGTAATAGGCCTAGACTTCCACGTAGACTCTGTGAAACCAGCACAGGGTGACCCTGGAGGTGACTTAATCCAGCCGCACACTCTGTGGGCGAGCAACACACTGAGTAAGGGTCAAGGATCTGCCCAGGGTCACCCCGCAATTAGTGGCAAAGCATGGGCCATCAAAGGTGGCTGGGGAAGATTCTCAGGAACTGGCTTCCAGAACCTATGAAACGGAGCTCAGCCCTGGGCCAGAGGCACAGCACTGCTTTCCCAGGTAAGGCCTGAGTGTCCAGAACAGGGCTGGGATGAGGGTGCTCCCCTCTGGGCAGCTCCCCAAACCCCATGAGCAGTAGGCCCGGACTGCCTTCTTGATGCAGGTCACAGGTGTCCACAGGTGTCTGATCAGCCACCAGCACACTGCTATTGTTTTCCTGTTTCTGGGGTCTCTACAGTTTTTATCTTGGTCCCTTCACTTATCCTAACAAGTTCAAGTATTATCCAAACAGCCTGGGGACAGGCCTGGCAGCCCCTGTGACATGGAGGCCCACCACACAATAGGCTTGTTTTGATGTGTGCGCAGGCTGCCTGACCCACCTTGTTTTCTACCAGGAGGGGGAAAACGAGACAGAGCGAGCTTTGGGTTGATGGAATTATTATAATTTCTCTGATTCCTTAGCAGCCTTTAATTACTTAGCAACTTTGTGGTGTTGGCTGGAAGCTGTGAGGGCTGGGCTCTCCCTCTTTATAATAACCTTAAGTGGAAGCCACCTGTCCATCTATTAAAAAGCCCGCTCTTCTCTCCAGATGAGATAATGCCACCGAGAGATGTCACCCGGGGCATAATCACTAGATACAATGTAATCGTCCCCACTCACTGTCTTCATCATTGATCAGCCAGCCCACCTCCCAGGCATGGGGCACTGCCAGCCCCAGGGAGCCCAATGCCCACTCACGTCCTTGCCCCGGAGAGTCGTGGGCTCAGGCTGGTCCCCTCTCCCAATCCTGCTCCCAAGAGAGGGAAATGGTGTGGGAGGCCTTTTCCCACTGACCCCTTCCCATCCCTGCACCTCCCAGTCTGAGCCCACACTTCCCACCATTGCTGAGACGAACCCTCCATTTCAGAAATCCATCCCATCCGTGTGAGGCTTTGAGCCCCTGGTGTTCCTGTCATTCCTATCCCAATACCAAGTGGTCACTTTCCTGCCACCCAGCCTTTGTTCCTGCGGTGCCCTCCCCTGAGATGCTGCCATCCAAGCCCACAGCACCATCTTCCTTCCTGCCAGGAGCCAAACCTGACACTTCCTTCCTCAGAACCATCCCGTGGGAGAGGGTAGGGGAGGTTGGTCCTTTATCCCCATTCTACAGATAAGCAAGCCAAGTGCTAGAGATGTCAGAGCACATATCCCCTTCAGAAGCAGCTGCTGAGGGCCGGCCCCGGCTCTTCACTTAGTCCTCTCTCCTCTGGATTTGGAGGCACAAGTCTCTGCTCCTTATACCCACCCATCCGAGCTTCTAAACCCGCCTCCCAGGTGGGCCCTCTGCCTCTTGACCTTGGCCCAGCCTTTCCTTCCTGGGGTGGCCCCTGGCCCCCCACCTGCAGACAGGGGCGGTCGCCTGCCTGTGCACAGTAAGACAAGTGCAGCTCAACCCTGAGTCTTGGGCGAGTCGTCTCACTTCCAGGGCTCAGCTGCTCCTCTGTAAATGCTTGTCCTGGGCCTGTCCACTCCATGCTGTCTGGAGCTTAAAGCCTCATGCCAGTGGCATGAGTTAATTCCTAGAGTATTTTTTCTGGTGGCCCCCACAAGCTTACACAGGTTTTTTTTTTTGTCTTATTTTTTGAGGAAACGTATTACTTAAGCTTACATATGGAGAAGCAAACACTCATAAATATTCAGCTTTATGAGTGATTGCAAAGTGAATGCATTTGTGTAACTGCACCCGGATCGAGAAGCAGAGCCTCACCAGCATCTAGAGATCCCACTGTGCCCCTCCCTGTCCCTCTCCCTTCCCTTAAAGGTAGCCACTGTCCTGGCTTCTAACCCCGTGGCTTGCTTTTGCCCATTGTCATTTTATTATATCCATTCCAGTGGGTTTCTGTTAACATGTAAGCCCCTGGGAGCAGGCAGCCAGCTTCCTCTTGGGGGCCACTCCCCACACTGGTTAGGAGCATGGTATTAGGAGTACCACAGAAGAGTTTGAATCCTGCTCTTACCACTTACATCTGTGTGTCACTGGGAAGCTTACTGTCTCTGATCAAATGCATGTGGTGCTGACACAAGGTCCCCACTGTGCAGGTGATATGGGACAGTCCGCCTATACATTGCACGCACCAGGGGGAGCTAACCCCTGTGGTCATTACCTTGAGACACTCTCTCCCTTGTCCAGGGTCATCTTTCAGGTGGATATGGAGCTGCCTAGGTGCTGGGATAAGAGGCTGGATGGGTGAAGAGGAATCATAGGGAGGTGAATGGGATGGGGAAAAAAGTTGGATAGAGAGGAAGGAGAAGGGAAAAAAGGAGAGGGGTCTTTTCCCCTCATACTGTCTCCTTCCATCCTCAGTGTAGTCCTTCCAGTTGGTAAGAAAGGTGTGATTGTCTTCATGTTAGAGCTGGGGAAAAAACACCCAGAGAGGTTCAGTGACTTGTCCAAGGTCACACAGCTTGTCTCACATCTTACGGCTCTTGTCTGCCCCCCAAAGCAAGCCCAAATGCATTTAACCCTTGGAATAGACACTCAGGGTTTGGGGTTTTACTGCCCGGCTGCTGCCTTTAGAGGAGCCGGCCCTGAGATGAAAAGGTGGAAGCAGGGAGGGTGTTTGGTTAGGGGAGGGATTCATCCAAGATGACCTTTATTGTGTTCTAGCACCTCCAGCCTCCCACAAAGCTTCTGTTCACATCAGCAACCCAATCTCAGTCCTGCATGGGAAAACACAAAAATCTTTAAGGGCTCCTTAGCGGCTAGAACTGATTGTTTTTTCCTTTCCTGGTCAAGGCTGGGGCAGGGCCAGGGCAATGGGAGAAGAATAATAAATTCTTCTAAAGCATTGTCTTTCTCCTCACCTCCCCCAAACCACCAGATCCCTCAAACTCGGGGACTACCAAACCTTAGAAAAAAATATTCCGCCCAACACAGCCCAAAAGATGGAGATGGAGGGAAATGCAATAGCAGCTATTGGGGCGGAAAGCTCTAAATGGTGTGGAAGTAATGCCTAAAGTGTGCTGGCGATTACAGACATTTCCACGGAGCCACACTCGGGAGGCACGGGTCGGAGCCAGCAGCCGGGGGGAAATAAATAAATAAGTGAGCAAGCCTTAGAGATCCCGTTTAACCGTTGCTGTGCAGAAGGGAGGGATGGGGCAGGTCACTGGTGAGGGGCAGGAGGAGGGTAGAGAGGCTCATTCATGTATTCTCCATCCATCCATCTATTCATTCAAATGTATTGAGTCCCTGGGATGTGCCAGGGATGTTGCAAAAACCTTTCTGTAGTGCTCTGAAGCTGACGACCAGAAGCCCGGAAGGCTGGCGGGGTCTCATCCCGGCCCCCTCTCCAGCCTCCCCTTAAAGATTCTTTCCCCTGCTCTTCTGTATTCCTGCACCTCCACCTTCTTTGTGGTCCCCAAGGGCACTAGGCCACAGGGCCTTTGCACGGCCTTTCTACTTCCCTGGAACACATCACCCTCCCCGTTTTTCATGAACTCCCAGCTTCCCCTGGGATCTTCCATTCCTAATTCATCCCTCCTCCCAATGCAGAAAGATTTTTCTGTTCTTGGGCTTTCAGAGCAGCAGAGCTTCTATAGCTTTGACCTTGAGGTGTAATTACTCACATATATGCAGGACTATTTGATCACTGTTAGCTTCTTACGGGTGACTGTGAGCTCTGTGAAAGCAGGGGCAGGGACATGTGGCTTTCCACCGTGGACGGACCCTCAGGGCCTGGCGCACGGTGGGGACTCAGCGGATTTGTTGCAGGATGCCGTCCCTGCCCTCAGGGAGCTTCCTCCCGCTCCTCTGTAGCCCATATCCTTTAAGAGAGGAATTCCATGAACCAGCCCTTGGTGTGCTCTCTTCCAAGACCCGTGCTGAAGGTAGCTCAGAAGTGCGGTTCGAGCTCCCTGCCAGGCCGTGGGAGAAGGGCTGAGTCTGGCCTCGTCAGTCAAAGGCAGCTAGGGGCAAAAGGAGGATGCCTTGCTCAGGGCTACTGGAGGAAATCGCGTCATCTAATGGGGCTGGAGTGTGGTAAGCAGAGTAATGCCCCCTTGCCCACCAAAGATGGCCACATCAGAATTCCTGGAACCTGTGACTGTGTGACCCCACATGGAAAAGGGGATTTTGCGGTTAAGGACCTCTCTGTGAGGCCTCTGTAATCACCAGGGTCCTTATAAGAAGCAGGTAGGAGGGTCAGAGGAGAAGACATGACAGTGGATGCAGAGGTGAGTGTTGGGATCTGAGGTTGTTATGTTGCTGGCTTTGAGGATGGAGGAAGAGGACAGGAGCCAAAGAATGTGGGTGTCCTCTAGAAACTGAAAAAGGGAAGGAAACAGATTTCCCTTGGAGCCTCCAGAAGGAACGCAGCCCTGCGACACCTGTATTTTATTTCATTTTATTATTTACTTATTTTCTGAGACAGAGTCTTACTCTGTCACCCAGGCTCTAGTATAGTCTCAGCTCACTGCAACCTCTGCCTCTTGGGTTCAAGTGATTCTGCTGCCTCAGCTTCCCAAGTAGCTGGGATTACAGGCGTGCACCACCATGCCCAGCTAATTTTTGTATTTTTAGTAGAGACTGGGTTTCACCATTTGGCCAGGCTGGCCTTGAACTACTGACTTCAAGTGATCTGCCCACCTCGGCCCCCCAAAGTGCTGGGATTACAGGCGTGAGCCACTGTGCCCGGCCGACACCTGGATTTTAGCCCCCTGAGGCCCATGTTGGACTTCTGACCTTTAGAACCACAAGGTGATAAATCTGTGTTGTTTTAAGCCACTACGTATGTAGTAACTTGTTACAGCAGCCATAGGAAACTGACTCAAGGTGCTTTGGAGGCAGAGCAGTGGGACATGTGTTCTAAAGTGCACCCCTGAAGCACCCCCAGGCTCTACCTGCCTTGCTTCTCTGTGGCCTTCAGGCAGGAGGATGGAAGCAGGTTGTCTGCACAACAGTGGGAAGCTGGTGGTTTTTGGGAACAATCCACGAGGGCCAGCCGTGGGCAGAGCATCCAGGACTAGGGAGGGTAGCTGGCTGGGAAGAGGCCCCATGGAAGCCAGTAGGGGTGGAGTGGTAGAGTCCAGGAACCCAGAGCTGCCAGCTGCAGGCAGGAACCCATACCATAGGTGGGGAGAGAGGGAGAGATGGCAGGTACGGGGTGCTGGTGGTGCTACATCCAACAAGTGGCCACCACACTGCTGGGACACCACAGAGGAGGGTTCAGCGGGGGCCTGAGCATCCGTGACCCTCCTGGGAAACCTGGCTTCTTGGCAGCAGCCCAGAAACCAGAGAAAGAGGCGTCCCTGCTTGGCTTGCTACAGCAGAGTGGCAGAGGCATGCTAGAGTGTTGCTTCCATGTGCCAACCCCACCCTCATTCATTCATTCATCTACTCACTCACCAAACATTGCCTGAGGGCCTGCTGGGTGCCAAGCCCATGCTTGGTGCTGGGAACCCAAGAGGAATGAGTCCCTGGCCTCCAGCAGATCCTGGCTGAAAGCCTTCACCCACAGCAACAGGATGCAAGACCCAGTGCTTGAGGACCCAGATAGCCACCAGCAAAAGCTCGGCCCTCTGCATCGCTGAGGGGGTGGAGCAGGGGGTTCACCCATCCCAGCTTTGGTGCTACAAGAAAGCCGGGCCCTGCCTTGGTTCCCAAGTCCCTGGTCCTCCTGTGGCATGTATCAAGCACATCTTCCTCTAGGCGGTAGAATTGGGTCAAATGAGCTTCAGATGAGCCTAGCAAAGTGGCTGTCCCTGTCCTGTCCCACCCCTACACTTGCCCCCACTGCAGCATCCAGCGCTCACCTGTGGCTCTCCACGTGGGCCCAGGAGGCAGGAAGAGGGACTGCCTGGGTCCAAGGTGAGCAGAGGGACTTCCCCCGTTTCTGAGTTATCTGTCTGCTTCTCTATTTCTGAGGTGGGCGGAGGCCCCAAAAGATGGAAAAGGGCTGCCTGAAGTTAGGGGCATGAAGGAGGAAGGGGCAGGGCACAGGCCTGGCATGGGCTCAGATAGACCGTTCCCTGCACTGACCTCCTTCTCCAGTTTCTGCTTATGCCACTCGTATGACACCTGGGACCTCTTAGTCTCAAGCTCCAGGATTCACAAATGATAAAAAATGGGGTCTGTATCTTATCATTTCCTTGAACCTCTAAACCCCAGGGGTACTGGATGGAGGGGAAACGCTGAACAGCAATAATAATAACGATCATGGAGACTGCATGCGTCACTCGGGTGCTTTTTATAACCAATCTATGGCCAAGGCGTTGGGATTCTCCCTCTTTTAAAAATGAGGAAGCTGGGGCTCAGAGAGGTTAAGTCTTGCCCACGTCACAGAGCAGAGATGGGATGTGGACTCTGTCAGTCACTCCCAGCACCCCTTACCATGCTGCACCTCTATTGACCAAGGGCTGGGCTGCAGAGGTGTTTATGTCTCGAGTGTCGGGCGCATGTGGCCGGGGTTCTCAGAGAACCCAGCAGATGACAGACCATTGTGAGAGTGGTGCTGGGCTCGTAGGGCAGGACACCTGGACTGTGGCACCTTGCAGCCTTCCTGAGGTCTCCCACCACCCCTCTCTCCAGCCCCACCCCAGTGCCCTAGGTCAGCGTAGGACAGAGTGGGGTGGGGATGCCAGACACCTCTCTCAGTCTTAGAGAGCCAGGCTGGGCAGCTTGTTCCTGGAGAGACAGCCTCCCGCCCCTGCACAGGGCACGCACGCGTGCACACACCTCAGTTGCCACAGCCGCCCTGCCTCCTTCTGTCCCGGGTGTCTCCCTCACGGGTCAGTGCCCCCAAGTGCTAAATCATGAGCAAATCAGCCACAGCCAGCGGGAGGCCAGCAGGACACAGGGAGGGAATGCTGCCATCAAGGCCATTAGCACTGAGCTTGCCAGGTCGACGCAGCACAGCTGATTGGAAGAGAGCAGCCCAGCCTCCTCCTCTGGGCCCTGTGTGTAGCCCTTCAAGGTGTGACGTGGGACGGGACAGTGTGGGATGTGTGTGCTGTCTGATCATTCACTGGGCGTGCACAGTTCATGGCCTGGATGCTTGGTTTTGTCTCCCTGTGAGAACAGTGTCCACATGGGGACAGCTTCTCCCATGCCTGGGGTGGTTTAGAGGTGTTCCATCTTGAATATAGCAGAGAAGCAAGACCAGGGCACCAGGAGTTAGCCAGGCCTGGGTATGAATTCTGACCCTGTGCAAGTGATTTCGCCTCTCTGAGCCTCAGTTTTTCTCATGTGAAATGGGGACGATCACAAACTTTATAAGGCTTCTGCAATGCACATGAAGCACTTAGGAACAGGACTTGCCTGCTGCAGGGGACCCTTGCATGTCACTTCCAGCATAGAAGAGGAGAGATCAGTTTGCGTCCACCTGGACCCTTTTGGCTGGAGCAGACCTCACCTCCCTGGTCCCCATGGCTGGACTGGGATGTTTCCATATGCTTGGGGGCCTCTCATCTCATCTCTCTGGGCCTCAGTTTACCCATCTGTGCAGTGGGGTTAGTAACTTTGACTCTGGCTAGCTTCCCGGCTGGTCAGTGTTATAAGAAACACATGAGCCAAAGGGTGTGTAATGGCATGTAAACCAAGAGTCTATCTCTCCAGGCCGTGGCCTGGCTGAATAATGCCATCATGCCATGGCACTAAAAGGGTCTCGTAGCATTCCTGTGCCCAGAAAGAGAAGACAGGGCTACTGTGACAAGAAAGACCATCCTGGGGTAGGTGGGGTATGTCACTCCACCGCCAGGCCTCTTGGGACTTGGGTCTCGGTGTTCTCTCCCTAAAGAAGGTCATGGGTCAATCAAATTCTAACAGTTAATGTAGAGGCAGGGCGTATGTTGGTAAACTGAGGTCCAGGACCTCAGTGCCCCCTCGGCCTGGCCAGTGCCTTGGGACGGGTCCCTTCCCATAACTCACCCAGAGGGCTGAGCAGTGACTGTCAGGCAGGCAGGCCCGTCCCTTCTGCACGGCTGGCCTTGCAGCCGGCCTGCGGCAGACACAGCTTTTTTGTTTTTGGTTAAAAAGCCTCATCGGAGCGTTATGATATTGGAATGTGAAGGGTAATTGAGCTGAAAGCTATTCTCTTCCTGCGACCAGCGCGATAGGAGTGATTGAGGTGCCCGGGCCTCCGCAGCAGCCTGGGAATCCTGATGAAAGGTCTGTGGAGAGATAGGGGTCTATTGGCAAGGAGTAGAGCCAGGCCCCCAGAACCCTGTTCCCCACCCTGGGGGCCCAAGCCTGCCCTGCAACATGCTCCCCTGGGACTCTGAGCTGCCAGGCTGGGCCTCCGCCCACCTGGGGCAGATAGCCAAAGCCCCCACATGCTGGGGATGGGGGAGGGTCTCTGATGATAGGTCTTTGAGCAGGGGGATGGGGCACTGCACTAAAACCAGCAGAACAGGTTGTTTCCTGTGTCCCCAAGCCCCCTGCTCACTGCTTTGTCTTTGGTTAGCACACGTCTGTTTCCCCTGTTCTATGGGAGGGTCTCTCTCTCTCTACTTTGAGTCTCTCTTCCCCCATGTTCTACTCCACCTCTGCCACTATTTGGACAACCCCAGTGTTTTCTCAGCCGTATTTTAACACACATGTGAGTCAGCTGAGCATTTGTTAAAATGTGGATCCTGATTCAGTAGCTCTGGGTGGGGCCTGAGACTCTGTTTCCACTAAGCTCCCAGGCGATGCCAGTGCTGCTGGTCCTCCGACCTCACTTTGAAGACAAAGGTTCTAGGAAGCAGCCAGGGCCATGGGCCAAGCAAGAGTGACCCAGATGTTCAACACAGGACTCAGCTGGGAGGGACCCACCCAGGGTGGCAACAGCCAGTTCTGGAGCAGGGCCGCCCTCTGGGGTCATGCACGTAGTACCCGGTGCAGGGAGGAGAGCGCTGGTGAGATGCAGCCCAGCACTGCTCACTGCTCAGGAAGCTGCGTATCCTGGAGCGGGGTGGCCTTGTCTGGAGGAAGGAGCATGCTTTTCTCGGCACAGAGGGGCCATTTTTTCATGGAGCTTTGCACTCATAGGGTAGGGTCCACTCTGAAGGGTATGTTTTTCTAAGTTGTCACAAAAGCACCAGATGGCATGTTTCTGCATATCCCTATTCCTCCCTCCGTCACACACCCTTCCAATCTCAGAACATCTAGCAGAACATGGAAATCAAGGAGAAGGGAAACTAGAGTGTATCACACTCATACTTTAAGACTGTCTCTCCCTTACTCGCCCCCAGCTCCACCTGGCTGGGTGGCTCCCGGCCACCTGAGCCCTACAAGCCCAAGAAACAGGCCCTTTCCTGCCTCCCACCTCCTCCTTACCCACGGAACTCAGCTGGAAGGGTTAAGCTAGGACAGGCCCCTCTCACCCAGCCTGGGGTGGGAACAGGTCTGCTGCAAGGAGGAGGTCCTTAAGGAAAGAGACTCTGACCCACCCACCCCAGCCTGCAGCTTACCCCTCTCTGAGGTCCACTTGTAACTCCCTCTGGGGCTGGATGGAGACTCAGGCATTTGCACACATACACACATACAGACACACACACACACACACACACACACACACACACACTCTCCCCAGACTCAGTCTCTGCCTGGCCGGTTATTAATTGCCATGCGGGCTGAGCTGAATGGGTCCCATTAATATATGCTTCAGCAGCTCCTAGGAGCCCGGGCTGGTGCTGGGATGCCACAGCTTATCTCTGTCAGCCAGGCTTTCCTTACACAGGACTCCACTGGCATGTAACAAGCCCTCCTTGGGGGCTCTGGACCCGTCGGCCAGGCTGGGTGAGGAGAGAGAGGCCCACCTTTCCCGGCTCTGTCTGGCCAGCTCAGGCCTTCCTCTCACCCTGCCGGTGCCCACAGTGGGGCCTCTCAGCAGCCGGAGTCACAGTCCCAGGACAGGTGAATAGGCCTCTGCAGACTGCCAAGCCGTTCTCCACCCGCCGCCTGGCCTGAAGCACCCCCTTTCCACTCTGTGTTGCTCTGCCAAGGACCGTGGGGATTGTGCTGTCATTCTTGTTGCCTGGCTGGCATGGCATCGGGGGGCAGGTGTGTGAGGCTAGGTCTCTCGAGGTCTTGCAGGTGAGCAGAGCTATCACATATTTCTCCCTCTTTCCCAAGCACCTACAATTCCGACAGCCTCTCATCTCACATGTCCCCAACCAGGGTTGGCATTCACAGCCTTCGTGACCATCAGAAGAGGGAGGAGTCAGAACACTCATCTCCCCAACCTTCTGTCCGACCAATGCACAGCATCATGTGCAGTTAATCCTTACCGAACATGTCCCATGGGCCAGAAACTGTGCTCAGCACTTTCTAGGCATCGTTTCATTCTTCGACCACCTTGGAGGAAGGCTCATTCACTCTTCCCATCATGTAGATAAAAAAGCAGAGACCCAGAATGTGACTGCCCTGGGTTACACAGCTGGCCAGCAGACCTCAGAATATGCATGATACATAGAGAGCCTGTCTGAACACCTTGCTTTGGCATGAGGCTCTCGGCTCTGTGGCAAGTTCAGGCATCTCTACATCATAAGAAAATTCCTCCTATGTCAAGCTGGTATAGGCTTCCCTGCCATTTGCACCACATGGTTCCAGATTTGCTGGTTGGGATAGGGTCTATGACAGTTCACCCCTAAGAGGCTGCCACGGGGTTGAACCCAGCCCTTGGGCCCAGCAGCAGCAGCGTGTGAACCTCTGACTAGCTTGTAACTGGCTTACCAGGGTTTATAAAGAGCAAAGAGGCCTCAGAGCTGTCCTTCATTTGCCAAGACTCCCCCAGCTGCGGACCCTTGGGCTGCATTCTAGCTTTTTGCCAGTGCAAACAATCGGTGTCCCCTCATTCCCTGCATAAGGTCATAAGCCCAGCATCACCTCTTCATGATTCTGAACCTCCATTGACACCCACATGTCTCTAAAAATATTGTATTTTCCAATTCTAAGATGCCCATTTGCCCCTTATTTTAAAATATATGCAGTTGAAATGTGTGTGAGTTAGTCGCCCACAGCCTTTGCCTGCACAAGTAGTAGCTGCACTCACCCCACTAGAGTGACTGCTCTGTGCTCATTAGCCTTGGGAAAGTGGGCATGGCTTACCCTTCCCAGCCCTAGGGTAGGGATGGGGAGCCAGGCTGGGTAGGGAGGGGGAGCTGAGGTAGCGGCTGAGGACCAGAGAGCCTCCATGGCCCATCACTGCCCTTGTCTTCCTAGCCATAGACAACACCCATATTTGGCACTTCCTGTGCAGGCAGGAAGTGGTGACATTTTTGACTCCTACACATAGATTGGTTCTGTGTCACTGTGGTGCCTCAGGGTCAGCTTTGAACCAAGATCTTCTTTATACCTTTGGTCTCTGAATGTGTGATTCAGAGCCAAAGAGGGGAACAACAGTGTCAGTGATTCCATTCTGCTCACAAATTTGATTTTCTAAGGAGTTGAAGAGTTTGGGGCTGGACTAAACGTTTCTCAGTCTTGTTCAAAAGACCCTTAGTCCCCAGGGAAACTACCAGCCAGCTCCTCCCAAAAATGGGGAGTCCCTCAGAGAGACCCCAGAGCAAAAGGTAGGAAAAGCTGTTTGGGAGCCAGGAAGGAGGGGCTGAGACTCCTCCAGGGGCCTAAGATGGGGAAGTGAGTTAGCTTGAGGCATCAGGACCTTTGCAGGAAGCCCAGTCAGCCTTCTCCTTCCCCAACAACAGCCATTCCCAGAAGCCCTTGGGCAAGGAGCCTCTAATTGATGAACTTGTTCCTCTGTAGCTGTCACACGTCTTCAGTTCATTACAGCCCCATCTGCCTCTCACAGAGACTGCTCTCCGCCAGCCTCCTGGCTGCGTCTAAGGGAGAGAGCGCCTGCAACCGAGCAGCTGGGCTCTGAGGCCCCGATTACCTTGGAGAGTCCAATCAGGGTAATGGCAGGCCCTTCTTTAGGAGCACTGAGCGTCAGGGGTGGAGGGGAGCTGGTGGAACTTGGAGAGGTGAGTTAACCCTTAGCCTTCCAGATCCAGAGGCTGGGGATCTGTGCCAGCCAGGCACACCCCACGGCAGAAGCCCTCCCAGAGGGGCCCTCTCTGAGGTCCACTTTTAACTCCCTCTGGGGCTGGATGGAGACTCAGGCAACCTGACCTTTTGAGTCCCCAGCCCTGAGCTTTCCTTATACTAAGGCCTTCTGATGAGTAGGATTAAGTTTGATGTTGGCAAGTTTTCTTTTGTTTTTGTTTTTTTTTTTTTTTGTTTTTTTTTTTTTTTTTTTTGAGACGGAGTATCACTCTGTCATCCAGGCTGGAGTGCAGTGGCACACTCTCAGCTCACTGCAACCTCTACCTCCTAGGTTCAAGCGATTCTCCTGCATCAGCCTCCCAAGTAAGTGGGATTACAGGCATCCACCACCATGCCTGGCTAATTTTTTGTATTTTTTAATAGAGACGGGGTTTCACCATGTGGGCCAGGCTGGTCTGGAACTCCTGACCTCAAGTGATCCACTCGCCTTGCCCTCTCAAAGTGCTGGGATTACAGGCGTGAGCCACTGCGCCCAGCCGAGTATTTTTAATTGTCTGTGTGTGCCCAGCGCTGTATCTGGCACTGTGGGTGTGACACTCTCCCTGTGTTCTGGCCTCTGCTGGGTGGGACTACGTCTTTGTAGACCATGGATTGCTGGCACTGCCTGCCCCGAAGGCGGCTTGGAGAAGCGGCATGGTGAGCTCCGGAATCACAAGACCCCTTGATTCTCATCCTGTTTCTGCCATCAGTCAGTTGACTTTGAGTGTCACTTATTATCTGGACCTTGGCTTCCTTGTCTGCATAATGAGGACAGGAATACCTCCCTGCCACCTCACAGGGTTAGGCCATGCCATGCTGTATTTAGCCTTTGATTTTATGGGTAACAAATTCAACAAATACTCAAATACTCATTGGCTTCTCGGATATGGAAGACACACAAATGAAACACCGCCCTGCCCCGCAGAAGCCTGTGGTCTAATGAGGGAGACAAGTAGAAACCCACGCAATTGTGACCCTAGGCTGGCTGGACACCACACACACACACACACACACACACACACACACACACACACACACTGGCTGGGGCTGCAGAGGCCAGAAGGCACTTAGTTGGGGCAGCCTGTTAAAAGCGTAGGTGATTAGAGCTATGTGACACAGGATGCAGCACATCCCAGTCAGTGGTTTGGATTTTCTCCTCTTTGGCACTGGAGAGGTTGGAGGGCTTTGGGGTCAGGGAAGGATGCAGTTGTAGCTCTGCTTTTGGGAGGGGTCTCTGGTGGCTGCAGAGACGGTAGATGGGGTGGCAGAGCAAGACGTGCAAATAAATATTCTCTCCCCCAGCCCGCTCTCATTACCAGCTGTCTAAATCTATAACTCTGTTCTAGGAAAGAGATCTCATCCCACTTCCTATTTCCCAGCATTATTTTTTCCTGAGGTTTCAAAACCAGCACCTTTGAAGCTCCCACTGTCCCCTCCTCATTCCCGGCCAGGGTCTGAATTTTAACCATCCTATTTTCTTTACCGATTTTATGATAAACAGCCCAGTGTTTTCCCACACATTTCCTAAGTGTGTCAGGCTGTCCCTCAGGGCACTGCTGCATCCCTTTGCGCCGAGATGCCCAATCTTGTCCCCACCCTGGATACATGATTGTCCCCAGATCCCACTGGTTCCTTCCAGGTGGCCAGCATATTTCCAGCCCACCCCCGATCCATAAACTTTGGAGCCAAGTGTCCATCATCTCGGGCTGAATCTGGGTCAGGCTGGCTCATAAACTAGCCCACGGAACAGGCCCCTCAACTCCACCACAGAGCACCTGTCCTGATTTTTCACAGTTTTCTTGCCACTCTCATGTCTGGGGGTCTTGGCTGCCCCTAGCAACCACCACAGCGCTATCACTGCGGAGAAAAACTTCCCATCGCTGCGGAATCCCCACAGCCCCATCCTTGCTGCTCCCCTTACTCAAGTCAGTCTTTTGCTACTGATACAGAAATGAAATAATTCTACTTAAAACTCTCTGACCCCTACACTTTCTTGAAATACCTTTCATTCCTAAAGTTCAGAAGAATCCTGCCAGCTTGACAAGCAGACCCATCTGCATTTTCCAGCCCAGTTCTGCCACCACCCCCTATGTCAGAACCAACAGTTAAACTCATGTGATAGTCAGAGCCACTTCCCTGAAATGTTCGACCCCGTGACATTTTAAGGTTCTTTCCTTTGCCCTGACTTCTGCTGTCCAGTGGCTCTGTTCTGAGAATGGCAGTTGCTGCCTGTGCTGGAAGATATGACAGGTTTGGACATTGGCACAGCCCCAAAGTATTGCTCCAAACCAAGAAGCAAGGCTTGTGGGGATCTGTGGGATTCATTCTTGCTCTAAACTCCAGGCTCCTGGAGGCCCCTCCTGGTTTGGACAGGCTGAGGGAAGAGGTCCTTCCAGCTGAGGAAGCCAGTCATTCCTGGCCTGATGCCTGAAGAGCCCCTGTCTTCCCCTCCCTGTGTGGGCTGTCAGGAGAGGGCCCCTGGGGGCTGGGCTCACTTTGCCTGTGCCCTCCGCGGCTCTTCAGGGAAGCATGGCTGACTGCCTGCTCCATGCCCAGTCTTTTCCATCCAGACTGCTCATTGCACTTTTTATGGCTTGGAGCTGGTGGTTTATGGAGCAGGAGAAAGACAGCAGTAGGACTGAAGGAAGGGCAGACTGGTTGGGAGCGGGTGGATGGTGCTTGTAACCTCTGGGTAAGCCCAAAGACACTGTGTAAATTATAGCCTGTGTCTTGCTCCGGGCCCACTTTGCATTCCTGATCAGGTCTCCATGTTCTACCGGGAGGAGGGTGAGCTCTGATTCCCTCACACAGGGCGTGGCCCCTCCTGCCTTTCCCAGCCCGTTCCGGTGGTGAGGAGTCTTCGGAACCATGAGCACCACGAGTCAGCACCTCCTGCATGAGCCTGACTTCCAGGCCTAGTGGGCTTTGTGGCACTGTAGAAGGTTTCGCTCCACATCCTGGAAAACGCCAAGGAAAATGCCTCATGGTGAGGCCACTCAGGGGGTCTGAAGAAGTGGGAAGAAAGCTTCATCCATAGACAGACACCCTCGCATGGGCTTTCACCATGTGGAGCTCTGTGGGATAGGACTTGACCTGTGTTCTGCCTGGTAGCCAGTTCTGAGTGTTCCCCAGGCCAGCGGCAACTGTCCCTGGCTGGCTAGCTGGAGGAGATGGACCCTGATGTGAGCCCCAGGGCAGGGACTTGGTTATCTGCCAGGGCACAGCTGGAGCCCACCCTGTCCCATGTGCCCTGAGGACATGAGGGTTTGAGCCAGGCAAGTGGCATTACATTTTCACTGTGCTCCGGCCCAGATGTGCTGCATAGGCAGCTCTCTCCACACGGTGTTGAGTTGGGACACAGGGAAAGTGCCCATTACCAAAACAGACAATATCAGGCCAAGACAGACAGTCAGGGAAATGGCCAAGGAAAGGACACACGCTCTCGGCAGAAGTCCTCGATCTCCAGGCCTCGGGGCTGGTTGCCCGAGATCTGCATGGGCTGGGGGTCAGAAGGCAAGCAGAAGGTGCACGCGCCTTGCTGTGGCATGGCCCCTGCCCTCAGGAAGCCTGCGCTTGCATCGTGGGAAAGGGAACCAAACATAGAAGTGAGCATGGTGTCATGGGGACAAGGAGGCACAGGGAGGGTTACTCCATGGAGAGCAGGCTGTAGGTGCTGACAGGCCTCTGTGGAAGGAGGGCTCGAGGCACCCTGAACGGTATGGCTTGATGGAGGCCAAGGCAATGAAGGGGACACATTTAGGGAGTGGACAGAGGAGCAGAAGGAGGAATGAGTTTGGTCTGACTGGGGCTAGTGAGGAGGAGGCTGGTTCAATGGAGCCAGAGAAGGCCCTGGGCAAGAGGGAGGGGTGGGCTGCGAACAGTGGAAGGAATAGACTGTGAGGGCTTTGAAAGGCAGGTTTGCTTTTGATGTAATGAAAATAGTGAGTCACTGAAGGTTTTAGAGTGACGGCATGACACAAATGAGAGTAGGCTGGGAGGAGGACGATCACGAAAACAGGAAATGAGTGGACAAGGCTGCTGGGATTTGGGTTGTAGATTGAATTTGGAATGGGGCTGGAGACTCACTTTTGGGTGGGGCAGGGTTGAAGACAGTGGACAATGGAAATCCATTGCTGATATTCAACGCATAGTCCCCTGTCCCATCCAGACCCAAACGGGTCAGTAGGGTAAGCTGGATATGTGATGTGATGGGGAAAGGTCTTCAGGAGAAGGTCACAATGAAGAGAAGGGGCCAGGATCCCAAGTGGAGGAGGTGGTGGAAGGGACCCATCAGGGTGCAGTGGGGTCTCTGGGGGCCAGGAGACCATGGAATACAAAGATGCAAGTACCTGAGCTGTGCTCCTCTTGCCATGGGAGACCTCTGCTGTCCTGCGAGCCTTGAGGACAGTCTGGCCTATAAAACTGGAATGAGAGGCAGAACCATTTGGATATTTGATTGCGAGGCTGCTCTGAAAGGCTCCATATTGCCTTCGCCACCGTGCACTGGACAGGACTGCCACAGGAGCTGGCGCTGACCCTCCAACTGCTCCCCCCAGCTCCATCTCCATTTTCCCAACCTTCATGGGCCCATGGCTGAGGGCCTGGGGGTGAAAGCAAGAGGCAAGTGCCCACCCTTTGGGGCTGGCAACCCCTACTCCCCAAGCAGAAGAGCAGCTTGGTTCCCTAATTGAATAATATGTGGAAATAATGGGATTTCTCCTAGAATCATCGGTTATGTTTCGGAGCCAAATCATAACGAGAAAGTCATTAGTGGTAATAAACACAGCGGAGAGCCCGGGACATGATCCGTCAGGGATCTGACACGGTGGGGAGGGGTAGTCATCCCATTTGCATTTTCGTTTGCTAGCAGAATGTCACTAGCATTCCTGCCCCCCTCAAAAAAGTCAAGACACTAGAAAACACATTCATATAAGACATTTTTCTTGGTATCACTGATGCTGAGGACAGTGCAGCCAGGAGTAGCTTGGCCTCTGCCAAGTGGCCTTAAAAACTGGGTGTTTTTAAGGGAATATAAAGAGCCTTTCTCATTTTGATGTCCAAGGAGCCCAGTGATGAAGGAACAGTGTGTGGACCGCAGGCTTTTGGTTTCTCCTCCTGCCTGTCCCATCAGTCCATCCCAAAAAAACCCCAGCTGAAGGCATCTCAGCCATTTATCTGGCTTTATCCTAGGCCCCAAATCGACAGTGACAGTGGCCCTTGAAGGAGCCCTGAGTTTGGGCCCACGCTGTGTTAACTGAGTCAAACATCACTTCGTTTCCCTCTCCTGACTGTTTTTGCGATGATGGTGTTATTATCATCTTATTTCACAAACAAAGAGACTGAGGCCAAGAACTGAAGCCGACTCCTCCCACTCACTCGGCTGGTATAGAGCAGAGCTGGGATTCAAGCCTATGGTTCTCCCACTCCCTCAGTAGGGAGCCCTGCACAGAGTAAAGCTGTCGGTTTCCCTCTAAGCCTCAGCAGCCAGCACTGTCCACATCACTGAGTCCATTTTACAGATGGGAGTCACTGAGATCCAAAGTCAGGCCAATATGTACAGCAAGGCCAGGAAAAAGATACGCAGGTCTGCATTGCTCCTGGCCCTACCCGCCCCCACCAGGTCTCCATGGTCACGTTGCTCAGGAAGAACAACTACGAAAGTGATCAATGAGTTCATTTCCGATACACTAGGGGTTGACGAAAGCTGAGAACTTCTCACAGTCTCCAGCATGTGTTAATAACTCGCCACCAGGTCCCCCAGTGAGGGAAAATATGTCAGCCTGGTGCCTGGCAGTTTCTTGGCTTATTGCATGGCCACCATCAACCTCCCAGATTCCAGAGGATCAACTATCAGAATTGGAAGGGACCTTCCAGCCTGTCTGGCCTCACTCGACGTTTGGGAAAACTGAGGCCCAGACGAGTGAAATGACTTGTTCTAGGGCCCGTGATTGCTGGAGCCATTGGCCCGCCCCAGCCAAAAGCCATTTCTCTTCCTGCTTCCCTGTCATGTCCAACATATTTTTTTTTCTGTTTCTCCGATTAATCTGATTTTAGCAAAACGGTACAAGGCAAGTGCATCAAGACTGTCTGATGCTGAGGCGAATATACTCCAGCAAATGACAGGCAGCTAGAACAACTGCCTTGTCCATGGATACAGCGTGCAACAAACTCGCAGGAGTTTGCAATCATTCATAACTGTATTTTCTTTTCTGTGAATGAGTGCATCTGGGTTCTGAAAGTATACCAGGTGCTTTTGCCTGCCCTACTCTACTAAATCCTCACCTGTGGCCAGTGTGGGAGTTCTTACCGCTCAGTATAGATGAGGAAACCAAGGCTGGAGGCAGTGTTTTGCCAAGTTCTCATGGTTGGTAAAGGGACAGAATAAGAAATCAGGAGACATGTGTAGGGACGAGAGAACAAAAGCCTGAAGCCCTGAAACTGCTCTCCTCACTTGATTTTGACCCTGGGAACATGGCTCAGCCTGTATCCAGGGAACCTGGGGAGTTTCCGGTGCCTTGGTCCTTCCAGTCCAGACATGAATCCTCCTCACGCTGTGGCTCTGCCTAGGGAACTACCACTCCCTAGTTCTCTCCCCACTGGTGGGACAGGTGTGTGACAGTGTCCTCCAGAGGGCAGACACCTGGACCCATCCACGCCGTAGCCCCTTTGCCCTTCCCCTGGGAACCCCAGCCAGGAACCCAGAGTGAGCACCCTGGCTTATGGTGCAGCCCCAGCCTAGGACCCTCATGCCTGTCCAGACCAGTCCCAGCCCTCCTGGACCCAGCCCACCTATAGCCTGGCACTCCAGGGCTCCCTCCTGGCTCCTTCCAGCAGGAGACCAAGTCTTTGGAATAAAAATCAGAGGTGTCAGCTTAGTGTGCAGGGCCAGGGGAGGACCACTTGCTTTTCTCTCTCTCTTTCTCTCTCTCTCTGGTCTTTCTTTCTCTGCTTGTGGCTTTGTTTGTTAGACGCATGTCAAGCCTGATGAACTAAATGATGCAAAACTAGAGATATAACAGCTCCTTTTATCTCCCATTTCAAAACCCAATTTGTTCCTGCTGTCTCCTGAGGGCTGCATTGCAAACCCAGCCTCTCTCCTCCTTGGAGAACTATGCATATTCAAGCCCTCTCCCTCTCCTGCCTTCCCACTCCACTCTACTTCTTTGCTCCCTTCTCTCTCTTTCCTCTCTCCCTTCTCTCCATACCTGTTTCTCTTAGACTCTCTACCTTCTTTCTTTCCCATCTTCTCCCATTTACCCCTTTCTCTGACTCTCTTGACCTCTCTCTGTCTCCCTGTTTCTTCTCTTTCTCCCTCTCCTGCTTGCTCCCCACCCATCTTCCCCTTTCCCTCTCCTTGAAGACAGGCTGCATGTGTTTGCCTTTGTCTTGTTAAATGGTGGAAGAGCAAGGATGCTCACTGGTGTAGCGCCTGGCAGGGAGCAAGTTGGCTTCAGAACACTTTCTTTGCTGCCTGGACCCTGGTGGGGAGCCAGGGACCTCCCTTTTAACAGGACCCCGCTAGTGTGCTGGTGGGGGCAGTCCTGGGTGGACCATGACTTTCTGCTCACTAAGGATGTGGGGCATAGGCCATCTCAGATGTTAAGCCGTCAGGCAGTATGATCTTCCTCCGGGGTAGGGGGATGGAGCTGGAGGGGGCCGAGGCTCACGTGCAGACCAGAGTGCACAATCCTCCTGGGTCTGCACTAGGGAACCCACCCTCTTATCAGCCCAGACCCTGGACCAGAAAGCAGCTCATTCTCCTCTGCCTTTCCCCCTCTCACTAGGCAATTTCAGCTTGACTGGGTTATTCAGTGCATGGTGCTAAGGCTCCTGCAGGCATGCCTGTATGGGCCAGTTACTAGACTGTGGTCAAGGAATGTCTCACCCGCCCCAGCCTTCCCAGACTCACAACTACTGGCCCTTGGAGATTGATAGAATCGTGGGGTCTGTGACGTTGCTGCCTGCACAAACCACACGTGCTGTTGGTGATGACTTAGCTGGTCTCACTACCCCAGGAAGACCCCCTGCTTATTCCCCCCATTTCACTTCTTCCCTGCTCTTTTGGACAGAGAAAGGAAAAGAAGGCTCTGAGATGGGGCTAGAGAAGGTCAGCTCAGGAAGGAGTCTCCACCTACCGTCTCTCAGTTGTGCCGACCAGGGCCCCAGCTGAGAAATTCCCCAGCAGCCCAGCTCTGTGCAAATCCCAAGTGCCCAGGTGACTTCCTGTCCCTTGGGTCTTGTTGGACTGGAGATGGCAGGCCCTGATGGGAGGGCTTATCCAGCATGACATAGCCGATCAGGCTGGAGCTAAGACCAGGACAAGGTCTTCTGCTTGCTGTCCCTGGGCCAGCTGCACACTTTGGGTGAATGGGTCTCTCTCATGTTCCCCAGTTTCCACCCCAAAGTCTGGTTCTTGGAACCCAGGTTCCTCCCACGCAGGCCCTACCCAACTCCATCCCTCTGGTGGTCAGGAGGTAAATAAGGAGAGGGCCCCAGATCTCCTGCAAGCCCAGCGTCCCTTGCACATGCTGCCAGAGCCCTGCTCCTGAGCACACAATTCTCATGCAGCTGATGGCCCCCCTGGAAATAGACAGTCATCAGGCTCTTATGGATCTTTCAAACCCCCTTCTCTCCCTAATAATCCCTCCTCTGGGGCGGTATTGATTCCCAGCCGCTGGCCGCCTCTTGGTATGCCAAGGCCCAGTTTGGGGTGGATAAATAGCTGTGCTGTCATTTTCACGCAGCAATTACCCGCTCTGATTCCTCTCCTCCTGGCCCCCGCAACAGCCACACGGTCACCTGCCTATTGACAACACACTCAAGCCTCAGCCAGCCGGGCAGGGAACCTATGGACCTGTGAGCCACAGCAAAGTTAGTAGGAACAGAGACTTTGGAAAGGCAAGTCTGGGGCCCTGGCCCTGGGCTAGAGGGCAGGTCCCAGAGCTGCAGGCTGCTAGGAGGAAACTTCTTCACTCTGGACATTGAGGAGCACTGTGGAGAGTGTGCGTGCTATCATTTGATGGGATTCACCTGTGCATGTGTGGCTAGAGAACTTCCGGCAGGAGTTTCTGCACCCAGCTCCCTCCTTGGGTTTTCCCACTCCTGGCTGCTCTGGGGGTTTGGAGGCCAGGCTTAGTTCAGTCTTACATCAGAGGTCAGCAAAGATTTTCTATAAAGGGCCAGAGAGTAAATGTTCAAGGCTTTGCAGGCCATATGGACTCTGTTGCAACCACTCACCTTTCTTGTGATACAAAAGCAGCCACAGATAGCATATAAAAGACTGAGGACAACGTGTTCCAATACAAGTTTATAGATGCTGAGATTTGAATTTTATATAACTTTTACACATCACAAAATATTATTCTTCTTTTGATTTTTTGCTAAGCACTTAAAAATGTAAAAATCATTCTTTGCTGGTGGTTTCAACAAAGACAGGCAGTGGGCCAGATTTGGCCCACAGACCATAGTTTGCTGACCCCTGATTTATATCTACAAAAGACGGTAAGGACTTTTTTCCTCTCCTCATTTTCCAGATAAGGAAACTGAGGCTGTGAGAGGCAGTGGCTTGGTCCCATGCAGGAGGAAGGCGCCTTCTATCTAGGGATCGCTCAGTGTGTGAAGACCCTCTCAGGATCTTCGATGTAGTTGACTTGGAGATAGAAAGGTGGCGTAGCTTAGTAATTAACAGCCAGGTATCTGGGCATCACAGCCTGGGGTTGGATCCCAGCTCTGCTCGCTCCATGTGACCTTGGGCAAGTTACTTCTTTTCTCCAGAACCTCCTTTTCCTCATATGGAGAATGAGGGAGAGTGGGATAGAGGACAAAAGAATCCCTAGGATCGTCCAGCTGGGAGAATATTGATTAATCTGTGACTCTGTGATTTGCAGCCCTCAATCCTCTGTCTTTAGGGTCTTGCTGTGCTTAAGGATTCTTGGTCACAAGGCTGCCACCTCCGATGGCAGGACTCAGGGCCTGGCCTCCCTGCCTGCCCAACAGATGTCAGTTCTCCAGGGCCCCCTCTGCCCACAAGTCTTTGCCCTGTACAGCCTCTCTCTGGGCTTTGCAGGGAGGCTGAGCTCAGCAGGCGCCCACCTAGGCAGGAGGCCGAGAAGATAAGGCCAGCCAAGACCTGGCTGCTGATACCTGGCGTGAAATTGAAAAGCACCAGACTCCTGCCTCCACAGCCTGGTGCCCTGAGGGAGAGAAGGCTGGGAATGGTGAATGAAACTGACCCGCCCAGCCAGCAGGGCCAGGCTCCAGGCTGCCACACTTCAGCTCTCCCCACCCCTTCCCCTGGGGGAGGCACAGGCTGAGCGGGTTCTTCGAGGCTCTGAACAGCAAGCCCCTTTCCAGGGTGGCAGCGTGCAGGGGGCTTCTGTGAGCCTAGGGGCTTTAGTGGGCCCCTGGTTTTGAAGTGGGGGACAACCACCAAAAAGGGGAATTGGATGGGAGTGCCCTTGCCTTGTGGAATTAGGCCTGTCCAGAGGCCAGCGTTGCAGTGCTCTAAGGTCATTGTAATGCAAGGCTAGCAAGTCCAGAACTTCTCAGAACAGCCCGAATGCACAGACTTATGAGACGCTGTTCCTCCAGGGCCCCATTCAGCAGGTGTGGACACCAAGGCCCGGAGAGCTGAGCACCCGGCCCCACCCAGGAGTACAGGGAGTTGGGTGGGGACCCAAGTGTCTGATTTCTGGAGCAGGGCTTTCACTTCTGCAGCCCAGTATGGTCCAGAACTTGTCACCCTCATCCTCAGGCCTGTTGTCCCCGAGGACCTCCATTATCCAGAGAGCACTGGAAGAAACCTTGCTGTAGTAGACCTGAGGATGGGGACAGCTCCCCTCTCTCCTTACCCTCACTGTCAAAGCACCCACAGATCAGATGTCTGATGGTAATGACCTCTCCAGGGTCTGGCCCACAGCATGTTTATTAGGGTCCATATGCAGCCGATGCTGTCCATGCCGGGTGAATACATGCCAAGTGATTTCCTGTTCACCCAGTTCCGCATAGATGATTCTGGTTATAACAGTGCAAGCTAAGAGGGAGGAAGTCAACCATTTTTTTTCCATCAGCAATCTGAATTTTACAAGTCCTCATGCTTCTCCTAGCCACTCTAGCAAGGGAAAAGGTTCTTTCCATTTGACAGATGGGAAACTGAGGCCCAGATGGGCACTGTGATTACCTTCAGGCTCTATAGAGTTCAGGGGCCAGGGTGGAGCTGAACCTCCCAGCACCCTCTTACCAGCCACCCCACCCCATGTGGGGATGTGGAGGATCCCAGGGCTGCTGGGACCTGTTGCTTCACAGTGACTTGGTTCTCCCAAAGCTGCTAAGTACTGTAGAGCAGAATGAAGTGCAGCAGACGGATCCTTGGGCCTCTTAGAGAGTGCCCCAATTTGTAAAACAAAGCTTGAGAAGGAGAAAAAAAAAAGATGGAAAAAAGCAAATTGGAAGCAAGAGCAGGCTGTATTTTCCATCCCTTCAACCATCAGCTGCTTTAAAGGGCCAGCCTCGTCCTCGTGGGGCAGGATAGGATAAGGAGGCAGGCCTGAGCTTTTAATCAGAGTTATGTTAGATAAAGCTTTTATTATTCACCTGGCTTTATTATAGCTCTTTCCTGAGGTTAGAAGCTAATTTTCCTGGTTTTTACCGAACTCTGGTCTGCTTGGCTGCCACAGATGCAGGAGAGGTGGACGGGAGTAGCGGAAAAAAGGGAGATGGGGGTAGAAATCAAATCAAATAAACTCTCCTCATCCAGTGGACCGAGAGAGTGGGCGGAAAACAACTCTAATAACAGGGGAAGTTTCCAGAGGTGGAAGCAGGCTGGTGAAATCAGGCCTAATCAGCTCTAGCAGAAGGGGTTCCAATCACCCCCAGCCTCACCAGGGGGAGGGCAGAGTGGACGAAGCTGGCGATGGGAGTAGGCTGGGGGCTGGACAGTGGCAGGCAAGGCAATCAGAGCCCTGCCAGCAGAGCCTGCCCCACGCCCGCTCCCACCCTCTGCCTTGTGTTCCAGCCACAGGAGTGGGAATGCTGGCAGAGGGTTAACCGGTTAGTGACCGGGATGGAAAAGAGGAGGAGCATACCTACACCAGGCCCGGGGCCACAGGCACGTTGCCCTGGGACACGCTGCACACCCCAAATACCCCTCCCACAATCAGGCATGAAGTAGAAGCCACCAATGCCACAGACAAGACCCACGAGGCAAAGAACTTTGGCCACAGCTATCTGGGGGAAGAAGATAGTGCTCCGTTTTCTAACTCTCCCCACCTTCAAAGGGAGTCGGATCATTTTCAGTTGACTTCTCCGCCAGTCAGGAGCCCATCGAATGATGTTCCAATTTCTTGACAGTTAGAGAGTCATTTTATGGCTAGATTTAGAGGTTGGAGGTGGTCTGTGGCTGGGGTCTGGTGTCTGTGACTGGTGCAGTGTGTGCCCTGGGGTAACCCTGGGGACAGAGTCAGTCCCCGACCCCAACCCCTGGTGACAGTAGCAGGAGGGGAAAGCCACGTCCACCCTGTAAGTTACTGTCGAAGGAGGGATTCGCATCCACTAAACAGCCATTAGGCCAGAAGCACCAGATGCAATAGCTTGAAAGAGACAGCAGTGCTCACCCCAGCCTTTCCTGGGGGTTGATCATTTAATCTCTTTAGCTCCTGCTACAAGAGGGAAAGAAGACTGCAGAGAGGAGAGGTGATATTGAGACAGGCACCGTGCTCCCAGGCCACGGCAGGGGAGGGGGAGGACAGAGCAGCTGTCCCTGCCAGAGAGGTCAGTGGCCTTCGGAGAAACCCATTAGACCGTTCTCATCCACCGTGCGTTTCATTAAAAGTGAGACAGTTTGCACCTTCCACTTTCTCGGGCTGTCTTCAGGTTGTCGTCATCAATGAGCCTGCCCTGTGTCCCCTGCAGGGGCTGATTTCTGTTTGCTCCATAAGGAGACCCGATGCTTACCCCCAAAGAGTCTTTTGCACTTTCAGTTAGTCTGATAAGCTTTAGATGCCACATACCATCTTCCTATTTGCTATCATTCATTTATTCATTCAAGAAACAGTTCTTCAGGGCCTACTGTGTGCTAAGCACTGTTCCCAGAGCTGGGGACGCAGCCAAACAAAACTGATGGAGTCCCTGCTGTTGGCACCTTTCATCTAGTGGGGGAGACAAGACAACCAACGCATACATCTATGTCTGCTGGTGAGAAGGGCCACAAAGAAAAATAAAGCAGGCAAGTGGCTAGCGCAGGCTTTGTGGCCAGGGAGGGCCTCTCTGAGGACATGTGAGCAGAGACCTTGAGGGAGTGAAGCACGCATTATCTTAGGGGAGGTGACTCTCCAGGTAGAGGACAGAGTGATTGCAGAGGCCACCCCCACCCCCCAGGGAGTGACGGGCAATGCCAGGAGGACATCTGGGGTGGTATAGACACCCGAGGGAAGTACCAGGGCCAAACAGAAGTAAGACTGAAAGCAGAGGGTTTTGGAGTCTTGTGTAACCCGGCTGTCCAAGTTTGCCCATCCAAGGATTTCTGGTCTTGCAGCCTCATTTCCCCTCTGATCTGATGGCCACAGCATTCTCACACCCAGGACAGGGAAATCACTGTTTTCCAGCTCATATCCCCTCTCGGTGTCTTGTCTCAAAGCCCCTCCGCCTCTCCAGTGCTGGTCATGGTCTCCTTACCAATGCCCCTTCTCCATGTTTATTTCAGCAACTGTAACTCAGTCCAAAGCATCTTCCTCTCTACCTTTAGAGCTTGTGGAGACATTCGTAAAAGAAACAGAGGCATTTGCTCGTGCGGAAAAATGGATTTTGAGTGGCTCCTCTATACCAGGCAGAGCGATATGATGGTACCGGAGCTACTGTGGTGAGCAAGGCAGTTGTGGAGTTTTAATGCAACGCAAGCAATTTTAAGGTGGTGTAATAAATGCTGTGATGGAGGCAGTGCAGAATGTGGGCTCTGGGAGCCCACAGAAGGGGCACCCAACCCAGGTTCAGGGAATTAGGGAGGGCTTTCCAGAGGAGGTGATAAACAAGTTGGGACTGAAACATGCATAGGAGTTGGCCTGCGTGTCCACTGCACCTAGAACACAGAACATGCCTGATATATAGTAGGTGCACGGTCATTATTAGTGGAATGAATGAATGGGGAAGAATGTTCCAGACAGACAGAACAGCATGAGCAAAGATCCACAGGTACCAGATTCAGGCAGTGGAGGAGCTGGGAACTAGGACACAGGTGCATCGCCCTTCCTGTCACACCTCCTGACATGAAGATGGGCACTCTGCCTTCACAGATGCCTTCAGACTCTCTAGGTGCCTGTCAGTGTGCCTCCACTTCCCAGCAGGGGCTAGGACACAGTGCTCGGTGAATATTTGTTGAATGAATGAGAGGGAGAGACTTCAGAGCTGGTATTTCCCAGCCATCTCATTAAATAGGCAGATGAGGGGCAGGTCAAGAGACGGGTGGCCAGGGTGTCATTCATTCAACAGTGATGTTTTTCAGTACCTGTTTAATACAGGGCACTGGGCCGGGCCCTGGGGACACAGTGGAGAGCAGACTTGGGCATGGACCCACCCCAAGGAGCTTACAGTCTAGTGGGGAGTCAGATGGTGACCAGAGAGTCACCTAATGTCAGTGGGATTGGAGACCCAGAGAATAGCCAGGTAACTCTGAGCAAATACAGCCAAGGACCCGATCCAGACTGGGGGTCAGAGAAGCCTCTGGAGGAAACAGGCCTGGGTGAGATGTGAAGGCTGAATAGGCAAGAGTTGGGGGTGAAGATGAGGAAAGGATTCTAGCAGACGGATGGCACAGGCAGCGGCTGGAGGCAGCGCAACACCCAGTTCATCTGAGGAAGTGCAAGGCCAGAGGGCTGGAGGGAGGCGAGGAGTCAGTGAAGCCGAGAAGGGCAACCAGGCAGGCCAGGCAGCGCAGGTGTGGAAGGGCTTCTGTGGTGTTTATCTGGAGGTCAACAGGAAGCCACTGTGGAGTTACTGGAGGACTGGAATAGGGTTGTGGCGACACGCCCAGATATGTATTTCAGGGCATTCATAGCGCCACGGGGGAGTCCACATTGCAGGGCCAGAGAGGCTGTGGAGCCCAGTGAGCCGGTCCCCGCAGGGGTGGTGGTGGGTGGGAGGGACAGGAGCAAACTGCTCCTGGAGGCAGAATTGCAAGGAAGAGTCTGGTTTCTGGCTCAGTGGTGGGTGCAGAGGGAATGTATTGACATTCATGGAGCCGGGGACACAGTTTCCAGAGTTTGTTCTTAGGCGTGCTGAATCTATGCCGTCTTTGAGACTCCTGCAGAGGCATCAAGTGGACGGTGGCTTGTTTGGGACCCAGAGAGGCCTCCATGGAGATGGGAGTGTCTCAACTGCTGTGGCCAGGGCTAAGCAGCCACTTGGCGTGCTTGACTCCAGCCGGGAACAGGAGCCGGAAGAGAGGCCCCGTGGGGTAGGGTCAGTCGGAGGCTGGCCGCTGCTCCTCCAGCCTGCCTGGAGCCTGTCAGCTGCGTGGTGACGGAATGCATTTCTCTGCACCGGAATAGATTTGGGCTCAGCAGTTGGCTCTAAGTGCTTTTTGCCCTGACGTTCAGAAATGAGCACTGGGGCAGCGGGAGGGCTGGGATTGGGGAGGGAGCCCAGGGGACAGGGCCACAGCCTGCGGGGGCCTGCTGCACGCCTGAGTAAATACGTGTTTGCCACATCACACGCAGTCATGCGGGGTGGAGACAGAGAGGGGAGAGTGTCTTTGTGTATGTGTGTGCGTGGTGGAGGGGGGTGATGGCATATGGACTTGAGCTCCTAATCCAGTGGCCTCAGAGTACAGGAATATCTCGAGGTCCAGGAGGGGTGCACAGAGCCTGACAGCTGCCTCCACCGAATACGTCTTCTTTATCTTCATGTAGATCTTGGTCAGAGGCACCAGCTCTCCTCCAAGTGGAAGGGATTAGGGGACAGGAGAAGCAACATCAGAGGTGGGCTGGGAAGAGGTAATGTAGAGCCCCAACTTGGGGAACCAGGAGGAAAACACAGTCCCATGTGCATGTGCAGCCTCCCTGCAGGTCTCTGGGTGTGTGATGCCAAACCTTGCCAAGGGGGGCACTGTGTACACACAGAGACAGAGGGAAAAAGGAAGTAGTACAGTCCTCAGGGTAGTACTTAGTGGTTGTCATTTTATCTTTTAGGGGAACAACTTTGGTATAATAAAGACTTCATTTAAGATCAGTGTTGAGCTGCCTCCTTTATTAGACTGCAAAGCCTGTCCCCATGAAGAAGCCACTGGCTTTGCCATACTTAGGCAAAGCCTTCCAGAGAGTTCTTGAAAAACCAGCTCTGAGCCTGACTAGGCCTCTATCTTGGTTCAAGAGAAATGACTTCCTGCCTGCAATCACCATAACCGATAGCTCATGAGACAGAGACAGTAAATAATTGTTCCACAAGTTTCAAGAGCAAGCGTAATTAGTACAGTTAACAGTGTTAGGTGATTAATTGGTTCATTCAGCACCATTGTGAATGAGGCAGAGCGTAAGCAGGGGAGGGGCCAGAGCCCCCAGACACCCAAATGTGGATATGGCCCACTACTGATCAGCCAGGATCTGACCCCTGAAACAGCAGCCAACAGCTAAAAGGCATTCACCTCCAAGAGCTGGGGCTCCTTGGGCCAGAGCAGAGGGCAGGTCACTGGGCAGGGCCCACAGAGTTTGTCCCATTAGTGGACATTCAGGGCTGGAAAGAACTGGATTTGGCTTCCATATTGTTTCACCTGTTTGCCAAAGGTCAGAAAGCTGTTGTAAGTGAATGATAAGACTGACCGATTAGCCCATATAGGAGGGGAGGGGGCACGGATGCATAGAGTCCCAGCCTGTGGGGTTGGAGGGACTCCAGAGAGGGGTCATCTACTGGATCTCTTGACCACTGAGCTGAACTGCTCTGGGGCATCCCTGTCAGAGGAGACTGGGCTCTATTTTAAAGTCCTCCAGGGAAAGATGCTCTAAACAGGGGTAACAAGCAGCAATTCAAATCATGTGCCAACTCCAGGCCTTCGATGGAAGCTGCTTATCAGCATGTTGGGTAGAGAATCCCGAGGCTCAGTCTGGGAAGAGCACTGTGCTTGACTGGCACTGCCTGCCCTGAGTGCAGAACAGAGGAGAGGCAGCCTGCGGGCCATTTTCAGATCAAAATCCACCTGGGTCACTCAGGCGGGTTTTACACTTTTCTCCAAGGTAGTTTCTTGGGGCCTCACTTACTGCCCCAGAGAAGCGAAAACGGTCTTGACTGCAACTTCAAGGCACTAGAGGGTGTGAGAGATGATCAGGAAGGCAGCTGCAGACCCAGCTTGTGGGGCGGGGTCGGGGAGGTTCCTTTCTTGACCTTGTGGGACTACAAGGTCCCACAGACCTTGAAGCACAGAGCAGGGTGGAGAGTTGGGACCAGCCTGCTGGGTTTATCTAGCTATCCCTGCCTCCGCCAGGATATTAACGGGCTTCCCGCAGATGGAAACTTCTCTTTGGAAACAGGGTATTGGGAGCTTTAGATTAAGGCAGAGCTGAGTCCCAAGACTGGCCCTCCTCTCAGGAGCTAGGAATAAGGCCTTGAGCTCTCTACACTTGTTTCTCCTCCTTTACAATGGGGATAAAGCCTCAGGGACTGTTGTGAGGGCTGAAGAGGAGAAAGTACGTAAAACTTCTAGTACAGCCTTGGTCATGGGACATATGAATTCTCCCACAGATGTTCTGAGGTTTGGGGTGACACATTAAGACCAGACTGACTATTCCAGTGACTTGGCAGGCTGAGGAGTCGGGGATCGCTTGAGGCCAAGAGTTTGAGACCAGCCTGGGCAACATATCAAGAGCCCATCTCTGTAAAATTAAAATAAACATAAGTGAGCTAGATGTAGTAGTGTGCACCTGCAGTCCCAGCTACTTGGGAGACTGACACATGGGAGGATTACTTAAGCCCAGGAATTTCAGGCTGCAGTAAGCTGTGATCGTGCCACTGCACTTTACCCTGGGCAACAGAGTGAGACCCTGTCTCAAAAAAAAAAAAAAAAAAGAAAAAAGAAAAAGAAAGAAAGAAAGAAAAGGAAAAGAGAAAGAAAAAAGACAAGGCTGCCTGTGGGAAACGTGTTGAGAATGAACAGCTGCTTCAGGCCCAAGTCCACCCCAGGGCCCCAGTGCTGTTACTCTTTCCCCCACCGTCCCATCCTCAAGGCCACTGAGTGTACACCAGGCATGCTGGATTTGCAGGTGTGGGGGCAGCATCAATTATGCTGCTGACACGGGGCTTGCTAAGCCTGGGGGAAGCTCTGGGAAGAGAAAGAGGAGTGTCCTGGGGTGGGTGGAGGAGGGAAGGAAAAGCAGATGTAGAAAAGTCTGGAAGATGCTTCCCCTCCACCACCAGAGCCAGCCCCCACCGGCTGCCTCCCCTAGCCAAAAGGCAAGGCTTCCTCGCAGCAGAAAACATATACACATATTTGCAAGCTACAGTACAAACGAGCGGCAAACCTAATGATTCGTGATTATTATTTGAAGGGTCCCACTGTTACAGATTTATTTGTCATTTCTTGTAATAACACCGACAGTAATGAATTCGTTTGTATTAATGTGAGTGTCACGAGGACTTCCGTCGAAATTCCGCATTAATTAACGTACCATTAAAACAAAGTGTCGCCCAATTAATATCTAACAGAGGTAAGGCTGCCAGGGTCCTCTTCATCTGGGTTTCATTTGTAATTCATGGTATTAGCATCCTGCTTAATGAACGTCATTTGCAATTCCTACCGCTGGTCTCTCCCACTTCCTGGGGGAAGGTCAGGGTGCCCTAGGAGCTGTTGGGCCCTTCACTGGGCACCCCCGGGGCCAGGAGGAGAAGGAGGGAGGGGTGGGACTCTGTTTCTAGGTGGAAATCGAGTCTCCGCATTCTTCATTCCAGAAGGGGCTTGGAAGGCCCTTGGAACTTCCTGATCGGTTGGTTATCCACTTCAGTTACCCAGAAGATACCTTCTTGAGGTTCTGGTAGGGAAGAGAAGGCTAGTTTGTTTCTTGGTCAAGCCTGATCTTAACAGATGAGACCATGGCCATCCTAGGAAAGCCTTCCAGCAGGGAGCACCCAGGATTCTGGTTTCCCTCTTTTCTTAGTGTCAGCCTGGTGGTCTTCTCATGGTCTTTGTGTGACATGAGAAGACTATCAGACTGACCCCAAGGACCCTCAGGACCTCTAGCTGTCCCTGAAGCCAGCAGTGGAGCCCAGTGGGCCTTGGTCTCCGAGACACAATAGACCAAGGAATTGGACCCTCTGCCCTGTTCCTCCCACAACCCCTGCGGCAGGGCCCACCTCCCCCAGCAGGGACAGAGGCACCATCATCCAGCCTTTAGAGCTCTCAGGACCCCATCCTGGGACAGCTCCTGAAGACAACATAGCCGGGCACCCTCCCCTCTCAGGGAATGCTCCTCAGGTGAGTGGACCTCCTTGGGCTGTCCCCGCCCAAGTATAAGAACCTGAGGCTGCCACTGGCAATAATGAAGTTTCCTGCAGTGATGGCTACTACCGCTATGACTGTGGGCCAGGCCTCAGGCTGTGTGTCTCAGAATCATTACTGCTAGGCCCACAGATGCAGGAGGAAGGTGTTATTGCCCCCATTTTACAGATGAGAAAACTGAGGCTCAGAGAGCTTCAGTACTTTTCACACAGAGGTGGAAGAGGGGAACAAGACAGGTGTCTGGGTTGTCACATTGATGTCTCTGTGTCCTCCCATCCTTTCCAGCTAGTGATCCACATGAGAGCTGGAGGGACAGGGCAACAGGGGGCCAGGCCTCTGGCGTCCTGGCTTATAGTGCCCTTGACTCTCAGAAAGTCCTTCCTTCACTGGTCGCCCACATGCAGGGACTGTGCCCTGCAGTCCTGGCACATGGCAGGTGCCCATAGCCAGCCGTGGGGCGTTTTAACCTGTGCTTCATCTGCATGAGAGTGTCATATATCTCACTGGAGAGTGAGGCTCAGAAAAAAAACAGGAAAGGGAGGGAGAAATGCTTTCATTGATTTTTGCTTCAGAACGTGCTGCCTTTCTATATTCCAAGGATGGTCCCAGAGCAAAGAGGCTGGCTTGGAACTAGAGTGCCTTGGATTTGAGGAAGGACTCACAACTGAGCAGGAAGGGAGTGCGGAGTGATGTGGTTCTGCCCCCTCATTGGATGGACAAGGACCGGAAAGCCAAAAAGCTTTGATTCTTGTCCAGAATCACACAGGGGACCCTGGTCCAGGGTCTTCTGTCCCCCATCCAGGGCTCTTTCTTCCACCCCATGCTGCTTCCCTCGAGGTTAAGAATGCTGTGTGTTTGGGAAGCCACCTTGCATCCATGTTTGGACAAGGTAGGGGACGTCAGGGAGTCAGCACTAACATGGGCACCTGCAGGCAGAACTCACTGCAGAAACCGTCTGTGTGACCACCATCCAGTCCCCCCACTCCCAGCTTCAGCTTTTTCATCTGTAAGACAGGGTTCCTGGGCTAGGGCAGTGCTTCCCCACCTTGGCTGTACATGAGAACTTGATGGGAATTTAAAGATACAGAGTCAGGGACTGGGCGCCAGCCTGCTATTTTTTAAAAGCTCCCCAGGTGATTCTAATATGCAGCCAGGGGTGTGAACCATTGGAATAGACATTGGAATAGGATCATTCGGTCCTTCTTCACTGATTGAAGCTTAAGCCATTCCTCCAAGGTCCCCAGAGCCCAGTGACTCTGCAACTGCCCTCTCCCTGCCTGGGTCCAGCTCCCCGCAATCTCCTCAAACCCCCCGGCCCTCACCACCCCTCAGCTCCTCTGCAGCCCCGTTCGAACCTTCCCCAGCTCTGTCTGCCCCTAAGCCCCAGGGCACCAAGTGACAGGTTCCACTTATCACATCACACCGCCTGAAGGGCCGGCAGCAGTAGCCTCAGGATTGGAGAGGCAGAAACCACACCAGGCCTACCCCACCACACTCATACCTGCCCAGGCCTCTGCTGCCCCCTTCACCCACTCCTTCAGAATGTACACTCACCCAGGCTTGGGACAGAGGGACAGGGGTGGGAGGAGTCCGAGGGGCAGGGGAGGAGAGACAGCAGGAGAGCTGCGTTGCTGGAGCTGTCTTCTTATTCAGAATCCATTTGTTAGGCACCGCTTCCCATAGATGTAAGGCCCGCCCTGAGGAGATTTGCATATTCATTTTGTTTAACATGATTCATCATCATGCAAAGGAATGAATTTGGGGGCTGGGAGATGGAGCCCCATTTGTGAGCAATAGATCTGGGTACAAAGAGCTCAGGGCAGTGTTAGAGGCTTTTGCACACCCAGAGTGGTCCCCTTTGGGATGGAGGTGGGAGACATATGATCCCCAGAGGGTTCCCTGGGAGTTTTATCTCTGCTAAGGGCAAAGCAGGGACCTCAGCCTTTAGAACCTTCCCCTCCCCTTCCAGACCTTCCCACCATAAGTAACATCTGCAAAGCACTTTGCAGTTTACTGACCCTTGTCTATACACATTTCCACCTTAACCCTTACACAGCCCCGTGAGGTAATAGCATTATGACAGAGCCAAAGATTTACTGAGCACCTATTATGCACTAAACACTTTACACGCTTTGTCTCCCATAAGCCTCACTGTATCTCCATGAGGCAGGTTTTCTTTTTTGTTTTGTCGGATTTTTGTTTTTCATTTTTTGAGACAGGGTCTCACTCTGTGGCCCCAGCTGGAGTGCAGCAGTGCAGTCACAGCTCACTGCAGCCTCAATGTCCTGGGCTCAAGCATTCTTCCCATCTTAGAGTCCCAAGTAGCTGGAACCACAGGTGCACACCACCACACTGGACTAATTTTTTTTTTTTTTTGGTAGAGATGGTCTCACTATGTTGCCCAGGCTGGTCTCCAACTCCTGGGCTCTAGCAATCCTCCCACCTCAGCCTCCCAAAGTGCTAGTCTTTTTCTTATTTAAAAAAAATTCCAGGAGACTCCTTGCGTCTCTCAGTCACCACTTTTCAGAATCTACCAAGTCTCAAGGTTACTGTATGCCTCCAGCCCCTGCAGCCCTGGGTTCAGAGACAGTGCCCTGGAACCGTGATGGCCCAGCTTCTGGACTACAGGCTAGCTTTTTAGACAGGACTCTTCTTATAGATCACATCGTATCATTCCCTGGATTTTTCTCTTGGAGTTTTCTGCCTCTGCAGAAAGTTGTGAGAATTTTTTTTTTTTTGGCCTTTGATTTTTCAAAATATGTTTCCATAGTTAACTCATTTTATCTCCACCCCAGCTCTCTATAGAAGATAGTATAGGGATTACTATACCCATTTCCTGGATGGAAACACTGAGGCATCAGATGTTTATGTTGACATTGCATAGCAACAGAGAAGGAAGTGGGAAGTTATTGGAGAGCAGCTGGACTGTGACCCAGAGTCTGGGACAGTTGTTTCTGGGACTTTCCTAATCAGGCCAGTGTGCATGGAGAGGAATACAGGCACCACACGGATCCTTCCTGGTCTCCAGAAGCTTGTTTCCAAGTCCCTACTTGAGGGCACGGGGGTATGAGGCTTCCAGCAGCCAATCAGACCAATCACTCTGGCTAGGGAGGGGTATGAGATTATGACTCTAAATAGCTAAGAACTGGATTTCCCAACTCATACCTTTATTCTTGGTTTCCTCCCATTTCATGGAGAGGAAAACAGAAGCCCAGCCCACGAGGGAGGGGGTGGTACCTGGTACATGCTGCCTGGTGTTGAAAGCAGATGTCCTGGGCGCTGGGGCCAGGGTGGGTATCAGGGCTGCACCGTCACCACGGCCCTCCCTGTTCCCTTTTTCTTTGCGCACAGCCCTTAGCCCACTGCTGGGAATGGAAATAGCATTCTTTATAACGTGAAATTATTTCTTCCTTAGTGTTTCAGCCTATAGTGTCACTGTTATGAACTTTGGTGCCACTTTGACTCTTGATCCTTTGTATGTGGGCCAGCCGTCCGTCCCTGATGCATGATACCCTCTGCTGCCACGTGCTCTCTCCCTCTGCTCCTGCTGGTCTGCAAGTGAGAAGATGCAGGGGGAGCCTGGAGGAGGCAGGTGCAGGGACGGCCCTGGAATATTGTCAGTGATGGCAGGTGGCACTGGGGGATCTCCAAATTCTACTGTCATTCATTCTACAGGAAGGTCACTCAGTTGGAGTCAAGGGTAAGGAAACTTGCCTTGGAGCTCCTTAGTCTCTGAATAGGAAGGAGCTGGGGCTGTTTCATGCTTGGGTATCACACTTGGCCTTGAAAGTCAAGCTCCTGAGAAGAAGGGAGGGAGGCCCCAGATGTCCCTCTGATGAGACTCCACCTAGCTCTGCATGTCCAGCATGTGTGCATGGGGTGAGGGAGAGGGTGTCTTGCCCCAGACCCAGGCATGTGTGCTAGAAACCTGGGTGGAGCCAACAGCCTCTTCTAAGAAGGGAGGGAGTGTCAGTCATTGGGTGGTGATGTCTGACGTCTGCTCTCTAGGGGAAATATCCAAAGGAAGGCAGGTCAAAAAGACAGAGGCACCATGAGCACAGGCCTGGAAGGGGACCACACTTTGGGGCTGGCACATAGAATAGCTGAACTGAAATCGAGGACCTCAGTGGAGCAGTAGTGAAAGAAGAGTTTAAAGAGAGAAAGTTTGTTGAGACTATCATGATGGTCAAGGCTTGGGAGACTTTGCCTTGGAGCAGATGATGGTGATTTGGGGGGAAATGAGATGCTGGATGAGTGCTTTAAGGCAGGGACTTTCAGGATCCATTGCAGGGGGCAGAGTTGAAAGGGAGGAGGCAGCTGGGCACCATGGCTCATGCCTGTAATCCCAGCACTTTGGGAGGCTGAGGCAGGCAGATCACTTGAGGTCAGGAGTTCAAGACCAGCCTGGCCAACATGGTAAAACCCTGTCTCTACTAAAAATACAAAAATTATCTGATCATGGTGACACAAGCCTGTAATCCCAGCTACTGGGGAGGCTGAGGCAGGAGAATTGCTTGAACCTGGGAGGCGGAGGTTCATGCCATTGCAGTCCAGTCTGGGTGACAGAGCGAGACTCGGTCTCAAAAAAAAAAAAGAAAAGAAAAGAAAGGGAGGAGGCCACTCAGTGGTGCAGCCATAGGGAAAAACTGTTTTTAATTTTGATATTAACCTTTATCAAAGTAATATATGTATGAATTTAAAAGTCAAATAGTACAGCTCAGCTTATAATAAAAGCAGCAGACCCTGATTCATTCTTTACCACTCCTGCTTCCCACCCATAGAGAACCTCATTCAATTTCTGATATTTACTTCCTTATTTCTAAATCACATGCCTATACATTGTTTTAGTTTTGAATATTATCTATTGATTTTTCACCTATGAAGGATGAGAATTTCACTTTTACACCATCCTCTACCTTATCTTTGCTATACACACACACTGGAGCATGCACCCTACTCTTAACATTCACTGAACCCTACTCTTAACATATATACACCCTACACAAACATCCTACTCATAACTTTCACTATGTCCTACTCTTAACATACATACACCCTACATAAACACCCTTCTCTTAACATTCACTATCCATCCTCCAAACTTAATTATATTTCTCTTTTTAGCTAAAACAGCATTTAGTGTACACAGTATTATGATTATGTAAATGTTATTCACAGCTGAGCCACATAATATACTGTAATTATATTTCCTCTTTTATTTTCTCTAGAATTAGTAATCACTTCTTTTTTTGTTTGTTTCTTAGTGTTCCTTAATGCTTGATGTAGGGAGCCTCTCAGCATATTCAAAGTATATTGAGTTTTTAAAATTTGATTTTCATTTTTCTTAACAACATTCTCCCTGGAGTGTCCACCCTCCTGTCTCAACATGGGCCAGCTGTGCTCTGACTTGTGTGGTGTTCTGGAGGCTTGATGTGGGGTGGGCATTGGAGAGGAAAAGAGGGTCACTCTGAGGAATCTGTTATCTCTCTTCTCTATTGGATCCCTTTTCATGAATGTCATATTTTCCTGTTTCTTGGTTTACAGTTTCTTGAAGTACACTCTTCAGTAATTTTCAGAAAAAAGTGTTCATGGGAATTTTTTTCACTTCATCTGAACAATGCGTTCATGCTATGCTTTTGTTTGTTGATAGTTTGGCTGTGTATAGAATTCTGGAATGGAAATAGTGTTCTTTATAATGTGAGCTTATTTCTTCCTTAGTGTTTCAGCCTATAGTGTCACTGTTATGAAATTTGGTGCCACTTTGACTCTTGATCCTTTGTATATGACCTTTTGTTTTCTCTCTGAAAGTCTCAGGATTTTTTAAAAATAATCAACGTTTTTGAAACTTCATGGTTTTATGCCTCAGTATGAGTCTTTCTTCTGAACACATACTGGTCTCTTTCAATCTGGAAACAGGTCCTTCAGATCTGGGAGATTTTCTTATGTTACTTTTTGGATGATTTCTTCCTCTTCATTTACTCTTTTTTTTAACTTATTTATTTATTTATTTTTGAGACAGAGTCTCACTCTGTCACCCAGGCTGGTGTGTAATGGCATGGTCTTGGCTCACTGCAACATCTCCCTCCTGGGTTCAAGCGTTTCTCCTGCCTCAGCCTCCTGAGTAGCTGGGATTATGGGCACCCACTACCATGCCCAACTAATTTTTTGTATTTTTAGTAGAGACAGGGGTTTCACCATGTTGACCAGGCTGGTCTCGAACTCCTGACCTCAGGTGATTCACCTGCCTCGGCCTCCCAAAGTGCTGGGATTACAGGCATGAGCCACCATGCCTGGCCTGTATTTTTTTTCCTCTGGAATTCCTATTAGTTGGAATGTTGGATATTCTGAACTGCTCCTCTAATTTTCTTACTTTTCTCTCCCATTTCATCCCTTTGAATTTGTTTCTACTTTTGGGGAAATTTCTTTATCTTCCAACTCTTCTCTTAAGTTTTTAAATTTCTACTGGGCCTTTTTTCCTCTTGGAATATTCTTTTTCCAAAGATGTTGTGTCTTGTCTTTCTGAGCATATTAAAGATGCTTATTGTTGTTATTCCTTTTTACTGTTTTTTCCCACTCTGTCTTTCATGTTAGAGGCTCTTCTCAAATGTTTAGTGATCCTTAGTTGTCTCTTCATATATACCAGTGAGTTCACGTGTAGCTGCCTGGAAGCTTGCTGTGTATGTGTGGAGCAGGGCATGGTTGGGACTGCTTGTTAGCCAGTGGGCTCCATTATGGGATGATTGGAGGAGGACCTGGCTGTTCTTTCGAGGGATCTGCAACATGTCAATGTTTGTGTTTTCTCTTGCACCAGTTTTCCTTTTTACTGCCTGGAGCCTTCAGGAGGCTGAATGGCTAAAGAGAACTGAAGAGGGATGGGATTGGTGGGGAGGGTACAGATTTCCTCCTAACCTCCCTGTTTTCAGTGCCTGGTTCAGCTTCCATCCATGAGTCCAGAACCCAACTAACTCAGACCCTCTAGAAAGTAAATCTCACATTTTCTGCAAGAGTTGGGGAAGGGATCTGGGAGTCTAACCACTCTTTTTAAAGCTGTTTGGCCCCACCCCATTCCCTCCCACTCAGCATCACCTGGTGTCTCCGGGTCCTGAGCTTTTCCAGTGTTCTGAGATGCCGGCCTGAGCTTCAGCTCACCCGTCTCCTAAGGCAGTTATAACTGGCCCATCTGTTTCCAGTTTCCAGAATTTTGTTGACATCTCTCATCTGCTGTTGTCTCCTCTCCTGTTCTTTTTGCCCTTGTGGATTTGTGCATTTTTAATTCCTTTATTGTCATTTTGGTGAGGGGCTGGGACAAAAACAGAATTAAATGGATGTGTTCAATCTGCCATGTTTACCACAAAATCCTGATTCTTTTAAAACATTTATTGAATGCCTTCTATGCACAAGTGACAGTGCCAGGACTAAAGAGGTATCCAAGGTAAATAGCAAAAAGGAAGAGGAGGGTGAAGAGTGGGAGCTGGGAAAGAGGGGGAGGTCTCGTATGGCTGCAGCAGGTCAGGAGGGCCATTCGATAAGCACTTTGATGAGTGTCTTTCAGGGATTCCAAAAAGCCAGTACACAGCTGGAAGCTGTGAAGGAGGGACTCTGAGGAGGGACTTGGAGATGGGAGGGTGCTGAGTTGGCTCTGGAGGAGACCAGAACAGCTGGGGAGACCAGCTTAGGCCCAGAGAGATGTCCTCGAGCCATGTCAGGGTGTGAGTGACTTAGGGCCCAGGCCACAGAGCTGGCAGCCCACCCCGGCTCTCAGAGCATACCTGGCACATTTTAGATCCAGTACATTTCACCCAAGAGAGCAAATACTGGTAGAAAGAAGAGATGTCGTCAAATTATCGCTCCCCGATTCCTCCAGGCAGAGATGCCGGAGTATGGGTACACATGGGTTTATGCACACATGTGCCCCTCCCTGACCAGAATGGGGCTCCCTGAGATATGTGTTGGTGCCCCATGGGCATTCGCCCCTCCTGCTTCTCTCCCCTATACTGTCCTCTGTGTGGACCTCGTCCTCCTGCGCTCAAGTGCCTTCCTGCCTATTTGAGAAAGAAACATAGCCCACCTCTCCCATAGACCCCATTTCTCCTCCATCACTGCTCCCCCATAAGCTGGAATGCCACAAACCCCCATATTTGGAAGTGACATCCTCCCAAAGCATCCCAGTAGGAGAGGCGCCTGCTTTAGCATCCAACAGAAACCGAAGTGCAGATGTTTCTCCTCTGCCCCAGGAGCCCATGTTCAGAAAGTTCCTTGCCTCTGACTTGAATTCTTCTTGTTCCAATGGGAGCCCATTTTCTTATTCTCAGTGAAAGTGTGCAATTTTGAAGTACCCTCCTTCCTTCCTAAGCTCTTTTTTGGCTACAGCTCCCCACCAAACCTCTGTTCTCTTACCTAGAGGCGTCTTCAGCTGCCACCCTCATCCCCAGCCCTTCCAGACCAGGAAGTCCCACTTGAGGAGGGGCCCTGAGCCCACTCTCCACCCTTTTCTCTGGAATCCTGAGGTCTGGGCACAGAAAGGTGACCCGACTTTGAATCCTGATTCCACCACTTACAATCTGTGCGACCTTGGACAAGTGGCTTCATTTCTCTGACCTTCCATTTTCCCCATCTGGGAAAAGGAAGCAGGGAGCGGAGGTGTATAAAAATGCAACTGAGGGCAGAGGATGGGAGGGCAGAATCCCACTAGCCCCTCTCCTCTCCCCACCCCAGCCCCAGCAGACAGCTGCCCAGCCTCTGAGTAGCACAGGAGGCTGTTACCAGCTCTGATCCACCGAGAAGCCTGCACCTTGTCAGGACTCCATCTGTCAGGAATTTATTACTAATGCATTTTATAACAGGCTCTGTAATAAGATATTAAAGACTGTAGCAGCATCTAGCAAGCATTCCATAAATATTAATAACACCTTTAGAGATGGCACCTATGGTGGAAATGGTAGGGCTTTTTGCCAAAGTTTGGTCAAGGGTACAGCATAAATCTTGAAGGGGGTGAAGGGAGCAGGTGCACCCTAAAGGTGAGAGGGTGTGGCGTCCTTCTTTTCTCTCTCTCTCCTATCTTCCTTTCTCTTGCTGCTTAATTTTTGTATGTCTTTTCCTCTGTTCATAAGTTTTCCTCTAGAATGTCTCTTTTTTTTCCTGTTTCAGTTAGTTCCTTTCTCCCCAAGTTTCCTTTCCTCCCTTTTCTCTCGCAAATTATCTTTCCACTTTATCCCGTTTTCACTCTGGCCCTCAGTCCTGCCCCTCTCACTGTTCTCACCGCATTTTCCTCTGTGTTCCTGTGCTCTTCCTTCTCCTTGCCCCTCCTCCCTGCCCCCCTTTCTTTACTGCTCTCTCTGTCTGGTTCCTCCTTCCTGCCTCTCTGCCCCACTCCCTCTGGCCTTTTCTCCCTTGCTGCACACCCTCCCTCACCCTGTTCCAGTGAGCAACCTAGCCACCTCTGGAGAGGCCTGGAGTGTAATGTAACTCACACTGCATGTGAGAAGTGAGCTATTTATCATTATTATTAACAAACAAGATCCTTTGCACGGCAGAACTTTCCCAGAGTCTATTCCCTTGTCACCCCAGGAGTAGCAAAAAGATTTATTTGTCTCTGAATTGCACAGGGTGGCCCATTTACAGCAGGTCCATCAGAAGTGATATGGAGCTTAAATGGGAACTGGAAGAGGCAAGACCTGCCGTGGGTTACTTGGCGAGAGAGACAACCTGGCAGGTGCAAGAATTTTGAAGGGGATAATGCCTAGACATGCTCCCTGGTCCCCTGAAGGCATGGGTGTACATTTGGGGAGACTTCCTTTGAAATGGCCCAGAAGCCATAAGGGAGTAGGTGGGACTGGGCAGGGGGGTACCATGAAGGAGGGGAGGAGGGAAGCAGGGGTGGGGCAGAGAAGTGGGTCAAGAGGCCTCCCTCAGAAGCAGAAGTGATCATGCCCCATGGGGTCTTTCTTCCAAAGACCACGGCTGCTCCTTTCCAGCAAGAAGCTGGACCCAGGGCGAGTGTCCACAATGGAGGTGTTGGAAGAAGCTACCCTGGAAAGGAGGAGCCCAACCCCCAGCTGCAACAGGCCTCTTGGTGCTGCTTCTACAACTCCAACCCGTGCAGCCCCAACCCCAGACACTCCAAGCCCCACCCCAGACGCCCCGAACCCCACCCCAGACACCAGAGCGACATCTTCCACTCATTCTCCTTGTCCTCAGATGGCAAAGTCTGGCCCTGCCGAGCATCTCTCTTCAAGGCCTGTCCTGGCTGACTGTGTGAAGTCCATGATCAAGCCATCCCTTGCCCGTCCGGCCACCTCCCCATGCGCATGCTGATAATTGCCTGCAACCTGGATTTGCACGTTAATAGGAGTGTCTGGAGACGGTTAAAAAGAAGAGGGAGCTGGCATTTACCCAGGCTCCTTGATTCTTCTCCCCATTGTAACTTCCAGCCTCGGGTGGCGGGCACTGTGCCCTCATTAGCAGTCCAGGAGTGGTGGCCTGGCACTTTGCTTGCTGTGGGCGCTAAAGAGGTAGAGTCCCATCAGCAGAGGGTCTGGGTGAGCCTGGGGCAGAGCCATGGAAATGAGGAGGCCCTGCCCATGGCTGGGCATGTTCTGGGGGGCAGGAGCAAGGAGCTGAGACCCATGCAGGCCAGCGTGAGCAAGTGGGGTGCCCATAGAAAGGACGGCACAGGCAGGTCCCAGCACCGCAGCCATGGGCAGGAGACAAAGTCAGCGGGGCCTGGGACAGCCAGGGTGGGAGGCTCTTGGAGGCCCTCATCTCCATTTTTTCTCCTGCACTGTGCTCTGCTCCGCTCACTGCAGGTGGGCTTCCTCTGACTGCCTGTGGCATCTCTGCCACCCTGTAACTGTGGCTTTTGTGTGGCTCTCGGCCTGTCATGGTGCCCACTCCAGCCAGATAACAAGATCTTTCTTTCAGATTCTCAGAGAAAATTGATTTAATTTCTCAGGCCCCACCTGATTGGCATGGCCTGGGTCTGAAGTCACTTGGAACAAACATGAGTGCCTAGACCCATCACCTAGAGCAGAGCTGTGGTCATGAGGAGCAGCTGTTCTTGGAAGGAGGGTGGGTGGGGAGGCAGCTGTTGGTATCTCTTTGGGTGGGGTGGAAAGAGCACTCCGTATGAGTCAAGGCACCCGATTTCCACTCTTCGACTCTGTCATGATCCACTTGTGAGGCCTGGAGCAAGGCACATCCCCTCTCTGGGCTCATTTTCACATCTGTAGTCCACCCTAGGAAATGGGGAGGCTGGACTAGATGACCCCAAGGTTCCTTCCAGCTCCTGCATTCCAGCCATCCAGGGTGGTGTATGGTCAGGACTGGCTTCCTCGTTTAGGAGCCTCCCAGGCCCCCAGGTGCCCCCCTCACCCCTGCCTCAGATCCCACCCCTCCCCTCACAGGCTCTCAAGCCCATTGTGGAAGGTCTTCTGGGGCTCTTCCATCCTCATCTTGTCTTCAGCAGCCAGGATCCAATCAGCAGAGATGTTCTCTTTCTGAATTTTAAGGTGCCCATTTGTCCCAAGTTCATGGTGAAGAGATTCATTAACTGTTTACACTATTTCTAATACTTCCCCCTTTATGTGGGGCTCATCTCACCCTGCCTGTAATGATATTTTATTACTATAGTAATAAGTGCAATAACCATTTATCGAGTGTTGCTCAGTGTTGCTGTGTGTCTGGCCCAAGGAGACTCTCTTTTTTTCACACCTTATCTCTTATAATACTTTTTTTTTCTTTTTTCTTTTTTTTTTTTTCTTTTTTGAGACGGAGTCTTGCTCTGTCACCCAGGCTGGAGTGCAGTGGCATGATCTTGGCTCACTGCTACCTCCGCCTCCTGGGTTCAAGCCGTTCTCCTGCCTCAGCCTCCCCAGTAGCTGGGATTACAGGCACGCACCACCACGCCCAGCTAATTTTTGTATTTTTAGTAGAGACGGGGTTTCACCATGTTGGCCAGCCTAGTCTTGAACTCCTGGGTAGGAGCTGCTAACAGCTCCATTTTACAGATGAGGAAACTGAGGCCAAAAAGAGGTTTAACAGCATATGTCTGCAATCTCCCAGGGGAAAGTTCCAGACTCAAAGTTAGGGAGTCTAACTCAGAATTCATGCTCTGAGCCACCAAGTGTTACTCCCTGTAGCCTACCTGGAAACCCAGATGCACCTGGCCCCATAAAGCAAATCTGCTTGCATTGAGTCTGCAGATCTGTGTGCATGTCTGTGCATTTCCATGGAACAGCAGCTGGGTGTTCAGACAAGCCCCCAGTGTATGTGCTGATGAGCGCCCCTCCTTCCCCGCATCTACTTCCCTGATAGAGCATGGTGCCCAGGACCTGAAATGCAGGAAGTCAGCATTCTTTTCTCTCCAATAGTTTGTCCCTTCTAAGTATATGAATGGCTCCTTGCCAGGCCCATTTAAAACCTTCTCTAAGTTATGCAGAAATTAAATGGGTTTTCACCGCAGGGCATGAAACATAATCCAAGAAGGTCAGACGTGGAGACCATCACTTCTTTTTCCCCTTTTCCACCATTTCCTGAATCTTGCTCTTAAATCCTCTGATCAGATGCAGAAGGATCAGAGAGGCTTCCCCTCAGGACCATGCGGTATGGACAGTCAAATGTCCTCGCCTCCCCGAGGCAGGGAGCTGGAGAGCTGACATCTCACGGGAGCCGTCCCTCTCCTCTGGGCGCCAGCTTCATACAGAGTGGTTTAAGTAGACTGGCCGAGTGCTCTGAAGTGAGGGCCGGCTACCCTGTTTCCTGTTGTTGTTGTTGTTGTTAAATATTTGGTAGAATTCACCAGTGAAGCTGTTGAGTCCTGTGCTTTTCTTTGTTGGAAGATTTTTGATTACCGAATCAAATAAACATAAAAGCATAATGTTGAATTAAAAAGCAAGCTTCAGAGTGATCTATTGTATATGAAAACCATCTATTTACAAATACCCACAAAACAGTATCTTATATTATTCATGGCTAGATATAGATACATATGAAGTACAAAAGCAGACTTTCACACAGGGGGCTGGCAGCTCTGAAATCAGAATGTGGCCCTCCTTTCTTGTGGCAGGAGCCGTGGGCCCCCATGAAGTGTTTCGTTCTGGATTCATGGGACTGGCTCTGGCACTTCTGTGTGATCTAGAAAGAGAGAGGGCAGGACAGAGAACTGTGGGTTAGCTGAGAACCTCAGAAAGATCTCCTTAAGGTGGGGGAGGGGTGGTGGAAATAAGGGATGCTAAGGTACCCAGGGCTTAGCAACAGGGGAAAGTTCTACCCCTAGGGCTGAAGGGAAAGGAGACGAAAATTGTATTATCAGAGCCCACTGAGAGTTGGGGCCATGGAAGAGAGCCTGCTGGGGTAGAGCTGGAGGGGGTAGAGGAAGTAAGACCCCAAACTCTTTCTCTTCCTGCTCTGGGAGCTCCTACCAGAACTTCCCATTGGCAGAATCCAGCTGGAAGCCAGCCAGCAAGAGAGCCTGGAGATGCAATCCATTGAGAGCCCGGGGATTGGGGAAAGGCAGAACTGGGTGGATCATGGTGCCAGGGGAGTGGGTAGACAGGGAATGCCCTGGATGGTACTGTTAATATCAGTGCTTCTTGACACCTCCCTGCCCCACCCTTGAAGGTGCCCTTGTCTGTGCCCCTCTAGGTTTCCAGAAATTAAAATTGCAACTACTGTCTTCTCAGCACTTATGTGCTAGAATGTTTACACTCATGATCTTATGTATTCTTCACACTAACCCTGTGAGATATGATTAGCTTCAGTGTACAGTGAAGGGATTAAGGATCAGAGAGATTATGTAATTAACCCAAAGACACACAACAAGGCTGGGATTCCAACAAATGGTCTGTCCATCCCTGAAACTCTAGCACTTGTCTGCTTTGCCCCCTTGCAGACTTGATTCTGTTTTGGAGGGAATGAGCATCTTCCAAGCAGCTGAATTAGGATAGGCAAACCTAGCAAAGGAAAAGCACATTCAGACAGCCAGAGGTGTGAGGGAGCCTGCTGGGTTCAAGAAGTATAAATAGCTCCATGCCTCCAGGAAATAAAATGTGAAGGGGGAGACGGGAATGGACCACAAGGGCCTGTGTTCTATGCAAAGGGCACTGGGGAGTCACGGATGGTGAGGAGGAGAGGGGCGCCCTGCATCTGCCTCCTGTCCCCAGTGGACAGAGTGGTTGGAACAGGCAGGACGTGAGCCTGCCCATTCAGGTTGACACTTGTCTGCTGATGGGGGCAAATCCACAAACCCAGGAAGAACCCTCAGCAGCCCCATCCATTGTTCTCCGGAGGCCCTTTCCAGCCTGACCAGGGGCCCCGTAAAGAGCACCCCTGTGTTAAGTGCATGGTCTGTCTGTGAAGGGCTGCCAGGAGGGAGGCTTGAGGCTGGTCCCCAAAAAGGAAGCCTGCAGCTTGGGCAGCCAAGGAGCATTTGACAGAGGAAGCGAAACCACCAAGAAACAGGTTTGGGGACCGTAAGACCCCTCATCCAGAACTCTAGGTTAAGCAAATCATCTTTGGAACTGGTGCTCTTTACAGCCACCAGGAGGCCATCAAAAAATGAAGAAGAGGAAAAGAAAAGATACCGCATTTTAAATTTTGGGGCCCCTCCTAGAATGAAAATGACAAGGCCTCGGGTCTGGTTGGCTGAAGGATGTAGAGAATGGGCTTTGAGGGACTCAGCCCTGATGGCGCAGCTGCTCCGCACTGGCTCACCCTTGTACTTGCTTTGCTCTCATCCCCAGAATACACCAGTGGGGACGCCCATCTTCATCGTGAATGCCACAGACCCCGACTTGGGGGCAGGGGGCAGCGTCCTCTACTCCTTCCAGCCCCCCTCCCAATTCTTCGCCATTGACAGCGCCCGCGGTATCGTCACAGTGATCCGGGAGCTGGACTACGAGACCACACAGGCCTACCAGCTCACGGTCAACGCCACAGTGAGTCTCCATGCTGGGGCCCCGGCCGTCCCAGCTGCCTCTTCCCACCCTGGAAGAGAGTGACGGGGCATTCCAATGGGACATTGACCCAGTGGCACACACTCGATGATCTATAATAATTATAGTGGTGACAGTCATGATAGAAATGAGGCTGGCATTACTGAGGCTTTGTGCTGTGTCCCTGGCACCGTGCTGAGCACTCAAAGGGACTTTAAACCTCAAGCAGCCCCGTGTCATAAGTATTGTTAAGATGCCCACTTTGCAGATGAGAAAACTGAGGCACAGGAGCAATTCAGTGACTTTCCATGGTCACCCAGGAGCCCGACTCCATAGCCTGCTCGGGTAACTTCCTTGAGACATTCTTAGTGCAGAGTGCCTCTTGCTCTCTGGGACACAGGACAGAGGTGTTCACCCAGCTGTGTCCTGACACCATCCAACCTGCAGGGCCCAAAGGAGTTCAGGCATCCTGCCTCTACTCCACAGAGTGGTGACATTCCACATCATCCCTCTGTGCCAAGCACATTGCTGGCCCCTGGGAATTCCAGGATGAGTGAGTCAAGGGCAGAAGGCAGGAGAGGGTAATTATCCCATCTGATGGCTGACTCTGTTGAGGGTCACACAGCCCATGAGTAGTGGCGGAGCAAGAACCCAAACCAGGTTGTCCACCTCTCAGTCCAGTGCCCTGACCACCATGCCCCATGGCTAGACATCTCCAGGTCTCAAGAACATCGCAGCATGCCCTTTGTGCCAGCTGTTTGGGAGATCCTGGGGAACAGGCAAGCCACACTCTAAATAGGGTCCTCCCCCTACCCGCCCCCTCTCCTTGCTCCCAGCTGCTGCCTCAGGGCATAGCTGGAGCCATCAGCTGGCAGCAGGGCCGTAAGCTGGCCTGTTGTCCCTTAGATTCTGTTGACAAAGCTTACGCCAAGAGCAAAAAAACATGGGAGTCCCTCTCAACCCTCCAGGTCCTATCTGCCTGACACTCAGCATCCACTCCTGACCCACATAGCTGTCAAGGGGCCTGCCGGCAGCGCTGGGGGGCTCTCCTTGGTAGGTCACAGGCTCTAGATCCAAGGCTCTGGATCTGGACTGGGTCCAGAATCCAGTTTTGAAAGATGGGGTGCCCCCAGACTTGGCCAAGATGCAGAGAGAGGCCTCAAGACCCAGGAAATGCGAACTTCTTGTTTGGCCCTGGCCCAGTGGCTGTGGGGAGGTCACTGCAGGTGACACTCACGTTCTTTCCTTCTCCCCTGTTTAAGTGTTAGTTGCCTGGGAGGAGCTGTGTGCTGCTGTTTGTAAAACTGACCTCAGAGGTCAAGGGGACATGCAAGCCCAGGATTTGCTTTTTGTGCACATTTGCCTGCACCTTCCATGCAGCCTGGCACCCACACATGCGCTGCCCCTCCACCGCACTGTTTGCACACACCAGGGCCCAGAAACACGCAGATGCTTGCCCGCTGTGGGATAATTTCCACCCACCATAAAAATGGCTTTGGACCGTGGGGAATAGACCAGAGCTGGGCACAGGCAAGAATCTGGGTGGCGGGGCCTATCAAGAGGACTGGGCTCAAGCTGGGATGATGAATACAGTTAAATTGCTGTTACTCTCCCAGTAATCAGGCTTGGAAGCAGCAGAACAGGAGGGGCCCTAGAAGTCCCTCTCTAGATGGCTTCTCCCTTGCTTCTGGAGGAGCTGACACCGAGTCCTTCTCGGGGCTGGTGCTGTGCCCTTGGCTGCTGAGCACTTCCCCAAGGAAGGAGATTCTCGGCCTGGCATTGCGGGCAACAGTGTCAGTTCCCAGCCACCACTGAGCTGGTACCAGGATGGGGAAATTGAGGCATCCTCTGGGAACAAGCTGCTGAGAGCCATGGGCCCCAGAGTTACAGCTGGGAGCCTGACAGGATCACTCCCCTTTCCCCACCACAGAGTCCAGAGTGGGCTGGGCAGGGGCATTTGTGGCATGAACAGGACTGCAGTCACAGGTATGGGACAGAGAGGGCCTGTGCCAGGCTAGACAAAAGCCAGCTGCCTGCAAAAGCCTGGTTATGGCAAATCAGAGCCACTGGCATCCCCTGTCCAAGAGGTCAGGGGACTTGTTTTGAGCTTCCCCGCTCCAGCCCTGGGTGCCTGGTGGTCATTCAGGTCCCTAGCTGGGAGCTCTCCCCATGGGCAGTGCCCAAGCCTGCCGTGTGGGCCCCAGTCCTGGAGCCTGGGAGGCTGCCTGCCGAGAACCTCTCTGCTCACCTCCTGCTTCCAGACCTTCCTCTCCCTTGCAGCACCCACTCCCATCCCTAAAGGCCCTCCCACCCTCTCATTGGCTGTCCCTGAGGATTCCTAAAGACAACCAGCCCTCCCTTCTCCTAGGCACAGCAGCTCCATCTCTGCAGGCCAGGAGGAGGCACCAGGCTTCTTGGAACTCCAGGAATGCCTTGCTTCATTCAAGTCACCCCAGACAAACTAAGGGAGAGCTAACCTGGGGACAGTCGCTCCTCAAATCTTAGCTCAGAGAATGTTCGAGCCTGAGGGGCCTTAGAAGTCATTCACTTGAGCCCCTTCATCTCACAGAAAAGGACATCAGATTCCCAGGGGGAAAAAGAACTCATTTGAGGTTACTCAGCAAATTAAGAGACCGAACTGATGTTAGAGCCCCAAGTCAAAACTGTTAGTGGCAAATTTTTATGTGAAAGGATCTGAGTTTGAGTTCTGGCTACACACTTAGAAGTTGTATGACTGTGGACAAGTTACTCAGCCTCTCTGAGTCTCTGTTAACTCATCTGAATAATGGGCTCATCATAACTACAGATGCGAGTGAAGTGCCCGGTAGAGTGGCTGCCACGTCATCTGTACAAAGCACTGCAGTTACTATTATTGCTGGCTATTGTTATTCAGTTGCAGCAGGCTACTTAAACAGTAGAAGATAGATTTGGAGTTTTCTTTCTTGCCAAGCATTAAAAAAAAATTTTTTTTTTGAGATGGGGGTCTCGCTATGTTGTCCAGGCTGGAGTGCAGTGGCTATTCACAGGTGCAATCTTGGTGCACAACAGCCTCGAACTCCTGGGCTCAAGTGATTGCCCCACCTCAGCCTCCTGAGCAGCTGGGACTACAGATGCATCGTTGAGGTTTTATACAATGAAATTCCCAACTGACGGTTTAAATATTGCTTGCCTGGCTGCAGGGGGATGGCCTGTGTGACCTCTCAGGAGTCTTTCTCGGAGTCCCCCAGATGTCACAGACCCTGGAGCTCCCCCTGCTGGTTGGATTGGGAAAAGTCACTGAACCAGTAAATCCCCAGCCCAAAGCAAGGGACTCATGAATGCAGGGACACAGGTGCCAGATTAATCCCCTCTGTGGCCTTTCTTCTGAGGAGTCCCCATCTTTGTCAATCCTCTGCTGCCCTGGGATGAGTGGGGGCAGGAAGTGGGCACAGAGAGGGGTGGTGACCTCCAGCTGAACTCAGCAAAGGAGCTGAGGGCAGCACCATATCTACTCCAAGCTGGTCATCCCACCACCGGATGTCCAAGGAAGTCAGGCCTGGGCTACTAGGGGCTGGAGGTCTAGCTGTACCCCAGCCCTGCTTTGTAACACTGGATAAGCTGCCTTCCTCTGGACCTTGGGGATGCTGTTTGTGTTTTCCTGTACAGCTCAGAAATCACCATGGCTTCTTAGAATTCTTAAGCTTCCTTTTACTAAGCCCTTCCCTGCTGGAGTGCAAGAGCATGGGTGTGTGTGTGCGTGTGCATGTGTTTGCACTTATGTGCTGCACGGTGCAGGTCTGTGTGTGTGTGTACATATGTGTGTGAGTGTCCCCACCATCACTCAACCTAAGGCTGTGTGTTCTCTCCGCTCTCTAAGGATCAAGACAAGACCAGGCCTCTGTCCACCCTGGCCAACTTGGCCATCATCATCACAGATGTCCAGGACATGGACCCCATCTTCATCAACCTGCCTTACAGCACCAACATCTACGAGCATTCTCCTCCGGTAAGACTCCTGGCCCTTCCTTCTCAGAAGTCCCTTCTCAGAGGGACTTCCTTCTGAGCTCCTGTTAGGGATGGGCCCTGTTAGTGGGCTGGGCTCCTCCTTGGCTCCTCCGCAGTCCCTGTGCGTGGCAGTGATGAGTGTTCTGGCACAGCGAAACCCCAGCCACTCTTCACACCACGCCCATCTCCTCACCCTCTCACTCTACCCAAGGGGCTCTGTGTGGCAAAGAACAAAGGCTTCCAGGGCAAGTAACGGGGAGCCATTCAGACAGACTTATGTGGAGGGATGGGGATCCCATGGAAAATTCAGCCTGTGCTGAAGAATGGACTCAGTCTGGCTCCACAGAACATCAGTGTGGCTCAGCCGTGTCTCTGCCGTGTCAGTCTGTCCCTCTCTGCTGATGAGCACTGCCAGAGAGGGTGGCAGCTGCCCTTCTTCAAGGGTCCTCTTGGCCCCGGCTCTTCCCTGCGAGCTTGCAGCTCCTTCTGCCCTCCCTAATGCCCAGTCTTTGGATTTCTTAAGTCCAGGTTTCCAAGAAAGGCTCCTGATTTTTCTGGTGTGTTGCAAGGTCATAGGTCACCAGCCTGTAGATCGGCTACCCATGGGTGTCTTAGAGGACAAAACATGCCTCGGCCCACTCTGCAAGGCTGTGGATGGAGCAGCTTTGCTCAGCTGTGGGCCAGACGGGCAACGGCAGCCATCTCTAGTCTCATAACCATTCGTGCGTCTGTGCAAACTTGAATGCAACACCGGCTGTGGGTGGAAAAATTAGAAAAATGCGCCTCCCCTAGGCAGTCACAATCCCTGGTCATTAGCTTAGGGAACAGCGTTTGGGGAAAGAAAAATGAGCCCCTTCTTTTGAGAGAACTCAGTGTGCTTAAAGGAAGGACTCAGCTTTGGGAGCAAAGTGGGGCACCCGCCTAAGGCTCGTGAGCGTTCAGGGCCCCACCCGCACCCCTGCACAGGCTCACAGAATTGAGTGTGACAGGTGAGCTTCCCTTGACTGGGGTGCAGGCTGTGCTCCTGGGCCTGACCCCTCATTTGGAGACCATGGCTGCCCTGGCCACTGGCCTCCCTTCACAGCATGAGGCCGCAGTCTCCTGGTGTATGGGGCTGGCATTTGGCCACTTCCTTCTTGGGACAGGTGTGGAGGGAGGCTCTAAGAAGCAGGATCCTTTCCGGCCTGCTACTGTTGAGTGTTTGAAGCTGCTTTGAGAGTAGAGGGGGACAGATCAATGCCCCCAATTCCCCAGCCTTCTCTTTCTTAGCATTCCGTGGGCAGTGGGAGCCCCTGCTTTTGAGACTGAAGGCTGTCTCTTCTCAGCACAGCCCAGCCCATTTCCCATGACTTTCCTAGCCCCTTTTCTCTCTGCCCCTAGCCCAACTTTGCCAGGCCGATACCTTCTCAGCATCAGGTCAGCTGTGACGTGCTGTTTTCAGATGAGGCAGGGCCCACAATCTGCCCATGGCCCCTGGACATCTCCTGAGTGGTCAGCACTCTTGAACAACTTGCCCCACCTCTGCTCCCCTGAAGGACTGGAAGCGTGCAGTTCAGCAGGGACAGGGTCTGCTGTGGGCATAACATACAGTGTGTGCTCAGGAGATGGTAATGGAATGGATAAATGAACAAGCACCCTCACCCTGGGCAGACCAGCATACTCACCATCCTGCACCCTCTCCGCCCCTGTGCCTGCTCTTGTCGCCAGCCCAAAGTCCACCCACCCATTTGTTCCCAGTTCACTCTCTACCTTTCTTATAATTTTTTCCCTGGCTTCTTCCCTATCCGTCCCAGAGATAGCAACTCCTCTCCCTCAACCCTGGTAGAATTAACTCTCTCTATGCTGTGTAATTTTCCACTTAATTATAGTCTCGCCTGTAATGTTACCTATATATGTGGGTTACTTCTGAGCCCCCAGTAATCAAGGTACCTGAGTCTCTGGGACATGATCTCATCCTTCCTTTGGGTCTCCAGGGCATCATGCCCAGAGCTAAGTGCAGGGAAGATGCCCAAGGCCAACTAGATTGAAGTATAGAACATGGCAGTGGCTGGGCAGCCAGAGGAGCTCAGAGGAGTCCCGCACTGCCGTACTCACTTTGGCTGAATCAAACGGCCTCCTGACCAGGTCCTCACTGGGAAAGGGGGATAATTGTGCCTGCAGTGGTGCCTCCCTCTCCTTAGGGTTTTAACGGTTGGAGATAATGCACATAAAACACACAGCAAGTGCTGCCAATTAGCGGACATTAAACCACGCTGGGCAGTGACCTGGTCAGTCAATTACAGTAGCTAGGTTGGGTTGGGGCTCCCAGCTTCAGCTTCCTTTCAGAGTCGTTGTAGTTGGCAAGAGGTGTGTTCTTGGTGTGAGTGTCCCCTGAGACCCCTAGGTTGTCTTTTTCTAGTATCTTTTTAGTATATCGTGCAATGCTAAGTTTGCATGCTTTTATTTCAGACCTGCAGATTTCTGAGCTGTCCATCCATTGGGTCTGCACTTCATCCTTTTATGCACCCATCAGACATTGATGCGGCTGGTCCCATGTGCAGGCCCCATGCTAAGCCATGCCCTCTGCTCTACAGGTGATCCCACAGGCCCCTGCTAGGACAACTCCTCAGTCTCAGCAAACCAGAGCCTTGCCCTCCTTAGCTTCCGGTCTCCTGATGCTCCATTTCTTGGCATATGCTGTGATTCTCCTCTCTCAGACGCAAGGATCTTGATGTCTCTTTGCCTCACCAGTATTGTTCCTTTGTCTCCACAAGGGCACTAAGGCCCATGCCCAGGGAGCTGCTAGACCCCCGATCTGGGTGGTGCAGGTTTCAGCCCCACAGCTTGGCTTATGGCTGGGCTGGGGGAGCCAGAAAAGGCAGTGCATTGAGGGTTTCAGACCCTCCAGCCTGGCCCGGCTCCCCTGGGGCCCACAGAATCTGCCTCCGTGTCCACACATCTCTGCCCTTCCTCCAGTCTCCACACTTGAGGAGTTCTCAGGTTCCCTCGCCTCTTGCAGAGCCTCTCTCCTGCAGGCCGATTCCCTTGCACTGCCAGCCTGATCCTTCCCGGCTGCTAATTGGTTTCTGTGCCTTGATCTGGGCCCTCCATGTCCCTTTACAGTGTAGAACCCTGATTTAACGCAGCATTCCCAGGCCGGGCCCAGGCTGAGATGCACCCTGGCCTGTTCTGCCTCCCAGGCCAGAGGACCCCAGCACCCCCATTCCCAGCCTTGCCTCTGCTGCCCCGGGGCCCCCACCGGACCTTTCCCCACTCTCCCCAACTCCCCCTCTTTATCTGCGGCTCACAGCATGTATGCCTCCCCCTATCAGCGTATCAGGTTAGCATGCCTCATCTAAAGTGTATATATTACCTAATAAAATCCTTCTTATTTGGGATTATTGCATCAGATTTTAATTTCCTCACTCGAGCAGCAGCATGTCGGCCTGCCCGTCAGTGAAGGGCCGATAGAAGGTGAAAAGAGCGGATAAACTGCACAAATTACTGCCAGCCGATGCCTATCAGCCTTTCGACTGGAATTGACTGGAATTAAGGACTGAGAAATAGGATTTGCTACCTCAGAATCTGCTGTGGCAGCTCTCATCGGAAGTCCCCTTCAGCCCCCACCAGCCTGCTCCCCCCAAGGACGCCTCCTACTCCTGAAGCAAGCTGCACGTTCACCTTTCAAGTCCTTAATCCCGTCATGGAAATGGGGTAGGGGGTGTCCCGGCTGAGCTTGCTGAGCAGGAGGAGGACGTGGGTCCCTGAGGCCAGGAACAGCCCAGCTGGGCTCCTGTGTCCACGGCTTTCCTGACAAGGGCATCTTTGGAAGGGGACAAGCCACAGAGGGAAGAGAAGTCCAGCTTCTCTCAACTGTGTCCCCACTGCCCGGGCCTCAGAGGCTGGGGCTGTGTCTCACACCTCACCCCCTCCTCATCTTGGCACACGCACTGGGTGCAGAGCCCTGAGCCCTTGCCTCCTCCAGAGAGCAAAGGGGTCCCCCAGGCACACCCCACACTGCCCTCCATTCCCCAGTCACCTCCGCCTCCCTCCACCCCACCCCCCACTGCACCATGTGACTCTCAGCAAATCCCTGAGCACTCTGAGCCTCGGTTTGCTCACACATACCCCCATGTGAGGAAAGAGAGAGAGGGGGAACCTTGCTGGGGGCCCCACACAGTGGAACATCGTAGACACTCCACTAGTGCCAGTTCTGCCCTGGAGGCTGCTAGCTGTCCTCACAATGCACAGAAAGCCACTTGCCTCTAGGTAGAGATGATTAATATGGGGTGTTGGGGAGTCTGAATTTGCTGAAATTCTTTGGAAAAATCCACGTGGATGTGCATTTTCTGGAAAGAGGCCCCTGAGTTGTCATCAGATGCACACAGTGATTCCAGGCCCAAATAAAGTAACAATCACGTTTATAGCATTCACCATGTGCCAGGTGCTCTTCTGAGTGCTTCACGTTTATCGGCTGCTGAGGGGTGGGGATTGTGATTTTTACCCATTTTATAGATGGGGAAAACAAGGCAGAAAGAGGTTATAAGTAACTTACTCAAAGGATTCGAGCGCACGCAGTCTGGCAGCAGAGTCAAACCCTTAACCACCTTGTGGTGCTTTTCTGCTCCTCCCATTACAAACAGCGGGGCCCCTGCAGGCCTGCACACTGTAGCCTCTCTCTCGGAGGCGTCCTACTCCCTGAAATGTGGATTCCTGTGCAGGGCAGAAGCCCTTGGCAGGTCGCACCCTGGCGCACACCCCAGCTGGACTGGCTCCCTGGAGAAGCACAGCAGGCAGCGTGCCCTTGGGAGCAGGGTCGGCTCCGGGCCGAGCACAGCCGCACTTCTCCATCCCCCGTCTTTGGAAATAAGTTTCAGTATATTGAAAATATAATCACTGAGCCTCTGAAACAAGAGCTGTGGGCTCCCAGGAGCCCCCATTCCTCCCTGTTAATTCCTTCTCATAATGTTTCCAGTCTTTCTGGCTGCACTTGTATTAAAAGCTCAGGGTTTTATTAAAAGTGGATTTATTTACCCAAAAAAAGATGAAACCCCAAACTTTGCCAGGAGCCTGTCAGAGCTTGCTTCGTAGAAGCTCGGGTATGACTCTTTTAGGAAGAGTCCCCATTGTCCTCCTGTCCTGGAGAACCGACTGGCCTCCACAGAGCCCTGCCCGCCCAGGGGGCCTCTGGGCAGCCCCATGCAGGAGCCCAGCACGGGCTCTGAGGACTGAGGGCACTTTTGTCGCCAGGTCTCCTCTGCACAAGCCTGCACCAGCCCCCTCGTGTCTCCCCCTGAGGATCACTGTCCCAGGCCTGGCCTAGCCCTGCTCTGCATGTGTGTCTGGGACATGCAATTGCCCCTGAGTACTGCTTAGTGACTCTCTGGGGTGGTGATCCAGTGGGCCTCAGGCCCAGTTATCCTAGCAAGCCAGGAGAGCACGGAGCAACTGCTGTGAAGGGATACAAGTGCTTGGGGAGGGTGAGGTGGGGGGTGCCCCTGCTGTGTCATGGCAGCGAGACTGGGTGGAGTTAGAGGAGGGGTAGCTTGCCCCACAAGAGCGCAGGGCATGCGTGTCAGGGAACAAGCCTCTGCACAGGTGAAGGGGGTGGGGGTGCAGCTCGGGCTTCAGCCTCCTGCTGATAAACAGTGAGTGGAGGGAAGTGGCCGAGGACACAAGAGCCCTTCATTAGCCATGCAGATGCCAGGGTTGACATTTCCCTAGGGGGTGGGGACAGGCTTATCTTGCTCTCCATCACCCAGGGGAACACTGTGGCCTGGAGCCAGAGCCTCAGGCAGGCATGGTGGGCAGGCATGGCTGGCACTGGCCATGGTGTGATAGGACCTGGGGAACCAAGTAAAGGCTGCCCCAGGCAAGGGGCGACTCAGCGAGTGGTGGCGGTGACCTTCCACCCTAAGGTTTAAGGGCTCTGTGAAGGTTTAAACAAACTCTTGTTTGTTCGTTTGTTTATTCAGTCAATCAATCAACCCATCAATTGATATTCGAATGTGCCAGTTGTATGCCAGGATCTCTTCCTAGGACAGTCTTATGCCTCCAGGCACTTGCCTGAGCTCTGCCTTCTGCCCAGAGCACCTTCCTCTTCATGTTCTCTCCCTGGCAAACTCCTACTCATGCTTCATGACCCATGCTGAATGTTGCCATCTGTACGACCATTCGCCAATTCCTCCAGGTGGACTTCTCCCCTTTTTTGTACGTTTCTCCATGTGAGCCATATGTGTATTCGCACTCCTAATATGCGTATAGCAGCTGTCTGCTCAGATGTTCTTGACTTCATGCCATAGGCTGTGCTCCCCAAGAACGCGTTCCCCTGGCTTCCTATACTGTTAGTTCCAGCTCCTGCCCCTTCTCCATCAGTGCTGCAGAGAGAATGAGTAGGGGTGTGGGCAGAGCCATTCCAAGCAGGAATTGCCAGGCACAGTGCTGTGTGGGCCATGGTTCCTAGGGCCATGGCGGCCTCCTGAGTTGCCACCGTCATCCCCCGAGATACCTGCTTTCATGATTTATGCTTTCATCCCTAAAGTAGTTGAGCCACCATGTTCTCCTTTATTCAGACCCCAGTGAAAACAAGGTCCCAGGCTTTTTGCTGTTATTCTTATTAAGGTGGAGGGAAAGTGAGGCCAGAGAGGTGCAGCAACCTTCCTAAGGTCACACAGCAACGTGATGGGTGGTTGAGCTTGAGACCAGATCTCTTGTCTCTTCGCTGGATGCCCCTCATCTGTTCTTCCGTGGTGGTCCATTTGAATAAGGGATATGGGAAGGGGAAAGGGGAATGATAACATCGGTAAGGTTTGGCCTCCCCGTGGACCCTAGGGTGTTTGCCTGGGAACTGCAGTGTGTGCCCAGGGCAGCTGATGCCTGAGCCCTTGGCATCTACTTCCTGGGTTGCCCTTGCAGCCAGGATCAGCCTGGGGAGGGAAGCTGTGGGTGCCATGATAGCTACAAAGAAAGACAGCAGCCAGGGGACCCAAACTCAAGTCCCTCCTCTCTTCTGCCCAGGGCACGACGGTGCGCATCATCACCGCCATAGACCAGGATAAAGGACGTCCCCGGGGCATTGGCTACACCATCGTTTCAGGTAAGACAGAAGGCTGCCCCTCTCTCCTCTCACCCCTCTGTCCTCCACCCAAGGAGAGCCAGTAGGCATCTCAGGCTCTGAGGGCTAAGGAGAGGTCTGCGGGCATGTGGGACAGGGTAGGAGACCTGACTACAGGGACAGTCCTCGCCAAAGGGCCAGGAAGGTGACTGAGTGAAGGCAGGAGGAACAGGGAGAAGAGGTGCTGGGAAGCCGACAGAGGCTAAGCTGTCTGGGGGCTGCTTGGTGGGCACTGGGGGGTGGGCGCGTGTGCCGCTGTCCAAGGTCTGAGACGGTTGGGCACTTTGGGGCTCTGGGCCTGGGACTTTGGTGACTCCTATCTAACCTCCTGCAGCGCTCTGGGTTTGTCTTTTTCTTCTCGTATTTGATGAAAAGGTGGCAGTTCTAGCATCATTTTAGAACAAACGGAGCTGCAACTACAGCTGATTTCATGTTCTTTTCACATTTCCAACCCTTAAGAATTCATGTCGCATCTGGAATGTTGCGGGGGGGAACATCAGCCCCCTTGCCGCCCAGCTGCCTTGGTTGAGCAGAATAGTGACTGACGGCAGAGATGGTTCCGGGTGATGGGATCCCTGACCCACGCCCCACCCAAAGACTGACAAATGGCAGCTCTGTTCGGCTGTCCCAGGGCTGGGTGGTTTTAGAGCAAGGTTGCCTTGAGGATGTGGTGACAGGCTGCTCGCCCACAGACTCTGGCTCTGCCCACCCCCCCATACATGCCATACACAGCCTCCCTGCCCAACCCACGAGTCAGTGAAGGGTCAGCCTGGTGTATCTGGGCAGGCCAGGTTGATGGCCGAAAGGACATCTGGCCACCAGGCCAGATTCTACCCACTGCCTCTCCCTACCATACCCCCACATCCCCAGAACTGGGAGTGGCATTGTTGGAGTAGCATCCTGCCCCTAAAGCTCAGAGGACAGCAAAGCATAGTGATCAAGAACATGGAGGAGGATGGAGTCTACTGTGCCATGTCATTTTCACTGGGTCCCTGTCCCTCAATTTGCCTGTACCTCCATAAAATTGGAGCAACAAGAGTACCTACTTCAAGGTGATGTAAGGGTCAGATGATTTAACATATAAAGGGCTTAGTTAACGTATGTAAAGTACCACGTAAGTGTTAGCTGTGGTTATTACTACAGCTAGCAGCTAATGCTACCTTGGGAAGCTAGGGGTTAGCTAGTAGGAGGGAGACACCTCATGTCCTTGGCAATGCAGGAAACCAGGGGTGTCATGGGCTCCCTGGGACCCGCAGCTGCTGACATGACTATTGTTGCACCTCTAAGCCCAGGGAACCCCAGGACCCAGAGCAACTCCCAGCCCAGCACAGGTGGTGACTGGCAGCAGGAACATGGGTTTGGGCCTCTGCACCACCCCCTCCCCCATTTCATTATTCTGGTGTCCAGCACAGGACCTGGTGTAGCGTAAACCCCGATATGTACTTGCAAAATGAATGAATGTCACTCTAGGGGAGTGAGTTTTCAAACTCCAGCATGCCCAAGAATCTCCCGGGGCTCCTACCAAAACTACGAAGTCCTTGGGCCCCATGGAGATTCTCCTTCTGGAGGTCTGGGATGGGCCCAAGAATGGTCCTTTCTCACAGCACCCCAGGCAGCTCAGGTGCAGGCAGTCTTCAGACGGGGATGTGAGGAAGCCAGGCCCAGGAAGGAAACTGTTCTGCAGGAAGGCAGGACCTGCCTGGGAATCGAGGCCCTTTCTAGGTGGGCAGAGCAGAAGGGGAGGCCTGTCTTGGTGCTGATCTTCTTCATGAATTTTGCAAATTGAGACACAGAGCAGGAGCCTCCCAGTGACCAGGGGCTTGTGCTGGAGAACTGAGGGAACACCGGTGAGCCCTGGGTGATGGAGCTGGGGAGCCAGGACAGAGCGGCAGCAGGAAGGGGGTGCTGGGCTGGGCAGGGGCGTGTCTCTTATGTGCTCACAGCCTCCGGGCTGGTTCCAGATATACCCCAGCCTGGATGGAGGTGGGGAGCAGAGAGCCAGGACTTGGTTCAAGGTCATGCTTAGAATGGGAACTCCTGCAGAGACCCTGTGAGCCCATCCTCCAGGGCGCTGGCCCATTCCAGGTTCATGCTGGGTGCCAGGCTGCCAGTCCAGACCCTTAGGTCCTCTCCAGTCTTCAAAGATGGCTCCAGCCAGACCCACCTCTCTACTCTATCCTTCTGGGGAAGGAGGCTGGAGATCCAAGCTGCTAAGCCTTTGGTGTCTGGGCTGGACTCTGGAGCTTGGAGTCCGGGCACAACTGCCTGCAGCATCTCCAGTGGCAAAATCTCCTGGGACAGGCTCCCAAGTACAAACAACAGGGTGAGAAGGGAGACCCAGGATTTGAAACCACAGGGAAGGGATGTGTGTGGAGGCGAGGGCAGGAGACAGAAACTTCTGGAAGGCCTGAGGCATTCAGCATAGCTTTATAGGATTCCCACTGCCAGCACAGATGTGTCTTAAGGGCTTTTAGAAAGGATGACAAATGGGTTACCTCTCACATGCCAGCTTTGATTGATTGGTAATGGCTGCCTGCAGAGGATCATGGAACCAAATAGGCTCATGAGTGCAGTATTCAATTGGCAGAGTCTGCTATGGATGTGGCAAGGGATAGGGCCACTGTTTGACAAATATTTGCCATCCTTGCTATGTTACCACTTGAACAACACGTGCAGGGTGGCCTTAGAACTTCCTTTACCTATTTCGTGGGTGTTTGTCAGCACCTCACTTCACCCAAACCCCTGTTGGGTAATGAGCCCCTTGAGCAAATGACAGCCCTGCTCTTTCTTACCTAGGTAAGAAAGGTAGGTAAGGGTGGCTCAACAGGGCTGCCCCCACCCCCCATTCCTACCCCTTTCTCTGTGGCCCTGGGCTGGCACAGTCTCCCTGAGAGCCATCCTCAGCATGAGCCTAAAGCAGGCTAATGGGCAGGAGGGCACTGTCCCCAGGGGAGCAGGTGGACAGCAGGCTAGGATTTGGCCTCATCTCTACTTCCTTCCACCAGTGTAGACGTGGCTGAAAAGAACATTGTCTGCCAAGGGTCTGTCTCACACACCTGCCTCTCTGGTGACATTTGGTCACAGCCCTCTCCTGGGTGGCCTGGCCAGTGCCTGTTTATTGGAAAGCAGGCAGAAGGGATGGTTCATGTCACCCTGAGGGCATCTTCACAGCTGATTGCCCCAAGCTTGCCCTGAGTGCCCGGTAGGGGCCTGCCCCAGCCCTAGCTGCTCAGGAACCATTTTCCTTTGAAAGAAAGAATTAAGGGCTTTGTAGGGGGTGGGCAGAGCCAAATGGAGAGTCCTGAGTGTCACTGACATGGGTGACTTGAGTCTCTGGGGCACCCCCAGAAGCCTGGGCTGGTGGTGGCTCTGTCTGCAGTGGGTGAGGTCTGTCTGCCCCACGTGGCTGGAGACAGGCCTGAGCCCACAATGGATCCGTGGCCCACAGTTAACTTGCCCAGTCCCCTGAGGCCCTGTCCCCTCCAGGCTGTTTATCAGCCCCGCAGCTGTGGGGATTTATGTCTGCACACCAGTGCTTTCCCCATTACTAATGACCCCTCTGTTTTGCCAAGAACAAAGAGGCCTTCAGCACTAAGTTATGGCTCCATTGCCATCAATTTGTTCTCAGCCCTTTGTGGCCAAACTGAGACTGAGGAATGACAAGTTCCCACAGAGGACCTGGCATGGGCCCCATCTGCTCCCTCAGCCTGTGCCTGCCCTGCCACCCACAAGTGGCATCATTTTCTTGGGGGCCTGACCAAAACAGAGTTCTGCAGGCTCCCATCCCCAAAGGACTGCCCAGCCTGTGGTCTCAACAGACACCCCCTCTGGCCTCATCCTTCCTCTGCCAGACAGCCACAGTCCTCCTTCAAGGGGCAGCTGCACTCACCCCCCCAACAGAGCACTGAACTTGGAGTCAGAAATTGTGGGTTCGAGGCCCAGCTGTGCCACCTGCCAGCAATGTATCTGAGCAAGATGTTCGACCTCTCAATCCTGTGGTCCTCGCCCGTGGAACCAGGTTAATAATCCACACATGGATGAGAGGGTGCTGGAGAGACTCTAAAGGGCCATAAAATATTAAGGATTATGCATTGTCAAGTAACAAGCAGGACCCAGGGGTCCTTGGGACTCATTCATTCATTTCCTCCTTTATTTGTTTGAGCACAGGGCAGTGGTTGAGAGTACAGGCTCTGGAGCCGCTGTCCATGGTAGTGACCTCTAGCTGTGCCGGCCAGTGCATTTGCCCACAAGCCCATGTAGCTACTGGGCACTTGAAGTGCGGCTAGTCTGAATTGAGATGTGCTGTCAATAAAACACATAGGATTTTGAAGACCTAGTGTGCAAAAAAAGGTGATAAAATATCTCACTGGTAGTGTTTTATATTGATGACATGTTGAAATGATAATATTTTGGATATACTGGGTGAAATACAACATATTATTAAAATTAATGTTATCTATTTCTTTTTTGTGGCTACTAGAGAATTTAAAATCCCCCATGTGCCCATATTCTATTTCTGTTGGTGGCTGTGTTCTAGAGTTAGGTGGCCTCGGCTTAGCTTCTGCCACTGACCAGCTGCATAACCTTCTAAGCATCCGTTTTCCAATCTGTAAAATGGAGATAACAGCCTCTGCCTCACAGGCCTGTGGGGGTTTAGTGAGCTGAGCCGAGTCAGCACTCAGAAGAGCACCTGATCTCGTAGCTAAGGCACTGAGCAGCGTGGACTCTTCATTCCCACCCACAGTTGACCGAGGGCCTTCCCTGGGCCAGGAGCTGTGCTAATGTCCTGAGAAGTGGTGGAGACCAGGGCACCATCTTCGCCCTGGGAACCTGCAGTTTGGTCAGGAGACAGACCTATGCAGCGGCAGCTTTAATACCTCGGTGGAACTCTGTGAAGAGGAGGCACAAGATATGCTGATGTTGACATGCAGTGATGGCTCCCTGGGGGCCTGTTAGACTGTTTTATCTACTTCTGTGTGTGTTCAAAAATATCCATGATAAGAAGGGAGAAAAGATCCTTGGGAGGGGGTGCCTCATCCACTCAACGCAGGGTGGGGAGACTCCATGAGGAGAGATCACAAAAGCCAGGCATTGCAGGAGGAGTAGGAATTTGCCGGAAAGAGGGGCGGACAGGCAGAAAGAACAGTGTGTACAGAGACTCTGCAGTAGGAGAGGAGCCACATTCATGCATCTGCAGTAGCTCAGCGTGGCCGGGCAGAGTGCACAGGGGAGGCGGGGTGGGGGCGGGGGTCCGGTGCTGAGGCCGCAGAGGGAGGCAGGGCGGGCCATGCAGCATGTGGAGTGCCCGGCTCAGGAGAATGCCAGCCCTGGTCCTGGGAGCAGCAGGGGGCCACCTGGGGGGTCTTGGGAGTGGGGTGCATAGTCAGGATTGCGTTTGGGAAGCCCACTGTGGTCAAGGTGGAGCAGACAGGTTGGGGGACAGCAGGTAGGAGCAGGTAGGGAAGAGGTTGGGGTGTCCAGCTGAGAGACAGTCACAGCCCCGACTGCCCAGCCACAGGCCACATTAGGAGACAGAGGCCAAGGGGGCATGGAGGCCTTAGAGGAGGTGCTGATAGGACAAGTGCTGTGGGTGAGGGCAGAGCTCTGTCCTCTTTTCATGCTGAAAAGGCTTAATCTCTTCTTGCCGCCCACATCCGTTTCCCCATCTGCTGTCGTCCGCAGCTCAGGACCATCCCCGAGTGACGGGAGGAGAACCCTGTTTATTGGGTGCCTGCCGTGCACCAGGCACTGCCTGGACACAAGTTATCCCTCAAAACAGTCTATGAGAGAGACATAGACAAGGAAAGCAAGGCTCAGAGAGTTTACATAGATTGGCCAATAGTCACAGCTACTAAGAGGCAGAGCAGAGATTTGAACCCAAGTCCCTCGGGTTCCAGAACCTCCCAGTTTCCATGACAACCCACTAGTTCTCAAAGTGTGCTCCCCAGAGCAGCAGCATCAGCATCATCTGGGAATTATTAGAAATGCAAGGTTTTGCATCCCCACTAAACCTAAAGAATCAGAAACTCTGTGGGTGCGCCCGGGCAACACTGATGCTGCTGGTCTGGGGACCACACTTTGAGAAGCTCTGGTCTAAAGGAGCGTGTGTTCTCAATGGCGGCAAAATTTTGTACTGGGGAAGATCTTACTCTTTTAATGTTTAAAGCAGATTTACATTATATCCATGGTGTTGACATTTCATGTCGGGGGAGGAAAGCAATTACGTAAAAATGTCTAAAGTGGCTCCTGGGGCAAGGGGTTGAGTGGGGTGGGTGATGATGAAGAGAAGGTTGAGAAACCCTCTAGAATCAAGGGTAGGTGAGAAATATCAGGCCGAAACCCCTCACTTTCAACTTTCAAGGCAGTGGCCTCACTTCCAGGTCACACTGGGGCACTATGGTAGTGAAGGACAGAGCCTTCCCTTGCTTGTCTCTGAATTTTATTTTAATGCTACCCAAGTGAGGAGGTACATTGAGTGCTTTAAAATATACTGAAATACATGAAAATACACTGATTGCTTTGAAGGGAAGTCTGTGTGTGTGTGTGTGTGTGTGTGTGTGTGTGTACGCAGGGAGAATAATCAGATACAGTCAGACTTGCACAACCTCACACCCCCCACATATGCCAATAACTGAATCGGGCCTCTGGCCATGGCCTAGTGGGGGACAGCTATCATAGGAGACCATCGTGCGAAACACTTCAAAGCCCTTGTGATTAAGCTGCTTGGCATTTTCTTCCCCTGAGAAGTAAAAACTCAGGAAAAGCAGAATTGCTTTGGAACTCTGAATCGCACACCACAGCTCCTGGCTTAGGGTAGCACAATGGCTGCCTGGAAGCCCCAAACATCTCAGGGCATCTTGGGGAATGGCTCACCTGGCTGGAGCCAGAGGTCACCAGGAAGGAGTCCAGGGCAGATCAGAGAGGGGTGGCAGGACATTTGCTAGAAGACAGAGAAAGCAAAAGAAGTAGGTTATTGAGTGCAGCTGGGGTCGGGGAAGTGAACGCGGGGTCACCAGGAGATTCATCAGTTCTGGGTGGATTGGAGCAGGAAGCACTGGAATGAGGGCGATCTGCTAACAGGCTGTGGCTCTAATCTGTCCTTGCCGCGGGGAGGTCTGGGGGTCATTGTGGTGACGTACAGGAACCGAGTCAGCAGGCTCTGGTGATGTACTGAAAATAGATGATGTGGGAAAAGGAGGAGACAAAGAAACTACTAACGTCTGAGTCTAGGTTTCTCGGATCATGGTGGTGGCCTAGGCAGAAAGGGGCATATTCATAGGAAAAGCCTGTTAATATCTGTGAATGCCACCCTAGACCCACATGTACCAAAACACCCCATTCTTCATCCATGGCAGACATCACTAATTGATCCCAGCACAAGGATGGGCCTCCAAGCCTTTCTTACCTGCCCTCTGGCAGCCACTAGCAGTTGAGAAGCATTCTCTCTCAAGCTGGAACAAACCTGCTGTCCAAAGTGCAGGTTTAGCCCATTTGTATCCTGTAGCTCTCTTCTTTCAAGAGTATCTAGGGACAGAGCCTCTAGAGGGTTTTTAATTTAATTATACAAACACGCTGGCCTGTTATTTGCAGTTCTCTCCCACCATCATGCCGAGACAGCAATAATGCATCACACCAACACTCACTTTCTCCTGATGAGCCACAGAAAAGTCTGCACTTCTTCCTTCCCCCTGATCTTTCGCCCTCTTCTCTGCAGGGTGTGCTTCCTGCCAGCCGGCCTCTCCTGATGCTCTCATGAGCTCGCCTTTGTGATAAACCAGTCTTTATAGCCATGCTCATGATTCCCTGTTCTTCCTCTCTCCTTTAATGAGGTCCTGTATGCTCTTTGTCAGCAACAGTGGCTTGCCCCTTGCTTCCTTCCCATAAATAACACTGGTGGGTGGACTTTTAAGAGGTTTCACTGAAGCACAGTCTAGGACTCTCCCTTTCTGCGTCTCGTCTTCCCCATACCCTCCCCATGGGCAGGAGTCTGTCTCTGTCCCTTGCTCGGGACATAGAGTGCTGTGGAAACACCCTCAAGGCCTCTCCCTTCTGCTAGACCTGAGTCCACTTCCCCAGCTGGGCAAAGCATGGACTGCACGGGCTCTTTTTATTGGTCCACTCAGCTCAGGGAACCACATCTCTGAGCCAGAGCCATGGCTGAGGCAGCTCTGTGGGGTTGGGGGGTTTCTAGCTCATGGCTGGAGGTTGTTTTGGTGGGCGATTCTGGTTACCACATGTCAACAGGAACTTGTCTTTTTTTCTTTTTTGTTTCTTTTCTGCTTTTTCCTCAATCTGTAAGATAACTGCTTTTTATTGACTTTCAAGAGCTTTGAGATCTTTGGAGGAATAAGAAATTAGCCACCATTCAGTTTGCATTCTCTTTCTATTTTAACTTGGTCCACCTCTGGTACACAGAATTGATTTAAACGTAATTCTCGGCTCACGATTAACATTGGTCCATGTGTAGCTCTCTTTTGTTTCATTCTTAGCCTTAATAATATTGTGGATGCCTGTGAAACTCACCAGCTCACCTAGAGCAAGACCATCACCCATGCCTTACCTCGCCTTACCCACACCTTATTCATACCTTACCCACACCTTACCCTCACCTTACCCACACCTTACCACCTGTGTGTTCCTCCTCTACCCCATTCCCTGCCTCCCATCCTCCAGAACCACATATTTGAATCCTGCATTCTCTTATTCTCTTCCTTTTGGCAAATATCTTATCGCATATATGTGGATGACATATTGCTTGAATTTAGTTGTCTTTGAACTTTATTTTACAAATATCATGTTATACATAGGCTCCTGGGACTCCTATTTTATCCTCGATAGTATATATCCAAGACTCATCCATGCTGTCAGGTGGGTATTGTTTTTCATGTTTGCTATGCATATTACTCCATCATGGGAGAATACTGTAGTTTATTCATCCATTTCCCTGTTGATGGGTTGATTTTTGCTATTACAAACTGTGCTGCTATGAACATCTGTGTATCTCTCTCTGGATGTGTGCAAGAGTTTGCCTTCAGCTACATACGTCATCTCTCACCCCCATCATAACCCCCAAATGTGGCTGGCTAGAGCCATTTAACAGATGAGGAAGCTAAGACGCAAAGAGCTCATGAAACATGCTTAGGGCCGCATGGCAAATGAGCGGCAGATCCAGGATTCAAACCTAGACCTTCCTGCTTCTAAAACTCACATTTTTTTTCCTGCTATTGTTTGCTATTCTGCCTGAGAAGCCAAGGGATTCATGTCAGCCTGGTGGTCTGTGTGTAGGAGTGGAATATTAAGATTCATTCAATCATTCCTTTATTCATTCATTCATTTGTTCATTCATTCATTCAGCTAGCCAGTGAGTACTTATTGAGTGGCTACTGTGTGCCAAGCTCCATGCTAGACCCTGGGGACCAACTGTGAACTGAAAGCCACCATCACCACCCTCGTAGAGTTCACATGTTAGTGGAGAAAAGGGATCATAAATAAATCAGCAAAGAGAGTGTTTCCCCGCTGTGTTAAACATCAGGAAGAAAATACCAGGGTGAGGAGAGGGTACCTAGGAAGGCATCTAGGAAGGGGATTTAGGAAGGCTGGACCAGGGAAATTTCAGCTGCCTGCATCCACCTTTCCAGGTTATGGGCATGGGAGGAGATCCTCGTAGCTCCCACCTCAGAAAAGGTCTCCAATATCTTCTGGGGGCTTTGAACCTGAGACGAGCCCCTCTAAGCAGCTCAGATTCCCAGCTCCCTTTTTCATCTGACTCCCTGGATGACTGCTTAGCTTTCAAGGCAGCCCCCAGCCGGGGCTAATCTGAAATAAAAGTTTTTATTTATCTAGCTTGATACCTGGTGCAAGGTTAAATCATACAAAAGAAAAAGCAATAAGAGAGAAAGATTAAGCATAAGGCGCTGTCTTAGGCATGCCCTTTTGCAATATGGTTACAAAGATATTAAGCCTGAAGACACCCACAAGTCCACATTGCTATTTCCTTGTCTCTCTGGGCTCAGCTTAGCTGCTGCTGGAGCAGGAAGGATGACAGAACTTGGTGGGGGCCGTAGGAGGGAGACCCCCTGGGGTACCCTGCGGAGAGGGTGAGCAGCCAGATGGAGTTCTAGTTACTCAGCCCATCAGCCACCTCCCACCCCACACAGCTCTGATTCATGGCTTCCCTGGGGAACAAAAACATTGACATCTGCACCTACGTTTCTATCAGCGTGTCCGTGTCATCAGTATTTATTATGTGCCTGCCACGGGCAAGGCACCCTGGGGAGAGAGAGCAGGCAAGAAACCTTCATCACAATCCCTTCCCACAGTCAGTCTGGGCTCAAATCTCAGGTGACCTTGAGCCGGTTACATCCACCTGTGCCTCAGTTTCTTCATCTGTGAAATGGGAATATTCATAGGGTTATTTTAAGCGTCAGATGAGTTAATACAAGTAAAGCTCTCAAAACAGTGCCTAACACATAGTAGGCACACTTTATTATTATTATTTATTATTATTATTAGCATTAAAAAAATTATAGTCTAGTTGATGACAAACACAAACAAGAAAAACAATGCCTGGATTCCTCAGCCTGTAGGTATTAATGGGGTCTCTAAAAATCCAGATTTCACTGACTCGTGGCCTTCCTCCATGTCTGTATAACCCTAAGACTTCAGTTCTCTATAAAATCCCCACAAAATATTGCAGAGGCACCTACAGGATGGGGAGGAGGCAGTTCCCCTGCACTTTCTAACTGCCCTGCCAGCTCTCCTGCCCTCATCCCTCTGGGTGTTCCCTGCACAAAGCCGCTGCAGGTGGGTAACTCACCAGGCCTCTGCTGTAGGCACCCTCTCTAGCCCCTGAAATGGCCCAGCATCTCCTGGGCGCCCATGACCCTGGAGCCAGATGGATTGTCTGCTCATCCCCCTGCTGCAGGCTGCACTTGGGATCTGGGTCCCATAGCTCCACTGCCTGAGCCCTGTGCACTGCGTGCCCCTCCCCACTCACACGCAAACAGCTCCCCCAGCTCCAGTCTGCAGCCCTTCCCTCTACAGGGCCAGGAAAGGCCATGAGGACACCATGCCACCCTCCTCACCCATCTTTCTTACAGAGCCCATTGTTTAAAGTAATTTTTTTTTTTGAGACAGTCTCACTCTGTCACTCAGGCTGGAGTGCAGTGGAGCGATCTTGGCTCACTGCAACCTCTGCCTCCAGGGTTCAAGCAATTCTCCTGCCTTAGCCTCCCAAGTAGTTGGGACTACAGGCACCCGCCACCACACCCAGCTAATTTTTGTATTTTTAGTAGAGACAGGGTTTCACCATATTGGCCAGGCTGGTTTTGAATTCCTGACCTTGTGATCCACCCACCTTGGCCTCCGAAAGTGCTGGGATTACAGGCGTGAGCCACCGTGCCCAGCCTAAAGCAATTTTTTTAAAAGAAGGAAGGAAAGGAGGAGGAGAAAAGAAAGCTTTCTTTTAGCCAAAATATCAGCTTACTTAAAGCCCACCCCACCCATTCCCCAGACATGTCCAGTACAGACCCTAGGGAGAACCAACTACACAAATAATTCATCATGGGTGCCTGAAGCATGGCATATGTAATACACACTTTCGGAGGTTAGGAAAGGGTTTGTTCTCCCCAGGAAAGGCAGCCCTTGAAGGAGAGTTTGGGGAGATGGTGAGGAAGAAGGGTTGCCACCCGCAGGGTAGGGTGTGAGCACACGCTCCCAGGACCTTCCCCCAACCCCTGCCCTAACATTCTCCTGCACGTTGGAACCCACATTGGGAAAGGTTTGAATGCCAAACTAGGGAGTAATAATGACATCATATTAATAGCTACCACTTCTTGGATGTGTGGGAACGGACCTAAATGCTTTACCTACATCAACTCTTTTAATCCTCTCAATAAACCCATGAGACTGTCCTATTACTGTTATCCCCATTTTACAGAGGAGGAAACTGAGGCCCAGTTGCCTAAGATTTCATGGCTGGTAGGTGATAGAACTGGATACTGAACCCAGCAGGCTGGCTGTAAGCCCATTTTTCTCCACCGCTCCCTGCCCTGAGCACTTGAGCGGGCTGCCACAGGCTGAGAATCACTGGGTCTACCTCTGGACTTGGCTAAACTTCCTGTGCTCCTCTGCCACCTCTCTCTCTGCCTCTCCGTCAAATGCTCTGAGTCAATTAACTGGCTGCCCCCATTCAAATATTTGACCAATATCCTGGAAACAGAGATTTCAGAGCAGATATTTTCAGACATTCATTGAAGTGAACAAACATTCTGGCACAGAACGAAATTATTGCTCAACATCTGATTCTGTTGGGCTGTGCCCCCATCCCAGCCTTACCCCTCCCCACCACTTGAAGGCATTTCTTTTTGGGTGCAAGGTGGGTGGAATCAGGCTGCTTCTGCTTTCTATCTCACTGCCCCTCCTACCCCCTTTGACTGCCAGTTCGTGAGGATCTCCCCGCCCTCACTTGTAGGATCACGTCATTGAAGCACTTTTGAATCCATAAAGGCAGATGCTGAAGGGCACTTCACAACGACGTCCGGCAGACCAAGGATTATTTTAAAGGGGCTTGTGACTAGTTTTTCTTTATAATGACAGTGGTAGTACCAAATGTCAGCAAAAGCAATTTAGTTGAGATTGAAAGGAGCACTTTGCAAATGAGGATTTGAGTCCCTGGGATGCTTTCAGTCCTCTTTAGAAGTCTGTAGGAGCTGGGCCTGGTGGCGAGTGCCTGTAGTCCTAGCTACTCCAGAGGCTGAGATGGGAGAATCACTTGAGCCCAGGGGTTCGAAGCTGCAGTGAACTAAGATGGCCCCACTGCACTCCAGACTCCAGCCCGGGCAACAGAGTGAGACCCTGTCTCTAAAAAAAAAAAAACAAAAAAAAACAAAAAAAAACACCAGTCTCTTCTCTAGGGACTGGGGAATTGGCCATTCATGACTCAGCATGTGGTTGGCAAGGTCTTAATGTGCCAGCTTCCACATGGGTGGTCTTGAGGAGACAGACAAGACTATATAAATGGAAACTGAAAATGTAAAACCAAGCCACCAAGAAGCTTGAGGATTTGCTACAGAGGTAAACGTATGAGAAATCGCTCCTCCATCACAGCATTTGCTGAGCGGCTGGTGCTGTCAGTAAGTTCCTGGGGGAGATCAGAGGAGGCCGAGAGGGCTGAGGGCTGGGGCAGAGGCGAGGATAACAGCTTCACCCGAATGCTGGTTCCCCAACTGTAAGATGATACTCCCAAGGGATGATTTTAAGTGGTGCATGGATGGGGCGTGAAATAACATTGAATCACACAAAGAGACGGTTATTCCATTCTTGATTCTCTTACAGAATTTCCATTTCTGTCAGTTCTACCCAGGAAAGGGTTCAGTTGGGTGCTCATGTCTTTAGCACCTCTTCAACTGGGCTCGTGTCCCCACTGGACACAAGGAGAGCTGCTGGAGCCTTCAGAGGCCAAGCTGATGCAGCTAACCATGGAGGCAAACGACACAGGCTCATCTCCCCATGTTACAGCCACCCTCTACACATGGCTGATGAACTGGTTCTCCATGTGTGATACCCTTAAAGAGTTTTTTTAAGATGATGTTTAAAAAAATTAAAGAAAACTACTAAACAAATAATAATAGAAGTTTCATACATATATAGCAGAAATTGGGAGGCTGGCATCCACATGACTGAAGATCAGGCAATGCTGATGTAGGAGTCACTTGACTTGGGCCTTTCCTTGACTGACTTTCCTTCTGAGAGTCACCTCAATGCATGTGAAGGGCTCAGAACAGCTCCTGGCCCAGGGCAGGTGCTCAGGAAATGCCAGCTCTCTGTTGGATGGAATGGCCCTTGGAAATGGGGTGCACTAGCACCCACACGGCAATGTTTTTGGCGCTGCTGCTGGGACTGAGGTGTGGGTTGGTTAGGTGGCAAGGAAAGCATCCCAAGCAGGAGAGGCTGTGATGAGCAAAGGCTTAGAGGGAGGACCAAGAAACATTTAAAGGACAGTGGACAGACGGATCAGACTGCAGAAAGGGAAAGATGAAGATGAACAGACTGACCAGACTGCAGAAAGGGAAAGATGCAAGATGATTTGAAGGGTCTTGGGCCAAGCTAAGGAGTGTGGATTGTTCCTTTCAGGGCATCTGTGTTTACAAGAACCCAAGATCTCTCAGGAGCTCAGGAAAAGGGGCTTGCTGTGAGGCTCAGGGTTCCCATGGACATTCTGAGCTGACCCTCCTCAGCATTGGATCTCCTGGCTCAGGAACTAGGAACGAAGCTTGGATGTTTTCTCCTTTCCTACAGCATCTGTATTCATTTCCTATAGTTGCCATAATAAAATGCCACTAACTTAGTGGCTTAAAAACCACAGAAGTTTATTCTCTTACAGTTCTAGAGGTCAGAAGTCTGAAGTGAGGCTTATGGGGTTAAAATCAAGGTGTCAGCAGGGCTGGTTCCTTCTAGAAACTCCAGGAGATAATCCCATCCTTGCCTCTTCCACCTCTTCTGGTGGCTGCCAGCATCACTTGGCTTGTGACTGTGTTGTTCCGATCCCCTCTTCCCTGGTCCCATTGCCTTGTCCTCTCCTGTAGTCAAATTTCCCCCTGCCTCCCTCTAATGAGGACCCTTGTGATTACATTTAGGGCCCACCCAGACAATCCATGCTAATCTCCCATTGCAAGATCTTTAACCAAACTACATCTGCAAAGTCCCCTTTGCCATGTAAGTAGCATGCAGAGCTTGCAGCGTTTCGGACCTGGGTGCATTTGATGGCCATTCTTCAGCCCACCATAGCATCCGTGCCCTCTCTGAGCATCTGCCTCTCTCTACTGGCTCCCTTACAGTCTCACCTGGGCCATGATGTCTACACTGCCTCTTCTTCGCGCCGCTCTTGAAATGCCCTTTCAGCTGCTGTCCCAGCTGCCAAGCACCTCTACACTCTAGTTATCCCATTCTGAGTTTCCTAGAGGGGTCAGATTGGCCAGCTTACCACTACAGCAGTGTCCACCACAAGCCGTGGGAGCTGGCAGCCTGAGATGCTGTCCCCTAGGCAGCCGGTACAGGAGAGGGTGGTGGGGCCATGCGTGGGGCAGGCCCCAAATACATCTAGTACACTTTCAAAGATAGACAGACTGATGGGACAGAATAGAGCTCTTAGAACCAGACCCAGATATAAATATGGGAACTTGTTATATGATAAAGGTGGCACCGCAAATCACCGAGGAAAGGATGACTTGTTTAGTAGCTGGTGTTGGGAAAACTAGCTCACCACGTTGAAAAAAAATAAAGCAAGATCCCTACCATACACCATATACCAAGGTAGACTCCAGATGGATTCAAGACCTAAATGTGAAACGTAAAATATAAAGCTCATAAAAGGAAATGTGGGGGTATATCTTCGTGACCTTGTAGTAGGAAAGGACTTCTCGGCACCCCCGGAGCACATGCCATAGAAGAAAAATTGTTCTACGTCAAAGGAGTTCCAATTCAATCAGAATATATAGACAAAGTTAACAGCAAATGATATATGGGGAAATTTTTGCAACAATTAAAACCAAGGAACTAATAGCTAGCATATATAAGGAATTCCTGCAGATCGAGAGGAAAAAGTTGGAAAATCCAATACGAAAATAAGCACAGGATATTCATAGAGTGGGAAACCCCAGTGACTGGTGGACACATGTAAAGATGCTGAAACCGACTAAAAATCAGGGGAACGCAAATGGTAACTGCAGTGACTAACCTCTTCACACCCCACATTGACACAGGAGCCAAATCCTCCCTGTTTTTGTGCAGCCTGCAAGCTGAGAATGGGTTTTAAATATAACTATTTTTAGGCCTGGTGCAGTGGCTCACACCTGTAATCCCAAAGCTCTGTAAGGCCAAAGAGGTGGATCACTGAGGCCAGGAGTTTAGACCAGCCTGGGCAACGGAGTAAGGCCTCATCTCCATGGGTGTGGTAACCCATGCCTGCAGTCCTAGCTACTTGGAAGGTTGGGAGGATTGCTTGACCCCAGGAGTTTGAGGTTACAGTGAGCTATGATCATGCCATTGCACTACAGCCTGGGCGATAGAGTGAAACCTTTTCTCTAAAAAGGATAAAAGAAAGAAAGATAAGTATTTTTGCCATTGATCTGAGGGTAGTAAACATGATCTGTGAACTCCAGTTAAGCAAAATGTTATCCCCCACCACAAAAATTCCATTCTTCTCATTAGCAGGACTGTAGTATAAAAAATTGTGCTCAATTATTATTATATTTTGAATTCCTCAAAAATGTTTGTGGAAATTTGTTTTCTTTCTTCCTTTCTTTCTTCCTTCCTTCCTGTTTCTTTCTTTCTCTCTCTCTCTCTCCCTCCCTCTCTCTCTCTCTCTGTCTCTCTTTCTTTTTGACAGAGTTTCCCTCTTATTGCCCAGGCTGGAGTGCAATGGCACAATCTTGGCTCACCACAAACTCCGCCTCCTGAGTTCAAGCAATTCTCCTGCCTCAGCCTCCCGAGTAGCTGGGATTATGGGCATGCACCACCACACCTGGCTAATTTTTGTATTTTTTTAGTAGAGATGGGGTTTCTCCATGTTGGTCAGGCTGGTCTTGAACTCCCGACCTCAGGTCTCTGCCCGCCTTGGCCTCCCAAAGTGCTGGGATTACAGGCATGAGCCACCGCACCCAGCCTGCTTTCTTTCTAGTATCAACATAATGTCCTTGATTTGGCCTCTTGACCTGCAAAGTTTGAAATATTCACTATAGCCCTTTGAAAGAAAGTTTGCTGACCCCCACACACTCTGCATCAGTTAGAAGCCACATGCTATCAGGTTGAACCATATAAAATCCCCATTTTCGTAGTGACAAAATGATTTAATGTCAGCAATTTGTTATGGTTCAAATTCATAGACATATATATACAGCAAAATAGATTAATATTTAATTTACCCACAGGGCAAAATTACTGACAGGATGTGCCATGAGAAAGGGCTCTGGCATTAATATACTGAGATATCAGCCAAGGGCTTGGGATCACATAGGTCCAAGTTTAAATCCTGGCTCTGAGTTCAGCTTCCTGTGGGGCCTTGACAAATCAGTTCTGTAAATAGAGTTCAAAATACCTACTTCGATGAGGCATTGCACAGCAGTGCCTGGCATATAGTAAGTGCAGGGTAAATTACTATCGATCACGAGTTCATTGACATCACCTAGAGAAAATGGCTGCCTTTCATTGTACCATCTTGAAAGAAGGCTGCTAGGGAAAAGCAGGGAGGAGCCTCTGCCATCCTATTTCTCTAATTAGTCTGCCCGTTCCCCTCTTTTCCATCTTAGCGATCTTTCTGTATCCCTCCCCTCCTTAAAAACTTATCTTCACACTCACCTCCCCCAGGAAGCCTTCCCTGACCACCCGCTTGCATCATCTACTTAACTGACAGTAGCAGGTTTGTCGCCCCCATTCTATTTCCAATGCGGAGGTTCATGCTTACTCCACCATCCTTGGACCCTGTGCCCAGGACAGTGTCACCTCTGGCATGGCCACCTGGTTGGCCTGGGGTTCACAAGTATTTGTCTCTTTGACATTCTTTCCTTCCCCCCATGGTAACCACTGAATCCCTGGGAATCTGCAGGTCCCAAACACACGGCCCTCACAACCCAGAAAGGAGCCATCCTTTCCCAAGGGGCATCCCAAGCACCTGCAGGGGCCTTCCCCTGTCATCCGCCGAGACAACGCTCTGCGGGAGTCATTGCCTCCCACTGTACCCTGAGAACCAGAGGCCCAGCCTTGATGTGGCCTGCCTGGGACTGCCCAGGTTATGCGTGGCACTGCCAGCAATTGGCACCAAACCACCCACACCCATATCCAAGGCCTTTCTGTCACACCCCAGCCACTTTCAAGCCCAGAGGTGACCACGTGACTCCAATGTCCCTCCTGTGAAATCCTTCTCTTTCTCTTACCTCTCCAGGGAAACTGAAGCCCACACCAACTGACTTTCCTCCATGGTCCGTGTGACTCAGAACTGCTAATTGGGGCTTGGCTCTGGGCAGCCCCCTCTGTGATTAGCACTGGTTTTCCCTGGCACCAAGGGTGGCGCCTTCTGCCTGGCCCTGCTCAGGGGTGGTGGGAGGCACACACCTCAGCAGTGGGGAGAGACTGGCCTACAGTGAGAGAGGAAACAAGCCCCTTGAACCCCACTTTTTTGCAGCCATAATTAGGATGTCGGTGGGATCCCACACAAGGATGTCATGCAAGGCCCTCTCTCGAGGTTGCATCTTACACTTACAACAAGCACTATCAATATCCCCATTTCACAGATAAGGAAATTGAGGCTCAGAAAGGTAACATAACATGTAGGGTCATGCTAGGCCAAGAAGTGGCAGAGCCAGGATTCGAACCCAGGTCTGCATGAGTCTGAAGTCCTCAGGGACCACCCTCCTCATTGGATGGTCATGACAACCCTGTCATGTGCAGACCCTGCCTCTACTATTTCCATCACACAGATGGGTAAACTGAGGCTCAGGGAGCTCAGGAAACTCAAGGCCATATGGTTGGTAAAGTGATAGATACTGGCTGGCCCCTGATCCAGCCTTTATTCGGTCCACTGTACACAGACCCTTCCCTTCCACGCCAGGACCCCTCTCCCTCCAGTGTGGCAGCATGAGGGGTAACCAGGAGAGGAGCTGAGGGTAGGGTTGCTCTGGACAGACATGAGAAGCAGATGGGAATGGGTCACAAAGTTGTTGGATAGGTCACAAAGGGCCAAGTTGCAGAAAGTGCTGGAAGCCAGGTGGACTTGCCGTGTTGGGCAGGGGGGAGCACGTAGGATCTTACAGGAGGAGTGAAGTGCTGAACTGGCACTCCACAATGCCCCTTGCCCAGCCCGCCCCAGGGCCTGCCTCCCAGCCCCGGTCCCCACCTCCCCGCTGCCCGGCACTCCCTTCCTCCCTCCCAGGTTGGGGACATTGGGCCACTGAGGTCAGGTCTTTGTTTGAAGGACAGATAATTAATCCCACAAAGTAATCCCCAGCACACTCTGGCAGATTTATGGAGGTCGCCTCTGTCCTGGGAACTCTGCCTCATCATCTTTCATTTCCCAGGCAAAGTGACTGACTTGTTATATCATAGGCCCCACGCCAACAGGAATTTCATTTAGGGGAGTTCTCCAGGTGGAAGGAGATTGATAACCCAGGCCTGGGCAGGAACCGATGGCAGTCCTGGGGCCGGGAGGGTGGGGAGCAGAGCAGGCATCGCCACCTCCTCTGTCCCCTAGCTGGTCTCCGTCTTTCTCCCAACATGGGGCTGGTTTCATGGACCTCACCTGTCACAGGCCACAGGGACCCGGATATCATCCAGTTGAGCCTTTCCAAGCCCCAAGATGAGAAAGCAGAGGCCCAGAGCTTGAGAAAGGGACTGTTTCCCACCTGGCTCTTGGGGCTACTCTGCCCCAGCTGTCCTCACCATTACTTCTCCCTCCCCACTCCCCACCTCATCCGCCCTGAAGCTGCCACAGGTACAGGGCTGTCAAGGACAGGGGCAGGGGCTCCTCAGAGCCTGCTGTGGTGGTCCTTGGAACCTACCTCCCAAGGAGGCTCCTTTCAGTGCAGGAGGGCAGTAGGGATTGGCAGGACCTGGCAGCTCATCCACCAAGCAGTGAGGAAGGAGAGGTGTGGCCCTGGGGGTCAGGGTAGTTGCTTCTGGTCTATTGGCTCTGCCTTTAGCTTGCTAGACAGTTTAATGGCTACCATTGTCCACCTTTGCAATACAGGACTTTGGACTTATTTGATAATTCATAAATATTTATCAGGCACCTCTCGTACTCACTGCTGGGGATATGGCCATGAACAGGACAGACAAAACTGTCGCCCTCAGAGCCTCTCTTCTAACAGAGTGTGTACTCTGTTGTATCCATGATCCCGCCCCACCCCCACCCTCAAAGGCGGGGTAGGCCCAGGCTGTGGGCAACTGGGAAGGGAGGGGAGGGCCTGGCCATAGCACAGAGAGTAGGGGTTGGTGTGGCAATGTGTAGGCAGGCACCAGTACCAGCCTTGCCAACTTGGCAGCTCCACGTCGACAGGGACCAAGCATGGTGGGGCTGGCTCCTTCCTGAGGCTCCACCCGGCCTTTCGTAATTAAAGCCGTAAGTCATCTTCCGACGGGAGCCTGTAGGCTGGGGAGGCCACAGCTGACCTTGCTTGGGGTTTAGTGCTGGGAGGGAGAGTGAGTACATCTGGGCAGAGGTTTGTAGAGGGAGCTGAAGATCAAAGGCTGCCCTCTGTTCTGGCCTAGGCTGGGGACAGTGTTTGGGCTCTGAGGCTCTGCTTGGTGCCAGGAGCAGTGCCAAGAGCTTCCTCCACAAGCAAAGAGGTTACTTCCTCTTTTCTATGAGTGCTGAGTCTCAAGCTTGCAAACACCCCAAGTGACGCCATCTGTCTGTAGCAGGACCCTTTGCTCCGGGCCCTCTCCAGGAGGGCCTATGCCCAGAGTTTGGAGTGGGAGTGCTATAGGGTATCCACTGCTTTGGAGCACTTCCCAGAGAGCCTGCCTTCCCTCCTGCCGACAGACTAGGGGTCTGTAACCCAGAACAGCTGATGGGGAAGGAGGCAGGGCCAGGAACCCATGTAATTGAGAAGGACACCAGGCCACGCATCTGTAGGGTGGCCCAGTGGGAAAGACCCAAAAGTCGCTCCTGTGACTTCTCTTTTTCAAAAAAGCGGCCAGAGGCTTTGGAAAGATTTGGGTTGTGGAGCCTCCTCCCTGGTCGAAAAGGCAAGGACGTCTCTCTTTTTCCTGTTTCTCGCTTGCTCAGCAGAAGTTTCTGCCTGTGTGAGCCAAGGGATGGGAGCGTCTTGGGACATCCCTCCCTATCTGGCTGGGCTCATTCATCAAGCATTCTCTGAACGCCTACTTGGTGTGGGGCACTGGGCCAAGGGCTTGGGACATAATATGACATCTGGGGCTGAGCCTCCAGCTGGGAGGATGAGGGCATTCTGGAGGCAGGCTGCCGGGATGAAATGGCCAACCACCCACCCCACCCCACACTCCACCCCACATCCCAGCCCGGGACCCCTGGCCTTTGTCAGAGAAGCAGGGCCAAGTTCACTGGCAAATGTGAAATATTAAATATTTAGAAAAGTACAGAAACCAACACAGCACACCCCCATGTATTCACCACCCTGATAACATTTGTTGACATTTTGCCATATTTGCTTTGGATCTTTTTTGCTCTTCTTTTTGTTCTTGTTTAAGAAAGGGAACATTGCAGCTATTGTTGAAGGCACCTTTTCTTTGATTTCAATCATCTCAGAGGCCTGTTCTGTGAGCGCTGAGCAGAAAAGGTAAAAACCTCTGATCCTGACGTTGGCTTCAAAAATGGCATCCCTGACTTGAATGTGGACTGTGTCTTAGGTGACATTGAGGAATCATTTATTTTATTTAGGGTGAAAATGGCATGTTTTGTTGCATTTTTGAAAGTCCTTATGAGAGATGCATACAGTATGTAAAGATGAACTGGGATTTCCTCTGTTAACACCGTGAAAAATTGGTAGTGTTGTGGGGGGTGATTTTAAGATAAGATTGGCAAAATTTTGATGATTGTTGCATCTGGGTGATGGTACCGAGAGCTTCATTGTGCTCTTGTCTCTACATTTGTGTTTCTTTGAAATTTTCCATAGTAAAACTTTTATGTGTGGTCCCCAAAGCTTCTCAAAGCAGACCAGAGAGCCACATCTGACCTGTGGCCTGGACAGGAGTCCAGACTTGAGCCAGACTTCTGGTCCACCCATCTGGTGCCAGTTCTGCTTCTAACGTGCTGTGTGTTGTTGACCAAGTTACTTCTCATCTCTGATTCTCACTTCTCCAGGGGATGAAGGAAAAGTTGGAACCTGCTAGGCTTTAAGCATCTTTCCATTTTCCACCTCTGACACTTGACACATCTAACTTGTATGCTCAGAGACTCCACTGGAGGGAAACTGTGGGAATAGTCCCATTTACACCTTCAATGTCTTTCCTTTTTTTTTTTTTTTTTTTTTTTTTTGGTGAGACAGAGTTTCACTCTTGTTGCCCAGGCTGGAGTGCAATGATGCGATCTCGGCTTACTGCAACCTCCGCCTCCCAGGTTCAAGCAAATCTCCTGCCTCAGCCTCCCGAGCAGCTAAAATTACAGATGTGTGCTACTACACCCGGCTAATTTTGTACTTTTAGTAGAGACAGGGTTTTACCATGTTGGCCAGGCTGGTCTCAAACTCCTGACCTCAGTTGATCCACCTGCCTTGGCCTCCCAAAGTGCTGGGATTACAGGCGTGAGCGACCGTACCCGGCCACACCTTCAATTTCTTCAGTGGGTTGGCCCACTGATGCTTTAGGAGATAAGCTTTGCAAAAAGGGCTCTGTGGTCAAATAAGTTAGAGAGACACTGCATCACAATTTCCTTGTGCTGGCAAATCACAATGCCCATGAGCACATTAAAGGCTCTGACAAGTCCAGCAGTGAAGATGTCTGTTGAGCATTTCCCAGATTTGTTTGACCGCAGAACTTTTTTTTTTTTTTTTTTTTTGAGACGGAGTGTCACTCTGTCACCAGGCTGGAGTGCAGTGGCACTATCTCAGCTCACTGCAACCTCTGCCTCCCGGGTTCAAGCGATTCTCCTGCCTCAGCCTCCTGAGTAGCTGGGACTACGGACACGCACCACCACGCCCAGCTAATTTTTTGTATTTTCAGTCGAGACAAGATTTCACCGTGTTAGCCGCAATGGTCTCGATCTCCTGACCTTGTGATCCACACGCCTCGGCCTCCCAAAGTGCTGGGATTACAGGCTTGAGCCACCATGCCCGGCAGACCACAGAGCTTTTAAAAGTTGACCTTTCCTATACCCCATGGTATCAGAGTTCCTGGGGAAACCCTGGCCTTTCTGTTTTCAGACTGGGGGCTCTGACTCTGTAGGACAAATTTGCCATCTTTTCTCATAAATATGATGACTCTGACTCATACTCACTCGAACCCAAGATGTTTGATGTTTTCCACATTGCTGAGTGGGTTTGTGCTTAACCAAATCTGTAGTTTTTTTCCTTCAGTCATGCCCTGACCAGAATCATCTGCTTTGATGTTATACTCTGAGTCACTGACCAAATGCCGGAAAACCCTCCAACATTAGGAAACTGGGCCTGGCACAATCTGCATCCTTTCTGGTGGAGCCTTCTAGAAGCATTGTTTCTAGGGAGGAGTAGGAGAAGGAATATAGGCATTGGCATTAAAGGCCATGGCTTCAAATCTCAGTGCGACCACTTACAAGCCTTATGACTTTTTCACCTCTATCCTCAGTTTACTAATCAATGAGGTCTAACATTTGTTGAGCATCTGTGATGTGCTGGACACTGTGCTGAACTAAGTAGGATTATTACCTGCTTTTATCCTCACATCAGCCCTATAAGATAAGAATTACTCCTCCCCTTTTTATGGTTAAAGAAACGCAAGCCCAGAGAGGGTAGATAACTTGCCCACGGTCACACAGCTAGTGAGAAGTAATGCTGAGGTTCGAACCCTGGTCCTAGCCACTGCAATATCTGCCCTTTCAAAAAGATCAGATCTCCCATGGCATCTTAAAACTGAAAACGTCCTGGGAATCTCCAGATTCCCTGAACCCCATCCCTCAGGGCCCCCTTGGAGGGTAACGGGGTGCTGGGTGTGCTGGACTCCACACCCCGTCATCTGCTTCAGCCAGGGCAACTAGCTCTGATTTTGGCTGTTTTCTATACTGGAGCTCTGTGTGAAATTTTGTCTGATACAAGAATCTGCTACTGAAACAAAGACATTTGAAAAACCACTGCCATGGAAAAGCCCCCTCTTTTTTAAACAGGAGAAAACCCTGAGGCCCAGAGAAGTGAAGTGACTGGCCCAGGGTCACAGCTGTCTTCTGAGCCCCAGGCAGATCTCTGTTCTCCCTTCAGGCATTGGAGCAGGGCCTGGGCTGGGTGGGCGGCGGAGGGGGGGGGGCTCTGCAGCCCCCAGGGGACCCCTCAAGGTCGGTCATTCGGGCTGGTTCAGCCAGCTGGTGGCCAGTTTCTATGAAGATAACTGTGTCTGAGGCTGGCTCCCTGAACCTCGTCCGACCACATCTATTTCTGGGCTGCAGAGTCCTGACGGAGCACAATTTGATTCATAAATTACCCGGCTCAAGGTGTGTGTGATGGGTTCTCCTTCCACAGATTTGAAAGTCATTCACTCTGGAACTTGCAGCACTTGGGGCGGGAGGGCAGGGGCAGCCGTGGCACTGTCAGGATTAGTGTTCATGGAGGAAAGATGGCAGGGAAGATGGAGAGGGCTCGGACAATCAGTGAGAGCCGCTCTGTACCAGCTCTGTTCTCCCAGCAGCCCCAGGAGGCAGAGTCTGTCAGTGTCCCTCTTTGGCAAGTGAGGAAACTGAGGCTCAAAGGCAAAGTCACTTGCCCAAAGCCACATAGCTAGAAGTAGTGGAGCTAGGATTTGAACTCAGTACCCTCTGAGGCCCACACTGCTTCCACATGATCTCAGTGATGCAAGACAAAGGACTGAACAGATGGCAGTTGGAGGGGGAGGCTGGACCCTGGGCAGTAGGATTTGGAGGGAAGTTTCAGGGGCACCAACCCTCTTTGTCCCACAAACTTCAGGGTGCACCTGTCACTGCCATTGCACCCCACCCTGCCCCGCTCTGCCCATCTTTCCTGCTTAACGTCATCCAGTCTGTGGCACTGCACAGCTCCACCTGCCCCAGGCACCCAGTTCACCATCTTTGACGCATCCTGACATGGGTTCAGCACTTTACAGTTTGTAAAGCATCTTCAGATTCCTTATCTCACTGAACCTCTAAACAGCCCTGTGAGAGGGGAAGGTATTCTCACCTCCAAAGAGGAAACTGAATCTCAGAATGTCCACAAGCCCCAAATGATGAAACCAGTCTCTTAAATTCACATCCACTCCTTTATGAGTTCTCCAGTCGGCTTCCTCATACATGTGCCTTGTCCTTCCCCGAAGATGACCAATCTTCCCCATTAGACGGTGGGCTCCCTGGGGGTATGACCCACCCCATACCTGGTACGGACAGGCCCAGTGGTAGATAGGTGGTCTCTGGTGTCCCCACTTCCCGAGAAGCTTCATCCCTGGGCCCATCTTTCCCATGTCCCATTGCTGGATTGGAGCCAGAGGAGGGGGTGACAACACGTCCAGGATGACAGACAGCGCGTGCCCCCTCCTCCTGCCATGGGCTTTCTTCTCCTTGGGCGTCTGATCACCGTCCTCTTTGTTTTCTTAAGTGTCTCTCCCACTCCTTCCTCCCTCCCCCTCCTTCCCTGGGACAAGGCCTTTCAGATCATCAAATATCAAACACTGCTTATGCACAGACTGAGATGGCTTTATCGGGGCTGTAAATCTCCCTGTGCCCTGACCTCTCTTGAGTGCCAAGCCTCGGGTGAGTTATGTGGGCCCTGCCCAGTGACAGGCAGAACAGACAGCCAGCCCTCTGGGAGGCACAGGCTGGGGGACCTGGGGCACCTTGGCTCCCACTCTTAGCCCAAGGAGAGACCCCAGTTGAAGGGAAGCATGGGTGTTTGGGCCTACCTGCCCCAGGCCCCGGAGGTAACCGGGTGCCAAGCAGGCAGCAGGGGGGGCCTCCTTTTCCTGCTCTCCTTTTCCTCACCTTGCTCACCTCCTGGCCAGACTCCGGGCCCCAGGGCTGAGGGAGCACCAGTCCCACACAGGAGAGGCAAGGCCCATGGCAGCCATGAGGGCTATGTGAGACCCAAAAGACCCAGGTTCTAATCCCAGCATGGTCACTTAGTAACCATGTATCCTTGGACATGTCACTTCACCTGACAGTGCCTCAGTTTCCTCATCTGATAAATGGGTAGCAGTGCTGGCTTCACACGGTATTTTGTGGATCCAGTGAGGTCGTGCATGTGAACAAACATGTGAAGCGCTTGGTCAACAGGCAGAAGCACGCATCTTCCCCATCTCTCAGGGGCAAGCAGCATGTGGACTAAGCCTGTAGTCTCTAGAGGCAGACAGGCTGGCCTGGAATCCTGGCTCTGTGACTGGCCAGTGGTGTGACTTCAGGCAAATCATTTAATCTCTCTGTGCCTCTGTTTTCTCACCTGTAAAATGGGAATAACAATAATAATGGAAGGCCAGGCATGGTGGCTCATGCCTGTAATCTAAGCAACATGGGAGGCTGAGGCAGGAGGATCCCTTGAGCCCAGGAGTTTGAGGCTGCAATGAGCTGATTGTGCCACTGCACTCCAGGCTGGGTGACAGGGTGAGATCCTGTCTCTAAAAATAAAAAATAAATAAAAAGAATTTTAAAAGCTAAGAGTGGAATAATGACGATGCCCTCACAGGAGGAGGCCTTGAGGAGTAGCTGACCAACTCACATGAAGTGCTGAGCACCTCGTCTGCCACGCAGCGGGCCCACAAGAAACGTCAGCCCTTGTTATTGCCCCTTTTCTCTCTGCCATCACCCAGTCCATGCCCTCGTCACCAGCAGGCTTTCCTGCCTCCAGCCCAACCCCTGCAGGAGCTCCTCAGAGCCAGACAAAAATCCAAACTGCTTCCTCCTCTGGGCATCAGCCTCTCCTGACAGCTTCCTGTGAACTCTCTGCTTCTCCTGCTGGCTCCCCACCTGGGAAGCCATGGTCCCACCTCCACCCTTTTGCTCAGGCCAGTCTCCCCAGCAGGAGTGCCCTCTTCCTCCATACTTACCCCAGCCCTGCCCTCCTCCTCCAGCCTCCTGCAGAATCTTCCAGGGCCTGGCAAGCTGCCCTCAGCAGGACTGGGCCCCTTTTGGCACAGGTCCTATTTCCTCATCTAGACTAGATGCCACTTGGAAGCAGAGACCTCACCTTTCCAGTGCCTCGCAGCTCCTCTGTGAGCAAATTCCTTCCTTCATCCTAGCTGATGTAGCAAGACCAGGGCGGGAAAGGCCCCTGCCCTCAGGGAGATTAAATCTGGTGAATTGTTGTTAGTAATTGTGGTAACCCAGGGAGAGGAAGAATTACACATTAAAATGAATCAGTTTGCAAAGCAGCCTGCATCTAGCACCAACTTGGAACACAAAGACACACACCATCAAACACTGGGGGGTATTTTGGTGCAGTAAAATATGAATAACGTAAAATTTACCATTTTAAAGTGTGCAATTCCGCGGCATTAATTACATTCACAGTGTTGTACAACTGTCACCACTAGGAAGTTGTAGAACTTTGGGGATTATTTTTTAAAGGAACTTGTATTGACCTTTTTTTTTTAAAAAAAAAAAGAAAGACAACAAATGTAATTCAGATCAATCAAAAGAGAAAGTTGAAATGGCTGGAGCAATGGTTCTTCATTGGGGCGATTGTGCCTCTCAGGAGACATTTGGCAATGTCTGGAGATTATTTTGATTGTCATATCTGGGGGAAAGTGCTACCAGCATCTAGTGGGTAGAGGCCAGGGGTGCTGCTGAACAACTCACAATGCACAGGACTGCCTCCCACAACAAAGAATTATCCAGCCCCAAATGCCACAGTGCTGAGTCTGAAAACCTCTGTCCTAGCACTATCACTCAGATAATCTGTGTTCACATTTTGCTAACATTTCATTCCTTTTTTCTATGTGCACATTTTTTAAGCCAAAAAAAGTATCTTATGGAACTGTGCTGATCATTGTCCTTTTTTAAAACACATCATAAACACATCTGTTTTTTCAAGTTACAAGCATCTCTTCTGCAACGTTTTAGTGGCTTGCTGCATTTCATATCATAACTTATTTAATGAATCCCCTATTGTTGGACATCTAGGTTACCTCCAGTTTTTCTTACTAAACAGCACTATGGTGAACATCCTGGTGACTGCATTTATGGGCACATTCATGATTATTCCCTTTGAAGAAATTCTCTCCATGGCAGTGTAAAGGTTTTTCAGGAAATAGGTTCTTATTTCAGCCATAGTCCCTGGTGATGTCTTTCTGGTCCCCATCAAAACATCCTCAGAGGACCAGGGGCCGCCTCTCTGAGGCTTTCCATTTTACAGGGAGCCATGCACAGTGCATTGCTGTGGGTGGAAGAGTGTGGCTTGACCCTTAGCAAACTGGCATGATAGATTTCACTATCTTTGGCTACTCAAGTTAATGCTTCATAAACTGGAGCCAGTTATTAGCAAATTAATCAGGGTCCAGTTTGTAGCCTTATTAGGAGAGGTTATAATTTGTTGGTTTAAGTGAGCTTGATAAAAACTGTTGTGGTGTAAAATGCCTGTAAGACAAGCGGACTGCCGTTCACACCTACTTGAGGGACTGGAAGTTTGTCTTACCCTGACTGGACAGTAATAACTAATTAACTGAGATGGCTCAGCTCAAACAAACATAGCACTGTGGCTGCATCAGGAGGGTATTACAGCCCCAACTGGAATTACTAATTGGCTGATCCCTCCTCGTGGGCCCTAGTGCAGCTGTGGTGTCTTTATGATGTGTGACATCAGGAGTCACCCCAGTATCACTCTGCTCCTCAGCCTTTTGGACCAGTCTCAGAGTGGCCCTCAGACATTCCTGCTGTGGCCCATTCATCCATTCAGAAAACATTGATTGATCACCTGCTAGGCATCTGCTGGGCACTTGGGGAAACCAGTCCTGCCCTCCTGGGGCTTACATTCCAGTAGGGAGAAACAGACAATAAGAAACACATAAACAGATGGAAGAGAGGTTCAGAAAGTAGAAGTGCTTTGAAAGAAATAAAAGAGGATAATGGAGAGAGAGTGACAGGGGTGAGGGTGGGAAGGTGGGGGTAACTGGGGAGGAATCTGAGGAGTGACATTTGAATGGAGGCCTGAATGCACACAGAAGAGACCTGCAGGAAGAGGCTCCAGGCAGCTTGGGAAGCTTTGGGGAGGGGCGGTCTTCCCCCACCCCGACTGACCCAGGATCCTTATGCGGCAGCAGACTCTCGGCAGGCTGGTCCCCTCTCCTGGTTGAAAGCCGAGGTAACCCACACCGCTGGCTGCCATATGTTGATCGTGGGGCTGTTGAATGTAGCCCAGCCCAGATGCCATCCAGGATGCAGGCCCCTTTTGTCATCAGGCAGCTAAGTAACGATTTTTAATTCATAAGATGTCTTGCTCAAGGCCCATATCTCATACTGACTCCCAATTTTCATTATACAGTGATACAACTCTATACCAGTCAGAATGATATGGCTCCGCTGGACAGCGATGGGCCTGCAAGCCAGCCTGCCCCAGGGGCGGGGGCTTAGGCTGCCCACACACAGCTGCTTAATGGGCTACACCTGGCAGGGAAGACAGGAAGGGCCAGGGGCCTCTGAATGGGACATGAACTCTTTAGCTTCCTGGAAGCTGAGTTTAATTCCTTGCTCTACCTCTCACTGCCTGGATGATCGAGTGCAGGTTATTTTTAACCTCGCTGTGCCTCAGTTTCTTCCTCTGTAAAATGAGGATAGTGTGTCTGTCTCAGGGGTTTTGTGAGACTGAATAAGACATGCATACAAGACACTTTGCGCAGTGCCCAGCACAAGGTCAGAACTCAATCTATGTTGGCCATTGTGGGGCATGCCCCTCACAACTCTGGGTGAGAGGGGCCACAGCTGGGACTAGCTTGCTCTGAGTCTACTATTCCGAAAACAGGTATGGCCAGGTGTGGTGGCTCACGCCTGTAATCCCAGCACTTTTGGAGGCCGAGGCCAGAGGATTGCTTGGGCCCAGGAGTTGAAGACCAGCCTGGGCAACATGGTGAAACCCTGTCTCTACAAAACATACAAAAATTAGCTGAGCGCAGTGGTGTGCACCTGCAGTCCCAGCTACTAGGGAGGCTGAGGTGGGAGGATCACTTGAGCTGAAGAGGTTAAGTCTGCAGTGAGCTGTGATCAAGCCACCACACTCCAGCCTGGGTGATAGAACAAAACTCTGTCTCAAAACAAAAGGAAAGAAAATAAAAGAAAACAGGCATGGCAGGAAAGAAGAAACCAAAGTGTCCACCTGCTACATGTCAGGCACCACAATAAGTGCCTTACGTACATGATCACTCCTGATGCTCACACAGCCTGGTGAGGTAGGAGTTGTTATCCACACTTTACAGATGGGAAATTTGGCCCAAAGGAATGAGTGGTTTGCAGGAGGTCTCACAACTGGTAAGTGATGGAGCTGTTGTTGGAACCTAGGTCTTTTTCACATCCTGCGAGTTCATGCTCAGTATGCGGTCTTCACCAGGGTGTTGACGTAATAGACTCCAGGCACAGACCATGACTAGAAGAGAGACCATTGGAAGGAATGGAAGCAGATCCCAGTTCTGCTCCCTTCCCTGGGTAAGGTCCCTGACGCTGGACCTGGGCAGGGCCAGGTGACCAAGTCAGAGGCCACAGTGGAGATCAGGATCGCACAGGTCAATCTCATCCAGCCTCCTGCCTCCATTCAGACACTGCCATTTAAAGAGATGGCTGCTTAGGCCCAGCTCCTAAGATCCCGAGCTCCTCATAAGCCATGGCTTTTTTCTTCTCTTCTCTCCCCTGCGGCCCCAACACAGGACTAGGCCCCAAGTATGCCGCTGCCTCTTACATACTGGTTGACCCTTTGGAATTGCTGCAGAGGGAGGAAGAGAAACTTCAGGCCATCCAACAAATATATAATGAGCGCTGTTCTGGGGACTGCCAGAGATTGCAGCATGAGACCCCAGCCCTTATCCTCAAGGCCACGCTGGGTCTCCAGGCATGAGAATTAAAGAAGCGCACTGCACAGGGCAGCTGCCTCGTGAGTTCTGAGCCCAGCACTCAAGGGCTCAGAGGAGCCAGAGGTGGCAGAGCCTCCAGGCGAGAGATGCGGGTGGGCTTCCTATAGCAGGTGATACTGGACCTTCAGAAAGGGCAGTTCCCAGGCCGAGTGGGGAGCCTTAGGCTTTCCTTTAACTCTGAGTGCAGAAGAGCAGAGGCAGGACTCAGGGGCTGTTAGCCCAGCGGAGCAGACAAAGCAATTGAAAGTCATCAGCCTGTGTTCCCGCACGCACCATCGGCCACTCACTAAACTGCTTTTCGCCCAGACCCAGCTCTGCTGTGGTTCAAGATGCTGCCAGTGAGATAACAAGGGGACAAGATGTGGGAATGATGAGATTTGGCAGCAGGCAGGAGGGGCGATGCTGCAGGTGGGGCAGGGGGCGTGAAGGGGGGTAGCCTTCCAGCCTGGAGGAAGAAAGAGGTAGGGGGATAAGCCTAAGCTCCCCCTGCCCCACATGGCTCGAAGAGAGAGAACTGCCCCGCCCCAACATCAGACCTTCTACCCCCTGCTGCAGCCCCTCCCAGTCCACTTCTCTCTCCCTCTCCCTCTCCCTCTCCCTCCGACCACCTAGAAAACAGCAGAAGTCCTTTGCTTGACTCTGCGGCGCCCTCTAGCTGCCACTCAGCCTCTTGCCTTGTTTTTTACACCAAACTCTGGGCAGCAGCACCTCAGGACCTGTGCTCACTGTCCCCACATCCCTGCCCCACCGTCCCTCAGTATCTTAAAGTCTGACTCTGGGGACATCTGAAGACCCAGTCAGTGGCCTTTGCCAGACCTTCCTCTTCCTGAGCTCTCTGCTCTATCTGACCCTGCAGACCGTCTCTTTCTCAAGACTGCCTCCTTCCCTGACTCTGGGCACCCGGCACTAGGCTGGTTTCCCATCTACCTCTCTGGCCATTGCTTCTCTGTCTCCTTCACTACCTTCTAAATATTCCTGGTTATACTCGTCCAATTATACATGTGCCATAAACAGCAGCCTCGCCTGGTGCGCTTTTTCCCAGTGTCTGACGAACGTCACCAGCCCCATTGTGCTGACAGCTCTTGTCTCTTGCCTTACCTTCCCCCACCAGTCCCCATGGTAGGCCACCTCCCCAGCTACCTGGAAGACATCGCAACATGGACATTCTGCTGCTATGTAAAACTCTACCATGGAGGAATTTATCTAGAACTTTCCAGAATGTGTAAGGACTCCCCCGTGTGTGTGTGTGTGTGTGTGTGTGTGTGTGTGTGTGTGTGTGTGAGAGAGACAGAGAGACGAGAGAGAGAGAGACGGAGTCTCACTCTATCACCCAGGCTGGAGTTCAGTGGCATGATCTTGGCTCACTGCAACCTCCGTCTCCCAGGTTCAAACAATTCTCCTGCTCAGCCTCCCGAGTAGCTGGAATTATAGGCACCTGCCAGCATGCCCGGCTAATTTTTATATTTTTAATAGAGATAAGGTTCACTGTGTTGGCCATGCTGGTCTTGAAATGCTGACCTCAAGTAATCTGTCCACCTCGGCCTCCCAATGTGCTGGGATTACAGGCATGAGCCACTGTGCCCAGCCCTAGGACTCCCTCTTGAGGAAGAAGCCACTTTGTTGACACTCCACTCTATGAAGGATGATGATCTCTTATTTGCCTCATCCTATTTCCTTGCCCCATAGCACAGGGCCAGGTGCAGAATGTGCACAAATGTGTGGAAGGCGAATGCTTGCAGGGAGAGAAAAAGAAATGTAAATCTAAGTCCAAGCTGGCCACTTGCTAGCCATGTGACCTTAGGCAAGTTATTGAGCATCTCTGAGCCTGCTTTCTCACACAGAAGATGGGATATCTTCTTATAAGGTGGTTGCAACGAATAGGTGATGTGATTGTGCAAACAGCTTAGCTCAGTGCCTGGTACATGGTAAGTGTTTGATAAGTAGTGGCTGCTACTTTTTAATAAATAGGAGAATGAAGGCTGCAATCCCCACCCCCCGACCCCTGCCCAGCAGCCTTTCACACATGATTCATTCCTCCCAGCCTCTCTCTTGCAAATCTGAAAAGGTCTTGATTCCTGGAGCTCCTAGAGGAGGTGGCTGCCCCCAGGAAAACCAGCAGGGCCAGTAATGACCTGCTTTTTTCTTTTGTGATCAATTTGAATCACCAGTTCCCAGAATCCTTACGGTGGTAAAAGTGCAGCCACCACCCCACCCCAAAACCCCTCCCCTACCAGATACTCCCCGACCCTGGAACTCAGGACAGCACCTGTCCACCCAGGGGAAGCAGCTGCCCTTCTGCTCAGCAGAAGTGGGGCTGAACAGATGAAAGGCTTCCCTGGTGAGCGCCCCCAGCCCCCCAGCCCCCCATGGGAATTGGATGAAGAATGTCTGGGAGACCAGAAGGCCGACACGGAGGTATCAGTTTCCAGGAGAGCAGAGAAACTTGCATGTGTGGCTGCCAAGCCCACAGCGCCTGTGGAGGGGAGGACGTGGAAGTGAGGGAAGAAGTGAAGGGAGCGAGGCAGGGATGTGGAGTTCCCCTCCGCACCCACCATCCTGAATGAGGGGGGAGCAGAGGTCAGAGCTCTGGGTTCAGGGCCCTGTGTGTGGGCCTGAGGGTTTTGTTCTCAGCCTCAGTTCAGGGCAGCCTGTAAACACTAGCTCTCTGTGGCGAGGCTCTCCTGGCAAAAGTGTGGGGTTGGCTCAGTGTCACTGCTGGGAAAACAGCTGTAGGCACAGGCTGCTGGGGTGGTGGGGAGAGACCATGGTGGTACCATCTTGGTAAAGCACAGGCAGCCAACATTTGTTGGGAGTTTCCTGTGTCCCCAGCACTATATTAACTTATTTAATCCTTAAAGTGACAGCCTGGGGTGGGTTCTATTATTGCCCCCCTTTTACAGACCAAGCAACTGAGGCCCACATATAAGTCACTTGATCAAGTTCACACAGCCAGTAAGTAGCAGACCCATGATTTGAACCCGTGCTGTCTGCCTCCAGAGGGTGTAATCTTAACCATTTCTTTTCCGAATTGCTTTTCTTCAGGGGCCTTAGCTCAGCGAGTACTTACACTTTCAATTGTGTGGTTTTATCATGAATGTCTGTCTTCACAGACAATTCATATGAGACTGAAGGCATCAACCTTGCCTGCTTTTCTTTACCGATTCTCCAACACCTTGCGCATAGTAGGTGCTCAATATGAACTTGAAGGAATGAGTGAATTAAAAAAACCAATGAATCTTTGAATGAGACGTGCCCTTGGCCTTTCCAGCTTTGGAGGCAGGGCTCATCTCCTGCCCCTACCCAAGCCTAGCAGCATCCCAGAGAGTACCAGTGTTGCTATGGTGACAGTAAGAACATCTTACCGAGCATCTCACTGAGTCAGTCCTCTCTCAGGTGGCCTTGTCGGCTCCCTAGGTATAGCTCTTTCTGGCTGTTGGTCTGGGGAGTTAATCACTCGTGCTTGGCAGGAGGTGGGAAGGTGTACTCCATGCAAACAGATGTGTGAAAAAGAAGTGTGTGTGTGTGTGTGTGTGTGTATGTATGTGTGTCTTGAGTTTGGTTGAATGTGGACTGTGTGGGGGGTACTTGCCTGCAGGTTTGTTGGAGAAGGTTGCCTAGGTCGGGGCATGGGGTGTCTTATGTGCTGGGGACAGATGCCGGGTTTGGAGTGGGCAGTGTGTACGTGAACGGGGCATAGGAGCTGAGTGAAGAAATACAAGTGAGTGTTCCAGGGTTGAAAACCCTGTTTTTCAAACCAAAAATGAAAGCACGTCATTCAACAAGGGGCTTCAGGTTTGTGAATGATTTATAAGAAAAATCTCACAAAGATAAAAATTGAATCACATTTAGCTAAACATTTGATAGGCTCCTTTATTTAAAAAAGTAAATTTATATGAAAATCTGGAATGCTGGGATGCTGTCTGTGGGGGGGCTGGGGAGGGGACCCCTGCCTGTGAGTGTGTTGGGGCAGGAGTGGGAGGCCGGAGGCTCTGAGGTCTTGCCTCAGGGCAGCCCTTCAGCTGAGCCTTAGGGGCTCAGAGGACCTCAGCCCCTACAGGGCCCTGCACTGCCTCTGCTTCACCCAGCCTCAGCACTGATCACCCTGTACGTTGAGTGCTGTGGCCCCCATTAAAATGTATCGCCATTTGTTTTTGAGACAGTCTTGCTCTGTCGCCCAGGCTGGAGTGCAGTGGTGTGATCTCGGCTCACTGCAACCTCCGCCTCCCAGCTTCAAGCGATTCTCATGCCTCAGCCTCCTGAGTAGCTGGAATTACAGGCATGCGCCACCACACCCAGCTGTTTTTTGTATTTTTAGTAGAGATGGGGTTTTGCCATGTTGGCCAGGCTGGTCTTGAACTCCTGACTTCAAGTGATCTGCCCATCTCCGCCTCCCAAAGTGCTGGGATTACAGGCATGAGCCACCGCGCCCAGCCTGTATGCTCATTAGAGAAGCACAATAACTGTTTGTTGAATGAATGAACAGATGAAAACACACATCTCGTTTCTCTAGCAGCAAAATTCCCAGCTAAAGAAACTCCCTTCTATCATACATTTATATGCCTCCTTGCAATCCTGTCCCCCCAACTCCCCACTATGCAAACGCAGCCATACAAAACCCAGCAGGAAGTGACCTAGGAGTCTCCATGGCTGGGAAAGGAAGCCTTAGGCAAGGGGATAGCTACAGTGACACCCCCTCCTGGGCTGGCCCCATGTTAGAGATTCCGAAGGCATAGACTGATAGACTGAGTTCTAAACAGGCCCCACTGTCTGCAGCTTCTGCCTGGCCTTGCCCAGCCCATACAGTGGACTGGGAGGACAGGTGAGAGTGGCCACTAGCCACTAACTTGGGTAGAAGTAAGCTGCCTTGCTGACCAGCACAGGCAGGTGACTCAGCATGGGTTGGCTGAGAATAGCTTCTGTCCCAAAGTCTAAAGTTAGAAGAGGAAATTGCCCCACCCTTGACTTTTTCCCTAGTTAATCCAAGAGAGGCTATGAGCCTCTGCTACATGCAGATCCCTTTAGAGTTGGGGAAGGGGAAGACCTGGGAGCTACAGCCACTTCCACGGTGATTCTGGTGTTCACCTGCGTGTGTTGAAGGCTTGGGTATTAATTCTCTAACGTGGAATCGGTGTCCATCCATCCTCTTCCTCAGTCCTGCCCATTCTCCAGGAACCACCTCAAACAATAACGACAACACTACTGAGTCCTTATTTTGTGCCGGGGATGGTCCCAAAGTAATATATCTATACTTTCACACTTATTTAATTCTCATAACCCTGTGGGGCAGATGCCATTATTATCTGTATTTTACAAGTGAGGAACCAGAGCACAGAGGGTTTAGGTAAGTTGCCCAAGGTCACACAGCCAGTCAGTGGTCCAGGGAATTAATGACCCCTCCTCTATGGAGCTTTCCTTCTTTGAGCTTTCCCATCTGTAAACAGCCCCTCCCTGCTGTGAACTCAGAGATGCCGATTCTGGTGGGTACCAGAGATCACTTACCAGGCTGCAAAGTGCTTTGGTGTCAGAATTCCTGGCACGCTGACATCTGCATGCCCAACAATGCCCAGCTCAGGGCCTGCTATAGGAAAGCCTACCCCAGAGATTGCTGGGTGGGTGAATGAATGGGAGTGAGTGAGTATGTGAATGAACCAACAAACTGGTTTGTGAAGAAGACAGCAGAGTGGAATTGGGATTTTCCCAGGTGAATTCACATGTGGGAAGGGCATATAGGCAAGGTGGGGGCCCATGCAGGACTGGCCCAGGTGAGGAACATGCCTGCCACTGTGTGCCCAGCGTTGGCCAGGTACCTTAAGGGACAGTCATGAAAGGTCTCCATCTTCAGAGGGCCGGGAAGGGAGATCCAATGAACACCCAATAATCAACTGGGGAACAGTTAGTTACAAAACAGTGGCTACTGCCTGTGGGGACCAGAAAGGGCCAGCTAGAGAAGTCAGGACTGCCTTTCTGGAGGAGGAGAAGAGGCTGGCACTGAGCTGGGCAGAGGATGAGGACAAGAGAGAATGACAGACACTAAAAGATGAGGAGGCAGGAAAGAGCATAGTGATCTGGAGAAACCCAAGGACGCCAGTGTGAGTTTCTGTGGAGAGAAAGCAGAAATTGAAGGTGGCAGAGGGAGAGGGGTGGGTTTACAGAGACATCGGTTTGAGGCAAGTGTGGCTCATAGATAATTTTTGCCAGTACTTTAATACATATCTTAAATTTTAATAAGTACTTAACATAGTACTTTTTTAAAATTATGTCTTTAATTTACATTTTTTGTAAAAGGAAACTTTACATCACGGTCATAAATAAAAAATTAGAATAGAATATACTAGACTAGACTAGACTAGAATAGAATGTCACCATAAAAATAAGCACAAGAGAAACAAAACCAGGTTATTGCATCCTGGCTGGCGTCCACTCCCTTTGGAAGGCTCTGAGCCTGAAGCCTGCTCTCTCTTTGTTAAAAAAGAAATCAAGCGAGTCTAGAGAAGTGTTAAAGCATAGTAGCACCAAACCAAGACTTTCTCCCTGGCTGGGTCACAGAGACCAGAAGGAGATTGGAAAGGCCATGCTGTTCTCCTTCTGGGACCCGTTGCTGTCTGCCGGCTGCTCCATGGACTCCAGGGCTCTTTCTATTACTCTTGAACCAGCATTCATTTCAAGTAACTGATGAGTCTTTAATGCCCAGAGAGGAGCCCTGGCCCCAGCTCCATGCCCCCCTGCCCCCAGCTCCATGCCCCCCTGCCCTGTGCCTGGTCACACCTGAATGCTTCTCTCTCTTGCAGGGAATACCAACAGCATCTTTGCCCTGGACTACATCAGCGGAGTGCTGACCTTGAATGGCCTGCTGGACCGGGAGAACCCCCTGTACAGCCATGGCTTCATCCTGACTGTGAAGGTGAGACCTGGGTGGGCACCTTCACCCCAGGTAGAGGAGATGCCCCTACTCGGATGCCAACCTCCAGCAGTGTCCGAGGGCTCCTGCCCCCGGTGGTGGCGCCGGAAGCACTTCGCTTCCGTGCTCTCACCCTGCACTGCCTCCCGGGGCTGTGCCCAGGGCCCCATCAGGAAGGCACCCACGTTATGAAGTTGTAGGTGTGCTGGGCCTGCCGCATCCATCATCAACAACCACACGGGTTGGAACTTTTATCCCCTCTCAGCGGGAGGCACACAGTAGGTGCTCATCCTGTGGTCCTTCCTTACTGTTGTCCCAGGATTCCAAGTTCTCTGTTGCAGCCACCTGGAATTCTGGAATTTGCCCCATTTCTGGGGTTCTGTCCCACTTCCAAGTGCCATGACTTCCTGTTAAGAAACAGCAATGCAGCAGGGAGCAATGCAACAGCAATGTGCTGGGGTCTCCACCCCAGGATGTGAGGCAGAGCTACAGTCCCGCACCCGCTGCAGCCGCCTGCCACTCACGGTCGGTTTCAATTCAAATCAGTGACTTGCAGAGCCATTCCCTGAGAAACCCGTTTAGGGGTATGGATCCTGTCTGAGCCACGGGGGGTCTTCCCAGCCCAGGCCATCAGCCGTTGATTGAGAGAAACGGGTGGCCCAAAGACTGAGGCCAGGGGCTCTGGGAAGGAGGCCCTTCCAGCGCCATGGGGAGGATGGTGCAGCCCAGCCTGGCCCTTAATTGCTGTCCTTGACCTTGGGAGGCCCTGCTGTTCAGGTGTGGGTTAGCCATGGGAGGGCGTGCTCCCACCACCATCCTTCCCTCCTGTCTGCTCTCCTGCCATGGAAGTGAGGTGGTCAGCTCTACCAGAGAGAGCTGCCCCCTGGTCCCAGCACCCCACTGCGGGACTTGAACTCAGTTTTTCTGTCTTTATATAAAATGTGAGGGTGTGTTCTCACACTTGGCTGTGAACCCGAATCCCCTGGAAAGCTATTGAAAGGTATCTGTTCCTGTGTCTCTCACCCAGAGAGATTCAGATTCAGAAGGCTGACTCAGAACTGGGAATGGGCACTTTTGGGCCCATGGCTCTGGCCCAGAGACTGGACACCCAGGTATCTGAATCAGTCCATCTGTGCTGACCCTCAGAGTCGAGCACAGGGTTCAGCCCATAGCAGATGCTCAGTTAAGTCTTGATTAACCACCAGCACAAACATTCTTGGCCTCAGTTTCACAATCTGCCAAAGAGAATGAAGACTTCCCTCTTGTCCCTCGATGAACCCCCAGATCTGTCTTGTCCTCCCTACCCCATCTCATCCATCTGCTGTCAGTCCTAGGATCCTACTACCTGAGCTTAAAATCTACCCTGGCTGTGAATCCTTATACAAGTTACTTAGTCTCTCTGAACCTCAGTTTCCTTATCACTAAAATGGGGATACTAATGATAAAATCCTCCTCCTGGAGTTGTGGTGAGGATTAGATGGGATCATTCACATTGAGGCACAGTGGCTGGTGCTGAGAAAGTCTTTGGTAAGCAAGAGCTGTTGCTGTGATTAGCTGCCTTCACTCCGGGGTGACTGATCTCTGTCCATAGGGCACGGAGCTGAACGATGACCGCACCCCATCTGACGCTACAGTCACCACGACCTTCAATATCCTGGTTATTGACATCAATGACAATGCCCCGGAGTTCAACAGCTCCGAGTACAGCGTGGCCATCACTGAGCTGGCACAGGTCGGCTTTGCCCTTCCACTCTTCATCCAGGTGGTGGACAAGGATGAGGTGAGTCCCTGGACACATGGCCCATGCAGACCCACCACCCATCCAGACCCACCACCCTGCCTGGGCTGTTCAGGTCCTCAGCTATAAAATAGAAACAAACATTGCGGCACCCCACTCCTGGTAGGTTCTGAGGATAAATAAGGCTGAAAAAAAAATCACTAGTCTCTACTTTTGGATTATCCCCTACACCCTGCAAAAAACATGTAAGCACATGTTTCCATATGTGTGGTTATTATTTAGAAGTTACATACATGATCATCATACTAATCTAGTAGGGATATTGTAAAGCATGTACAAAAATAGCAATTTTAAAAGGTAGAAATAAGGCCAGGTGCAGTGGCTCACATCTGTAATCCCAGCCCTTTGGGAGGCCGGCAGATCAAGAGGTTAGAAGTTTGAGACCAGCCTGTCCAACACTGGAAACCCCGTCTCTACTAAAAATACAAAAATTAGCCGGGCGTGGTGGCGGGCACCTGTAATCCCAGCTACGTGAGAGGCTGAGGCAGGAGAATTGCTTGAAGCTGGGAGGTGGAGGTTGCAGTGAGCTGAAATAGCACCATTGCACTCCAGCCTGGGCAACAAGAGTAAGACTCCATCTCAAAAAAAAAAAAAGTAGAAATAAACCATATGTGTATTTTCACACACCCTGATGGATCATCTGCTGCCCTCTTTGGGATGCCTGTACCCGTTTTTGCTCCTGTTCAAATAATGACCTTAGCAGAAAGTCTAATTCCTGTTTTTGGTGTAATAATGACCCCAGCTTTTCCACGTGAAGAGTGAAAGGACCTAAGTGCTTTGGAGGGGATCCCGGGCCATAAGAAGACCCCTGCATCACCAGGGGGTCTACCCTGGCTGGGCCCAGCCTTAAAAGGAAGTAAGGGAGAGCTGCAGAGGAGGAGGCAGGAGGCTCAGGGTGGGGGCAGCCCCCTGCACTGGTCCTGACACACCCTGCATCACAGGGGCGGGCGTAGGGGGGCAGGGCGGCGAGGCCTCTATTCGGTGGGGCCAGGTCTCCATCCCTTCAGGACCCTCTCAGCCTGCCTCCTCCCCTGCCCTCACCCCTCCTTGCACCCCATCTCCCTGCCTGTCAGCAGCTGCCATGCTAATAGGACTTCTATTTATTGCTGCTGCTCCTCCTGGCCCACTCTGCTCTGGAATTCCATTAGGTTTTCCAGCCTGAGGTGCTTCTCTTCGATTACTCCTTGCGTGGGGCTGCCGCGGTGGCCTTGCTCCAGGCTGGGCTTCCTCCACCGTCCTCGGGAGAGCCCTCTCTACTCTGGCTGCTTAGCCAGTGACCCACCCTGTTGACCCAGGAGCCCCTCTGCCCACGTCTCTTGCCCCCCTCTGGCAGCTCCTCTCAACCAGACATGGTCCCCCCAAGGACTCAGGGCACGTGGGCAAGTCAGTCCCACCATGTGCCTGTGTGTGTGCTCAAGTGTGTGTGCACACGTGTGTGTGTGTGTACATGTGTGTCTCCATCTCCTGCTAAGTAAGGCATTCCATACCTATCTGTCTGAGATAACTAAAGTAAGTATTGATCACCTGCTGTTTACAAGGAGCTATATTTAGCCTCTTGGGGAGCCAAGTATAACCCATGGTCCTAGGAGTCAACAGTGTGTTGATACAAATACAGTACGTACATTTTAAAACATATTTTTAAGCCGGGCACAGTGGCTCACACCTGTAGTCCCAACACTTTGGGAGGCCGAGGCAGGTGGATCACTTGAAGCCAGGAGTTCGAGACCAGCCTGGGCAACACGGTGAAACCCCATCTCTACTAAAAATACAAAAATTAGCCAGGCATGATGGTGTGCACCTGTAATCCCAGCTACTCAGGAAGGTGAGGCATAAGAATTGCTTGAACCTGGGAGGCGGAGGGTGCAGTGAGCAGAGATTGCACCACTGCACTCCACCCTAGGTGACCCTGTCTCAAAAAAAAAAAAACCCCAAAAAACAAATTTTTTAATGTAGTAGTTTTAAAAGGTGGAAAAAACAGGTATAAAAACAAGTTCTAATATGTTCTCACACCCTAATGGATCACCTTGTATCCCCCTTTAGGGCAGGCACCTCCTTTTGGAGATGACTGTATGAATGAGATGCTCAGAAGAAAGTCCCATCTGTGGTTTCAGGAGAACCATAATGCCCAAGAGAAGAGAAATGTGGATACCAGCGTGGGGTCCAGGTCCAGTGACCACAGGCAGTGAGGGGTCAGCTGTGGGGCTGAGAGGATCAGGAGAGGTTCTATGGTGAGAGGGGCCTAGGGCTGCACCCAGAGGCACACAGGAAGATTGGCTGGCCACAGCAGGCCATAATCCAGGCAAGCAAGGATGTGTGCAGTGGGGAGGTAGGCCGGGACCCAGGTCTCAGAGGGCCTCAAATGCCAAGCCAAGGAATTGAGGCTTGATCTTGGAGGCAACCCAGAAGGAAGACAGCTTGTGTGGGGGCAGCACAAGCTCTGGAGTCAGACAGGGCCTGTGTTTCAGCCTGGCCTTGCCATGTACTAGCTGTGTGACCTCAGGTAAAGTAATGAGCCTCACTTTGTTCATTTGTTTAAAAAAACAAATAGAAAAGAAAGAGAATGCATCCATCAGCTTATATTGCAGTAACAAGTTAGGCCCCACATAAAAGTTGATTTCTCACGTGGACGACTAGGCTAGCACAGGTGGACAGGGAAACCCTACCCCGTGTAGTGGCTGAGGAGCATGATCTGCAGGTCCCTCGGTCCCTGCAGCAGGGAAGAGGCAGCTGGAAGGCTAAGTACCAGCTCTTCTGTGCTTCATCCCAGAAGTGGCTCCGTGACTTCTACCCAATGACTATTGGCCAGAACTAGTTATGTGCCCCCACCTCACCACCAGCAGGCCAGGAAGCGTGGGGAAGGTGCCGAGTAGTTGTCTCTGCCACAGAGAAGGAGGCATGTACAGGGCGTGGCACAGCGCCCAGTACGTTAGCCGTTGTCATCATTCAGGAGCCGCAGC